>NC_000001.11:14269310-15534236 GCF_000001405.40 Homo sapiens | reverse complement strand
CTGAAACACAAACAGGCAGGCGGTGAGAAAGGATGTAACTTTTAATGCACAGTCATTTAATGTCCTTGTCCACAGAGTTCACTACAGAGGCAGACGGAGGGCTATTTTGTTAGGAAAGTTTCTTAAAATAAATGATAGAGGCAATCAGTTGTTTTACATGACTATAATAAATGAAACTTTGAAACAGGCTATTTTTTCCCAAAGCACTCCAGCAGGGCATGTTTTCAAAGCACCATATAATACTGCAGCATTTCACAGAGGAAGGTGGGAAATGGTGCATGTCTGTACACTGCTCCCAAACACTGCTAAAGCTGGCTGAAGGCTAAGTCGTTTATCCATAAGAACCCATGTCTTCTCCTAGGATGGCAACGTTTCATCCCAATGCTAGAATGATATCAGGATGCTAGAATGCTGTTGTTTCTTCTGATAACACAGGTAGACATGAGAAATAGCTTTTAGGATAGACTAAATTCATTTAGTAACAATCAGGTTTCAAACTGCACTTGTGCCTGACTTTCAAATTAGAACATTTTTCGTTATTATTACGATTGCTTTTTACCTGGATAAAGATTTCAAGGCCACTGTTTTTTTTGTTTTTTTGTTTTTTTTGAGACAGGGTCTCACTCTGTTGCCCAGACTGGAATGCAGTGGTACAATCTTGGCGCACTGCAACCTCTGCCTCCCAGGCTCAAGCGATTCTCTTGCCTCAGCCTCCCGAGTAGCTGGGATTACAGGCCTGCGCCACTATCACCCGGCTAATTTTTGTATTTTTAGTAGAGATGGGGTTTCACCATGTTGGCTGGGCTGGTCTCAAACTCCTGACCTCAAATGATCCACCTGTCTCGGCCTCCAAAAGTGTTGGGAATACAGGCGTGAGCCACCACGCCCGGCCTCAATGCCACATGTTTAACATTTTTTGCCATGTTGTCCAGGCTGGTCTCAAATTCCTGGACTCATGCCATCCTCCTGCCTTGGCCTCCCAAAGTGCTGGGATTACAGGTGTGAGCTACCACACCCGGCCAGCTTTGGAGATTTTAAAGTTCTCGATAGTAAGGGCTAGGTTTAATTCCTTGAAAGCCCCTAAGACCTAAATCAGTGTTTTATATGGACTGATTTTTCAATGTTCACTTTAAGAGACTTTGTATGACAGTATTCTTTACATAATCACTTTTGGTAACTTCTAGTAAATTTCCTCTGACATAGGTTCTGGAAAGAAAAACAATTCACTGGGAAGCAAATGACTATTAACGATACACCAAGCACATTGGAATAAAAAAAAATCTACAACTTAATGGATTTATTCTAGCAGGAATGTGTTTGAATGAATTATACCACATATTCTGATTTCTCTACAAATAAGGAAACTCCAAATTGTTGACTGCTGAGTTTAAAAATCATTCCTTCCTTAACCATTTAATCCTTGCTATGAGTATTAGTGGGGGAAAAAAATCTCAGCTAGTCATAATGAAAACAGCATGACTTAAGGAAACGAGATGGAGACTCCAAAGCATTTCTGGATGACAAAAAAAAACACAAAAATACCAACAAAACCAACCCATCAACCAAACCATCAGGCTGACGACTGAGTGGATCAAAAATTATGCAATCATACAAATGAAGATTTAACATATAGAACTCTGTAGAAGAAGGGTAGGAAGGGGCTTTTTAGGAGAATGAACCAAAGAGAGAGTCTTGAGGGCAGCTAGGTTAGAAAACACAGATCCTGAAACAGAGGAGGGCAAGGCTGAAGAACAGGGAGGAAACCACAGCACTTTCAGCTGTATTCATACGGAATACTTTCCTAATTGTGGGAAGACACCACAAGGTTGAAAACATAAAAAAAAAAATTCAGCCATAGGAAAGTATTGTCCAATGCTATTTTCAGTTAATATGAAATTATTTCAGGAACTGCAATATAATACACAATCTTTAAAATTCAAAGTAGAGGAAATATTGCGTGTAGTATCTACTGGCTCTCTAGTTACCTCTTAAAGGAATAAAAACAAAGATAGAGAAGGTAATACAGCAAAGAATTACACAAAATAATTTACTGTTAGTTTATTGCATAACCACGTCACACCAATCTGCCATTCTTTGGGTGGGAGGAGTTATTTCTTTTGCTAATGTGGATAACAAACAAAAAGTACCTACGATAAAACTTAATTATTGGGAGAAAAACATAGTTTTCCTAAGGGAAAAAGTAAAGTCAAATGGTTTCACCAAGCAAAGTAAAATTCTTAAGCAGTCTAAGAAACACTTAGTAAAATGTATCAGAGGAAGGCTCCAGATCCAACTCAACAAGTAACCACTTCCCCCTGCTATAGCTCATTCTGAAAAGTCAAACTGGGAAACACTGCTATTTTCAGTGTATATCAAGCCATTAGTAAGCAAAACTTAAACTATTCCAAGTGACAAAGCATTGTCATAGCCAAAACCGCAGAAAATAATAGTAGAGCAAAATTAAAAACGTAAAGTAAAATTTTAGACTTTTACTGGATGACACACTCAATACACTTCTATGGTGATGAATTATTCCTAGAGAGAATCTAATTAAAAAAGAGAAGAATATGACTCATTTAATTAATATCATAACACCCTTTTCAGCTCTGGAAGACAGAAAAGTCAAAGCTATACATTTTAATAGGTCCCACATACTCAAGCTGTCACTTGTGTTCTTAAAATATTGTCAAAGGCTATGCCTTGTCCAAAAGAATGTTGTTACCTTATGAATTTGCTGCAGATTTATATATCCTGCTTTAAACATAAAGAGGCAAGAGTCTGAAATGATGTAGAACATAACCTTGGTATAAAGAGTCCCTGGAAGGAGGTCATGTATAATTAGAGATTGCTTCTTTGGCATCCAATTCTGGATTTCTCATGGAATATGGTCTAAAACATTTATTTTAAAAATATATTTTCAATGATCTTTACCTTTATTTCAACCAGTTTAATGCTAAAATATACCTGTTCACTGAAGCAGAACAGTGTCAGGCGCAGTCACGCATGCAGTCTGTACCATGCATCACCTCAATGTGGCAGTTTTGCTTCTGGATAACTTCCTACTCGCATTCAGCTCCTCCCCAGCCAACCATTAGCCCACTCACCCTTACTCATGCCTAGATGTGTAAATGATTAAAAAACAATAAAGCAATGGACTACTGATGCAGAGGGTCAAACTACGGAACCCAGAGGTACCACAGATTTACCAACTCTAAGCCTCCATCTTCTCATCTATAAAACAGAGACACTGGCCGAGCATGGTAGCTCACGTCTGTAATCCCAGCACTTTGGGAGGCCGAGGTGGACGGATCACTTGAGGTCAGGAGTCTGAGACCAGCCTGGCCAATATGGCAAAACCCCGTCTCTACTAGAAATACAACAATTAGCTGGGTGTGGTGGTGCACGCCTGTAGTCCCAGCTACTTGGGAGGCTGAGTCAGGAGAATCCCTTGAACCCAGGAAGCGGAGGTTACAGTGAGCCAAGATTGTGCCACTGCATTCCAGCCTGCGTGACAGAGCGAGACTCCGTCTCAAAAAAAAAAGAGATACTGATATCCTCCTTCATAGGCTCATTATAAGGTTTAAATGAGATAAAAAGTATAGAACCAGGAGATTAGCATGTAGTAGGTGCTCAGTGATGGTACCTGTCCCAAACTTTCTTCCATTCCTCATGGTTGGTACAGCCAGCTTGGAGTCACCTCTGTCCTTTCCTCCTTCTGCTGCTCCCCCTCCATCTATATAATCCAACACTTCTGCTTCTTTGGCATGGCCAAGGCATTGGTGGAAGAAACTGATGATATTTGTCCAAAGTTTTAGATTTATTGCTACCCTGCTAATTGCTATCCTGATAACTACAGGCAAAATTACAATTTTCTGTAAGTTTTTTTTTTTGAGACGGGTCTCACTCTGTTGCCCAGGCTGGAGTGCAGTGGTGTGATTATAGCTCACTTCAGCCTCAAACTTCTGGGCTTTTTTTTTTTTTCCATAGTGATGAGGTGTCACTATGTTGCCCAGGCTGGTCTCAAACTCCTGGGCTCAAACGATCCTCCCACCTCAGCCTCCCAAAGTGCTGGGATTACAAACATGAGCCACCATGCCAGGCCAATTTTTTTTTTTGAGTAATATATAGTCAGCCCTCTATATCTGTTGGTTTCACATCCATGGATTCCACCAACCAAAATATAATATTTTCTATTTTGAAATATTCAAAAATATTTTTAAAAAATTGCATTGTACTGAACATGTACAGACTTTTTTCTTGTCATTATTCCTTAAACAATAACAGTATAACAACCATTTGCACAGCAGTTACATTGTATTAGGTATTATAAGTAAGCTAGAGATGATTTAAAGTATATGAGAGGACGTGCATAGATTATATGCAAATACTATGCTATTTTATATAGGGACTTGAGCATCCAATGACTTTGGTATTTCTGGGGATCCTGGAACCAAGACCTCATGGATATCAAGAGACAACTATCCTTGGTTTCTGAATTTTTTTTTTTGGAGGCAAAAGGCTATTACTCTTAACTTTTTTTCAAAGTGTAGAAATTAATAATTTAGAGAATAGGGTTGTATAGTGTTCCTGTTTAGCAATTACACTCATAAAGTTACTTTATGAATAATGTATCATGGGAAGGGTAGCATATCCATTATTGACTATATATACATTTTTTTAAAATTAAAACTTGTTACTTTAACATTAAATATGCTAACAGTATCTAAGGCAATTCTTTAAGCCAAAGTATTCCTAAAAGGGAGTTTCAGAGTAAACATAGGCTTTGGATCTTATCGCTAACAATTATAGAACATGAACATTAGCTCTCCTGCGTAAAATATTTTAGACAGATATATATATTGAACATAGAAACAGAGACAAATAAAAGCTAGTCATAATTTAGACTTCATCCCTGCTAAGACTGTTTAGCTTATGTTAAACCTCTATTTCTTTGTTTCACCTACCATTCCCGGGCGAGCTTCTTATAAGCCTTTTTAATATCAGCCTGACTGGCTGTTCGGCTGACCCCTAGGACTCTGTATGGGTCAAAATCCAACGCAGACAGAATTTGCAGGATCAGAACCAGAACTATCAAGAACTGCCAGGAAATGCTCAACTTTCTCACTTCCATTTCTCTTCCTTTCCAGAGCTGAAATGATTGAAGAGGCAATGAGTTTCAGTGGCAGAAACCTGGACAGTCTTGCTTTTTAGGTAAAGGTATAAGATATATAGATGAAAAACAAAACCAACAAAAGGTATTTTGCAGGAAAAGTGTCAAGCTGTTGAACTGTATCTTAAAATAAAAATCTCGCTACTGCTTTTGAATATCACAAATGAGAACTATTACAGATGAAAAGATGAGTAATAAGAATAGCAACTCTCCAGAACACTTTGACTAGAAAAGCTTTAGAAATGAATGAAAATGAATGGGATGCAGAAATAATACATAAATGAGAGAAAACCTAAATAGGATAATCAGGACGACTACCTCTCAAATACATGATTTCATTTATTCTGATAAGAATAAATAAAATAAATGGTTTAAGAATACTTCATTGAGTACATGTTAAACAAACTCATGAAACTGTAAGATTTACCATGTACAAAACTACAAAATGAGATAGTTGTGGCATTCTTGGGCATTAAATAAGTACAAACATGGACGTGAAACACTCTCAAAAAACTGTGTAGTTAAGACGCAGTATGCCTCAATTCTATTCTTTCTCACCACACCATTCAAACAAGAAAATGAGAAGCTGCTCTTTAATCATTAGTAATATGGTGTTTTTTTGTTTTTTTTTTTTGAGACGGAGTTTCACTCGTTGCCCAGGCTGGAGTGCAATGATGGGATCTCAGCTCACTGCAACCTCCCCCTCCCAGGTTCAAGCAAGTCTCCTGTCTCAGCCTCCCCAGTAGCTGGGATTACAGGCATGCGCCACCCTGCCTAGCTAATTTTTTGTATTTTTAGTAGAGACAGGGTTTCACCATGTTGGCCAGGCTGGTTTTGAACTCCTGACCTCAGGTGATCCACCCGCCTCGGCCTCCCAAAGTGTTGGGATTACAGGCGTGAGCCATCGCGCCGGCCAATATGGTCATTATTAATGGAAACCTCAGATGAGAAAAAGCGGCAAGAAAAAATTTAGTTTTACATGTGAAGAAGAATTAACGGCAAAGACCAAATAGCAGGCGTGGTCTTTAAAAGTTTCAAGCTCCATCTCTGGTGAGTACAGTGACTTAATTCATTGTGAATTTTGGAAATAATCCTGGCTGGTTAATGAACAGGGTAGTGCTGGAACTGCAGATATTTATACTCCACAATTATGATTGCTGTTATACCCTACAATGTTTTTTTTCAAGGAACACATTTATCTTGATTTCTCACAAGTTAATACAGTTTTAAGGTTCAAGTGTCTTCTGTGACACCTTACTGAAGAAGGGCAAAGCTATAACAGTGGTGGATTTCCGTAAGTGCAAGTTTAATGCCGCCTGGGAGTCCTCACAAAATTGACTAATCTGATGACCAACGTTTAAAATTGCATACGTGCTGAATAAAATCCTAAAACAAACCAGTTTCTTCTTTGTTAAGGCAACCTATTATATCCTAGAAAACACGTGAAGGCAATGTAGCTACTGGTTAAGCATATGGGTTGAAGACTAGGATCTATTCTCCACTACTTTATTACCTTGGGCAAATTATTTAAACTTACTAAGCATCAGCGTCCTTATTCATAAAATGGGAATGAATACTACCACCTTGAAGGATCATCATGTGGGGACTAAATGCATGTAAAGGGTTTACTGAGCCCAGAGTCAACAGTCAACAAATGGTCGTTAGTGCTATTATTTCTACCATGCAGTACGATCGCTGCCTTATTTAACCATGTCAGTTCCTTCCAGCTAGAGGGCCGAAGTGGCGGTGGTCTGGGAAGTTCTTTAGCTGACATGCGAGATAGACGGCGCCGACCTCGGAGCAGCAAACACCTGCCCAACAGGTAGGCTGCCAGCTCTCTGGGCAGCATATCCAGGACCAGGAAGAAGCTCCCAGAGACAAGCTCCAGGTCTAAGCCCCGCCTCGCGCTCCTGCCGGAGGTCGCAACCCTGCAGGAGACAGCCCCCTCCCCCGCCGCCCTCCGAGAGCCCAGGGCCCGGCCCTGTTGGCTCCCGGCTCCCCCCGGGGCCAGCAGTGACTGGAAACGAGAAGGAACTGAGGGGAAATCCCTGAGTCGGCCTGGCCCCGCCGCGTCCGCGGTTCCGCGCGTCACGCCGGGAAGGAGTTACCGGGAAAGTACACCGGCCCAACCGGCTGCAGCTCCGTGCTCCAGTTAGTTCGCCGGGCCGGGAGCTTCCCGTCCACACCAGCGCTCGCCTGGGCCTGGGGAGGGGAAAGAGGAGGGGACAAGCCCGAGGGGAGTCACGTGACGCTTAAAGGTCTATCGCACTGAAGGCGAGGACCGAACAGGTCGAGGGCGTCTACTGGGCGAATCTATTTTGACCCTTGCCACTCGCCGTCTAGGCGTGGACCTGGGGTGGTTGCTATAGAAACGAGGCGCGCTCTTTGGTTGCAGCCAAAAGGCTGATCGTGACCAAAGAGGCCAAAACGTGCCTCCTAGCGAGGCGAAGTCGCTATGCATGATGGGATACCAGAAGGACCTCCTCGATCCAGGAAGGTGTTTCCGCTCCTACCGGGAGATGGCCCTCGTCTAGCAACAGTTGCTAGGATGGGGACGCACTCTCTGGTCCCTATTCTCTTTAACCCTATTCGTAGAACCTTAGAGCGTCAGATTGGAAGTGACCTTAGGGATTCTTTAACTCTCCAACTCCTGCAATATTGATAGGGAGACCGAGGTCCAGAGAGGGGCAGAGATTTGCCCAAGGCCTAGAATCCAGCATTCCTTTTATTTTTGTTTACTTATCTTTTTTTTTTTTGAGAGAATCCAGGACTTTTAATCCCGTTTACCGAAAACCGAGCTCCACCCAAGAATGTACCAGTCTGTGCCTTAAGCACGGGGAAAGGGCGGTGGGGGTGGAGAGAGGGATAAGGCACAGGTAAGTGAAGGAAACTTTCTTTGAGCCAATGAGATAGATCCCTTGCGGATATAAAGAGCTTTCATATCTCCCTGTCTTGTTTTTATTTTTTTCTCTTTGCATTTATCACTATCTAACATAGTATGTCTTATTTATTGATATAGTTTATCACCTGATCCTTCCACTGGAATGTAAACTCTAAAAGCAGGGATTTTGTTTTGTTCACCTTCATGTTCTTAGTGTTTGACTACAGGCTCAATAAATATTCGTAGAAGTGAACGAATGGGGCTGAGGTTTTGGTGCTCAAGAGATTATATTCTAAGGTGGATTCTTAAGAGTGTGGCTTACAGAGTCAGGTTCGGGTTTCAATCCTGCCTGCCTCGGCCACTTAGTACCCAAGTGACCTTAAACATTCGTTTCCCTGAACCCTAGGGTCTACATCTGTAAAACCGGCGGGGGGTGGGAATACTTTCCTGGCAGGATTGTAGTTAAGGATAAGTGAAATAAGCATGAAAAGTGGCTAGCACGATGCCTGGGACTTAGCAAATGCTCAGTAAACAGAAACGATTATTTTTGAAATGTGAAAATGAACCGTTCAGAACGATGGGAGTTTACAGGACTAGATTTCTGCCGTTTTTTTTTTTTTCTGTGTGGGAGGTGTTAGGGTGGGAGGGAGGGAAGAGGGAATGGAAGACTGTGTAAGGTGGGCTTGGTTGGATCAGACACTCGAGTTTGGAACAGTCAACTGCGATCTGGGCACAAGGGCGGTGAGGGGAGCTTATGGTTTTACTTGGGGTGGAGGAGGGGGCTAAGGGGAAGCCATGCCCCGGAGGAGGTTGAATGGGCGGGACAGATCACGGCTCCACTCATGGTTTCCCTCTTGCTGGAAGTGTGACGACTCCCTCCGGATCTCTGTAAAAGCGGGGCTATAGTGAATTCTGGCGAAGGGCCCGCGGTGGACCAGGAACTGGTGCCAGAATTGCAAAAGGGCACCTGCGCCCGGAGTGGGGAGGTGATGCGGGGGCGGGGCGGGGCCCTGGGGGCGGGGCGAGTCGCGGAGGTGCCGCCTTGGGGCGGGGCGGTGACAGAAGGATGGATCCTGGGGGTGAGGATTGACTTTGGGGGCGGGGCGAGAGTGCGAACTGGAGTCTGAGGCTGAGCGGTGACGCAAGGACGATTCTGAGGGTGGAGCGAGGGGAGGGGATTGGCTCTTGGAGGCGGGGCGGTGGCACGAGGCTAGCCCTTGGGGGCGGGGCGGTGGCGCAAGATTGACCTTGGGGGCGGGGTGGGGGCGTGGGTTGAATCCTGGGGGCGGGGCGGTGGCGCGGAATGGATTCTGGGGTCGGCGCGAGGCGCTGAGGTGCGTCCTGAGGGCGGGGCGATGACGCAGAGCGAATCCTGGGGGCGGGGCGAGACCTTCTAGATGCGTCCCGGGGAGTGGGCGGTGACGCGGTGGCAGGTTCTGGGGACAGGCGGTGACCCCAGAATTGACCCTGGGGACAGGGCGAGGCGCGGAGGCGTCCTGAAGGCGAGGCGGTGACGCAAGAGCGAATCCTTGGGGCGGGGCGAGGCGTTGGAGATGCGTCCTGCGGGCGGGACGGTAACGCGGGGGCGGGGCGGTGACGTGAGGTCAGTGCGGGGATACGGGGCGGGTTCTGGGGCGGGGACGCAGTGGTGGATTCTGGAGCGGGGCGGTGACGTGGGGCGGGTTCTGGGGCGGGGCGGTGACGCGGAGCGTGTTCTGGGGCGGCGCGGTGATGGGAGGCTTGGCCCTGGGGGCGGGGCGAGGCGCAGAGGTGCGTCCTGAGGGCGGGGCGGTGACGCAAGAGCGACTCCTGGGGGCGGGGCGAGGCCTTGGAGATGCGTCCGGAGGCGGTGGGGAGCGAAGACTGACCCGGGGCCGTGACGCGGGGGCAGGCCCTGGGGCGGGGGCGGGTCCTGGGGACTGGGGCGGGCGGCCGAGGCCCGGAAGCGGACTGAGGCGGCCTGGAGTCTTAGTTGGCTACTCGCCATGGACGAAGCGGATCGGCGGCTCCTGCGGCGGTGCCGGCTGCGGCTGGTGGAAGAGCTGCAGGTGGACCAGCTCTGGGACGCCCTGCTGAGCCGCGAGCTGTTCAGGCCCCATATGATCGAGGACATCCAGGTGCGCCCCCGGCCCCCTGTCCCCGCGCTGCACGGCCGGGTCCCCACGCCCCTCGAGGAGGCGTTGTGCGGGAGCCTAGCCTTCCCTGTGGCTTCAAACCCCTCAGCGGAGCCAAAGAATCCCAAACACCTCTTAGTCGGGTGTTCGCTAAAGCGATTCCATGCCATACTCAGTCAGCGTACACTGTTAGTGCTTGTGTTTCTTGTGTAAAGGAAAAATGTGAGACACATCTTGAGAACTTTGAATAAGAAACAATTCATGAATTGGAGAACATCAGACTGAAAGAGCTTTAGTGTTGCAATGACAAAACGTCAGAGGCAAGTATTTATTGGGAAAATGTGGAAGCAAAATAAAGAAATTATTTGATTGGTTTGCAGTTACAAAATTGCCTTTTTTTTTTAAGGTCTGTTAATTGACTGCTTTTGGCTGGTCTTAAGTTTTATTTCTCTCTAACATAAGCATTTATCAGATATGACCCAAGTTAAATTTTGCTTATGTTTGCAGTTTAAGCAAGATTTAGGTCACTTAGGATACCTGATTGGTTTTGTCTGCTCAGGAATTCTTCATGGTTGGTCTCCATTTTAATTTACGTTAATACTTGCGAGGAAGGAGGCGTGTGCGTTTTTACTTTTCTAGCATAGAGGTTTCGGGAACCCACTTTGGCATCAGGCTGCCTGGCAGCGTGTTCTTGGGCCAGTCACTTACCCTCTTTGAGCCACAGTTTCTGGGCTGTGAAATGGGAATAAGAATAATACTGTCATAAGGACTAAATGAAATAACGGATGTGAAACTGTAGTGCTAGGCACAGAGCGGGGGATCAGCGTACCCTGCCCTCTTTGGCCAGCCCCTTCTGTGTTCAGTTTATGTTTTGTTAAGAGGTTTTGGAAATGAGGGGACCTGATGCAGAATGGAGAATAATGAAGTCAAACATTTGAGGTTTTGTTTAAAAGCACTTTCCCATCTTTGTCTCATTTGACCCTCATCACAGGCCTGTGAGGATGCAGGAGATATTTCCTACCATGAGGTGCAGTAGGTGTGAGTGGCTGGCTGGATATCCCTGGCCAGTGCCCTGGCCCAGGGAAAGAGTCTTTAAATAATTGAGTATCATATGAGTAATTATTCATTAATAATAAAATAAGTTTTGTGCCTTCTGTGTGGCCCCTACTGGGGAACAGTAATGGTTTGAGGCCACAGTCCTTGCCTTCAGGAATGTTCACGGGGATCACAAACTCAAATGCCCATGGAGGACCAATGGATGGGCGTCATAGTGGATAGCCTTTGCACTGCCCTCCGTCTCCAGCTGAGTATGGCCATATCAACAAATGGCCCAGTATTGCCACATCTTACACTTATTTTGAGGCAGGGTCTCACTCTTGCCCAGCCTGGAGTGCAGGGATGAGATCATGGCTCACTGCGACCTTGACCTCCTGGGCTTAAGTGGTCTTCCTGCCTCAGCCTTTAGAGCAGCTGGGACTTTAGGCACATGCCACCATGCCTGGCTAATTAAAAAAAATTTTTTTTTTGTACAGATAGGAGTCTTGCTATGTTGCCTAGATGAGTCTCAAACTCTTGGCCTCAAGTGATTCTCCTGCCTCAGTGTTGGGATTACAGGTGTGAGCCACTGTACCCGGCCCAGCTTTCACATCTTAAAAAAGAAGCTGAAAATCTTGATTCCTCTGTCAAATTCCCTGGCTTAAAATGTTAGCAACAAATTCAGAAATTTTTTAAGAACCTTGTGGGAACCACAGGTTGCCATTTTGCCATTCAGTATGGCTGAAAAACAGGCAGGTTTTGGAACCAGTTGGATCTGGGCTCTCATCCTGGCCTTGTTACATATTAGCAAGTTGTAAAAAACCACAACCAATGAGCCAAACAAACAGAAAAACCCTATGACTCAGTTTCCCTGAAATTTTTTACCCTAAAAAGTTGGGAAGTTCTAATTTAACTCTATAAAGTTATTGAGGGAGAAAAAGATGAAACAATGCATTTAACACAGTGTTGACCTCCTGGAGTGTTCAGCAAATGTGGAGAGAAACCTAAACACCACCATCTATTTGCATGTAGCCAACTGTTCTGCTAGTGAGACTTACCTTCTCAGTGGCACTGTAGGTCTGTGCTGTTCCCAACAGTAGCCATTAGCCACATGTCGTTAAAGGTAAATTTGAAGTAATTAAAATTAAATAAAACTAAAAATTGGTAGGGTCAAGCCTTACAGGGCCTGTGGGTTTTTCTCCTCGTGTGCGGAGATGAGAGATCGTAGAAATAAAGACACAGGAGAAAGAGATAGAAAAAAAGACAGCTGGGCCCGGGGGACCACTACCACCTAGACGTGGAGACAGGGTAGTGGCCCCGAATGCCTGGCTGCGCTGTTATTGGATATAAGGCAAGGGGACAGGGTAAGGAGGGTGAATCTTCTAAGTGATTGATAAGGTGAAGCAAGTCACGTGATCATAGGACAGGGGGCCCTTCCCTTTTAGGTAGCTGAAGCAGAGAGAGAAGGCAGCATATGTCAGCGTTTTCTTCTATGCACTTATAAGAAAGATCAAAGACTTTAAGACTTTCACTATTTCTTCTACCGCTATCTATGAACTTCAAACAGGAACCAGGAGTACGGGAGGAACATGAAAGTGGGCAAGGAGCGTGACCATGGAAGCACAGCACCACAGGGAGGGGTTTAGGTCTCCGGATGACTGCGGGCAGGCATGGATAATATCCAGCCTCCCACAAGAAGCTGGTGGAGCAGAGTGCTCCCTGACGCCTCCAAGGAAAGGAGACTCCCTTTCTTTTTTTTTTTTTTTTGAGGTGGTGTCCCACTTTTTCGCCCAGGCTGGAGTGCAATGGTACGATCTCAGCTCACTGCAACCTCCACCTTCCGGGTTCAAGCTATTTTCCTTTTTTTTTTTTTTTTTTTTGAGACGGAGTCTCGCTCTGTCGCCCAGGCTGGAGTGCAGTGCCGCAATCTCGGCTCACTGCAAGCTCCGCCTCCCGGGTTCATGCCATTCTCCTCCCTCAGCCTCCCGAGTAGCTGGGTCTACAGGCACCCGCCACCACGCCCGGCTAATTTTTTGTATTTTTAGTAGAGATGGGGTTTCACCGTGTTAGCCAGGATGGTCTCGATCTCCTGACCTCGTGATCTGCCCACCTTGGCCTCCCAAAGTGCTGGGATTACAGGCTTGAGCCACCGCGCCCAGCCAGGGTTCAAGCTGTTCTGCCTCAGCCTCCTGAGTAGCTGGAATTACAGGTGCGCACTACCACGCCCAGCTAATTTTTTTGTATTTTTAGTAGAGACGGGTTTCACCGTGTTGGTCAGGCTGGTCTTGAACTCCTAACCTTGTGATCTGCCTGCCTTGGCCTCCCAAAGTGCTGGGATTACAGGCGTGAGCCACCGCGCCTGGCAGGAGACTCCCCTTCGCGGTCTGCTAAGTAATGGGTGTCTCCCCAGACACTGGCATTACCGCTTGACCAAGGAGCCCTCAAGCGGCCCTTATGCGGGCCTGACAGAGGGCTCACCTCTTGCCTTCTAGGTCACTTCTCACAATGTCCCTTCAGCACCTGACCCTATACCCGCCGGTTATTCCTAAGTTATATTAGCAATGCAACAAAGAGTAATATTAAAAGCTAATGATTAATAATGTTTATAATAATGATTGATAATTGTCCATGATCATCTCTATACCTAATTTGTATTATGACTATTCTTATTCTAACTATTTTCTTTATTATACTGAAACAGTTTGTGGCTTCAGTCTCTTGCCTCGGCACCTGGGTAATCTTTCGCCCACAAAAATTCAGTTCCTCAGTTGTACTACCCAAGTGCTTAATGGTCATGTGATATATGGTTACTAAATAGGACAATACAGACCAAGAATATTTCCATCATCACGGAAGGTTCTCATAGACAGTGCTGCTGTAGGATAGTTGAGGACACGGTGCCATCTTATCCCTGTGGATCCTGAGAACCTGTCCAGTGCTGGGTATCTGAGGACAGGTGGCAGATAACCAGACTCTTCCTTCTTAGTGACTGACCCCACCATCCTGACACCTCTCAATTTTTTTTTTTGAGACAGGGTCTTGCTCTGTCACCCAGGCTGAAGTGCAGTGGTGCTATCACAGCTCACTGCAGCCTTATCTCCTGGGCTCGAGCCATCCTCTTGGGAGCCTCAGCCTCCTGAGTAGCTGGGACTACAGGTGCGTGACACCATACCTGGCTTTTTTTTTGTTATTTTTTGTAGAGACAGGGTCTCACTGTGTTGTCCAGGCTGGTCTCGAACTGGGCTCAAGCTATCCTCCCACTTCAGCCTCCCAAAGTGCTGGAATTGCAAGCATGAGCCACTGTGCCTGGCCTGCCTGTCAACCTTGACCCTTGCTCTGTCTTCACAGTCCCCCCAGTCAGTGCCCATGTCCTATGGACCCTCTCTCTTTGTATCTCTGCTTTGTCCTTTCACTTCTCTCTATTCTAGCTGCACCATCTTTGCTGCCTCCTGATCTGGCTATGGCTCACTCCTTTCCATTTTTCACCCTGACCCCTGGATGACTTTTTGAAAGGCCATATCTGTCTCTGTCACTCCATTCTTAAAACTCTTTGGTGGCCGGGCATGGTAGCTCACGCCTGTAATCCTAGCACTTTGAGAGGCTGAGGTTGGTGGATCGCTTGAGGTCAGGAGTTTTGAGACCAGCCTGGCCAACATGGTGAAACCCTGTCTTAACCAAAAAATACAAACATTAGCCAGGCATGGTGGTGGGTGCCTGTAGTCCCAGCTACCTGGGAGGCTGATGTGGGAGAATCATTTGTACCCAAAAGGTGGAGGTTGCAGTGAGCTGAGATGGTGCCACTGCATTCCAGCCTGGGTGACAGAGCAAGACTCCTCAAAAAACAAACAAAAAAACAACCGATGGCTGGCCACGGTGGCTCATGCCTATAATCCCAGCACTTTGGGAGGCCAAGGCTGGAGGATCACTTGAGGTCAGTTCAAGACCAGCCTGGGCAACATGGTGAAACCCTGTTTCTACTAAAAATAAAAAAAAAATTAGTCAGGTATGGTGGTGTGTGCCTGTAACCCCAACTACTCCGGAGGCTGAGGCAGGATAATCGCTTGAACCTTGGAGTTGGAGGTTGCAGTGAGCTGAGATTGCACCAGTACACTCTAGCCTGGGTGACAGAGTGAGACTCCGTCTCAAGAAAAAAAAAAAAAAACAAAAACAAAACCAAAAAACTCTTTGGTGGCACCTGACAGGTCTCAGGATGAATTTCTTGGCCTGGCCACACAAAGGCCTTGTCCCTTGCCACTATCTACCTCCCACCTCATAAGACTCTGAATTCGCTATTCACTTCATGATATCCTCAGCCCCATGTGCTTCCCTCTGGGCACTTGTCTCTTGTTGTGTCATTGCTGATTTGTCTGATTGCATTCCCCATTAGAAATTTGCTCCTTAAGGACTGAGACTGTCCATGGCAGCATTTTCAGCACTTAGCATAGTGCTGGGCATCTTTTGCCCTGCAAAATAATGAACAGATCAGCAAAGGCTGGTAAATGGCACACAGTGCACCTGCAGCTCCATTGCTGCCCACGTGCCTGATTGTTTAGACTTACAGTAGCTGGGAAATGGGGAGACAAGGTGAGAGCCATATAAAAGTACGTGGATAATTAGTATCCTGCCTTTCTTTCCAAACAGCGGGCAGGCTCTGGATCTCGGCGGGATCAGGCCAGGCAGCTGATCATAGATCTGGAGACTCGAGGGAGTCAGGCTCTTCCTTTGTTCATCTCCTGCTTAGAGGACACAGGCCAGGACATGCTGGCTTCGTTTCTGCGAACTAACAGGCAAGCAGCAAAGTTGTCGAAGCCAACCCTAGAAAACCTTACCCCAGTGGTGCTCAGACCAGAGATTCGCAAACCAGAGGTTCTCAGACCGGAAACACCCAGACCAGTGGACATTGGTTCTGGAGGATTTGGTGATGTCGGTAAGTAGCAAGAGAGTGATTGGTGGGTGGGCATGACACGTAGTCATTTGGGACTCACTATGAGTACAGCTGGGTGGGCTGAGATTCAGAATTTAATTTTAGCATTGTCTTTCTGAATGTTCATAGGGATGGCAAAATTCTGGGAGGTTTTCAGGAGGTTGAATCTTGGCAGCCCCTCCTCTGAAAAGCATGTGTTGAGGTCTGTTTTGGATGTCCCAGGTTTTTTGTTTTTGTTTTTGTTTTTTTTCCTGCCTTTGAGATAGCAGGCCCCAGGTTTTGATCAATGTTTCCAGAGCCATCTATTGTTTTGGATTTGCCTTTCAGTCTGGGTGGGTAGCCTGGACTACCTCATGTCTGGGGGCAGGAGACAGGCCTCAGTTGTATCTGCCCCATACAAACAGACATCTGCAAAGTATTTACCCTTACCTTCTTCGTTTATAGCAACCTTGCAAGGCAGGTATCATTAGACCCATCCTTGTTGATGGAGAAACTGACTGAAGCTCACGGAAATTAAACACTTTGCCAAAGGTCACACGGCTACATCCAACAAAATGCATAAATCCCAAGAGTAAGCTGGGTGATTTTTACCTATGCATACCCACAGGTAACTAACACCCATATCATCAAGATGAAAACATTCCGGGGTCCTGTAAGACCGTTGACTCTCTTTCCATTTCTTCCCACTTTCCCTTTCCCAAGGTAATCACCGTTCTCATCTCTATCGCCAGAGATCCCTTTTGCTTGTCCTTAAACTTCAATATAAATCCTATATAGTCTTATATGCTCTTGAGCCTGGCTTCTTTCATTCATCATTGTATCTTTGAAATTCATTCATATTGTTGTACATATCGGTAGTTCATTCTTTTTAATTTCTACATGGCATTCTGAATAATCCACAGTTTATTTAACCATTTTCCTACTGATGGACATGTGGGTTGTTTTCAGTTGGGGCTTTGTTCCCATGGCAGCGTGTGGAGCTCTAGCACTTCCTGTTTCATGGGTGTCTGGTGGACCATTGCATGGTATCAAAGTTAATAATCATAATAGTAATGGTGAACATTATTGAGTAATTGCTATTTGCCAGGCACCGTTCGGAGTGCTTACATAAATGATCTAATTTAATCTCTCCATCTCTCTTGTAAGGCAGGTGCTTTGCTGTTAGAAAAAGTGAGCCACAGATTGGGAGATGACTTGTGCCAAATCACACAGCTAGTGAGGAGTGGAGACAGGGCTGCAGCCCGGGCTTACCTGTTCTGTCTGCTCTGCAGGGTAGCCCCATGTGTGCTTTGTGGGACACACCTCATTGATCCGACTCATGCTGGTGGACATTGTGTTGTTTCTGCAGTTAGCCTTGCATGTGCGTCTAGTTCTGACTGCAGGATATTTCTAGAAATGGAATTGTGTGTTAAAGGGTACTTGTTCCTGTCCGATAGATGCTACCAACTTATACTTCAAAAATATGTCATTTTAGCCAGGTGTGGTGGTGTGAGCCTGTAGGACAAGCTACTTGAGAGGCTGAGGCAGGAGGACTACATGAGCCTAGGAATTCACAGCCAGCCTGGGTAACTTAGTGAGATCCTATCTCTAAGAAAAAAGAAATTGAAAAATTGTGTCTTTTTTTTTTTTTTAATTGAGGCAAGGTCTTCTGTGGCCCAGGCTGGAGTGCAGTGGCATGATCACGGCTCACTGCATCCTTGAACTCCCAGGCTCAAGCGATCCTCCCACTCAGCCTCCCAGGTAGCTGTGTGCGCCACCAGGCCTGGCTAATTTTTTTGTATTTTTTGTAGAGACAGGGTCTCACCATGTGGCCCAGGCTGGTCTTGATCTCCTGGGCTCAAGCAATCCTCCCATCTCGGCCTCCTGGATAGCTGTGCATGTTATCCCTGGCCATTTTTTTTTTTTTTTTTTAAGAGGGAGTCTCGCTCTGTCACCCAGGCTGGAGTGCAGTGGCGCAATCTCAGCTCACTGCAACCTCCACCTCCTGGGTTCAAGCAATTATCCTGCCTCAGCCTCCTGAGTAGCTGGGACTACAGGCAGCCGCCACCATGCCTGGCTAATTTTTGTATTTTTAGTAGAGATGGGGTTTCACCATGTTGCCTAGGCTGATCTTGAACTCCTGGCCTCAAGTGATCCACCTGCCTCAGCCTCCCAAAGTGCTGGGATTAAAGGTGTGAGCCACCACTCCCAGCCCATGCCTGGCCAATTTTAAAATTTTTTGTAGAGATAGGGTCTTACCGTGTTGCCCAGGCTGCCCTCAAACTCCTGTGCTCCAGTAGTCTGCCCACCTCGGCCTCCCAAAGTGCTGGAATTACAGGTGTGAGCCACTGCACTCGGCCCAAATTGTGTCATTTTATAATCTCACCAACTGCGAGTGAAGGTGACCACTTTCCCACATTCTTGCCAACAGTGAATATTGACATTTTTTCCTGTGTGATGGGTAAAAAGTGCTGTTTTCTTTCAACAAAAATTCACCAAAACTCATTCATATTGTTGTGCATATCAGTAGTTCATTCTTTTTAATTTCTAGATGGCAGCAGTTCCTGTTCTGAATAATCCACAATTTATTTAACCATTTTCCTATTGATGGACATGTGGGTTGTTTTCAGTTGGGGCTTTGTTCCCATGGCAGCGTGTGGAGCTCTAGCACTTCCTGTTTCATGGGTGCCTGGTGGACCATTGCATGGTATCAGAGTTAATATTCATAATAGTAATGGTGAACATTATTGAGTACTTGCTGCATAATGGTGATTTTTGGGCAATCCACTAAAGCAGAGAAACAGACAAACATGATAAGGGTAGGAAGCTGCATTTGCTTGAAGTGTAAGGAAGAAGACTGGTTCTGGAATTGGCCATGTGCATTACCATCCTGTAAAGGAGGCAGGCAGAATACAAAGCTCATCTGTTGTTATTTGGTTCTGGGAAATGTCAACGTGAGTCATTTAGGACCAACAGTCAGAATTTGAAACTTCCTGTTTTTTTGGAAGGTGTTTTATTTCCTGTTTCTTGTGAATATTTATTCCTAGTAGGAGCTTAATTCTGAAGGGTAAATAACAACAGCAATAGTAAGATCACTTAATTTTTTTTACTTTATTATTATTATTTTTTGAGATAGGGTCTTACTCTGTCACCCAGGGTGGAGTGCGGTGGTGTGTTTTCGGCTCACTGCAACCTCTGCCTCCCAGGTTCAAACAATTCTCTCACCTCAGCCTCCCAAGTAGCTGGGACTACAGGTGCACCACCATGCCTGGCTAGTTTTTGTATTTTTTGATAGAGACAAGGTTTCCCCATGTTGGCCAGGCTGGTCTTGAACTCCTGACCTCAAGTGATAAACCCGCCTCAGCCTCCCAAAGTGCTGGGATTATAGGTATGAGCCAGCACGGCTGGCCCAAGATCACTTTAAATAATGTGAATATCACTTTGTAGTATACACAGTGTTTTTTCAGGTCATCAAAACCACCCTGTGCCGTGGTAGACATGGCAAGCCCGTCTGTCATTATATGCTACTTACAGGGGAGGAAACTGGGTTCTGAGAGCAACAGTCACAAAGTGAGTTCCAGTACAGAGCTAGGACTTGGGCCTAGGTCTTCTGGCTTAATAGAGCGACTGTCCCATTTTCCATGAGCTGCTGAGAGATGTCCTTTTTAGATGCTGGGCCTTAGACTCCAGAGTACTGCATGGGAATGTTTCCCAAGGTAGGTTTCATGGTGACCCACAAAGGAAGAGCTGTGTATTCATATGTATGGGAAGGTCTGGCTGAGCAAGAATAGGGCCAGCAGCAGAGCCTTTAATAAGTGAATACAGGAAAGGATGCTGTAGGTCAGTGTTTCACACTGGGGACGATTTTTCCCCGACCTCCAAGGGACATTTGACAATGTCTAGAGACAAATCTGGTTGTTATAGCTGAGGGTGGGTGGGTGCTACTGGCATCTAGTGGGTAGACAGAGATGCTGCCAAAACCCAACAGTGTACAGAGTAGCTCTGCACAATAAAGAAGAATCTGGCCCAAAGGGTTAGTGTGGTGGGGCTGAGTACACACACTGCACTCATACATATTCATTGAGCATGAGTGTCAATGAATAATAATGTGGACACATCAGTTTTATTGAGTTGTCAAGTGTGTCGGGTATTGTTCTATGTGCCTCACATGTATTAATTGTTTGAGGTGTCATCACAATCCTATGAGGTTGGTAGTTGCTCCTATTATCCTGTAATACAGATGGGGAAATCAGAAGCCCAGAGACTCTGAGCTCCTTGCCCATTGTGACACAGGTGCTAAGTGTTGGAGTTGGGATTTGAACCCAAGTACCTCAGACTCACTCCATCACTGTCTCATGAAGAACAAATGGCTCATTCTCTTTCTTGTCCCTATATTTGTGCCATTACTCATTAGCTCACACAAATGTTTACTAAGTACCTGTTGGGTTCTAGGTGTTGGGGATGCAGCTTCGAACAAGGATGCCCAGTCCTTGCCTTCAGGTGGAGAGGGGCAGGTACTCAGTTCATGCTTGCCTAATTTGGTCTTTATTCACGGCTGTGGGTAGTGCTATGAAGCTGAACACGGTGCTTTAGAGGTGCATCATTAGGGGACCCACCAGAGAGAGTGGCTTTGTCTTTGTATATTCAAAGGAAAATGCCTTTTCC
Organism: Homo sapiens; assembly: GCF_000001405.40. NCBI lineage: Eukaryota > Metazoa > Chordata > Mammalia > Primates > Hominidae > Homo > Homo sapiens. Next base: position 15,513,468 of record NC_000001.11, on the reverse strand, counting down.
TTCAGAATGGAAGGAACTTTCTTAGTTTCAGACGTGATGCCTTGTGTGTAACTGCTTGTTCCAGCCAGGGCCTCTTGCCCGGGAGGACTGGGAGAACTGTTGGTGGCTGTGTTCTCATGATTCTCCAGAGAAAGAGAACCAATAGGGGGTGTGTGTATGTGTATAAAACAGCATCTTTTGTTCAATGCTGCATCCCCAACACCTAGAACTCAGCAGGTACTTAGTAAACATTTGCATGAGCTAATGATTAATGGCACATATACACAGACAAGAAAGAGAATGAGCCGTTCGTTTTTTTTTTTTTTTTTGAGACGGAGTCTTGTTCTGTTGCCCAGGCTGGAGTGCAGTGGCGCGATCTCCGCACACTGCAAGCTCTGCCTCCTGGGTTCACGCCATTCTCTCGCCTCAGCCTCCCGAGTATCTGGGACTACAGGCACCTGCCACCATGCCCAGCTAATTTTTTTGTATTTTTTTTAGTAGAGACAGGGTTTCACCATGTTAACCAGTATGGTCTTGATCTCCTGACCTCGTGATCTGTCCGCCTCAGCCTCCCAAAGTGGTGGGATTACAGGCGTGAGCCACTGCACCTGGCCAAGCCATTTGTCCTTTATGAGGCAGTGATGGAGTGAGTCCGAGGTACTTGGTTCAAAGCCCAACTCCAACACTTAGCAGCTGTGTCACAGTGGACAAGTAGTTGAGTCTCTGGGCCTCTGTTTTATATATATACATATACACACATACACACACGGATATATATAGAAAGATATATGCATTTTTTTTGTGTGTGTATATATATATATCTTTATCTAAAAACATATTTATTACAAGGAACAGGCTCATGCAATTATGGACGCTGAGAAGTTCCAAGATCTGCCATCTGCAAGTTGGAGACCAGGAAAGCTGGTGGTGTAGTTCCAGTCTGAGTCTGAAGGCCTGAGATCCAGGAGCACCAATGGTAGAAGTCCCATTCCAAAGGCAGGAGAAGACTGATGTCCCAGCTCAAGTAGTGAGACAGAGAGAGATCAAATTCTCCCATTCTCCACTGTTTCGTTCTATTCAGGCCCTTGACGGATTGGACGCGGCCCACCATCCTGGGGAGGGCCATCTGCTTTACTCTGTCTACCTATTCAAATCCCATTCTCATCCCCAAAACACTCTCACAGGCACCCTGAGAAATACTGTTATATTTAACCAAATATTTGGGTACCCTGTGATCTAGTCAAGTTGACCTGTGAACTCAACCATCAGTGGCTTTCTCTGCTCATGCCTTGCCTGGGTTGGAACTTCCTTGAAAGTAGAAGTTGGCTTTTCAGCCCTACCTGGCTTCTTGGTCTCTTTGCTCTGGGGCTGGTGGCTGTGCTCACCTCCCATTACAACTCAGGGTCTCTGAGCCCCCAATTCCCCTCTGGCAAATGGGGATGTGTGCCAGTACTTCTGTGCTGAAGGGCCTGCTCTGAGGAGTAAATGAGGCAGTGTGTGGAGGGACTTCACATGGGGCCTCCTATTGAGTGAGCCTTGGGTCTTGTTGGTCAGCTCTGCTTCCTTCTGTGATTTCTAAATTGCCAAGGGCTGGGGAGGGCCAGTCCTAGGGCATCTTCCCTTCTGTAGGGTCCCCCAGTTCCCCTGTTTCTTTCTGTGTCCTGATTGAAAATCACAGAGTGCTTTGACCACCCTGTGACCCAGCCAGCTACAGGTTTTTCCCAGCAGACCTGAGCCCAAACCTGGGCCTTAAACATTCTCAGGCATTGATAAAGGTATCTAGGTAGGCTGGGCATGGTGGCTCACGCCTGTGATCCCAGCACTTGGGGAGGCCAAGACGGATGGATCACTTGAGGCCAGTAGTTTGAGACCAGCCTGGCCAACATGATGAAACCCTGTCTCTACTAAAAATGCAAAAATTAGCTGGGCGTGGTGGTGTGTGCTTGTAATCCCAGCTACTTGGGAGGCTGAGGCAGGAGAATTGTTTGAACCTGGGAGACAGAGGTTGCAGTGAGCCAAGATTGTGCCATTGTACTCCAGCCTGGGCGACAGAGCGGGACTCTGTCTGAAAAAAAAAAAAAAATTAGGTGTGGTGGTGTAGTCCTAGCTACTTGGATGGCTTAGGAGGGAGGGTCACTTGAGCCCAGCAGGCAAAGTTTGCAATGAGTTGAGATTGTACCACTGCACTCCAGCCTGGACAAGAGAGTGAGACTCCGTCTCCAAAAACAAAACAAAACAAAAAGGTATCTAGGTTATCACCCAAAACAACTGAAAGAAACCAGCCTTGGCCCTGAGCCAAATTCCTTAAACCCTCATATAAACTCCTTACCCTGACCTCTTCACTTTGGACCAAACCTAGGTAGACACCTGTTTTTTTTTCTCGCCTCCGCACCTCGAGGATTGCTTTGGCCAGATCGCCCTGGCATTTATTGCTTCTTTCTTTGGAATCCCAACTGGCCCCATCTTAGGACAGTTTGGGGCACTCCCTTGTGGGAACTCTTCTGCTGCCACTTCTGGGGTGATTCCAGCATAGGTTCGGAGGGACGAAACCCCTTCTTTCCCTTGGGTGGCAGAGAGGATGTGCTTGCCCTCTTCTGTTTGTGTTGGAGACCTGGGCACATGCCCAGTGACTCAGGCTGGAAGACTGATTCTTTTGCACACACTTAGCCATGTGTGTTTATTGTCCCCATGGGAGTGGCCATTTCAGGAGAAACTGGTCTCATGCACCTTGTATCTGACCATGTCACCCAACTTGAGGGGCCCTGAACATGCCATGCTCCTGCATCCTCCCTGCCTTTGCTCATGCCGGGGCCTCTGCCTGGAGTGTCTCCTCTCCCTCTTTCTTTGGGCACCCCTTGGTTGATTTGCTCCCTCCATGGGCACCTGTAGCCCTTGGCCTCTTGAGAGCAGTCATTTTGCTTTATCAATAGATATTTCTAATTTGGGGAATGAGTGAATTCCTCAGTAGTGGATAGTAGTTATATTTTTGGGGTACAGCGGAATTTTGGAAATGAGCAAATGTTCTCAGAATGAAGTCTGTGGATGAATAGGAATTTTCAGGGTAGGTAAAACCATTTCTAACTTTAAAAATGGGATGTGAATGGGATGTGAGTGCTTTTCTGCTGTGGCCTTTAAGCTGGCAGAATAGTTCAGACCTGTTCTAAGCAAGGAATGGCACTGTTATTGGAACAGGAGTATGGGCTCCACTGCAACTTGGAGGTGGCCACTGTATTCTCCTTGTTTAAAAAAGAAAAAATGTAGGCCGGGCGTGGTGGCTCATGCCTGTAATCCCAGCACTTTGGGAGGGTGAGGCAGGTGGATCACCTGAGGTCAGGAGTTCGAGACCAGCCTGGCTAACATGGTGAAACCCCATCTCTACTAAAAATACAAAAATTAGCCAAGCGTGATGCAGGTGCCTGTACTCCCAGCTACTTGGGAGGCTGAGGCAGGAGAATCGCTTGAACCCAGGAGGCAGAAGTTGCAGCGAGGCAAGATCGCGCCACTGCACTCCAGCCTGGGTGACAGAGCGAGACTCTGTCTCAAAAAAAAAGAAAAAACATCTCATAACCTTTTAGGCTGGTGGCCAGTCAACTTCTTGCTAACGGAAATGAAAACTCTTTTGATGTTGATGGAAAATAATCATCTTTATTCATTTATTCATTCTGCAAGTATTTCCTGAGGACCTGCTGTGTGCTGGGCCCCTGTGGACTCGCAGACAGTGAGCATCCGCTCTCCTGAGCTTCTCTCACCTCTTTCTGCTCTGGAATTTCTTCTCAATGAGACCACACTATTTCTATACTCTCTGGTGTCTGGCTTTTTTCACGCAGCACGTTTTCTTTCTTTTTTTTTTTTTTGAGATGGAGTTTTGCTCTTGTTGCCCAGGCTGGAGTGCAATGACGTGATCTCGACTCACTGCAACCTCTGCCTCCCAGGTTCAAGCGATTCTCCTGCCTCAGCCTCCCGAGTAGCTGGGATTACAGGCGCCTGCCCCCTCGCCTGGCTAATTTTTCTTTTTTTTTTTTTTTTTTTGTATTTTTAGTACAGATGGGGTTTCACCACGTTGGCCAGGCTAGTCTCGAACTCCTGACCTCAGGTGATCTGCCTCCCAAAGTGCCAGGATTATAGGCGTGAGCCACCGCACCTGGCCTTACGCAGCACATTTTCAAGGTTATCCCGCATTGCGTGTATCAGTGAAGCGGTGTCACTCGTCTGGGGTAAATACCCAAGATTCATTGTCTTCACAGCCACGGAAGACTAGGACACGGACATACAGTGAGGTTCAGAGTGGAAGTATAATAGGTGAAAGAAAGAGAAGAGCTCTGTCTGCTGCAGAGAGAGGGGTTCCAGTGAAATGGGTTGCTGTTTCTGCAATGAAATGCAAGGGGTTTTAAAGATGAGCCTGAGGAGATGGTGTCTGATTTACAAAGGGCACAAAGATTGGTCAGACCAGGTGTTTCATTTGCATAGGATGCATAAAACTGGTTAGGGCTAGGTGTGCCATTTGCATGTGGTGCGAAAAGCTGGCCAGCCCCACTCCAATCTTGTGTTATGCAGATGGGTTCTCTACCTGGCCAGTGCCATGTTGCCTACTTCTTTACTGTCTTGTGGTAACAAAAGGGAAGATAGAGCCTCTTTGCTGAGTATATCTGGCCCCCTGGTAGCCCTTTTCTATTGGCACAGCTGCTGGCATTCACTCCTGTGAGCTTCCAGCTTGCTTATCTATGTCTGCAGCTTGATTTTTCAGGCTGCTCTTTTTTAGAAAAGAAATGATTTGAGGCTGGGTGCAGTGGCTCACACCTGTAATCTCAACACTTTGGGAGGCTGAGGTGGGTGGATCAACTGAGGTCAAGAGTTTGAGACTAGCCTGGCCAACATGGTGAAACCCCGTCTCTACTAAAAATACAAAAAAATTAGCCGGGCATGGTGGTGGGTGCCTGTAATTCCAGCTACTTGGGAGGCTGAGACAGGAGAATTGCTTGAATCTGGGAGGTAGAGTTTGCAGTGAGCCAAGATAGTGCCATTGCACTCCTGCCTGGGCGACAAGAGTGAAACTCCGTCTCAAAAAAGAAAAAGAAAAAAGAAAAAAAAGAAAAGAAACGATTTGGGGATTTTGTTAAAAGGGAAATTCTGCCGAGGACTGTTTTACCCTCACTATCTGCCTAAATAATTTCTTTCTGTCTCCTGTATCATCAGTAGCTCATTCCTTTTTAGGCTGTGTAATGTTCTCTTGTGTGGCTGTATCACAATTTGTATATCTACCAAACTGTTGTTAGATTGGTTGTTTCCATGTTGGGGCGTGATGAATAAGGCCTCAGGGAACATTTTGGCCAAGTCTTTTGTGCCCGTTTGCACTCCTTGCTCTTTGATATATACCTAAGGGTGGACTTGCTGTCAGAGGGTAGGTGTGTGTTTAACTTTGTTAGAAACCTCTAAACAGATCTCCAAGGTGGCTCTCCCACCAGCAGAGTCTGAGGGTCTGAGTTCTCGCTGCTCCGTTCTTGGGGGGCTGTCCTCACAGAGCCCCTTGCCCCTCCTCTGCTGTAACCCAACATTCATGTTTCTCTCTTTCTCTGCCTCTTCAGGTGCTCTTGAGAGTTTGAGGGGAAATGCAGATTTGGTGAGTCTCCATGAAATTTGGGCCAGTAGCTCGGGCTCTGGGCCCTTCCCTCCCCACCCCTCAGGTCCTTCCCTGCAGGTGTGTCAGGAGCCCAGGGAACCCAACCCTAGGCAGTGCAGTGGGGGTCTGGTCTCAGCCTCCCTGACTCCGGCCCAGCGCCTGCTGGGGCAGATTGTTCATCTCTGCGCTTCCTCATCTGCAAAGCTGACAGCAGAAGCAGGGCAGACCTGATGAGGGGCAGTCATCGGGATCCAGACCAAGTCGCCACTCTCTCATTCACAAGTATTTATTGTGTGGCTCCCATGCTCTGTGCTGGGGCCACCTGGGAAGGAGCCATCAGTCAGTTAGGCGAGAGAGAAGTTAGACAAATGAGTATATAAATAGAAATAGTGATAAGTACCATCAACAAAAGAACAGGCTGCCTTGAGAGAATTACAAGGGGACTGAGCCTGGGGAGAGGGCAGCCTTGGGTGCCTCCAGGTGGCCTGGGCATGGTTCTGCTGACAGAGTTCTCAGGTACACCCCGGCCTAGGTGACCCGTGAGGTCCTTTGGGATGAATGCTCATGGCTGTTGGATTTCCAGGTTACCAGCTCCCTTCCCTTAATACCAAGATGGGGGGGTCACCTTCTAGTGCTAGTCTTCCCTGCAGTTGCTTCTCTTTTGCCCTGGAATGCCGGGTGGAGACCCTGCTACTCCTTGTGCGAGAGGGCAGACCCCGTTTTCTTCCCGCCTCTCCAGACTGTCCTCTAGGGAGCGTGGGGAGAGCCCGGGTTTACGTGGGTCCCTGTGCTGGCAGGCTTACATCCTGAGCATGGAGCCCTGTGGCCACTGCCTCATTATCAACAATGTGAACTTCTGCCGTGAGTCCGGGCTCCGCACCCGCACTGGCTCCAACATCGACTGTGAGAAGTTGCGGCGTCGCTTCTCCTCGCTGCATTTCATGGTGGAGGTGAAGGGCGACCTGACTGCCAAGGTACACTCACTATCTGTGGAGGGAGACAGGGTGGGGGGCAGTGGGTGGGGAAGTATCTTTTGAGGGACTCCAAAAGCCAGCTGACTCCCCAGGCGAGCCCTTACATCTGGAGGACCATGGGAGGTAGGACGGCCCAGCGGCTACAGGTTCAAGTTCAGACGCAGAAGTCCGGGTTTGAGGACTGGCTCTCTCGGCCACCTGCTGTGTGACCTCCTGTGCCTCAGTTTCCTTGTCTGGAAAGCAGGAATAGTACCTGCCTCCTTGGGTTGTTTTGGGGGTTAGATGAACAGTGCCCAAGCGTAGCACCTTCTCCCCAAAAATGGTGGCTATTACGACTGCTGGGACTGTCAGCACTTCGGTACTGGCCCTGGGAAACCGAGAAAGTGCTCTGCCCAGGCGTTTGGGTTGGGCCCTTTGTTGTTTTATTTTTTGGGGGGGGCGGGGGCACAGAGTCCCACTCTGTCATCCAGGCTGGAGTACAGTGGCGCGATCTCGGCTCACTGCAACCTCCACCTCCCAGGTTCAAGCAATTCTCCTGCCTCAGCCTCCTGAGTAGCTGGGATTACAGGTGTGTGCCACCATGCCTGGCTAAATTTTTTTTTTTGTATTTTTAGTAGAGACGGGGTTTCACCATGTTGGCCAGGCTGGTCTCGAACTCGTGACCTCAAATGATCCACCTGCCTTGGCCTCCCAAAGTGCTGGGATTACAGGCGTGAACCACCATGCCTGGCCAGGCTGGGCCCTTTTATTGTTAGGAACGGTCCAGTCTGCATCTAGACCTATCCGTGCTTCTGGCTCACCTGCAGCCCTCTCTTGTAGAAAATGGTGCTGGCTTTGCTGGAGCTGGCGCAGCAGGACCACGGTGCTCTGGACTGCTGCGTGGTGGTCATTCTCTCTCACGGCTGTCAGGTAGGAAGCCTCCCACTGTTCCCTGGGCAGGCATTGGGTACTGGCCGTGCCAAGAGGCTGTGCAGGGGCCATGTCCCTTCTTGTGTCCAAAACACCCTTGGCTTTGTGGAAAAGGGCTGTGGGGCCCTGCCCACCTCCTGTTGTTTTCTTGGGAGCCATGTGGTCCTCTGAGGAGTTGGCTGCACCGTCCTGGGCAGGTCGGTGTTCCTGGGAGAAGCCCTCTGGGAGAGGGAGGGCAGAGACCAGGTCTGCTCACGAAGCTCCTGCACCCAGAGTTTGTTCAGAGGCGGGTACAGCACACATGTTGTCTCAGCTCCTGTCTCTGTCCTGTGAGGCACTGCCCCAGGCCCCTTGCTGCTGGTGGGACTCAGGACACCAGGCCCACTGGGGGCTTGGCCCCTTACGTATTTGTCACTGTGATTAAGCCCTTACCCCTTACTGGGCCTCAGTTTCCTCATCTTTTAAGTTGAGGAGTTGGACAGATCACAGTTATAAGCTGGGGCCTGGAGTCCCCCTGTGGTCTGCACGGTGTTTTGAAAACTGGCAAATTTCACATAAAAATCAGGATTTCTAGTTTCTCTTGACAAACCGCAAAGGTCTGGCCTGACGAGGCCAGCATCTTCAGCCAGTAAAACTCCAGCCTGTGGCTGGGCAGGGCTTTCCCTTTGGTCCTTTCTCTCATAATATGGTCCCTAGAGCTCATGAAGAATGTGGACTCCCAGGCCCTACCCTGGACCTCTTCATTCCAAGTCCGCCCAGCAACAAGGTTTCCAGGTGATTTCCATGCCCTTGAGGTCTGAGCTGAACTGATTTAAAGCAGCCACTCTCAGCGTTGAGCTGCCTCAGTCAGAGGGGCCTGGAGGACCATACTGCTGATTAGGAGGTCTGGGTGGGGCCCAGGAATCACATTTCTTACAAGTTCCCAAGCGATATTGATGCCGCTGCTGCAGGGGCCAAACTTTGAGAACCACTGGTCTAGAGGCCGCAGCCAGCACTCTCCAGGCACACTGGCCCCTAGAGGCACATGAGTTTGACATGCAACCCCTTGCTGTCAAGGTGTCTTTCCAGATGCTGACCAGGGTCTTTCCAGAACCAACCTGCTCTGTCTCAATCAGCCTCGTGCCCCTGGCTTTGACCTTCCAAATCCTTGGCTCCCACAAAACCTCTGAACAGGCTGTTGGATTCCTACTCCAACTTCTTGGTTTTGTAACCAGGGTTCTTGGTCTTCTAGGCCAGCCACCTGCAGTTCCCAGGGGCTGTCTACGGCACAGATGGATGCCCTGTGTCGGTCGAGAAGATTGTGAACATCTTCAATGGGACCAGCTGCCCCAGCCTGGGAGGGAAGCCCAAGCTCTTTTTCATCCAGGCCTGTGGTGGGGGTAAGCAGCTCCTCAGCCTCCCTCTGGGTGGGTCTGGTGGGGAGGGAGCCGCCACCTGCTTCTTTCTCCAGCCTGCCCCTCACAGGGCCCATGAGGTCTCTCCAGGCAGTCAGAGGGTACCACACATGGTCCCTTTTTGGCAGCACCTCTGTCTGGCTGGAGCAGGCCCTGCTCTGTCTGCTTTGTAGAGGTCAGAGTCTTCTGTTTCATGGCACAGTGGCATCATGGGCTCAAGTAACTTTGGCAGCTTCAATTCCAAAGACTTGGCAAAAAGAAAGCAGAAGAGAGAGGAGAAACCTCTTTTTATTTTTCTTGTCACCATTCTCCTGACCTCCATCAACTAGACCCCGTTTCCACTATCCCAGAGAAAGGGTGGCCACAGCTAAACTGCATGGAGAAACCAAAGAATTTAAATATTGGAATTTTCAAAAGTGTAGTTGTGGGGGTTCGAGGAACATTTAAAGATTACTTGGGCTGGGTGCAGTGTCTCATGCCCAACACTTTGGGAGGCCGAGGCAGGAGGATTGCTTGAGCCAGGAGTTCGAGACCAGCCTGGGCAACACAGCGAGACCCTGTCTCTATTTTTGTTTTGTTTTTTAAATGTATTACTTGGATTCTTTGTAGTTTTGCTGTATGCTCTAATTTTAAACTTAACTCCTATTACAGTGTTATCTGATTTTCTTATAAAAAAAGAGGGAAGAGAGACAAACATGGGGTTCCTAGTTTGTGGGTCATGACAGGAATATCAGGGAGCGCTAGAAATTCTGTCCCAGGGAGTCCCCTCTGCCCTAGGCTCTCCACGGACTGGAACATTCAGAAGGTATATCAGTTCCTTGCCTCCAGCCTGATCTGCCAGAGAAGTGAGCACTGTTATACCATAGCGCTGTCCAGCTCGTCCAGCTGTGACATGGGCACCTGTGGTCTATTTCTCCTGTGCACATCCAACTGCCCCATCCCTATTCCACGTTGGTGGAGTTGGGTGGAGGCTACCTAGGAGAGCAGTCTCTGGTCACATCATTCATCCAGTAAGTGTTTATTGAGCACCATCTGTATATACCAGGCTGTGCGTTAGGTGCTGGGGATAGGGGAAAAACAGAGTTTCAGTCTCCTGGAATTTATAATTTGACATGAACTGTATTAAGTCACTGTCATGACCCATGCCCATAACTTGACCACAAGTGATTGAGAACACTTGATTAACCCTGGATGGGCTACTGACCTATCTATCACACAGCCCTGGGCCAGTTCATCTCTAGACAGCTCAGCAAATGGGGAAAATAACAGAACCCACTCCCAAGCTCAGGTGATCCTCCCACCTCAGCCTCCTGAGTAGCTGGGGCTACAGGTGCACACTACCATGCCCAGCTAATTTTTCTATTTTTTTTTTGTAGAGACAGGGTTTTGCCATGTTGCCCAGGCTGGTCTTGAACTCCTGGGTTCAAGCAATCTGCTCACTTCGGCCTCCCAAAGTGCTGGGATTACAGGCGTGAGCCACTGTGCCCAGGCAACTTTAATAATATTTAATGCACTAATTGGTGTGTGTACAGTGATTGGTTCATTTTAATAACTGAAAACCCAGCCTGCCCCCCGCTCCCACCCCGGAGGACCCAGTGTCACATAAGAGTCCCCCACCCCGCTGTCGCCAGCAGAGTTCCCTCAGGACAACAGTAACAGGAAGTGAGGAAGGCTGCCACTCTCGGGGCTGTAGAAACCCTGCTCTGCCTCACCTCCTGTCTTATCCACAGTGTGTGGTCCAGCAATGCTCTTCCTTCGGAGCCTCCGGTCCCTCTTTCTCCTATGAATCAAATGAAAGACAGAAAGGGCAGGGGAATTAGGAATGCAGGCTGAGCAGGCATACCTACTTTCTGGACAGTTAGTCAGTCTTGTGCTCCTCCCATGCCCCATCCAGTCTCAGTCTCAACAGCAGGGAGGGCCTTTGTCACGTGAATATCTGCTGTCACTCTTAGGACTCAGTAGCAGGGCTTCCAAGGCCTTTGGTGACCTGGCCCCTGCCACTTCACCTTCCCCAGCCTGGCATGCTCCGAGTCCCCAGCACGGCCCAGCCTTCCCAGGATGTCCAGGCTCTTGCTTGCTCTTCTACCTGCTCCCCTGGCTAACTCTTTTTTTAAAATTCATTTTTACTTATTTTGTTTTAGAGATGGGGGTCTCACTATATTGCCCAGGCTAGTCTTGAACTGTTGGGTTCAAGTGATACTCCCACCTCCGCCTCCCAAAGTGCTGGGATAACAGGCATGAGCCACCGTGCCTGGCACCTGGCTGACTCTTAATCATCCATCCTTCTGGTTACAATTTATTGTCACTTCCCTAAACACCCCCTTTCTTGGCCAAAGTCAGGGTTAGCTGGCCTTTGTGCTCCTGCAGCCTCTGTCCCTCCCCTACCATAGCACTGTCTCATTGTATTGAGATGGGCTTATCCCCTGGTCAGCTCTGAGGGGAGGGCCAGGCCTACCCTGCAGCCAGGCCCCCAGCCTGGCACAGAGCCCACAGTCTGGTTGCGTCTCATGTGGATTCTAATTTGAATGTAAAGGAGAACCATACAAAAGCATCTGTGGTGGTTCACGCCTGTAATCCCAACAGTTTGGGAGGCCAAGGTGGGAGGATCTCTTGAGACGAGGAGTTTGAGACCAGTCTCTATCATAAAATTTAAAACATTAGCCAGGCCTGGTGGTGTGTGCCTATGGTCCCAGCTACTTGGGATGTTTAGGCAGGAAGATCGCTTGAGCCCTGGAGGTCGAGGCTACAGTGAGCCATGTTTACACTATTGCACTCCGGCCTGAGTGACAGAGCCAGTCTGTCACCTGTCTCTAAAAAAATAAAAAATAAAAAAAAAATATGAGCCAAATTTGGCATAATGTAGATTTCCATCATTAAAACAAAACTCACAGAAAACAGCAAGATTTCAAAGCCAGCATGCAGTGATTAAGATATCCCTTTGGAGTCGGGTCCTTGCTTTGCCTCCGCAGGCTGCGTGACCTGGTGCTTAACGCAGTTACCACATGGTGGCGCCACGTCAGCTGAGAGCAGAAATAGAAAGGTCCCCGTTCTTCACTAGTGCCTGGCGAGGGGTCTGTTTACATGCATCAGAACACCTGTCCTGGGTTTTGAGGACTCTTGTATTGCTATTTTATAACTCACTATAATACTTTAAAAATATTTAATTTAAAAATCATTTAATAATTAATTTAAATATAATAATAAATAATTTAAAAATCATTTTTAAATAATAATTTTAAAACCCTCCAACATGTCATCCACCCATTCATTAGGAGGTAACAGCACCAGGGCTGAAAAATGTGCATTAAAGTCGATAACTTTGGTGTGCAACGTCAGCGTGATAGGCAACCAAGTAGCCACCTCTCTGAGGCTGAGCCGTCAATTTTGGGGTGACCCCTCTTTGGGATTTGAGAGATCGGGCTGAGAAGACAGAAAGCAATGACAATATGCTGCAGTGGTCGTGGATTTTCTGTGCGGAGGGAACATCTCCTCCTACTGTATATTTATTCTTGTGGGGAATGAGTCCTGCCCTACGGGGAGTTTTGCATTAATGAGGCTCTCTAAGAACCGAGGCTCTCCAAGAACCAAGCCATGCATACAGTGCAGAACACCCTAGGCAAGGCCTTCACATCAGATTTGTGGGCTGAGGCTGACACGTGAACGGAGCTGCCTTAGCGCCCCGCCTGACCCCCTCTTTCCTTTCCCCCACACCCCCTGCTCTGATCTGCTGTCTCTTCTCAGCCTCTCTGCTCACCCTGTCTCTTCTGGCCATTCTTAACGGCATCCCCCACTTAGGCATCCCTCCGCCCCCACAGGCTGCCAGGCAGACCCAGCACCATCACATTCACGCCTCAGGCCTCCTTGCTGTGCTGTTTCACGTCATTCCCAGACACCTGGGGCAGATTCCGGAGTCTCTACCAAGAAAACAACCAGAAGCAATGAACCACAAAATCTGGAGAAAAACATGGCTGTCACAGATCAAAGAGGCCCCCCTTTGGAGGCTGGGGGCCTCCGTGAGAAGCAGTGGGATAGTTGAGAGGCAAAAAACATGGGGCAGAATTCCGCGCCCCTCATATCAGCTGGGAGAATGCCAATGACCAGTGGTTTCTGAGCTTTAGCTGTGTGGGGTAAGAGGTCAATAGATTTTGGTGTTACTATTATGGGGTTGCCAGAGCCACCTCTGTTCCTGCCAGATGGGCCCCCAGCTCCTCTGGGTGAACTGTGACTTCCCTCAGTCACATAGATCCAGCCATGCAAACCTGCCTGCGTTGCGGCCACAGCACTTGCTGTCTCTCTCACCAGGACCGTTCTCCCTGATGGCATCAGGGCCTGGATCACAGTCACATTCTCCAGGAGTGTTTTTGCAGGGGACCCTCTGGATCACTCCTACTCCAACTTCAGCCTATTTTTAAAAAAATTTCTCTTTTTTTTTCTGCAGTATGTATACATAGTTAAATATATATTTATATTTTTTAACCAAAGCTCTTGTTAGATGCCTTCTTTCCTGAGTAGCCCTCTGTGCTCCGCCTTACCCCACCCACCATGAGCCCTACTGCAGAAGACCTCATCCCGGAAGACCTCCGTCAGTGTCTCCACTTCAGTAGCTCTGTAGCTGAGCCATGTGGGGCACAAGTCCTGCCAGGACCTCTCTGTTTTCCAAGCTTGGCACTGCCTTTGGGGAGTCTAGATTTTAAAATGGAAAAGACAAAAAATATGGCAACCTAAAAAAGAAAATAATTCAGAATGTTATAAGCTAATACAGCCATCTCATTTTTGCATCTTCCTTTTGGATTCCAGCCCATGAGCACAGTCTGCTTTTCTCAGCTAACGTTATCCCTTAAGCAGTTCCCCAGATCTCCATGGCCTTCATCATCACTAGCTCAAATGGCTTTATAATGGGCCATTTTCATGACATGCACTAATTTACTAAACCATTTTCCTAATGTCGGCCATTTAGGTGATATCTAATTTTTGGCTCACACAACCACAGGTGTCTTCATATAGAAAGCTTTTGACTGCATTTGAATTATTTTCTTAGGAAATTACTGGATTAGAAGGTGTAAACATCTCCATGGATTTCATTATCCATGACTTGGTGTCTATTTGGTATTTTTCTGATGGCTTCTTTGATTCTAGAAAAGGATTTGCCATAGTGCAAGAAGTACAAATGATAACACTAGGACAAAATAGAGAGGGAACACAAGGAGAGAAGAAAAGTAAAAGTTTGGATTCCAAAAATACATCCTAGGATGTCCTGCAGCTTTCTACAGTTCTCTAATGTACAAGTGAATTAAAAATTTAAGGTATACAACGACTGATTTTAGAGATAAAATCACTTTGCAGATGTAAAGAAACATGGAAAAATCCCAGCCATTGGTAATAGTAGACTCAAAAATGAGGTAGGTCAAAGTCCCAGTCAGCCTCTGTCTGGGGGGAAACCCCTTAACTTATCTCAGTCTCAGTTGCCTAATTACATAAAATGGAATACTGATAGCTACTTGCTAGAGGTGGCCTGCGCATTTTTTACGCTTTCCAGCCGCCATTGGAAATAAGATCATTGGCCAGGGGCGGTGGCTCACGCCTGTCATCCCAGCACTTTGGGAGGCTGAGGCGGGCAGATCACGAGGTCAGGAGATCAAGACCATCCTGGCTAACACAGTGAAGCCCCATCTCTACAAATAATTAGCCAGGTGTGGTGGCACACGCCTGTAGTCCCAGCTACTTGGGAGGCTGAGACAGGAGAATCGCTTGAACCCAGGAGGCGAAGCTTGCAGTGAGCCATCGCGCCACTGCATTCCAGCCTGGATGACAGAGCGAGACTCTGTCTCAAAAAAAAAAAAAAAAAAAAAAAAAGATCACTTTCAAGATCCATGGAATCTGGTGTTCTATAGTTCTATATCTGGTATTTGCAAGACAGAAGTCAGGAATAGAGACTCCAGACACATTTCTTCCCTTGGTTGTCTTAAAGGGGACACTGTGATCTTGACAGCCTGAGTAAAGGGTTTGAGTGAGTGCCTATGATATAGTGGACAGTTTCCTCAACTATATTTCTAAAAAAAGACAAGTTTTATGTCTTTTTAAAAATTGTGGCAAAATACATATAACATAAAATTTACTATCTTAACCATTTTTTTGGGGTGATTGCTTGAGCTCAGGAGTTTGAGGCTGGAGCGAGTTAAGATCATGCCACTTCAATCTGGGCAACAGAGCAAAAGTGTGTCTCTTAAAAAAAAAAATGCCTGTAATCCCAGCACTTTGGGAGGCCAAGGCAGGCAGATTGCTTGAGCCCAGGAGTTTGAGACCAGCCCGGGCAACATGGCAAGATCCTGTCTCTACAAAAAATACAAAAATTAACTGGGTGTGGTGGCACCTGTAGTCCCAGCTACTTGAGAGGCTGAGGTGGGGGATCACTTGAGCCTGGCAGGTCAAGGCTGCAGTGAGCTGTGATTGCACCACTGCACTCCAGCCTGGGTGACAGAATGAGACTCTCTCAAAAAACAAAAACAAAAACAAAAAACAATCCCCCAAAACAAAACAAAAAACCACTGCCCTCTCCCCACTGAATGGTCCTGCCACCCTTTTCAAAATTCATTTGACCACGCATGTGAGGGTGTATGTCTGGGCTCTATTCAATGACATTGACCTATGTCTGTCTTTATGCCAGTACCATACTGTTTTGATTACTGTAGCTTTGTAGTAAGTTTTGAAATCAGGAAGTGTGAGTCCTCCAATTTTGCTCTTTTTCCAGATTGTTTTGTCTATTTGGGGTCCCTTGAGATTCTCGTGTGAATTTTAGGATAGATTTTCTATTTCTGCAAAAAACATCATTGGGGTTTTGATAGGGATTACATTTAATCTATGGATTGCTTTGGGTAGTATTGAGATCTTTAAGTTTTCTAATCCATGAACATAGGATATATTTCCATTTATTTATATCTTTTTTTTTTTTTTCTTGAGACAGAGTCTCGCTCTGTTGTCAGACTGGAGGACTGTGGCGCCATCTCGGCTCACTGCAACCTCTGACTCCCTGGTTCAAGCAATTCTCCTGCTTCAGCCTCCTGAGTAGCTGGGATTACAGGCACACGCCACCACGCCCAGCTAATTTTTATATTTTTAGTAGAGACGGGGTTTCACCATGTTGGCTAGGATGGTCTCAATCTCCTGACCTAGTGATCCACCAGCCTCGGTCTCCCAAAGTGCTGGGATTACAGGCGTGAGCCACTGTGCCTGGCCTATGTCTTCTTTATTTTTCTTTCTTTCTTTCTTTCTTTTTTTTTTTTTTTTTTAGATGGAGTCCTGCTCTGTTGCCCAGGCTGGAGTGCAATGGCACGATCTTGACTCACTGCAACCTCCGCCTCCTGGATTCAAGTGATTTTCCTGCCTCAGCCTCCCAAGTAGCTGGGATTACAGGTGCCCACCACCACGCCTGGGTAATTTTTGTATTTTTTAATAGAGACGGGGTTTTACCATGTTGGCCAGGCTTGTTTCAAACTCCTGACCTCAGGTGATCTGCCTGCCTTGGCCTCCCAAAGTGCTGGGATTACAGGTGTGAGCCACTGTGCCCGGCTCTTTTTCTTTTTTGAGACTGGGTCTTGCTTTGTCACCCAGGCTGAAGTGCAGTGGCGCGATCACTGCACACTGCAGCCTCAACTGCTTGGACTCAAGTGGTTCTCCCACCTCAGCCTCACGAGTAGCTGGGACCACAGGCACATGCCACCACACCTGGCTAAATTTTTTATTATGTGTAGAGATGAGGTTTTGCTGGTCTGGAACTCCTGGGCTCAAGGGATCCTCCTGCCTCAGCCTCCCAAAGTGTTGAGATTACAGGCGTGAGCCATGGCATCCAGCCTTCTTTCTTTCAGCAATGTTTTGTAGTTTTCATTTTACAAGTCTTTCATCTTGGTTAAGTTAATTTCTAACTATTTTATTATTTTTGATGCTATTGTCAATGGAACCATTTTTGTAATTTCTTTTTCTGATTGTTCATTGTTAGTGTATAGAAATGGAAGTATTTTTTGTGGTTGGCTTCGTATCCTGCTAATATGCTAATTTTATTTGTTCTAATAGTGTTTCATCTTTAGGGTTTTCTGCATATAAAATCATACCATTTGTGAGTAGAGATAATTTTACTCCTTCTTTCCAATTTGAATGTCTTTTATTTCTTTTTCTTGCCTCCTTGCTCTATTAACTTCTAGTAATGTGTTGAATAGAAGTGGCAAAAGCAGAAATTCTTGCCTTCTTCCTGATCTTATAGAAAAAGGTTTCAGTCTTTCACCATTGAGTATAATGTTTGCTGTGGGTTTTTCATATATGGCTTTTACTATGTTGAGGTAGTTTCCTTCTATTCTGAGTTTGTTGACTGTTTTTATCATGAAAGCTTGTTGAATTTTGTCATGTGCTTTTTTCTGCATCAATTGAGATGATGATGTAGGGTTTTTTTCATTCTCTTATGAACCCCAAAAATCTGAGACAGGTCTCAGTCAATTTAAGAAGTTTCTTTTGCCAAAGTTAAGGATGCACGCCCAGGAGACAGGTCTATGCCTTTCTCTGAACATGAATTTTAGGGTTCCAAATTTAAAGGGGAAAGGGCAGGATATTGAGAAGTACACAGTTTTCAGGTAAGAGCAGGGTAGGGGGAAATAGTCATTCAAGCATTTGTCTGGCTCAGTGAATTTGCATTTTTACGTAAGGTAACATAGGGCAGGGGAAAATGCAGGGAACCTGCATTTTTACGTAAGATAACAAAGACAAATGGGGCAGGGGAATAATCAGATATGCATTTGTGCCAGGTGGGCAGAGGGGTGATGCCTCTGTAAAGATAAGCTATCCATTTACATTGCCGTGGTGAATTTTATCAGACAACTATCTTGGAGCTCACCAGGAATTTCCTTGTGGGCAAAATATGGGAGAGGTGTGTAGCTTTTCATCTTGTAGCCATCTTATTTAGGAACCAAAACGGGGAGGCAGGTTTGCGTGACCCAGTTCCCAGCTTGACTTTTCCGTTTGGCTTAATGAGTTTGGGGTCCCAAGATTTATTTTCCTTTCACACTGTTAATGTAGTATATTGCACCGACTTTCATATGTTGAACCATCCTTGTCTGTGTATTTCAATGACAAGAGGTGTTTGTTTCTGCTTCCTGCAGAGCAGAAAGACCATGGGTTTGAGGTGGCCTCCACTTCCCCTGAAGACGAGTCCCCTGGCAGTAACCCCGAGCCAGATGCCACCCCGTTCCAGGAAGGTTTGAGGACCTTCGACCAGCTGGACGCCATATCTAGTTTGCCCACACCCAGTGACATCTTTGTGTCCTACTCTACTTTCCCAGGTGAGCACATCAGAAGGGCTCGTCCTCGCAGCCAGTGGGTCTTCCCGTCTGCCCTAGAGGCAGCTGTGTGGTGAGAGAAAAGACCAGGGTATGAGTCCTGGTTCTGTCTTTTGCCCCTCTGTGACCCTGAGCAAGTTACTTCTCTCTGAGCCTCGGCTCAGGCTGAGCGGGCAAGGATGCGCGCTGCAAGGAGGCCTGCGCCCTTGGGTTCCTATGCCTCACTTGCCTCTCCTCTGCCTGACCCTGCCTCTGCCTTCGCATCTTTAGCAGGGGAATAGGAATCGTGCCTCAGGGGTTTCCATGGGAATTAAACAAGGTGGCTGGCACGTCACTGAGCACAGTGCGGGGCACGTAGTAGTTGCAGCAAGCGGTAGTTTCCTTCCTTCTTTTTTTTTTTTTTTTTTTTTTTTGAGATGGAATCTCGCTCTGTTGCCCAGGCTGGAGTGCAGTGGCGCGATCTTGGGTCACTGCAAGCTCTGCATCCCGGGTTCACACCATTCTCCTGCCTCAGCCTCCCAAGTAGCTGGGACTACAAGCACCTGCCACCACGCCTGGCTAATTTTTTGTATTTTTAGTAGAGATGGGGTTTCACCGTGTTAGCCACGATGGTCTCGATCTCCTGACCTCGTGATCCACCTGCCTCGGCTTCCCAAAGTGCTGGGATTACAGGCGTGAGCCACCGCGCCCAGCCTTTTTTTTTTTTTTTTTGAGACGGAGTCTTGCTTTGTCGCCCAGGCTGGAGTTCAGTAGCATGATCTCAGCTCACTGCAACCTCCACCTCCCGGGTTGAAGTAATTCTCCTGCCTTAGCCTCCTAAGTAGCTGGGATTACAGGCATGCATCACCACACCCAGCTAATTTTTGTATTTTTAGTAGACACAGGGTTTCACCATGTTGGCCAGGCTGGTCAAGAATTCCTGACCTCAAGTGATTTGCCCACCTCGGCCTTCCAAAATGCTGGGATTACAGGTGTGAGCCACTGTGCCTGGCAGTTTCCTTCCTTTCTTATGTCTTGGATGAGTCACTTGACTTTTCCAAGCCTTGGTTTCCTTGCTGGGAAAACAGGAATTATAGCCGGAATCAGGGGATGGTCATGAGGGTGAAATAAGATCATGATTAGGGCAGAGCCTCAGGGGCCAGGCTGCTCCTGTTGGATGTATGTATGAGTCAAGGTCTGGAGGGCGCCCGAGCCAGCGTGCATGGCCAGAGGGGTGGTGGGGAGCCGGCGGAGGGGTGGCTCTCCAGCAGTGTTCAGCCCTCCTCCCTCCAAAGGTTTTGTTTCCTGGAGGGACCCCAAGAGTGGCTCCTGGTACGTTGAGACCCTGGACGACATCTTTGAGCAGTGGGCTCACTCTGAAGACCTGCAGTCCCTCCTGCTTAGGGTGAGTGCTGCCTTCCTCT
Organism: Homo sapiens; assembly: GCF_000001405.40. NCBI lineage: Eukaryota > Metazoa > Chordata > Mammalia > Primates > Hominidae > Homo > Homo sapiens. Next base: position 15,493,872 of record NC_000001.11, on the reverse strand, counting down.
GCAAAGGAGAGGGGAGGCTGCTGAGGGGCAGCGTGTCCTCCTGGGGCTGGGGATTTGGGGTGAGCAGGGCAGGCCCAAACCAAGGGTAAAAGGTAGTAGACTCCTGCCTCTGAGCCTTGGAGTCGGCACTTTTGTGTCTCTTTATGAGAGGCATCCTGCCTGTGGTGACGTTTGCCCTTTATTCAAAGAGTTGCCTTCCCTGTCTCCTCCAAGGTCCCCAGGTTGACACCTCCCGCTCCTCCACTGATGGAGCTGGTCCTCAGTGCCAGCGCAGGATGGCTCTGTCCAGACCCTGAAGGCGGGTCATGGGCCCCTCCCTATATCCTGTGGGCATCATGTAGTCTTCTACTCTTGACCCTCAAGAATTGTGAACCCCTCCTTGTACATCGCCTTCTCAGGAGGCCCCAGTGAGGAAACAGATAGGGAAGGGTGGCCTGATAGGCCCAGTCCTACTCCATAGAAACCCGACTCAGAGCAGTTGCTTCCTCTGAGGGTCCTGTGGCCTTGTGGCTGCCTTGGGAGGCAGCATGTATGGGCCCCAGCTGCTCTGCTCAGGTATTCATGCCACGAGAAGGGGCTGCGAGGCTGGGGCCACTCCTGGCTCCTTGCAAATATTTCAGTCTGATTTGAACTTTATGAATTTGGAAATTTTGAATTTTGAGTTTTTTAAAGGTAAAGTTGAGGTGCGTATTCTTTAAGCCCTCCTGCTCAAAGAGGCTGCAGTTTGAGCTGTTTTTAAGGTGCGGGTTGAGTGGACATTCCCCCCAGCCCCTCTTGAATTCTTCCTTCAGTCCAGAGAACTGAACTCACAGAGCTCTCCATGGTCATGTCTTACAGGTCGCTAATGCTGTTTCGGTGAAAGGGATTTATAAACAGATGCCTGGTTGCTTTAATTTCCTCCGGAAAAAACTTTTCTTTAAAACATCATAAGGCCAGGGCCCCTCACCCTGCCTTATCTTGCACCCCAAAGCTTTCCTGCCCCAGGCCTGAAAGAGGCTGAGGCCTGGACTTTCCTGCAACTCAAGGACTTTGCAGCCGGCACAGGGTCTGCTCTTTCTCTGCCAGTGACAGACAGGCTCTTAGCAGCTTCCAGATTGACGACAAGTGCTGAACAGTGGAGGAAGAGGGACAGATGAATGCCGTGGATTGCACGTGGCCTCTTGAGCAGTGGCTGGTCCAGGGCTAGTGACTTGTGTCCCATGATCCCTGTGTTGTCTCTAGAGCAGGGATTAACCTCTGCACTACTGACATGTGGGGCCAGGTCACCCTTTGCTGTGAGGCTGTCCTGTACATTGTGGGATGTTCAGCACTGTCCCTTGCCTCAATGCCAGTAACGCGTCTTCCTGAGTGGTGCCAAACAAAAAGGTTCTCAGGTGTTGCCAAATATGTCCTGGGGTATAAAACTTTCCTCGCCTGACAACCACTGGTCTGTAGGGATTTTTGGCTACACACAAACCAGTATCGCTCATAGATCAGCAAACCGGGGCCTACTAGAGTCTGAACAGCTGTAATCTATGAATTCTAAGTGAAATTTTAAAAATTGTTAATTTTTCCTATATTGCATTAATTTTAAAAAATAAATCTGAGGCAAATATGGACTCTCTTTTGCCTATTTCTTCCCTCATTTTGCTCCAACTCTTTCTTCTTCCTTACAAAAGAGACTTTTGCTTTTTTCGAAACATTTCCCCATGTTTTTCTGGGGTCTCGCTATGTTGCCCAGGCTGGTCTCAAACTCCTGGGCTCAAGTGACCCTCCCAAGTAGCTCTTACTACAGGCGTGCACCATTGCACCCAGCCCCATTTATTCATGTCTTATTTCACTTGATCCTTATCCCATCCCAGGAAGGCAACAAGGGTGAGAACCCTGTGCTCAGGGAGGTTAGGTCTCTTGTCCAAGGGAAAACGATTATCCAGAGAAGAGACCTGGCCAGAACCTGGGTCCCCTGAGTCCTAGCCATGCTTCCCATGTGCCTTACTTGCTGAAGCACCCCCGGACTGCAGTGTGAACGTGCTGTGCAATAGTGACACGCTGGGCTTCCCCACAAGGCTCCACCCTGAGGTCTTTTAAGCTGTCCTTATGCCAGCCTATTTCTTGTTTTTTGGGCCTTTTTTTTTGGAGATAGGGTCTCACTCTGTCGCCCAGGCTGGAGTGCAATGACGCAATCTTGGCTTATTGCAGTCTCGACCTCCTGGGCTCAAGAGATCCTTCCACCTCAGCCACCTGAGTAGCTTGGACTACAGGTGTGCACCACCTCTCCCAGTTAATTTTTGTATTTTTAGTAGAGACAGAGTTATGCCATGTTACTCAGGCTGGTCTTGAACTCCTGGACTCAAGCGATCAGCCTGCCTTAGCCTCCCAAAGTGCAGGGGTTACAGGCTTGAGCCATTGCGCCTGACCTATTTCTGGTTCTTAGGGCCCTGGATGTTAGGATGGATTTCTGAATTAATAATAATAATAAAACCCTCATCAAGATGTGATTTGCATAGTTGTCACTTTATATAATATTATTTTCCTTCTGTGACCTTTCCAAGTCTGAAACAGTCCCAGGGACTTCTTTTGGTTAGTTATTTGCAATCACCTGCAGGACACACACACAAGAAAATTGTCAGGTTCACGTAACCACAGAGCTGTGCGTGGCAGTTTCCTGTCTCTGTCCTCCTGGGCTAAGCTACTCAAGTGAGTCACAGGCAGCCCACACTACAGTAGCTCCTGCCTGAGGAGTTCAGATGATGTTTCGGAGAAAAAGATGCAATCACAGCTTTTCATTGACCTGTTAGGGTCTTCCTGTAAAGGGGGTCTTAGCCAGGAGTCCTGTGTGGGCTTCAGGTCAGGGGGCCTTCGAACCCCCTAAAAATTATATGCCAAATGTGCGGATGGCATATTTTTAGATTTCATTTGTTTCTCATCAAAACTGCTGTTTGCAAGGCAGTTATGCACTGTGGTTGGGGCTATAACTGTTTCCAGAGGCTGTTGATCAGTATCTGTTAAACTTTTTTTTTTTTTTTTTGAGACAGTCTTGCTCTGTTGCCCAGACGAGTACAGTGGCATATTCTAGGCTCACTGCAACCTCTGCCTCCCAGGTTCAAGCGATTCTCCTGCCTTAGCCTCCCGAGTAGCTGATATTACAGGTGTGCACCACCATGCCTGGCTGATTTTTTTGCATTTTTAGTAGAGACAGGGTTTCACCATGTTGGCCAGGCTGGTCTCGAACTGCTGACCTCAAGTGATCTACCCGTCTCGGCTTCCCAAAGTGCTCGGATTACAGGCGTGAGCCACCGCGCCCAGCCTGTTAAACATTTTGATATGCCAACTTCATGATCCAGTGCTGTAAACGGCAGGATATCCAGCTGCTACAGCACAAATACTCAAGTGTGCAAGAATTATGTCCAAGGATGTTCATTGCACAATGTAAGAGTGAAAAATAGGAAACATGAAAGCTGCATTCATTACACTCAAACTATGGAATACTATTTAGCTGTTCAAAAGAATGACATGTATGTACTGACATGTAAAATGTGATAAGGTGTTAAGTGAAAAATAGCTGCAGAACAGTATGAAGACTCAGATCCTAGTTTTTGCTTAGAAGACAGTGTCTATGTGTGTGTGTGTGTATATAGATAGATAGATAGATAGATAGATAGATAGATAGATATGCACATAAAGTTGAGAAGACCACACACCAAGCTTTTAACAATGATTGGCAGGGCGAAGTGGCTCACGCTTGTAATCCCAGCACATTGGGAGGCTGAGGTGGGCAGATCACCTGAGGTCAGGAGTTTGAGACCAGCCTGGCCAACATGGTGAAACCCCATCTCTACTAAAAATACAAAAATTAGTTGGGCATGGTGGTGCATGCCTGTAATCCCAGCTAGTTAGGAGGCTGAGGCAGGAGAATTGCTTGAACCCGGGAGGCGCAGGTTGCAGTGAGCTGAGATCAAGCCACTGTACTCCAGCCTGTGCAACAGAGCGAGACTCCATTTGAAAAAAAACAAAACAAAAACAATGATTACCTCTGGAGAGTGGAATTGGAGATGTAAAATGAGGGGGGACTTCTACTTTTTTACTTGATACTCTCCTGTATTCTTTTAATATTTTTACAAAGAGTATGTATTACCTTCTGGAAAAAGAATAAAAACTAAGGATTGCTGGAGTTCATGTGTGACTGTCATTCAACTGACATTTGTTGAAAGGATGAATGCCGCAGGCCACTTGTCTCCTCTGCTTCTCTGCTCTTATCTTTTGCTTGTACTTCCTGACCTTGGCTTGTCACCTGTCTGGGTTTATCCAGGCAGGTGCTCTCAGTCACCCCCAGGGCTCTAGTGGTACGTGACTCCAGGCTGCACACACTGTGTCCCTGGGTTGGGGCCACTTCAAGGTTTCACTAGCCCCTCTGCCGCTGCCAGGGGCAGCCCCCACCCAAGGACAGCTGGTTGCTTGGCTCTCCCCCTTCTGAAACCCGTTACCGGGCATCTGTGCCTGTCCCGACTGCTCTCCCATGAACACAGGGCCTCTGCCCAGCTGCCTCGGGAGGCGTGCTGCCCCGTGGATCCCTGCTGCCATCTGGCCATGCTTTGGGATCTGGCCTGTTCTGTTGTGCTTGTGTCTGTGGCTGGGAACAGCTGATGCTGGGAACAGCTGATGCTGGGACAACAGATCGGGACAATTGCCCCTGCCCCTGCTTCAGGTCCCCAGGATGCTGCCAGGACCAGCTGCACGGTGACTCCCACAGCAGCTGGGGCTGGAAAACGGTCTTAGGATTTGGCTGGGAAAGGCCCCTAAGCAGCCTTTCGTCCAGTCAGTCTCAGGCCAGGCTCCTTTGACGTGCGTGGTGCCTCCAAAGGTGGACTCAGATGGGTTTTTCCCAATTTAGATATAAAAAGCCCCAATTAATGATTAATGGCTACTGTCTTTTTGATTTTCCATTTTTTTCCAACAAACTTTTTTGGAATTTCTGCCTATGACCACTTGTTGGCAAAAGGATGCCAGCAGACAGACAAATGAACAAGGAGCTGGCAAGAATCAATGGGAACACTTGGAAGCAGCCACCTGCTTATTTTGACAGTTTAGTTTTCTCCCCTGACCACGTGCTTATGGCTGCAGTTTCATATTTGGTTTTATAAGTGTCAGTTTAATTCAATTTAACACTTCTCTGCAAATTAAACTTAGTGAAGTCAGATGTCAGCTTTCCCCTTCTTTGGGGGCTCTGCCACGAATACCATAACTCCCTCTTGCTCTAGTGCCTAAAAATGTGGAGGTCTAGTTCAAGTCCCACTTTACAGAAGAGCAAACAGGTGGTCCCTAATTGGCACAAAGTATCCGCCTCTTCTCCCCCAGCTTCTATTACCAGGCATGGTGTCTCCTCTGCCCTCTCCTGGGCTCCCCTTTCTTGTGACGGGGTTTCCTCTTCTGGCTGCTTTCATCTACTTCTGTGTGTATCCATGGCTGCTCCTTAATATTTATGCCAACTATTATTATCATTATTTTCAGAGACAGGGTCTTGCTATGTCGCTCAGGCTGCAGTGCAGTGGTGCGACCTTGGCTTACTGTAGGCTCCACCTCTTGGGCCAAAGCGATCCTTCCACCTCAGCCTCCCAAGCAGCTGAGACTACAGGCATGCACCACCATGGCTAATTAAAAAAAAAAATCTTTGTAAAGACAGAGTCTCGCTATGTTGCCCAGGCTGCTCTTGAACTCCTGGGCTCAAGCAATCCTCCTTCCTTGGCCTCCCAAAGTGCTGCGATTACAGGCATGAGCCATGGCACCTGGCCTATTATTTTTAATAAATATTTTTAATGCTTATTGTTATAAAAAATGTGTGTTCATTGTTAAAAAGAATTTGAGCTAGTGTGGAAGCTCACAGGAGACAGCTCTCTGAGTTTACATTTACAAGACGGGGACCAACTCAGCTTTATTTGCCTGGGATGGTCCCAGTGTAAAACAGGAAGTCCCGCATCCTGGAAAACCTCTCAGTCCTGGGCAAACTGGGATGGTTGGTCACCCTACAGAATAGCTGGAGGACCCTTGAGGGGGACTAATTTCCAATAATTAATGCTATGGGGGTCTCAAAGTATCAGGTTTTGGGTTTTGCAGACATATACCCATTTATAGCACTGGATGGTAGAGTCTGGGCCACACACAAATACACAAAAATAAAATCATTCCTGTGGAACTCACTCTTAACGTACCTGAGGAGTGTCCAACGTCTTTGGACAAGGCCATACTCTCATGTTCCTTTTCACTCAGCTTTACCCACACAGAAATTTTGGGGACCCATGGGGGACTCAGCAGTTGCCAAGGTCTGCAGCCTCCTCCAAGGGGTTCCCATCTAGCTCTCAAGAGGAAGGAGGGGGTTCTCAGTCGCCAGGTGGGCATGGCACTCCCGAGGCCAGGTGAGCAGGTCAGTGCCTTGGGGCTCAGGGCTGCTCCGGTTCTTACCGAATTGATCCAGTCGTTGTAGTTGGAGACCCGCGTGAAGATGGAGGGCTTGTAGTAGTAGTTGCAACCAAGGACCGACGTGAGGCTGCCGATGCCATGCACCTCCCACCGGCCGTCAGATGCCTGACAGTTCAGCGGCCCACCGGAGTCTCCCTGAGGAAGGCCAGAGTTATAGGGAGTTGAAGTGGGAGGAAGGGGCTGCCCATTGGAACCATTGTTCTCAATGCATTTCTATTGTTCTGCTGCAGGTCACTGTCCTCTGAAGCTGGTCCTTGTGGTCATAGCTCAAGGTGGTACCATAATTCCAACAAGAGCCAACACTTATTCTTCCTTAGAGCTGAGCTAAGCATGTTCTATGCCTCATCTCATTAATCCTCACAAAATCCTATGAGGTAAATATTCGTAGTATCCCCAGGCCACGGAAGAGGAGAAACTGGAGTGTTGAGAGGTTGGGACTTGCCCAAGGTTGCACAGGCAGTTTGTAAAGGAGCTGAGGCCACATCCCAGACTTCAGCTGCCAGGCTCTTCCCCACTGGTTCTGTCTTCCCGCAGGTGGTCTATGTGGGCAGAGTGTGTAGGGCACAGTGTGATCTGAAGGGCGTGTGGATCTCCTTCCTACTCCATCCCCACTTCACTGCTAAGTCCAACACAGAGCAATTCCTGGTGGTTAAGACACTGTCTCCAGGAAGGTTTCCGTGACAGCTACCTGGAGGGGACACACTGCGCCATTGATGAGAGTAATTCAACAGAAAAACCAGAAGTCATCTTAGAAAGGCCTTAAGCCAGGGAATACTTTCCTTTGGTTCCCTTCCAGCGTAGAGGAAAGGATACAGAAGGACAGTCACGAGAGACCTTGATGAGACCCAGGGAAGGACTTCCCAGCAGTGAGATGGGTGGACACTACAAGGAGAATCTCAAAACATCTCAAAACAAGAACAAACAAGAACAAGGTCAGGTTTTTTTTTGAGTTTCACTCTGTCACCCAGGCTGGAGTGCAGTGGCATCATCTCAGCTCACTGCAACCTCCGCCTTCTGGGTTCAAGTGATTCTCCTGCCTCAGCCTCCCAAGTAGCTGTGACTACAGGCACCCACCACCATGCCTGGCTAATTTTTATTTTTAGTAGAGACAGGATTTCACCATGTTGGCCAGGCTGGTCTCGAACTGCTGACCTCAAGGCATCCACCCACCTCGGCCTCCCAAAGTGCTGGGATTACAGGCATGAGCCACTATGCCTGGCCAAAGGTCAGGTTCTGATATATCTGGTACCATTTCCGGGTGCTTCTGCCAGGAGGTCGGAGGATGGACCTATGGAGGGATGGTTTTCCATAGCCTCTTCCCATCCCCAGCCACATTTTGTCATGGAGCGGGGCCCCTGATTTTTGGTACTCACGTTGCAGGTGCATATCACGCCATCACCCCCAGCACAGATCATATTCGTCTTCACGGTGCTGCCCCACCAGCCAGAGCTGGAGCAGGTGGCATAGTCCACAACCAGCAACTGGCCCTGCTTCAGGTCATCAGGGAGAGCCCCGTTGGCTGAATGAGACCAGAGAGAAGCCATTAGGGACGCAGGGACTCCTGAGAAAAAGGAAGTGGTGGACCCCTACTGGATTTCCCCTGTTACCATCTTCCATCCATTGCAACATGGGAACAGCCATGTTTGTCTATACTGTGTCCTCACATTTGATTGGTTAGTGTGCTGGCCACTGGTGATTGGTTCAGCAGTGAACACCTAACTCAAGCTAAGCCAATGAACTCCCTCCCCTGAGATTTTGAGATGGGGACTAAGAGATTCCGGTTCCAGAGGATGCAAATCTTGGAAGCTGTTGTCAATGGCTGACATTTTCTTCTATGTGCAGAAGAATGAAGTAGACCCACAAAGAAAGAAATTTCTCAGTGAGTGTTTCCTGAGTTTCTCACAGGCTTCCAGCCCCTGATTCTAGTCTCTTCCTGATGCCTGGCTATATCTCTGCCCTTGGGTTGAAACTTTTAAATCCTTATAACAATTTCCCTTTTTTTGCTGAGCTAGCTCCATGGCTTTCTGTCACTTATCTGAAATAAGAAAGTGAGCCTCCTGGCAGTTAGAGCCCCCTCCTTGGGTGTGGTGAAGGGAGGGCTTTCATAATGGCCCCCAATGACACAGCCACCATCACCTCCATTACTGTTACCACAGCTATGAGTGGCAAGGATGAGATTAACATAATTTTTCACTTGCTATTGAAGCCAAGGGAAGTTAAGCGTCGGCCAGGCATGGTAGCTCACCCTGTAATCCCAGCAGTTTAGGACGCCAAGGCAGGCGGATCACTTGAGGTCAGGAGTTCGAGACCAGCTTGGCCAACATGGTGAAACCCCGTCTCTAGTAAAATATAGAAATTAGCTGGGCGTGGTGCACATGCCTGTAATCCCAGCTGCTCAGGAGGCTGAGGCAGGAGAATCGGTTGAATGTGGGAGGCAGAGGTTGCAGTGAGCAGAGATTGTGCCACTGCACTCCAGCCTGGGCGACAGAGCAAGACTCTGTCTCAAAAAAAAAAAAAATCAAGCTTTTTGCTTAAGACCATTCTAATTAATAAGTAATTAACACTTGTGTAACATTTTGCAATGTGTGATGCATTTCCACCTTTCACCTCTTTTAGTCTTCACCAACAGTGTTTCCATTTTACAGATGAGGAAACTGAGGTTCGGAAGTGGCTTGCCCAAGGTTTCACCGTGACCGACAGAGCTGGGCCGAAAAGCCAAGCATTTGGAGGCCTCCCCACTCTCACTGTCTCAGATGAAATGCACCTGCCCCAGGGTTGGCTGGGGAAACAAACAGGTGGTTGTGCTTGTATCTTAATAAGCATGAAATGCCTCTTCCACCACCACTCACCGCAGGATTTGATGTGTCCTTGTGTTTACAGATAAGCCAGTCAAGAGGGCAATGGGAATTTATTTGAGGGTACGTATGTGGATGTACCCCTGGAAAAACATGTCATTATACTTATGGGTTTATGTCATTAGGAAAAAATGTCATAATGTCATCATCACTAATAATGTCATTACGGTCATAAGGTCATTATCACTCATCCCTTCCTAGAATCTTCCAAACCTCTGGTGTTTTCACAAGGGAAGGGCGGGAACTCTGTTCCTCTTGGTGGCTACTGTCATTGGATCTCTGACCCTTGGAGTCTATGTCAAAGAAGACCCACCCTCAGCCGGGTTCTCAGTAGCAAGACCAAATGGCACAGGGGACAGCTTTTGCTATGGGGCATGGAGGGTCTGATGAGGGCTCCAGGGGCCTTTGTGGAGCTCCAGAGACCTCAGGTCACAGAGGAAATGCTGTTCTGAACTCTAGCCTTGGGCCACACAGAAGATGTCACATGATCTCTGTAACTTTCTTTCCATCATAGGGACAGTGACAACAACTAACACACAGCACCTACCACATGCCAGGCTTCCTGTGGATTATCTCCTTTAATCCTCTTGACAACTCTGTGATGTAGGTGGTATTATTATGCCTTTTTTTTTTTTGGAGATGGAGTCTCGCTCTATCCCCCTGGCTGGAGTGCAGCAGCGCAATCTTGGCTCACTGCAACCTCCGCCTCCTAGATTGAAATGATTCTTGTGCCTCAGGCTCCCAAGTAGCTCGGACTACAGGCGCACAACACCACACCTGGCGAGTTTTTTATATTTTTAGTACAGACGGGGTTTCACCATGTTGGCCAGGCTGCTCTCAAACTCATGACCTCAAGTGATCTGCTCGTCTCGGCCTCCCAAAGTGCCGGGATTACAGGCGTGAGCCACCGCGCCCAGCCAATTATTTGCATTTTACATATGAGAAAAGTGCAGCTTGGAGAGACCTAGTAATGTGTCCAAGGTGTCACAGTCATTAAGTGGGAGAGCTGACATTTGAACCCAGGCAGACATCAGCCTATGCCATCCTGTCTCTCCAAGGCAGCCACATGCCCAGGATAACATGTGAGGTGAGAGGCCCTGGCCGGACAGGGGTGACATCACCTCCCTTCCCTCCCAGGCCTGGGGGCTCCTGGCTCCCACTTACTCTGCAGCCTTCCCCAGCCCGTGACGTAGCAGGGGTAGTTGTTGGGTAGAATGGTGCCGGCAGGAGGGAGGCAGGCCAGCTGGATCTTGTCGGTGAGGGAGACGGGGTTAGCCAGTTTGAGCAGGGCAATGTCGTTCCTGGGTGAGTGCGGAGGCGGAGCATGAGAACAGGGTTGACTTTTCCTGCCCTATGGGGCTTTGGAGGGCTTGGAGACCTTGTCATCTTCCCTGTACGTTACCCCAGGTTGCTCTGACCGGCAGGGCCCACAGGGCATGTTTGAAAATGTAGAGGGTCGGCCAGTCACGGTGGCCTGTAATGCCAGCCTGTAATGCCAGCCTGTAATGCCAGCACTTTGGGAGGCCGAGGCGAGTGGATCATGAGGTCAGGAGATCGAGACCATCCTGGCTAACACAGTGAAACTCCGTCTCTACTAAAAATACAAAAGATTAGCCGGGCCTGTGGTGGTGGGCACTTGTAGTCCCAGCTACTCTGGAGGCTGAGGCAGGAGAACGGTGTGAACCCAGGAGGCGGAGCTTGCAGGGAGCTGAGATTGTGCTACTGCACTACAGCCTGGGTGACAGAGCGAGACTCCATCTCACAAAAAAAGAAAAAGGAAAAGAAAAAAGAAAATGCGGAGGGCTTTGTTGAAAGGGGGAAGGCAGGAGAGATTGTGTCCTACTCCAGGGACAGTCACAGGGTCGACAGCACTGTCTCTGTGTCCCCAGGACTTGGCATGAAGTAGATACACACTCAGCGGACAGGGGCCCTGCAGGCTTAACTGGCAGCAAACCCAGGTCGCTCTGGCAGTCTTTGCTTCACCCTCCCCAGGTCACATCCCCACCCCAGACATCTTTGGAGCCGGTTCCACATCTAATAGGCCAGAGCTCCTTTCTCTTCCCTATAGAAAAAGCAGAGGGGGTGTGGTGGGGTTGAGACCTTTGCCTCTGTGAGACCCCCATCTGTTCCCTGACAACCTCACCCCCAAGTGCACCCAGATAGAAACGAACCCTTTGGAGACCTGGTCGGAGTTCCAGTCCTTGTGCACCACAATCTTAGAGACACTGACGGCCAGCGAGCCGGACTCTGCAACGTAGAGGTTATGCTGGCCCAGCATCACGCGGTAGATCCCGGAGGAGCTGGGAGAAAGGGGTCCCAGGGAGAGGGTCACCTCCAGAGGCCTGGCTTTGAATAATGCTAGGGATAGACCCAAGTAACTGGCTGCTTCATGAGCCACTAGTTGGCACTTGGGGATCTTTCCTCCCCTGGGACAGTCAGTTAGTTATCATAGGGCCTAAAGTATATAATGTAAGAACTATGATCATATAATAATTGTTACTATACTAACTATAAACTACAATTTAAAATTAATGTTGTAATAGCACAAACTCTATAGTATTATGGAGGAATGAGATGAACACAGAGAAAACAGGAGTCATTTGCCCTCAAGGAAATTTTCAACCTTTTATTTTCAGATGGGGAAACTGAGGCCCAGAGAGGAGTAACTGGTCCGGAGTCCCACCGTTAGTGAGAAATCAGAACTAGAAGCCAGGACTCCTGACTGTAGGCCTCTATTAGTATCCCCATCACCTCCTAGAGCTTATTATAAGTCGGATGGGAGAAGGGATCACTCCTGGTAGGGAGTCACACTGACCCGGCAGAAACTCCGGTGAGTTCCAGCTGTGATGAGCAGAGGTCACGGACAAAGAAGAGGATAAGTGAACAACGTTGCAGAACCTTGTGGGCCTTTATAATTTGTCTGCAATTCAGAATTAGCTTTCATTGAGCACTTAATAAGTGCCAGGCACTTTAGCAAATCAATTGCTGAGTCCACACTAAATTCTGTTACTCCATTTTCTGCAGGTGATGGTATTGAAGCTTTGAGAAGTCAGTTAAGTTGTTCAAGGGAACCCAATTCCAGACACTGAGGCCACATGTAGTTTCCCCAAGAGGGCAGAGATTGGGCCTTCCCCTCCTCTTCATCCTCCCTCAGTGCCTGCCTGGCACAGACACTCCATCCATGCCATGAAATGACCCATGGGTGGGCCAACACACTGAACCATTGATTGACTACAGCTTGTGTCTCGGCCAGGCTAGTGGTTATTTGCAAGGTTACTTCATGTAGTGTGGTTCAGGCCATTTGAGCCCCCAGCTCAGAAATGAGCACCGGCTGGTGAGCAGGCCAAGCGCCCAGGGAATGGCAGTTACCTGATGCAGTGGGCAGCCGTCAGGACCCAGCTGTTGGCTATCAGGGACCCTCCGCAGGTGTGGTACCACTGGCCATTGGAGCTGTACTGCAGGGAGACCTGGGGAGAAACACAGGTCTGTGGCTGTGGCTGAAAAAGCAGGGCCTCCCTGCACTCCAGTTTCCCAAGAACGGGGCTGGGACAAGGGTAAGGGGGAGTGAGGCACTCACCTCAGGTACACAACTTAAGGGGGCACCCAAAACCTCAGCCATGAAGATAAAAAACATTTTAATGCAATCTATAGTAAAAAAAAAAAAAATCAGGCCAGGCATGGTGGCTCATGCCTGTAATCAGAACACTTTGGGAGGCCAAGGCAGGAGGATGGGTTGAGCCCAGGAGTTTGAGACCAGCCTGGGCAACGTGGTGAAACCCCGTCTGATATGGTTTGGCTGTGTCCCCACCCAAATCTCATCCTGAATTATAGTTCCCATAATCCCCATAGGTAGGGGGAGGGACCTGCTGAGAGGTAATTGAATCATGAGGGTGGTTACCCCATGCTATTTTTGTGATACTGAGTGAGTTCTCATGATATCTGATGGTTTTATAATGGGCCTTTCCCCCTTTTGCTTGGCACTTCTCCCTGCTGCCACCGTGTGAAGAAGGATGTGTTTCCTTCCCCTTCTGCCATGATTGTAAGTTTCCTGAGGCCTCCCCAGCCATGCTGAGCTGTGAGTCAATTAAACCTCTTTCCTTTATAAATTACCCAGTCTCAGGTATGTCTTTGTTAGCAGTGTGAGAACGGATTAATACACCGTCTCTACAGAAAAATACCCCAAAATTAGCCACTGGGTGTGGTGGTGCATGCCTGTAGTCCCAGCTACTCAGGAGGCTGAGATGGGAGGATTGCTTGATCCTGGGAAGTCTAGCTTGCAGTGAGCTGCGATTGCACTGTGCTCAGCCTGGGTGACAGAGTGAGGCCGTCTCCACAGGGGATGTCCTGTCAGCTCTACCTTGAGAATTTGTGGAGTGGTTGCTACCCTTTGGTCACTACCTCAACTGTGTGTCGCAATCACCCTCTCTTCTCGATGATCATTCTAGTCTCCCATCTCTTCTCCCCATTCCCACCCACATTTTCTCAACACAGCAGCCAGACTGATCCTTTTTGAATGGAAGTCAGATGACTTCTCTTCTCTGCTCAGACTCTCCAGTGGCTCCCCCTTTACAGTTTGCAAAACTTAAAACTGTCTGATGACCTGCTAGGCTCTCCGTGGCCTCTCTGACCCCATAGGCTCCCACTCTCCTCTCCTCCAGCCACACTGACTTCCATGCAGTTCTGCACATACACCAAACCCGCTTCTGCCTCAGGGCCTTTGCACTGGCTCTTCCTCCTCCCTGGAATATTCTTGCAAATATCGGCGTAGCTCTTTCCTTCACTTCCTGTCAGTCTCTGCTCAAGGTTGCCTTCTCCATGAGGCCTTCTGTGACCACGCTATCCCAAACAATGTGCACACACACATGCGTGCACGCTCATGTACATATGCACACACAGACACACTTGTCTCTTTCCCCTTACTCTGCTTTACTCTTCATAGTATCTTTCGTTTTCCGGCGTGTTATTAGTTTACCTATTCAGTTGTTTATTGTCTCTTCCACTTTATTTATTTTATTTTTTGAGATGGAGTCTCCCTCTGTCGCCCAGGCTGGAGTGCAGTGGCACGATATTGGCTCATTGCAACCTCTGCCTCCCAGGTTCAAGCCATTCTCCTGCCTCAGCCTCCCCACTAGCTGGGATTACAGGTGCCTGCCACCATGCCCTGCTGATTTTTTTTACTTTTAATAGAGACGGGGTTTCACCATGTTGGCCAGGCTGGTCTCCAACTCCTGACCTCAGGTGATCCACCTGCCTCAGCCTCCCAAAGTGTTGGGATTACATGCGTGAGCCACTGTGCCTGGCCACGTCCTTGTTTTTAATTAGCCACTGGGCATTTCTCGTTTTTGTGACATTAAGGGGCCTTAGATGAACTGGCTTTTAAAAAGATGCTTAAAATTGGACCAAGTGAAAAAAGACACTGAAAAGTATCTACTCCCCCACCCCAATTTAAAAATGTGCTGAAACCATCCTACAGATGGGAAATTTCGTCCACGTAATACGTATTATTTGTGGCCAGCAAAGTGTAGCTAAAAGAACAAGCACTGAACCAGATTTGAATCCTCATTCCCCCCCGGGCTAACCCAGTGCCTTTGGGTAATTCTGTAACCTTTCCAAGTCCCAGTTACCTTCTCTGGAAATGGGGAACATAAGCCACGGTGCAGGGCTCTCAGGGTGATTAATAACTGTAATTACAATAGCTGGCTGGGCAGGATGGCTCACACCTGTAAGCTCAGCACTTTGGAAGGCCGAGGCAGGTGGATCACCTGAGGTCAGGAGTTTGAGACAAGCCTGGCCAACATGGTGAAACCCCGTCTCTACTAAAATACAAAAAAAATTTGCTGGTGTGGTGGCACACATCTCTAATTCTAGGTACTCAGGAGGCTGAGGCAGGAGAATTGCTTGAACCTGAAAGGCTGAGGTTGCAGTTAGCTGAGACTGCGCCACTGCACTCCAGCCTGGGTGACAGAGTAAGACTCTGCCTCCAAAAAAAAAAAAAAAAATGCATTAAAATATTATTCCTCTTGGCTGGGTGTGGTGGTTCACACCTATAATCCCAGCACTTTGGGAGGCCGAGGCAGGTGGATTACCTGAGGTCGGGAGTTAGAGACCAGCCTGACCAACATGGAGAAACCCTGTCTCTACTAAAAATACAAAATTAGCCGGGCATGGTGGTGCGTGCCTGTAATCCCAGCTACTACAGAGGCTGAGGCAGGAGAATCACTTGAACCTGGGAGGCAGAAGTTGTGGTGAGCTGAGATTGTACCATTGCACTCCAGCCTGGGCAACAAGAGCAAAACTCTGTCTAACCAAAAAACAAAAACAAACAAACAAACAAACTATATATCCCAATATATATATATATATGCCTCAGCCTCCCAAGTAGCTGGTATTACAGGTGCCCGCAATCATGCCTGGCTAATTTTTGTATTTTTAGTAGAGGCAGAGTTTCACCATGTCCAGGCTGGTCTTGAACTGCTGACCTCAAGTGATTCACCCACCTTGGCCTCCCAAAGTGCTGGGATTACAGGCCTGAGCCACCACGCCTGGCCTATCATGGACAGTCTCTTAATCAAAGAGCAGATGAATGAACGCTGGCCTCTCTAAACACAGTGACTGCTGCATAGGTCACTCTGAATGCTCAAGGCTAGTGGGCTGCTAGTTGCTCCTTCTACTTAAATTAGAAACTCATCCTGGTTCAGCTGGGTTTGCTCCTAAAGCAGTTTATATCAATTATGTTTGCAATAGTGAAATTTGATTAAATATGTAACCAATGAAATATGAGTTCAGAAAGAGAGTTGTGAAACAAAGTTAAATGCTTGGAAGAGACTGAATACCATGATTCCTAAAAAATTGCTCTTGAATTAGTGTCTTTGAGGAAACAGAAAGATTGGGGGGAAAAGTCGTAAAAGTCGGGATGGGCTCGTAACTCAGATTGCTTTATGAATATCTCAAAGTTATTGCTCTGCTTTAAAGAAATGGACTTGTAGATGAGATATTATGGGGCATGGTTTATATGAAAAAGACAGTTAAGAACTCAAAAAATTGTTTACATAGTCTAAAATAAAATGTTTACAGCATATATGATTTAAAATAATTTCTTTATAACCAACTTTTCATTTAGTCAGTCCCAATTATATCAGATAAATGAGATTTTACTATATTTGTTTGCGTCAATGTAAACTTTACACATTTCTTTTGAAATTCCCACCGTTAACACGTCTTAGTAATTTGTGCCTGTGCCCCACTCGGCAGTTTAGTCTTAATATCACTATTATATCAACTTAAGAAACATTTATTTTCCTTGGTAACATTGATTTGCCTGTAGTTAAAGATGAATCTGCATGAATAGCACTGATTGGTTCCTTAAAGCAAGGAATATTTGCATAGGTAGTCTTGAATGGTTCATAGGATAATGGTACATTTGAAAGAAAGCCTCTGATTGGTTAACAGAGTAAGACTATAGTTGTAAATTTGTTTATGGGCAGTGGGGAGGGGACAGCTCTTTACTGCAGCTGGAGGAGGCACCTCTCCCTTCACTCCCAAGGTTGGCCAAGGCCACAGAAATGTATCTTTTTCTTTTTTTTGAGATGGAGTCTCTCTTTGTTATTCAGGCCGGAGTGTAGTGGTGCGATCTCAGCTCACTACAACTTCTGCCTCTCAGGTTCAAGTCTTTCTCCTGCCTCAGCCTCCCGAGATGCTGGGATTACAGGCGTGTGCCACTGTGCTTGGCTAATTTTTTATTATTAGTAGAGACGGGGTTTCACCATGTTGGCCAGGCTGGGCTCAAACTTCTGACTTCAGGTAATCTGCCCACCACGACCTTCCAAAGTGCTGGGATAACAGGCATGAGCCACTGTGCCCAGCTGGAAATGTATCTTGTTGGTGAAGTTTCCTGTGCTGCTCTCTGAATCCCATCAATCCTAACTTTGCCAGCACAATAGACGCCATGGTGGAAGGGCAAAGGGGGGATGTAAAGGGAGTGGGGCAGGGACGGGGAGAAGTACAGTGTGGTCAACTCACCTGCCAGGGCCAGCTGTTGGGCCTCGCTTCTTCACCTCCAAGCATCCTAGACATATCAGGCGCGTAAGTGGAGACCCCACAACTGAGGGCTGTGAAAAGAGAAAGGGTCTTGAGTCCAGGAAGCAGCGACCCACACAATGTAAACTATACATGCTGCATTCTGAACCCCCAAATAGAAAACCCTTGTTCTAGAAGGATCCCAAGAGGTCATAAAATCCTTCTGTTTGCTCCAATTCTTTGAAACTCCATTTCGGTTTTCTTATGATTATAGGTCTGAATGCAGTAGGGGTTGGGTGGGGGCGAGAGGGGAGGACAGGAAGATCCCATTTCCAGCCCCACCAGGGGATGGGAAACCAGTGCCTCTGGGTGACAGGACTTACCTCCAGCCACCAAAGTGGACAGCAGCAGGGTCCTAATCATGGTGTGTCCGTGGGAGTTCTGTAAGCGTGGCCCTGGATAAGGCCCTGGTTTTATGAGCAAACTTATCAGTGAGAGATACACTAGGAGCACGCAAGATGGGGATTTTCTCAAAGCCCAGTGGAAAAAAGAGCTTGTGTCCAAATTTTTTTTTTCCATTTTCTCCCAACTGTCACCCTAGAAATACTTTGAGAAGATGCCAAGGGTAGATACTGGAATATGAGTTCCATCTGTTTTAAAGAGATTATGTTGTGTATTAGGGAAGGAAGAAAAATACTAATTGTTGGTCCTTGGAGTTGTGTTTTCTTTTCTTTTCTTTTTTTTTTTTTTTTTTTCCCCTCCTTGGGTAAGACTGAGGAGAGGAGTTGTGTTTTCTTTCTTTTTTTTTCTTTTTTCCTTCTGAGATGGAGTCTTGCTCTGTCACCCAGGCTGGAGTGCAGTGGTGCTATCTTGGCTCACTGCAACCTCTGTCTCCTGGGTTACAAGTGATTCCCCTGCCTCAGCCTCCCTAGTAGCTGGGATTACAGGTGTGTGTCACCATTCCTGGCTAATTTTTGTATTTTTTAGTAGAGACAGGGTTTCGCCATGTTGGCCAGGCTGGTCTCAATCTCCTGACCTTAAATGATCTGCTCGCCTCGGCCTCCCAAAGTGCTGGGATTACAGGCTGAGCCACTGCGCCCGGCCAGGAGTTGTGTTTTCAATGAAAAGATTAAGGTGGCATGCTGAACCCACAGCGTTCTAAGGCAGTATTTCTCAATGGGGCTGGTTCAGCCCATCAGGAGACCTTTTGACAACATCTGGAGACATTTTTGGTTGTCATGGCTGGGGTTGATGTAAATTGGCATCCAGTGGGCAGGGAGCAGAGACGCTGCTAAACACCCGACAATGCACTGGGCAATAGGACTTGCCCTGCCCCAAATGTCAATGGTGCTGAGGCTGAGAAGCCTGTTCTAGGTCATACCAGGGGTTGCAGTGTGACCTTGGCTGAGTCATGTAAGTCTCTAGACCCATCTGTGAAACAGGGAGAGAAGCCCATGCCCAGTATTGTTTCACAACATTGTGGTAAGGATTTGTATAATGCGGGGAAGGTGCACATGTAGCAGAAGGCAAGGCCGACATGCACAATTAGGATCTGGCCGCTCTAATGATGGGGGGAAGCAGAATGCTGGCAGAGGAGGGCTTCATCTGGTGGGTGAAAATGCACTTTATGGCCGGACGTGGTGGCTCACTCCTATAATCCTAGAACTTTGGGAGGCTGATGCGGGCGGACCACCTGAGGCCAGGAGTTCAAGACCAGCCTGGCCAACATGGTGAAACCCCGTCTCTACTAAAAATACGAAAATTAGTCGGGTGTGGTGCTGCATGCCTGTAGTCCCAGCTACTCAGGAGGCTGAGGCAGGATAACCTCTCGAACCTTGGAGGTGGAGGTTGCAGTGAGCTGAGATTGCACCACTGCACTCTAGTCTGGGCAACAGAGCAAGACTCCGTCTGAAAAAAAAAAAAAAAAAAAAAAAAAAAAGGACCAGCCTGGACAACATGGTGAGACCACCTGTCACTACAAAATTTCTTTTAAAAAGTTAGCCAGGTGCGGTGGCACACGTATGTGGCTCCAGCTACTCTGGAGGCTAGGCCGAGGCAGAGGGTCACTTGAGCCTGGGTGGCAATGGTTGCGGTAAGCTGCAATCGATTCTCCTGCCTCAGCCTCCCGAGCAGCTGGGACTACAGGCGCCGGCCACCACGCCTGGCTTATTTTTGTATTTTATTAGAGACGGGGTTTCACCATCTTGGCCAGGCTGGTCTCAAACTCCTGACCTCGTGTTGGCCCGCCTCGGCCTCCCAAAGTGCTGGGATTACAGGCATGAACCACCGCGCCCAGCCGAGTTCAAGTCTTTGATCCATCAATTTTGAGTGTGGTGGTCTGGACAAGCCACTTATCTTCTGGGCCTTAGTTTCCTAGAT
This sequence comes from Homo sapiens, assembly GCF_000001405.40. Lineage (NCBI taxonomy): Eukaryota > Metazoa > Chordata > Mammalia > Primates > Hominidae > Homo > Homo sapiens. The sequence continues at coordinate 15,474,169 of NC_000001.11, read as the reverse complement.
AACCATCCAGGCCTGGATTGCAGGATTGTTGTATGGGTAAGAAAATGGGTGGGAAAGAATTCTGTAATCTCCCTAGGATGGTGCAAAGGTGAGAAAGATTGGGTGGGGGGCAGAATCCCATGGGACTGGATGTCAGAAGACGTGGACTCCAGTCCCAACTCCATCCCATACTACCTGTAAGAGTTTGGACTCATTTATGGTCTGTATCAGTCACTACAGTAACCAACTATTTCTTAAGTCTCATATTTTATCTTAAAAGTTCATGTGAATTTGGCGTTCTGCTCTGTATCTTTGTTTGTTTTAATATAAAAATAAAGTGTCCTGTATGAGGCCACTGAAAAAATACCTGCTGTGAATTTGCTGTGTAACCTTGGCCAGTCCCACAGGCTTTCTGGCCTGGGGTGCCTATCTACAAACAGGGAGAGGAACAGATGCTCAGTCTGTTCCATCATGTTGCTGTCAGGACTTTTTTTTTTTTTTTTTTTTTTTTTTGAGACAGAGTCTCACTCTGTCACCCAAGCTGGAATGCAGCCGCACCATCTTGGCTCACAGCAACCTCCACTAGGAGGTTCAAGCAATTCTCCTGCCTTTGCCTCCCGAGTAGCTGGGATTACAGGTGCCCGCCACCACACCCGGCTAATTTTGTATTACTTAGTAGCGTCAGGGTTGCACCATGTTGGTCAGGCTGGTCTCGAACTCCTGACCTCAGGTGATCCACCTGCCTCGGCCTCCCAAAGTGCTGGGATTACAGGCGTGAGCCACTGTACCCAGCCGCTTTCAGGATTGGAAAGTGACACAAAACTTCACTCAGTTGTGCTTAAGCCAAAGGGCCATTCATTGGGCCACAAAATGGCAAAGTCCAGGAGCAGAGCTGGGTTCAGGGCCCTGGTGATGGTCCCTGGACTTGGCTTTTCTTCAACTTTTGCTTCTGCCTTCTGCTTTGAGGTCTCATCTCAGGCTCCGTTAAGTGGCCTGTAGCTGCTCTGGGTTCTCCCTTCCTTGAGGACAAGATCACCACCGCATCTCTGGTCCAGAGTTCCTCAACTGCAGCAGTGTTGACATTTTGGGCGAGATGATTCTTGTTTTGAGGGCTGTGTCTATGTCTTGTGCTTTGCAGGAGTTTGACAGCATCCCTGGCCCCAGGCTGCTAGATGCCAGTCCCTCCCCCTCCCCACACAGTTGCCGCAACTAAAAATGTCTCCACACATTGCCAGATGTATGCTGGGGAGCAAAATAACCCCGTCTCCCCCTTCCCCTCTCGTTTTGCTTTGTAGCCTCACATCCCCTCATCCTCACACCCATGCAGTGAATGAGTGACAGCCCTCGGTAGCTCCCTGCACGAGTCGTGCAACCTCTCTGATTGGACCTGTCTCAGGTCACATGCCCATCCCTGAGCCAATCGCTGTGGTGGGGAAGGGGATGCAATGTGTTGATTGGCCAGGCCTGGAGCACGGGCTCCAGCCTTGGTCCTAGGCCATGAGGTTTCGGCAGAACCTCCGGGATCCCATGGGGCAGCGCCTGCACAGAAATCCAGGCTTCTGTGCTGGGAGGGGAGGAAAGAGAGGCAGAGGAGGCAGAGTGCAGGAAGCTGCTACAGCCCACTTCCTTCGCTGGAGCTTAGTGCTCCATTTATATATTGTTGGACAACGATGTCATGTGTCAGGTTCTAAAGTGGGCTGGGTCCTTGAGGTCTCAGTAGGGCAGGGTGACGTAGATGCGAAATTCTTTTTTTTTTTTTTTTTTTGAGACAGGGTCTCACTCTGTCGCCCAGGCTGGAGTGCGACTAAGTGATCTTGGCTCACTGCAGTCTTTACCTCCTGAGCTCAAGTGATCCTCCCACCTCAGCCTCCTGAGTAGCTGGGACTACAGGTGGGTAACACCTCGCCCATTTAATTTTTGTATTTTTAGTAGAGACAGGGTTATGCCATGTTACTCAGGCTGGTCTTGAGTTCCTGGACTCGAGTGATCTGCCTGCCTTGGCCTCCCAAAGTGCTAAGTGCTGGGATTACAGGGTTGTGCCACTGTGCCCACAGCCCTGGATGTTAGGACGGATTGCTAATAAATCTCTCATCAAGATGTGATTTGCATAGTTGTCACTTTATTATATTATTTTCCTTCTGTGACCTTTCCAAGTCTGAAACAGTCCCAGGGACTTCTTTTGGTTAGTTATTTGCAATCACCTGCAGGACACACAAGATAATCGTCAGGTTCACCTAACCGCAGAGCTGTGCATGGCAGTTTCCTGTCTCTGTCCTCCTGGGCTAAGCTACTCATGTGAGTTACAGGCAGCCCACACTACAGTAGCTCCTGCCTGAGGAGTTCTGATGACGTTTCGGAAAAAAAGATGTGATCACAGCTTTTCATTGACCTGTTAGGGTCTTCCTGTAAAGGGGGTCTTAGCCAGGAGTCCTGTGTGGGCTTCAGGGTAGGGGGCCTTCGAACCCCTAAAAATTATATTCCAAATGTGTGGATGGCATATTTTTAGATTTCATTTGTTTCTTAAATCAAAACTGCTGTTTGCAAGGCAGTTATGCACTGTGGTTGGGGCTATAACTGTTTCCAGAGGCTGTTGATCAGTGTCTGTTAAACGTTTTTTTTTTTATTTGTTTGTTTGTTTTCTTTTTGAGACAGTCTCACTCTGTTGCCCAGGCTGGAGTGCAGTAGGGCGATCTGGGCTCACTGCAACCTCCACTATGCAGGTTTAAGTGATTCTCATGCATCAGCCTCCCGGGTAGCTGAGATTATAGTCATGCACCACCATGCCTGGCTAATTTTTTGCATTTTTAGTAGAGATGAGGTTTCACCATGTTGGCCAGGCTGGTCTCAAACTGCTGACCTCAAGTGATCTACTCGCCTCAGCTTCCCAAAGTGCTCAGATTACAGGCGTGAGCCACCGCGCCCAGCCTGTTAAACATTTTGATATGCCAACTTCATGATCCAGTGCTGTAAACTGCAGGAGATCCAGCTGCTACAGCACAAATACTCAGACCAGTGTGCAAGAATTATGTCCAAGGATGTTCATTGCACAATGTAAGAGTGAAAAATAGGAAACATGAAAGCTGCATTCATTACACTCAAACTATGGAATACTATTTAGCTGTTCAAAAGAATGACATGTATGTACTAACATGTAAAATGTGATAAGGTGTTAAGTGAAAAACAGCTGCAGAACAGTATGAAGACTCAGATCTTAGTTTTTGCATAGAAGACAGTGTCTATCTACGTAAATATATAGCTATATATGCACATAAAGTTGAGACCACACACAAGCTGTTAACAATGACAACTTGGCCAGGCACAGTGGCTCATGCCTGTAATCCCAGCACTTTTGGAGGCCAAGGCGGGCAGATCACCTGAGGTCAGGAGTTTGAGACCAGCCTGGCCAACATGGTGAAACCCCATCTCTACTAAAAATACAAAAATTAGTTGGGCATGGTGGTGTGTGCCTGTAATCCCAGCTACTCAGGAGGCTGAGGCAGAAGAATCGCTTGAACCCGGGAGGTGGAGGTTGCATTGAGCTGCGATCAAGCCACTGCATTTCAGCCTGGGTGACAGAGCGAGACTCTGTCTTAAAAAACAAAAACAAAACCAATGATTACCTCTGGAGAGTGGAATTGGAGATGTAAAATGAGGGGGGACTTCTTACTTTTTTACCTGATACTCTTATAGTCTTTTAATATTTTTACAAAGAGTATGTATTACCTTCCGGAAAAAGAATAAAAACTAAGGATTGCTGAAGGTTCACATGTGACTGTCATTCAATGGACATTTGTTGAAAGGATGAATGCCCCAGGCCACTTGTCTCCTCTGCTTCTCTGCTCTTTTGCTTGTATTTCCTGACCTTGGCTCATCACCTGTCTGGGTTTATCCAGGCAGGTGCTCTCAGGCACCCCCAGGGCTCTAGTGGTATGTGACTCCAGGCTGCACACACTGTGTCCCTGGGTTGGGGCTACTGCAAGGTTTCACTAGCTCCTCCGCTGCTGCCAGGGGCAGCCCCCACCCAAGGACAGCTGGTTGCTTGGCTCTCCCCCTTCTGAAACCCGTTACCGGGCATCTGTGCCTGTCCCGACTGCTCTCCCATGAACACAGGGCCTCTGCCCAGCTGCCTTGCGAGGCGTGCTGCCCCGTGGATCCCTGCTGCCATCTGGCCATGCTTCGGGATCTGGCCTGTTCTGTTGTGCTTGTGTCTGTGGCTGGGAACAGCTGATGCTGGGAAAAAAAAATTGGGACAATTGCCCCTGCCCCTGCTTCAGGTCCCCAGGTTGCTGCCAGGACCAGCTGCATGGTGACTCCCACAGCAGCTGGGGCTGGAAAACGGTCTTAGGATTTGGCTGAGAAAGGCCCCTAAGCAGCCTCTCGTCCAGTCAGTCTCAGGCCAGGCTCCTTTGACATGTGGGTGGCGCCTCCAAAGGTGGACTCAGATGGGTTTTTCCCAATTTAGATATAAAAAAGCACCATTAATGATTAATGGCTACTGTCTTTTTGATTTTTCATTTTTGTCCAACAAACGTCTTTGGAATCTCTGCTTGTGACCACTTGTTGGCAAAAGGATGCCAGCAGACAGACAAATGAACAAGGATCTGGCAAGAATCAGTGGGAACACTTGGAAGCAGCCACCTGCTTATTTTGACAGTTTAGTTTTCCTCCTGTGACCACGTGCTCATGGCTGCAGTTTCATATTTGGTTTTATAAGTGTCAGTTTAATTCAATTTAACACTTCTCTGCAAATTAAACTTAGTGAAGTCAGATGCCAGCTTTCCCCTTCTTTAGGGGCTCTGCCACGAATACCATAACTCCCATTTGCTCTAGCGCCTAAATTGTGGAGGAGTCCTGGTCTAGTTCAAGTCCCATTTTACAGAAGAGCAAACTGAGCTGGTCCCTCATTGGCACAGAGTGTCCGACTCTTTCCTTCTAGCATCCAGTACGAGGCATGGTGGCTCCTCTGCCCTCTCATGGGCAACTCTTTCTTTTTTGTGTGTTTTTTTTTCTTTTGAGATGGAGTCTCGCTCTGTCGCCCAGGCTGGAGTGCAGTGGTGCGAACTCGGGTTACTGCAACCTCCACCTCCCAGGTTCAAGTGATTCCCCTGCCTCAGCCTCCTGAGTAGCTGGGATTACAAGCACGTATCACCACACCCACCTTATTTTTGTATTTTTAGTAGAGACGGGGTTTCCCCGTGTTGACCAGGCTGGTCTCGAACTCCTGACCTCTGGTGATCTGCCCATCTTGACCTCCCAAAGTGCCTGGATTACAGGCGTGAGCCACCAGGCATCCCTTTCTTGTGACGGGGTTTCCTGTTCTGGCTGCTTTCACCTACTGCTGCGTGTATCCATGGCTGCTCCTTAATATTGATGCCAGGTATTATTATCATTATTTTTGGAGACAGGGTCTTGCTATGTCGCCCAGGCTTAAGTGCTCACTGCAGCGTTGGCCTCCCGGGCCCAAGTGATCCTTCCACCCAAGCCTCCCAAGTAGCTGAGACTACAGGCATGTACCACCGTGCCTGAGTAATTAAAAAAAATTTTTTTGTAAAGACAGAGTCTTGCTATGTTGCCCAGGATGCTCTTGAACTCCTGGGCTCAAGCAATCCTCCCTCCTTGGCCTCCCAAAGTGCTGCGATTACAGGCATGAGCCATGGCACCTGGCCTATTATTTTTAATAAATAATTTTAATGCTCATTGTTATAAACAAATGTGTTCATTGTTAAAAACAAATTGAGTTATTGTGGAAGCTGAAAGGAGACACCTCTCTGAGTTGTTTACTTTTACAAGACAGGGGGACCAACTCAGCTCTATTTGCCTGGGATGGTCCCAGTGTAAAACAGGAAGTCCCACATCCTGGAAAACCTCTCAGTCCTGGGCAAACCATGATGGTTGGTCACCCTACAGAATAGCTGGAGGACCCCTGAGGTGGACTAATTTCCAATAATTAATGCTATGGGGATATCAGGTTTTGGGCTTTGCAGATAAATATACCTGTTTATAGCACTGGATGGTGGAGTCTGGGCCTACACACAGATAAACAAAAATAAAATCACCATTTCTATGGCACTCACTCTTTTTTTTTTTTTTTTTTTTTTTAGATGGAGTTTCACTCTTCTTGTCCAGGCTGGAGTGCAATGGTGCAATTTTGGCTCACTGCAACCTCCATCTCCCAGGTTCAAGGGAGTCTCCTGCCTCAGTCTCCTGAGTAGCTGGGATTACAGGAGTGCGCTACCACACCTGGCTAATTTTTTTTGGATTTTTTTAGTAGACATGGGGTTTTGCCAGGTTGGTCAGGCTGGTCTTGAACTTCTGACCTCGTGATCTGCCCGCCTTGGCCTCCCAAAGAGCTGGGATTACAGGCATGAGCCACGGCGCCCAGCGGAACTCACTCTTCATATGCCTGAGGAGTGTCCAACCTCTTTGGACAAGGCCACCCTCTATGTTCCTTTTCACTCAGCTTTATCCACACAGAAATTTGGGGGACCCATGGCAGGCCCAGCAGTTACTCAGGTCTGCAGCCTCCTCCAAGGGGTTCCCATCTAGCTCTCAAGAGGAAGGAGGGGATTCTCAGTCACCAGGTGGGCATGGCACTCCCGAGGCCAGGTGAGCAGGGTAGTGCCTTGGGGCTCAGGGCTGGTCCGGTTCTTACCGAATTGATCCAGTCGATGTAATTGGAGACCCGCGTGAAGACGGAGGGCTTGTGGTAGTAGTTGCAGCCGAGGCGAGACCCGAAGCTGACGATGCCGTGCACCTGCCACCGGCCGTCAGACGCCTGACAGTTCAGTGGCCCGCCAGAGTCTCCCTGAGGAAGGCCAGAGTTATAGGCAGGTAAAGGGAGAGGAAGGGGCTGCCCATTGGAACCATTGTTCTCAATGCATTTCTATTGTTCTGCTGCAGGTCACTGTCCTCGGAAGCTGACCCTTGTGGTCATAGCCCAAGGTGGTACCATAATTCCAACAAGAGCCAACACTTATTCTTCCTGTGTGGCCAGAGCTGAGCTAAGCATGTTCTATGCCTCATCTCATTAATCCTCACAAAATCCTATGAGGTAAATATTCGTAGCATCCCCAGGCCACGGAAGAGGAGAAACTGGAGTGTTGAGAGGTTGGGACTTGCCCAAGGTTGCACAGGCAGTTTGTAAAGGAGCTGAGGCCACATCCCAGACTTCAGCTGCCAGGCTCTTCCCCACTGGTTCCGTCTTCCCGCGGGTGGTCTATGTGGGCAGAGTGTGTAGGGCACAGTGTGATCTGAAGGGCGTGTGGAACTCTTTCCTACTCCATCCCCACTTCACTGCTAAGTCCAACACAGAGCAGTTCCTGGTGGTTAAGACACTGTCTCCAGGAAGGTTTCCGTGGCAGCTACCTGGAGGGGACACGCTGCGCCATTGATGAGACTAATTCAACAGAAAAACCAGAAGTCATCGTAGAAAGGCCCTAAGCCAGGGAATACTTTCCTTTGGTTCCCTTCCAGCATAGAGGAAAGGATACATAGTGACAGTCACGAGAGACCTTGATGAGACCCAGGGAAGGACTTCCCAGCAGTGAGATGGGTGGATACTACAAGGAGAATCTCAAAACATCTCAAAACAAGAACAAAAAAGAACCAAGATCAAGTTTTTTTGTTTTTTTTTTTGAGTTTCGCTCTGTCACCCAGGCTGGATTGCAGCGGTGTGATCTCAGCTCACTGCAACCTCCGCCTCATGGGTTCAAGTGATTCTCCTGCCTCAGCCTCCCGAGTAGCTGTGAGTACAGGCGCCTGCCACCATGCCCGGCTAATTTTTTTAGTTTTAGTAGACACAAGGTTTCACCATGTTGGCCAGGCTGGTCTTGAACTGCTGACCTCAAGTGGTCTGCCCGCCTGGCCTCTCAAAGTGCTGGGATTACAGGTGTGAGCCACCGTGCCTGGCCAAAGATATATCTGGAACATGTTTCGGGGTAATTCTGCCAGGAGGTGGGAGGATGGACCTATGGAGGGATGGACCTCTATAGCCTTATCCCCAGCCACATTTTGTCATGGAGCGGAGCCCCTGATTTTGGTACTCACGTTGCAGCTGGAGATCACGCCATCACCCCCAGCACAGATCATACTGGTTTTCACGCTGCTGCCCCACCAGGCAGAGCTGGAGCAGGTGGCATAGTCCACAACCAGCAACCGGCCCTGCTGCAGGACATCAGGAACAGCCCCGTTGGCTGAATGAGATCAGAGAGAAGCCATTAGGGATGCAGGGACTCCTGAGAAAAAGGAAGTGATGGACCCGTCTTAGGTTTCCCCTGTTCCTGTCTTCCATCCATTGCAACATGCGAACAGCCACGTTTGTCTATACTGTGTCCTCACGGTTGATTGGTTCAGCAGTGAACACCTGACTCAAGCTAAGCCAATGAGCTCCCTCCCCTGGGATTCTGAGATGGGGTCTATGAGATTCCGGTTTCAGAGGACATAATTCTGGGAAGCTGTTGGCAATGACTGACATTTTGTTTTATGTGGAGAATGAAGTAGACCCACAAAGAACAGAAATTCTGAGGGAGGGTTTCCTGTGTTTCTTACAGGTTTCCAGCCCCTGATTCTAGCTTGTTCCTGATGCCTGGCTGTATCTCTGCCCTTGGGATAAAACTTTTAAATCCTTATAACAATTTCCCTTTTTTTGCTGAGCTAGCTCCATGGCTTTCTGTCACTTATCTGAAATAAGAAAGTGAGCCTCCTGGCTGTTAGAGCCCCCTCCTTGGGAAAAATATGCTGGTGTGGTGAAGGGAGGGCTTTCATAATGGCCCCCAATGACACAGCCACCATCACCTCCATTACTGTTACCACAGCTATGAGTGGCAAGGATGAGATTAACACAATTCTTCACTTCCGATTGAAGCCTAGGGAAGTTAAGTGTCGGTCGGGCGCGGTGCTCACCCTCTAATCCCAGCGCTTAGGGAGGCCAAGGTGGGCAGATCACTTGAGGTCAAGAGTTTGAGACCAGCCTGGCCAACATGGTGAAACCCCACCTCTACTAAAATACAAAAATTACCCGGGCATGGTGGCACTCGCCTATAATGCCAGCTACTTGGGAGGCTGAGGCAGGAGAATCGCTTGAGCTCGGGAGGCAGAGGTTGCAGTGAGCCGAGATTGCACCACTGCATTCCAGCCAGGGTAACAGAGTAAGATTCTGTCTCAAAAAAAAAAAAAAAAAAAAAAAAAAGGGAAGTTAAGTGTCTGGCTTAAGACCACTAATAAGTAATTAATTAACACTTGCATAACATTTTGCAATGTATGATGCATTTTCACCTTTCACCTCTTTTAGTCTTCACCAACAGTGTTTCCATTTTACAGATGAGGAAACTGAGGTTCGGAAGTGGCTTGCCCAAGGTTTCACCGTGACTGACAGAGCTGGGCCGAAAAGCCAAGCATTTGGAGGCCTCCCCACTCTCACTGTCTCAGATGAAATGCGCCTGCCCCAGGGTTGTCTGGGGAAACAAACAGGAGGTTGTGCTTGTATCTTAATAAGCATGAAATGCCTCTTCCACCACCGCTCACCGCAGGATTTGATGTGTCCTTGTGTTTACAGATAAGCCAGTCAAGAGGGCAATGGGAATTATTTGAGGGTACGTATGTGGATGTACCCCTGGAAAAACATGTCATTATACTTATGGGTTTATGTCATTAGGAAAAAATGTCATAATGTGATTAACACTCATAATCTCATTATGGTCATAAGGTCATTATTACTCATCCCTTCCTAGAATCTTCCAAACCTCTGGTGATTTCACAAGGGAAGGGCGGGAACTCTGTTCCTCTTGGTGGCTACTGTCATTGGATCTCTGACCCTTGGAGTCTATGTCAAAGGAGACCCGCCCTCATTCAGGTTCTGAGCAGCAAGACCTAATGGCACAGGGGACAGCTTTTGCTATGGGGCATGGAGGGTCTGATGAGGGCTCCAGGGGTCTCAGGTCACAGAGGAAAATGCTGTTCTGAACTCTAGCCTTGGGCCACACAGAAGATGTCACATGGTCTCTGTAACTTTCTCTCCATCATAGGGACAGTGACAACAACTAACACAGCACCTACCCCATTCTGGGCTTCCTATGGATTATCTCCTTTAATCCTCGTGACAACTCTGTGATGTAGGTGCTATTATTATGCCTTTTGTTTTTGAGGCGGAGTCTCGCTCTGTCCCCCAGGCTGGAGTGCAGTAGCGAAATCTTGGCTCACTGCAACCTCCATCTCCCAGGTTCAAGTGATTCTCGTGCCTCAGCCTCCTGAGTAGCTGGGACTACAGGTGCACACTGCCACATCCTGCTATTTTTTTTTTTTTTAATATTTTTAGTAGAGACAGAGTTTCTCCGTGTTGGTCAGGCTGGTCTCCTGACCTCAAGTGATCCGCGGGATGGGCCTCCCAAAGTGCTGGGATTACAGGTATGAGCCACTGCGCCCAGCCAAATATTTGCATTTTACAGATGAAAAAAGTGCTGCATGGAGAGACCTAGTAATGTGTCCAAGGTGTCACAGTCATTAAGTGGGAGAGCTGACATTTGATCCCAGGCAGGCGTCAGCCTATGCCATCCCGTCTCTCCAAGGCAGCCACACACCCTGGGATGACAGGTGAGAGGCCCCGGCCAGACAGGGGTGACGTGAATCACCTCCCTTCCCTCCCAGGCCTGGGGGCTCCTGGCTCCCACTTACTCTGCAGCCTTCCCCAGCCCGTGACGTAGCAGGGGTAGTTGTTGGGTAGAATGGTGCCGGCAGGAGGGAGGCAGGCCAGCTGGATCTTGTCGGTGAGGGAGACGGGGTTAGCCAGTTTGAGCAGGGCAATGTCGTTCCTGGGTGAGTGTGGAGGCGAAGCATGAGGACCGGGTTGACTTTTCCTGCCCTGTGGGCTTTGGAGGGCTTGGAGACCTTGTCATCTTCCCTGTACCCTGTTACCCCAGGTTGCTCTGACTGGCAGGGCCCCAGGGCATGTTTGAAAATGCAGAGGGCCTTGTTGAAAGGGGGAAGGCAGGAGAGATTGTGTCCTACTCCAGGGACAGTCACAGGGTTGACAGCACTGTCCCTGTGTCCCCAGGACCTGGCATGAAGTAGATACATGCTCAGCGGACAGGGGCCCTGCAGGTGTAACTGGCAGCAAACCCAGGTCGCTCTGGCAGTCTTTGCTTCACCCTCCCCAGGTCACATCCCCACCCCAGACATCTTTGGAGCTGGTTCCACATCTAAGAGGCCAGAGCTCCTTCCCCCTCCCTGTAGAAGAAGCAGAGGGGGTGTGGTGTGGTTGAGACCCTTGCCTCTGTGAGACCCCCATCTGTTCCCTGACAACCTCACCCCCAAGTGCACCCAGACAGAAACGAACCCTTTGGAGATTTGGTTGGAGTTCCAGTCCTTGTGCACCACAATCTTAGAGACACTGACTGCCAGCGAGCCGGACTCCGCAACGTAGAGGTTGTGCCGGCCCAGCCCCACGCGGTAGGTCCTGGAGGAGCTGGGAGAAAGGGGGCCCAGGGAGAGGGTCACCTCCAGAGGCCTGGCTTTGGATAATGCTGGGGATAGACCCAAGTAACTGGCTGCTGCGTGAGCCACTAGATGGGACTTGGGGATCTTTCCTCCCCTGGGACAATCAGTTAGTTATAATAGGGCCTAAAGTATATAACCTAAGAACTATGATCATATAATAATTGTTACTATACTAACTATAAACTACAATATAAAATAAAAGTTATAATAACACAAACTCTATAGTTCTTATGGAGGGAATGAGATGAACACAGAGAAAACAGGAGTCATTTGCCCTCAAGGACATTTTTCCCACCTTTCATTTGCAGATGGGGAAACTGAGGCCCAGAGAGGCGTAACCTGGCCCAGAGTCCCACCGTTAGTGAGAAACCAGAACTACAAGCCAGGACTCCTGACTGTAGGCCTCTATTATTTTCCCCAATACCTCCTAGAGCTTATTATAAATCGGATGGGAGAAGGGATCACTCCTGGTAGGGAGTCACGCCGACCCGGCAGAAACTCCGGTGAGTTCCAGCTGTGATGAGCAGAGGTCACGGACAAAGAAGAGGATAAGTGAACAACGTTGCAGAACCTTGTGGGCCTTTATAATTCATCTATAATTCAGAATTAGCTTTCACTGAGCACTTACTAAGTGCCAGGCCCTTTGGTAAATCAACTCATTGAATTCACACTAAATTCTGTTACTCCATTTTTCTGCAGGTGATGGTATTGAAGCTTTGAGAAGTCAGTTAAGTTGTTCAAGGGAACCCAATTCCAGATCCAGAGGCCACATGTAGTTTCCCCAAGAGGGCAGAGATTGGGCCTTCCCCTCCTCTTCATCCTCCCTCAGTGCCTGCCTGGCACAGACACTCCATCCATGCCATGTACTGACATTGATGGGCCAACACACTGAACCATTGATTGACTACAGCTTGTGTCTCAGCCAGTATAGTGGTTATTTGCAAGGCTGCTTTATGTAGCATGGTTCAGGCCATTTGAGCCCCCAGCTCAGAAATGAGCACCAGCTGGTGAGCAGGCCAAGCGCCCAGGGAAAGGCAGTTACCTGATGCAGTGGGCAGCCGTCAGGACCCAGCTGTTGGCTATCAGGGACCCTCCGCAGGTGTGGTACCACTTGCCATTGGAGCTGTACTGCAGGGAGACCTGGGGAGAAGCAAAGGAGCTCTGTGGCTAGGTTTGAAAGAGCAGGGCCTCCCTGCACTCCAGTTTCCCAAGAACGGGGCTGGGACAAGGGTAAGGGGGAGTGAGGCAGTCGCCTCATGTGCACAACTTAAGGCAGCACCCAAAACCTCAGCCATCAAGATAAAAAACGTGTTAATGCAATCTACATGAAAAACAATCAGGCCAGGCATGGTGGCTCATGCTTGTAATCCCAACACTTCGGGAGGCCAAGGAAGGAGGATCACTTGAGCCCAGGAGTTTGAGACCAGCCTGGGCAACATGGTGAAACCCCATCTGATAAGGTTTGGCTGTGTCCCTACCCAAATCTCATCTTGAATTATAGTTCTTATAATCCCCATTTGTCGTGCGAGGGACCTGGTGGGAGGTAATTGAATCATGAGGGTGGTCACCTCCATGCTGTTTTCATGATAGTGAGTAAGTTCTCACAAGATCTGATGGTTTTATAAGGGTCTTTCCCCCACTTTTGCTCGGCACTTCTCCCTGCTACCGCTGCGTGAACAAGGATGTGTTTCCTTTCCCTTCTGCCATGATTATAAGTTTCCTGAGGCCTCCCCAGCCACGCTGAGCTATGAGTCAGTTAAACCTCTTTCCTTTATAAATTACCCAGTCTCAGATATGTCTTTATTAGCCGTGTGAGGCAGGACTAAATACATTGTCTCTACAACAAAAATAGCCCAAAATGAGCCGCTGGGTGCGGCGGTGCATGCCTATAGTCCCGGTTACTCAGAAGGCTGAGGTGGGAGTATTGCTTGAACCCAGGAGTTTGTGAACCAGCCTGGGCACCATAGTGAGAACTTGACCCTACCAAAAAAATTTTAAAATAAAATAAAATTAACAGAGTGAGACCAGGTCTTTAAAAAAAAAAAAAAAGAACTTTAAGGTGGTGACATTTGACACTGTTTTAGTCTCTAATGAAGCTGTTCCATGCCCTTCCTGTTCCTTCATTCCTCCTCCCCTGTCTTTCAATTCCCTGCCACGGCCAAGCAGAGGGGAGGGAGGTGACAGTAGGGCATGGACTGCTCTGATCGGGCTCCCTATAACTGTGGGGAACGATGACCTGTTTGTTGGCAGATGCCTGCTTTTCTCTGAACGTTGTTGTTTTTAATTAGCCATTTGGCATTTCTCGTTTGTGTGACATTAAGAGGTCTTAAAAAAGATGTTTAAAATTAGAAAAAGTGAAAAAAGATACTTAAAAGGATGTACCCCCCCCCCAATTTAAAAATGTGCTGAAACCATCGTACAGATGTGAAATTTAGCCCACATAATACGTATTATGTGTGGCCAGCAAAGTGTAGCTAAAGAGGTAGCACTGAACCAGATTTGAATCCTCATTCGCCCCCCGGGCTAACCCAGTGCCTTTGGGGAATTCTGTAACCTTTCCAAGTCCCAGTTGCCTTCTCTGGAAATGGGGAACATAAGCCACTGTGCAGGGCTCTCAGGGTGACTCATACTGTAATTAAGCCTGGGTGACAGAATGAGACTCTGTCTCCTGGAGAAGAAACAAAATTGCATTAAAATATCATTCATCTTCGTTAGTGAGGTTTTTTGTTTGTTTGTATTTTTTTTTTTTTTTTGAGATGGCTATCTATGTTGCCCATGCTGGTCTCAAACTCTTGGGCTCAAGCAATCCTCCTGCCTCAGCCCCTTGAATAGCTGGGATTAAAGGTGTGTGCCACTGTTCCTGGCTGGTTGCTGAGTTTTGTGCTACCCCCTTACATTTTGCCTCCAGAGTGAATGTCTTACTTGCCTCATCTGAGTCCCCACCCAGCTAGATCTGCCTTATTTCCGCAGGGAAACAGAAGCACAAAGCATAGGGACTCTTCATGGATTAACATTCACTGGTTCTCAAGGCAAGAATACTTTTGTGCAAGAGGGTGAGGAAGTATTTTTGTAGGCAGCAATGATTAGTTCTTAGCACAAATGCGCCCGGTGTTATGGGGCCCTGTAGCAGAGGGACTGTGGCCCTTCTTCCAAATTCTCAGGGAAAAAATACTGTGGGACTGTGAGAAAAGCAAAAGAACTGGCAAAAGCACACAAAGCCAAGTATATAAATTGTGAGGCTGGGTTGAGAGGCTCACGCCTGTGATCCCAGCACTTTGGGAGGCCGACGCAGGAGGATCACTTGAGCCCAGAAGTTCAAGACCAGCCTGGGCAACATAGTGAGACCCATCTCTAAAAAAAAAAAAAGAAACTTAACCGGGTGTGGGGGCATGCACCTGTGGTCTCAGCTGATAGGGAGGCTGAGGTGGGAGGATCGCTTGAGCCTAGGAGTTCGAGGCCGCTGTGAGCCATGTTTCACCAGCCACTGTACTCCAGCCTGGGTGACAGAATGTGACACTGTCTCAAAAAAAAAAAAAAATTACTATGGGTGAGCACAGTGGTGGGTGCCTGTAATCCCAGCACTTTGGGAGGCTGAGGCAGGTAGATGGCCAGAGCCCAGGAGTTGGAGGCTGCAGTGAGCTATGATTGTGCCACTGCACTCCAGCCTGGGTGACAGAGCAAGACTCTGTCTCAAAAAAAGAAAAAAATGTGAAATATCTGCCATCATTCTATCGTTGACAGTCTTTTTTTTTTTTTTTTTTTTTTTTTTTTTTTTTTTTTTTTTTTTTTTTTATGGATCTCACTCTGTCACCCAGGCTGGAGTGCAGAGGTGTGATCTTGGCTCACCGCAACCTGCGCCTCCCAGGTTCAAGCGATTCTTGTGCCTCAGCCTCCCAAGTAGCTGGGACTACAGGTGCCCGCCACCATGCCTGGCTAATTTTTGTATTTTTAGTAGAGGCAGAGTTTCACCATGTTGGCCAGGCTGGTCTCAAACTCCTGACCTCAGGTGATCCACCTGCCTCGGCCTGCCAAAGTGCTGGGATTACAGGCATGAGCCACCACGCCTGGCCTATCATTGACAGTCTCTTAATCAAGGAGCAGATGAATGAACGCTGGCCTCTCTAAACACAGTGACTGCTGCATGGGTCACTCTGAATGCTCAAGGCTAGTGGGCTGCTAGTTGCTCCTCCTACTTAAGGTAGAAACTCATCCTGATTCAGCTGGGTTTGCTCCCAAAGCAGTTTATATCAATTATGCTTGTAATAATGAAATTTGATTAAACATGTAACCAATGAAATATGAGTTCAGAAAGAGAGTCGTTATTTATATGGAAACAAAGTTAAATGCTTGGAAGAGACTGGATCACCATGACTCTTAAAAAATTGCTCTTGAAGTAGTGTCTGTGAGAAAATGGAAAGATTGGATGGGCTCATAACTCAGATTGCTTTGTGAACGTCTCAAAGTTACTGCTCTGCTTTAAAGAAACGGGTTTGTAGATAAGATATGGGGCATGGCTTATATGAAAAAGACAGTTAAGAACTCAAAAAATTGTTTACATAGTCTAAGATAAAATCTTTACTATATATATATGATTTAAAATAATTTCTTTATAACCAACTTTTCAATTACTCGGTCCCAATTACATCAGATAAATGAGATTTCACTATATTTGTTTATGTCAATGTAAACTTTACACATTTCTCTTAAAATCCCCACCATTAACACGTCTGAGTAATTTACACCTGTGCCCCACTTGGCAGTTTAGTCTTGATACCACTATGATTATATCAACTTAAGAAAACATTTTTTTCATTGGTAACATTGATTTGCCTGTGGTTAAAGATTAATCTGCGCAAATAGCACTGATTGGTTCCTTAAAGCAAGGAATGTTTGCATAGGTAGTCTTGAATGGTTCCTAGACTGATGGTACATTTGTAAACAAGCCTCTGATTGGTTAATAGAGTAATACTATATTTGCTGCCTATGGGCAGTGGGGAGGGGACAGCTCCTTACTGCAGCTGGAGGAGGCACCTCTCCCTCCACTCCCAAGGTTGGCCAAGGCCACAGAAATGTATCTTTTTTTTTTTTTTTGAGACAGAGTCTTGCTTTGTTGCCCAGGCTGGAGTACAGTGGTGCAATTTCAGCTCACTGCAACCTCTGCCTCCTGGGTTCAAGCGATCCTCCTGCCTAAGCCTCCCCAGTTGCTGGGATTACAGGCGTGTGCCACCACACCTGGCTACTTGTGTATTATTAGTAGAGGCAGGTTTCACCATGTTGGCCAGGCTGGTCTCAAACTCCTGACTTCAGGTGATCTGCCCACCACAGCCTCCCACAGTGCTGGGATAACAGGCATGAGCCACTGCGCCCAGCCGGAAATATATCTTATTGCTAAAGTTGCCTGTGCTGCTCTCTGAGTCCCATCAATACTCACTTTGCCAGCACAATAGACGCCATGGTGGAAGGGCAAAGGGGAGATGTAAAGGGAGTGGGGCAGGGACGGGGAGAAGTACAGTGTGGTCAACTCACCTGCCAGGGCCAGCTGTTGGGCCTCGCTTCTTCACCGCCAACCACCCTAGTCACATAAGGTGGGTAAGTGGGGTCCCCACAACTGAGGGCTGTGAAAAGAGAAAGGGTCTTGAGTCAGGAAGCAGCGACCCACACAATGTAAACTACACTTGCTGCGCATTCTGACCCCCCAAATAGAAAACCCTTGTTCTAGAAGGATCCCAAGAGGTCATAGAATCCTGCTCTTTGCTCCAATTCTTTGAAACTCCATTCCAATGTTCTTATGATTATAGGTCTGAATGCAGTAGGGGTTGGGTGGGGGCGAGAGGGGAGGACAGGAAGATCCCATTTCCAGCCCCACCAGGGCATGGGAAACCAGTGCCTCTGGGTAACAGGACTTACCTCCAGCCACCAAAGTGGACAGCAGCAGCGTCCTTATCATGGTGTGTCCGTGGGAGTTCTGTAAGCGTGGCCCTGGATAAGGCCCTGGTTTTATGAGCGGACTTATCAGTGAGAGATACAGTAAGAGCACGCAAGATGGGGTTTTCTCAAAGCCCAGTGGAAAAAAGAGCTGTGTCCAAATATTTTTTTTTTCCCATTTCCTCCCAAATGTCACCCTAGAAATACTTTGAAAAAGATGCCAAAGGTAGATATTGGAATATGGGTTCCATCTGTTTTGAAGAGATTATGTTGTGTGTTAGGGAAGGAAGAAAAATACTAATTGTTGGTGCTCGGAGTTGTTTTTTTTTTTGTTTGTTTGTTTTTGTTCCCCTCCCTGGGTAAGACTGAGGAGAGGAGTTGTGTTTTCTTTCTTTCTTTCTTTCTTTTTTCTTTCTGAGATGGAGTCTTGCTCTGTCACCCAGGCTGGAATGAAGTGGCGTGATCTCAGCTCACTGCAACCTCTGCCTCCTGGGTTCAAGCAATTCCCCTGCTTCAGCCTCCCTAGTAGTTGGGATTACAGGTGTGTGCCACCATTGCTGGCTAATTTTTGTATTTTTAGTAGAGACGGGGGGTCTCATCATGTTGGCCAGGCTGGTGTCGAACTCCTGGCCTCAAGTGATCTGCTCGCCTCGGCCTCCCAAAGTGCTAGGATTACAGGCTGAGCCACCATGCCCGGCCAGGAGTTGTGTTTTCAATGAAAAGATTAAGGTGGCATGCTGAGCCCACAGCATTCTAAGGCAGTATTTCTCAATGGGGCTGGTTCAGCCCACCAGGAGACGTTTGACAACATCTGGAGAGAATTTTGGTTGTCATGGCTGGGGTTGATGTAAATTGGCATCCAGTGGGCAGGGAGCAGAGAGCAGAGACGCTGCTAAACACCCGACAATGCACTGGGCAATAGGACTCGCCCTGCCCCAAATGTCAATGGTGCTGAGACTGAGAAAGCCTGTTCTAGGCCATACCAGGGGTTGCAATGTGACCTTGGCTGAGTCATGTAAGTCTCTAGACCCATCTGTGAAACAGGGAGAGAAACCCATGCCCAGTATTGTTTCACAACATTGTGGTAAGGATTTGTATAATGTGGGGAAGGTGCACATGTAGCAGAATTTGCATAATGCGGGGAAGGTGCACATGTAGCAGAAGGCAAGGCCGACATGCACAATTAGGATCTGGCCACTCTAATGATGGGGGGAAGCAGAACGCTGGCAGAGGAGGGCTTCATCTGGTGGATGAAAATGCACTTTACGGCCGGGCACGGTGGCTCACTCCTATAATCCCAGAACTTTGGGAGGCTGATGCGGGCAGACCACCTGAGGCCAGGAGTTCAAGACCAGCCTGGCCAACATGGTGAAACCCCGTCTCTACTAAAAATACAAAAATTAGTAGCGTGTGGGGCTGCATGCCTGTAGTCCCAGCTACTCAGGAGGCTGAGGCAGGATAACCTCTCGAACCTTGGAGGTGGAGGTTGCAGTGAGCTGAGATCGCACCACTGCACTTTAGTTTGGGCAACAGAGCAAGACTCCATCTCAAAAAAAAAAAAAAAAAAGACCAGCTCCACACTCTTAAGACTTGATATCAAGTGTTTTTTTTTTTTTTTTTTTTTTTTTTTTTTTTTTTTTTTTGAGACGGAGTCTCGCTCTGTCACTCAGGCTAGGGCGTAGTGGCGCGATCTCGGCTCACTGCTACCTCTGCTTCTCAAGTTCAAGTGATTCTTCTGCCTCAGCCTCCCTAGTAGCTGGGACTACAGGCACCGGCCACCACACCCGACTTATTTTTGTATTTTTAGTAGAGACGGGGTTTCACCATATTGGCCAGGCTGGTCTTGAACTCCTCACCTCGTGTTCGTCCGCCTCGGCCTCCCAAAGTGCTGGGATTACAGGCATGAACCACCGCGCCCAGCCGAGTTCAAGTCTTTGATCCATCAATTTTGAGTGTGGTGGTCTGGACAAGCCACTTATCTTCTGGGCCTTACTTTCCTAGATAACCATCCAGGCCTGGATTGCAGGATTGTTGTACGGGTAAGAAAATGGGTGGGAAAGAATTCTGCAATCTCCCTAGGATGGTGCAAAGGTGAGAAAGATTGGGTGGGGGGCAGCATCCCATGGGACTGGATGTCAGAAGATGTAGATTCCAGTCCCAACTCCATCCCATAATCCCTGTAACAGTTTGGACTCATTTGTGGTCTGTATGAGTCACTACAGCAACCAACTATTTCTTAAGTCTCATATTTTATCTTAAAGGTTCATGTGAATTTGGCGTTCTGCTCTGTATCTTTGTTTGTTTTAATATAAAAATAAAGTTTGTCCTGTATGAGGCCACTGAACAAACACCTGCTGTGAATTTGCTGTGTGACCTTGGGCCAATCCCACAGGCTTTCTGGCCCGGGGTGCCTATCTACAAACAGGGAGAGGAACAGATGCTTGGTCTGTTCCATCACATTGCTGTCAGGATTTTTTGTTTTGCTTTGTTTTTTGTTTGTTTTTTTGAGACAGAGTCTCGCTCTGCCACCCAAGCTGGAATGCAGTGGCGCCATCTCGGCTCACAGCAACCTCCATCAGGAGGTTCAAGCGATTCTCCTGCCTTTGCCTCCTGAGTTCCTGGGATTACAGGTGCCCGCCACCATGCCCGGCTAATTTTTTGTAATTTTAGTAGAGACGGGGTTTCATCATGTTGGCTAGGCTGGTCTCGAACTCCTGACCCCAGGTGATCTGAGATTACATGCGTAAGCCCCCGTGCCTGGCCAGATGCGAAATTCTCACGGGGTTTGTGACTCATTCAGAACAACTACTCTGAGGAGCCACGTGGCTTAGGGGCTGGGGGCCTGGGCTTAAGACCCCCAGTGCCTCTGTGTAGTGAGTCTGTGGTTTGGCTCCTCTCTACGGAGTGTGGCCTGGGCCAGCAGCATCAGCACAGCTCAGTCGCTGGTTAGAAATGCAGAATTTCCCATCTTCGGTGTCTGTGGTTTAATAGGATCCCCAGATGATTTTGTTCCTCTGCATATTAACATTTGAGAGGCACTGGGCTAGGGTACATTTCACTCTATTCCTTGAGTTTCTCACCTATCAAAGAGAAGCAATAACAATACCATTTATGTCTTAGGATTGTTAGAATCAAACAACAGTTTATTCACTGAAAGCACTCAGAATAGTAACTGTGCAATAAACATTTACTCTTAATTCCTTAGACCTGCGGGCCTCCGATATTAGAGCAGCACAGAATTCTTGAAACCTTTTCATCAAAGAATCCAAGTAGTTTAGCGGCTGGCAAACTTTCTGTGTAAAGGGCCAGATACTAAATATTTCAGACTTGCAGACCATATGGTCTCTGTCACAACTAGTCAACTCGGCCGTTGCAGTGCAAAAGCAGCCATATGGGCATAGCCATGTTCCAATAAAACTTTATTTACAAAACAGATTTGGTTTGCAGGCTCTAGTTTGCAGTAAAGTGATGATCTGGGGTCTAGCACGCAGCACTAACAATAGCAAAATGTCTTGGAAGTCTCATTCTTCATCTGAAAGCTTAATTTGAATTTTGCAACTTCATAATATAGCTGGGTTCATTTCAATATAAAGTTTTTTCTTCCCTTCTGATCTTCACAGAAAATGGATGCTATGGGAAGATGCTGCCTGTTTATTCTCTGCCTTCACGTGGTCCCCTGGCCCACTGCCATGAGGACCTTTGTAGACTCAACCTGTGTCTCAACTTGATAGGACTCAGTTTCTGGGAAGTGGACCCCCAAGGATATGCCGGAGGCCTGAGGTCTGAGGCCTGCTAGGAATGAGCCTTCCTCTCTTAAGGAACAAAAAGAGAGAGGGAAGCCCGGGTGCAGTGGCTCACGCCTTTAATCCCAGCACTTTGGGAGACTAAGGTGGGTGGATGACCTGAGGTCAGAAGTTCGAGACCAGCCTGGCCAACATGATGAAACCCCGTCTCTACTAAAAAAATAAAAAATTAGCTGGGTGTGGTAGTGGGTGTCTGTAATCCCAGCTACTCGGGAGGCTGAGGCAGGAGAATCGCTTGAACCAGGGAGGTGGAGGTTGCAGTGAGCCGAGATCGTGCCACTGCACTCCAGCCTGGGCAACAAGAGCGAAACTCCATCTCAAAAAAAGACAGAGGGAATATTTGAGTCCAGGGAGCGAAGTCAGTAGTAGTAATGGCCCTCTCTGCCCCATTCACTAGCCTCTGTCATTTCATTGGCTCCCCAGTAAGGAGACAGGGCAGGTGTCCATTTCACAGATGGGGAAAACTGAGGCCCAGGGAGGTTAAGTGACTCAGCCACTGACTGCCTGTCAGTGGTGAGTTCAGAGCTCCAGCCCAGTGAGTGCCCTCCCTCTGCCCTGCCCTAGTTTATGCTTCTCATTTGAGTCAGAGAGAATGTGGATGTGGTGGCTGACCAAGATGGCCCTGATTCTTCATCCTCCCTGCATCCATGCCCTTTGCCATGCAGGGCCCTCCCGGGAGGTGGGTGAGACATGCAGAGCCAGGCTGCCCAGTCTGACCCACACTGGATCAGCCAACCCTGGCTGACCCCTAAACATATGAGTGAGTCCAGCCCAAATTAGCAGGGCTGCCTGACAGCCCCAACTGTCCCCAGATGTGTCAGCAATAAGTGCTCACCACTGCATGCCACTAGGAGTTTGGGGTAGGTTGTTAGGCAGCATTATCACACCTCTGGTAGCTGATACAGTGGCTGAAAGTCTTTTGTGAGCATCTGGGAGCAATAATTCTCTCAAGCCTCTGTCTCTCTGGGCTTATTGCTGGTTTTATTGAGGCTTCTCGGCACCCCCACAGGCTACACCTCCCTGGTCACTAGAGGAGGTCAGCGTGCAAGGGCATCCTTAGACTTTAGGATTCATGGCAGAACCACAAGTTGTTAGTTGCACAGGCTCTGGAGTTAGACTACCTGGGTTTAAATCATGGTGCCCCATTGCTAGCTGTGTGATCTGGGCTGAGGTTTGAAATCTCTCTGAGCCTCAGTTTCCTCATCTG
This sequence comes from Homo sapiens, assembly GCF_000001405.40. NCBI lineage: Eukaryota > Metazoa > Chordata > Mammalia > Primates > Hominidae > Homo > Homo sapiens. Next base: position 15,451,765 of record NC_000001.11, on the reverse strand, counting down.
TAAAGAGGGATAATAAACAGGGTTGCCATGAGGATGAAATGAGGTCATATATATGAAGCCTTGGGCGGAGCCTAACACAAATTAGCAAGTGCTCAATATATGCTAGCCACGCAACGGCTATTAGGCATCCAATGGCACACTAGTGGATCAGTGGCTGGTGGGGCTCTCAGCAGCCCCTTCCAGGCCTCCCAGCCCCCAGGCAGAAGGTGGAGGTGGGAGGGTCAGTGCCTAAGTTTCCAGTTTCCCTCCCTTCCAGCCACCAGTTTGTGACCTCTGGGACAAAGTCCACAAATCCCTACTCTCACCCAAGCCAGATCCCAGGGAGTCCTTCCTGACCCCTCCTTCTCCCTCCCCACTACACCCACCACAGTGCGCTTTGGATTTTGCCTTCTAACACGGGAGGAAGGATGGTGAATCTGGTTCCTATTGCTGTTGTAATAAATTGTCACAAACTTAGTGGCAAAAAACACACACATTTATTATCTTGTAGTTCTGGAGGTCAGAAGTCCACAGTTTTTCCTCACTGGGCTAAAGTCCAGGTATAGGCAGGACTGTTCCCTTCTGGAGGTGTAGAGAAGAATCCATTTCCTGGCCTTTACCAGCTTCCAGAGGCCGCCTGCATTCCTTGGTTCATGGCCCCTTCCTCTATCTTCAGAGCCAGCAGTGCAGCATCCTTAAATCTCTCTCTGACCCTGACCCTCTTGTCTCACTGTTCTAAGGACCCTTATTGATTACACAGACCCCACCCAGATAATCCAAGATGGTCACTCCATGGGAAGATCCTTAATTTAATCATATCTGAACAATCTCTTTTGCTGAGTAAGGTAACATGTTCACAGGTTCTGGGGGTTGGGGTGTACACATCTTTTGCAGGGAGCATTATTCTGTTTACCATACATAGGCATTGATTCTTGGGCATAATAATGGATCTTGTCCCCAAAGCTGAGAATTTTACACTCTTTTTTTTTTTTTTTGGAGACAGTTTTGCTCTTTCGCCCACCCAGGCTGGAGTGAAGTGGCACGATCTCGGCTCACTGCAACTTCCACCCCCCAGGTCCAAGTGATTCTCCTGCCTTAGCCTCCCGAGTAGCTGGGATTATACGTGCCTGCCACCACGCCTGGCTAATTTTTTGTACTTTTAGTAGAGACAGGGTTTTGTCATGTTGGCCAGGCTGGTCTCGAACTCTTGACCTCAGGTGATCCACTCCCACCTTGGCCTCCCAAAGTGCTGGGATTACAGGCATGAGCCACCGCGCCTGGCCAAATTTTACAGTCTTGTTGAACAAACCGAACTGTGGGTTGTGTTTCACCATGTATTAGCTAACAAATGGTAATTTTTGTTGTTGTTTTTTCTCGTTTTCTGAGACAGGATCTTACTCTGTTGACCAGGCTGGGGTGCAGTGGCATGATCACGGCTCACTGCAGCCTTGACCTCCTGGGCTCAAGTGATCCTCCTGTCTCAGCCTCCCAAGTAGCTGCCACGACAGGTACATGCCACCACGCCTGGCTAATTTTTGTATTCTTTGTAGAGACAGGGTCTTGCTATGTTGCCCAGGCTGGTCTCGAACTCCTGGGCTCAAGCATCCTTCTGCCTCAGCCTTCCAAGTAGCTGGGACTACAGGTGTGTGCTACCATGCCTGGCTCCTGACAAACAATCGTTTTGATAATTAATCAGATTCCTGGAAGTTTGTGTAGATGTGGGGCTGGAGGCTTGCTGCTCAACGCTACAACTGTACCCCTTAAATAATTACTGAAACCTCCCTTTTCTCCTTTTCATTACCGCCTCCATCCGGGCTGCATTATTTCTGGCCTAGACTGCTGCAGCAGCCTCCTTACTGGCCTGTCTGCCTCCACTCTTGCCTGCTCCAAATCACCCTCCCCACAGCTGTCTGATGGACACTGTAGTGTACACATCGGACCACAGTGGCCACTTCTCTATCTAAAAGCCCTCTACAGCCCCCACTGCCCTCAGCAGGAAGTCCCAGCAGCCCCTACCACTGCACAAGGCCTTCCCTAAGGGCGTTTGCTTCCTCTCCAGCCTTGTCACTTGCCCCTCCAAGCAACAACCATCTTGGTTTGCCTGGGACTCTTCCAGTTTTAGCATTGAAACTCCCATGTCTGGGAAAACTCAGCCCAGGCAAACCAGGACAATTGGTCACTCTGCCCTTGCCCCTGACTTTATGCTCTGGCAACACCGGAGTTTCTTCCAAGCAGTCGCTATAGCTTTGCTCATGCTGTTCCCTTGGCTGGAAAGTGACCCCTTCTGTTCCCTAGTGAATTGATTAGCAAGTAACTGAAAATCTACTTCGGTGGCTAAAACAAATGCAGATGTATTTTTTTTCACGTAGCCAGACATTCAGAGGAAAATGGTGGCTGGCATGGGATCTACAGCTTGATGAGGTCTAAGCTGACATCTCTGTAATTATCTTGGCCACAAGATGGCTGCCTCAGCTCCAGGCATCACATCCATATTCAAGGCAGGAAGAAGGGGAAGGGGCAGCACCAGCTATGTCAGATCTTTCTCATCAGGGAAGTTTTTATTTATTTATTTTTTTTCTGGAGGATGTTTTACATTGCAGGGCAGCAGAGCATGGTGGACAAGAGCACAGGCCCTGGAGTCAGATCACTAAAGTCTGGATTCCGGCTCCACTACCTTCTAGTTCACACATTGGGAAGTCACTAACCCTGTCTGGCCTCAGTTTTCTCATCTGTAAAATGGGCATGATGTTAATAGTAACCTACCTCATGGGATTGTTTCTGGGGATTGAGATAATGTAAAACCTATAGGATAGTGCTTGGCACATACTAAGTGCCCAATAAATGTTAGATATTATTTAACATTGCTTAAATAACATTGTAATATTAATTAACATTTTAATTAGCTCCCTAACTACAAGGGATCTGAGGACAGCAAGCATTTAGCATTTATAACCCCCAATATAAAGACATACACAAAAGAAGATAGCTGGGAATGAGACCGGGTGTGGTGGCTCACACCTGTGATCCCAGTACTTTGGGAGGCCAAGGCGGGCAGATCACCTGAGGTCAGGAGTTTGAGACCAGCCTGGACGACATGGTGAAACCCCATCTCTACTAAAAAAATACAAAAAAATTAGCTGGGGCCGGGCACGGTGGCTCACGCCTGTAATGCCAGCACTTTGGGAGGCCGAGGCAGGTGGATCACGAGATCAGGAGATCGAGACCATCCTGGCTAACACGGTGAAACCCCGTCTCTGCTAAAAATACAAAAAAAAAAAAAATTAGCCAGGCATGGTGGCTGGCGCCTGTAGTCCCAGCTACTCAGGAGGCTGAGGCAGGAGAATGGCGTGAACCTGGGAGGCGGAGCTTGCAGTGAGCCGAGATGGCACCACTGCACTACAGCCCAGGTGAGAGAGCGAGACTCTGTCTAAAAAAAAAAAAAAAAAATTAGCTGTGCATGGTGGTGCGTGCCTGTAATCCCAGCTACTTGGGAGGCTGAGGCAGAAGAATCACTTGAACCTGGGAGGTGGAGGTTGCAGTGAGCTGAGATTGTGCCACTGCACTCCAGCCTGGGCATCAGAGCAAGACTCCGTCTCAAAAAAAAAAAAAAAAAAAAGAAGAGGATAGGTGGGAATGAAGTTTAGATTAAGCAAACTTAAGAAGGACTACGTTCTGTACTTGGGTACCTTCTAGTCAAATTTTAAGACCAAGCTTGGGCATCATCACCTCCAGGAAGCCATCCTGGATTCCTCCCGCCAACTGACACTGCTTCAGGTGTCCTGTTTCTATGCTTCTGGTCTGTATTTCTGTTTTCAAATGTATACCAGGGAATTTAATGATCTATTTACTGGTCTGTCTCCTGCACAGCTGGGGTACCCCCATCCTGGATTCCCGGGTCTGGGTGGTGCTGGGCTCCCTGTAGCTCCCACTGCTTGTTGAGTAAGTCAAGTCTTTCCTGAGACTTGCCTTGGCATCATGGGGGTGTGGGAGTCACACCATGGTCCCCACTCCCAGGGGACAAAGTCTGGTGGAGAAAAGGGACAACTCTTGGGCCAGTCTGAGGTAGCTGCAGCCGAGGGCTCTCCAGCGAGGGGTCCAGAGGCTGGGCTGGGGGCACCCCCACAGAACAGGACATTCCCAGGAGCAGGCCAGGCCAGAGGCCCCTATCATCAGGGTCTGATCCCCCTGGCATGTCCCTCCCTGGACATTGGATCTCTCTCATCTCTGGCTGCCCCTGTCATCAGGGTCTGATCCCACTGGCATGTCCCTCCCTGGACACTGGGTCTATCTCATCTCTGGCTCCTCTTGGCCTCTTGTCAGCCTCAGGAGAACTCTCTTCTCCTGGATCAGGCATTGCCAGCTATCCCAACTCCTTCCTCTCTCTGGGCCTCAGTTTCCCCACTTGTCTAATGCAATGAAAGCATATCCAGCTCTGACCACTGTGATTCTGTGTGGAAACCATTGCCTTCTTCAAACGTATGTCTCCTGAGGATGATGCTGGGGTCTCTTCCTCTTCCTGTACCCTCATCATGCCCAGCACAGGACTGGACACAGGGGCTGGCTCACTAAACACTTCTCAAAGCAGAGAGCCCCTGCCAACAGCAGCCATGGGGTCTGTGCTGCGGGGTGGGGGTGGGGGGTCCCTGCTAGGGAGCCCCTTCCCCAGGAGTGGTTGTCCCTGAGCTTTGGCCATCCTCCTGTGGCCTGGTCTCTCTGGCCTGGGGGACGCTGCTTTTGGGGAGACCCTGTCTTCCACCTGCTGCTGGGGGGCTGTGAGGACCTGCCAGGCCCCTCGGTGGAGGTAGGATCGGAGAAGCGAGTGATTTCATCAGGGTCTCACCTGTTCGCAGCTTGTGAGATGGAGCGGGGAAGGTGTCTGATGCGTCCTTCACTCCCATCCCCTCCGGCTTCACGCAGGACTCCCTGGGCTCTCCACCCCAGCCCCCTGCCTCCCATTAATGCCCCAGGAGGCTCCTTCCTTGGCCCTCTCTCCCGGCCTCTGTTTCCCCACCTGTCTAATGCAGGGTGGGGGAAACTGGCTGAGTGGGGTCTCTCTTTGGCTCCATAGTGTGGAAAGGGGCAGCACCAGAGAGGAGGGAAGCAACAGAAGCTGCACAAATCAAGGATCCAGGTGGCCCGAGGAGAAGGAAGTTTATTGCTGTTGCAGGGACTCGCTGCCGCCGCTCCCAGCAACAAATCACAGCTGCATTTTCTGGAGGAGCAGAGAACAGTGTGAGAGACTCAGGGCTGTGCCACCTTCTAGGGTGGCACAGGGCTCTGCCCGGAGGGTGGGTCCATGGGGGCATGGCCAGCAGCCCCCGGCCTTCACATGCCAGCCTTGTCCCTGTTCAAGGGGTCTGAGGCCCTCAGCATTTCAGGCCACTGTGCAAATGGGTCTTGGAACACACTCTGTCCCCAATGGGGAAGCCCCCAGCCCAGGGTGACCCTCTGTTCCCCTACTCTCAAGATGAGAAATGGCCATCCACACCATCCCTCTCCTCTGCTGGGCCATACCCTCAGGGGGTCAGTTTTTGGGGGAGACTGGTGTGGGGCCTGGATGGGGACATAAGTGCTTGATGAAGGCAGTGAATGGATGGATGGAGGAGTCAATGACTGTTTCCTTATTGGCACCCAACTCAAGGCCTGCTACTGGAAGCACTCAACCAATATTACTTGAATGAGAGAGTGAATGTGTGAAGAAGTGCATGAATGAATCACTGAATGAGCAAATGAATGAGTGAATAAATGGATGAATGAGTAAATAAATGCATGAATGAATGAATACATGAATGAGTGAATGAATAAGTGAATAAATGAATGAATGAATGCATGAGTGAATGAATAAATGAATAAATACATGAATGAGTGACTGAATAAGTGAATAAATGAATGAATGCATGAATGAGTGAATAAATGCATGAATGAGTGAATAAATGAATGAATGAATAAACGCATGAATGAGTGAATGAGTGAGGGGATGGGTGAGTGAGGGGGAGGGGCTGACAGGTGCAGGGACAGCTGTGGAGGCAGCACCCACCTCGTTGATCCAGTCGATGTAGGCGGACACCCGGGTGTAGACTACCGGCTTCTTGCGGGTGTTGCAGCCCCGCCGGGAGCCAAAGCTGACGATGCCAAACACCTCCCAGGAACCGTTCTCCAACTGGCAGTTCAGTGGGCCACCGGAGTCCCCCTGCACCAGACCGGGAGGGCATAAGCCACCAGGCCCCCCCCCAGAGGAAGTCTTGGGAAGCAGGACTGGGTTGGGGTGGGGGATGTGGGTTGGCTTCTCAGCCTTAGTTAGTGGACAGATTTGGCCTCAGCCTGCCCATGGTGAGGGAGGCAGAGGAAATGTGGTTTGCGGCTGCCTTGGCCTTATTCTGGGAGGCCCTGGGGTGTCAGACTAGCTCTTGGTTTGCTGTGTGATCTTGGGATGATGTTAATCCTCTCCGTGCCTCAGTTTCCCTAGCTGTTCAGGTCTCCTTATCTAAGACTCTGTGAGCTACTCAGAGCAGTGAGGATGCAGGCAGCTGTGCTAGAGGCCTGGGAAGGTGAGGAAGGAGGGTGAGAATGGGGAGAGGGTTGTGTGTTTGAAAACAGGACATTCCCTGATTGTCTTAGATGTTTTATGGTTCTGGTCTCCCTGGACTGGTGGAGCAAATGCATGGAGGAACATGTGTAGAGACTTCAGTGAAGCCTCTTCTCTGTCCTTTAAACTCATTTAGTCCTAACCCTGTGAAGTGGTTACTGTAACTCCATTTTACAGATGGAAAAACTGAGGTCAGAGGTTCAACGGCCCTCCCAAGTTTACGTAGCTCATAAATGGTGGGACTGGGGCTTGAACTCAGATACTCGTGCTCAATGCTCATGCTCTCACCACAGTGATGGGGGGTGATGGGCTTACCCTGAGCCTGCTGGGCCCAGCCAGGGCTCGCTCAGTCTCCTCCCAGGAGAAGGGTTTGGTCCATCGCACCCCCCTTTGCCCACATCCACTTGGCCACTTGGAGTAGGGACAAGGTGCAGAACCTAGCCACTCACATTGCAGGCTGAGATGACGCCATCGCCCCCAGCGCACACCATGGTTTTCTTCACCCTGAAGCCCCACCAGTCAATCCTGGAGCACGTGGCGTGATCCACCACGGGCTGCAGGCCCTGCTGCAGCTTATCAGCAATGGGGCCGTTGGCTGGGGAGAGAGTGAGCAGTGACCAGGGAGGCAGCCGGGAAGCCCAGTCCAGCCCCTCCCCAGGCCTTCAGGGAGCAGATGCCTGGGACAGGACCCAGGGGAGCGCCGGCTGAGACAGTGTGCGGACCACACACCTGCCCTTCATCAAGAGGCAAGCCAAGGTCCCAGAGGGTCAGGAGCAGGCTGCCGGCAGAAGGAAGCTACAGTGTTGAGTTGAGTTGTCTTTAAGTTGGATTCTGGGGATTTAATTGTCAATAATTTCCTGTGGGTCTCTGTCTTTGCTGTCACCCATTAAAAAGCCTTTCTCACCCCCAAGATTTTCTATTTCTCTTTCTTTTTTTTTTTGATACATACAAGGTCTCACTCTGTTGCTCAGGCTGGACAGCAGTGGCAAGATCATAGCTCACTGCAGCCTCAAACCCCTGGGCTCAAATGATCCTCTCACCTCAGCCTCCTGAGTAGTTTGGGACTACAGGTACACACCACCATACACTGCTATTTAAAAATTTTTTTTTTGTAGAGGCAGGGTCTCACTATGTTGCCCAGGCTGGTCTTGAACTCCTGGCCTCAAGTGATCTTTCCTCCTCAGCTTCCTAAAATGTCGGGATTACAGGTGTGAGCCGCCACAGCTGACTTCTCCCCCAGGATTTTCTAAATAGTGATCTGCATTTTCTAAGTCTCCCATAGTTTCATGATTTGCATTTAACTTTTAATTCAGCTGGGACCTATTTGGGCATACGGTATACCACAGATGTCATCCCCTACCCCTAATGGTTTATTTTAGTTTATTTATGTGACACTTACTATGTGCCAAGTGCTGTTCTGAGCACTTGACAAATTCTAATTCGTCTAAACTTTACCACATCTCTCAGAGACCCTTGCTAGAGTGTCTGTCACATGGTATGTGCTTAGTAAATATTAGCTGTTATTGTTACAAAGTTTACAAAGACATGAAAATGTGAAGGCAAAAAGGCAAAGTGGTGGACAAATGTGGGTGACGTCCTGCTTCCTTCAGGAAGGCTCTCAGGATTTGCCAGGGACGATACTCACTCCAGAGGCGGCCCCAGCCGGTGACATAGCAGGGGTAGTCCTTGGGGAGCAGGGAGTCCTTCTCTGGCAGGCAGGCCACCTGGATGGTGTCACTCAGCTCCACATGCTCTGCAAGCTTGATGAGGGCAATATCATTGCTGGAATCCAAAGTGGAGAGGGTGAGTGGGCAGGAGGGCCCTGGCCCCACAAGCTCAGGCTAAGGGGCTCGGGCTGTGAGTTGGGAGTCAGGCCCAGGGTGCTCAGGGGTCCTTCACAAACATCCTGACTGCCAGCTTCTTCTTGGCCTTTGGGAATATCAGGACAAACGATTCACCATCTAACATGATCACCCGCACTGTTGACATAGCTTCTTCTCACATGTCATCACCTCGGGAAAGGGTTAACAGAGGGAGGTGAGAGTGGAAGTGTCCGAAACCACTGCTGGCTGTGGGTCCATTGAAACAGAGGCTATAGCAAGTTGAGAACTCTAATGCCAAAAGACGGCACTTGCAGATGCCAGTTTTAATATTTTCATGTTACAAGAATAAAAGCTGGCCGGCCCAGTCAGACCTGGTTTGATTCCTAGTTCTGCCACGAAGTGGGCTGTGTGGCCTGGGACACAGTTCTTAACCTCTCTGAGCCTTGGTTCTTTGTCCAGGGCTGTTGTGAGGATTACATAACAGATGGCATATAAAGTGTCTATTGCAATGTGGGCATACAGTAGGAACTCAATAAAGGTGAGCGCTGGCCCAGCCTCTGGAGAGACACTGTGGGGGGCCTTCCTTGTGGACTTTCCTGGGAGTCTTGGCCAATGAGGGGGATATGAGGGGGTATTTGTCTCCACTTAGCATTTTGCCATTTTGTGTAAGACAGTCATTTGCTGGCTTTCCAGGGTGAGGATGGGGTGTCAGGTATGGGGTGCGACAGGCTCTGCGGCTCCGTCTTGGGGACCCCTCCTTCCACACTGCCCCCAGTGGCTGTGGGATGGGCAGTCTGTCACTCACCGCAACAGGAGGGCATTCCATCTCTTGTGGACGTGGATGGTGTCCACACCCACAAACAGGGATCCTTCTTCGTCTTCCACCTCCAGGTTGTTCTTTCCCACGGCCACACGGTAGGTCCGGGTGTTGCTGGGCAGAGGAAGGGGTCCAGGTCAGGGTGGCCCCCTGGTCCTGCCAGCCAGTGGGATAGAGAGGGAGCTCGGGGCTTTAGTGGGACTCATTTTGGGGGAAGAGAGTGTTCCCATTGTCCTTTCCCAGGGTGAGGGGAAGGGCCTGGGACTTGGGGTCAAGGGACTTGGGTTCATGTTGTGACTTTGCTGCTCCTGGCTGTGTAGCCTTGTGCCTCAGTTCCCTCATCTGTAAGGGGGAGGCAATGCTGGAACTTACTCCCAGGGCGGCTGTGAGAATAAACTCATCCAAGCTTCCACCGCCCTTGCCTGCACAGTTGCGGCATCCATCTAACTATCTCTCACTTGTACGCTGGCCTACTCCTGTCTATTCTGAACCCAGCAGTGTGGGTTTAAAAATATCTCCGGCCAGGTGCGTTGGCTCATGCCTGTAATCCCAGCACGTTGGGAAGCCGAGACGGGGGGATTGCTTGAGGCCAGGAGTTTGAGACCAGCCTGAGCCACATGGCAAATCCCCATCTCTACAAAAAATAGAAAACTTATGGTGAGGTTTGGGCTTCTAAGTTAAAAAACAAACAAACAAACAAAAAACAAGAAGAAAAATTAGCTGGGAATGCGTGGTGGCGTGTGCTTATAGACCCAGCTACTCGGGAGGCTAAGGTGGGAGGATTGCTTGAGCTCAGGAGGTCAAGGCTACAGTGAACCATGATGGTACCACTAAATGAGACTCTGTCTCTACCAAAAAAAAAAAAAGTGTATATGAAATATATAAAATGAAATATGTTGCAATATATATTTTTTATAAAATATATTAAAAATATTTTATGGAATATATAAAAATATGTCAGCCCACAACTCTCCTTTGCTCAGAAACCCTTCCAATAGCTCCATCTTACTCAGGGTCAAAGCCAAGGTCCTGATACTGACCTGCACTTATTTCCTCTCTAGCTCACCTCCCACTCTCCTCTAGCACACGCTGCCCCTGCCACACCGGCTTCCGCGTTATTTCTCAACCATACTGACAGGTCTCTCCTCCAAGGCTTTGCATGGCTGTTCCCTCCGCCTGGAACACCCTTCTCCTAGATCCATGATTTCCTCCCTCACTTCCTTCAGGCCTTTGCCCAAATAACCCCCTTTTAGCTCTCCGAAATGTCCCAAATATTTGCCAAATATCCCCCTTTCAGCTCTTCCCCTGGCCATCCCTTTTAAAACTGAACCCCTCATTCTGTTTGTCCTCTTCTGACCTTATTTTTATTTTTTATTTTTTTGAGACAGAGTCTCACTCTGTTGCCCAGGCTAGAGTGCAGTGGCGCCATCTCGGCTCATTGCAACCTCTGCCTCCCGTGTTCAAGTGATTCTCCTACCTCAGCCTCCCGAGTAGCTGGGATTACAGGTGCCCGCCACCACGCCTGGCTAATTTTTGTATTTTCGGTAGAGACGGGGTTTCACTATGTTGACCAGGCTGGTCTCGAACTCCTGACCTCAGGTGATCCGCCTGCGTCGGCCTCCCAGAGTGCTATGATTACAGGCGTGAGCCACTGCTCCTGGCCAATACCTTATTATTAGTATTATTTTAAATCACCTGAGATGCTATATATTTGTTTAATTGTCTGCCGCTCTGTCTTCCACAAAAATATAAGCTTCCCGAGAGCACAGACTTTGTCTTCACTGCTGGTTCCTGGCACATAATAGATGCACAATGAATACTTGACTGACTAAATGCACAACTGAGTTACTGGGTGTGAGTAGATTATGTAGCCCAGTGCCTGGAGTGCGGAGAAGCTGCTCAGAAAAAGCAGAGTATCAGGCTTCCGCCCCCGGACGATGGCCAGGTCTCAGGGTATCATCCCCGCACACCTGATGCAGTGGGCGGCAGTGAGGACGAAGTTGCTAGCAATCAAAGTCCCGCCACACGTATGCCTCCACGTGTCGTTCTTGAGGTACTGGAGGGAGATCTGCAGGAGGGTGGGGAGGGCTGTGTGTCAGCCTGCAGGTCCCTGGGACCCTCACCCCGCCACCCTCTCTATCTGTACCTCCCAGCCCTACACAGGCTTACCTGCCAGGGCCAGCTGTGGGGCCGGGCATCCTCTCCTCCCACCACTCGGGCGGATAGGTTGGGCGGGAAGCTGGGCACCCCACAGCTGGAGGCTGGGGAGACAGGAGGCCAGAAGAACCAGTGAATAGGGCTGGTAGCCCACGGGGAAAGGGGTGGGAGGGTGGGCAGGTGGAAGAAGCACAGAGTTGGGGCTGGGCAGACACGGGGTTGATATTTTACTGTGTCACGGGGGTAAGCCACCCAGGTCTCTAGGCCTTGTTTTCCCTTTCTGTGAAATGTGAAGAATCACACTAATGCGGTGAGTTTGCCCTGAGAACTGAATTAGACAACACATAAAAAAGAAAGCGTTTGGCCGGGCACGGTGGCTCACACCTGTAATCCCAGCACTTTGGGTGGCCAAGGCGGGTGGATCGCTTGAGATCAGGGGTTTGACACCAGCCTGGCCAACATGGCGAAACCCTGTCTCTACTAAAAATACAGAAATTAGCCAGGCGTGGTGGTGCATGCCTGTAATCCCAGCCACTCAGGAGGCTGAGGCAGGAGAATCGCTTGAGCCTGGGAGATGGAGGTTGCAGTGAGCCGAGATCGTGCCATTGCACTCCATCCTGGGTGATAAGAGCAAAACTCCATCTCAAAAAACAAAACAAAACAAAACAAAACTGGCTGGCATGTGTGCGAGTGCCCGGTACACCTGTGTTCTTCTGTCTGTTTTTAGGCCCCTGCATCATGGTGTGTGTGTGAGAGAGCAGTAAATCCACTGTTATAGCTGGGAAGCTGTGTGGAGCGGTCAAGAACACGTGCTGTTCCGCGAGACAGACGTGGACTCAAATTCTGCCTCTTCCACTAACCTGCCATGTGATGTCAGGCAAGATACTAAGTCGCACGGAACCTCGATGTCCTCATCTGTAAAATGGGGCTATGAAAAGACCCTACCTCTTTTTCTTTCTTTTTCTTTTTTTTTTTTTTTTGAGACGGAGTTTCACTCTTGTTGCCCAGGCTGGAGTTTGATGGCGCGATCTCGGCTCACTGCAACCTCCTCCTGGGTTCAAGCAATTCTCCTGCCTCAGCCTTCTGAGTAGTTGGGATTACAGGTGCCCGCCACCACGCCTGGCTAATTTTTGTATTTTTAGTAGAAACGGGGTTTCATCTTGTTGGCCAGACTGGTCTCAAACTCCTGATCTCAAGTGATCCACCCACCTCGGCCTCCCAAAGTGCTGGGATTACAGGCGTGAGCCACCATGCCTGGCAATAGACCCTACCTCTTAAGGTTGTTTTGAGGATTAAATTGGCTCCTACATGTAAGGGGCCTAGCATAGCGTCTGGCACATAGTAAACACACAGGAAACAGGAGCTGCTATTATTACTGTTGTTGTTGTTAGCTGGAAGGACTCTTCATTAAGTGCTCTCCTTTGCCAAAAAAGTTAGTGAGATTTAGAGAGGTGAAATGACTTTTCCAGGTCCTGCAGAGAAGAAGTGGCATTTAAGCTAAGTCCCTGGGCTCCTAATCTGGGAAAACGCCACCAAAATGATGGAATGGAGAATCCTCAAGGGAGAGAGAATGCTGGGAAAGGCAGACCCCGATGGTCCCTGGGGTGAACCCAGGATGAGGCATCTCGTGTCCCTCCCCCTTGCGTGGTGCTTTCCACACCTCATTTCTAACTGGGGACACGTCAGATCATCTTCCCTGTTTTGCAGATGTGGAAACAGAGTTGGCAGGCAGGCTGTGGCTTGTCTGACACACAGCTGGTTGGTAGCATCTGAACCCACAGGGGACCCCAAAGTGTCTTACCTGGAGAGCAGAGGCCCCCCCACTCCCCATCCCGTCCTTGCCCTGGAGGCCAGCCCGAGCTCACAGCCTGCTAGCTGCAGCCCCACCCCACCGCTTACCACAGGCCAAGAGCGCAGCGAGGACAGTGATGCCCAACATGGTTAGGTGCTCAGGACTGGCTGACCATCGGGATGGGCTGGGGCACACTTATAGGCAGGAGCAGGTGAGTGCACCTGGTCAAGGCCAAACCGCCCCTTGGAGAGAAACCTGCTCTGATAAGGCCCTTTCCCTGACCTTGGGTGGTTACTGTTTAATTTGGGCAGGAGACAGGGCTTTCTTAGAAGTATGGATTTTCCAAATATCCTGAAACAGAAAATTCTGAGTTGCAGTGCTTTTTGGCATCCCCCACCCCACTCTGTTTGACGTGTGTGTTCATTCTCTCTCCCTACCTTATACTATTTATTTATTTATTTGGAGATGGAGTCTTGCTCTGTTGCCCAGGCTGAAATGCAGTGGCACAGTCTCAGCTCACTGCAACCTCCACCTCCCGGGCTCAAACGATTCTCGTGCCTTAGCCCCCTGTGTAGCTGGGACTACAGGCGCCTGCCACCACGCCAGGTTAATCTTTTGTATTTTATTTATTTTTTTGAGACAGGATCTTGCTCTGTCACCCAGGCTGGAGTCTCAGCTCACTACAACCTCCGCCTCCCGAGTTCAAGCGATTCTCCTGTCTCAGCCTCCCAAGTAGCTGGGACTACAGATGTGTGCCACCATTTTTTTTTTTTTTTTTTTTTTGTATTTTAGTAGAGACAGGGTTTCACCCTGTTGCCTAGGGTGGTCTTGAACTCCTGAGCTTAGGCAATCTGCCTACCTCAGCCTCCCAAAGTGCTAGGATTACAGGTGTGATTACAGGCCGTTACCTTATTCTTTTTAGTTATTTATTGGGCACCTACTGTGTGTCAGGCATTGCGCTCAATTCTTCTTGCATTATCTCACTTAATTCTTCCAACAACATGAAATAGACGCGGTTATCTGCTCTGAGGTGAGATGAGAAAGGACCAGGCGCAGTGGTGCATGCCTGTAGTCCCAGCTACTCCTGAGGCCAAGGTAGGAGGATCGCTTGAGCCCAGGAGTTCGAGGCTGCAGTGAGCCGTGATCGTGCCACACTGCATTCCAGCGCGGGTGACAGAACAAGACCTTGTCTCTAAAAAAATAAAATAAAAGTGAGGAAGCTGAGACTCAGCGGGTAAGTGACCATCTAGGGTCACACGGCTGGGCAGCAGCAGAGCCAGACTTTGAAGCCAAAGCTTCTAACACCAGCCTGGGGCTTCAAGCTGTGGAGACATGCTGCTCCTTCTCTGCCTTTCTAGTGCTATTGGATCGCTTCCTGGCTCTCTCTCTGTCTCATCTTTCTAATTGCCTGGGCTTGATGCACTCCTGCACCTGCCTCCAGGGCTGTGGTTGGAGGCAGGGATGCAGCAGGCTCTGGAAGGTGCTTAGTTGGCCAGATTCCTTCCTGGAGTCAGCTTAGTTGTAGGTCCTCAGTTTCCCCATCTCTAAAATGGGCAAAAGGACCAGATGGACTTTCAGGCTCCTTTCAGTTCTACAATTCTGTAACTTGAATGTCAAGGTCAGTGGCAGATCTGAGGGCCCAAAGCACTGAGTAGCAGAAATTCTACCAGAGCCTCCGGCATTCGGGGTTGGCCATCCCTTGGAACATGTGGTTTGATCCATTCGCCCCAAGGCCTGGCCTCAGCCTGGTTGGTTAGATTCTGTCTTTCGTTTCCCCTCTACTCATACTGAGCTCCCCTTGAAGGTCATTTTCTGAGCTGGGCCTACTGGCCACCTTAGGAATTCCTTCCTGATAGAAAAGTTCAGAGCACTACGCACCCCGCCATTCATAGCGGTGATCTGGGGGTGAAGGAGGATTCTAACTTACACTTTTTTTTTTTGAGAGTCTTGCTCTGTGGCCCAGGCTGGAGTGCAGTGGTGCGATCTCAGCTCACTGCAACCTCCACCCCTGGGTTCAAGCAATTCTGCTTCCTCAGCCTCGCGAGTAGCTGGGATTATAGATGTCCACCACCATGCCCGGCTAATTTTTGTATTTTTAGTGGAGACCGGATTTCACCATGTTGGCCAGGCTGGTTTGTTTATTTATTTATTTATTTTTTGAGATGGAGTTGGAGTCTCGCTCTGTCGCCCAGGCTGGAGTGCAGTGGTGCGATCTTGGCTCACTGCAACCTCTGCCTCCCAGGTTCAAGCAATTCTCCTACCTTACTTAGTCTCCTGAGTAGCCGGGACCAGTGCCACTGGCTAATTTTTGTTCCTTTTGTAGAGACGGGGTTTCACCACGTTGGCCAGGCTGGTCTCGAACTCCTGACCTCAAGTGATCCACTCACATAGGCCTCCCAAAGTGCTAGGATTACAGGTGTGAGCCACCATGCCTGGCCTCTAACTACACATTTTTATGCAGCTTAAATTCTTTTTTAAAACAAACATAGTTACCTTGGTAGTATAAAAATCAATAGGTTTAATTTTTTAAGAAAGATAAAAGTGGGAATGTGCACTGGGGGCTCTGCTCAGCTATGGTGACATCAAGGCCTCAGTCCTGGGGTGTCTGGGGACTTCAGCCTGCGGGGAATTTTCTGTTTCATTTTGGAGGTTGGTTGTGCATGATACAGGTTTATCAGTGGCTACTGGCCAGTCTGCTTCAGACCCAGGGCTTTTGGTTGCCAAGCCTTGCAAAGGGTCATTCTAGCCTGGAAACTGGGAACATAAGCAGAGATATGGCTTGAGCTAGGTGATAGGTCTTGGAAATTAGCAGGGTCTGAAGCGGGGAGACAGGACACCTGGTTTCCATCTCAGTGACAGAATGGATGACCCAGACCCTGAGCAACCTCTTTGAGCCTCAGTTTCTCTCATGTCCCTTGATCAACTTGGGAAAATGAATTAACTGGGCGTCTCCTTGTAGGAGCTCATCAATTTATACTCAGAGATACAGCAACTTGTTAGCACGCATCTCAGCTGTGTATACATGCCCATGGATTCACAAGTATACGTGGACAGGCGACGCACACACGCACATACACACACACGCACACACACATGCACACACACATGCACACACATGCACACATGCACACACGCACACAAACACATGGACACACACGCACACACACATGCACACAATGCACACACCCACGCGCACACATGCACACACAAACATACACACACATATGCACACATGCACACACGCACACACACACATGCACACACACGCTCCTCCACGTCCACAAATATGCACACACCAATGATATAATACATATAAAGCATTCGGTTATGTGTAGAGCCAAGCAGAGCCATGGGCCACCCATTCAAACATGTACACAAACATAGAAATAGCCAAATGGATTGATGATGAGGTCCCAGGTGAAGAGAGTTATTGTCAGCTCTTTGAAGGTTCACAGAGAAACTGACCTTTTTGGAGGGAGGTTGCTGGCTGCTCAGCTATAGGGAAACTTGCTTGTTTTGAGACATCTACAGGGAGGGACCTTTTATGTAAGGCAGCACCAAACAATTGTCCCTGGAGAAAACCGAGGTCGCCCTTAATCTGTTTCAGATGCTGAAGACAGGATGTTGAGTGCTTTGCTTAGGGTTGAACTAAACCCACCACTATTGCTTCATAGCTCTATGGCCTTATGCTTGTGACGCAACCTCTCTGTGCTTCCTCGTTTATAAAGTGAGAGTGAAAACGGTACCTTTGGCCGGGCACGGTGGCTCATGCCTGTAATCCCAGCACTCTGGGAGGCTGAGGTGGGCAGATCACCTGAGGTCGGGAGTTCAAGACCAGCCTGGCCAACATGGTGAAACCCTGTCTGTACAAAAATACAAAAATTAGCCGGGCATGATGGTGGGTGCCTATAATCCCAGCTACTCGGGAGGCTGAGGCAGGAGAATTGCCTGAACCCGGGAGGCGGAGGTTGCAGTGAGCCGAGGTCGTGCCATTGCACTCCAGCCTGGGTGACTGAGCAAGACTCCGTCTCAAAAAAATAAAAAGAAAAAGAAAGAAAATGGTACCTCCCTCCTAGGGCTGTTGGAAGAAGTGCCTGGCATATGGCAAGGACGGTCTAAATGTTTGCTATTACTATTATTATTGTTGTTATCTGGTTCTTATGAGAAAGCTTGAGACTGGACTTGGTCACTGAGTACTTTTGCCTTCATGGGCCCCTTTCTCCATTTAAAAAATATTAAAAACTGGCTGGGCATGGTGGCTCGTGCCTGTAATCCCAGCTACTCAGGAGGCTGAGGTGAGAGGATCCCTTGAGGCCAAGAGTTCAAGACCAGCCTGGGCAACATGGCGAGACCCCTGACTCTAAAAGAATTTAAAAAATTACCTGGGTGTGGTGGCACATGCCTGTAGTCCCAGATACTCTAGAGGCTGAGGTGGGAGGACTACTTGAGGCCAGGAATTTGAGGCTGCAGTAAGCTATGATCATGCTACTGCATTCTAGCCTGGGTGACATAGAGAGACCCCAACTCCAAAAAATAAAACATAAAAAAATGAAAAATTATGTTTCCTTAAAAAAAATAATAAAAATTATGTTTTATTGTATGGTGATAACACTGAATATAATCCAGTTTGGATCCTTTTCATTTTTTTTCTTACTGATTTTAAAAAAATCAAAACATTTTGTGGGCCTCTAAAGGTGTCATGGGCTCCAGGCCCTGTGGCCCCTCCTTCCGTGAGGTTCTAGACGACCCAAGGGCTGAGACAGAGAGAGTTTGGGGAATGGTCTATGGCTCTCCCTGAGCACCCTCTCCAGGCCCTGGAGGTGCCTTTAGCTTTGTCCCAGGGCAGCCAGGAGAAATTTGTTCTTGCTGGAAAAGGTGGACAGGCGTAGGAGCTGCCTCTGGGCACGTGCATGGCTGGCACCAGCCCCTCCTGACTCCAGGCCTGGTGCAGGGAGCAGCCAGTCAGGCGACACCATGATCCCAGTGGCTCAAACTGCCTAAGTTATGGTGGTGACGCTGGGTTGGCTGACCTGATTTTCTGGCCTTGATCACCGAGACTGAAGAAGTACCCCAGAGGGGGCCTATGGATATCGGCTGACGGAAGCCCTGGGAGGGTGGATTTCTGCGATGGGAGGGGTCAGGGCTTGAAGTTGGATTAACTTGCATATTTATTTATTCATTGAGGCAGACTCTTACTCTGTCGTCCAGGCTGGAATACAATGGCACAATCTCGGCTCACTGCAATCTCTGCTTTCTGAGTTTAAGTGATTCTTGTGCCTCAGCCTCCTGAGTAGCTGGGGGTACAGGCACGAGCCACCATGCCCGGCTAATTTTTGTATTTTTAGTAGAGACAGGGTTTCACCATGTTGGCCAGGCTGGTCTCGAACTCCTGACCTCAAGTGATCCGTCCACCTCGGCCTCCCAAAGTGCTGAGATTATAGGCATGAGCCACCCCGCCTGACCTAACTTGCATATTTAAAGAAGTGACTGTTTTGTTTGCCCAGGCTGTGAGTCACTGACATACCATATGTCATACACAGAAACATAACATACACAGAAAACATTCATTCACTCACTTATTCATTCACTCATTCATTCCTCCCACATTCACGGAGCAACTACTGTGTGCAGGCCCCATGATAGGATTGGGTATAGAGATAATAAGACCCGTTCAGCCATGGGGAGCTCCCTGCTGGACATGGGGAGTGTTCCTTGGAGATAGTCTCCCTTGGAGAGATGGGCCAAGGGCGTGGAGTTCTGCATGAGAAGAGACTGGTTCTGGTGGGAGCCTGATGGGGGCAGGCAGGGAAAGGATTCCTTCCGTACAGAGTCCATGTCCAGATGAATCTGAGGCCTCGAGGGTGAGAGAATGCCAGAATCCGCCCCCTGCCCCATTGCTGGACCCTGGGATTTTTCAGGAGGTGGAGTGTGTCTCCCAGGACCCAGGACCTCAAAGTCCTTGAGCCACTTGGGGCCAGACTGTGCTGGAAAAATAACCAGGGGCGACTTGGCAGAGGCACGTGGAAAGGGGTGGTGGTCAGGTGGTGCTCTGGGCCTCAGGAGGAGCAATGCCAAGGTGGGGGTGGGGCGGGATAAGAGCTTGAGAAAAGAGGCAGGTGTCACTGACAGGGCTGGGATTTTCTGGCCGCTGGGACAGGACTCTCGGGCGGCAGCTGTTACGTCTTGGGTGAGGCCCACTAAGGGGCCAGCTGAGGGGCTGGCAGGGCTTCGCCTCCAAGCCAGATGGAAGCACTGGGGGTTAGAGAGGGTTGTGGGGCCCAATGCGGGGTTGGCGTTCAGCGAGGGGTTAACAGTTCAGAGAGAGGGGCTGGGGGTTCCATGGGGATTTGGAGCTGGGACTCAGTGCAAGGAGGCTTAATGAGAGGAGGGAACCTGGGAGTTGTTTTTGTTTGTTTGTTTGTTTGTTTTGTTTCTTTTAAGCGACAGCGTCTTGCTCTGTCACTCAGGCTGGAGTGCAGTGGCACAATCATAGCTCACTGCAGCCTTGAACTCCTGGGCTTAAGTGATCCTCCTCCTGAGCTTCCTGAGTAGCTGCCCAGCTAGTTTTAATTTTTTTTCTAGAGACGAGGTCTCGCTATGTTGCCCAGGCTAGTCTTGAACTACTGGACTCAAGTGATCCTCCTGCCTCGGCCTCCCAAATTGCTGGAATTATAGGCATGGGACACTGTGTCCAGCCCTGGGAGGGTTTTAAGGAGCCCTCTCTCTTGGTCCTAGGATCACTCCAGGTCCCTTCCCTCCTCAACCTGCTTTCTCTGCCAGAGCTGGGAGTGGGGGTCTTGTGCAGACCCAGGCTGGGGGCTCCTGACAGGCTGAGACCCTTGGTGGAGGGCCCTGGCATGACACAGCTGGCCCTGGTCTCTCATGGTCCAAGGACTCGAGGCCCACTGCCATCACCATCAGGAGCTTCCTTTTCAGTATGATTTGTTATTATATTTTGTAGAGATCGGGTCTCACTATGTTGCCCAGACTGGTCTTGAATTCCTGGCTTCAAGTGATCCTTCTACCTCGGCCTCCCAACGTGCTGGGATTACAGGTGTGAGCCACCATGCCCTCTTTCAGCGTCCCCGTCCCTTCTCCCCGAAGCCCTTTCCAGCAGGATATCAGGGATGTGGATGTTCCTCTCTTGGGGAAGGGGTTTTGAAAGGCAGTGTGGAACTGAAAGTCTCAAGTTGGTGGTGGCGTACAGTGGCGTCTCAGGCCCTGGGTAGCATGTGGGGATGACACTGCCTTCCCCAGGCATCCCGGTTGCTGTAGTACCATCCCTGGCCACCTGGGGGCAGCGATGCCCTGCCTAATCCAAACTCCAGCTCCCACACCCTGCCTGGGAAGACCCCAGACCCTCGCCCACCCTCGCATGGAATAGATGGGGAGACTGAGACCCAGTGGGGGCCTGATCTGTCTAAAGCCACACACAGACAGCCGCTGGTGTCCGCCCCATCACTCCTGGGGTTTTCCAGCCTGTGAAAGACTTTGGGTGTCTCCATGGCAGGGGTGCTTGGGGGTCTCTGGGGTGCACAAGCCATAACTCCCAGGGCCTTAATGCCACTGCCGGCCACTGTGTGGCCTTGTGGAGAGGCAGCCCCTCCTCTCTGCTCACCTGGCAGGTTTGCGAGCCATGACCTCGACAGCCTGGGCCCTGCCTCTTGCCGCCCCACTCGCCTGTGTGTCTCTGGGAGACTTTCCAGGCCTGTTTTTTTGTTTTGTTTTGTTTTGTTTTTTGAGGCAGAATCTCTCTTTGTCACCCAGGCTGGAGTGCGGTGGCGCAATCTTGGCTCACTGCAACCTCCGCCTCCTGGGTTCAAGCAATTCTCCTGCCTCAGCCTCCCGAGTAGCTGGGATTACAGGCGTGTGCCACCACGCCCGGCTAATTTTTATATTTTTGGTAGAGACGAGGTTCCACCATGTTGGCCAGGCTGGTCTCGAACTCCTGACCTCAGGTGATCCACCCGCCTCGGCCGACCGAAGTGCTGGGATTACAGGTGTGAGCCACCACGCCCAGCCGCCTCCCTGTTCTTATCTGCAAAAGAGGAATAAAAATATCATCCCTTGCATGGGCTGGTTGCAAGGATTTAAATGAGTTAATAGGCACAAAGCACCTAGACTCATGCCTGGTGACAGCATCTGGGCATAAAACACCAACCTCCTCCACTAGGGCAGGTCCCCTTCCCTCCCAGGCTCTGACACCACTGTCCCCACACCCAGGTGACCTTGTCATTTCCCTGCCCACTCACCATCAAGAACCATACACACATAAGAATATAGAATTTTATCTTCCTTTAGTTAAAAAAAATAATCGTACCACGGAATGAAGAAGTAGCTTTTTTGGGGGGTGGGGTCGGGGAGAAGGGAAGGTGAGAAGGGGGGGAAAAAAGAAGCAAAAAGCCCAAAGAAAAAAACATTTTATATTCATCTGTATAAACATATCCGCTAAGGCAAACGCAATCCGGGTCCGAGGCTGCTGCGCTGGGCTCGGTGCCTCCTAATTTCTGCAGATTCTAAGGCCAAAAAATAAAACCTCTGCAAGTCCGCGTAGCTTCCAGGACTCCTGGGCATTTTACTAAAATAAAGAGTTATCGAGTTTAAAAAGCAGTGACGTCGTTATGACACACACTGAAAGTTGCATAACTGTGGCCTCGAGGGCCACTCACTTGTTTGGACTGAGTGATGGTCACAGTTTCACGACACAGCAACAGACACCACACACAGGCACACGCATGTCAGCAAGCACGTGGGAAGCTGTGGCAGAACCCGGCCGGTGGCCTGGGCCTGACCACGGCCTGTCTGGTGCAGGGCACCAGGGTGTTAGGGTCCCCATGCTTCCTCAGGGGGTGGGCATGACAGGCAGGTCGCTGGTGACAAGGCAGTGGACGTCACTTGGGGAAGGATGGCGGGAGAGGGCTGGACAGGCCCCCGCTGCCCACCGCCTGGCGCATGCAAACACACTTAAAGCACTTCTCGGAGGCTTCTCGGAGAATCAAGGCGAAGCGCTCGTCTCCTTCCCTAGGAAGGTGCCAATTCTTCCTCCCGCCCCACTCTCTCCAGAGCCCCGAGACCCTCAGGGTGTTCTGGCTGGGGGTGCTAAGCAGCGGTGTCTCCGACCCCCAGAGCCTTCCCTGCCCATGATCCCACGGCATGCCCGGCAGGGGGTGGGCCTGTGAGGTAGATTGGCACAGCTGCCCCCACACCCTGCCTGGCTGGGCCCCAGAGATCTGGGGTTCTCCAAGTCAGCATGGGGTGCTGGGGGCCTGCCCGGGTCCCTTCACCAGAACAGAAGCTCCCCACCCCCTCTCCCATTTCAGTAGATGGAAGACGCAGAGGAGGAAAAGGCCCTGGGGAGGGGTCCCCTCGTGCCTCCAATTAGCCCCTTGGGTCCCACTCTGTGGGGGCAGCCCTGATTCTATCTCTTCTGCCGTCTCCCAGCCTGGGAAGGGGCTGGCAGGGGGCCCCAGGGGCGGTGCGGCCTGCTGGAGGAGGGCAGGGGTTCCCGGGTTGGGGGGACAGGGATGTGTGGAGGGCAGGCGGCAGGCACATGGGGCTGGGAGGGACCTAGGGCCAGGAGCTGGGCCTGGGGCAGTGCCGGAGCAGGCAGGGGGCAGTTAGGGGTGCAAGAGAGCCCAGGGATTGCCAGGGAGGGCCGGGCCGGGCAGGGAGCCAGCGCCGGTGTGGCGGCCTCGTGCAGAGTGGAAGGGAGCGGGGAGGGGCCGGGCCACCTCCATAAGACCCCTGAACTTGCTCCATTCACAGATATTTTTAGGTTTTTAGTAGTGGTCCCGTCAGACACAGGCAAGGATTCAGGCTCGGCCTCCCATGCGCCACCCTCGCCCACCACACTGGGGCCGGAGCAGGGCGGTCGGCTGCAGCCCCCGCTACTTAAAGGTGGACTGCAGCTCCTTGAAGGCCGCTTTCCGCTGCTTCATCTCCTCCGCCTGCTTCTTCCTTTCCTCCTGCTCTGCCTTGATCTCCTCCTCGAAGCGGCTGGACACGTTGATGGCCTGGACCTGCGGGGGCATGGGGGTGAGGGGGTCAGGGCTGGATGGTGTATGTTGGGGGTTCTCTGTGCTACAGCTGCTTTTTCTTTTTTCTTTAATTTTTCTGAGACAAAGTCTCGCTCTGTCGCCCAGGCTGGAGTGCGATGGCGCAATCTTGGCTCACTGCAACCTCTGCCTTCCAGGTTCAAGCAATTCTCCTGCCTCAGCCTCTTGAGTAGCTGGGATTATGGGTGCCCTCCACCATGCCCGGCTAATTTTGGTGTTTTTAGTAGAGATGGGGTTTCACCATGTTGGCCATGTTAGCTGATCTCGAACTCCTGACCTCAGGTGATCCACCCGCCTCAGCCTCCCAAAGTGCTGGGATGACAGGTGTGAGCCACTGCGCCCGGCCTTATGACTGCTTTTCCTGGGGTCCCTTCTGGCTCAGGCTTCTGCTGAGTCCTGCCCAGCAACACAAACAGCTTGACCTCACCAGCTCTGGCCCTGGGTCAGGCACTTCATTCACCTTCCTGAGCCTCAGTTTCCTCACTTAGAACCTGGCACCCAATAACTCTGATCTTAGGGAGTTGTTGAGAGGATTGAAATAGAGAACCTATATTCTGTGGCTGCTGCAAAGCAAGGGCGCTCGAAGGGAGTCGCTCAAGCTGCTGCCATCCTGATCCTCTGCTTCCTGTCCGGGGAGCCCAGCGGCACACCCAGTTCCACTGATGAACCCTGAAAAGTTCCACCAATGCTCCGAAGCCCAGAGGGTGGTGGGAGGCAGTCTCTGGAAGGAATGTTCTTAGCAAGGAAAGAGAGAAACAAGGCGGGAGAGCTGGGGCCCCGGGTGGGCAGGACCCAGGAGCCACTAGATCACAGGTGTCTCCTCCATCTGAGAACCTGCTGAAAGGGGAGGGTGTCATGCATGCAGGTGGTCTCTGAGCCCGCAGGCTTCCTCCTAGGCTGGGGCTGGTGGGATTGGTGTCTACCGGGGACCCTGGAGAGCCAGTGCTGTGTTTCTGGGCCTGCCCTCCTAAGGCCCAGTCCTCTGTGTTAGCAGCTCTGTGTGCCAGGGCCAGGGCACCTCAAGGTAATCCCTGTCCCCTTTTCAAGAGTACACCCCCCTCACCCACCCCCTTGGCGGCTGCCAAGGATCTCAGCCAGGAGTGGGAGAAGACAGAAGACAGAGCGTGTGGGCCTGGCCCAGCCTGGCAGGGAGTCAGCTCCCATCTCTGTCTGCAGCCTCAGCAGGGACGGGAAGGGGACCTATTAACTTCGCACCAACCCAGGGTCCCCTTGTCCTGGAGCGTGGGTCAGGGCACCCCTTGGGCTCCTCACCTTGGCCTCAAAGAAGCTCTTGGCCCCCTTGACACCCTCACTGGAGACGTCGATCTCAGAGAGGCGGGCCAGCACGCACAGCCCGCTGTCCTCCTGAAGCTCCCCGGCCGCCGCCTTGCGGAAGATCAGGAGGAACTGCAGCGGGGAGGGAGGCGCGCGGTGTCAGGAAGGGAGGGAAGGAGGGGAGCCGGAGTCCCTGGCCGCACCCAGGCCCCAGCCTCAGGCCTCCCCTGCAGAGAAGGACTGGGGGGCAGTGAGCTGGGTCTCGCCCCTTGCTGCTCCCGTGAGCCCCTTCACTGGGCCTCTGCCCAACTGTACAATGGGAGGAGATATGACTCATCTGCCACCCAGGATGCTGGCCTACTGCAGCCCTGACCCGCCCACACCAGCTCCCGACGACACGGCCTCAGCCTACCTCTTACCTCTGTCTCCCGCTGTTGCCCAGTGAACCTACTCTGCGTTCCATGTATTGAGTCCTACAGGTGTCATGACAGAATGAGGGAGCCTCCATGACAGTAAAAGACACCCCAAGTCTCAGCGCCTGAACGTGTCAGAGGGATGGAACCCTGCTCTCGAACTCTAAGCTGTTACCCTGCACTGCCCACACCTCCCGCCCAGCCACTCGCACTCCCCCACCTGCCCCTGCCACCTCTCTCCTTCCCTGCATCCTTCATGCTTCCTGCCAGACCTCCTGGGCCCCAGTTGGGCCTCGAGTCCCCACACCTAACCCTGTGCTTCCTGGGGTCCATCCCTGTACTTCCTGGGGTCCAGTATCATCGCTGTCTGGCTTGGGCCTCCATTTCCTTCCCTGCGAAACCGGCTTGCCCCTAGCTCCTGTCTCGGAGTGAGATCCTGGGCGTGAAGTCACCCAGTGCCGTGGCCCTCTTCCTCTGCATCACAGCCCTGATTTCCTTCTGTGGTGTCTCCCCCTCTACACTTCCAGGAACCTTCGAGCACAGGGCCTTTCTCTACCCCAGAGCCTGCACAGGGTCAAGTATACAGAAATCGCTCAATATATGCTCCCTATGTGAAGGAAGGGCTGTCCCTCCCTCCTCTTCCTCCCCGAGAGGATCTCAGAACCCTCCCTGGTGCCTGCTGTAACAGGCCCTCTGAAGCCTCACTCAGCCAAGCAGCAGCTGCTCACAGCTGCTGTTCAATGGCAATGTCATTCATTCATTGACAAAGGGTGGGGGTTGGTCTCTCCCGGGCCACCAGGTCCTCAGGTGAAGCCCCTGGTAGGGGAGTGGGGCTGGGGGCCGGGCTTACCTCCCGGAAGCTCAGCTTGCTGTCAAAGTCCTCATCCACCTCCTTGATCATGTTTTTCAGGCCCAGGTGGGTCTGAGGGGCCCCAAGTTTCTCCATCATGAGTTTTAGCTCCATCAGGTCGATGAAGCCGTCCCGCCCGGCATCATACCTGCAGATGCAAAAAGAGAGGACATCTTGGCACTGGCTCAGTCAGAGAGGCCGCAGGCTTGAGTGCAAGGAGACTGGGGGATCAGAGGGCATCTCCTACCAACCATAAAATCCCGTCACTGTTGGAAGGGACCTCAGTCCAGGCAGAGGACCCATATGTGGCTCAGCTCCTGCTTGGTTACCTCTGATGACGGGGAACTCACCACAGGGCCTGGCAGCCTCCTGCATGTCGAATAGCGCTAACTTTTGGACAAGCCTGAGGCACAAGGAAGCTGAAATGACAGGCTCCGTGTGCTGAATGTGATGGCACAGACAGTGAGAAGGAATTCTCTGGGTTTTTTTTTTTTGAGATGGAGTCTCGCTCCGTTGCCCAGGCTCGAGTGCAGTGGCTCAATCTCGGCTCGCTGCAGCCTCCGCCTCCCGGGTTCAAGTGATTCTCCTGCCTCAGCCTCTTGAGTAGCTGGGACTACAGGCATGCACCACCACACCCAGCTAATTTTTGTGTTTTTAGTAGAGACAGTGTTTCACCATGCTGGCCAGGCTGGTCTTGAACTCCTGACCTCAAGTGATCCACCCACCTCGGCCTCCCAAAGTATGGGGATTACAGGCATGAGCCACCGTGCCTGGCCGAGAAGGAATTCTCAATACCACGGCAGGGTGGATCAGGCTCTGAGCTGAGCACTCACTCACCACCTCCATGACCAGCTGGCTTACTGGCATCTCCATGGGCACTTGGAGGACATCTCACCCCCACCCTAGATGGCAGAACCTTGCAGGCAAGGGCATGGTTTCTCAACCTCAGACCTTAAACAATCTGGACAGAACAAATCCTTGCCGTAGGGGCTGTCCTGTGCATTGTGGGATGTTTATAGTAGCATCCCTCCTGAGTTGTGACAGCTAAAAATGTCTCCCAGACATTGTCGAATGTCCCCAGCAGGATAAAAGCATTCTCCGCTGAGAAGCACTGGAATAGGGGATGTGACGTGGGTGTGGAAGGCGGCCTCTTTCCATGTGATAAATGACTCTTCTTACTCAGCACCCTCTGTACTGGGGGGTCTATTTCATGCCCCCCAGCTTGCCCTAGGTACTGGGAAGGAGGTTAAAAAGCACACAGTAGGTGCTCAAAAATGTGTAATGAAGAAATAAGACGTGAATAAATGAAGGGGTATCTAAGGCAGGGCCTCTGCCTTTGTCGAGGGCACAGAGCAGGACGGGGGCAGGAGGCAGGGCCAGGTGGCAGGAGGCAGCCTGGGTGTGTTCAGGGACGTGTGGTGCAGTGCCTGCAGGGAGTGGCGGAGATTGGCGGGGTGGTGGGGAAGCCGGGAACAAGCATCGGGCGATAGAGATGCCTCCCCTCTGCCCTGCACTCTCAGGTTCTCTTTTTTTCTACCACTAACAACCTGGCAGAGACAGGGGTGGGGTTGGGGGCAAGTCCCTCTTGACTGGCTTCTGTGTAGTAAGAGTCTAGGTGGCCTTTCTGCCTGTTGCCTGGCTGGGAAGGCACCACTGGTTCCTGGAGCACACAGCCTGGTGAAAGAGGGCGAGGCGCTGTTTGCCCAGCTGGGCTCTCTTATCAACCAAACACCTGCCCTACTGGTCTCTGGGAACAGCGTAGGAGGAAGACAAGATGGGGGCTGGGGAGAGTGATCCCAGAGTTGGTAACATGGGTTTTTCTTTTTTTTTTTTTTCTTTTTGAGACGGGGTGTTGCTCTGTTACCCAGGCGCGATCACAGCTTACTGCAGCCTCTACCTCCTGGGCTCAAGCGATCCTCCCGCCTCAGCCTCCCAAGTAGCTGGGACTGCAGGTGCATGCCACCATGACTGGCCAAGTTTTGTATTTTTTTTGTAGAGACGGGGTGTCAATATGTTGCCCAGGCTGGTCTCAAACTCCTGGGCTCAAGCAATCCTCCTACATCAGCCTCCCAGAGTGCTGGAATTACAGGCGTGCACCACTTTGCCCAGCCAAAATGGGTTTTTCTGCACCTAAAGAAGGCTTGTGCAGTCCCCCAGGCCTTGAACTGGCTGGGTGACAGTGCTGGTGACAGCAGCGCAACACAGGTGGATGTGTTCCAGAACCCTATGTCCCGGGCGCTTGAGCTTCTGCATGAATATGTCTCATTTCTGCACCTTCTTACGGGCTCCCCAGCTCCTTTCGCCTTCTCTAGTTAGGTGTACTTTGAACACCTAATAGCAACCATGTACTGAGATCTGTCTTTATGCTGGGAACTGCTTACTTTACTTAATTTTCCTAATAACCTTATTTTATGACCAAGGCTCAGAGAGGTTAAGTGACCCACCCACAGTCACACAGCAGTAAGGAAGGAGCTGGGCTTCCAGACTTGATCTGCTGGGCTCATAAACTTGCACATTTGCTCTGTACCCAGCCCCTCCCCAACGTGTCCTGGGGCTGCTGCAGAACACAGACGGCTGCCTGGAGCACAAGGGGAGCATTTGTGCGAGGGGTATAAATAGTTCACGAGCCAGTGAGTCAGTGGTTGAAAGTGACACAGCAAAGATGGGTCTTGGGAGCCCTGGAGGGAACACAGGGTCCTGCGGCTTCTGCCCCACTGATGGATGAGGGTTGGGGTGGAGGTGGATGGGCCAGCAGCCCCTGTGGGCAGTGGCCACCTCTGTGACAGTAGAAGGTGTGGGACTCAGAGGGTCAGGCAGGCCAAAGCTGCTGTGGTCCAGCCTCCACCTGGAGCTGGAGGGGTTCTGGGGGGCACAGCGGAGGCGCCTCCTGCCATCTCTGGTCCCTGTTTGCTGCCTGGTAGAGGGCTGGGCGGGCGCCACATGACCGTGGGGCTGTGCAGGAGCACCTGGTGAGGGACTCAGTCTTTCCTGAGCCAAGTCACGAGGACTCCCCTCCTCAGTGCCCCCCAGGAAAGCAAAGCCCTGCCGCTTTCTGACCCTGGGCTCCCAAGGTCAGCGATGACAGTCAGGCTCTGAAGCCAAATTGCCTGGGCTCCTCAGCCACAAAATGCAGCATCTCTTTTTATTTTTATTTTTTTGAGACGGAGTCTCGCTCTGTCGCCCAGGCTGGAGTGCAGTGGCGCAATCTTGGCTCACTGCAAGCTCTGCCTCCTGGGTTCACTCCATTCTCCTGCCTCAGCCTCCTGAGTAGCTGCGACTACAGGTGCCCGCCACCACGCTCGGCTAATTTTTTGTATTTTTAGTAGAGATGGGGTTTCACCGTGTTAGCCAGGATGGTTTCGATCTCCTGACCTCATGATCCGTCCGCCTCGGCCTCCCAAAGTGCTGAGATTACAGGTGTGAGCCACCGCACCTGGCCAAAATGCAGCATCTCTTAAGCTGGGGTGCATGTGCCCCCCAGGAGACATCTGGCAATGTCTAGAGGTGTTTTTGGTTGTCATACCTGGGGCGGCGGAGGTGGGGGGGATGCCAGTGGCATCTGGTGGGTGGAGGCCAGGGAAGCTCCTATAGCGCATAGGGTGGCCCCACCGCAAAGAATGACCTGGCCAGCTGGGCACGGTGGCTCACGCCTATAATCCCAGCGCTTTGGGAGGCTGAGGCAGGCAGATCATGAGGTCAGGAGATCAAGACCATCCTGGCCAACATGGTGAAACCCTGTCTCTATTAAAAATACACAAATTAGCTGGGCATGGTGGCAGGCACCTGTAATCCCTGCTACTTGGGAGGCTGAGGCAGGAGAATCACTTAAACACAGGAGGTGGAGGTTGCAATGAGCTGAGATGGCACCACTGCACTCCAGCCTGGGCGACAAAGCAAGACTCTGTCTCAAAAAAAAAAAAAAAAAAAAAAAAATGGAATGACCTGGCCCCAAGTGCCAGTGGAGCTGAGGCTGAGAACCCTGCTGCAATGGGGCCTCTCTCATGGGCCACTGTGAGGAACGACTGAGCCCATCCCTGTCAAGCACTCAGCACAGCTCCCAGCGCACAGAGCTAGCTGCATAAATGGCAGTCACCACCGCTAAAACAAGATTGAATCACCGTCACTAAACTCCCAACGCACCAGCACTTTCTCTTTACAATCCCTGTGCTCAGCAATCCTCCAGGTCCGGATTAGGTCAGGAGGGCTGTTGGTGAGGCCACAGGTCCCATAACCAGCAGGTCAGGGGTTCACGCCCCAGCCCCTGGGTCCCACGTGTCTCTCCCTGAGCCCCAGCTTTATTTATTGCTCAAGTGCATGGGTTTCTTCTGCAGCCAGGGGCAGCTCAGTTTCAGAGGAAGTGCAGATAAAGTGTCCAAACTTGGATGGAAACGTGGGCTGTGGATCCCTCTGTCTTTGGCAGCTCCCAGGCCTGGCTGGGCTGTGGCTCAAACCATGATTTGAACGGCCGCCTCTATCAATCAAAGGCCAATCAATTACTGGGGCTGGGCTCCATCCAGGGCAGGCTCTGGCCCCCAGGGGGACAATACAGGGGCTGGCTGCGGTGCCAAAGAGTCCATCACCAAGAGGAGGTGACGGGGGCTGCGAGAGGCCAGGTGCTGGGGTGGGCGGTGAAGCCCCCAGAGGTAGCCGTGGAGGAGGCCATTCCCAAGAGACTCCTGGAGAGTGGCCATCTGCCCTGTGCCCTGGGCTCTGATGTGGTCTAGTGCAGGGGATCAGCCAGGTTCCAGGGTCAACCTGATTGAAGATGGCCTTGAGGGTTTGTGGTTACATCAACTCCGCTGAGACTGACCTGGGTCCAAACCCCAGCTCTGCCACCTGCTGGCAGAGTGACCTGGTCAAGTCACCTAACCCCACAGACCTCAATTTCCTCATCTACATCATGGAGATCAAAGAACTCATCTCAGGATGGAGGCAAGGATTAAAAGAGACGATACAAGCAGACTCTTGGCACAGAGCCTGGTCCACAGGAAGCACTTCATACATGCCTACTATGATACTAAAAACCAGTTATTATTATTCCTAACATCTACCTTTAAGATTATTAAAGAGTAAATGAGGCTGGACGTGGTGGCTCATGTCTATAATGCCAGCACTTTGGGAGGCTGAGGATCACTTGAGCCCAGGAGTTTCAGACCAGCTTGGGCAAGATAGGGAGACCACATCTCTATAAAAAAATAAAGGGCCAGGTGCGGTGGCTCATGCCTGTAATCCCAGCATTTTGGGAGGCTGAGGCAGGCGGATCACGAGGTCAGGAGTTCGAGACCAGCCTGACCAACATGGTAAAACTCCGTCTCTACTAAAAGTGTAGAAATTAGCCAGGCATGGTGGCACGCACCTGTAATTCCAGCTACTCAGGAAGCTGAGTCAGGAGAATTGCTTGAACCCAGGAGATGGAGGTTGCAGTGAGCTGAGATCATGCCACTGCACTCCAGCCTGGGTGACAAAGTGAGACACTGTCTCAAAAAATAAATAAATAAATAAATAAATAATTAGCTGGGCGTGGTGGTGTATGCCTCTGGTCCCAGCTACTAGGGAGGCTGTGGTGGGAGGATCACTTTAGCCCGGGAGGTTGAGGCTGCAGTGAGCCCTGATCGAGCCACTGCTCTTCAGCCTGGGCAACAGAGTGAGACCTTGTTTAAAAGACAAACAAACACAAAAAAGAAAATGAAAATGAGCTGACAGATATAAAATGCCTGGCACATAGTGAGTCCTTCAAACCTGTTAATTTCATCATCATCGTAATAGTAGTTGTTATATTGAGAAGTTTGTGTGTGTCACATATGCACATCATATACTTCACATATACAATATAAAAAGGGTGATGATATTAGAAATAATGATAAAAAACACACTGGCTTCTGCCACAGGCTCCAGTCCTGACTGGTGGTACAGGGTTGGGAGGCAGGGCTTGTGGTGGCTTGGCCTGGAGGCAGGGGTGGACATGATGACCCAGGGGATCCCTCCAGCATGACCTCTCCTCTAAAGGCCCACTTTTCCCCTACTAGGCCCGACGCAAAGCCCCAGCATCTCTGGGAGGTAGGAAGACAGAAGACCGCTGGACAGAGCCCTTGAACAGGGAGAGAGGAGCCTCAGGGAGCGAGGAACCTTCCCTCGGGGTTGGAGAAAAGTGAGGAAGGGGCTACTCTCATGGTGCCAATGTGTGTGTGGGACAACTGGCAGCACAGGAGAGAACGAGGTTCCACGATGGCTGGAAACAGGCATCTCCTGGGCTAGAGGGCCTCTCACCCACCAGCCCTTCTCCCTGAGCTGGAACTGAGGTTGCAGCTGGCTTAGAGGATCCAGAAAAAGAGAGATCAGCCCGCAAGATCCACCCAGATAGCCTGGTCTACCCGTTTTACATTATGTAGGGAAACTGGGGCCCACAGTGGGCAGTGACTGGCCCAGGGTCACACAGCCAGCAGACTGCAGGATTCCAACAGCTGGAAGTTTTTCTCCTCCCTGGCCCCTCTCTTTTTCCTGGTCCCATGGAGGGTCCCACATTCTCAAGCTTGCAGGGCCAGTGGAGGCTGGACTGAGAGCCCAGCTTGGTGCCTGTTTGGGAAGGCCAATGCCATTCGGCAGTACTGGCAGAAAGCGCCCAGCCTGGGAGCTCAGCACTTTTCTCCAGCACCGGAGGGAGGCTGCGGGGCCTGGCACCGTGCCCGCATTCCTATCTGCCTCCCCTTGAATAGTTCTCGTCAGGGAGGGCTCAGCAGCTAGCTGCACCCTGGATGCTGGGGACAAAATCCCCATCCATCCCCCTCTCGAAAGCGGAGCAGCCAGTTACCCCCCAAGGACGACCCTTTCCCTTTGGGGTGAGCATGGTCCCCAGCTGGTTGCTTCCCTGCCCCTGCCCCTCTCCCCAGTTCTGATAACTAGGGAGTCACAGGGGTAGGCAGTGGAGGCGTCAACCATGCACAGTGCAGATGTCCCAGCCTTGCACCCAGGTGAGCCCCACGTCATAATCTATCATCATTCCTGGCTACTCTGCTGAGCACTTGCTATGTGCCAGGCACGATGCCAGGTGTTTTGCATCAGATTCTCACAAGAAGCCTATGAAGCGGCATGAACATGAACCGACAAGGAGACTGAGGCTCAGAGGGGAAGCGACTTAGCCCAGGTCATAGGTGACAAGGGTGTCGCTGGGCTCTGAACCAGGCCTGATCAAACACATGCACTCTTAACGACTATGCTATGCCCTGATGCCTATCAGGACACAGCAGAGAACTTCGGGGTTGGGAGGGATATTAGAGGCCATCTTATTCAGTCGTTCCTGAAAATCAGATTCCTGATGCAGTTCGTTGTTTAGTGCCTTGAATACCTCTGAGGACAGGAAGCTCATTGCTTACTTAAGGGGGGGCCTATCTTGGCTTTGGAACTATTAGAAAGTTGCGGCCGGGTGCCGTGGCTCCCGCCTGTAATCCCAGCACTTTGGGAGGCCAAGGCGGGCGGATCACAAGGTCAGGAGATTGAGACCATCCTGGCTAACACGGTGAAACCCCGTCTCTACTAAAAATACAAAAAATTAGCCGGGCGTGATGGTGGGCGCCTGTAGTCCCAGCTACTCGGGAGGCTGAGGCAGGAGAATGGCGTGAACCCAGGAGGCGGAGCTTGCAGTGAGCCGAGATCGCGCCACTGCACTCCAGCCTGGGTGACAGAGCGAGACTCCATCTCAAAAAAAAAAAAAAAAAAAAAAAAGTTGCTCCTCGACCAGGTGCAGTGGCTCACGCCTGTAATCTCAGCACTTTGGGAGGCCGAGGCGGGCAGATCACTTGAGGCCAGGAGTTTGAGACCAGCTTGGCCAACATGGTGAAACCCTGTCTCTACTAAGAATACAAAAATTAACTGGGTGTGGTGGTGCATGCCTGTAATCCCAGCTACTAGGGAGGCTGAGGCAGAAGAATTGTTTGAACCCGGGAGGCGGAGGCTGCAGTGAGCCAAGATTGTGCCACTGCACTCCAGCCTGGGTGACAGAGCAAGACTCTGTCTCAAAAAAAAAAAAAAAAAAAAAAAAAAGAAAAAGAAAGAAAGTTGCTCCTCGTGCAGGTGCCCCCAAGCTGCACTGCACAGTCTGATGGCAGAAGGAAGCAGAGTCATTGCAAAAACTGCACACGGGAAGGTGGGAGCACAGGGACCCCAATTCTGTCTCTCCTGACTCCCATCCCAGGCTTTACTGATGGCCGCTCTGGGCGTGCAGGTCCCAGGAGAACAGACAATTGGACAGGGTGGGTGTTGGGTATGGGCTCAGGAGCCCTCAGGCCCCCCTGGCTTCCCCAGTTCCTGCATGTCCCCACCCCCAGACTGCCTGACTCATATAGGGAAAGCCCAGCGCTCACCACTTCCTCTAGTCCTATCTGGGAATCTCACACTTGATCTCTTGCCCTAGTTCAGCTAAGTGGGGTATGGGGTTGGGGGAGAAAGAGAGAGAGAGAGAGACGGAGAGATAGAGAGCACATAAGTGTGGCGCTTGGGGCTCCCCCACGGAGGATAAAGAGGGAGACCCCAAGCAATTTGCTGGGGGGCTGTCAGGGCTCAAAGGCATCCTAACCTGGAGTTCAACAACCTCACACCGCACCCACGGCACTCCCTGCCAGCCACCCCCTTTCGCTT
The DNA here is from genome assembly GCF_000001405.40 of Homo sapiens. NCBI lineage: Eukaryota > Metazoa > Chordata > Mammalia > Primates > Hominidae > Homo > Homo sapiens. The sequence goes on along the minus strand of NC_000001.11, from coordinate 15,417,387 downwards.
CTTGCTCTTCATAGTCATTATTGTTATGATAGTGATTATAAAGAATATTTATTGAATGCCTAATATTAACATAACCCAGTGTTTATAACGTAACTTAATCTTTACTCCATACATCTTATCCTCTTACAGCTCAGACAAAGTCACCCACCTAAGGATAACCTTAGGTCAACCTCAGGAAGTGGTGGGGAGACGGCTGTGCGGGGGCCTGAGCCGAGGCTTAGCGCTTCTTAAACGTCAGTGTGCACACCTGGTGAAGCTGGTTACAGTGCGGATTATGGGCTGGGCGTGGTGGCTCATGCCTGTAATCCCTGCACTTTGGGAGGATGAGGTGGGAGGGTGGCTTGGGGCCAGGAGTTTGAGACCAGTCTGAGCAACATAATGAGACCCCATCTCTACAAAAATAAAAAAAAATTAGCTGGATGTGGTGGCATGTGCCTGTAGTCCCAGCTACTCAGGAGGCTGAGGTGGGAGGATCACTTAAGCCCAGGAAGTTGAGGCTGCAGTGAGCTATGATCGTACCACTGCACTTGGTCTGAGTGACAGAGCAAGACTCTGTCTCTTAAAAAAAAAAATTGCAGATTACAGTCTGGTAAATCTGGGGTGGAATCTGAGCATCTGCATTTCTAACATACTCCCGGGCGGTGAAGCTGCTGGTGTTTGGGCCACTGTAAGGGTTCAGAGGACTTGGAGCCGGGGAGGCCCAGGTTCAAATCCTATTCTGCCCCTCACTGGCTATGTGACTTTGGACAAGTCACATAACCCTTCTGAAAGTCCAGCCTCCTTAACTGTGAAATGGGCGAGGATAATGTTGCAGGATAAGAAAGGACTGAACGGGAGGCAAAGCATCTGGTTTGAAGTGTCTGTGGCTCAGGACTCCCTGGGCGGCCCGGCTCCCATCTGGCCACACCTTTCTGGCACTGACCCCTGCCTCTCTGTTGTCCTTGAAAAGCAGAAGTCAGCCAAGGAGAAGGTTGCCCGGCAGTCAGGGGAACTCAGCTGCTCCAGGGTGTGGGGACCTTCCCTGCTGAGGCTGCAAAGTGACTCTGCCTCTGCCGGCAGGGCTGGCCTTGAGGAAACGACCTCTGACATCCCCTGAGGCAGCAAGGCCTGCTGTCCTGGAGCCTAGACTCTCACAGTGGAAGCCAGTCCAAGCCACCAGGCCTTGGACCCAGGTAGCATGGAGGAGAGCGAGGAAGCCGGAGAAGGCAGGAAGGGTGGACCAAAGAGGAACCAAAAGTCCTGGGCCGGGGGTGTGGGGAAGGAGAGGTGACTCAGAGGCTGATGCATAGTGGAAGTGGGAGGAACGGAGTAAGGACCGAGGCCAGGAAATCCTTCCTCCCCAGGGGTGCAGGGCATTCTCCCCACCCACTGACCCTAAGCTGCAGGTGAAGGACCCCACCTCTCCACCTCTCTAAGGCTCTCGGAGGCTCCCCCAAGCCCCAGCCACAAACACGGCTTCACTTGGCCTCCAGGGGCTCCTTGCAGGAGGATCTGGTTCTAATCCTGTCACTGCCACTTAATATAATCTTAGACAAGTGACAATCGCCTTGAGCCTCAGTCTTCTCATCTGTCAAATGGGGATAAAAATGATAGTATCAGGCTGGGAGCGGTGGCTCTCGTCTGTAATCCCAGCACTTTGGGAGGCTGAGGCGGGCAGATCACTTGAGGTCAGAAGTTCGAGACCAGCCTGGCCAACATGGTGAAATCCCGTCTCTACTCAAAAATACAAAAATTAGCCAGGCATGGTGGTGTGTGCTTGTAGTCCCAGCTACTTGGGAGGCTGAAGCAGGAGAATCACTTGAACCCAGGAGACGAAGGCTGCAGTGAGCCAAGATCATGCCACTGTACTTCAGCCTTGGTGGCAGAGCGAGACTCCATCTCAAAAAAAAAAAAAAAAGGAAAACAAAGACAGTATCAATCTCATTGTGCTGGTGTGAGAATTCAATTCAGTTCTCTAAATAATATGCATAGGCTCCTCCAGGAATGGCTAGAACTAGTGGCTCTGTTTAACAAGGAGGGGGCACAGAGGCAGGGGGCTGGCTACAAAGAGAACATCAGCATGGTGTCATTCATGAGAGCTTTCGGTAATCATGGCAGAAATAAAGAAAAAAACCTTCCATTGCTAGCCTTGTGGGTGCAATCCTCTCTATCCCCAAACCTCTATACATGTTTGTTCTATATAAGGCTATAAGCCTCTTGAGGGCAGGAACTTGATTCATTTAATTCTCTGGATCTTGTAGCGCAAAAACTTAATATCTGTTGGAAGAATGATCACATACGAGAACCTTGTATTTTTCAAAAACATCATCTATCATGCAAACAGCCCAGACACCATGATGGGCTCGTCACAAAGACTCAGGGTGTTTTTATACCTAATCCTCAGAACTTTACCAGGTAGGTTCTTGAGCCCCAGGGGAAACTGAGGCTCAGAGATGCTGAGTCCCTTGCCTGGAGCAACCCAGCTGGGTGGTGGCAGACGGGAATCCCCATTGTGCACCCTCCAGAGCTGTTGTTTGCTCTCCCCTTTTTTGTGCCACCTGCCTTCCCTGAAACTAGGTGATAATGAATTCATTTCTCCCTTTTTGTTATTTATCAAAGCCATATGTAGCTGTCAATCAGAGTGGCTGTTCAGCAGGAGAGAAGGAGGGCTCTAACCCTGCGTCCTGTCACTAGGGCCCAAAGCAAAGGGTTGTCGACAACCTGGCAGACCTGGAAGCTCCGCTGGTGGTTAAGTGGAGGCAGCCAGTGGGCACTGTGGAGCTGCCTCTGAGCCAGCCGCAATGACCACTGCCAGGGCCCTATGAGGGGCCCAGGAGAGGGTGTATGCTGAGCTGGGGATGGCGGTGACAGTCATTTAGTAACGACTTGCTCTGTGCCAAGCACTGGGCTAAGCGCCATACAACAACCCTGTAACGTGGGTCCCCCTGTCCCCGCTGTTCCAGCGTGAGGAACAGAAGCTCAGAAGGGCTCCACAGCCCACAGCTGTATTCAAACCCAGGGCTGCAGACTCCAGAGGCCCTGCTGACTGCGTCCAGGAAGGGCTCCTGGGAGAGGTGTGTCCCCTGGAGGTGGAGGTGTGGAGAAGAGGGCGGGAGGCTTCCAGAGCTTGTGCAGGGAAGAGCTGGCCAGAAGGAAAGGAAAGCCTGCCTCTCTGACGTAAGGTGTCCTGAGATGAAGTGGCTGGGGATGACAGTGGGGACAGGGCCTGCAAGGCTGTGCTAGGCGGGAGACAGGGATCTAGGGCATCGTCCTCAGATTCCACGGCAGGTTCAGAATTACACGGCTGCCTACCTTTCCAGCAGGTCTCAACTTACAAAACCCTCCAGAGCCCCCGCTAGGCTGTTGTCAGCCCAGGGGTGGGCACTCCCGAGGCTCTCCAGGGCCATTCTCTTTGCCTCTCTGACAGGAGGGTTCCAGAGCCAGCCCTGGAGGAGCAAAGAGAGGGAGGGAGCAGCTGGGGGATCAGAGATGCTGGACGTAGCCTGAGGCCGCACGGAGACGGGGATGGAGAGTCCTGGCTGCGAGGGCCAGGGAGACGCAGAGCCTCCTTGTGCCTGGCACTGGCCCAGAACTCTAAGTGTGTCATGTCCTCGGAGCCCCACCCTGAGACACCGGGACCACTCTCCTCATCATACAAGGTTTCAGCCTCACTGAGAACCTCTCCGTAACCCCGAGCAAGTCACCGCCACATCTTTCTGGGTCTTGGTTCCCTCTTCTGTCAAATGGGGAGAGGGGTTGGAGTCAACCCTTCAGGTCTCTCTCAGGAGGAACCTGAATGACTCTAGGTGTGAGACCAGTGATGGCTGACAGTCTGTCTATCTTCCCCCATCCCCTCTCTTCCCCCTCGATCTCCAGCCTCAGGAAGTACCTGCTGAATCAACACGGAGGGGTGGACCAGAAGGCCCTGGAAGGCAGTTCCAATATCCAGAAGGGCTCAGGACCCCTCAGACATACGCAGGTCAGGGCTGAAGGACCTTTGGGGGTCATGAGGGATAGCCTGCCCCTTTTACAGGTGGGTAGACTGAGGCCCAGGGAGGACAAGCAGACTAGGATGGAAGCCCAGGTTCCTCGCTCCTGGCCCCCAAGGAAAGGCTGGCTCCCATTCTCCTGCTGACCTCATGGTCTCCTGCCTCCTGCTCTAGTGACTGGCTTCCCAGGAGGGCAGGCTCCCCTCCTCTCTGCCCTCTGCTCTCCCCAGAGCCCTGGCTCTGATGCCCTGGCTTTGATCCTAGGACCCTGCTTGGACCCAGGAGGCTGCAGCCCCACTCGGACAGCGGAAGCAGAACGGGGGTTTGTCTTCCACGAGAGCCCGTCTGTTGGCGGCGGGGTTGGGCTCGGTTGGCACAGTGAAGCGTTGTTTCCTTGAATACACAATCTGCAGCTTTCCACCCTCACCCGGGCCCTGGCAGGCAGCACTTGCTTCCCTAGAGGTCCAGCTTCCTGGCCCCTGCCTGCCCCATCAGCCCTCCTAGAACCCTGGCAAGAAGTGCAGGTGCCAAGGGGTAGCTTGGAGGGGTCCAGCTCCCCTCAGTCGCCCTCAGAGTACCTCTCATCAAACTAGACCAGAAACAGCCTATGTAAAAAAAAGTGAGTTTGCTGCGCAAATGAAGCTTCCAGACTGTTCCCTCAGCTGCATGCCACTTCCAACCACACTGCAGCCTCCCAAGTCCCGCTCATTTGAAGTGTCTGGGTTCTCCCAGAACAGCTCCATCTTTGTTTTGGTGGCCAGTGGCAGGGAAGCTGTGGAAGCCCAGGAGAAGGCAGGCTCTGGGGGAAAGGAGAGACGGGGGCTGGGGTTGGGGACATGAATGGACAATCCGCCACGAACACGGAAGCGGGTGTTGGAGAAGGTTTTCCAACATGAAAGTAGATGTCTGTGATGGGAAACCCGGAAGGGGAAGAGCCCGGGATTTGGAGTCACAGACCTGGGTTTCAGTCCTGGCTCTATCATTTTCTAGCTGTGTGGTCTTGGCGAGTTATTTAACACCCTTTGTCTGCACAAAGGTGACGAAGAGCTCTGTGTCACAGGGCTGTTTGAGGGACCTGGTGAGCGCCTCAGCACTATCAGCACAGGGATCTCCGTGGTGTCTGAATCAGCTCTGCACTGCCCGATGGGGGCAGTGACAGACAGTGATCCATACCCACCCCTGCGTCTGCCCACCCAGGAGCATTCACGTTACTCTTCCAGGAATCCTGGAAATCCTGCTCTCCCAATCTCGCCAGTCTTCTGCTGGGAAGAAACTTTAGAAGAACTCCAACCAAACACCGTGGAGCCAAGGACGTGGGCGCCCTGGGACTTTCTTGAAGAGGTTCTGGGCCCTGGGACTTTCTCAAAGAGGTTCAGAGGGGCCGGGGGTCAAGGACTTGATTTTCCCCCAGAAGGACCTTGGGAAAGTATGGGACTCCTCAGCCACCCGCAACTGGGAACCAGAAATCCTTCCCCCTGCCTTGGGGCCAAATGCAGAAGCTGCTGCAAGCTGTGGTGAGTAGGGTCAGAGCCTTTCTCAAACAGTGCAGTTGCAAAACGCCCCTTCCTGGGCTTCCGGCTTGATGTTGGGGCACTGACAGCTGCATGTGGCTGAGGCTGACACCCCTGGTCTGCCCCCACCTCCTGCCCAGCCAAGCGGGAGCCGGCCTTGCCGCATCCCTCCCTCAGCCCTGGGCTGCCTGTGCCAGGTGGGGCTAGACCTCCTGGCTCACCCCCAAGACTCAGCCTCAGGCCAGTTCTATCCCCTTCCAGAACCACTCCAGACCAGCACCCAGATCGTGGAACGAGGCTGTTCCCTCTCCAGGAGCCAGGGGCAGGGGGACAGGGAACAGGAGGTGGGGAAAGCTACCAAAGGGAGGGGCACTGGCACCTTCCCCATCCCCTGGGCACACACATGGCTGGGAGAGAGTGGCTGTGCATCTTAGACCCAACAGAGTGGGACCCAGGGATGGGCCGGAGGGAGCTGGGCCCTCTCTCCCTAGCCCCTCCACAGAGACATTAAGATTGTTTTTGTGGGGGGACAGGGGGATGAGCCCACACGCCTGGGGGTGCCCATCCACCCTGGTGAGGGCACACAGTGTGGATCTGATGGAATAAAGGGTAGGGGTGGGGGTAACAGGGCAAGTCACATAGGAAGGGGCCCCTTTTGACCAGGGTGGGTGTGGGACATGGGGGGTCCCTGTGGGGAGGGAAGGGGATATACGGAGTGGGGAGGAGAGATGGGGGGCCTTGCGACAGAAGCAGGGGAGCGGTGACTGCAAGCTGCTGGGTGCACGGGGGTGGGGCGGGCAGGAGCGGGAGGGAGGCCTTCCAAACCCGGAGGGGACTCGGCCCACAGGGACGACTGGAGTGAGGTTTACACCAGAGGGGCAACAGGGGCCGAGGGGTCCCTTCCTAAGGAGACCACTTGTGAGTGAAGGATTTGGGTCCTGGCTAATGAGTGGGTGGGGATGGAAAGGGCAAGTCTTTGCCCCCAGTTTGCTGGTAGACGCTAAGTAACTGGAGAGGAAGTTGGGGGGATCCCTGCCCAGAACCCACCTTGAGGGAGACCTGAGATCGCAGAGGAAACGAAAAGACCTTAAGGGAGGGAATGTGGTTGGCATGTGGTGTCGAGGGGCACTGGGGTGGGTATCTTTGGCCAGCGTGTGTTGGGGTGGGGGTGGGGAACGCGAGTAGCTGGGATCGGGGAAGGAAGGCCGCTGGGTCCTCAGCCTCGGTGTGTGCGGTGTGGGGTGGTGGAGAAGCCCCACTAACAGCGCGGAGGGCCCGGGACCCACACGTGTGGTGGTGGGGGTGGGGCTCGCGGGGCCTGGCGATTATCTGGAAGGAAGCCTGGGGTCCCCCACTCTGTGGACGCGTCTATGGTGTACCGGAGGCAGCACAAATACGAGTCTCCGCCGCGTGCCAGGGGCCGGGGGTCCCCCAGACTAACGTGCGCGGTGAGATGCCGGGTCTCGATCTGGAAGGGGCCGCCGGGTCCCCAACCCCGGTGCGTCTGGGTTCGGGGAAGCTTGGCTGACGGCAGGCTCCCGGGGCGGAGCGGGATCCGGGGATCGGGGGGTTCGGGGCCCGAGACCGGGTCGCGGGGCGGGCGGGGGGCCGGGTCGCGCGGGCACTTACTGCTTGAACATCTTCTCCATGTCCTTGATCTGCTTCCTGGAGAACTCCTTGAACTCGGTGTAGGGGTTGAAGACGCGGCGGCTGGGCGACTGGGGCTCGCCGATGCCCTGGTTGAGGTCTGCGCGCCGCAGCAGCTTGGCGCTCAGCTCGCAGTCCGCGCTGCCCAGCGCCTCGGCCGCCTCGTCGGGTGCCCCCGCCGCCGCCGCCGCTGCCCCGTTCAGCCCGGGCTGCTCCGGGGTCTCGCCGCCGCCCTCGCCCTCCATCTGCAGCCGCCGGCTCAGCTTGGTGGCCAGCTCGTCCGTGGCCATGGTGGCCCGCGCGGCACTCGCCTTGGCCGGGCCCCTGCTCTCAGCGCAGCGCCGCCGGCCGCGCTCTTCCTCTTCCTGACACTCCCCGGGCCAGGCACCGCCCCCGAAGGTGGGACTTGGGCCCTGGCGGGGACCGCGCGCCCCGCCCCCGCCCCCGGGCCCGCGCGGCGTGCGCGTGATCGCTCCCGGCCGCCGGGGGTCGAGTGTACTCTGCGCGCCCCGCCCGCCGTCGTCTGCCCCCCGCGAGGCTGGGGAGCGCGGCCGAAAGCCATGCCCCTCTTCGTGCCCACTGTAGCAGCTGAGCGGGAGGGGTCCTGCTGGGGGCCGGGGCCGGGCGGGAAAGAAGAGGGCTCCTCCCCCGCGGCTTGGGTGAGGAGCGGGGCTTGCCGGGGGGCGGGGAAGCGAGGGGGGGCGCCGCCCCACCCCCTTCTCCGGAATCCCCACGCCGTGAAGTCATAATCCTGTGTCTGTGACACCCTGTCGGTTGCTATGGAAACGACTCGCTGTTAAACACTGGCGTTCTCAATGAGGGTTGCAGGGGTTCCGAGGCGGACCTGGGGAGCAGAAACCCCTGTTTAGGGTGAACCGTGGCGGGCGCCGATGGCCTCTTGGAAGAGGACAGACTAGCAGCTGCGAGGGAGATGGGACTGGGTTTCACCCCTGAAAGGGCCCCTGGAGACAGCGGGTGAGGGACAGGGGAAGGGGCTGGTGGTCCTCTCTCCCGAGGCCCCGCACCATCACACGGATGACTTGGCACAATAGCTGCTGGGCCAGTGTTGTCGCCTGTGACTGTACTTTAGGGAAACTGACAGGGAGATCATGATGTCGCCATTTTGATGGGGTCCCCAGAGGAGAGATGTCCTCCCCAACGGCTCCTGGACAGGACTGGGGAAAGAGTTCAGATAAGTATCTCTGTGGTCTGGGCTGTCACCTTACAACTGCACAACTCTGGACCTCCAGCATCAGAACCACTGGGGCCTAGGTTAATAATACAGATTTTCAGGCTCCAATTTGGACAGACGAAACTGATCTCTGGGGTGGGACCCAGGAATCTACGTGTAAACAAGCACCCAGGGGAGTTCTGCTCACTGAAATTTGAGAATCCCTGATTTAGAAGGAGGACTATGCTCTGTGCATGTTCTCTGAAATGTTGGGTCAATCAGGACCTGTCTACTGAAACTGCTCCAACCAGCCAAGGTGCAGAGAAAAGATGCGTGCAGGGCCGAAAACCAGGGTGCTCTGGAGGCAGGGAGCCCTCGAGAATGTAAAGCCAGCAAGCTGTTACAGAGTGATTTGCACAGAACAGACACTCAGTTGATATTTGTCAATTTGCTGTGTTTAAGAACCTTGCTGAATTAATTTAAAAGGTATTTTTAAAAGAATGAAATTGAGGAAAAAACCTTCAAGGTTCAGAAAATGTGAAGTTCTCATTTACTTGTTTATGAAATTGTTTTTGAGTCCAATAAAGATGCTCAGCTAAAATGGTTTTTTTGTTTTAAATCTCAGAATTAAGTTTCTCTTAGTTTTGGGCAGTTCGGTCCAGCTACTTGCAAAAGACAGGCTTCCATATCTCCTGTATGCAGCCCTGAAGGACCCAACAGAAGTAAAATAGTTATTTAAGGAATGCAAAGGACTAGGGACAGGATGCAGATTAAAATGTTTAAGATGATGTCTGCAGATGATGTTTGTAGATGCTTAAGTTTGTTGAATTCTTAGTCTTCCTCACAAAGCAGCTAATTACTTTCAAGACTCTAGTGAGCCTCAATTTACTCCAATTTATGATTTCCAATGGTTCTGCATAAAACTGGGTTGCCGTTTTATGAAATTGTTTGCATCTGCTTGACGTGGGCGCAAACTTCACAGTGAGGAGATAATGTGAGGGTTTTGCCTTCTTGCAAAACAACTTACATATATATGTGAAAAAACTGGGGTTGGGGTTTGAATTATGTGGACTGCCTGTGCGTAGTAAGCTCTCTGGTCAGTTACCTATTTGGCTTTGTGTGGACACAGCTCTTAGGAGGGAGGGTGGTGGAATTCCTGCTCATTACCTATAGTATCTTGCAGGAGGGCTGCTGAACGCCGGAGCCTTACAACTGTTAAACTCAGGCAGAGCTCGGGAAATGCTGCCCGGATGGGTGAGTCCTTTTAACACCTCTTGGGTTGATTTTTCTCACAGGTTTTCGGGGTTTGCAGAGCTCTGAGACTGTGACCACAGGGTGAGACCTCAAGCTGCCCAGTACTGTGGCCCCATTTCAGAGGCCTTGGGCCTGGGCCAGAGATGGACGCTGGGGCTGCCTTTTACTCCAAGTTTTTTTCTTCATTGGTCATTGGTCATTGGGCTCCAAGAAAAGCACTTTTTCAGGAATCAAAGAAGCAGTGATGGAACGAAAAGCAGAGAAAGCTGATGAGCCCTGAATGGAGGTGAAACTTCCAGGAAATATCACTTGCCTCTTGATTAGGGGAAATCACTTTTGAATGACCCCGAGTTTTGTGCCCCAAGCATAGATTCTGGCAGAAAGAAACAGTCTGGACTGATGACACACTACAACATTTGGTCATGTGGAAAGAATGATCTTCAGGAAAAATCACACCCTTGGCAAAGGCTTTTTACAGAGGCAAGGGCGAGCCGGCCAATTCTGACAATATTCCAGTGGCAAGGGAGCCAGGCTGACTCAGTCATCATTACTTGTGTTTCGTCTCTTCCTCCCACATCTCCTTGTATAACTGTCTTTTGGGGAGGGGTGAAGTGATAGTAAGAAAAACAACAGCACTTTGAAAAAGGGACAGGGGGAGAAACAAGAAGGGGAGAAAGAGTTGGGGAGAGCTCTTGGGTGATGGGGAGATAGCACTGGGGATGTTCTGGAGCCTGACAGAACTGTGTGGTCCCTCCAGCTGGAGATGCTGGGAAAACAGGAAGGGATTCGGGAGACGGCAGGGATGAAGTTGGCTCATGAAATGCAGGGCTCCCTTAGCACTTTACAAATACCAGCTTACAAACACTCCACAGTCATCAGGAAACCCTTGATGGATGCTGCACAGAGATCGAAGTTCAGGAGCAGCACCAATATTCATCCGGGGCAATTGGAGTGAGAGCAGCACAGGATCACAGCCTGATTTGGCCTCAGAGGCTTTCTTATCTCTTGCAAGATCTGGAAGCCATGCAAAAGGTGTCATGGGGAGAGGCGCTGATGTCAGGCATTTATGGGACCACTGAGTGGGGGCAAAGAGGCAGGAGAAAAAGCCAGTGATGATGGGTCGACACCTGCAGGTAGACCCATTTGCAGGTTATTAGAAACTAGCTTATTTATCCAGCTTTTTTTTTTTTTTTTTTGGAGATGGAGTCTTGCTCTGTCGCCCAGGCTGGAGTGCAGTGGCGTGATCTCGGCTCACTGCAACCTCCACCTCCCAGGTTCACGCCATTCTCCTGCCTCAGCCTCCCAAGTAGCTGGGACTACAGGCATCTGGCACCACGCCTGGCTAATTTTTTTGTATTTTTAGTGGAGACGGGGTTTCACCGTGTTAGCCAGGATGGTCTTGAACTCCTGACCTCGTGATCCACCTGCCTTGGCCTCCCAAAGTGCTGGGATTTCAGGCGTGAGCCACCGCGCCTGGTCCTCCAGCTCTCTTTTTGTGGTTATCTTAGACGCTATGAATCTACTTGAAAACCAAGACGATTGATCCTTTAAGTGAGCTGCAGGTGTCCACCTGGGCGTGTTTTCTGCTTCTAAGCCACAGGCAATTCGGTGTGCAAGTTTAACACCCTGATAGGCCCTAGCCTTAGCTCTGTTTTAAACTCCCAAAAAGTGTTTTTGTGTTTGTGTGCATGTGGGGGAGACACCTTAAAATCCAGCAATGCTGTGTCCACAGTGCTCTCCTGGGCCCCTTCCAAAGATGGGAATAATATGGGCAGCTGGTTTCGATTTTTATAACTTGCAACAGCTACTCTGTGAAAGCGGTGTGCAGCAACAGCCAGGCAATCCGGACAGACTTATTAAATGTGCTGGGCACTGGGCACTGGGCACTGGGCACTGGAATTCTCCTGGTTGTAGGCAAGCTGGGGGACAGGGAGGTGAGAGCTGGAATAGTCATTCTGAAGTGTGATATTTATTGGACCCCATACTAGGTGACTGATGGAGAGGGGCTACCACTCTTCCAGCTAAACTCCGCTCTGGTTGGGACCCAGCAATTATTTTCCATAGCGAAGTGTTAATAAAATATCTGTTACTCCCAACACAACCTCCTGGGGGAAGGGACCTGTCTGTCTGCTTCAACTTTGGATCCTCAGTGCCCACATCAGGATACCTGGCCTGAGGTGAGTGCTGTAGAAATAGCTGTTGAATGAATGCATGAGGGCCTGCTCTGCCTGAGGGCTGGGGACAGATTGGGTGTTTTCTGTGTCCCCTCCAGAGCATCCGGTGACCCAGTTTTAGGTCTCAAGGTCACTGCCAAGAAAGAGAAGCTGCTAAAGTGACACCTCTGTGCACCCACATGACTTAACACAAAAGTTAACAGGAGCTCTTCAAAAACAAGCCTCTCGAGTGTCTGTCTCCTGTTTTCCCTGAGGACAGCATCAGTGGCATCAGATAGGGGTTGGGGCTGGGTGACCTGCTGGTCCTCAGCCATCACTGTGGCCCAGAGGTCATTTAAGCAGCTCTCTGCTTAGCAGACAGGCAGAGGGAATAGATGGAAGGTACAGGTAAACACTGCATGTGGCCACCGCGAGGATACCCCGGAGCCTGGGAAACAGACAGGGACGTCGTAAAACCAACACATAATGGACCAGTGCAGAGACAGGCAAAACCAGTCAGAAGAAATAGGATGGTGCCTAGCCCAGGGACACCTGACTTAAGGTATTTTTGTTTGTTTGTTTTGTTTTTTGAGACAGGGGTCTCTCTCTGTCACCCAGGCTGGAGTGCAGTGGCATACTCACTGCTCACTGCAGTCTCAACCTCCCAGGCTTAAGCGATCCTCCCACCTCAGCCTCCTTAGTAGTAGCTGGGACTACAGGTGTGCACCAACACATCCAGTTCATTTTTGTATTTTTTTGTAGAGGTGGAGTTTCGCCATGTTGCTCAGGCTGGTCTCGAACTGGGCTCAAGCGATCTGCCCGCCTCGGCCTCCCAAAGTGTGGGGATTACAGGCGTGAGCCACCACACCTCGTTGACCTAAGGTATTAACTAAAGAAAGCAGGTGATTCTCAGGGGGGCTATGAAAGCAGCATGCCTAAGGGACAGGAACGTACCATGAAGGTGTTGTCTTTTGAGGCTCAGTCCAGGAGAAGCAGGTCTTTTAGACCCAATGACAACGCTCCCTAGTGTGCAGGTGCGTCTCTCTGATGACAAAAGGCAGTGTGATTGTGATATTTTATATATATATAGTTTTTGTTATTGTTGTTTTGGGGACAGGTCTCACTCTGTCACCCAGACTGGAGTGCAGTGGTAAGAATACGGCTCACTGCAGCCTCAAAATCCCAGTTTCAAGCGATCCTCCCACCTCAGCTTCCTGAGTAGCTGTAACTACAGGCATGCACCACCTGGCTAATTTTTCAAATTTTTTTATGGAGACTGGGTCTCATTATGTTGCCCAGGCTGGTCTCAAATTCCTGGGTTTAGGCAATCCTCCTGCCTCGGCCTCCCTCAATACTGAGGTTACAGGCGTGAGCCACTGCACCAAGCCTATATTTTGTTTTTTGTTCACGGTTCCTGGCTTATAACTCCCATGGCCCTTGTTACAGTAAACACGATCTCCCTCCCTGACATTCTTCTACCCTCCTTTCACCTGCCCACAGCAGGACTTTAATCTGATTCTGCGTGTAATCTCATTGCAGAGAGGGTCCTGCCGGTATTACCCTGGAGGAAGGAATGCTGCACAGAGGCCGAGAGGAATTTGAACAGACTGGCCTTGCTGGGTTTTTATCTCTTTTTGTCCAATCCCATTTTGACACAGTTGTCCATGCTCCAATCATGCTTATCCAATGAAGTTTCCATAACAGGCCTGAGAGGACAGGGTTCAGGAGCTTCCGGACAGCTGAGCAGGTGGAGGTTCCTGGAGGGTGGTGTGCCAGGGAGGGTGTGGAAGCTCTGCCCCTTCCCCCATACCTTGTCCTATGCATTCCTTTATCTGCATCCTTCATTTTATTTTATTTTTTTTTGAGACGGAGTCTTGCTCTTGTCGTCCAGGCTGGAATGCAGTGGTGCGCGATCTTGGCGCACTGCAACCTCCGCCTCCCGAGTTCAAGAGATTCTCTTGCCTGAGCCTCCCGAGTAGCTGGGATTACAGGCACCCGCCACCATCCCTGGCTAATTTTTGTATTTTTAGTAGAGATGGGGTTTCACCATGTTGGCCAGGTTAGTCTTGAACTCCTGACCTCAGGTGATCCACCCACCTCAGCCTCCCAAAGTGCTGAGATTACAGGCGTGAGCCACAGTGCCCGGCCTGTATCCTTTATAATATCTTTTATAAACAACCAATCAGTAAATGTGTTACTCTGACTTCTGTGAGCTGCTCTAGCAAATTAATCAAATCCACAGAAGGGTCATGGGAACCCCAACTTGAAGCCTGTCCGTCAGAAGTTCCAGAGTCCTGGACTTGTGACTGGTGTCTGAAGTGGGCAAGTCTTGGGGACTGAGCCCCTAGCCTGTGGGATCTGATGCTATCTCCACATAGATAGCAATGGAATTGAATTGGCGGGCACCTGGCTGGTGTCTGCTGCAGAGCTCATTGTTTGCTTAGTGGTGGAGAGAAGTCTCCCTCCACATGTGGTCACAGCATCTTCTGTCTGTGTTGATTGCTTTTGATGTTGATCGAGAGAACAGGAAAAAGCACATTGAATGTCTCAATGATGAAGATGACAATAATCTGGCTTCTAGGTTGTTATGCGGCAGGCAACAGCTGTGCAGATCCTAATAATCTACTCTGGGTGACAGTTTAACACAGGGGTTGGCAAATGTGGCCCACTTCCTATTTTTATAAATAAAGTTTTATTGAAACATGGCCATGCTCATTCATTTACATATCATGCTGCTCTGCTAGAGTTGAGTGGTGGTGATAAGACACCTATGGTCAATAGAGTCCTTTACAGAAGAAAGGATTTACTATTCGGCCCTTTACAGAAAAAGTCTGTCATCCTGCCCTCATTCATTAGTAGACAACCAGCTGGTTCCTGGACTTCCTTGAGGAAAGTGCTATATTAAGCAGTTGTGGGTATAAAGTCTGGGCTCCAACACTTGCTCTGTGACCTTGGGCAAGTTACTTACCTAGTCTGGGCTCATCATTTTCACAGGTATAACAGGAGTAATGACATGGTGGGGATGAAGTGGGATATTGTCTGGACCACGCTTTGCATAGTGTCTCATGGCTAGGAAGTACTCTATACAAAGTAGTTACTATTATTAGCTATTATATTTCAACTGATGAAAGGTACAAAGAAACTCCCAGGAAGCGGGTCATTGCTGCATGCCGCTGTCTTTAAAGAACGCCCAGCAGCAATCCCATACGTAGCCAACAAGATATGTGGACGTCAAAAGTAAGTGCTCCTTGGGTGCAGCACACCAACATGGCACATATATACACATGTAACAAACCTGCACGTTGTGCACATGTACCCTAAAACTTAAAGTATAATAATAAAAAAATTTTAAAAAAAAGTAAGTGCTCCTATGCAACATACCCAGTAAATTAATGATTCCAACTTCCTTTTCAGTTAAAGCAGTGGATCAGAATTTGAAAAGGAGTAAAGGTCAAGGCCATGAGGTCTAACTAACACGGTAGCATCAGAGCCTGGCCCATAGTAGGCCCCCAGTGTCTACCGGCTGAATGGATGGAGGCTGGTTGTTTAACTGTCAAACCATACTCTCTGATGATAAGACCACAGTTAGCCAGAAGATAAAGTTTCTGCCTCCAATATTTTTGGGTCTTAGAAAGGAAAACAGTTTGCTAAAGATGACAGGAAACTCAAAACAAGGACCTGTTAATGCTTCCCCCAACTGGACGGAGGCATTGCAAAAGGATTCCTGGGCAACAGATGGGCAAAGAAAAATGTTTAAAAACAAAAGCAGGCACATAAGGTCATGAATTGGCCCAAAATAACCTGGGACACTGAGCAGACGGATGCAAGCAGTGCACCTGACGGAAATGAGGCCAAGCTGATGAGCTGAAATAGCCTCACTGGTGCCCTCCATCCTGCTTTAGGAGGCCTCAGCATGGCAAAGAGGCATGCATTAGCGTTATTAGGTTTAGGTTTCCTCACATCCTTAGTGGATTGCCTTCATTCCTAAGTCCCTAAAAAATTGGAAACCACTCCACTTACCAGGAGCACACTTTGGAATGCAGATCTGGAAGCTATTTTTTCCCTCCAGACATTTCATGACTTTGGTTTCTACAACAGCAGGCGATGGTGATGCTGCCAAGTTTCAAGAGAAGGGCACCTTATCTGCAAAGTCACGAATCCAAGGATCCACATGGGCTCCCACTGGCAAGGGCGGAAGGAAGTTGTGTGTCTTAGCTTCTTGAAAGATCAGAAGAAGATTGGGAGGTTTGGGTATACAGGTACCTCACTGTACTGTGGTGCAACCCCCAGGGGAAAGACTGCTGGTAGCTTCTCAGAATCAGTAGTGGGTGGGGGCTGTGTAGCAGAGCGTCGTAGTAAATGCCCATTTGGTTGCAATGAACAGAAACTCAAACCAGCTAAAGCAAAAAGAGGGCACCTATAGGGAAGAAAAGCCAGCTCCTGATGTCCAAGCCTGACTCTTCAGCTTTGCATAGCCACTGATTCTCTGACCTTCCTCATTTCCTCCCAGTAAACTCTCTTTCTGTTTAAGTTAGCCACAGGAGGTATCTGTTGTTTACAACCAAGGGATCTTGAGTGATACAAAGGGTCCTAGTGGAACCCAAGGGCAGGTACTGGAACTGGCCTTCACAAGGAAGGGAACTGGGAATCAGAAAGTCATTGGGAATCAAGGTAACTTTCTTCTGGGTCAGCTGGGAATGTATTCAGCTTCAAATAGCAGAAAACCCAATGTGAGTAGATTGTAAAAATCTGGAGCTCCTCCCACACAGACTCTGGCTTTATCTGATGGGATATTAACAAACATAAGGCAAGTAGAAACTTGAAAAGTGCTTGTGCACTGGGGCTTGTTCTCACCTGCTGTTCTTGGCAACCTGTGGCCACCACATGTGAACGAGCCTAGTCCAGTCGGCTGAAGGATGAGTGGGCCTGCTGAGCAGAGACAAAGCGTGGCAGTGGAAGGCCTCTCTAGACCAGGTTTCTCAACCTCAGTGCTACTGACATTTTAGATCAAATAATTCTTTGTTATGGGGAGTTCTTTTGTCCATTGTAGAATGTTTAGCAGCACCTTTGGCCTCTACCTCTAGAAGAGCACCTGCCCTTCCTTCGTTGTGACAACTAAAATTATGTCCAGACATGGCCAAAGTTCTCTTGGGGGGCAAAATTGCTCCTTGTTGAGAACTACTACCCTAACCCAACTTGCCTGCCAAGGCCAGGTGTATGAGGCCAGGTGTATGAAAGAGGCCATTCTAAACCATCCAGCCCCAGCCAAGACAGTCCAGACAGGAAAAGTGTGCAGCTTGACCCATGGAATCAAAAGAAATAATAAATATTTGTCATTTTAAGTCACTCAGTTTGGGTGGTTTGTTCCACAGCACAAATACATAGACCTGACTACAGTGGTTTAAATAGATAGGGATTTCTTTGTCCTATACAACAGGAAGTACAGAGGTAGGCAGTTCATTCATGGTTCAGAGCTCAGTGATTCTCAGAGAAGGCTCACCCAGGCCTTCTTGTCCCTCCACTCCACTATCCTTTGGCCTGCTGCTGGTGTCTGCTGATCCCCAAGGTGGCTGCTCCAGCTTCTGGTCTGAGCTCCAGGAGTGAGAAAGGAGACAAGACAAAGGTACCAAGGGTGAATGCTTTCACCTAGAGAAGCTGGAAGGGAAGCCCTCCACAGGAGCTTTTCCTTATATGTCATTAGCCAGATTGGTCCAACATGGCCCGTCCTAGCTGCAAGGGAGGCGGGAAAATCATGGTGATTAGCTTTGAGCCTATATGGTAGAGGAAAGTGATGGCTGAGCAATGACTAAGTAGACTTAGTATCTGCTGAGCAGCTGCAGTATCTGCTGCACTGCCTCTGTGGGTTTTTTATCTCTCCTTGTTGCATATTTATTCCAGCCTCCTTTTTTCTGAAGACTGGCTTTGTTTCCCTGAACACAAGTGGGGAAATGTCTGCTTTAGCCCTGGAACTGCATCAAGATTCTCAGCTCTATATTTGGGGATATGGTACAGTCTAATACCAGGTTCTTTATTAGGTTTTTGAACATTTCTGAGATTTTCTAGTGTATTTGTAAAGTCAAGTTACACTCTCCTTTCTTACTGACTTTATTTTTTTTTTGAGACAAGGTGTTGCTCTGTTGCCCAGGCTGGAATGCAGTGGTACAGTCATAGCTCACTGCAGCCTCAACCTCCTGGGCTCAAGCGATCCTCCCAGCACAGCCTCCCAAATAGTGGTGACTACTGGCACACACCACCATGCCAGCTAATTTTTAAGTTTCTTGTAGAGACAGGGTCTCACTGTGTTGTCCAGGCTGATCTGGAACTCCTAGGCTCAAGCAATCCTCCTGCCTCAGCCTCTCAAAGTGTTAGGATTACAGATGTGAGCCACCATGCCTGGCCTCTCACTGGCTTTAGGTCCTAACCATGTGTAAGATGTGCCTCCAATGGAATATCACACAAAGAGTTTGTCCTACTTCCCCCAGGTTTAATGGGTTTAAAGAATATATTTGGTTTTAAAATATAAAAAAAATTTTATTGTGGCTTTTTAAAAATAAAAAAAGTAGGCTGGCCGCGGTAGCTCATGCCTGTAATCCCATCACTTTGGGACGCCAAGGTGGGTGGATCACCTGAGGTCAGGAGTTCTAGACCAGTCTGGCCAACATGGTGAAACCCCATCTCTACTAAAAATACAAAAAATTAGCCGGGTATGGTGGCAGGTGCCTGTAATCCCAGCTACTTAGGAGGCTGAGGCTGAAGAATGGCTTGAACCTGGGAGGCGGAGGTTGCAGTGAGCAGAGATCGCGCCATTGCACTCCAGCCTGGGCGACCAGAGTGAAACTCTGTCTCAAAAAAAAAAAAAAGTATTCATGATTTCTGGCTCTTCCATTTTTTTTTTTTTTGGCTGCCTGGCCACACAAGAATGGCAGTGAGGGCACGGATAGATGGAGAGAAGGCAGAACTTGGAAGGAGCAGAGAGTGCAGCAAGGAAAATGGGGGTCTCTCCAAACACCGTGGAACAGGAGTGTGTGTACCTAGGCAGTGTGTGCTCTTTGGTGACTGGGGACTTGGTCTGTCCTTGTGGCCTGGGACTGTAACAACTAGGCCATCTGGTGTATCCGAATGGACAGTATGAGATGGAATTAGAAACCTGGGTTCAAGACTCAACTCTTGAGTTGACTAGCTGTGTGATTTTAGGCAGGCCATGTAAGTTCTCAGGGCCTTGGCTTCCTCATCTGTCAAATGGGGAATCTAATACTATTTACCTCCCAGGGGCAGGGGGAGGATTAAATGAGATGTGTTTTGAAAATTGTAGAGTGCTATACAGACGTTAGTCATTATTATGGAAGCAATAAAACTGATTGGTGTTCTAAATTTATTACAATAAACAGATTTTTTTTTTTTTTTTTTGAGATGGAGTCTTGCTCTGTCACTCAGGCTAGAGTGCAGTTGTGTGATCTTGGCTCCCTGCAATCATCACCTCCCGGGTTGAAGTGATTCTCCTGTCTCAGCCTCCCGAGTAGCTGGGATTACAGGCCCAGCCATTTTTTTTTTTTTTTAAAGACAGAGTCTCACTCTGTTAGGCTGGCGTGCAATGGCGTGGTCTTGGCTCACTGCAACCTCTGCCTCCTAGGTTCAAGTGATTCTCCCACCTCAGCCTCCTGTGTAGCTGGGACTACAGGCATGTGCCACCACACCTGGCTAATTTTTGTATTTTTAGTAGAGACAGGTATTCACTATGTTTGCCAGGCTGGTCTCAAACTCCTGATCTTATAATCCGCCTGCCTCGGCCTCCCAAAGTGCTGAGATTACAGGCATGAGCCATCCTGCCAGGCCATAACGGAGACTTGAATTCACTATCCCAAGGCCCTGAGAGCTCCAAGGTTACAATTCTGCCCTGAGGCTCCAGTACAAGTCTTAGGTTTTCTCAAGTGTGAGTCTGTTGGAAGTCTTAGGAGGTTTGATATTTGGGAACATCATGACCCAACGTGGACCACATAATTATATCTACCAGGCCTGGACATCTGGGTTACACACTTCTATTCTTCATATACCTGAGTTCGTGTACATTCATAGGTATTTTTAAAGAAGAACCCTTCTCCCCACAGTCTCCAAAATATAATATTGTTCAAAATACTGGTCTAGGAAATGAAACACTAGGGTAACAATCTTTAAAGACTTACAAAAGCAACTCAGTATTTTGACACAGATGACACAGAAGAGTCACATGAACTCACAGAGGATCACATGAGGCCTGGTGGGACGAGGTTTCTCTAGTACTTTCCACTGGGCTTAGAATGCAAAAGGCTCTGGCTGGACTTGCTGGAGGTCTCTTTCCTCAGCATCTCTCTTTCTTGGTCCATCTTTAGGGAGGCTTTTCTGGTTCCAACCTTTAACAAGCAAGAGAAAAAACACACAAACTCCATTGCAGCAAGACTCCAATTGTTCCACTCAAGTGGTTTTGTTATTTTTTATTTTATTTAATTTTTTTTTTTTGAGACGGAGTCTCGCTCTATCGCCCAGGCTGGAGTGCAGTGGTGTGATCTCGGCTCACTGCAAGCTCCGCCTCCTGGGTTCATGCCATTCTCCTGCCTCAGCCTCCCGAGTAGCTGGGACTACAGGCGCCCGCCACCACGCCCAGCTAATTTTTTTTTTTTTTTTTTTTTAGTAGAGACGGGGTTTCACCGTGTTAGCCAGGATGGTCTTGATCTCCTGACCTCGTGATCCGCCCGTCTTGGCCTCCCAAAGTGCTGAGATTACAGGCTTGAGCCACCGCACCCAGCCTTATTTAATTATTTTTAACATGAGGAGAACTAGACACTTCCCATGTATTTTATTGTATTGTACTTATTTATTTACTTATTATTATTATTTTTTGAGACAGAGTCTTGTTCTGTGGCCCAGGCTGGAGTGCAGTGGCATGATCTCTGCTCACTGCAACCTCGACCTCACGGATTCAAGTGATTCTCCTGCCTCAGCCTCCCAAGCAGCTGGGACTACAGGCACATGCCGCCACACCCGGCTAATTTTTGTATTTTTAGTAGAGATGGGGGTTTCACCATGTTGGTCAAGTTGGTCTGGAACTCCTGACCTCAAGTGATCTGCCTGCCTTGGCCTCCCACGGTGCTAGGATTACAGGCATAAGCCACCACACCCGGCTGGTTTTGTTATTTTTTTGTACACAAAATAAAATATTTGTTGTAAAAAATATATATATACACACACAGATATGAGCACAAAAGAGATAAAATGATTCATCATTATCACGTTACTCAAAGATGAGCTTTAGTGAGGTTTTGGGGTGCACCCTTCCAGGTATACAGATATTGCTTTCCTTTTCTCTATTTTTTCTTTTTTTTTTTCTTGATATGGGGTCTCACTCTGTTGCCCAGGCTGGAGTGCTGTGGAGCAATCCCCGCTCACTGCAGCCTCGACCTCCTCAGGCTCAGGTGATCCTCCAACCTCAGCCTCCCGAGTAAGCTGGGACTATAGGTGTGCACCACTATGCCCAACTAATTATTTTATTTTATTTTACTTTTTGTAGAGATGAGGTTTTGCCATGTTGCCCAGGCTGGTCTCGAGTTCCTGGGCTCAAGTGATCTGCTCTCCTTGGCCTCCCAAAGTGCTGGGATTACAGGTGTGAGCCACCAAGCCTGGTCCCTTTACATATTTTTTAGTTTGAAACCAGGAGGTTCTTACAGTAACACATTCATTGTGATGGTGTTTCTCCTGAAAGGCTGTTACTGACTTGAATGTGTCTAAAGTCTCTGATGGCTTAGAACTGGGTGTCCAAACTTTTGGCTTCCCTGGGCCACACTGGAAGAAGAATAGTCTTGGGCCACACGTAAAATACATTAACACTAATGGTAGCTGATGAGCTAAAAAAAAAATTATCCCATAATGTTTTAAGAAAGTTTACGAATTTGTGTTGGGCTGCATTTAAAGCTGTCCTGGGCTGCGGGTTGGACAAGCTTGGCTTAGAAGGAGAAAGTGAAGTATATTTAAGGGGGTCTGTTTAACCCCTTGAGCACTTCCCAGCTCAAAGGAGGGGGCGTCCTGGCAGCCGTGTGCATGACCCCACTCCCGGGCCATATTTGTTGGACACTTGGCACAGCTGGGCTTTTCCGATGCCCACTCCTAGGAGTCGGGGTAATGGGCTGTGAGATGCCACTCGCTCCCTGGGCTGGCCCTTTGAACTGGGGGACTGTGAGGCTGTCCCTTCTTGTCATACCACTGGAGAGAGAAGAAATCAGCAGAGGTATGGAGAGGGGCAGAAATGACATGGAGACGTGTGTGTGCCCGAGTGCATGCATGCACGAGAGAGACGATGCCTGGGCTATCCTCCTAGTTCTCTCCCGTAGCTTTTTTTTTTTTTTTTTGAGATGGAGTCTTGCTCTGTCGCCCAGGCTGGACTGCAGTGGCGTGATCTCTGCTCACCTCCGCCTCCCGGGTTCACGCCATTCTCCTGCCTCAGCCTCCCGAGTACCTGGGACAACAGGTGCCCGCCAGCATGCCCGGCTAATTTTTTTGTATTTTTTGTAGAGATGGGGTTTCACCATGTTAGCCAGGATGGTCTCAAACTCCTGACCTCATGATCCGCCCATCTCGGCCTCCCAAAGTGCTGGGATTACAGGCGTGAGCCACCGCACCCAGCCTTTCCCATAGGTTTTATGAGGCATTCATTTCTGTATCTTTATAAAAGCCCCCCGCCCTGCCCCTTTTCTGAGTAGATTTTTGTTAACTGCAACCCAAGATCTCTCTCGCAAACAATTCTGGACACACTGTGGATAATACTGTGGCTTGCAAGTTTCTTTCCAACAGGATTTACCTTGCCAACTCTGTTCCTGCAAAGCTTTGCCCCCAGCCTTCAGGCTGCACATACACCTGGGGCAAGAGGGCTGGGTGGCTAGTCGCGTTTCAGCTCTGCCACTCACTACATGACCCTCAGTTTCCTCATCTGCCAAATAGGGATGAATATCGATCCTGCCTTCCTCAGAGGGCACAGAGGAGATTCTGGGAAGATTTCAATGGAAGAGTCTGTTAGGACCATCACTTAAGCTCTTTTCACCTTAAGATGGATTTAAAAATCACCTCCTGAGGCCTGTGACAGTGGCTGACAGGAGCCTCAAACGTGTTTTGAGACTCTGCATTCAAGATTGTTTCAGGGCAAGAAAGGGTAAGTCAGTCCCATACCAGCCCACAAAGTAAATATTGGTCCAAATGCGCAGGGAAAAAGAAAACAGACAGCAAACTCAAAAGCCTTCCCCCCTAAACAACCCTTACTTTATATTCCTTTTCATTTGATTTTCAATAAAATTGCTGACTGTGGATGGTTTCCAAATGCCAGTGCCCTGAGCCGGTGTGGAGTTGGCTGTCAGAGTTGGAGCCAGGGAGTTTGTTAAAGAGTCCCAGGTCCCCAGGTCTCCAGCCCCAGGGCTGCCAGAAGCATGGGATGGGAAGCACCACGGAAGGGGCTTTGTTCTCTTTATGAAATGACAAAGGATGGGGCAGCAGAAGGCAGCCAGGACCGCTGACCTGGGAATGGGGAATGTGAAATGCACAGATTCCACTTGAGATATTTGGAACCACGTGCCTCACCCTTAGAATGAAAAGGCAGGGGTAGAAGCCGGTCATTTAAATAGCCACACCCAGGTGTGAATGAACTCAGGCCATCCTGGGGTGTCTGCTTCAGGAAACTGCAAGCCTCGGCTCTAGGAAGCCCCCTGCCCACTCCCACACAACCTCAGGTCTAAGTTTAAATATACGGTCCTCAGGAAGGCCTCTCCTGGAGCTTGGACTGGGAGTGAAGACGTCCCTGTGAAATATGCTCAGCTCAGTTCAGGGGCCTTTGTCCTCCAAACACTGGGCTCAAAGTTATTATTTAATCATTATGTGTATTTACTTAAAAAAAAAAAAAGAGGCCAGGGGCAGTGGCTCATGTCTAAAATCCCAGCACTTTGGGAGGCTGAGGTGGGAGGATCACTTGAGCCTGGGAAGTGGAGGTTGCAGTGAACTGAGATGGTGCCACTGCACTACAGCCTGGACCACAGAGCAAGACACGGTCTCCAAAAAAAAAAAAGCCCAAGACTGTAAGCCAGGCAGGCAGGCAGGGATCTTTATGTCTTCATTAGTCTAACTCTGTGTTTCTCAGCCTTTCTTTCACTATCAACCTCGCCCCCTGAGAATTCTTAGAGGTTTTTTCCCCAGCCCCTCACCCTTTTACAGATAGCAGTGTGTGTGTGTGTGTGTGTGTGTGCGTGTGTGTGTGTGTCCACATCTATGTAGATATGGCTATTGCTTTATACATAGAAAGAATGAATTTTTGGCCAGGCGCGGTGGCTCATGCCTGTAATCCCTCCACCTTGGAAGGGTGGACCTGAGGTCAGGAGTTCCAGACTACCCAGGCCAATATAGTGAAACCCCGTCTCTACTAAAAATACAAAAGTTAGCTGGGCGTGGTGGTGCATACCTGTAGTCCCAGCTACTCGGGAGGCTGAGGCAGGAGAATCGCTTGAACCTGGGAGGTGGAGGTTGCAGTGAGCCGAAATTGCACCACTGCACTCTAGCCTGGGCAATAGAGCAAGACTCTGTCTCAAAAAAAAAAAAAAAAAAAAGGAATGAATTTTTGCCCCCTCGGGGGTGATGCTGCCCCCACTGAGGATGCATCATCCAACCTTAACACCTGGACAGCCCTGCCACGTTGCTGACTCTTAATATCTGTTGTGCGAATGAGGGCCAGGGCAGTCTCTCTTTTTGTTCGCCCTTCTCTCCCCAGTGCTTAGCACGGTAGGTGGCCTAGCCTAGGTCCTCAGTAAGTACTTGTTAACTGGAAGATTTTCCTTTATAGCATATAGCCCACGAACAAAAGACTGTTGGCCAAAATGGAAAAAAAAATCAGTGAATGGTATTTTGGAGGACAGAAAACAAAAACCCGTAGGGCCTTGAAAAGAAAGGCACAAATCCAGTTCTGAAGCTTGTTAGGGATGGACACTTTTTTTATGAGCAAGCAAGCCTGAAAGAGTAGATTTTCCACGTCGCATCTTCCTCAGGGTGGTCATGATGACTCCATCACCTTAAGGACTCGAAGCACACTATAGAGGACGGAGACCCCAAGCTATGTATTTCAAGGAACCTGGAGGAAACTTTTTTTTTTTTCGAGACGGAGTCTCGCTGTGTCCCCAGGCTGGAGTGCAGTGGCGCAATCTCGGCTCACTGCAAGCTCCGCCTCCCAGGTTCACACCATTCTCCTGTCTCAGCCTCCCGAGTAGCTGGGACTACAGGCGCCCGCCACCATGCCCAGCTAATTTTTTGTATTTTTAGTAAAGACGGGGTTTCACCGTGTTAGCCAGGATGGTCTCGATCTCCTGACCTCGTGATCCGCCCGCCTTGGCCTCCCAAAGTGCTGGGATTACAGGCGTGAGCCACCACGCCTGGCCTGGAGGAAACCTTTTTGCACCAAGGAGGTCCAAGCCATCAATCCCTTTGCCTCTTGCATCAGAGAAAAATGGATTTTTTTTCTCAAGCTGTGGCTGGAGGGCTGGATAAATGGGAAGATCACTCTGTTCTTAGGCGAAGCACCATCTGCCCCCATTCTGTTAAGCCTGAAATTCCAGGGAGCTTCACATCTAAGAGCACCACAATATCCCTACATCCAGGGCCCATCCCAATGTCAACACTGTCATTTTACATCTCCATGTCATTCTCAGCCAATAACTGGCAGCAGGGCAGTGTCTGCCTGCTCCAGTCTCTCCAAGTGTGTGGATGAGTAAGCAACAGGCCTCCCCTTCATTCCCACTTTGCAGGTGGCAAAAGTCTCAGGTCTAGGGGGACCCTGGGGACACTCTCTACCCTCCTAACACCCAGAGCAGCAGCAGCCACCTTCTGTCCTAGGACAATGGTGTCAGTTAAGAAGAGGCTTCTATTTTCCAAAAATGTCCCTTGCATAGAATATCTTCAGTTTTTCCAATGACAATTTTGTTGTCTCAGAATAACTGTGGCCTTTTATCAAACTTGTTAAATAAGCCTTTCTTATTCAACAAAAATGTGTTTTGCTTTCAAGCTTCCTGATAGCTTGCCTCTACTTTCTGCAAAGCAGGAGTGTGGATTGGATCAATTCCAGTTCCAGGGCTGATTTGTGAATGGCAATGATTCAACATGTTTAAGATTTTATAGACTTGATTAAAAAAGAGTGTTCAGCCAGGCGCGGTGGCTCACTCCTGTAATCCCAGTGCTTTGGGAGGCCGAGGCAGGCAGATTACAAGGTCAGAAGATCGAGACTATCCTGGCTAACACAGTGAAACCACAGAACTAGCCACTGCACTCCAGCCTGGGCAACAGAGTGAGATTCCGTCTCAAGCAAAACAAAACAAAACAAAACAAAACAACAAAAAAAGAGAATTCTAAAGGATGCTCTTTCTGCTCACCTGGGAATTTGAGTTCTGCATCCTGTTCTTCACCATCTCTACAAATACTCGTCTCTTCAATACAGAAAGAATAAGAACAAAATCTAGCTTAGATTCCTCTTTGCCTTTTGCATCAAAGAAAAATGGATTTTTCTCCACTTTTAGATGCTAACCATTTGGAACGCTGGGCCTTCCCAGGGACAGCATTCCAAACAGGTAGCATCTGAAAATTGAGAAAAATCCATTTTCTCAACGAGAAGGGGGCACAGCTTTTGGGAGCCACAGTGCCCCATCTTGCTGAGTCTCTTGGGGGTCTCTGTTCTAGATTCCAGCAGAGGTGGAGGCTGCTCAACCCAGGGCCTGTGAGGAACAATGCTCTTCTCGGAGGACACGTCTGTTTTAGCTCGAGGCAGCGCCTCCCAGAGCAAGTGGAAGGGGCTGCAGATGCCCGGTGGTTCACACCTCGGTATCCCAATGGCTCAGGGATGGTGGGGCCCATGATGGTTGAACTCCCTTTAGGGGCCTGTTTGAATGTCATCGTCACCCAGAATCTGAAGCTTGCTATTTCCCTGGGGTTTGGTTTACAGTTGCTGACCCTGGGGTCCCCAAGATGTGGCACCTCAGCAACAGTTCCCTGAAGAAAGAGCAGCCCCAGATACTGGGGACACCTCAGGGAGGGAGGGAGCTGGGCCCCCCTCTCAGAGATCCCCAACCTTCCATGGGGGTCACCAACCTCATGCCTACAGGGGCCAGGAAGTCAAAGAAGGCGGTGAGATGGAGATGGCAGCAAACCCAGGGGCCGGGGTCCTTTCTAAGGGGCTGGAAGCTGGTGGCGTGTGGGACTGTGGGCCTAGTGTCACCAGCAGATCCAAGTTTCCCAAAGAAGCCAGAAATCTGGAGTATTCTCTTAAAGTGCCTTTTTTTTTTTTTTTTTTTTTTTGAGACAGAGTCTTACTCTGTCACCCAGGCTGGAGTGCAGTGGTGCGATCTCGGCTCACTGCAACCTTTGCCTCCCAGGTTCAAGCAATTCTCCTGCCTCAGCCTCCCGATAGCTTGGATTACAGGCGCCTGCCACCACACCCGGCTAATTTTTGTATTTTTAGTAGCGATGAGGTTTCACCATGTTGGCCAGGCTGGTCTGGAACTCCTGACCTCAAGTGATCAGCCTGCCTCGTCCTCCCAAAGTGCTGGAATTACAGGCGTGAGCCACCATGCCCTGCCAAAAGCACCTTATTCTGAAATGGACCAAATGAGGCATAGCCGTGGGCTGCTATTTTGTGACGTCTGCCTCAGGGCCGCCCTGCCTGGCATCTAGCTGGTGCTCAGTGGATTGCTGGTGGGTTGCCAGATAAAATACAGGATACCCAGTTACATTTGAATTTCAGAATGAAAACAAATACTTTGTTTTAAGTATAACTATGTCCCATGCAATATTTGGAACATACTTAACACTAAATCACTATTTGTTATTTATCTGAAATTCAAATGTAACTGGGTATCTTGTTTTATTTTTTTCCTTTAAATCTGGCAACCCCATTTGGCATTCCCCAGACCCACGGGGACAGTGAGTCAGGCTGTCTTTTAGGATAGGGGCATAGGTGCTCGTAAGTCTCCACTGTTCTCCCAAAGCAACAGTCTGCGAAGAATCGTGGCCTGTATTTAGCTGACAGTTGCCCTCTAGAAGGCCTGGAGCCTGCAGCCACTAAACATTTATCACAAAGTTAGTGAGAGGAACAAATTCAGCAGAGAGCCATCATTTCAGGTATTGTCAAGCAATGGTTTTAAACCTCTCTTCCCTCCTTTCTCTTCCAGCAGGTTTTTTTTTTTTTTTTTTTTTGAGACAGGTTCTTCCTCTGTTGCTCAGGCTAGAGTTTAGCGGGATGCTTATGTGGCTCATCGCAACCTTGAAGTCCTGGGCTCAAGAGATTGTCCCACCTCAGCCTCCTGAGTAGCTGGGACTACAGGTGCACGCCACCATGGCTGGCTAATTTTTTGTGCTTTTGTAGAGCCAGGGTTTTGCCATGTTGCCCAGGCTGGTCTTGAACTCCTGGGTTGAAGCCATCCGGCTGTCTTGGCCTCCCCAAATTCTGGGATTACAGGCGTACCAGTAGGATTCTTTACCCACACAAAATCCTTTGAGGAACTTGGTATGTAAAACATCTGCTCTGGTGGAAACAAGATGTGAGGATGTTGGGACTCATACCCTTCCACGGGGCACAAGGGCTCCAGGAATCCCAGGTGGAACACTGCTCCACAATCCATCCCTGGATTAAGTCTGCTCAGTGGACACCTGAGCACTGGAGAGCAGAGCCCAGCCCCGTACAGATCTGCTTTACTGAACTTTACTGGATTCAGTGGGATGTGATGACATCGATCTGTCTCAAGAGCTGTTCTCAGCCACGGCTCAGCCCATGTCACCCCACGAAGGCTGTTCTTAAAGATGCTGCTCTTTACGTCACACACCGTCCCCTCTAGGGGGAAAGTCCAGCAAGGTCTTTGTTCTAAGAGCACTTACGAGCATCCATCCATTGTATCTCATGGACACTGTGAACTGTGACCAAGTTGGTTTCCCATTTCTCGTTGGCTGCCAGGAAGGTCGGAGTAAAACAGGGCTCCCCTTGGCGGGGGTAGAAGTGCTTATGCGAGGCACTTTCATCCTCATTCCTGGCTCTGTTTTGTAGCCACTCCCACCTTCTTTCACCCCCCTCATTTCATTCTTAGGACAGGGATTCCTGAAGCTCCTCACTCCTCCCTTCTTTCTTCTCTTAGGACCTTGCCTCCAAGTCCCCAAGTTACTTAGTGGCCTAGGATGGCTGCTCCATGAGCTGAAGCTGTGCTGGAATATCCCCTCTGCCTTCTCACCTTAATGGACAGACGGGGCTGGACGCGTGCTTGTCTCTTAGGTCATCCGTTCAAACTGCAGGCAGGTGGGGCAGGGCCTGGGGAGGGGAGGGAGGGAGGTGGGGCAGGGCCTGGGGAGGGAAGGGAAGGAGGGAGGGAGGGACGAGGGGCAGAGGCTGGGGAGGGAAGGGAAGGAGGGAGGTGTGCAGTGCTCCTTGGGCAGCGCGTGCAGGCATTTGCATGCCATGAGCTCTTACCCCCAGTTGAGACTGTCTCTACTCTGTGTCTGCAACATCAGAACACCTCCCATACCTGCCTGTCTTTCTCTTTGAAGGCACAGTTGCAAGGTGTCGATTCTTTTGCGTTTCTCAGTTCGTGCTCCTCTACACTTTCCTGAGTGAAAAGTATCAGGTTAGCAAGAGAGTGCTAACCTTAGTGTGTCCTTACCCGTTCCAATCTGGGACAGGCCTCTGAGGTTTCTAGGAGACGCTGGGACTCACTGAGATAGGTGGGCAGAAGATAAGGGATCACTGCGGGAGAGTCTTTTTCTTTTTTATTCGAGACAGGATCTCACTCTGTCACACAGGCTGGAGTGCAGTGGCACGACGATGGCTCACTGTAGCCTCGACCTCTCAGGCTCAAGCGGTCCTCCCACCTCAGCCTCCCAAGTAGCTGCGACTACGGGCGTGTGCCACCACACCCAGCTAATTTTTTTAATTTTTAGTAGAGACGGGTTTTTGCCATATTGCCAGGCTGGTCACCAACTCATGGGCTCAAGCCATCCTCCTACATCACCCTCCCAAAGTGCTGGGATTACAGGTGTGAGTCACCACACCCAGCTAATTTTTTTGTTTTTTGTAGAGATGGGGGTCGTGCTATGTTGCCCAGGCTGGTCTCAAACTCCTGGCCTCAAGTCATCCTTCTGCCTCGGCCTCCCAAAGTGTTAGGATTACAGGCGTGAGCCACCGCACCCAGCCTGGTGTCTTTTTCTTGAGCCATCTTCTATCCATACACTGCACCACTCTAGCCACATTTTACTTTTCCATTCTGGTGAGGGCGCGTGGTTACCACCCCCAAACCCCCATCCCATTCTCATCCCACACATCTACCAATTTCTACTTTTTGGTCAAAAACACATAGTGGTGCTGAGGAAACCAGGATCTTGAAAATACCTGGGCCCAAGAAAATCTTGGGAAATAATGAGTTAAATAAAATACTACTGATATGATGATGTATAAAACAGTACTGATATGATGGCTGAGTGTGGTGGCTCATGCCTATAATCCCAGCACTTTGGGAGGCCAAGATGGGCAGATCACTTGAGCCCAGGAGTTCCAGATCAGCCTGGGCAACATGGTAAAACTCTCTACTAAAAAATACAAAGATTACTCTCTACTAAAAAAAATACAAAAATAAGCCGGGCGTGGTGGTGGGTGCCTTGTAATCCCAGCTACTTGGAAGGCTGAGGTGGGAGGATCATTTGAGCCTGGGAGGCAGAGGTTGCAGTGAGCCGAGATTGTGCCACGGCACTCCAGCCTGGGCAACAGAGCGAAACTCTGTCTCAAACAAATAAACAAACAAACAAAAAAAAAAAGAAAGAAAGGAAAAAAAAAGAAAAAGAGAAAAGAGCACGATTGAGAGGTTGTGTTCGCTAAGGGTTTTATATGCATGCCTTCACGGGATTGACTCCTGTGGGTTAGGCACATTTTCATTTTCATCTTAAAGATGAGGAACTTGAGCTCATAATGCAGAGGCAAGGTTAGGGGCTCCAGCCCAGCTGAGACCGCGTGGCAAAGCTGTGGCCAAGCCCCTTGGGGAGGATTTGATTGGCTGGAGCCCGGAAGGGGAGCTGGCCTGCTCCCCACCAGAAGCAGCTAGTGCATTTCAGTGGTTCTCACACTCAAGTCCTAACAAAGGCCGAAGAACGGGCTTGCATCCTTCTCCAAGGGCAACTTCTGTGCATTTAAAATGTTCCTACTGAAAATCCCAGTCTTAGCCCATTCACGAAAAGTGTCAGCTGTTTCTTGGCTGTAGCCCTAGCTGTATTCACTAAAGAGAAAAGACAGCTTTACAAAGGCGCTGCCGGCTCTAGGAGGACCCGGGAAAAAGTCTCGGAGTCTGCAGGACTCGCCAGCGGGCAGGAAGCTCATTGAAAGCGATGCAGGCACTGCCCCCGCCCCCGAGTGGCCTTTTCTCTTCCCCACAGTAACCGAGTAACTGAGCTTGCTCTGTGACAGGCTCTGCTGGCATCACACCATTTAACCACCCCACGAAGCAGGTCCTGTTGTTACCGTTATTGGTGCTGTTGTTGAGAAACCTGCGACAGAGGTAAAGTCACCTACTGAGGCTCACTCAGGGACAGAGGTGGGCTTGAACCCTAAGCCCTATCTGTTGGACTCCAAGTCTGCCTCTTATCTCGGAGAAACTCTGCTGCCTTGTTTAGTGATGTGGGAAGTGGACTAGATTGGGCACAGCCTGGGCCATTGTCACTGTCACACTGTCACTGCAGGGAGCTGTGGACCCAGGGCATCCCAGAGTCAGGAGGCTGATGACCACGAGGTTCTCTGTGAATGACCAGCACTGAGGTTTTCCCCAACATTTTATGTCAGGTCTGATTTGCACAGCCAGAGGTATTAGTATAGAACTATGCCTTTTTTTCTGTTTTAAAAGAGACAAGGTCTTGCTGTGTTGCCCAGGCTGGAGGGCAGTGGTGCGATCATAGCTTACTGCAGCCCCAAACTACTAGGCTCAATTGATCCTCCTGCCTTAGCCTCCCAAGTAGCTGAGATTACAGGTGTGTGGTGCCATACCTGGCTAATTTGTTTATTTTTATTTTTAGAGGTGGTGTCTTGCTATGTTGCCCAGGCTGGTCTCAAGTGATCCTCCTGCATCAGCCTCCCAAAGTTCTGATATTACAGACGTGAGCTACCCTGCCCAGCTGGAAGTATGACTTTGGACTCTGGGAAGTTCTGCTCCGTGAAGAGATGTTCAAGTGTTAAAACTACAGTGGTTGTCTGTGTGTCAGGGGCGGATAGTTCTGAAACTCAAGGTGAGTAATTTCGTTTCCCAGAGCCTCAACTGTTCCATCTTTATGAAGGGGCACTGAGATTTTATACAGGAGACGTGGAAAAAAATCGACTCTTTGTGAAAATGTTAGGTGTGAAACTTAAAGGAATTCTACTTTCCTCTCCTAGGGAGCAGCTGCTGCCTAAACAGATGTATACAGGTTCCCTTTCGAGTCTTGCACCACTGAAAAAAAACTGTTTTCTCTGATGTTGTCAAATTCTTGAACAGCAAGCAAAAAAAAAAAAAAAGATTTTCCCCCTTTTTCCCTTGACAAACAGGAGTTTCTGATGACATGTTAGTCACAAACCTTAAATGCAAACTGAGCCTGGGGATGAACCCCGAGAGAAATGGTGATGGAGTAGGCGGGGTGCATCCTGGAAAGGAATAGGGGGGATGAGTGGATGGGCTGGGAGGGCCGGGATCGGAGGTCGCTGAGGTCCCGTTTCTGTAGCTGAGTAGCCCGGTGACACTGCCCTCCGACCTCCTCAGTTTCCCCTCTCAGCGGGCAGATGCCCGGCAGCCCTCCTCGCAGGCTGATGTGAGGTGAGGGTGGGCCGTGCCCTGTGGGGTGCATCTGACAGCAAGTGCTCCTTACATAATACCATCAGCCTTGCTGTGATCGTGGCTCTACTTCCTATCAAATCTTTCCCTACGTTGTGAATTCCATGAATTTGAAAGTTCCCAGCTCCAGCTGGGGACGCTGACACAGGTTTGGCTTGGCCGCTTCGGACCTTCCTCCTCCCGCTCGGTGGAAGGCTGGCCAGCCCGCATTGTGTGTGCCTAGGGAGGCCATGAATAATGCATGTGGACTGATTATGTAAATCTGCAGGTTTTCTTTCATTTTCAGCCAGTGCATGACAATGGGCTTTTTAGGGCCCTCTGCCGTCCCATTCTGTGGTTTGGTGTCTCTGCTGTGGGCCTGGCCTGCCAAGCCCTGGGGGACACTGCCTCGGGAAGGAGCGAACTCTCCTGTGGGTACATCAAAGGACATCTCAGGACTCTGCTGCTGCCCAGATCTCCCTGGCATGGCACAGCGTAAAAGGAAACGGTCCTCTGCCCGAGGCAGCCCCACGACATGTGCAGATGGGGGCCTGTGATGTTTAATTCAGAGTGGTGAGTGCTGGAAAGGCCACGTCCAGAGCAGAGCGCTGCCTTCATTTTTGGGGGCTGCAAGCCAGGGAGCCTGTGGTCTGCAAGGTTTGTGGGATGAAGGCCAGGCCTCTGCAAGGAGCTCACCTGGTTGGTGGAGGGGGCACCCTTCTCTGGGGGTTTGGCTCTCTCTGAGCTCAGGCAGGCAACACACACAAACACACACACATAGTGTCACACACAGCCAAACCCTCATGCACATGGTACACATGTGCACACACACACACACATGAGAATGTACACACACACGAGAATGCACACACACATAAAAGCTGACAGTTACAAGGAGGGGACTCACGGCCAACCCTGCAGACAGCAGGAGAACCAGGGTCAGAGGGATCTGGGGTCAGGTCCCAGCTGTCCTTACCAGCCGCTGTGTGCACTTGGGCGCCTCTTAACTCTCTGAGGCGCAGTTTCCTCATCTGTAAAATAGGGATCATCGTACCAGGCAGGGCTATTAGAGGCATTAATAAGCCCTATCACGGCTGCAAAGCTCAGGTGAGCCCAGTCCCTGGCCTGGAGACGGTCATGAAGAAACAGTGACTGTGGTTCTTTCCCTGACTTGCCTAACCCCAGCCTTGGGATCTGCTCCACCTTAGGCAAGAGTGAAGGAAAGGGAGAGTCTGGCTCTATTTAGAGGTCACTGTTCCAGTGCCTTGTGGACTGCAGGAGTGGATGATGAATATGTCAACTGCAAAGCAGACAGGAAAGCCCCTCTGCCAGCTTTCAGGGAGCTTTGGAAGCCGCCCGGGTGCTGCTCATGTGTGACTTGCTTTGGGGAAACTTTCCAGTGTGTAGACCCTACCGGGTCTGAGGCAGGACTCACCCAGGAGACCACCTGCATGGGTCACGGGCAGCATGGGTCATGGGCAGCATGGGGAAGGCAGTGTCCGCCGGCTGGTGCCAGGCCCTGGGCAGGTGCTTCAGAGACGGGACAAGCACCCTCACCATCCAAAAGCACTTGGCTCCTGAGGTATGACGACAGCGAGAGTGGACAGCAGATAGCGAGGGATGCCTGCATTCTTTCATCCTCACCATCTGTCTGCGAGGCAGGGGCTGGAAGCTCCCATCTACTAATGAGGAAAGCAAGGCTCAGAGAGGCAAAGAGATCTGCACAAGGTCGCACAGTTAATAAGTGCGGGGATTTGAGCCCAGGACCGGCTGACTCCTGTACCATGCTACAGATGAGATACCAGAGTGTGTGCGCGTGCGCGTGTGTGTGTGTGGTGGGAGGGGGACCCATTTTCGCTGGGTCACCAGCCTGAGACTGGAATCTCGGTTTCTCAAGCCAGTGTTATTTCCAACTCTGTGCCAGGGAGCAAATCTCATCCTCACACCTTTCCTCTGCGGCTCCTTCAGCCGGGAATGTCCACCCTCTCATCCCTTTGGTGGACAAACTCCAGCTCTCCTTTGCGGTCACTGGCGGCATTGTGGCTTTGGCAGGCCCTCGCTGCATGTTCTAACCAGGCTGAGTGCCCTTCCTGGACTGCACAGCCTCGACAGCCTTCAGCTATGAAATCCACCTGAAGTCAGCTCTCTGTTCCACACTAAGGGATATGTTCTTCAAGGACATCCATCTGCCCATCCACCTGTATACTCCTCAGTCCATCTATTCTTCCATCTGTCCATCAACCTGTCTGTCCTTCCACCCATCCGTTCACCAAATATTTACTGGGTGTCTACCGCGTGCCAGGCACTCAGAATAGTGAATCCAAATCTCCACTCTCTGAGAGCTTATGTATCCCTAGCACCTGGCAGATTGATATAAATATGAATAACAACCACCATTAAAAAAAATACAGATGAGCACCATGAGTCTCAGAGAGGTTAAGAAACCTATCTAAGGTCACATAGCAAGTGGTTGAGCTCTGGTCTAAATCTAGGTCTGTCTGATGCAAAAGCTATCCAGTTGCCTCCCTTTGCATCCATCCCTGTGTTCTGTGCTACCTGGATCCTCCAGGGACCACCCTCGGCCATTGCTAATGGGAGCTGCAGGGCAGCCTGGGAGGTTCTGCCCTGGGCAGCAGCGCCTCACCTTCTGCTGCCGGATGGCCCTGTTGATCCTCTTCTCCTGGCACAGCTGGTGCTCCATGCGCTCCAGGGCCTCCTTCAGCAGGGCCTTCTCTTCGGCCTCTTTGTAGATATCATCCTCCAGCTTTGCCACCTGCGACTGGTACATCTCAATGGACACTTTGCTCCGCCTGGGTGCACAGGAGAGATGGCGTCTGTTTTTCCCTTATCTTTCCCAATCATCATCAATGTGCCAGACCCGGAAGTCTCTCAAAATACATCCACAGTGGGGGCTCACTCAGGAGTGTCATCACAAGCAGGAGAGCATGACGAAGATTTGGGGTACAGAGAGCAGAACGAGCCATTCATCAGCCGAATGTGTGTAGCGGGAGGGGATAAAGGATGTGCTACCAGCCCCTCCTGACTTCCTGGGGAGTGGGGAACTGCGACTCTTGAAAATATGACGGAGCTGTCAATGCTACACAACTGGGAAACCATAAGTCAAGGGTCGCAAGAGGTGCAGCTTGCACAGAAAATAGTTCACAGAATGGGGAAACCGTGCACTTCTGCAGCCGTGATCTCGGGGACAGAATTCCCTCTACCAGGCCTAGTCAGTGCCCTCCCTGGTCCCCTTCTGACATTGCAGGTATTCCACACGTGGGTCTCTGTCCTCCTGTCCCAGGCCTAGAGGTCTGCTGCTAGCCTGAGTTTAGCCAGGAGAAGGGAGGCCCGGGCCTTTCTGTGGGGACATGGGGGTGCCGAGGTACCTGAGCTGTTCAACGTCCTTTTCATATCCTCTCAACAGCTCCTCTTTCCTCCCCAGCTGGTTCTTGAGTTGGGTGATCTTATCAAACACCAGGTCGAGGTCCCTTTGTCGAAGCTGGTTGACCTTCTCCCTCTCCTGGCGGGAGAGGTATTTCATGGACACGTGGCCTGACATATTCTTGATGTTCATGAGACTTCCGAGGGTTTTGCTCATATCCAGGTACTACAAGGAAAACGTTCGCGCATAAGAGGCATTACCCGCGGCCGCTGGTGGCCGCTTTAAGGAGGCCAATGTCTAATTCTGTTTCATTCACTTTCTGCAATTGCAGAGAACACGCACATGCTTTGAAAGGATGTGCAACTGGGGCTTTCAGCATGACTTTCCTTTCTCCCACATCCATTTACGCTATGCCTTTTTTGAGAACCGGGGGTGAAAAATGACAACAGATATAAACACTTCATTCTAACCACCCAGTTTTTCAAGGAATTTGGCTATGTGATTCCTGACCCATGCTGGGATAGTAGGTAGGTCCTGCAGAGTTATTAGAGTAACTAAATAGGCATGTGAGGTTGATATTTAAACTATCCTGCGTTCAACACTGACTGCAGGGGCCCCAGGCTTTGGATAGGAGCAGGGTGGATGCTGGATGTACATACCAGCTTTTCACTGAGCTCTAAAGCCTCAGCCACATCCATCTTCCCTGACTTCTCCATGGCTGAGCCGAACCTTGCGTTGCAAAGGCCATTCTGAGGCTGAAATCAGAAAGAAATGAAAGGCCTCTCTTGACATTCCATTATGACTTTCTATGACTGGAAGCTAAAGCACTGTGTGATTACCGAAGATTAACTCAAGAGAGTTGATTTTCAGTCCGCGTCCTGATCATTCCGTCTGATTCCTTTGTCAACTGCTTTCTTATAATTGTATTCCCACCCTTCAGAGAATGACTCTGTCTTTGAAGTCTCTGTAATTATACATCACTTGTCTTGTTCTTTGATCACCGCCTGTCTTCCCTCTAGAACAGTGGTTCTCAATTGGGGTGGTTTTGTCCCCTCCCCTGGGCCATTTGGCAGTGTTTGGACACATTTTTGATTGTCACAACTGCAGGCGGGGAGTGCTACTAGCATCTAGGGGGTAGAGAGCAAAGACGCTACTAGACATCCACACATGCCCCCACAAACCACGCCAGATTGTGGGGCCCTAAAATATCAACAGTGCTAAGGCCTGGAAACACTGGTCCAGAGGAGAGTGCCATAGAAGCAGGGATGGTGTTGCTGTTTGCTCACTCTCCCCCTCCTTGTGCCCAGCATGGCACCTGGCACAGAGTGGGCATGTTTGTCAAATGAATGAATGCAGGTTAAATAGAAAACATCCCCCCTCCTTTTATTAAAGGAATGCCATTTTCACGCAGCGGAAACTGGACGCTCACTTCCGACCCTTTCCAGAGATGATGCAGATGGTGGGTGAGCATCACTTCAGTGTGGGGAAAAGCAAGAGAGATCAGATTGTTACTGTGTCTGTGTAGAAAGAAGTAGACATGGGAGACTCCATTTCGTTCTGTACTAAGACAAATTCTTCTGCCTTGAGATTCTGTGACCTTACCCCCAACCCCGTGCTCTCTGAAACATGTGCTGTGTCAAACTCAGGGTTAAATGGATTAAGGGTTGTGCAAGATGTGCTTTGTTAAACAGATGCTTGAAGGCAGCATGCTCCTTAAGAGTCATCACCACTCCCTAATCTCAAGTACCCAGGGACACAAACACTGCGGAAGCCGCATGGACCTCTGCCTAGGAAAGCCAGGTATTGTCCAAGGTTTCTCCCCATGTGAAAGTCTGAAATATGGCCTCGTGGGAAGGGAAAGACCTGACCGTCCCCCAGCCAGACACCCGTAAAGGGTCTGTGCTGAGGAGGATTAGTATAAGAGGAAGGCATGCCTCTTGCAGTTGAGACAACAGGAAGGCATCTGTCTCCTGCCCGTCCCTGGGCAATGGAATGTCTCGGTATAAAACCCGATTGTACGTTCCATCTACTGAGATAGGGAAAAACCGCCTTAGGGCTGGAGATGGGACATGCAGGCAGCAATACTGCTTTGTAAAGCATTGAGATGTTTGTGTGTATGCATATCTAAAAGCACAGCACTTAATCCTTTACCTTGTCTATGATGCAAAGACCTTTGCTCACGTGTTTGTCTGCTGACCCTCTCCCCACAATTGTCTTGTGACCCTGACACATCCCCCTCTCGGAGAAACACCCACGAATGATCAATAAATACTAAGGGAACTCAGAGGCTGGCGGGATCCTCCATATGCTGAACGCTGGTTCCCCGGGCCCCCTTATTTCTTTCTCTATACTTTGTCTCTGTGTCTTTTTCTTTTCCAAGTCTCTCGTTCCACCTTACGAGAAACACCCACAGGTGTGGAGGGCAACCCACCCCTTCACTTCAGACCCTTTCCAGAGAGGAGACAGCTGTGCACCTGCTAAGACCCTGCTCAGCCGGCTGCTTGCTGAAAGCCCCAGCCAAAGGCATAGAAAAGCCACCAGGCCAAGCGGGGAGTCTGGAGGCCACGGACAACCCCCATACATCCCCTCACAACTAAATTGGGTTTTAAGTGCTCGCCACGAACACCAAGAGCATGTCAGCTTGCAGCATTTACCGGCTCTATACTGTAAACCTGGGAGATTAAAAAAAACAAAAATAAAAACAAAAAACCCATTCACAAAAATCTAAAAGCCTGAAGGTGACTGTGATAGGTAAGTGTGACATATTTGTCTATATTAAGAGTGGACACATTTATCTATCTATGAGATGAGAATAAAGCAGGTATTTAAAGATGACAATAAATTGGGCAGTTTTGCTACAAAAAGAACCTAAAACGCAGCTTGGTGTCTCCAGCTCCCTCAACTGCATCCTCTGCACTCCCCTTCAGAATCCCCTCTCTTTTCCTGCAGCTTGCAGGAGTCCGGAGGGAGGGTGACCTAAGGAAGAGTCCAGGCTGCAGGTTCGATCACACCATCCCCATCTCCTTCTCTGCAGACCAGCAGGCTGCAAGAGGCGGACCTCCAGGGACACAGTCCTGGCTCTGTCATTCATTATCTTTGTGACCTTGGGTGAAGTGCTTGACCTTCTGAAGCCTTAATTTTTCTTTTCCTTTCTCTTCTTTTCTTTTTTTTTTGACGGAGTTTCACTCTTTCGCCCAGGCTGGAGTGCAGTGGTGCGATGTTGGTTCACTGCAACCTCTGCCTCCCGGGTTCAAGTGATTCTCGTGCCTGAGCACGGATGTGCACCACCATGCCTGGCTAAGTTTTGTATTTTTAGCAGAGACGGGGTATTGCCATGTTGGCCAGGCTGGTCTCAAACTTCTAGCCTCAAGTGATCTGCCTGCCTCGGCCTCCCAAAGTGTTGGGATTACAGGCGTGAGCCACCGTGCCTGGCCTGAAGTCTTCATATTTCTTATCTGTAAAACGGGGATAACAATGGTAACTGACCCAGGCTGCTGTGTGGATTAAATGAAATAACACATGTGAAGGGCTCTGCTCAATGCCTGGTACACAGTAAGCACTCAGTAAATGCCAGCTGTTCTTCCTCCTGCTCCTTCTCTTCATTTTTCTTTTCTTTTTTTTTTTGAGACAAAGTCTCATTCTGTCACCCAGGCCAGAGTGCAATCATGTGATCTTGGCTCACTGCAGCCTCCACTTCCTGGGCTCAAGTGATTCTCTAGCCTCAGCCTCCTGAGTAGCTGGGACTACAGGCATGAGCCACCAATGCCTGGCTAATTTTTTGTAGAGACAGGGTCTCGCCATGTTGCCCAGGCTGGTCTCGAACTCCTGAGCTCAAAGTGATCTGCCCGCCTTGGCCTCCCAAAGTGCTGGGATTACAGGCATGAGCCACTGTGCTTGGCCCCTTTATCTTAATTTGAATTGCTGCCAGTGTTGTGTCGGAAGATTGAGGACTTCTGAGAGAGTGGAGAGGTTTCCTGCTGCATGGTGTCTGTGGTGGCACTGAGGCCCTGTGGAGGGGAAGGCCCGTCTTGGGAGCGGGTCAGTCTGTGGTGGGACTGGAGCACTGCCAAGGGGAAGGCCTGTCTTGGGAGCGGGTCAGGCTGGGAATCAAACTGATCTCAACCTGGAGGCTGTCCCTCCACTCCCACCCTCAGGGAAGTAGGGTTTGATTTTCTCTAGAAAACCAGCTCATTTCCAAAGACCCTCTTCCTGGACTCTGGCAAATGTCCAGAAAAACTGCCAAGAGAATGTAGGATAGCCTCATTATTTCTTCTAGAAGCCTGTGTGGTGTGGATCCAGCTGCGGCAGCACACGTGCCCTCGGCGGGTCCTGTGACAGATGCTGACCTGTCACGTGTCCATCAAATGCCCAAACATCCATTTAGGGTAAAAAGGCACCTTCAACTGCACAATCAAATCACTTCTGGAAATCCTGTTGTCCCTGCTGGAGAGCAGTGGCACGATCATAGCTCACTGTAGCCTCAAACTCCTGAGCTCAAGTGATCTTCCCATGTCAGCCTCCTGACTAGCCAGGACTGCAGGTACCTGGCTCCATGCCTGACTAGCGTTATTTTTAATTTTTTTGTAGAGATGGGGTCTCGCTATGTTTCCCAGGCTGGTCTCAAGCTCCTGACCTCAAGCGATACCCTTCTCTTGGCCTCACAAAGTGGTGGGATGATGGGCGTGAGCCACCACACCTGGCCTATTTAAATAATTTTAATAATAACATCTATCATTTATTAAGTTTTTCCTCTGAGCCAGGCACTAGGCTAAGCGCTTTCCAGAATTATCTCCTTCAGTATTTTTGTCATCATTTTACAGCTGGGAAATGGAGTCCCAGAAAGGTCAAGAGCCTTGCCCAAGGTCACACAGCTCGCAGAGCTCGGATCTGGACACAGGTCCCTCTGACTCTAGGAACTTGTGTGCTCTGAATCACGGATCCCTTCTCCTGCCTTTTATGTGGTTGTGTTTTTCAGGTAACAGCGAAAAGCAAACTTTAGGCAAACTCATGGCATAACATGATCTATTAGCCTGCTGAACATGTTCTGCAGAATATCACCCGTGATCGGCCGGGCACAGTGGCTCACGCCTGTCATCCCAGCACTTTGGGAGGCCGAGGCGGGCGGATCATGAGGTCAGGAGATCAAGACCATCCTGGCTAACAAGGTGAAACCCTGTCTCTACTAAAAATACAAAAAAATTAGCCGGGTGTGGTGGCGGGTGCCTGTAGTCCCAGCTGCTCAGGAGGCTGAGGCAGGAGAATGGCATGAACTTGGGAGGCGGAGCTTGCAGTGAGCCAAGATAGTGCCACTGCACTCCAGCCTGGGTGACAGAGCGAGACTCTGTCTCAAAAAATAAATAAAAAAATAAATAAAAAAATAAATAAATAAATAAATAAATAAATAAATAAAATAAAAATAAATAAAAATAAAAAATAAAATAAAGAATATCATACATGATCTGGAAAGGGGGCCCGCCATGCTTCAGCGATTAACGTGGCCCAATGTCAACACCATGCGGAACCATACTGTGGGCAAGTGGAAGGCTACCTTTCTGTGCAAACCCTGGACAACGGGTATGGTCGGGGCCCCAGCTAGTGAGTATAGACAGCAGCCAGCCCCAAACCACTGACATGTATGGCTGTGCCAGGGAACGAAGCTAGTGTCTGCCCTCAGGCCCCTCCTCTCCACATGCCAGTCACAGCAGAGAGAATTTTCTTTGGTTACCGCTAGGATCTCTATTCTTGAGAGAGTTGGCAAATCCGGTTTTGCATCCAGTAGTATTTTCTGGACATTGTTTTCCATTCTGAGGTTCTTTAAATCTAGAAATGATTCATTCTGGTGGTCTTTATGATCTGTAAAAGAAATAAAGTAGACTCAA
This sequence comes from Homo sapiens, assembly GCF_000001405.40. Taxonomy (NCBI): domain Eukaryota; kingdom Metazoa; phylum Chordata; class Mammalia; order Primates; family Hominidae; genus Homo; species Homo sapiens. Next base: position 15,375,576 of record NC_000001.11, on the reverse strand, counting down.
AAGAAAGGCTCAGGAAGAAGTTGTTTCATGTAATAACCATAGCAACTATTTACAGGACACTTACACAGGCCTGTTTTAATCCTTACGACCTCCCGTGGCAGATGAGGACACAGTCCTAGAGAGATTAAATGACCTGGCCAAGGTCACCCGGCTCATAGGAGGCTGCAGCCACACAGGTATCAGCGCCGAGACCATTGAGGGTGGACTTTGCTAAGGTCCTTCAGCCATGGAACCAAGACGGAACTTGAACCCAGGCTTCCAGGTCCTAGACCAGTGCCCCAGCCTGCAGTGGGCCCCAAGTCTTAGGGGAGTTCTACCCCCTCTAAAGGGGGTACTGTAAGTGGTTCTCCAACATTGATCCTTAGACAGTATTCATCCATGACAAAGTTCTCACCCAGCCACCATGAAATAAGAAAAAGTAGGCTGGGTGTGGTGGCTCTCGCCTGTAATCTCAGCACTTTGGGAGGCTGAGGCGGGTGGATCACAAGGTCAGGAGTTCAAGACCAGCCTGACCAATATGGTGAAATCCCGTCTCTACTAAAATATAAAAATTGGCCAGGTGTGGTGGCTAGTTCCTGTAGTCCTAGATACTAGGGAGGCTGAGGCAGGACAATCACTAGAACCTGGGAGGCGGAGGTTGCAGTGAGGCAAGAATGCACCACTGCACTCCAGGCTGGGTGACAGAGCGAGACTCTGTCTCAAAAAAAAAAAACAAACAAAAAAAAAAACGTACAATAGTGAGTTATGCATGAAATCCTATTTATTTAATATCAAGGCCTGCACTTGACTCTGAGATCATGGTCTGCCCATCTTTTTGTGTATTACAATGTCCTCCAAGTTCTGGGATGATGCAGATAAAACATGGTAGTCCTGGCAAACTGGTCAGTCCCCAAAGTGAGCCGGAGTCTGGGGTCCACTGCTCTGACTAGGAAGGAGGAGACTTACCTGGTGAGCGCGCCTTCTCGAGTTCTTTAATTCGCGCTCGAAGTTCAGATAAGGCCTTTTTCTGACGCTGAATGACCTCCTCGTGCCGGGACCCTTTGCACCTGACCCCTAGATCGCTGAAGGATTGCTGCTGTGGGCAGAATGGGGCGGGCAGCATTTGATCAGGGATTAGAAGATTTCTCTTACATTCACAGAAATGTGAACAATTCATGTATAGAGGAACCCAGTCACTTAGCACCTTTGGAAAAATAGCATTAGGGCTTCAGCAGAGATAGAATTTACATTTTTCATCTCAAATATCGGGTCACATGTAGGAAGACTTCCAACTTTCTTATTTAGCATTACTATAAATAAAAGCCCCTCCACGTTCCCTCTCCACGTTTTATTTTTTCTTCTAATACTGTTCTATGCCTAGGTTTCCATTCGCTGTCATGCTGGTCTTGTTTCTGAACAATCACAGCCAATTCTACTCCCGGAGGGGCATTTTCAGATGAGAACCCATGATGCTTTCTTTTAACTGGTGATAAGGATGATTATTTAATATTTGCTAGGGGGATTTGATAGATTGGCTCTTGGTTGGGCTGGAGAAATGAAAACCTTCCTCTGAGGCTTCGGAGCTTCTGGAACCCCACGGAACTTTCTGTGGTGAAGGGAATGTTTTATACCTGCACTGTCCAATATGGTGGCCACTAGACCCAGATGGACCATCCTAAATAGCTCAGGTTAGAGTTGGGTTTTTTTTGTGCGTGTGTGTTTTTGTTGTTTGTTTTGGTTTTTGGATCTTGCTCTGTTGGGTCTTGCTCTGTTGCCCAGGTTGGAATGCAATGGCATGATCACGGCTCACTGTAGCCTCTACCTCTGCGCTCAAGCGATCCTTCCAGCTCTGCAGCTGGAACTACAAGTGTGTGCCACCACGCCCGACTAATTTTTCTCTATTTTTTTGTAGAGACAGGATGTCGCTTTGTTGCCCACGCTGGTCTCAAACTCCTGAGCTCAAGCAATCCTCCTGCTTCCGCCTCCCAAGGTGCTGGGATTACAGGCATGAGCTACTGTAACCAGCCTAGAGTTGGGTTTACTAAGAGCACAGACAAAGAAAGGCCTTTTTCACCATTTTTTTTTTTTGACGGAGTCTTGCTCTGTCGCCCAGGCTACAGTGCAGTGGCGTGATCTTGGCTCACTGCAACCTCCACCTCCCGGGTTCAAGCGATTCTCCTGCCTCAGCCTCCTGAGTAGCTGGGATTACAGGTGCATGCCACCACGCTCAGCTAATTTTTTGTGTGTTGTTGGTAGAGACGGGGTTTCACCACGTTGGCCAGGCTGGTCTCGAACTCCTGACCTCGTGATCCGCCTCCCTCGGCCTCCCAAAGTGCTGGGATTACAGGTGTGAGCCACTGTGCCCAGCCGTCTTTTTCATCTTTTAAGGGTCATGTACCCTTTTAAGATTTGGAAGCATGCAGGGTTTTTTCCTCCAGAAAAATTCACATCGACACAAATATTTGCATACAACGTCCAGAGGGTCAAGACCTCCTGAAGTCCATTCATAAACTCTGAGCTAAACAATGCTTCTCTAGGGTAAGAAATTCATTCATTCATCTCACATCGATTTATTGAGCACCTCTATGTGCCAAGGCTTATTCTAGGCTCTGGGGATTGAGTAGTTGCTAAACCCAGCAACATCCCTGTTGTCATAGATTTTGCATCCTCATGTGGGCAGACAGACAACAAGGTGAAAATATCTGGTAGAAGTTATAAATGGTAAAGAGAAAATTAAGTGGGGAAACAGGGTGGGATGTTGGGAACCGTTTTCATTTGTAGATAGAGTTGCCAGGGAAGGCTTCAGTCAAATTGGCAAGAAAGAGAAGAAACTGACAATCTGGCTCTTTTATAATACTTTTTAAAATACCAGTTTTGGTTCATTTCATGCATATACATATACATATATAGATAGCTATAGATATGGAAGATAATATATATGTAGTATGAAGTGAACCAAAATTATTTTAGAAGTTGCCTATCCATCTATCTATTGAATGGTAGCAGTGGCTGCATGCCGGACACTGTTCTAGGCACTGGGGTGAGATCAGGGAGCAGGCAGACCAGCCCTTGCTGCTGTGGGTGCATTTTCTATGGGGCAGACAGGTAACAGACAGACAGGCGCACAAATACTCTGATTCTGGAGAATGATAAGTGCTCCGGGAAAAGAACGCAGAGGAGAGCAAAGGAGACATCTGTTTGTTCTTCCTCCTTTGATGGTTCAAATGCTTATCAGAGGCCTGTATGACACATCCCCGGCCCTGTGCTAGCCACACTGCCACCAGGGGAACAGGGCCCGTGGCCTCCTACAAGGGGTTCAACAGTGCCGTCTGAGGCCCTCCTGGGACGGTCCCCTACCCCCACCCCCATGTCCCCACCACTCGTTCCCTTCCTTCCTTCTGGCTCTGCTCCAGGTCTCCTCCAGCACAGGCCTCCCTGACCACCTGATCACCTGACCACCCCCATGCCCCCGCGTCACTGTGCTGAATCCTGCTGTGCAGTTCCTCAGAGCGCTTATTCCCACTGGACATTTTACTTGATCTTGGCTTGTTTATTTCTGTGTCTCTCCTCCCAGATGACAGGCTCCGTGAGAGCAGTCTTTATCTCCTTTGAAGACTGTGCTATTCCCAGGGCCCAGCACTGTGTCTGAGCACAGTAGGTACTCAATAAATACAGAGCCTGTCAGAAACAGGAGCTGTAAGGAGCTTGCCCTGGCTTTCCAGCTGGGACCAGGGCTCAGCAGCGGTGAGAGGGAGGCAGCCCACCCTGCCTGCGCTTAGTACGGCCTCGCTTGTCCTTGGACCCTGTCTTCAGCCTGCTCACAGGATGCGTGGCTGGTTCCCTTCCAGCGCTGGCTCTACACTGGCCTTGGTCACCTCTTGAGGATGCGTGTTTGCCCCGGCAGTAAACAACCTGGAACGTTCTCCCTTGCTCTCTGTCTCTCTGTGTATAGCAGGGGGCAGCAGATACTGAGTTTTGGGGGCACAGGGGTAGCCATGCATTAAGGCTCCGTCACAGCCTGTGCTTGGCCTGAGGGGTACCAGGAGCTCCATGTGACCCCTCCTTGCGGATCTGCTGGGAATTTATTTATTTGGAGAGGATGAGATTCTTTCTCATACAACTCTTAAGCCCTCTGACCCACTCTGGCTTAGAAAGCAGGAAGGAGCCCGAAGGAGGAAAACCATTCCAAGAAGGAACAAATACATTTTCCCTTTTATCTTGCAGTCTCCCTCCCCCGTCCTCCTCCACTAATCCTTCCACATAATATAAACTAAAAATCAAGGGCATCCCAGTTCAACAATCCAGTCCAACAGACGTGCACAGAGTCCAAGGGCGTTTGGTGTGGGCGGGACCCTGTGCGTCTTCTCCTATCCCTGGCATAGGGCCTGACACACAGCAGGTGCTCAATAGTTGTTGAAGGAGTGAATGAATATGGGTCAGGTTCTGCTGTAAGAGCCTGGGATTCCAACAGGAGTGCCACACACCCCCTGCCCCACGGAGCTTACGGCCACGTGGACCTGCTGCAGCCCCTGCCTTCCTGGTTGCCCTGAGCAACCAGGAGACAATTCTGTTAAAGTGCTCTGGACAGCAATCGATGCCAAGGACAGCTGGCTGGACCTCGAGCCCTTTCGTTCAAGCTGTTTGCGGCCCTGGCTCAATGCTGTCTGGCAGGGGAAAGGCATCTCTGAGAGAGCCGGAAAGCAAGCTGACACATTTGGCCTGGCTTCCCGGTGAAAATCCAAAGCCCATTACTGGAACGCCATGCTCTCTAGGCTCAAAAAGCCCTGGGGAAAGAATAGCCCCAGGCTCCAGGAAACCAGGGCCTTGAGGAACCACTGAGTCTCACCATTGCATGCTGCGGATCATCGGGAGTATCACAGCCCCAGTCATAGGGACAGAGTGTGAGCACCTGCTTCCAGGGCGGCCCAATGAAGGCTGTTTTCACTCAAAGACACACTCCCATCAGATGCTTCTGGGCAGGTGCATGGAACAGCTACCAAGACACAGCCATGGGGCACTCACTACGTGGCTCTTCGGGAAGGCAGTTTGGCCCCATCAAGCACAATTCAGGAAGAACAAGTACATTAACGACAGCATTGCACAAGAGGAGAAATAACCTAAGTGTCCATCAAGAGGGGACTGGTTGGAAAAAAGAAACACAGTGGAATTCTACACAACCATTTAAAAGGGTAAGGCAGATCTTCATATACTTGCAAATATGCCCATTAAATACTGTTATGTAAAAATAAACCCATGTTGCAGAATGTACATGGTTTGATACCATTAGCAAAAAAATTATCTACTAAACAAATATCTATATGGGCCAGGCGTGGTGGCTCACACTTGTAATCTCAGCACTTTGGGAGGCTGAGGCAGGAGGATCTCTTGAGTCCGGGAATTCAAGACAAGCCTGGGTAACATGGTGAAACCTCATCTGTACTAAAAATACAAAAATTCGTCAGGTGTGGTGGTGTGCGTCTGTAGTCCCAGCTACTAGGGAGGCTGAGGCAGGAGGATCATTTGAACCTTGGGAAGTTGAGGCTGCAGTGAAGTTGTGATTGCACCACTACATTCCTGCCTGGGTGACAGAGTGAGACCTTTCCTCAAAATAAATGAATGAATGAATAAATAAATATATGTATGGGTTTGTGTGTGTTTGTTCAGGTGTGTATATACATAAAATGTATTTCTCAACCAACCCATAAGGTGGGGGTGGTCATTACTGTCAGAACAGGGAACTGGTGTACAGTGACCTCCCCAAGGTCACAGAGTTTCTAAGTGGAGGAGTTGGGATTCGAACACAGGTGGAACGAATCCACACCTGATCTTCAGTCACTGCATTTTCTTGACCATGTGAGAACGTGGAGGCCTCTCCGAGGGAAAGATCTCATGGCATGCACATCACACCGTGGACAGCTGTGACCTCTGGTGACTGTGACTAAAGAGGCAGTATTCTGCGATTTACTTTATACATTTCACACCAGCAAGCCATACTTTTGGAACTTAGAATGAAAGTGTCTTCAAAAGGAAAGACAGCCACCACTGGGCTGTGTCTTTGCACATCCTTCCAGTACCCAGGAGTGGGTGGCACTCACCTCTTGGCTGCTGGAGAAGGCCTCAGTGTGGACGGGTTCTATCTGCACAGAGGTGTCACACGTCTGGGTCTTCTTCCGGGGCTTCTGTTCCTTCTCTGTGTTCAGCTGGAGTCTGTGTTTCTCTTGGGAAGCCCTAGGGTAGAGAAGAGGAGGATGGCACGAGGTTCTGGAAACCACAAATTACTTTTACACTCATTGGAAGACCAGGACATGGAGCTCTATTTTTATAGGAAACAGAATTCTTTTGAGACTTGTTTCCTGTTCCCATATTTCTAGAGAATTCAGTTTCAGGGGACTTATGGGAGAGTGGCCAGGGCAGGGAACACCTGCCCTTGGTTCCTGCACGGGGGCTGAAGACACCTGCTGTGGCTTTACAGGGACATTCACTGCATGTCTGCTGTTTCTAACACTTTATGTGTGGCTAACCCTTCTATCTCTCATAACAATCCCACAAGTTAGGTACTCTGCTTGTCTCATTTTACAGACAAGTAAAGAGACACACAGCAATCTGCCTGCAGTCACCTTTCTTGTAAGTGGATGGTCTGGCTATTTTTTTTTTTAGATGGAGTTTTGTTCTTGTTCTTCCACCCAGGCTGGAGTGCAATGGTGTGATCTTGGCTCACTGCAACCTCCGCCTCCCAGGTTCAAGCAATTCTCCTGCCTCAGCCTCCCAGATAGCTGGGACAGGCATGCACCACCACATCTGGCTAATTTTGTATTTTTAGTAGAGACAGGGTTTCACTATATGTTGGCCAGGCTAGTCTCAAACTCCTGACCTCGGGTGATTCACCTGCCTCAGCCTCCCAAAGTGCTGGGATTACAGGCGTGAGCCACTGGGCCTGGTCTAGGGTCTGGCTTTGAAACCAGGCAGCCAGGTCTGGAGTCTGCTCCTTTAGCCACTATGTGAATCTGCTTTGGCCACGAGGCACACAAAGCTACCAGATAGCCACAAAACATCAATTTCAGTCAAACTCTTTTTTTTGTGAAAACAGGACTCATTCTAAAATATGGATAAGCTGAGGGTAAAAATGCAACTCACGGGGATTTTTAAAGATGAACCCATGGGACAATGACAATATTTTGTATGTATTTTAAGCTGACACCTCCAGTTTATTCATTTGTTAAATAAATATTAAGTTCCCTTATGTGCTGGGCTGGGAAATCAATAGTGGGCAAGGTCTACACAGACCCTGTCCTCGTGGGGAGGGCAGACAATAAACAGGCAATGGGGCCGGGCGCGGTGGCTCATGCCTGTAATCCCAGCACTTTGGGAGGCCGAGGTGGGTGAGTCACTTGAGGTCAGGAGTTCGAGACCAGCCTGGCCAACATGGTTAATCTCCATCTCTACTAAAAATACAAAAAAATTAGCCAGGCCTGGTGGCTCATGCCTGTAGTCCCAGCGACTCCAGAGGCTGAGGCAAGAGAATGGCTTGAACCCGGGAGGCAGAGGTTGCAGTGAGCCAAGATCGTTCCACTGCACTCCAGCCTGGGCAACAGAGTGAGTGAGATTCTGTCTCAAAAAAACAAACAAACAACAACAACAACAAAACAGGCAAAGGTAGCCTTGCTGTGTGCTAAGTGGTAGGTTAGACAGAGTGCAGGGGCTGAGGGAGCCCAAGCACAGCAGGATCCCTTGGCTATGCTTGGTGAGGGTGAGTGAGGGAGGGCTTCCTGGAGGAAGTGGCATTTAAGCAGAGACCTGTCATCTGGAATATTGGACAAGGAAGTTTGAGAAGCACAGAATAAGCCAAGCCATGAAACACATATCATTCATTCATTCAACTCCTCAAGCAGCATGTACTGAGCCCTCTCTCTGCAATACTCAGCGGCTCCCCACGGCAGGCAAACCATCCCCCCAACCCGGCCCCCGCCCACCCAACCTGAGTGCCTCCTCAAGGGCCTTCAGCTCCCGATCTTTCTTTTCTACCAGGCTGCTCATCTGGGCCATCTTCTCCTTGAGCACACTCAGCTCCTTGCTCTGCTGCTGGACCAGCACCACGTTCTGCTCCAGTTCCATCTTCTGCTTCTCGTTTAGCTCCCCTGCGAGTGACAGGAGGGCCGGTAAGGGGGTCTCTGCCTCCCGGGTTCAAGTGATTCTCCTGCCTCAGCCTCTTGTGTACGTGGGATTACGGGCATGCGCCACCACGACTGGCTAATTTTTGTATTTTTAGTAGAGACAGGGTTTCACCATGTTGGCCAGGCTGGTCTCAAACTCCTGACCTCAGGTGATCCACCCGCCTCAGTCTCCCAAAGTGCGGGGACTACAGGTGTAAGGTAGCTACTATTAGCATCCTTACTTCACAGATGCAGAAACTGAGGCTCAATGAGGTAAGGGACTTACTTGGGGTCATGCAACTAAGAGTGAGCAGATATAGAATTGGGCCCAACATCTCCCGTGAACTTGGCATTGTAGCCTCTACCCCACACTTTCTCATATCTTATTACAAAAAAACCTCAGCCATAAATGTCTTGGGGGTGTTAACAGGAATAGCTACAGGGAGCAAATATCCTGTAGGGTTTGGGATGGGGACAAGATAAGAGCATTCTCTTCCCTTCCTCCACTTCCCCGGGCTTAGTTCCATCTTCCAGCTCCTGCCTGTTTATGCCCTTTGGCTTGAGGGAGAGTAGAGATGGGAAAGAGAGGCTGCTATCAGATGCAAGAAGGAGGGAGGCAGAAGTAAAAGCACAGAGACAAGGAGGAACAAAGCAGGAATATGAAGGCGGCATTGTTTGTGTCTGTCCAGAACAGCACAGAACTCAGTTATTTTGCCCCTACTCTAGGGGCCACTCATGTCCATGTCAACCGTAGGAAGAAGGTGTGTTGTCTCTACTTGGCATCTGAGGAAGAGAAGGCCTGGAGAGGCCCCCTTGCCCTAGGTCCCAAAGCTAGTGAGTGCCGGGGCTTGTGCAAACTGGCCTGCTGCAGGGAGATCCCAGGATTGCCCTCCAAGCCTTTGCTTCCAGAAGCAAATCTGTGCTAAAGGAAAATTATCCCTGAAGAAGTAAGTTGCATTTCAGTGCAGAGGTCCAAAGTCCTCTGGAGAATGTGCCCTGCGCCCCTTGGCATTGAGTCAGAGACTCAGTGCGGGTAGGAATCAGGGACATATCCAGGATACGGCTTTTGCTGACCCTGAGTTAAAGGTGCTGCGACAGCACAGGGAAGCAGGATTTTTTATGCCAAGGTTTTCAACTCTTTTTTTTTTTTTTTTTTTTTTTTTGAGACAGAGTCTCGCTTTGTCGCTCAGGCTGGAGTGCAGTGGCGCGATCTCAGCTCACTGCAACCTCCACCTCCTGGGTTCAAGCAATCCTCTGCCTCAGCCTCCTGAGTAGCTGGGATTACAGGTGCCCACCACCACACCCAGCTAATTTTTGTATTTTTAGTAGAGGTGGGTTTTCACCATATTGGCCAGGCTGGTCTTGAACTCCTGACCTTGTGATCCAACTGCCTTGGCCTCCCAAAGTGCTGGGATTATAGGCGTGCGCCACTGCGCCCGGCCGACTCTTTAGCCTCATCTCCTTCCTTTCTCGAGTGGGTCAGGAGGTCAAGAGACACCAGAAATTGTTCAAACCTCTCAAATCCGACATTCTGCTGTGGGCTTCGGTAAGGTCTTTCCTTAACTTCATGATGACTTCCTGCTGAGACAGAATTTCCTTCTGAGCAGCCAATAAGTCATCTCTGAAATTCACAAAAACAGGTGAAGTCAGTTCAACTCAAACTCCATGTTATCTCCTGAGTGTCAGGAGGGGCCAAGTACAAATGCAAAGAGATTCTCAATCACGGTCCATGCAACGCCAGTCCCAGCAAAGGATGAGGACAGTCTTCAAAAACTCTAAAAGAAAAACGACTTTTTTCATGCACCTCATTTAAGAAAATACATTAAGGCCAGGCACCAGGCATGTGCTTGTAATCCCAGCACTTTGGGAGGCCAAGGCTGGAGAATTACTTGAGCTCAGGAGTTCGAGACCAGCCTGGGCTACATAAGTCAGAACCCCGTCTCTACAAAAAAAAAAAAAAAAAAAATTAGCCAGGCATAGTGGTGTGTGGCTGTTGTCCCAGCTACTCGGGAGGCTGAGGTGGGAAGATTGCTTGAGCATAGGAGTTGAAGGCTGCACTCCAGCCTGGGTGGCAGAGCAAGAACCCATCTCTAAGAAAAAAAAAAAGAAAGAAAGAAAAAAGAAAATCCACTGAGATAGAACACAGGATCTGGCTGAGTTGAGTCTGCGGCTCAAACATGCCTTGCATGAGACTGATACCCACTACCCACCATCATGAATGGATGTGCCTGTGGACTTCTGATGGTGGAGGGACATGGGAAGACTATTTTGGGGAGGTTCAGGGATTCTTTGGGGACAGGGAAGAAAAAAGAGAGGAAGACAATGTGGCTTTGTTCTCTCAGCAGCCCCTTTGAATTCCTGGTGGAGAGAGGTGGGGCCAGATGTGAATGAATGGTGTTCTTCTGGGAGCCAGTGGAAGTGTGGCCCAGGCAACAGGGGCCCAGGCAACAGGGGGACAGTGATGGTGATGGGACAACTTCCCCTCCCACACCCCTGGAGGGCAGCACACGTTTGGTGCCCTGAGACTCAGGATGGTTGATGGGAGGGAGGCTGCGCCCAGTGGAGAGGTGAAGGGCGCCCAGCAGGAATGGCAGGGGAGGCGCCTTGGTGGGGATTTGACTGGAAGAACACAGGGTGCATGTCTCAGCAAGTTGAGAAACTGCAGCCTGGCGGAGATAGGTCATGTGTGTGCTGCAGGGAGTGGGTCTTGCCCTTTTGGAAGGGGGTTAGGAGCCTTAGTCTTTGCAGGTATTAATGCCACTTCATTTGAGTTCACAGGCTTTTGAAATCCAGGCTCTTCTTATAAAGACTTTATTTTTTATTTATTTTTATTTTTTTGAGACGGAGTCTTGCTCTGTCGCCCAGGCTGGAGTGCAGTGGCGTGATCTCAGCTCACTGCAAACTCCACCTCCCAGGTTCAAGTGATTCTCCTGCCTCAGCCTCCCAAGTAGCTGGGACTACAGGCATCTGCCACCATGCCTGGCTAATTTTTGCATTTTTAGTAGAGACGGGGTTTCACCATGTTGGCCAGGCTGGTCTCAAACTCCTGACTTCAGGTGATCCACCCGCCTCGGCCTTCCAAAGTGCTGGGATTACAGGTGTGAACCACTGCGCCCCGCCTTATACAGACTTTAGAAGGTACTGTGTTTATTATGAATTAAAGTAAAACACTGGCAGGTTGCATGTCAAACAAACAAACAAAAAGACTGGTGATCATCAGAATGAAAATAACTACATAGATATAGTATATTCTGTGTGTGCATGCATGCGTGTGTGTCCACGTGAGTGTGTTCTTGGCTGCAACCACAAATCTTCCAACTTGAGGATAAAACCTTAGAATTCAAGCATGTTCACACGCCAAGGAAGTGGACCAGAGCAGAGCTGGGTGGTGCTGAGTCTTCTCCAAGTCATGGGCACCACCGTTTCTAGATTTTAAACAGGAGGAGGAGTCAGGAACTTTTCACAATGCGGAGGCTGAGTATCCTTGTCTTTTTGGGGTAAAAACCCTGTGACATTAGACTTCGGTCACTAGGATTTGGTGCAAGGGTCAGGCAGGTGGTTCTCCTCTTGGGGGAGCTTCTGAATCCCTCCACTGCATCCCATCGGCGCCTCCTTCTTTACGTGCTGCTTTCTGGATCTTTCCCATTCATACGTTTGTTTCTCTGAAAACTGTCAGTTCTTTGAGGATAGACTTCTTTGTAGACTCACTGGCTTTCAGGGTCAGGAGAGTTGAAATCATTTATTTAAGGTCACTTAGCCGACCCCTTAACTTCTCACCCTTTACAGGGCCCCGCCCCACCAAGTGGTCTCCACTGTTTGAAATCTCTGTCTGCTTAATAACACCTGTGAGTGGGCTTGCCTCTAGCTGATCCTCGGGAAAACTAGCTAATAACAGTATTAGCTAGATTTCCCAAGCACTAGGCATGTACAGCCTTACTTCACAAATGTGGAAGCTAAGGCTCAGTGAGGTGGCGTGACTTGCCCAGGGTCACACAGCTGGAGTGTTGAGTTGGGATCTGCTATGTTTGAATGTTCATCCCCTCCAAATCTCAAGTTGAAACTTAACCCCCAATGTGGCAGTATTGAGAGGTGGGGCCTTTATAAAGCGATTGGGTCACGAAGGTACAATTATGGATTAATAGATTTGTGGACTACTGAGTTAGTGGATTAATGGGTTATCATGGCAGTGAGACTGTGGATTTATAAAAAGAGGCAGGGAGACCTGAGTTAGCACGCTCAGCCCCTGGATGTGATGCCCTGCACCACTCCCAGACTCTGCAGAGCCCCAACAGCAAGAAGGCCCTCACCAGATGCAACCCCTCAACCTGGGACTTCTCAGTCTCCATAACTGTAAGAAATGAATCTCTTTTCTTTATAAATTACCCAGTTTTGGGTATTCTGCTATAAATAGCAGAAAACAGTCTGAGGATCTGAATGTAGGTCTACCTAAATCTTTCCACGACACTGCCCTGCCTTGCTGAAGGAATGGGGAAGTGGAAGCAGCACTGGGAAGGCAGCAGGCCTGGCTCCTTGTTTGGCTTCTGACAATGTGGTCTGGGCTGAAGGAATGGGGAAATGGAAGCAGCACTGGGAAGGCAGCAGGCCCGGCTCCTTGTTTGGCTTCTGACAATGTGGCCCAGGTAGGGGCTGGTTGCCTGTTTGCCCCCACCCAGGTGGTGCCGGTGAGAATGCCTGGCGCTCACACACCCACGGGTACTCACATCAGATGTTCGTACGCCATGTCTTTGGCACTGCTCTCTGTCATGGGAGCCACCAGAGGGTCTTGCGGCCTTTCCTCCTTTGGGGCTGTATCAGAGGGACATGTGATCATTGTGAGAGGAAACTGTCCTTCCCCTTTGCTTACAAGCACACCTGTGTCTTTCACAACTTACAAACCCTGCCTCCACCTGCAGCCCTCTCCACCTTGTGAGACCTGCACGTGTGCCATGTCACAGGCTGGGGGCTCTCCCCAAGTGTGTGGCCATGCAATCTTCCCAGCTACTCTAGAAGGCAGGGGCCATCAAATCCACTTACAGACAGGGAAAGGGGCACCGGAGTGATGGAAGCTGCCGGCGACCCACTTGGCTAAGCTGGTGAGCAGTGCAGTCTCAGCCCCTGGTCCCACCGCCTGCCTGTCTCTCTTGGAAGAAGAATCTGTGTTTAGCGCCTTCCTCTCCTCACCTCCCATTTACACCTCAGTGCACCGCCTCTAGCGTCCTGTCTCACTACTCAGTCACATGTTCACTCACTTGTTTATCCTCACGTGTTCACTCACTTGTTTATCCCTTCAACTAACATTTGTGGAGTGCATACTGGTCTAAGTACGGGGGTGACAAAGATGCAGTCACCCTTCAGGTCCCAGCTCAATCTCAAACACCCTCCCTCTGACCTGGACGTCACCCTTCAGGTCCCAGCTCAATCTCTCTCTTTCTTTTTTTTTTTTTTGAGACAGAGTCTCGCTTTGTTGCTAGGCTGGAGTGCAATGGCGCGATCTCGGCTCACTGCAAGCTCCGCCTCCCGGGTTCAAGCGATTCTCCTGTCTCAGCCTCCCGAGTAGCTGGACTACAGGCGCGCGCCACCAGGCCCGGCTAATTTTTGTATTTTTAGTAGAGACGGGGTTTCACCATGTTGGCCAGGATGGTCTCGATCTCTTGGCCTAGTGATCCGCCGGCCTCGGCCTCCGGAAGTGCTGGGATTACAGGCGTGAGCCACTGACCTGGCCCCCAGCTCAATCTCAGACACCCTCCCTCTGACCTGGACTCTGGATTGGGAAACTGAACTCCACTCTTTGTCCTTGTCATGGTGCCCTATTCATCCTGGATCACCTGTCAGGGCAATAATTTTGTTACTACGGGGACAAAATCTGGTTTGTCCATCATTGGATCCTGAGTGCCTACATGAGATTGGAACATAACAGAAGCTCCACCGAGAGAGCTGAGTGAGTGAATGAATGAGGTAAGTCCTGATGGCTTGCCAGCTTGCTGGGGACTACAGCCATGTTTCTTAAGCAGGAGTGAATTTGCCTCTAGGGGACATTGGGCAATGTCTGGAGATATTTTTGGTTGTCCCAACTGGGGTAGGGGTGCCACTGGCAACTGATGGATGGAGGACAGGGAGGCTGCTAACACCTGATAGTGCCCAGGACAGTCCCATCCATGAAAAAATGATCCTGCTCCAAATGTCAACAGGGCTGAGGCTGGGATACCCTGGCCTGAGTCCTCTACTTCCAGAACTTTCTTCAAGAGCTTACAATAATACAGCTTACCTTGGCCATTTGGGGCAAATAAGTGCTCACAAGTCTGAGTTCTTTTTTCAGCCTCTTTAGGGTTAATTTTTTAAGGGATAAATCCTGGCTGGTAATGAGTGCATTAGTGAAGATGCAAAAGGCCGATGGCAGAGAGAAACCTTTGAAAGGCCCCTGCATGAGATGTTTTCATGTGGAAAAGATGATTCCACTTCGCGCTGCCCTCGCTGGCCCTGACAGCCCCGGTAGCCTGTGTGTCTCGCCGGCTCACTGAGTAGGCACAAAGGATGTCCCAACTCATTGCCATGACTTCTGCTGAACCTGGGCCTCGGAGGGCTTCTGACATCGTTGTGTAACAAGAACAAAAGGGGGCCTCAGAGAATGAATGAGCTTTCGAATGAGGCACGGCCTTTTTCTTAGCCATCAGCCTGTTGGGACCCAGCGGACAATCAGAACCTGCCCCGAACACTAAGATTTCCTTGGCCTCCCTTCGGACTTACCTGGGTCATTGTCCTTCAATGTTGCAATCTCGCCTTCTATTTTTTTATGGTGCTGAGTGACTTTCTGGAGTTTCTCTTCGAGGCTCACAATTGTCTGGGCGTGCTGTTTGATTTGCTCCTTATATTCCATGATCTCTTCTTCAAACCCGTGTCTCTGTGATTCCTGCTCATCCTGGAGGGCCTTTACCATCTTCTGCTGCAGGATTAGCCGCTCTTCCACCATGATCTGGGAAACAGAGAGTCACTCAGTGAGGTCTTGGGAGCTGTGTATGACGGCAACAATAATATGCCCCCTGGGCACACACATAGGTGCTAAACTGGGCCCCACCCCAGGGCCTTAGCACATGCAGTTCCCTCTGCCCTGTGCACTTCTTCCCCAGCTCCTTGCATGGCCAACTCCTTCTTGACTCTCAGGGCTCAGCTCCAGCATCACGTCCTCTGAGAGGCCCTCCCTGACTACCTATCAGGAGTAGCCCCAGACACTTTCTGTTCCAGCGTCTGTTTCATTGTCCCTGAAGCCTTTAATTTTGTTTCTTTGTTTCTCTTCCCCGCTAGAAATGTAAACTTTTTGTTGTTGTTGTTGTTTGTTTTGAGACAGAGTCTTGCTCTGTCACCCACATTAGAGTGCAGTGGCACTATCTTGGCTCACTGCAACCTCTGCCTCCTGGGTTCAAGCGATTCTCCTGCCTCAGCCTCCTGAGTAGCTGGAACTACAGGTGTGCGCCAACACACTCAGCTAATTTTTTTTTTTCTTGAGACGGAGTCTCTCTCTGTCACCCAGGCTGGAGTGCAGTGGCGCGATCTCGGCTCACTGCAAGCTCCGCCTCCCGGGTTCACACTATTCTCCTGCCTCAGCCTCCTGAGTAGCTGGGACTACAGGCGCCCGCCACCACGCCTGGCTATTTTCTTGCATTTTTAGTAGAGATAGGGTTTCATCATGTTAGCCAGGATGGTCTCGATCTCTTGACCTCATGATCCGCCCGCCTCGGCCTCCCATTAATTTTTGTATTTTTTTTTTAGTGGAGATGGGGTTTTGCCATGTTGGCCAGGCTGGTCTCAAACTCTTGACCTCAGATGATCCACCCACCTTGGCCTCCCAAAGTGCTGAGATTACAGGTGTGAGCCACTGTGCTCAGCCAGAATTTGCATTTCTTAAAAACAAAAAATTACTAATGACCCCCGAATGGCAAATCTGCTGCTTTCCCATGCCTACAACCTCCTAAGGCTCCCCTTGGCGTTTCCATCCCAGCACCTCCTCCTCACTGCCCGCCTTCTGCTCCCACCTCACCCTGTCCTGCTCCCTATTCCCAGGTGACGTGCTGGGCCTTGGCCTCTGATCTACCCATGACAGATACATTCTTTGCCCGAGACACTCACACATGCCTGCTCTTCCAAGGACCCTACCTAAGAGGCTGCCTTCCAGATTAGGCTCTTGTCTTGCTTTCTCTCCCAAAACTATTGTGCACCCAAATCTCGGGAGCTTTTGGACTTTGATGCCCTATCCTCGCCTTACTCCTCTTGTCTCCTCTTCTCCAAAAGAGGGTCGCTCCAAGAGAACCCCCCACCATGACCCCAGACCTCCATACTCCCATCCTTATGTCGTCCCTATGCCATCAGGTCCCCAGGCGCCCTGGCCTGAAGTGTGCAGTCTCCTTCGGCACTGTCCTCTCCTTGGTGCTCACGTCCTGCCAGCAGTTATCAAGTCCTGCCATCGTAACTCTCTCCAGAGACTCCCTTCCCCCCACGCCTCCCCCAGCTCCCGCCAAGGTCAGCTCCTTATGATTCTGGTCTACACCACGTTCCACACCCAGAGCTGTTCTCTCCAACGCCACACCCTCGTGAAATTTACTCTGTGCTCTTCTGGGAGATTCACCTTCATGAATTCCTTGCCCAGAAACCTGTCGGTTGAACGTGTGGATGACAGAGGGAATGCACATCGAGCCCTAATTGTGGAGGGCCTCGAATGCCGAGCCTACACTTTAATGCATTGTCTTAAAGCCTGTGGAATCGTCACTCATCACTCAATCCTGAGGCTCTCCAGGCGTTCTGATCCTGTGAGGACCCTGCATTACAACATCTCAGAACACCGTGCAGAGAGGGCATCCTAGCTCTGTGTACATTTCGTTCTAAACCAACGCTTCTCATTAGGGGTCCATTAAGGGACACTTGGCAATGTCTGAAGACATTTTTGGTGATCACGACTGTGGGGAGAGGGCTCCTGGCATCTGGTGGGTAGAGAACAGAGGTGGTGCTAAATATCCTAAGATGCTCAGGACAGCCCCTGACAGGAAAGAGCTACTTGGCCCAGAACATCAGCAGTGCTGAGGCTGAGAAGCCCCGGTCTAAACCACACATTCTCGTGGCACTGTAATCTTCCATTGAGAGAAAAATTCTCCCGTTCCCGGAAGGCACCGACTTACCATTTTTGTCTTGGTAGTTTCCAGTTCGGCTAATGTTTCATTTAATTTCAAGGCGAGGCTCTCTGCTTTTAGACTTTCAGTTGCCTTTGTTTTCTGAGTCTCTTCAACCATGGCCAG
Source organism: Homo sapiens (assembly GCF_000001405.40). Lineage (NCBI taxonomy): Eukaryota > Metazoa > Chordata > Mammalia > Primates > Hominidae > Homo > Homo sapiens. Next base: position 15,358,166 of record NC_000001.11, on the reverse strand, counting down.
TGCGTCACTTAATTTATTATTTAAAACGTCCTCTTTTTGCTCTTTTAATTCTAATTCCTAGACAAAAAAACAAGTAGCAAAATAACAGACATTCAGGAATACATATTTACCCAGCCCCCTTATCCCCCACCTTCAAGGACAGGGTAAAGTCTATTCTCTAATTATTCTGTCGATTCTTTTAAAGCACAAAGTCCATGCCTTCTCTGGAAGGTTCCAATTATTATAGAACTCGTCTTTATATTCAGCGGAGATCTGTCTCCTTGTGATTTCTGGTCTCTGAGCTCAGTTCTGTCACCTGGAGCTCATTGAGTATGTTTTATTTCTCTTTTATGAGACAGCCCTTTAAATATTTGAGGAGGGCTGTCATGTCTGTCTCTAAATCTGTTCTCCAAGATGAATGTGCTGAGTCCCTTCTCTCCTTCACTGCAACACCTGCCTTCAGGACACCCCCCTTTCCTCCAGGGCTCCAGCGGCCCTGTCCTGGGCATCTCTTATCCCTCCTCCCGGAACCCATTCTCCTTTTTTTTTTTTTTTTTTTTTTGAGACGGAGGAGTCTCGCATTGTCACCTGGGCTGGAGCGCAACGGTGCTATCTCAGCTCACTGCAACCTCCGCCTCCCAGGTTCAAGCGATTCACCTGCTTCAGCCTCCCAAGTAGCTGGGACTACAGGCACACGCTACCACACCCAGCTAATTTTTGTATTTTTAGTAGAGACGGAGTTTCACCATGTTGGCCAGGCTGGTCTCGATCTCTTGACCTCGTGATCCGCCTGCCTCGGCCTCCCAAATTCTGGGATTACAGGCGTGTGCCAACGCGCCTGGCCCCATTCTTTTGATCTTTCATAGTCAACATTCTATTCTGAGTCCCTCCTGCAATAATGTGAAGTGTGGGCTTCTTGAGTGGCACTGTGCTGGGCATCTTACGAACATTATTTAATCCAATTTAAAATATATTCAAAGTACTGGGCATTCTTAAACTCTGTTGGTGGAGGTGCAAACTGCTGTGACCTTTCTAGACACTCACTCAGGAATGTGTATTATGAGCCTGAAAATGTGCATGTCCTGTGACTCAGCAACTCCACTTTAGGGAATTTTTCCTAAGGACGTAAAGACTGATGCACAGGGTGGGTCAGCCGGGCATCTGCTGCACTAGTGAAGAGTGAGAAACCACCCCAGGGGAGAAGAAAAGAAATCGGCTTCCATCCAGCACAGTGCAAACCCAGGCCATGGAAGATTGTTCGATGACATTGAGACATTCTACGCAACATGAAATCATTCAATTTTTTTTTTTTTTTTGAGATGGAGTCTTGCTCTGTTGCCCAGGCTGGAGTGCAGTGGAATGATCTCAGCTCACTGAAACCTCTGCCACCCAGGTTCAAGTGATTCTCCTGCCTCAGCCTCCTGAGTAGCCGGGATTACAGGCACCCACCACCACGCCCGGCTAATTTTTGTATTTTTAGCAGAGATGCGGTTTTGCCATGTTGGCCAGGCTGGTCTTGAACTCCTGACCTCAGGTGATCTTCCCACCTCGACCTCCCAAAGTGCTGGGATTACAGGCGTGAGTCACTGTGCCTGGCCAAAATCATTCAAACTTAAAGCGGTTGAAACCTTAAATTATTTTGAGACTCGAGAGGAATGTGGCTGTGTGGCCTGGGTCACGTAGCACGCACCTGCAACTTCTATTCTTTTCTGTAAATGAGTGGGAAAGCCCTGGCCACGCCAGAGATGACTCCTTCAGATGATCACCCCTCATCCTGGAATAGTAAAGCAATTTTCCCAGGAATGTAGCAAGCTGTAACCAACCAAAGGGCTATAACCGCATGTGCTGACCTTGTGTGGAAGACACTGCGATCCTGTTAACTGCCTATCAAAGTGAAACTTTCACCTCCCTGCTTTGGAACACTGACTCATTCTTTTGAAGTCTGTTTTCTGGGTTGCCGTCCTCAAGCTTTGAGCTCGAATAAACTCTATGCTTAGAGAATCTCATTATTTAAGGTTGACACATCGTATAGTAAATATCAAAAATAGCATCCGAAGCAGTGTGCACAGTGTCACAGTGTCAATCACTAACTTGGTCATAAATCGGTAGTTATCGATATCGATGCTGAGGCTCAACACAAAGGCTGTCTGGAAGGAATCACATCAAAATGTCGATAGTGGCAACTGTGCTCAGTGGACTCTATGTTAGTTATTATTTTCTTTGGAGTGATTTTCTGTTTTTTTTTTTTTTTCAAGTTTTCTAGAATGACAGGTTTTTTTTTATAATCAGGAAAGAAAACACTTTTTTTTGAATAAATTAAATCCCTATACCGTTTTCATTGTGTTATTCCTGCAAGCCTTGCCTGGGAGTTGCTGCATCCTCTGTGTACCTCCGCTTAACTCCGTCTGATCCTTTTTCAGGGTCTTAACCTTGCTGTTACTGTTGGGATATTCCACGGAGGACCTCATGCAGACCTGGCCTATGGAGGTGCTCACTGGGGACACTGGCAGGCATGCCACGGAGTAGCTTGTCACGTACAGCTCAGCGATGCACCCCAGGGGTCCCAAATAATTCACAACAAACTGCAATTGTTTCTTTGAAGAGCTGTGAAGCTGCCCTGCTTACGAGTAGACCATGCAGCCTGCCATCTTTGCTCCCTGGCAGCTACTCAGCAGCTTGTCCAAGGATAGGAGAACAAAGTTCACCGGTCCCATGCGTTTGAAATTCCTTTCCTCTCTCCTCTCTCCCTTTCCTATTTTGCCTATATGGATGAAATCAATCTTTGATTGCTCTTCCGAGTGTACAGATAAAATAATGTGCAAACAAGCAACTCTCTGCCTGACTGTACTTGTATTTCCTTGGATTTTCCTGGTAAATGGTGAATTCCTGGGCTGGGTCCTGTTCCTGCTTGTCTAGGGTAATGTCACCTGTCTACTTTGAGGGATGCCGTAAGACCCCACTTTCTTTTTTTTTTTTTTTGAGAAGGAGTCTCACTCTATTGCCCAGGCTGGAGTGCAATGGCATGACCTTGACTCATTGCAACCTCTGCCTCCCGGGTTCAAGTGATTCTCCTGCCTCAGCCTCCCAAGTAGCTGGGATTACAAGCATGCACCACCATGCCTGGCTAATTTTTGTATTTTCAGTAGAGACGGGGTTTCACCATGTTGGTCAGGCTGGGCCTGAACTCCTGACCTCAGGTGATCCACCCACCTTGGCCTCCCAAAGTGCTGGGATTACAGGCGTGAGTCACTGCGCCCGGCCAAGACTCTACCTTCTGGTGTTACTGTTCTAAGGATATTGTTGAGAAGGTTGCTTCTTGCAGAATCCTCTAAGTAATGACCCTTAGGAGAGATTCTCTCTAGTCTAGTATCAAGAATGGTCATATTTCCACGAGCAGTTGGTCTATTTTTGTCTAGTAAATTGTACAACCAGCTGGGCCTTCCCTTGCACTGTAATTGCTGGAGTAAAAATTGTGACTCATTCGTTGATTTCATGATATACTTTTTTTTTTCATTAGTCTCATTCTGGATCCCTTTTATGTCCCAACTTACCTACTTTTAAAACTTTAACCTCTCCTTTTTGCCTACCCATAGTGTATTTCACGGAGGATCCATGATACATCATCTGGGGGACACGGCTGCTTGGGAAGAGACTGCCTTTCTCGGGCTCTCCCACAGCCTGCAGCATGTGCCTCCCTGCAGGGGTCCTCTGTGACCATGACAGCCCTGGGCTGACAAGTCCGGCATCACTTCACCCAACTCTCGTCTGCCTTCTCTGGACACATGCCAGTTACTCAAGGCCCCTCTTAAAGACTGGTGTCCAGGGCTGACGTGCGATCCAGATGTGCCTTCTGGACTATTCTCCCTAGAGCAGCGTTGTTTAAAGTGCATCAGCGCCACTTGGGCTGCTTATGAAACATGCAGCTTCCTGAGTCTGTCCTCCACCCAGGGGGTCAGAATTTCTTGGGGTGGGGTCCAAGAAACAGGCATTTAAAATAAATTCCCCAGAGATTCAAATGCATGCTAATGTTTGCAAACCTTTCTTTGAAGAAAATGATCCAAGGTTGATGTGAATAGAGACCTTTTTAGTCCTAGCTGGTCCTGAAAATCCTTTGAAGTCATAGTCACCTATATTTAAATTTAACCCATGATTGCCAGGCTGCATGTTTATCAACTGCTTTGACTTTGACATATTGGTCATTGTGTGTGTGTTTTGTACTGCTGGGACTCAGGCGAAGTGAATTATGCCCTATTGCTTATGAGGTACCCAAGACAGGGTCAGGTGCGAAATCCACTTCTATTCCTACTGCGTTTACAATTCTCAGTGATAACAGTAAATGCATTTTGATTATGAAGGTGATGACAATTATGATGACAAACTCTGCTGGGAAAACTGATATCAGCCTGATCAGAGATCCAGGTATCCATACCCTAACATCCCTCTTTTTTTTTTTTTCTTTTCTTTTTTTTTTTTTTTTTTTTTTGAGATGGAGTCTTGCTCTGTCACCCAGGCTGGAGTGCAATGGGGCAATCTCGGCTCCCTGCAACCTCCGCCTCCCAGGTTCAAGCGATTCTCCTGCCTCAGCCTTCTGAGTAGCTGGGATTACAGGCGCGTGCCACCACGCCCAGCTAATTTTTGCGTTTTTAGTAGAGATGGGGTTTCACCATTTTGGCCAGGCTGGTCTCGAACTCTTGACCTCAGGTGATCTGCCCACTTCAGCCTCCCAAAATGCTGGGATTACATGTGCGAGCCACCGCGCCCAGCCAACATCTCCTCTCTTAAGCCAGGCAGCTGAGCCCACACAAAGCTGAAGTGTAGTAGAGAAGGAGGGATGAAGATTTAGCATTGGGGAGTCAGACAGTCCAGGCTTCGGATCCTGTCCCTCCACTTCCCAGCCATGAGTTCACCATGCTAACATGGGCAGCTGACACATACATGCGGAGTGCTGAGTGCTGGGTGCCTCTCCATATGTTCTGTGTGTATAACAGCAGTCATGTCTCACAACAACTCAAGGAGATTGATCTGTGTGTATTGAGTGTATTTCATAAGTGGGGAAACTAAGGCACAGAGATGGTAAGGTACTAGCCTGAAGTCCCCCAGCCAGGGATGGGGAGAGGTAGGATTTGAACCCAGAGCCTGGCTCTAGAGCACTGCCCTTCGCTGTGCTGGGCCCCTCTCGTCTCTCCCTCCCTGCGGCTCATACCTCTTTCTGCTTGGTTAAGCGATTCTCCAGGTCTTGCACCTTTTTCTTTTCCTTCTCCATGGCCTCCTTTGCTTTGCGTTTCTCGTACGCAATGTTGCTCTCTGAGATCTGGAAGTCAATGAAAGTGGTTTGAGGGCCTGTGCCCTCAAAGGGAAATGACACTGGAAAGGGAAACCAGGACGAGTCACCGTGGAAGCCACCAAGTCAGGGTTGGAGAGAAAGATCTCAAAGAACAAAGCACCCACTGGGGACAGAGGTGAGAACCATGGCATGCCCACCATGGTGAGAACCCGGGAGCCATATCTTAGTCACGTGTGTAAAGGAGAGAGTGAGTCATCATTCAAGACTTCAGGGCTGGTGTTCAGGAAGTGACATGCTGGTGAATGGTTGGGTCCTGGTGTTTGGCATTGAGTTACTAAATAAACTGGCATGTGCTGGCACCGATGCTGGCTTTTGTTGGAAGTACTTGGCCCTTTGGGAGGTGGGGCAGGAGAGACAGTGCTGGGGAGGTGCCTTCTGTCCCTGCAGACCCATGCCAATGGCTCCAAATGAGGACCCAGGCAGCCACTTCCAGTCTACAAAGCCATGGGTTTTCAAAATTCCTGTCTAGGTCAGTTTGGAGCTGAGAACACAAACGCCATAGACCTGGAGGGAACTGGAGGCCCAGACTCACCTGTACACGCCCTGGGAGGTAAACAGCTAGGGAGGGTTTGAAAAACTCTATCTGCAGCTGTTGAAACTCTTGCAATTATACACCTCCCCCGCACCAACATAAAGTTCACAAGAAAAGGATTTTAAATATACGTGTATATGTACAACAAAAGACCAGAGGGGTATGTACTGAAATGTAAGTGACAGTTTTTTGGGGGGAATTGGGATTATGGCAACTTTTATTTTGTTCTTTTCACAGGTCTATATCTTCTAAATTTTCTTTAATGCACAGGTATTATTGGCAAAAAGAAAAATGAATGAAAATCGTTACAGGGCATGCAGTGATAGGAGATGGGAACATCCTAATTCAAGGGACAGTATGAGACTCGAGGTGTGTGTGGCCCTCAAGGAAAGACAATGTTCCCAATGTTCCCGGTTTTAACATTACCTGTGTGGCACCCACCCACCCTACCCGCCTCTGCACATCCAACTCCCAGGCACCCCCCTCAACCACATCTCCCAGTGCAGACCTGGCTTTTTCTCACTGTTGAGTCTTTGCTTAAGATGGTCCAATCTGTGCCCTGGAGAGCTAAGTCCTGCCTGTCCTACAAGGTCACCCACACTCTTCTGCATGCCCCGTGGTGAGGGCTCTTTCCCTTCTCTTATTATGCACTACTTGGTGTGTTACAAATGAAAATACTCACAATGACCCTGTGCACAGAATGTATTAGTGCATCCAATCTGCAAACCCCCAGAGAGCATCTATCTGATTATCCCTGTTTCACAAGAAAGGAAACGCAGGCTGTAACCGAGGCAGTATAAAGACAAGCAGTGTTCCAAGGTCACAGCACCAGGAAGGAGTGGTGCAGGCTTAGACACCAGTGCCCTTGCCTTAACTACTCGGCCTCTGGGCCCTGATTCAAACCCTGCCCACTTGGAGGCAGGAGACTTTTTAAAAAAATTTTTTTATTTTAATTTTAATTTTTTTTGAGATGGAGTCTCACTCTGACACCCAAGCTGGAGTACAGTGGCGTGCTCTCAGCTGTCTGCAACCTCCACCTCCCAGGTTCAAGAGATTCTCCTGCCTCAGCCTCCCGAGCAGCTGGGACTACAGGTGTGCACCACCAGGCCCAGCTAATTTTTGTATTTCTAGTAGAGATGGGGTTTCACCATGTTGGCCAGGCTGGTCTTGAACTCCCAACCTCAAGTGATCTGTCTGCCTTGGCCTCCCAAAGTGCTGAGATTACAGGCGTGAGCCATCGCACCCAGCAAGATGTGTTTATATGTTCATATCCAGGCTGGCACAGAGCCCAAGACACTGCCTGGCTGTAGCCTGAGCTTCAGGACCCCATCCCTGGCTCGTATGTATAAGGGAGGCTCTGGGGGCAGTGGTGACCATAGTTTGGATCCCACCCCTTAGCATGTCTGTGCTCCCTCTGCCTACCTGGACTCTGACCTCACTTCCCTCATGGGCTTGTTATTGTCCCACTGCCAAGGGCTTCACTTAAGGCTGTGCAGCCCCCACCCTGCTGTGCCCACTCAACTGCCCACCCCACCTGGACTCTGACCTCACCAGGGCAGGTGTATCCCAAGCCATGAATATACTGACTCCTCATGTTACACCTCTAGGGCGGTTCTGCCACCACACCCACATGGCAGATGAGGGCATGGAGAGGGCAAGGGGCATGCCCAGGGTCACACAGCCTGTTAGGGCAGAGCTGAGATTTGAGCCCAGAATGAACCCTTTAGCCCACCAAGCTCTGTGGTTCCTTCCCCACCTCTCCCACCTATTTCCTTCCACTGCGCCCTGGTGCCTCCCATCTTGGGCCAGCTTTGGTTTCATTCCTCACACAGTCTCCCCCGTCTACCTCCTGGCAAGCTCAGGTCCTGACCTTCACACCTGTGCCACTTTATCCAGTGGTCCTCTCTGGCCCCCAGGCTCCTTTTCCCTTCCAGTTCTCACTGGAATGTCACTTCCTGAGCGGTCCTGCCCTCGGGCACTCTCCAGCCTGCTTCTCAGCTTTGGTCTTGTGGCCCTGGAGCCGCCCCTGCTTCCGCAGGCTGTCTGTCTCCCCTGCGCTAGGATGGAAGCTCTGGCAGCCTGGCCCTGGTCTGTCTTGCTCACTGCGGTGTCTGTGGCACCCAGAACCGGGCCTGGCCCACGGTGGGTGGATGAATGAAACTGAAATCGGTGGGTGGATAAATGAATATTTATGGGCGGATGAATGAAACCGAATCGAACCGTTCACTGAGCCATCAGCTCTGTTTCTGGAAGTTCTGTGGGGGCTGGCACGTGTGTGTCTGTGCCACCTCTGTCCCCGAAGCCCAGCTCATGGAGATGCCATGTGGGTCCCTGAGTGACCTCCTCCTGGCCCCCCAGCTCTTACTTCCAGGGTGTGACCTGGGTGTCCAGGCTGACCTGAGGGCCTGCCTTTCATGCTGCTCGGGGCAGGTGTGTCTGGTGGGCCAGGTCCCTAGGTTGGTGGCATTGGGGTGGGTGGATGTGGATGTCTCCAGCTCTGACCCCTCCTTTCCTCCCTGGTGTCAGTCTGTCCTGGGGTGCCCATCTTCTCGTCCATTCCAGAAGGCACTGATCCCTGGGGCTTATCTGATGTGACAACCATACGTGCTTACTATGCACCTACCTGTGCCATCTCTCTTTGTGCTCTTTGTGCTTTTACTCCTCAGCCAGTCAAGGGAGGGCCTGCTCCGGAGTCCATGACACCAGGAGGCCGGGCCAGGAGCAGTGCTTTCTCCCTTGGCCATGCCAGGTGTGGCACACATGCCGCTCTACTGTGAGGATGATGCTCACTAAGCCCCTGACCCTGGCTGAAACTCAGGATTCTCTCCTGGGAGGATCCCTCTTTCCTAGGTAGCTGAACCAGAGAGCAGAAAAATCTTCCCGAGGGCCCTCTAGGATGCAGGGTGCAGTCCTATGTACTTGACACCTGAGAGCATCTAATCCGATGAGGCAGGGACTGTTAGCATTCCCATTTCACAGATGAGGAAACTGAGGGATGGGGAGGTGGCGATCTGCCGGAGGTCACACAGCCAGTAAACGGCAGATCTTGGCCACTTCAAAGGGAGGCATGGCTCTGATATCTGCCCGATTTCCCACTGTACTCTCCCAGGGATCTGGCTTTGTAGTTCCTTCCAGAGGATTCTTTCCTGCTGCTGCTCATACCTCCTTCTGTTGGGTTAAATGGTTCTCCAGATCCTGAACTTTTCTCTTTTCCGACTCCAAGGCTTCCTTTGCTTTTCTTTTTTCATGGGCTATGCTGCTCTCCAAAACCTGAAAATCAACGACCAGTGCTCTTGGTGGCCTGCACATTTAGGGGGGAAATTGCTAGTAATGATAATGATAATAATAATAATAATAGTAACAATAACAGCCAAAGTGTTGGGGCGGCTATTAAATACACCTGGGCCCCTGGCCAGCCCTTCAGTCTCACAGCAACTCTGTCAGAGAAGTGCTGAGAGTGGCCCATTTTACAGATGAGGAAACCGAGGAGCAGGAAGTCGGAGAGGGCCCAGAGCCACACCCTTTGTCAGTGGTGAGGCCAGGATCTGAAGCCTGCGCAGAGGAAAGCACTGAGCCTGAATAAAGAGCTCTCGACAGGGCACCCGGGAGCAGCGGGGGCAGCTTCCTATCACGAGGCCAGGCAGCCTCTCTGATCAAAAGAAGAGTCTCATTAATAATGGAATTTCCATTATTGAAATAAGTCTCTCCAACAGAATCCAGTTTCAAGAGAAGGGCAGTATGTTGGACTAATGAGCCACGATACACCAATTTCTAGAAGGGACAAGCAATGTTCTGGTAGGATGTAGGGAAGAAAGTGTGGCCAGTATTTAGTGGCCCTAATCAAGGAGTTTTGTCTGGGAAGTTACTTGCTGGTAAGCTATTCAACTAAACAGCTTAATGCAAATCACCAAAGGAAATACACTGCCAGCCTGTTTCCAGTCACCATGAGAAGGGCCACCTCTATTTTCTAACGGCTTGTCTTTCAAACACGAGGTTCACTGTCAGGCATTTAGAACTTGGAACATGGTTTCCATTATAACCACTGGTTAGGGCCCCAGATGAGCCTGTAAAAAGTGTTTAATCCAGAATATGGCTGAGATATTGTATACTTTGCAGTGAAAAGTAGTTGACAAAACTCTAACACTCTGCTGTCCCAACACCAGCCTTAAAGCAGAAGAAAAGTGACATCATAAGAATTTCACGTTTATTTGGATCCTTTGAAGTGGGTTTCAGGGTAGGACATTTTCCTGTGAATTGTAAAAGAGACTTTGAGGCACTTCCTAGGGACTTAGGGTTGGCTCTGCTGTGTCTGACTCTGCGTCTACACTCGCCAGGCCTTCCTCTGGGTGGCTTCTCTGCAGTCGGGACAGGTACTATTGGTAAGAGAGGCCTTGCCTGGCTCACACACAGGCCCTACATGCTCAGTTGCTGTGCTTCCAAGTTCACAACAGATAATGGGGATTAACTTTGAACATGACCTCAAGACCCAGATTATGACCTAGTGATTCTGTTGACCTTAAAAACCCTGATGATGTGGCGGAAGATCTAATGAAAAGAAAATCAGGCCGGGAGCGGTGGCTCACGCCTGTAATCCCAGCACTTTGGGAGGCCAAGGCAGGCAGATCACTTGAGGCCAGGAGTTCAAGAGCAGCCTGGCCAACGTGGTGAAACCCCGTCTGTACTAGAAATACAAAAAATTAGCCAGGCATGGTGGTGCACCTGTAGTCCCAGCTACTTGGGAGGCTGAGGCATGAGAATCGTTTGAACCCGGGAGGCAGAGGTTGCAGTGAACCAAGATCATGCCGCTGCACTCCAGCCTGGGAGACAGAAAAAAAGAAAATCAAATAGCCACTGGCAGTTGAATGGAGCCTGTGGCTGGGGCTGCTCTTTCAAATTCCCCCGATAGGAAGCCACAGAGAAGTTCTGTCAGAAGTAGGCTGACATTTTAACAGACGCGGGGTGACCCAACCACAGATCCTCTGCAATGAAGCTTGAATTTATCTCCTGAGCCCCGTGGCCTCAAAGTCTCTAAATTCAAGAATCTTCCCCAGGCTTTTGCTGTTGACATCTTGGGGCATTTGACTCAAGTAACTCTTTGGAGACCCTCCTCCTCATCCCCACCCCTGGAGAAATCACTTGGGGGCAAACCTCAGTGACGCTCTGTGAGAGGGCTGCAGGGCACACCTGTGCCAGAGACGCCAAGGGAGAACCGACATGTAAACGTCTCTCTGTCCTGGGTCAGATCAAATGGCACAGGCTTTGCCCAGAGGTCTTTTTGTTTCTCCTGCAGCAGTGGGTGGGCAAGGATTTTACTCAAGGAGTCAGTGTTGAAGAAAAACAAATGCCCAAACAGAAGAAGAGGCACAAGTGGCAGCAGAGACAGTAGTAACAGCTGCCGTTTACTCGGCAATCATTCCGCAGGCCAGGCCCTCCATTATACACTAGATCTGAGCCCACAGCCGCCCCTTCGAGAAGGGAGGCAGCGGTAGGTCTGCTGCAGCCAGGAAGTAGCCCAGCTCGGATTTGAACTTGTGTCTCATCTGGCTGCAAAGCCCGCACTCCTCTGTGCTGTGTCAGGATTGAGGAATTCATGAAAGCAGATGTGAAAAAGGATCAGGGATCTGAGGGTGACCACAAGCTAAACATGAATCCACAAATGTGACAGAGCTTTCCCAAAAGCTAGTTTGGATGCATTAACAGAAGTAGAATATCTTCAATGCGGGAGGGAGGAGTCCTCCCCTAGGCTACCGTGGCTGGAGAACAGTGGTTCTGGCCACCTCCCTTTAGGAAGAAAATGGGTGATGGGTGACAAACTCAATGCCTATGAAGCCCGGACAGATACCAAAAATGACGTGGGCTGTGTTTAATGCAACGGGGAGTGGTGAGGACTCTGGCAAACTGCTGCTACCCGGTAAGGCTTCTAGTCCATTTTTGCTAAGTAGAAACAAGGGCTAGATTTTCTGACTTTTCGGGAGAGGCTGGAAATCTGAACTTTTAAATAGATTTTATGAATTCAAAGTAAAATATTCCGGGGCCAAATATAACTTCCACAGGCCCTTTTTAGTCGCTGAGCTACCAGTCTGTGACTTCTGGAGAGCAGCACAGGCCACAGGAGGCAGCCAGGGCCAGGCTCTAGTCCTGTGAGGGACCTGAGGAACAAGGGCGCTTGGGCCCGGGGAGGAGCAGACACAGGGTGCGGGCGCCCCTGTTTTCACACATCTGAGTCATCATGTGGAAGAGGAAGTAGATGTATCTTGTGGGAGCGCAGGGGAGGGCGGAGGACTGATACTCCTCCGGGGCGTAAGAGTTTGACACAACTCAACCTAAAGGGAAAACTTTCTGTCGGCCTGAGGCATCCATGCTGGGACGGACTGTCCTGGGGTGGAGAACATTCCTTAGTGGTGGTGCTGAAGGCTGGAGGCTTTTAGGATGCTGGTGGAGGGTCCACGCAGCCCTGAGGTCCCATGACTCTGTCATTCTCCCGTTTCTGTGCTTTGGAACACAGAAGACGCCCATGTCACCATTCCTACTTGTCTCCCAAGCGCTCTCTCTCTCTGACTGTGTTTTACACTGTTTACAATTTTTTCCCAACTGGTTGTCAAGGCTACAACTCCAGGGTTCCCTCCTTGAGTCTCCCACGCTTCCCAAAGTAGCTGAGCCCACCCAAACGCAAACTCCACGAGGAAGGCTCCACCACGATCTCACCCCCATCATCGCCGCTCTGAACTTCCTTCCACATGGCCCTCAAGCCGACTGGGGCTCAGCCGACTCTATCTCCCCGAGCGTACCTCCTTCTGGCGGGCCAAGCGTTCCTCCAGCTCTTGGACTCTTGTCTGCTCTTCCTCTAATGCTTCCTTCACTCTGTTCTTCTCCTGGGTAATGCTTTTCGCCAAAGCCTGAGTCAACGATCATTGTTCAATAGACATGGTTACCATGGGAGGAAACTGGACTCTGCCAGGCACCGCACAGGTTTCCTCTTCCCTCCAGACTACACCTCCCTAGGGGACTGTGGACAGCACAGCCCTGGAGCTCAGAGCCGGCGGGCCCAGACCAGAGCCCCAGATCCACCCTTCCTAGCTGCAGTGGGGCTCGAGCTGACTCTGTCTCCCTGAGCCACATACCTTCTTCTGCTGGGCCAGGAGGCTCTCCAGTTCTTGCATTCTCTTCCGTTCTTCCTCTAAAGTCTCTTTCGCTCTGTTTCTCTCTTGAGTAATGTACTCCTCCAAAGCCTGGAAACCAATGACCATTGTTTAACAGACATGGTTACCATGGCAGGAATTTGGACGCTGCCAGGCACTGCATGTGCTACCTCTTCACTCCTCACCGCACTCCCCTGGGGAGGCTGTGGGCAGCAGAGCCTAGGAGCTCAGAGCATGTGCTCTGGAGTCAGGAGACCCAGGGTAGAGCCCCAGGTTGATCCTTTCCAGCTGTAAGGCACTGGGGAAGTGAAGCTACCAGAGCCTCAGTTTCCCTGCCTGTACAACGGAGACAGTAATAGTCTTCCTGTGTTGGGTTGATGTGAGGGGTGGATGCGACGATGAACACGAAATGCTTGGCACAGTGATAACCATGCTTCCCACCTTGCAGAGGAGGAAACAGGCTTACATTCAAGAATCCACCCAGTTTACTAGTAAATCACAAGAGGAGGGATTCTAACTCTGACCCATTTGATTCTGAAGCCTGTGTTCTAAACCAGAGGTTAGCAAACTATGGCTTACAGACCAAATCTGGTCTGTTTTTGTAAATAAAGTTTTATTGGAACACTGTGCTTGCTGTGTATTGTCTATGGCTGCTTTTGCAGAAGAGCAGAGAGCATATGACCTGCAAAACTGAAAATATTTACTATCTGGCTCTTTATGGGACAATTTGGCCAATCCCTGATCTAACCCATTGGTGTGTGCACAAACCAAGGGATTGTTGTCAACAACTGGCAATAAGAAAAGAATGTTAGATTGATAAAGGAACATAGAATTTTTTTTCCCTTTGAAACAAAGTCCTCAAACAAGTCAAGATTCATGAGATTAATGACCCTGGACACATGTATTTTCGGAAAGGGCAGGTGATGGGAGTCAGAAGGTCTAAGGAAGGCTCATTTAGTCAGGACACTTGGCACTGAAGTCCAAGAGGTAACTTTCCAAGGAGTCCCCAGGGTCAAGTCCATCAATCCGAGTATCAGAGGAAGGGCGACCTTCGAGTGTCACAGTCTGTCTGGCAGGGACCTGATGTTGCTTCCTCCCTCTGCAAGGAGGGTAGGGTGCACCGAGGTTTTCAGGTTTAAAAGAGGGGCTGACGCCAGCTCTTAAAACACTCTGCCAGGCCAGTGTCGCCAGGGTTGTCTAGGAAGACTAGGCAGGCGCCCAACGCAGTGTTTAACATGGTGGGGCTGAAATACCAAACCCTGACAAGGGAAAAAGTCCATCCAAAATTAAAAAGAGAAAATAAGGCATTTGGGATGCCGATGTTAAAAGGAGAAGGTAATCAGAGAAGAAAAAAGGAAGTCGGTGGAGAGTTCTGCGAAGATTTTGAAGATTTCTAGGTACTTTCTGGTTTTATTTTCTTCTCTATGGAACGGTGCTGGCTTTTTCCGTATCTAAATGCCCTTCAAAATGTGCCCATCTTGATTTATAGCTATCATTAATATTACCTTTATGCGGATTGCACATGATTTGGTCAGATGGCTCTTCTTTTTTAATCTTTTATTTCGCAAATGCAGAAAAGCAGAGAAAGAGGCAAAGAGAAGAAGGAGGAGGAGACTGATGTTTTGGGGTAACTGGACACACATGTGAGGATGGAGATGAAAGAGGGAGAGGTCTGGAGGGCAGGTGTGTGTGGTAGAGAAGGAGCTGGGGAAAGATGGAGAAGGGGGCAGGTCCAGTACTCTTCCGGGGAAGAGAGGAGATATCTGGGAAGAGTTGGGGTCCGGTGGATCTGGGGGGCTGCTGTCTTGAGGGGGCTGTGAGGAGGGGCAGCATGCACACGCTGCTCCACACCCACCCACAACAGTGGCTCGCAACCGTGGCTGCACTTTGCGACCACCCGGGAGTGCTTAGAAATCCCACAGCAGGGGCCACACCCTCACCCCACTAAGATCAGAATGTGGAGAGTCGGCGGGGAGAGGTGCAAGGCATTAGTAATTTTTAATCTCCTAAATGACAAAAGTCATAAAGACAGTGAAATTCATGGGAGGGGTCCCTGAATATCAAAAAGGGCCAACCCTCAGGTATGGTGGCTCATACCTGTAATCCCAGAACTTTTGGAGGCTGAGGTGGGAGGATCACTTGATGCCAGGAGTCTGAGACCAGCCTGGGCAACATAGAGAGAGACCTCATTTCTACAAAAAATAAAAATATTAGCTGGGTGTGGTGGTGTGTGCCTGTGGTCCCAGCTACTTGAGAGACTGAGGTGGGAGGGTCACTTGAGCCCAGGAGTTCAAGACCAGCCTGGGCAACATTGCAAGATCCCATCTCTACAAAAAAAAATAATAATTAGCTGGGTGTAGTGCCATATGCCTGTGGTCCCAGCTACTTGGGAGGCTGAGGTGGGAGGACCACTGCAGCCTGGGAGTTCGAGGCTGTGGTGAGCTATGGTCACACTATTGCACTCCAGCCTGGGCAACAGAGCAAGACCCCATCTTAAGAAAAAAAAGGGCCAACTCTAGGACAGTGATGAGAATCAGCTCATTAAATAATACAGTTTCCTGGCCCTCTCCAGATGTTCTGATTTAATGGGTCTGGAGGGTGGAGACCAAGATCTGCATTTTTAGCAAAGCATCTGGATGGTTCTTATCAGGAAACTTTGGGAAAACCTTCCTCTAAGCCTTCGCCCTAAGAAAATGTGGATCTGCAGACTGGTAGCGTCAGTACCATCTGGGAGCTTGTTGAAAATGTAGCGTCTCAGGCCTGCTGAGACAGAATCTGCATCTTAACCAGATCCCCAGACAATTCATGGGCACGTTCGAGTTTTAGAGATGCTGCTATCTTCTAACTGGCTTGATTTCTAGAAAAGTCAGTAGCAATTTTGACCATTTGTTTCCCCCGATATGTATAAAGAGAAAGCAAAAGACTGAAATTTGTCATCTGAAGTTGATCTTGCGCACATTTAGAAACAGTCTGTCAGCTACAAACCAGGACCTGCAGCGATGACTCAGATCTCATAAAGCCGACTGCAATACATACACAAACAAGGCACCGTTTCCTGAAATTTCAATCATGCTGCCTTTTCAAGTTGATTTTGCTGTGAGTTTTAGAATTCAAACTTCATGTTAAATCCTCCCCAATTATTCACCCTGTTTAATTAATTTAGTTTCATGGCACCAAACAGAGTAGCTGAGATTTCTCTGTCTAAGTACATGCCCTCAATTTCCCATAGAAAAGGCCATTTCATCAGTTTCCAGTAGTAAAGCAAATGGCAGGGACCACCTTACCGCCTTCTCTTCCGTCAGTTGCCTGATTTTGGCTTTGAGCTTCTCCTCTTGCTCTAGCCTCTCCTCGTTCAGCTTCTCCTTCTCTGCCAGATGCTCCCGCAGCTTTTCCTGCAGTAAAGACTGCTGAGTTTCCTGAGAACTGTTGAACTTGATCTGAAATGTGAGAAAAGTAAACCGATGCTGATGGGGGACAGGCCTAACTAAAGAGTCTTTCCCCATTTGTTTACCAATTGTTTACCTTTCTGGGTACAAAGGTTTACCCAAAAGTTTCTTAAAATCACAGAACACTACAGCATGCTGTGGTTAAGAATTCAGACTCTGGATCTAGAAAGAATCCCAGCTCTAGTTGTTTCTAGATGCTTCCTCATTTAGAAAATGAAGTTAATAACAGTATTGATCTTTTAGAGTTGTGAGGATTAAGTGAGATAATGATGGAAAGCTTTTAGCACAGTGCTGAGCACATAGTAGGTGTTCAGTAAGTGGTAGGTGGGTGTGAGGAAAAAAAGCAGTCATGTAGGAGCCAGGACGCTTGAACATTTGTCTTGATTCTTCACCCATTAGCTGTGTGACACTGAAATTGTCCTTATCTGAAAAATAAGGAGAAGGGACTAGACCAGGGGTTGACAAACTACAGCCCACAGGCCAAATCGGGCCCACTGCATACTTTTGTAAATAAGGTGGTGTTTTTGTTTTGTTTTGTTTTTTTTGAGATGGTGTCTTGCTCTGTCGCCCAGGCTGCAGTGCAGGGGCACAATCTTGGTTCCCCGCAACCTCTGCCTCCCGGGTTCAAGTGATTCTCCTGCCTCAGCCTCCTGAGTGGCTGAGATTACAGGTGCCCACCACCACACCTGGCTAATTTTGGTATTTTTAGTAGAGATGGGGTTTTACCATGTTGGCCAGGCTGGTCTCGAACTCCTGACCTCAGGTGATCCACCCGCCTCAGCCTCCCAAAGCGCTGGGATTACAGGCATGAGCCACCGTGCCCGCCGTAAATAAAGTTTTATTGGAACAGTGCCATGCTTATCATGTCCATTGCTTACATATTGTCTATGGCTACTTTCATTTTACCATAGCAGAGTGGAAGAGGTATGAATATGGTCTGCAAAGCATAAAATATTTACCATCTGGCCCTTTACAGAGAAAGTTGCCAATCCCTGGACTCAAGCCTCTGTGGCTGATTGGCATGGTGGTCCCTTCTTTACCCCACTCTATCCATGTCTAGGGCTATGTAACTTGCAGTGCCCGCCCATATTTTGCCTCCAGACACTGAACTCAGCCATGTGACTTGTTCTGGCCAATGGGATCTTAGCAGACATAACACAAGCAGAAGGTTGAAAAACACTATGTGATTGGGCCACTTTCTTTTATACCTCGTAGTCTCCATGAGAACAGCCTAGGCTTGCTTGCTGGGGGATGAGAGACACAGGGAGCTGAGTCACTCCAGCTGAGGCCAGTCTAGATCAACCAAAGGCCAGCTAACACCCAGACAAGTGGGTGGGCCCATCCAAGGTCAGCAGAGCCGCCTTGCCACTGACCCCAGACACGTGAGGAGTAAATAGCAATTGCTGAATGCCGCTGAAGTTTTGTGGTTGTTTATTATATAATACTATTATGGCAATAGCTATCAGAATGATATAACCCGTAAAGCTCATTTGCCTCTAGAATATTTCTTTTCTTTTAGTAATTCTGCTGCCTGTGCTATAGATAGCTGTACTTTGTCCACTGGATTTAGTAAACACAGTTTTCAAAATCTGATGGCATTAAGGCTGGTGCAGTGGCTCACGCCTGTAATCCCAGCACTTTGGGAAGCTGAGGTGGGTGGATCACTTGAGGTCAGGAGTTCAAGACCAGCCTGGCCAACATAATGAAACCCTGTCTCTACTAAAAATACAAAAATTAGCAACACATGGTGGCAGGCGCCTGTAATCCCAGCTACTCAGAAAGCTGAAGCAGGAGAATCACTTGAACCCGGGAGGCAGAGGTTGCAATGAGCCGAGATTGCACCACTGTACTCCAGTCTGGGCAACAGAGCGAGACTCAAAAAAAAAAAATCTGATGGCATTAAGTCTTCTGGGCCTTTGACAGAGGAAAACAAACAGTGTGGTTGGCCCAGGAGGCCAGAGGGCAGCACCCTGTCATTGTCCTTACCCTCCTGGGAGATCTTAGCCAACCTTTTCTGTACCTCTTTGTGTGCAAATGAAGAAATCATTTCACCTATTGGAGGGTGTGGACTGGACTAGCTGATAAAGAAAAAACAGGTTTCAAATGCACAGTGCTATATAAATGCCAACCAGGGGCCGAAATGAACTTTGGAAAAAAAGAAATTAAAAGAATTACCTGAAGTTCCTGGGCCTGGCTCATAAGTTTTTTATAATGTTCCAGAAGATATATCAGATACAAAGAGAACCCTTAAAAAAAGAGAAGCAGGAAGAATGTAAGTATCAATTCAACTCCAAAGCTTGCAGACAGGTGGATGAAAGCAACGTTGCCATCCCATCAAAACAACGTGAGCTGCCATCCAACCTGTGGTTTTAAAGTAGTTGATAAGCAGCCGGGCACGGTGGCTTAGGCTGGGCATGGAGGTTCACACCTGTAACCCCAGCACTTTGGGAGGCTGAGATGGGCAGATCACCTGAGGTCAGGAGCTCGAGACTAGCCTGGCTGGCCAGCGTGATAAAACCCCATCTCCACTAAAAATACAAAAACTAGCTGGGTGTGGTGGCGCATGTTTGTAATTCCAGCTACTTGGGAGGCTGAGGCATGAGAATCGCTTGAAACTGGAAGGCAGAGGTTGCAGTGAGCCCAGATTGTGCCACTGCATTCCCGCTCAGGTGACAGAGCGAGACTCAGTCTCAAAAAAATAAAAATAAAAATAAAGTAGTTGATAAGCCTTGGTTGAGCTCACATCCAACTTTCTTTTTGGAGGTGGAAAACAACCCATCAACAGAACACCTATTTACTGTCTACTGTGTGTGAAGCATGGTGCTGAGTGTGGGGGATGGTCTAAAGCCAAGACCTCCAGGGGCTTACAGTTCAGTCCGAAAGACAAGGTGTAAATGCCTGCTGGAAACATGCAGTGACCCCAGGTGGCATGTGAGTGACTGCTGAAGGAGAGGGGAGGGTGAGGGTGTCAGAGGAGGGGGAGATCATTCACCTGGAGTGAGCGAGTAAGACCACTTGGTTGAAGAACTACTGGGTGTGGATGCTGTTGGGTGGGCAGAATTCAGAGAGCCGGGGGAGGGCGCTTCAGAACAGGGGTGCGCGGGGCTGAATGATGACCCCCTACGATTCCAGGTCCGAATCCCTGGAACCTGTGGGTGTGACCGTACAGGGCAAAAAGAGCTTGGCAAATACGATTAAGTTAAGGATTTCGAGATGGGGTGTTATCCTGGATTATCTGGGTGGACCCAATGTCATCACATGGCTTCTTATAAGGAGACAGACGGAGGCTTGACCACAGACAGAGGGGAAGGTGATGTGATGGAAGCAGAGACTGGAAGATGCCACATCGCTGGCTTTGAAGATGGAGGAAGGGGCCATGAGCCAAGGAATGCAAGGAATGAAGCTCTAGAGGCTGAAGAAGGCCAGGAAACGGATACTGCTCTAGAGCCTCCGGAAGGAACTTTAGCCCAGTGAAACTGAATTAATCCTGAATGCTAAGAGAATAATGTGTTGTTTTAAGCCAGTCTCTTGTGGTCATTTGTTACAATAGTCACAGGAAGCCACAGTTTCACACCGGGATGTGGGGGTGGTGGGGGTGGGATTTGGAAAAGGCAGTGCTCCTCCCGGGAAGTGCTGAGCTTACTTGGGCTGGAGTAGATGATGGGAGAGGGAGGAGCAGACAGTGGAGGAGGCATGGAAGGGTGAGGTCAAGCCGTGACACTCCTGAAACCGTCGGCTTGAGAGAGGAAACTTGATTTAAACATGACTGAAATGTGCCCAGTGGGTCCCCAATTTATAGATGAGGCAGTGGCGTTCTGAGACGCAGGCCTGCCCAACGCCACACAGCAGGCCAGTGGTTGAGCCAAGACTAATTGGTGTGACTCGAGGTCTGAGTCACTCCTATTCCAGCGGCTGACAGAACAGTGAAGTGGCCTGATGAAGAGCGTTGTTTTTTTTTTTAAAGAAAAATAGCTGGGCTGCATTCGAGAGGCTGGAGCTGGCAGGGTTTCTTTGCTGGAGCACTGCTGCTATGTCGGGCCGTATTGCTGGTATTGCACTGCTGATATTGTCAAGTCTTTGCTGTTGGGGCTGTCTTAGGCATTGTGGGATGGTTAGTAGCATTCCTGGTCTCTACCCACTGGATGCCAGGGGCACCCCTACTCACCCCACCCCAGTTTTGACAACCAAAAATGTCGCCAGACGATCCTGGATGTTGCCTGTGATAAGCTCCCCTCCTCTGAGTGAGAGGCAGGGAGCTCCGCTAAGGGCCCGAGAGACGCCCAGGTATTCAGTGCTGATCCTCTAACTGAGGGTGGGAGAAGTGAGGATGAGAGGGAAGAAAGGGAAAGCCTTTTAAAGGGGTAGAATGGTGGCCTCGTCATCAGACGGGAGAGAGACAGGTTGGGGTTGCGGTGGGGTGTGGCAGGGAGAGAGAAGGAGCCCCCAGGCTGTTTCAGACATGCTGAATTTGAGGCACTGGCAGGACTCTGGGGAGGGAGGGTCAGCAGAGAGCCGGACATGCCAATCGGTAATGCCGGCCCAGCCCAGCCCATCCAGGGTCCTTGTGTGAATGAAGAAAGAGGCCCCCTTCCTCCTGGTGGCCATGGCCCCTGGCCAGGGACCCCACCTACTGCCTTGGCTGGACTCCCTGCACCACTTTCCTGGCAGCCCCTCCTGCAGAGGCGTCCGTGTGGAAAACACATAGGAGTGGCTGGGGAAGCCCGGAAGTGCAGAGTTTCTTCATGAGAAAGGAGATGGGGTGGACCAAGGGCTGACTGCACAGGAGAAAACACCCTCGTTAGGGATAGGAGTTGGTGAAGGGGGCTGCTGGGAATGAATGGAAAAGATCAGGAGGGAAGCAGAGCGCCTAAAGGGTTTCAAAAAAGAGAATGAAGAGCGTTGGGCAGGTCAGAGACACAGTCCCCGAGAGGGTGGTGGCCTAGTCAGTGCTGCAGGGGGCCCGTGTCAGTTACTTGGCAGAAAGGCCAAGAAGCTGGCAATGAAGACCGAGGGTGCAACACGCTTCTTAAAGATCACAGGTGAAGACAGGAGTAAGAGCAATTGAAAAGGAGCGAAAGAAGCGATGGATTCCAGAGAAGAATGATTTTTTTCAGGATGGTACAGCCATCTTGAAGTGCCCCTTTGATGGCAAAGGGAAGGAACTAAGAGGAAAAGAAAGGCCGCTGACGCCAAAGAAAGAAGAATTTGTGCACAAGGTCCCTGGGAAGGAGAGGAAAGGGGAGACAGGGCAGGGTACGTGCTGCATGTAGGAGGAAGACCTAGTGGGGATAATGGAGGGAAGGAATAAAAGGTGGGCCAAGAGAGAAAAAGGAAGTGAGGAGAACATGTTCTTGTGTGGGGCAATGCACCATTCGGAGGATTTCCAGCACAGAAGCGTGAGAACAGCAATATTATAATAATAGCAGACCTGGTGCGTGCCAGTGCTATGCCAAGAGTTTGATACGTTTTTCTAATCATTATAAACAACCTGGTAAGGAAGTATGTTCATATTTATAGGTGAAACGACAGAAGCTCCCCAAGGTTAAGCTACAGAGCTGGTAAGTGTTAGAATCAGAATTCAGACCTAGATCTGTCAATCTCTTTTCAAAGGGTTTGGAGGCTTGAGAGTACAGGGTTGGGTTGGTGCGTTGGAGAGGTGCATTGCAAGGATACCAAGATGGCGGAGGAGGTGAGATGGCCGGGCTGACATTGGCTTGGCCCACTGGACCTGGTGAATACAGGGATTTGTGGAGGCTCTGTTGGGATGAGTCTGGGATTTTGCTCGGCTGCAACGTGTGACCCAGGAATCAAAGGGGAAGGATGAAATCATGGTTGGGATCTGAGGAGGACTAAGGGGAGAGGTAGCTGAGGATGCTGAAGGGGAGGCCAGTATTTGATCACATTTCTATTTCTAGATTAGATGACTAACTGTAATCATAATGGGGATTTTGCTCTTTGGGGGAAGGAACAAGTCTTTCTTATACTTCTGTTTACAAAAGTTATAAATGTTGGTTATAAAAACCCAAATGTTACAGAAATTCATAATGTGGGAAGTGTTTGCCACTGCGTCTTCATGTTCTGCACAGTGGCTGGCACACAGGGGCCCTCAATGAACAGTTGTTGAACAACTGAATGGAAGTCAAGGTCCAGTGCAATCCCACCCTGCTGGGATAATACTCCTAACAGTTTGATGTCTTTTTCTCAAGGTTGTTCTTTTGCTCAGATACTGACATTTAAAAAAAAAAAAAGCACACCAAGCATATTGTATTGCAACTTGCTTTCTTTTCAGTTAAAGACACAGTGTATCTTGGATAGTTGAGTGATTTGCCATGCATGCAAGAAGAGTCTTTTATTTGTAACAAAGTCTTGCAGAAATAGACACAAACGACGGAGCTTGCAGAGAAAAATGTAAAAAATCCTTTCCTTCCCTTATCAGAGGAACCCTGAGAAACCAGGCAGGAGGAGTATTCAGCTGACTTTCAAGGTGCCGCCTAAACATTCTTATCCTCCCAGCTGAACCACACAGCAAATCCTCCACCCTTCCGAACACACTGGACCCCAGCAGGCCTCACCTTGTGGGCTGCACGTGACATCTCCCAACAACACCACAAGTCATTTCCCTGACGTTTACCCCGCCTGGATTCCCCTGGGGGATTCGTTTCAGGATTTCCATCCTAGTTTGTGACGCGTGTTTTATCTCTTAGGAGGATGTTCTAAAAGGCAGGTAGCCTGGTGGTCAAGAGCAGGGAGTTTGAGGTTGGAGGGGCGTGGACTGAGTTGCAGCTTGGCCACTTGGCAGCCGGGACCCGAGGCCCACTGTCAGATTCTAAGGAGGAGGCCTCTAGAAAGGGCTCTTGGCTTCAACCCAACTGAGGGCTTAGGGCTAAAGAAACCCCATTTGCTGCTAAATGGAGACAGGGCAGAGGCTCCAGAGGATGTTACCTGGGTGCAAGTAAACCAGGCTATGCGGTCCACATGCCTACCTGCCTGGTGGCTACCCATGTTTAGGTCAGATGAAGTCAACCAGTATTTGAGGCTGACGATGACAGCAGCCCCCACCGATTACGAGCTAACTGTGACCAGCACTGCCATGCATGTATCCCATCACTCAGTCCTCATATGCCGCTAGGAGACTGGATGGCCATTTCACGAGCAAGTAAATGGAGGCGCAGCCACGTCACGTAACTGCCCACACAGCTAGTAGGTGCACAGCTGAAATTCAAGCCTTGGCAGTGGTACCCAGAGTCCCAGCTTGGAACATCACTGTGATACAAATGGGGCTTTCTGTGGTTATGGCTCAGGGTAGGAATCAGATGCGGTTTAGCTTAGGGAAAGACAACTCTTAGCTCTGTCACTGCCTGAGCCGATGACAGCACCCATTCTCTAGGGACTGGGCATGTGCCTGGTACATTGCTGCATTGTCAGAGGAAGTGTGTATGTGTGCAGGGGGTGGGGGTGAAGGGGCAGGGGGTCATAGGGAAGACACAGGTGTTAGGGTCACAAAGACCTCAGTTTGAGTCTTAACCCTAATGTACCAGCTGTGTGACTCTGGGCAACTTTTTAACGTTACTGTGTCTCAGTTTCTTTACTTTTCAAATGAAGGCTGGGCGCAGTGGCTCACGCTGGTAATACCAGCACTTTGGGAGTTGAGTGGGTTGATTGAGCCCAGGAATTTGAGACCAGTTTGGGCAACATGACGAAACCGCGTCTCTACAAAAAACACAAAAATTAGGTGGCGTGGTGGCACACGCCTGTAGTCCCAGCTACTTGGGAGGCTGAGGTGGAAGGATCGCTTGAGCCTGGGAGATGGAGATTGCAATGAGCTGAAATCATGCCACTGCACTCCAGTCTGGGCAACAACGCAAGACTTTTACTCAAAAAAAAAAAAAAAAAAAAAAAAAAGATAAATAAAATAAAGATGGTAATCATACCTGCCTCACTGGGTAGGTGGGAGGATAAAAGTACACAATGCGTGTGAAACACCGAACACAGTGCTAAATCCCCAGGAGGAGCTAAACAACCCATGCTTTCTACCCTTCTCTTAGGAGCTAGAAACGCAGGCAGCTCCTGGGAGTGTGCAGGATGGCGATGAATAGACTGGGGACTCCCTGTCAGCCTCTGTAACATGAAGTGCCTCAAATCACCTTATCCTGGTGGAGTAATGAGAAAACCAGCTTTGAGCCAGTTTCCTCATTTCTAAAATGAGGAAAATGGGCAAATTATTAACTCATAGAATTACTGTGAGGATGAAATGAGATCATGTGTATAAAATGCTGAGAACCGTATCTAGAATATAAGTCCTCAGTGATGAATGACTATCATCGTCACCATAATCACCATCATCACCATCATCATCGCCCTCCTCCTTCCTCCTCTTCCCTCCTCCTCCCCATCCTTCCTCCTCATCTTCCTCTTCCCGCTCCTCCTTCTGGATTAGCTCTGGGCTAGGAATTAGGTACAAGAGTAGAGAATATGGGGCATACGCTAGCTTACCCTTTTCTTTTAGTCTTTTGGGCGCTTGACGTAATATTGCTTGTATTAGAAGAGAAAATGCCTTTTACCATCAACTTCCTCTTCTGCTGAGTGGACAAAAGATGGGCCCTGCTTACTGAACTTTCTGTTATTCTCTATTCTTTTTTTCCTGAGTTCTTAGAACCAACTAGTTGTAATCACAGAATATGTAGCCAGCAGACCACCGTTTCCCCAATGACTGTTCCATGGAACATTATTCCAAGAGGTTAGTTGGGGGCGGGGCAAGGGCATCAAGAAAGGAGACCAGTAGTTTGGAAATACTGTTTTCTTTATCCCCTTCTTGTTGACCCAGGGTGCGTGTTAACAAGGGAGGGATTCTGCAGAAACCTGCTTAATGTTGTTCAAATCTCACGACTCCATGAAGTCAGGAGAAGAAAATGGCTGGTCTGAGGAATGCTTGCCTAAAATCAGTCTTTCTTAGCCCTGCTGGAATTACTGGCCTGAAAGCTTAACTTTACAATCCGTGTTTATTTATTTTTAGACAAGGTCTCACTATCACACAGGCTGCAGTGCAGTGGAGTAATCATAGCTCACTGCAGCCTTGAAATCTTAGCCTCAAGGGATTCTCCTGGCTCAGCCTCATGAGTAGCTGGGACTACAGGCCTGTGCCACCATGCCTGGCTAATTTATTATTATTTTTTAAATTTTTTGGAGATGAGGGGTTTCACGATGTTGCCCAGGTTGGTCTTGAACTTCAAGCCTTAAATGATCCTCCTGCCTCAGCCTCTTATGTTGATGGGATCACAGGCATGAGCCACTACACCTGGCAACAACCCACATTTCTTAACAATAATATATGACTAGATTTATAGACTTAGTCTAGATGACTAAAATGGTCTTGGGAGTGGGAAGGGGACAGTGCACACGTAGCTTGGCTCTATTATTGCCAGGATGGAGATCATGGTCTTTGTTTTAGTTCCAGTCTTGAAGAACAACGAGAACTCTGCTCCATGTTTTACCTTATTTCAAGTAAGCTCACGACTCTGCCTTGATTGCAAGAACAGTAACGCTCTCTGCTATATGATGAGGGGAAGGTTCCTACATAAAAATTAATGTTGGTTTTGCTTTTGCTTTTTAAGAATGTTACCCCACCTTCTGGATACTTTGGAAGCATCCTGCTGCAGATGTTGAAGTGCCAGGGTTGAAAATCACTTCTCTATTCTTATTCATTGTGGAAAGAATATAAAATTGATGCAGGCTCTCTGGAGGGTGATTTGGCAAGAAGGAGTAGCAACAAGCTTCAAAATGTTGGAGTTCCTTAAGGTGCGGCCCTGTGCTCTTTCCCTTCTCTCTCGTTACTTTCATGTAGGTCATGAGCTTACATGACATCAGGCAAAACATGGAGCAAAGTTCTCTGGCTGTTCTTCAAGACTGAAGAATAAATAATCTTCCTAACTGATACCATTCATATCTATGGCTTTAATCTTCCTTCCTTCCTGCCTGCTTGCCTGCTTGCCTGCCTTCCTGCCTTCCCTCCTGCCTTCCTTCCTGCCTTCCCTCCTGCCTTCCTTCCTGCCTTCCCTCCTGCCTTCCCTCCTGCCTTCCTTCCTGCCTTCCTGTCTTCTATCCATCCATTCATCCACCCACAGACCCACCCACCCTTCTATCCACCCACCCTTCCTCCCATCCATCCACCCACCCACCCACACTTCCATCCATCCTTTCATCCATCCATCCATCCATCCATCCATCCATCCATCCATCCATCAATCCACCCACCCACCCACTCACCCTTCCATCCATTCTTTCTTCCACCCGTCCGTCCATCCATCCATCCACCCACCCACCAATGCTTCCATCCATCCTTTCTTCCATCCGTCCGTCCATCCATCCATCTGCACTTCCTTCCATCCATCCCTCCAACCCACAGATATGTATTAGGCCCCCGCTGTGTGGCACATGCTCTCTGGGTGCTGAGGATACATCATTATTACCTATCCCCAGACAAGACACCTGGGGAAACAGCTGTCTCTTGGGCATCTCATCTTAGATGTCTCACAGGCACCTCACACTCCTCTTCCCCCTCAAACCTGGGCCTCATCCTGCATTCCTTGCTCTGAGTTTTAGCAAAGAAATCACATCCGTCTTTTACACACACCAGAAACCTAGAGGTCTTGTTGACTCTCTGTCACTTTCCTTCCAACCATCCAGTCCTACCACTGAGGCCTGTTGATTTACCTCTTACTCGCCCCTGAATCTTCTTTCTCCATCCCCACCCTGCCCTAGGGTGGCCTTGTCATCTCTTACGGCAGCCCGCCAAGTGGCTCCTGGGGCACCATGCTGCCCACCCTCCAGGACGTTGTCCACTTGCCACCAAGATGATTGTCTCAGAATGCAAGCCTGTCCAGCTCCTTACTTAAGGCCTTTCACAGGCTTCTCTCTGCCCTTAGAATAAAGCTTCTTATCAGGGCCCTGCGAGACCCCACATGCATGGCCCTGGGAAGCTCCCATTTCTGTTAGCCCCTTGTGCTCTCCATGCTCCCCTGCCACCACGCTGCTCCTGTACTCAGAATGCTCTCTCCCCTTTCTTTGGCAACAACTCCGATGCATCCTGCAGATGCCCTGCTCTCCCTGACCAGATCGAACCCTGCACTTCATAGCAATTGTCACCACTCAACTTTCATGTTTGTTCGAGTGATTTTCCCATTAATGCCCACCTCATCCTTCCCCCTGAGACCATAAGCTCTTGGAGGGCCTGTTTTTTTCCCCAGTATTTTATTATAAAAAATTTCAAATGTATGGACATATTGGAAGAATTTTACAGTGAACCATATACCCATGACCTGATTCTACCTGTTCCTGACCCCGTTACGTCTCTGCCCTGCACAACATGTGGCCTCTGGTAAGCATGCATGCAATCACTATTTGTTGAAAGAAAGTGATTCATACCTCTCCACCTCTAGGAGAATAAAGATAATATGAGCAGGTATGTGTGCAACAATGTTCATCCCAGCATGATTTATGAGTGTGAAAAACTGGAAATCACCTAAGTGCCCATGATAGGGGATTGTCTAAAACAATGGCACATCCTACACAATGGAATCAGTAACTGCCGTCGGTAACAGCGATGATGTAGGTCTGTGTCTACTGACATGGATGACGTACCATTAGGAATAAACCAAAGAAAATCGAGGGTAACGTGACACTATTTTTTTGTCAAATTAAAAGTCAATAAACATTCAGTAATGCCTATTGTGTGCCAGGTACTATTCCAAGTACTTTCCATATATTCATGCATTTTAATGATCACAACAGCCCTAAAGGGTGGGTACTCCCTATTAGCCTCATTTTACAGATAGGGAAACTGAGGCATAGACAGGGTAAGTCACTTGCCTGGAATCACGCGGTTATTTCCATGGGAAAATGCCTTGGAGGTTAAACAGCGTAATTAGACTTTGCATAATTTCGATTTAATTTTCCTTTTGCCTCTGTTTTGTTTCATTTTTCTTCAGTTATCGTGTCTCACTTGTATGTGTGTGTTTTTTTTTTTAATGGAAAATTACGCCTCAAGCAGAGAAGCAGGGGGTTCTGGAGAAGGGAATAGACTTGGCCAGATACCCAGGAAGACTTCCTCAACAGATGTCCCATCATGCTGAGATTCAACGCGACATTTTAGAGTCATGCAACCATGTGAGAAAAAAAGTCCCAGTAACCTTTGTTGGGGCTGGAGGGCAGGATCCCGAGGTCCCGGAGGAGCTGCTCCACCTCCTCCAGCCAGGACAGCGCGTGCCTCAGGACGTCCAGCACCACCTTCTGGAGCCCCGAGACAGGTGGGCTCACCTGGAGGTGCTGAAGAAGGTCGACCTCCTTCTTCAGGTCATGGCTGCAACAGGATATTTTCATGCAAGCCTGCAAAGAGGTGAGATCATGAGGAGCCCAGGCCCTGTGGCCAGAAATAGCCCCTGACGTGACCTTCGAGGAACAGCGTTCTTGACTCTGCCACGAAGCAGGCAGCGCCACGTATTGGCCGCCTTGGGAGGACTCAGTTTTTTTCTTTTTTAAAATTTTTATGTTTTGACAGGTTTTTTTTTAATACTCTAATTTGGACTTTTGATGGTCAAAGCGAACCCCCTTTTAGGTCTATGAAACCCCAGAGCCAAAGTACCATCAACAGTTTGGCTGCAATGAGAAGCAAATGTGGCTACTTCTTTTTTCCATTCGTCAGAATTCCTGCCAAGATCAACACACAAGCTGGTCGGAAAGCGTGGTTTCCTGATTTGAAAGAGTGCTGACAAGCCAGCATTTGCACAAACTCCCCAAACAGGAGCTGCTGATTTCCAGAGAAAGCAGAAGCCACCGCCTGCTCTGATAAGCCATGTCCCAGGGTGGGGGCCGCAGGGCTGTGGCCAAGTCCTCCCGTCCCTGCTCCTCCAGAGTCAAAAGCAACGGTGTGGAAACCGCCTTTTGTGGCTGGGCCAAAACAAGAAAATGCAAATAAAAAGCAGGAATGTTTCTTTGGTTTCTCTGGAAATAACATAGGGGCTATGAAAACAATTTCTTTTTGGCTGGGGATGCGGGCCGCTCAAAGTCAGTAATTGAAGATGCTCAGGCATCTTTTTTGGACACGCCAAGTTCTCCCGGGAGGCATTTTTTTAGGCCCTTTGTTTTTTCTTCTCCAACAAGTTTCTCCAACAAGAGGAAAAAGTGGATAGAAAAGCCAAGCATTTCTGCCCAACTTGCTCCAAAAAAGCTGGGCAATTTCCCAAATAAGCCGCACAAAAATTAGACAAAGAGACCATTTGTGGAAAGCGTAAGGAGGGGCCACCTGGCAGCTGTCCAGCGACGTCCTCAGCTTCTCGATGTTCTCGGTGGTCTCCTCCTGCTTGGAGTTGCTCAGCTGGGTCTCTTTCTGGAGGGTCCACTTTTTCTGCTGAAAATTGATGTTGTCCTCAGTGACCTGGGTAATTTTCTCTATTAACTGGTGAGAAAAAGAAAAAGGAAAAAAAAAAAAAAGATGTAACATACAGGGGTGGGGGGCCCTGAGGGAAGGGGAATGGGAGAGGGGAGAGATGCAACTTAAGTCCCTGTCTAAGCACGGGAGGACAGAGGTCCTGATATGTCTTGGTGATGGCTGTCAAGGGGGACGTTGGTCCTGTCACCAGGGAATGAGTCCCAGAATCAGAGATTCTCTTTTCTTTTTTCTTTTCTTTTTTTTTTTTTTGCGACGGAGTTTCACTCTTGTTGCCCAGGCTGGAGTGCAATGGTTTGATCTCGGCTCACCGCAACCTCCGCCTCCTGGGTTCAAGCGATTCTCCTGCCTCAGCCTCTGAAGTAGCTGAGATTACAGGCACGCGCCACCATGCCCGGCTAATTTTGTATTTTTAATAGAGATGGGGTTTTACCATGTTGGTCAGGCTGGTTTCGAACTCCCGACCTGAGGTGATCCACCCGCCTCGGCCTCTCAAAGTGCTGGCATTACAGGCATGAGCCACCACTCCTTGCCGATCAGAGATTATTTTTATGATCCAAAGGCCTGTCTTGTGGCCCTGAGTTTGTTCCAGATTCTTCTGTGTTGTATAGGGATTCAGAACACTGAGCCTGATATTATGGGCTCATAAGCAGCAGGTCAGGTTCTCCCACACCCACTGAGAGCAGCCCACGGCACATTTTCCCATCTGTGCTTTGACACAGGGGGCTAGAAAGTGTAGTGGAAGAACAGCAAGGCAATCATTACAGCCAGACATCCACCCTCACTGCCACTGTCAACTTTTCTCCTCTGAAGGAACGCGCCAGAACGCACTGGCTGTGGGGAGGCGGCTCCCTTTCTCCCAGTGCTAATGGAGGCGAAACATGCATGTCTGGAGACCAGAAGTAAGCCCGAATGGTTTAATTTGATTTTCACAGACACATTTCAAGGGAGTTTTAACTGGCTTTTACTTTAAAAGCCAGGAAATCCCATAAAATCAAAACAAATCTTTATGGTGTAGCAACAGTGTGAAAAATATGCCACCAACAAAAACAGAAACATATGCTCCCAGGGTCTGGAATCCAGATCCACGAAGAAGAAGAAGAGGAAAGTGAAGGAGCCACGTGGCAGGGACGGCAGACTAACCTGTTGGTCGGTGACGGGCTTGTCCCGGAACGGCTTCGCCCGTCCATAGGTGGCCTTGATGACTTGACTTCTGAAGTGCTCCAGCTGCAGCAGAGAGGGGGCAACAGTGTCAGGGGGTCAGCAGGGGCCGGCAAGTGGGGGCAGCGTTTCCATGGCAGGGTGCGGGAAACACCACTTAGCAGGGTTTGCACGCCTGAATGACCATTCCGCGTTATCAGAATCTTCACCGCTCACGGGGAGTGGCGGGACCCACAGAAGAAAAGAGAACAGCAGGCTTTAATTACTTTTTAGGCACGCCTGCCTAACCCGAACGATGCCTGTGGTCAGTGCACACACATGTCTCAAACCCTCAGAAGAGCCTCTTGCTGCCAATTATCCAATGGGAAGTCTGGGGCCGGGAGCGCTCTTCCGTAATTGCTAAGTTGGCACCAGACTGTGAAATAAATATTGAGGCTGTCAGTCCAAGTAAATTGTGTAGTCAGCAAGGAAGCCCGGGGAGAGGAGAGTGTTCTCCCTTTCTCCATTTCATGCCTGAGCCCATAAGAGTCCTGAAGACTATGTCCACTCTGTTCATCTCGGTATCCCTGGAGCCTACTACGGTGCCTGGTGTAGAGGAGACACTCAGACACCCAACTAACCTTTGCTGGATGCCTGTACACAGAAACATCACCTTAAGCCAAGGGCCTCTACTTCTAGTGGCTTTCACTGAGCCCCTCCTGGGTGCTAGTGTTTTCAGGTTAAGGCTGATGAAATAGCAGTTACATTAAGTCCGGACTTACAGAATGACAAGTCCAAGGTGTCCTGATTCCATTAGTAGTTAGAGGTAAAAAGGAGCCCGACTTTCTCTGAGAATTTACCAACATGGCAGCCCCTGGCGTGAGTCTCCAGTTCACTGGCAAAACGTGGTTATTAAATACTCC
This sequence comes from Homo sapiens, assembly GCF_000001405.40. NCBI lineage: Eukaryota > Metazoa > Chordata > Mammalia > Primates > Hominidae > Homo > Homo sapiens. The sequence continues at coordinate 15,326,222 of NC_000001.11, read as the reverse complement.
AAAGCAGAGCCTTGAAGGGACCAAAAGGGCTACTGCCTCAACCTGGGGCCCAAGACACAGGTATTTACTGCACAGGGGAGTTCTAATGGGAAACGTCTTACGGACATCTCTGCAGTGACCCTGCCAGGAGAAGACCAGGTGACATGAGGTTCTCAAAGCCATCCTCTGGTTTCATGGCCAAGTGGAGGGTCCCAGCTCACCCAAAGAATTGACTGTGTAGAGGAAGCCCTATGAATGATGGTCCCCCATTGCCATCAGGGGCTCCCCACAGGAATGGCTGCCCAGGGCCATTGGGAGGGAGAGGTCATCTTAGACATGGCCTCGGGCCTGGGGTCACTTGGCTGGGGAAGGGCAGACTATTGGACAGGGAGCAGGGCCTTGGAGATACAGGAGAGGGAAGGCACTGGGAGGCAGAGAGAGGGCTTGTCCTTTCTCTCAAGTCTAGACCTGGAGCAGTCTCAGGACCTCCAGGGCTCCTCCTGGATGACCTCTGCCCAGAGCTATAACAAGAACCTTGGCCCTTGGGCAAGGAGCACGGGTCAGACCCTCAAATCAGGTATGTGTTAGGGGGAAGATTGGGGGTAGCCAATGTGCACAGGAAGAGGCCCAGACAGGCAGGTTCTCTGCCCTTGATAAGGGGCTGGCGCCCCCACAGGAGAAATGGTGCTGGCGGTTACAGTGGTGAATATTTGAATTTTAGGGTACAGGGACAAAGGCCTGGTCACACTGCCTGGTAAGGCTTGGATGGTAGAAAATGGAAGGGCTTTGGGAGCTGAGCTGGGTGGTTTGAGAGATCCTGGCTTTTAACCTTTCTTGGTAGTTCACAGACCCTCCTGAGAACCCAGTGGGAGACATGGGGGGCCCTCCTTCCCAGTAATACACACACACACACGCACACACACGTGTGTGTGCAAACCATTCTGTGGATCCCCTGGAGTCATGGTTTCCAGGAGAGGGACCCCTGTGGAGGAATCTAGGGTGGGCTGCCCCTGGGGGACCACATTCCTCAGGGTCATATGCCCTCCCATCTTGGTTTCCTGTTTGCTTTCCCTTAGCTTTTGGTAAACTTTCGTCTGCACATTCCGGCCCCCATGACTGTGTCACATTTGCCAGGAAGGGCCACCGGCGATTTCAGGCCACAGCATCAAAGAAACAGCACCTCCAGACCAGGTCGGAGTGGCTCACCCACAGCCGGGAGCTTCTCCATCCAGCACGCACTTTGGACACTCCAGGGTTTTACCTTATTAAGAAAAGTGGCATTTCCTTATAGACACTGTCTGTAATGTCTGCTGGGGCCCAAGGGGAAGAAAGATTGTGGTAAATGTCAGGACTAAAAACATTAAGGAGAAAATGCTAGAAACACCACTGGGGGCAAGGAGCTCGGTTAACTGGGGGCAGGCATCGAGCCGGGATTGGCTGCCTGGTCCGGGTCTCGGGTCATCGTAAACTATTCGAGTGGGAGGCCTCCCAGCAGCAGAAACCTGTTAAGCGATGTCCATGGGGGTGGGGAGCTGCAGACAGCCTCTGCTCATGAGATAAATGGGAGAATTAACGCACGTCTGTCTTTCTACCTTGGGCGTCCTCCTCTCTCACCCCCACTGGCTGCTTGGGTGCAATCATTGGAGAGCGTGGGCCAATGAGGGGGGCTCTGGAACATGCCTACCTGACCTACTGCCCTCTCCAAATTGATTTTAATGACGCTCTCTCTGTTCCCCATTTCTTGCAGCTGAAGCAATTTCCTTCTGGAATCCTCCTGAAGCTTCTCTTCAACCTGAAATGACGATGAAAGCGAGTACTTGCTGCTAATGTGATCATAATGCACTCTGGGGAGATTCCTCTAGGATGTCTAATGGCCGTGGGGGGTCCCAGAGGGGTAGGCACAGCTGCAGCCCATGTGGCAGGGGTCACAGGCGTGCGCGGGGTGGAGCCAGGCTAGGGGGGCACTGTCCGTTGGGGGAAAGGGCTGGGCTCTGCACCCTGGGCTCAATATTTGTCCTACCCCAGGCTCTAATCCCAGCCCGGTCCCTAGCAAGCTGTATGACCTCAGCAAAGTCATTTCACTGCTCTGTGATTCAGTGTCCTTATCTGTCAAATGGGGTGATACTAGTTCCCTCTTCGCAGAGTTATTGTGGGGATTTTAAAAAGTTTGGAATAGTGACAGCGCTTCGTAAGGGCTCTATAAGTGTGTTAGATGTTGTGACCTAGAACAGGTGGATGACAGTAGCCACTATACAGAGTCATCCTAACACCATAAGGAACTGCCGCCCATCGTGGGCACTTGGTAAATGTTAACTGCTGGGTTTATTATTGTAACTGTTTATTGCTACCACTTCTAGCACACTTACCAAGGGAAACTGCTCTGGGAGCTAAGCAATGGCTAGTAAAGAATTGTAGCCTGCAAAAGAAGGCGTTTAAAGTGGGGAAACTTGCCCATTTTCCCCCGCTTGCTCGAGTAATGGGCAACTCGAGGTGAGCTTGGGCGTGTTCGGTGCTGCCCTCTGCTGGCCATTACAGGACCCTGCAGCTGCTCAGTTCATGTCTGAACCATGAACATTTTGGGCATCTGCTGAGCCAGGGCTCAGGCACTTGCAGGAAATGAGACAAACTCTCCTAGATGAGAGGATTTTGTTCTGAAACAGCCTCACAAGTGGTTTATTAGGGGGCTAGAGAGGGGTCACACAGATTTCATGTAAAACACCCAGAGCAACCTGTAAAGCTTTCTTCTGAGTGGCAGGGTGCAGCCAGTCCCCAGTGAGCTGTTTCCCGGGAAGGCCGGCTAAGCTCGCTGGGCCTCAGTTTCCTCACTTACATCCTCTCAGGTGTAAACATACCCCAGCTTCTGTTTCGGCGGACGTTTTTCAAATGCTGCGAAAGCAGAGGCTGTCCTGGGCTCTGTTCTGGCTCCTCCTCTCAATGACTGGCCTCCCCGCCCCCAGCCCCAGCTCTGGCAGTCCTGTTCTTCATATCACTGCCACACAGCAGGCCTTTGGCACCAGCTGTCAGAGATTTATTTATTGAGCTCCTCCTCTGTGCATGGTGATAGGGTTTGGCTGTGTGTCCACCCAAATCTCAACTTCAATTGTATCTCCCAGAATTCCTAAGTGTTGTGGGCGGGACCCAGGGGGAGGTAACTGAATCATGGGGGCCGGACTTTCCCGTGCTGTTCTCCTGATGGTGAATAAGTCTCACGAAATTGACGGGTTTATCAGGGGTTTCCACTTTTGTTTCTTCCTTATTTTTCCCTTGCCACCGCCATGTAAGAAGTGCCTTTCGCCTCCCGCCATGATTCTGAGGCCTCCCTAGCCATGTGGAACTGTAAGTCCAATTAAACCTCTTTTTCTTCCCAGTTTCGGGTGTGTCTTTAACAGCGGTGTGAAAACGGACTAATACACATGGTCTGAGGCTAGGCCCTGAGCACCTTTGGCCGTGACGCCTCCTTGCCTCTAATTTATTTCCTTCCAGAACATCCTTCATGGTCCTGTGAGAGGGTTACCAAGTGGTGGGGCAGCACTGTCTGGTAGAACTTTCTGCAATGATGAAGTGCTCTAACTCCATACTGTCAAATAGGGTGGACACTGGCCACATCTGGCTATTGAGCACTTGAAGTGTGGCTCATGTGACTGAGGGACTGAATTTTACATTATATTTAATTTCACCTAAATGGCCACACGTGGCTAGTGGCTATGCCACAGTAACTGGAGTCAGACAGGCCTGGCTTCCCCCAATCTTGGCTTTGCCACTTACTGACTGTGTGCCTTTGGGTAGTGACTTGACTCTATGCTTTGACTCCCTCAACTGTAAACAGGCATCTTGAAAAGCTCCAATATATTAAAAAAATAATAAAATGGGCATAATAATTTCTAGGTCAGAGTTGTGAGGATGAAAAGAGATGAAATGTTTGGCAAAATGCTGAGTCCATGCAAAATTGTGGCTATCATTTTCACCATTATTATTAATCACAAATTTAAACATATTAGTTCCCTGTTCAAGAGCCTCAGTAGCTCCCCACTGCCTAGGTAGTACACAGCCCACACTCCAAAACTAATGAAAAACAGCAAGCCAAAGATTCAAGAAGCCCATACGAACCCCAATAAGATAAATAAAAATGAATTCACACCTAGATACATCCTAATAAAACTGCTGTAAATCAAAGGAAAAGAAACATTTAAAAAATCCAGAATACAAAAAGATTATACAATGGTGCAATAGTTAGGTTATAGGTTACTTCTAAATAGAAACAAATGAAGCCAAAACACAATGGAATGATAGACTTACTGTCATCTGTAATGTGCTGAAAGAAAACAATTGCCAGTGCAGAATTCAATACCCAGTCAAAATATGTTTCATGAATGAAGGATAAATATAGAAATTTTCAGACACATACACATGCATACACACACATGCACACACATGCATGCACACATGTGCATGCAAACATGCACAATCACACATATGCACACACGTGCTTGCACACACAAATGTACACACACTCCTGAGAGAATATGACACCAGCAGAGCCATGCTGAAGGAAAACACTAAAGGATGTTCTTCACGCTGAAGAAAAATGATCTAGATGGATGATCAGAAATGTAGAAAACACATAATAGTAATGTGTAGATATGGATGTTGACTCTAGAAAAATATTAATAATGTCTTTTGGAGTTTCAAATATAGAGAGAAGTTTAGAAAATGATAACAATGGCATATAAGTCTGGATGGGGTAAGCGAAGTTAAAGTGTCAATCTCTAAGTCATTGTGTTAAGAAGAAGGACATAATTATTAATGAATATTGAATTTTGGTAAGTTGAAAATGCATATTGTAAAATTTAGAATAACCACTAAAATAGTAAGAGTTAAAAACTCACTAAATATTAGATTTTGATAAGTCACGAATGCGTGCTATTGTCTTATGATTACTAAAAGAAAAGTAAAAGAGAGAACATTTCCAAGCTAGTACGGGGGCAAAGGGAATGATAAAAAACTGTCAACTCGCCCAGGCATTGTGGCTCACGCCTATAATCCCAGCACTTTGGGAGGCCAAGGTGGGCAGATCACAAGGTTAAGAGATGGAGACCATCCTGGCCAACATGGTGAAACACTGTCTCTACTAAAAATACAAGTTTAGCTGGGCATGGTGGTGTACACCTGTAGTCCCAGCTACTCAGGAGGCTGAGGCAGGACAATTGCTTGAACCCAGGAGGTGGAGGTTGCAGTGAGCTGAGATCGCACCACTGCACTCCAGCCTGGCAATAGAGCAAGACTCTGTCTCAAAAAACAAACAAACAACAACAAAACAAACCCATCAACTCAAAAGAAGGAAAGAATGGGGAGAAAAAGGAACATAGGTAGTACACCTGGCCCTGAGCAAGTAGATAAATTTAAATCCCAATATGCCAGCAATTATATTAAATATACTTGGACTGAAAGACAAAGATGGTCAAACTGTATAAAACCTATGTGCTGTTCACATGAGATACACATTGTAAAATAAAGATTGACATAAAAAGTATGAAAAAGATAGTCTATGAAAACTCAAATCAAAAGAAAGCTAGTGTATCTGATGGAGCTACCTTAATGACAAAGACTTTAAAGGAAAAACATCTCTAGCAATGAAGAGGAACATCTTGTGATAGCCAAAGATTTGATTCGATAGGAAGTAATGAAATGGTAAATACATATGCATCTACTAACACAGCTTCAAAATATATAAAGCAAAGATTGACAATATTAAAAAAAGAAACAGACAAATCCACAATCATGTTAGGATCTTCAAACAATATGCCTCTCTCAGTGGCTGACAAAACACACAGACAAAAAAAATCAACAAGAGCATTTAAGTTTTGAGCATTATCGGCAAGCTTCATTTAATGTCCATATACAGAATACTAAACCCAATGACTGCAGGATGCGTATTCTTCTCAAGTGTGCACGTGGAACTGCAGTCGGCCACATGCAGGCCATAAAACAAGTCTCAATTAATATCAAAAGATTGAAGTTACACAGAAAATGTTCTCTGACCACAGTGTAATTAAGCTAAAAATCAGTAACAAAAAAGGTAAGCAGAAAACCCTCATATATTTAGAAATTAGGAAATAAGCTGCATAGTAACCCATGGGTGAAAGAAGAAATCACAAAGGGATTTGGAAAATATTTTGATCTGAATAATAACGAAAATACTACGTACTAAGACTTGTGGAATGCAGCCAAAGCCTTGTTTAGAGAAAAATTGATAGCCCAGAGAGCATTTTGACTCCATGTTCATGACTACAACTATTTAAAAGAAAAATATACCATAGCAAGTTCATTTTCATTGAGAGGGTATTTTCTAGAGCAAAGTTCATTAAGCCAGTTGTTTAACAGATTTCCAAATGTTTCCATTTTCACTTTAGTCTCCTGAAATTATTTTGATCTGGATCAGTTCTTTTGTAGGCAAATTATACAATTATGATTTGATTCATCCATAAGTTTTTCTGGACCCTATCAAATATTTACCAATCACAGGTCTGTCTGTCTGTGTTTTATTTTGTAGTTTTCATTTCTACCATGTCCATTTTCCCCATATTATATTTTACAAGTCTAAACTTTTTCAAGAATATTTGATTTTTTTAAGTGATTATTTTAATTTTTTGTAGACAGGGCCTCACTGTGTTGGCCAGGCTGGTCCTGAACTCCTGGTCTAAAGCAATCCTCCTGTCTCGGCCTCCAAAGTGCTGGGATTACAGGCGTGAGCTACTGCACCTGGACAAGAATATTTGATTTTTCTCTTAAGTTTTAATTGATAAATAAATTTTACTTTGTATAGTCTTAACTGTTGATTTTAATTTTGTGTTAATTATTTCTGCCAAGTCTACTTATGTCTGGCCAACTTTTGCAGGCTTCAATACTATCCATAAGATGTGATCCTTGTGTAGTATACATTTCAGCTCACGAGGTTTTAATGATTTGACTTCTGCTGACTATACTCACATTCATATTAAATAAAATTGGAGAAAAATAGATTATTTGCTTTTATTTCTCAGATCATCCCTGAGAACCTCCCTTCACATAGAATTCCTCTGCCTTTTAGATTTGTTCTTAAAATATTCTCAGTTGTGGTTGGGCGTGGTGTCTCACACCTGTAATCCCAGCACTTTGGGAGGCTGAGGCAGGAGGACTGCTTGAGGCCAGCAGTTCAAGACCAGCCTGGGCAACATAGTGAAGCTCTGTCTTTATTTATTAAAAAAAAAAAATTCTTAGTTTTCTCAATGACAACCATCTTCTAATCAAATAAACTAGATGATTCAAATGGAAAGAAAGAGATTCTGTCCACACTGCTCAGGACTCTCGAAGATATTTTCAGTTAAAAAAATTAAAATAAATGTGTGATCCATAAGCATCTTTTATACAACTCTTCAATTGGTTATGTTGCTAAAAGAGGTCACCATTAATTTAAAACAATAGGACTTGCTGTGCTGATGGAAATTTCCATATCTGTGCTGTCCAGTGCAGCAGCCACCAGCTACACGTGGCTACTATGCACTTGGAACGTGGCTGGCAACTGAGGAGCAACGTTTTGTTTTATTTATTTTTAATTAAATTTTTTTTTTTTTGAGACGGAGTCTTGCTCTGTCGCCCAGGCTGGAGTGCGGTGGCACGATCTCAGCTTGCTGCAACCTCCACCTCCCAGGTTCAAGTGATTCTCCTGCCTCAGCCTCCTGAGTGGCTGGAATTACAGGCCTCCGCCACCACATCTGGCTAATTTTTGTATTTTTAGTAGAGACGGGGTTTCACCACATTGGCCAGGCTGGTCTCGAACTCCTGACCTCAGGTGATCCATCTGCCTCAGCCTCCCAAAATGCTGGGATTACAGGCGTGAGCTACCGGCTTTAATTTAAATGTAAATAGCCATGCGCGGTTAGTGGCTACTGTTATGGATAGCGCAGGTCTGGAGTATGCAATACAATTTTTTTTCCCATGATGGGAAGGGACATTAAAATAATTAAGCAACACGAAACTCAAAACTGGGATTGGGAGGCCAGAGGTGGGTCTCATTACCAAAAAGCAAGAAACAGTTTTAGAAGGCAGTGAGGAGTAGTGGGGTTACTCACAGGGGCCTTGGAGTCAGACCAACCTGGGTTCAAGTCCTGCCACAACTACTTTATGCAGTGAACCTGGTCCCTGTCCCTGTGTGAGCCTCAGTTTTCTCAGCTGTAAGAAGGGTTAATACCAGCATAGTCCACTTAGAGGACTAACAGGGATGATGAGTGGGGAGCTACCGCCCACACCACTCTCTGGGCCTGTTGTCCACTACGTACCTTGCTTTTTTCTCTCAGAGTCCTAGAGATCACGCTTTGTTCAGTACAACTCTTCCTCAGCTCTGCCCTAAGCTTCTTCATTTCTTTCTCCATGTCTTGGATTTGCTGAAAAAGTTTCAACAAGAGTGAACCTCCCTGATGGGGGCAGGAGCTGCCTTCTTGGCTGAGAGGTCTGAGCCCTCATCATCCCCTGGCATCCCATCCATTAAGGTGGAAACCTTGTCTGGTATCAGCTTATTTAATTCCTTCTCCTGGAGGAAGGTTTTACATCTCTCAGCAAAATAGACTTTATTTTTCGACTGATATATTAAAAGTTCTGGATAAAGGAAATTAGTTTCTTTTGGAAGTCAGTACAGCTCCTGGATTAAGGACTACAGGACACCCATCAACTCACTTGAAACCCTGCTCTTGGGTTATATTTTTGAGTTCAATCTAAAGGGCCAACTGTTTGGAAGACTCAACAGGCAAGGTCTGGAAGAACGGAACAATGAAATGTTTTTTCTTTTTTGTTTGAGGCAGAGAGTAAAATGTTCCTGGCCTGGAGGAACGGTGCTGGCGTGGGGAAGAGCAAGTTGGAGAAGCTGAACTTCCCGAGTGGAAAACGCACACCTGGTGATGTGCAGGGTGGATTCGGAGGGCGTCAGGAATACACCTCCTTTGACTTTTAATGGTCTTATTTTCATTGTATTTATTTTTATGGTTACCTTCTACATAAGGCAAATAACTTTTTCTTTTTTTGAGACAGAGTCTCGCTCTGTTGCCCAGGCTGGAGTGCAATGGCACGATCTCGGCTCGCTGCAACCTCTGCCTCCCGGGTTTGAGCAATTCTCCTGCCTCAGCCTCCCAAGCAAGCAACTGGGATTACAGGCACCCGCCACCATGCCCAGCTAATTTTTTTGTATTTCAGTAGAGACGGGGTTTCACCGTGTTCCCCAGGCTGGTCTAGAACCTCTGAGCTCAGGCAATCCACCCACCTTGGCCTCCCAAAGTGCTAGGATTACAGATGTGAGCCACTGCCTTGTTTTGTTTTTACAAGTGGGTGTTAAATAGTTGTGTTTAAATAAAAATACTTCAGGAAGTGTCAACAATGGTGCCTGTGGCTAGGATAAAACTTGGGACAGTGGAATACATGTTTGGGAGTCACAGGTCAGGGGTGGGGCAGGGGACCATGTGGTGGCCAGCTGGCCAGCCTCCTGTCCCTGTCCCCGGTCTCAACCCCAACCTGGCCCCAGGGGAAACCCTTGAGGGAGCTAGAGCCAACTGCCCAGGGAATCCTGGGGCCCCTTCACCCATCTCTTTCTTGCAGAAGCAGCAGATCAAAGAGCAATGAGACTATGTTAAACAAGCAAGCACAGAGCCCCAGAGCTTCATGCTTAGTGATGGCCCAGGATCCCACCAAGAACCTCAAGGTCAAACTCTGTTTTTTCTGGTGGTACCTACAAAGGAGGAAGCTCAACTCACGGTTTTGCAGAGTTTTAACTCTTTCTCCTGGGCTTCCCTGAGCTCCCTGTGAGCATCTTCCTGTTTTAACTCTTCCTTTAGCACCGAGCACTGTGGAGAAAAGGGCAACACAGAAAGAGGCCAACGTTGGCCAGGTAGGGTTGTCGGGGGAAGGAGGGGCTCCAAGGCCCCATGTGAGCCCCTGAGAGCATTTCCTGCTGTTTCCATCCAGTCACGCACTGAGATCCCAAAAGGCATCCCATGGTGTCTGACGGGCACACAGGATCCCAAAGCTGTTCCTGCTTCTCCACTCAGGAAATCAGAGGAATAAAGCCACTACTCTCATCTTCAAAAGCCAGCAATCTAAACCACAAGGAAAATCCAGCTTTGGAGAGTCTGTGCTGAGGAATAAACACGGATGTCCTTGGAGGGCCACTAGCGAGCCTGGACGGCTCTCAGTGCTTCATGCAATTCACTCCTCCAAGACACCACTGCCCTGGGAGCGGCGGTGAAAATGGAACAGCCGTTCTGGAGGGCAATTTGGCAACGGGCATTAAGAACATATATAATGGGCCTCCTTTTTGACCCAGAAATTCTGCTTTAAGAATGTATAAGGACAATGGCTGGGCAAATCAGCAAGTCTGTAGGTTCAGGGATGTTTTTGAGAGTATTGTTAGCCATAGTGAACAAAAAGGAAATACCCGGCTGGGCGCGGTGGCTTGCACCTGTAATCCCAGCACTTTGGGAGGCCGAGGTGGGCAGATCATGAGGTCAGGAGATTGAGACCACCCTGGCTAACACGATGAAACCCTGTCTCTACTAAAAATACAAAAAAATTAGCCAGGTGTGGTGGCGGGCGCCTGTAGTCCCAGCTACTTGGGAGGCTGAGGCAGGAGAATGGCGTGAACCCGGGAGGCAGAGCTTGCAGTGAGCTGAGATCGCGCCACTGCACTCCAGCCTGAGTGACAGAGTGAGACTCCATCTCAAAAAAAAAAAAAAAAAAGGAAACACCCATGTCCGATAACCCGGGGCTGTTTGATTCCATTGTGCACAGACAAGAGAATGTCATGGAGCTTTAAAGACCCATGAGAAAAGCTCTTATCCATGTGAGGAAACAGTAATTGTTTAAAGTTTAAAAAATGTATATAGTGTAAATTTGTTGTTATATATCTGTTACAGATATATTTTTTCCAGGTAATTTTAGAAACAAAACAGAAGGAATATGCACTCAAGTACTGACATAGATTTCTTGGCGGTGGCATTTCTCTTCTCTCTTTAATTTTGCTCTCCAGTTTTATCTACTTTTTATTCTAAAATTAACACAGCACATGTAATTTGAAAAATAAAGACAGTCATTCGGATGTTCACATGAGCAATACCCTTGGTCACGAGGAGCCCACGTGCTGATGAACGCCAGGTGCGGCCTGGAGAAGAAGGCAGACCTGTTCCAAGGTCAACGGGGAAGGGAAATGGGGACACAAGTAACCCAAATGCACTTCGTGGGCAGAAGAGCTCCGGAGCTGCTGTTTCTCCGTATTTCTCCCACCTAACATCAGCTCTACAGCCCCGACACACATCCACACACCCCACACACCCCACACGCACCCCCATACCACACCACACCCACACATCCACACGCCCCCTCACCCACTCACCTACACACATCCACACCCCCACACACCCATTCACCCCCACACCACACATCCATACCCCCACACACCCATACACCCCCACACACCACACTCACACACACACCTACCCATATCCACACACACCCATACACACTTACACACATCCACATCCCCACACACCCATTCACCCCCACACCACACATCCATACCCCCACACACCCACATACATCCTCACACCCACACCCACATACCCACACACCTGAAAGGGCGACAACACATGTAATCCAGGCGGTGACCCTGCTCGGGGGACGGATGCAGAGGGCTGGGCGAGGCGGGCTAACCAGCCGCAGAGGCGGAAGCGCACAATGCAAACCGGCCTCTCACTTCTCAAAACTGATTTTGTTGTTCCCATTTCGCTGATGACAAAGGGGAGGCCACATCAGTTATAACAAAAGCCCACTCTGGGCTCGGACCCTGGTCTGTGTGCCCCCGGGGCTCCTGTCCTGCCTTTCCCCAGCTCCAGTTGGGGCACTGCGGTCAGAGCCAGAGGTCACTACTGCTGCTTCATCCTTGGACCCCCAGATCCACCCTGCCTGGGTGCCCATGCAGACTTGGCGAACTCTTCAGGCACACCTGAGATGAAAGCTGTTAGGTTTTACCTTGACTCACCGAAACAGACACATCTCACAAATACTGAGAAATCCTATAGGTTCAGGATTCTAAAGTCAGAGCATTGAGGTACATTTTGCAAATAGTTATTATTATTATTATTATTATTATTATTATTATTATTATTTGAGACGGAGTTTCACTCTTGTTGCCCAGGCTGGAGTGCAATGGCGCGATCTCAGCTCACTGCAATTTCTGCCTCCCAGGTTCAAGCTATTCTCCTGCCTCAGCCTCCTGAGTAGCTGGGATTACAGGCGCCTGGCTAATTTTTGTTATTTTTAGCAGAGACAGATTTTCACCATGTTGGCCAGGCTGGCCTCAAACTCCTGATCTCGTGTGATCCACCAGCCTCGGCCTCCCAAAAGTGCTGGGATTACAGGCATTAGCCACCGTGCCTGGCCTCAAAATTACTTTTAAACAGCTCTTGACTTGCCTACCAGGTTCACTCCACACAGAATATTCTTACCCACACTAAAGTCTAAGGGAAGAAATGAAAGTCTGTCTAACTGCACTTGGGCCTGCAAACATTCTGCTTCGAAGGTGACTGTGCAAACCAGTGGTTACTGGGATGAGGGGAAGCCCACCGTGTCCTCTTTTGCATGCAGTGATTCTATTCTGCTTTAATATTAAGCCTTGCCATGGAAATAGCCAAGCTGAGAGGTGCATTTACTGCTGGAATTAACCAAACTCATTTATAATGGGCATTAGAAAATGTTTCCTGGAGTTGAAGCTACATCTTGCTTATTCTGGGGCACGTGCACGCCGATCTTTGAAAAGGTGCAAAGAATGTGGCCAGCTGTTTTAGTTTTTCTAGGTAGGCATTTCATGTTTTGCCCCCAACGCCCACCCCCCCACCACCCCGCCCCCAGCACAATGGTGTGAGAGGAAGGAATGAAATTTAAACTAAGGGCCCAGGGTGAATGAAACAAGCATATCACGTGACTTCACTTTAGCTGCTTTTCACCGGATGGCTACAAGGTGACGCAGTCATCCTTACTCACTCTAGAGCCAAGGGCTTCCAGCTGGTGGTCCTTGTCCTTGTTCTGACTTTTTAGGTGACTGACCTCTTCCTTTAGTTGTTGAACTTGCTCATCCTTTGCTAATATGTCTTTTTGCAAAGATGACACCATCCCTGTAAAAAAGAAGACTCGCAGAGGTCAAAGAGGCAGTGAGGATGACTGTCATCGCTGCCGCTGTCAACCAGTTTGTGACGAGCCTGGCACTGAGAAGGGAGGTGTCTCCAAGGATCCCAGGAGCTTGAATGGGGTTGAGACCAATATCCACTGCACATCATTTGTTCAAGGTCCCAGTGAGAAGGAGAGGTCAGTCAGTGCGTGTTGCTGGAGACAGGAAACATCTGTCGGGGTGCTGTGGGCATCGGCCCTGCCTGGGAACAAAGGCTCAGCAGAGAGAGGGACCAGGAGGGGCCACGACATGGGCCTGTGGCAGCAAGGGACGTGTTGATTCACACTCATCTGAGTTTGGAAACCGTCTCTAGCACTTACTAGCTCAGTCGTCTTTTTTCTTGAGACAGGGTCTTACTCTGTCACCCAGGCTGGAGTACAGTGGCACGATCATGGTTCACTACAGCCTCGACCTCCTGGACTCAGGCGATCCTCCTGCCTTGGCCTCCCAAGTAGCTAGGACTACAGGTACGTGCCACTATGCCTGGCTAATTTTTGTATTTTTTGTAGACATGGAGTTTTGCCCATGTTGCCCAGGCGGGTCTCAAACTCCCAGGCTGAAGCAATCCACCAGCCTCTGTCTCCCAAAGTGCTGGGATTACAGATGTGAGCCACAATGCCCAGCCTAGCTTAGTGGTCTGAAGAAGTTATTTAACCTCTCATTGTATCTACAGAGTTGTATAAAGAACATAGTAGAGTGGCTAACACATAGTGTTTATTCCCTGCCACCCACAAGTATATGTGGTAGCCAGCTTGCAAAATGGCCCCCATGATCCCTGCCTGTTAGAATACCTGGCCTCGTGTAGCCCCCTCCCACCTGAATAGGGCTGACGTGTGTAACTCATATGGCACTGTGGAAGTGGTGAATGTGACTTCCCAGGGTGAATCATCAAAGATGTTGTGGTTTCTTCTTTGCTCTCCTTGGATCACTCAGTCTGGGGAAAGCCAACCGCCATGTTGTGAGGACACTCAAGCAGCCCTAGGGAAGGACACACATGGTGAGGAACTGAGGCCTCCAGCCAACAGCCATGTGAGCGAGTCATTCCAGAAGGGGATCCTCGAGCCCTAGTCGGGCTTTAGATGACATGACAGCAGTAGCTCCTGCAACCTCGTGAGAGACCCTGAGCCAGACTAAGTCACTCCCAAGTTCCTGAACCACAGAAACCGGGTAAGATAAACATATTTGTTGCTTTTTTGGGATAACTTATGTGACAGCAGATAGTCAATATATTATTGTATTATCACATTGAGAAAAAGTGAGAAGAAGGGTGCATAATGCAGTGGTATTGGGTTATCTCATACGGTCCTTTTCTTAGAAAAACATTCATCCTAGTTTTATTGGTGGGTATCAATCAAGAATCAATCTTTATTGCACAATCAAGGATGTGTAATAAAGAACAACATGATTCAGAATTTCATTGTAAAAATGAGCTTCGTCCGGGGACACAGTTAAGTTCCTTAGAAACAGACTGCTCTCTCTGGGGCTTGCCTGCATGCTTTGTGAGGCGGGACCAGAGTGACCTTTTCTCTAGAATGAATTTGGCTTGAGTCTCTACCAGGTGCCCTGTGTAGTGCAAGGTTGCCCCATTCTGGATGGTGGGAAAGTGAGCTACTCTCAGGCCTACGTGGGCTTCGAGATGGTTCCCTCTGCTCCTCCTGGGTGGTTCCTTCCCTGCCCACATGCACGTGCTCATCACACCTGACTCTGCTGAAGACTTGAGGCGGACCCTCTGAGATCTCCGGGGTGCTCTCCGTGCAGCCCCCTCCCGCCTGGCACGCCACCCAGCAAACTCAAGCTGTGCTGGCTTCTCCACCTCCATCTCCTCAAGTCGGGCTGACCACTGGGCTCTGTCTGGCTTCCCCTCCCTGCTGTGGTCTGGAAACTCTCTCCAGCGCAAGCCAGCCGGGGGCAATCGTAGATTTCATCTTGTTTGTTTCCACTCCCTCCCAGATCATCGTCACATGCTTCTTGGGGCCAATAGATGGAAACCATTATTTCAGACATTTTTTTCTGTTTGTTTGGTTTTTGTTTGTTTGTTTGAGTTGTTTCAGGCAGGTGAGGAAATCCGCACCTTGTTCCTCCATCTGCCTCTCTTCCTGTGGAAGATGGGGTTTGTGATGTGTTGTGATGGCTTCTGTGAGCCTGGGTCACTGTGTGGCCACAATGACCAAAGCCCCTACTGACCCATGATGGGCTCAGGGTGGAAGCAGGAGCTGAACCTGTCTATTGTGAGCCACTGAGACTTGGGGGACTGTTTGTCACTGCAGCGTAACCCGGCCCAGTGCTTCTCGAGCTTAAGTGTGCACAAGCAGCAGCCGGGAGGCTTGTGAAAATGAAGATTCTGATCGGAAGGTCAGGAGTGGGGCCTGAAATTCCCAGTTTCTCACAAGGATCCAGGTGATGCTGATGCTGCTGGTCCAGGGACCACACTTGGGGCCGTGAGAGTGTAGCCCATCCCAGGCCATACCTGAGCCCAGGTCTGTCTGACTCCTTGATTAGAGGAGTGGTGTCTGAGACAGGCTTGTAGCGTGGATGGGGTGTGATGGACAGACGCTGGGGAGGAGGGCAGGGCCCAGCGAGATCCCCCTGGGATGCCTGGTGCCCAGAGCAGCCCTGCCCATAGGGCTCACAAGTATCCAAGAACATTCCATGTTAGGGAAGAACAGAGGTAGAAGCCTGGAGTGGGGAGGGGGACTGCAGAGTGAGGCAGAGGGAAAGCCACGGCCAGGCGGCCTGGGTCCTGCGGAGACAGCGATTGTGTCTGACTCAATGCTACGCTCTGCTTTCACAGCCACGGGCATGTTTCCTGCTGTGCAGGGGGGACTTTAGGAGCAATATGCCCAATCTGGACTCATTCCCTCTCCACCACCTGCTTTTCTCTCTTCCCCCTTTCTCTGTCCATGGCCCTATCATCTGCAGGTCTCGAGACATGCCATTCTCTGCCTTAAAAACCCTAACGTGTCCCATCACACTTAGAAGAAAACCTGAACCCCTCCCATGTAATGTGGCCCTGCCTCCCCCCTGACCCCACCAGGTCCCATAGCCCCTTGTTCCCTGACTCCAGCCACACTCGCCGGCAGTTGATCCAACACCGTGGCTTGGTCCAGCCTCGGGGCCTTTGCACCTGTGCTCTCTGCCCAGCATACCGTTCCCAGGGGCCTCCCGACAGCCCCTCCCACCTCCTCAGAGATATCCCTGCCCAGGCACTAAGCCAGGGATGTCCAATCTTTTGGCTTCCCTGAGCCACACTGGAAGAAGAAGAAGGGTCTTGGGCCACGCATAAAATACACTCACGCTAATAATAACTGATGAGCTAAAAAAAAAAATCGCTAAAAAAAAAAAATCTCATAATGTTTTAGGAAAGTTGAGGAATTTGTGTCGAGCCTCATTCAAAGCTGTCCTGGGCCATATGTGGCCCGCAGGTCGTGGGCTGGACAAGCTTGCACTAAGCTATTCTCCTTCACTTCACCCCCTGAGTGCTTCCCCACCACGGTGTCCAGCTTTATTTCCTCTGGAGCACTGATCTCTCTCTGGTATGGGCTTGTTCATTTATCTTTTTACTTCTTATTGTCTGTCATCCTCTCCCAAGTGTGAGCCCCATGAGCAGAGGGGCAGAGGGATCTTGACTGCTCAGGGCTCTCTCTCCCCAGTGCCTAGAACAGTGCCTGGCATCTAGCAGCTGCTCCATAAATGTGCTGAATGAATGAATGAATGAATGAATCCAGGCTAAGAAACAGCTGTGCCTGGCAAGGGTGGGCCATGAGTTGGCTGCCCCCTTGCCCACCCAAGTTCTTGAGTATCCAGCTACCTCTCAATTAGCAAAATGCTTTCGCTCCGGCCCAAGAGCACCAGTGTGAGATGGGTAAGAGGCTGGGTGCCTTAAACTGGCAACCCCATTTTAGCCACATTCTAGTTTGCATTCACAGCAAACTGGCTCATGGGACTGCCTGAGCTGCAGCTTGTCCTGTGTGTTCCCTGGTGAGGTCCATGCTCAGCAGGCCTTTTAGCTAACAGATAACATTTGCTCAAATATTTATCAAGGGCTCACTCCAAACCAGGCCCTATGCTAGGAACTGGATGGCACATAAACCTCTGAGGGTGAACTCAGATTCATGGACAGGAACTGCCTAAAGGGCTGCTGGGAAGAACTCTGAGGCTGCAGCCAAGTTCAGTAACAAAAAGTATGTGGTTGATTGGTGATGTCTGCTGTGGCCAAGAACAACGGGTGCGGGAGTGGCAGCTCCCAGGCCCGACTCCAAGGGCTCACCTGATGTGATAGCGTTGTCTCTCTTTAAGTTCTCGCCCTCATTCTTCAGGGATGTGATTTCTGAGTTCCGCTCTGACAGGGTCTGGCACAGCACCTTGCTGTAGCCTTTCTGTAGGGCACTGATCTGTGGGAGGAGGTGGCACAGTCAGAGGGGGGCTGGCCCACGTCTGGGAGACACACAGGTACTTCTCACAAGCTTGACAGAAAGATTCAGATTGAGTTTTGGCTGGGGTGTTGGGGAAACCAAGCTTTTTAGTTTTAACCAGTGGAAGGGACAGGGGAGGGCCTGTTCCTTCAAGGACCACCACTTCCTATGTCATCAAAACATGAACCTTATCTTTGTGCCCATAAAGGGGCCCAGGCCTGGCTGCCACTGGGGACACCTGGTTTCTTAATGTGCCTTCTGATGACCTTTGGACTCTCAGCCATAAACAGATCACCTGTTGGTTCCAGGTCGCCCAGTACTGACTGGATACAGAGCAAAGTTCAAGAGAGGGAAGCATGTTATAAAATTAATTCCCTCAAATGATAACAATAGGTTATATCTCACAGAACACTCTAGAACCTACAAAGCCCACTCACAGACACTACTCCTTCAACAGAGCCTCATGGCCTCTCCACAGAAGGCTCCTGGGAATGCTCCCGTATTAGTCTGTTTTCACGCTGTGATAAAGACATACCCGAGACTGGGAAGAAAAAGAGGTTTAGGCCGGGCGCAGTGGCTCACGCCTGTAATCCCAGCACTTTGGGAGGCTGAGGCGGGTGGATCATGAGGTCAGGAGATCAAGACCATCTTGGCTAACACGGTGAAACCCTGTCTCTACTAAAAATACAAAAAATTAGCTGGGTGTGGTGGCGGGCACCTGTAGTCCCAGCTACTCGGGAGGCTGAGGCAGGAGAATGGTGTGAACCCGGGAGGCAGAGCTTGCAGTGAGCCGAGATCGTGCCACTGCACTACAACCTGGGTGACAGAGTGAGACTCCGTCTCCAAAAAAAAAAAAAGAGAAAGAGGTTTAATTGGAATTACAGTTTCACTGGCTGGGGAGGCCTCAGAATCATGGCAGCGGCAAGAGAAAATGACGAAAAAGCAAAAGTGGAAACCCCTGATAAACCCATCAGATCTTGTGAGACTTATTCCCTGTAACTAGAACAGCATGAGAAAGACCAGCCCCCATGATTCAATTACCTCTCCCTGTGTCCCTCTCACAATGTGTGGGAACTCTGGGAGATACAATTCAAGTTGAGATTTGGTGGAGACACAGCCAAACCATATCATTCTGCCCCTGGCCCCTCCAAATCTCATGTCCTCACATTTCAAAACCAACCATGCCTTCCCAATAGTCCCCCAAAGTCTTAACTCATTTCAGCATTAACCCAAAAGTCAAAGTCTCATCTGAGACAAGGCAAGTCCTTCCCGCCTATGAGCCTGTAAAATCAAAAGCAAGCTAGTTACTTCCTAGGTACAATGGGGGTACAGGTATTGGGTAAATACAGCCATTCCAAATGGGAGAAATTGGCCAAAACAAAGGGGTTACAGGGCCCATGAAAGTCTGAAATCCAGCAGGGCAGTCAAACTTTAAAGCTCCAAAATGATCTTTTGACTCCAGGTCTCACATCCAGATTACGCTGATGCAAGAGGTAGGTTCCCATGGTCTTGGGCAGCTCCATCCCTGTGGCTTTGCAGGGTACAACCTCTCTCCCAGCTGCTTTCATGGGCTGGCGTTGAGTGTCTGCGGCTTTTCCAGGAGTACGATTCAAGCCATTGGTGGATCTACCATTCTGGGGTCTGGAGGACGGGGGCCCTCTTCTCACAGCTCCACTAGGCAATGCCCCAGTAGGGACTCTGTGTGGGGGCTCTGACCCCACATTTCCCTTCCACACTGCCCTAGCAAAGGTTCTCCATGAGGGCCCCGACCCCACAGCAAACTTCTGCATGGGCATCCAGGCATTTCCACACATCTTCTGAAATCTAAGCAGAGGTTCCCAAACCTCAATTCTTGACTTCTGTGCACCTGCAGGCTCAACACCATGTGGAAGCTGCAAAAGCTTGGGGCTTCCACCCTCTGAAGCCACAGCCCAAGCTCTATGTTGGCCCCTTTTAGCCATGGTTGGAGTGGGTGGGATATAGGGCACCAAGTCCCTAGGCTGCACACAGCATGGGGACCCCGGGCCTGGCCCACAAAACCACTTTTTCCTCCTGGGCCTCTGGGCCTGTGATGGGAGGGGCTGCTGTGAAGGTCTCTGACATGTCCTGGAGACATTTTCCCCATGGCCTTGGGGATTAACATTAGTCTCCTTGGTACTTATGCAAATTTCTGCAGCTGGCTTGAATTTCTCCCCCAGAAAATGGGTTTTTCTTTTCTACTCCATCATCAGGCTGCAAATTTTCTGAATTTATGCTGTTTCCCTTTTAAAATGGAATGCTTTTAACAGCACCCAAGTCACCTTTTGAATGCTTTGCTGCTTAGAAATTTCTTCTGCTGGATACACTAAATTATCTCTCTCAAGTTCAAAGTTCCACAAATCTTTAGGGCAGGGGCAAAATGCCACCATTCTCTTTGCTAAAACATAACAAGAGTCACCTTTGCTCCAGTTCCCAACAAGTTCCTCATCTCCATCGGAGACCACCTCAGCCTGGGCCTTATTATCCATATCGCTATCAGGCTTTTTGTCAAAGCCATTCAGCAAGTCTCTAGAAAGTTCCAAACTTTCCCACATTTTCCTCTCTTCTTCTGAGCCCTCCAAACTGTTCCAACTTCTGCCTGTTACTCAGTTCCAAAGTTGCTTCCACATTTTCAGGTATCTTTTCAGCAATGCCCCACTCTATTGGTACCAATTTACTGTATTAGTCTGTTTTCACACTGCTGATAAAGCCATACCCGATACTGGGAAGAAAAAGAGATTTAATTGGACTTACAGTTCCACATGGCCGGGGAGGCCTCAGAATCATGGTGGGAGGCGAAAAGCACTTCTTACATGGCGGCGGCAAGAGAAAATGCGGAAGAAGCAAAAGCGGAAACCCCTGATAAAACCATCAGATCTCATGAGACTTATTCACTATAACGAGAACAGCACAGGAAATACTGGCCCCCATGATTCAATTACCTCCTGCTGGGTCCCTCCCACAACATGTGGGATTTCTGGGATACAATTCAAGTTGAGATTTGGTGGGGATGCAGTCAAACCACATCAGCTCCCATTTTGCAAGTGAGGAAATCAAGACTCAGAGGGGTGAGGTTGCTTGCTTGGGATTGCACGGATCAGTCGGTGGTAGAGTTACGATCCAAATCCAGGCTTTAGTTGCCTGCTTCCAGTTCTTTCCACGTGGCTCTAGGAACCAGCATTAACAGCCTGAGGCCGTGGAGCATGGTAGGGACTCAGGAGCCAGACTGCCATCTGCAAAATCCGTCTCTGTGTGAAGGTAGGGAGGACACCAATTCTGTCCCATTTTTTTATTCTGTAAGTGTGGTGACAGTCGTAATTTCAGGGTTGTTGAAAGCATTTTCATAAGTTAGTACATGTAAGAGTACATAGACCATGCCTGGCTCCCCACATAGACACTAGCTCTGATTATTCTACGGTGCGTTTTAGCTTCTGCTTCTCTTGCCTGTCTCCAGGAAGGTAGACTGATAGTATTTTTGTGTGCATTTGTAAGCCTTGCCTAGGCTCACTTAAACACCAGTGTGATTGTTATTAAGAGGAGTGCAAGAATCCCTGTTAATCATCTCATCGTGTTGCAGGCATATCATAAGATATGACAGGGTGGGAGTCGGGGGGGACCCCGACAATGCAGATACGGTGTGCCCTGCACCTGGCCACCAGGTGGCGCTCACAGTCTGTTTTTAGTGTCTGTCCCTGAAAACCTTGTGGCTATGACTCGGTGGTAGAATTAACAGAAGGATCAAGGTTTCACAATTTCTACGGCCCATTTCGTGCACCAGTCACATCTTCCCTGGGGCATCTGAGACACTGGAGAAGGGGTGCTCACTAGAAGATGGAGGGACATGGGCTGCAATGTCCCAACCCTCTCCAAGGCCATACTTGCGCAGGTCTCCACTTCGGAAACTTGGAGTGAAAAAAATTATTTCACCTCTTCCTGTTTTCTGTGGGGACATGCAACTCTCCCATAAAAAGGCACTTGGAATTTTTTTTTAAAAAAGTTACAGCTCTTCTCAGCTTAATGCTTTTGTTTGTATACCAGAGGCACAACACAGAGAGAAACTTCCAGAAGGGATGGGAAAATACATCCCCCAGACTCCAGTGCTGTCTGACAGATAGGAAATGTTTCAATCTAAGTACCAGAGCTTTAGGATATCAGACTGTGGGAAAACTCCAAGTAGTCTTCAAACATCTTCATCAATTTCATGACCAAAATAAATATCCATATTGTCTATAATTGGCATAAATCCCCAGGTGTTAGTGCCTATTACACTGTGTAATAAAATGGGCACTGGGTCATAAGAAAGTTAATAGTGCTAGGAAGACTGATTGCTTTAAGATACTAATTCAGCTTCTAATTAGCACAGGCAGTGCAGGCCGCATGGCGGTACGCATTGTCTTGGGGTATTGTATCAGATCGAAGGGCTTTGAGAGCAAATCGTTATGCACACACTTTCAGGAGACCCAGGAGAATAAAGTAATCAGAACAATAAATCAACCTGCCATGTGGCTTGTACGTCTGCTTGAATGTTCTGTTGGCAATAGAATATTTAAGAGACTAAAATGTGAGCAGATGAAACTTGATTTGGATTCAGACCAACTGCATCCTTTAGCTCAGAGATGCTTTGTTATAAAGTATCATCTTTCAATTATGAGCCAAGATCAAAGTGGGGGGAGGAGTATTAATAAGTCAGAGTAATTCTTTCTTTCTTTCTTTTTTTTTTTTTTTGAGACAGAGTCTCACTCTGTTGCCCAGGCTAAAGTGTGGTGGCATGATCTCTGCTCATTACAACCTCTACCTCCCAAGTTCAAGTGATTCTCCTGCCTCAGCCTCCCAAGTAGCTGGGATTACAGGCACGCACCATCACGCTTGGCTAACTTTTGTATTTTTAGTAGAGACGGGTTTCGCCATGTTGGCCAGGCTGGTCTCGAACTCCTGACCTCAGGTGATCCGCCTGCCTTGGCCTCCCAAAGTGCTGGGATTACAGGCGTGAGCCACCACGCCCGGCTACAGAGTAATTATTTATAGATAATTTCACGGTGAAAGATAAATTTCCAGATAATGTGAGCACTTTAAACAATACCCAAAATGTGGACACAGACTCAAAGAGATGTGACAGTTACTCATCCTTAACCTTGTATCTGGACAAGACACTTCACTTAGTGCAGGAAAGCTCTGAAATGGGAGAGTTACTGAAAAAGATGGAGATCTGGTTGCAAAACTGGGTTCAGATGAGAAGAGAAAGAGGCTCCTCAAGGAGTTAGAGACATGTCCAGGCAGCTGTCTGCAGCAGTATTTCCTATAGGACCAGCTCCTTTCATTGCTCTTTCAAAAACAGGTCTGAAGGAGGGTCACTGCCTCAATATTAGGGCATATATTTGTCTGTTTTGTTGTCTACTCTGTCCCCCTCATTGGAACACAACTGTAAGAAGACAAGGATCAGGTCAACCTTGTTCTCTGCCGAATTCCCAGAGCGCAAAAGAGGGCCTGGCACTGGGTAGTCACTCAACAAACGTTTGAATGAACGAATGAGTGGATGAATGAATGAATGAACAGACACTGTCCTATTCTGGAAGGTAACTAGGCCCAGCCCTTGCCCTTGTGGAGTTTATAGTCCCGGAAAGACTCTTCGAGGTTCACCATGTCTAACCTAGGCTTTTTCCAGGGCTGAAACTGTGCACCCTGAACTGGGTACAGAAGGCAGAGGCCAAAAGCAGTGAATCGGCGAACAGAGGCCCCAGGCATGTCCACAGTTTAACCAGCATGATGCACTGAGGGTGAAATTCACCAGTGGCCCATTACTCTTTTAACAACTTTGTTGACTGATATACAATATCACTGACCACTTTTTTTTTTTTTGAGACGGAGTCTCGCTCTGTCGCCCAGGCTGAGTGCAGTGGTGCTATCTTGGCTCACTGCAAGCTCTGCCTCCCAGGTTCATGCCATTCTACTGCCTCCCGAGTAGCTGGGACTACAGGCGCCCGCCACCACACCTGGCTAATTTTTTGTATTTTTAGTAGAGACGGGGTTTCACTGTGTTAGCCAGGATGGTCTTGATCTCCTGACCTTGTGATCTGCCTGCCTCAGCCTCCCGAAGCGCTGGGATTACAGGCGTGCGCCACCGCGCCCAGCCATCACTGACCAATCTTAAAGTAAAAAAAAAAAGAATTTGAATCAAGTTTCAAGAGAAACGTACATGACTGGTAAATTCAGAAATTCCAGGTGAAGAATTTTTGTTTGATGAAATTCCCTATAAGTGAACCAGTAACTAACTGCCTTCAGGGTTTGGTAAAGGCCTCTGTGTTTGGAACACCGGGCAGTTCCTTCTCCCCACTTAGCTAACTTCCCATAGCTCTCTCTGGCTGGGGCTGGATTTGGGTGAGACGCGGTTACTGAAGTGACAGCATTGTGGGGAAATAGGAAATCGAGGTGAGAACATGGGGTCTGCGAGAAGGCGGACCTGAGTTCAAATTGCACTGCCACCTCTCACGTGCTGTGCAAGCTGTAAGCAGTTCCTGGGTGTCTCTGGGCCTGTCTTAGACTTTTTTCTTTCTTTCTTTTTGAGACAGGGTCTCACTCTGTCACCCAGGCTGGAGTGCAGTGGCGCCATCTCAGTTCTCTGCAACCTCTGCCTCCCAGGTTCAGCCTCGGCCTCCCAAGTAGTTGGGATTACAGGCATGCACCATCACGCCTGGCTAATTTTTGTATTTTTAATAGAGACAGGGTTTCACCATATTGGCCAGGCTGGTCTCAAACTCCTGACCTCAAGTGATCTGCCTGCCTCAGCCTCCCAAAGTGCCAGATTACAGGTGTGAGCCACAGCGCCCGGCCTGGGCCTGCCTTAGACCCTTCATCTGTAGAATGGATGTGTCAGAGGATTGTGAGGTTTAAATAAGTTAATCTAAAGCGCTTTGCACTAGTTCTTGCACATGGCCAGTGCTGAACAAAGGCTGATCTTGTTCTTACCATGCTAGGAAACTGCCGAATCTCCCAGTCTTGTGGATTTGTGTTCTTAACCACCATGCTCCACTGACCACGCGTTCCCTAACTCTGGGTGGCTCACCTTGGTTGGTGGTCCTGGGGCCTCCCGGGCCTTGGCCTGAGAGCTGTGCTGTACCTCTCAGGCTCTGCCTACCTGGCTTTTCAAGCTCTGGATCTCTTTCTGTTTGGCATCGATGTCTTCATCCAGAACCTGACACTTCTGCGAGATCTCCTTCTCATTCTGCCTGGAGGTGGTGGTCTCTGACACCTTCTGACTCAGCTCAGCCACTTCATTCTGCAGGTTTGCTATTATGACGTCTTTGTATTTGGATTCAATTTCATAATCTGAGAGACGGCTGACCTCTTTTCCCAGCAGCAGAATTATTTCATCCTGGGTAGAGATCAGATGGGAGGCTTACTAGGTGTGGGCCTAGGTGTGAGGCTGAGCCCATTAAAAAAAAGTAGGGGCCGGGTGCGGTGGCTCACGCCTGTAATCCTAGCACTATGGGAGGCCAAGATGGGTGGATCGCCTGAGGTCAGGAGTTCGAGACCAGCCTGGCCAACATGGTGAAACCCTGTCTCTACTAAAAATACAAAAATTAGCTGGGTGTGGTGGCAAGCGCCTGTAATCCCAGCTACTTGGGAGGCTGAGGCAGGAGAATCGCTTGAACCCGGGAGGCAGAGGTTGCAGTGAGCCCAGACCATGCCATTGCACTCTAGCCTGGGCAACAAGAGCAAAACTGTCTCAAAAAAAGGTAGGAAAATTATAGTGTAATTATTTTGGGAAAGTAAGGGCAGGCAGGCAGGGAAAAGGCAGACTTTGAGGCTCTCTGTCACTTGGCAACTCATAGAGACAAGAGTTTGGTTAAAATGATTACTTGCATACAGACTTCTATAAGTCATGTGTATACCTTAGAGCGACAGAAACTTTCCTTTCCCCTAAAATTATACTTTCATATTAAGAACCACCATCCCACTTGGGAATTTTTGTTGCCAAAAAGTTTATTTATAATATTTTTAGGAATCAACTTACCAGGCCTCAGTCTAACATCTGGGGACGAAGGAAAGGTAATTAAGGAAATGACTCTATTCAACCACATTCTGACTATAATGGGGCTATTTAACTTTACAAATTTAATACATTCTGAAATAGCTTTTCCCCTTTCCTCTCTTCTGTTATTCCCTGGCTCTTTTGGTTATTCACATAAAAATTTATTCCAGGTAACTGAGTCATGAAAAATAAATGAGAGGGGAATGGTGATTTATGTATATAGGCTCTTGTAAATTTCAGGCTGGAAAAAACTTTGGGCTTGGCAGGCTGTACCCACAGGTATCATTAACCCAGTCCCCCATCTCTCCAAAAGAAAAAGCACCGTAGCCGAAGAATTTGTTAGGTTTCCCAAAAAAGGGGGAAAAAATCCCCCAAACTTCTCACCAGAACGCATCAATAAAATATCAGGAAGATTGAGAACAAAAATTCCCCGATGTGATTCATAGGCAGCTACAGAGTTCCTGATCAGTTACTTTGAGAGGAAACTGCTCTCCATGCAATTTTCCACTGGTGGGAAGGAAGCGGGTGGGCAGTTTCTAGGCCAGCTCATTGCCTGGAGAGCTCGACCTTCTAGCTTGCTAACCTGGGGAACCACAGGGTTTTGGTCATGATGGAGCCCAACTGCTGACCAGGGTCTGTCATTGGGTCCCTGTGAGTGCTTGTGGCAACATTTCAAAGGACAGCCTCAAACAGAGTCCATGCTCTGGGGCAGCCCTTTGCCTTATCCAATATGAGTTACCCGAGGGCTCCATTTCCAGCCAGGTGTTTGTTCAATATCCACACAACAAACATGTATTGAGCATCTACTGTGTGCCACGCTTGTGCTGGGCACTGAAGTACAGAGAAGCCTGCAGCTTATGGTGCACAGCTATGGTTCCTGCCTTTCTGGTGGGGACCCTGTGACTTCCTTGAGGGAGCACCCCTGACCCTTCCACACGGTCTTGGTAGGAGGGTCAGTTATGTGCCCTGATCCTTCCTGTCCCACCTGCCTTCCTGTCCCACCTGCAATTGACCCAGCCTGGTCAATTGGCATTTTCTCAGAGATTTCATGTATTACTTAAAAGAGGAAGAAGCTCTTGCTTCCTTTTGGATCATAAACTTTAAACTTACAGACTTCAGTTTGTCTACAGTCATGTTTTCCAACATAAGAAGCCAGCCTGCTGCAAAAGCAAAACTATGAGGGAAACAGTGGAGAAACTGATAGCGGGGGAGGGGAAGCTGATCATTCAAGCTCCTGGATCCAGTCATGCCTGAAGCTGGTTGGCTTTTACATTTTCCAATAAGATAAGACAATAAATGCTTTCTTTCTTTCTTTTTTTTTTTTTCCTTTTTTTTTTTTTTTTTTGAGACAGGGTCTTGCTCTGTCACCCAGGCTGGAGCACAGTGGTGCAATCACAGCTCACTGCAGCCTTGATCCCCTGGGCTCAAGTGATGCTCCCACCTCAGCCTCCCTAGTAGCTGGGGCTATAGGCAAGTTCCACTATGGGTGGCTCGTTTTTTTGTTGTTGTTGTTTGTTTTTTGTTTTTGTTTTTTTTTTTGCAGAAATCGAGTCTTACTATGTTGCCCAGGCTGGGCTTGAACTCCTGGGCTCAAGTGATCCTCCTGCTTGGCCTCCCAAAGTGCTGGGATTACAGGCGCGAGCCACTGAGCACAGCCTATTTTTTCTTAAATCAATTTGTTTATTGTCACTTGCACTTGAAGGAGTCCTGACAAGTCAGGGCATAAATATTTCATAAATAGTAAAAATTTAGAAACGTGGTTGGATCCTATTTCCAGCTTAACAACTGTGGTGGATTAAAAATGGCTACAAATAACTTTGCAGCTTCTGCCATCAAGCAGTGGAGTCTATTTTCCCCAGCCCCTAAATCTAGGCTGGCCCTGTGATCTGCTTTGACCAAGAAAAAGTGATAGACATGATATTGGGTGGTCTCCAAGCAAGTTCTTAAGAGGCTGTACAGCTTCTGTCCTGGCCCTCTGGAAACCCAGAGGCCACTGCACTGCTATGAAGAAGCCCAGGATGAAAAACTATGTGCAGAGAGGGCTCAAATTCCAAGTGTCCTTTAGTGGTGATTTTTAGTGGTGAGATTTTGGTACACCTATCACCTAGGCAGTATACACTGCATCATATTTGTAGACTTTTATCCCTTGCCCTGCTCCCACTCTTCTCCCTAAATCCCCAAAGTCTACTGCATCACTCTTATGCCTTTGCGTCCTCATAGCTTAGCTCCCACATATCAGTGAGAACATACGATGTTTGGTTTTCCATTCCTGAGTTACTTCACTTAGGATAATAGTTTCCAGTCTCATCCAGGTCATTGCAAATGCTGTAAATTCATTCCTTTTTATGGCTGCATAGTATTCCATTGAATATATATACCACAGTTTCTTTATCCACTCGTTGATTGATGGGCATTTGGATTGGTTCCATGATTTTGCAATTGTGAATTGTGCTGCTATTAACAGGCATGTGCAAGTATCTTTTTTGAATAATGACTGTTTTTCCTCTGGGTAGATACCCAGTGGTGGGATTGCCGGATCAAATGGTGGCTCTGTTTTTAGTTCTTTAAGGCATCTCCATGCTGTTTTCCATATTGGCTGTACTAGTTTACTCATGTAACCAAATACCACCTATACCGCAATAACTTATGGAAAAATTAAAAAAAAGAAAACTAATAAAAACTCTATAAAAACTTAAAAAAATAAATCTGTGGGAAGAAACTAAAAAAAAATAACAAACAAGCAAAAAAACTAATTCCAGGTGTCCCAACCGAGGTCCCAGACATGGGAATGAGGACTTCTGAGACCATCAGCCCCTGCCACGCCACCGGCTGACTGCAGTTGCATGAGTGAGGCAGAAGACACCAGCAGGAGAACCTTCCAAGGCAACCCATAGAATTGTGGGAAATAAATTGCTGTTTTAAGCCACTAAGTTTTGGGCTGGCTTGTTTACAGCAGTGGGTAACTGACAGAGCATCCAAACCTGACTTCCCACCTTACTCACCATTGCTGCAGATTCCTGGACATGTCACTCCCGTGTGTGACAAGAGCTCCAGGTGGTTCTGCTCCTTACAGACTCTGAGAATGGCTGCAAGGTCAGGCCCTGATCTTTAGGGGAAGCAAGGCATTGTGGATCATTGCTTTTAGTATTAGGTTGGTGCAAAAGTAGTCGATTATCATATAATTTTCAGGTTGTGGCTAAGTGAGGCAAAATCAACCTGGATCCATCCTTCCCAAGTTTGCTTCAATTTATCTGTTCTGACCTCTCTTCCTGTCTCACTCCCTAAACCTCTCTGGTTCTTTAACAAGTCTTTCTCATTTGCTTAGTCATCTCTGACCTCAGCTCTCACTTCCTCCCACTAGGGAAGTTAACCAGACCTGGGTGTGAATCTCAATTCTGCCCCTTTTACTGTGCAACCTTGGGCAAGTTACTTAAACTCTCTGAGCTCCGGTTTCCTCATTGTTAAGTGATGGTGATTTAAAAAACCTATTTTGAAGACAGCAAAGATTAAATGAGTGAATGAATGTTAAGTGCACAGGACACAGTCCAGCTCACAGTAGATGCTTAATAAACAGTGGTTGCGGAGGTCGTAATTTAGAATAAAACATTTGGTTGAATGTCTTGGGGAGTAAGAGGTGGTTTCTTGGAAGCAGGATAAGGGCACTCCTGGGCCACACAGAACAGGCATCGGCAAGTCCCTTTGCAGTGCGCTTGCTGCTGCAGCTCCACCCTTCCCCAGACCCCTCCCTCACCTTGTCCTGCTGGGCCAAGTCCTCCTCCACATAAATCTCCGCAGGGGGAACTGCCCCAGGAATCCCCTCGGCCACTGATTTTTCTGACAGTTTCATGGCATTGGTCCACACTAAGGCGTGAGATCAGCAGAGAGCACAAAAGACATCATGAGTTTCCCTGAGGCCTGAAGAAGATGTTCACGTTAGCCTTCCTGTTTGTTTCCCCCCAGAGATTGATATTTTATGTAATTTAAAAATTAAAGGCCGGGCGCTGTGGCTCACGCCTGTAATCCCAGCACTTTGGGAGGCCAAGGCAGGCGGATCATGCAGTCAGAAGATTGAGACCATCCTGGCTAACATGGTGAAACCCCATCTCTACTAAAAATACAAAAAATTAGCCAGGTGTGGTGGCGGGCGCCTATAGTCCCAGCTACTCGGGAGGCTGAGGCAGGAGAATGGCGTGAACCTGGGAGGCGGAGCTTGCAGTGAGCCGAGATTGCGCCACTGCACTCCAGCCTGGGTGACAGAGCGAGACTCTGTCTCAAAAAAAAAAAAAAAAAAAATTACAAAGTGGTGTGTGTGTTCACTGAAAAGCAGTGAAAGCATCACGGAAGTACTAGAAAGGGAAAGGGCCACCTCCTTCCTTCTTCCTTTGATAACTGCTGTTACCCAACGTGATGTGTCTCTTTCCAGACCTTTTTCCTATGCCACAGAAGAGCTGGTGATCTTGGGCAGATCGTTTAATCTCTCGGGCAGGTCATTTAATCTCTTTCAGCCTTAGTTTCCACACATATCATTTAGGGGCATGAATAGTCTCTATCATAAAGGGCTACTGTGAAGAGTAAACGAAACGTTAGGTAGAGCAGGGACTGGCAAACTACAGCCCTGGGGCTGAATCCAGCCTATGACTGAAAGTACAGTTTTACTGGAATGTGGCCACAGT
The DNA here is from genome assembly GCF_000001405.40 of Homo sapiens. NCBI lineage: Eukaryota > Metazoa > Chordata > Mammalia > Primates > Hominidae > Homo > Homo sapiens. Next base: position 15,295,871 of record NC_000001.11, on the reverse strand, counting down.
TATTCACATATGTATCATCTATGGCTGCTTCTGTGCCACAAACACAGAGTTGAGTAGTTGCAACACAGACTGTATGGCCCTCGAAGCCTTATTTATGTCTGGTTCTGTGATATTGGGATTTATAACAAGAAATAGATACAGCTGGCCCCCCATATGTGTGGGTTCCACATTTGTGGAGTCAACCAACTGTGGATTGAAAATATATATGTATGAGTATGTGTGTATATATATATATATGTTTAGAGAGAGAGACACACACACAGACAGACAGGGTCTCGCTCTGTCACCCAGGCTAGAGTGCAGTAGCATGATCATGGATCACTGCAGCCTTGACCTCCTGGGCTCAATTGATCTTCCCACTTCAGGCTCCCAAGTAGTTGTGACTACAGGTGCATGCTACCGTGCTTGGCTAATTTTTAATTTTTTGTAGAGACAGGATCTTGCTATGTTATCCAAGTTGGTCTCAAACCTCTAAGCTTAAGTGATCCTCCTGTCTCAGCCTCCCAAAGTGCTGGGATTACAGATGGGAGCCACTATGCCTGGCCAAAAATACTTCTTAAAAACCCAATAAAAAATAACAATACAACAATAAAAATACAGCATAACAACTAGTGACATGACATTCATATCATATTTTGTAAGTGAGGGAACTGAGGCACCGGGATGTCAAGTACTTGCTGAAGGTCCCACAGCTGGTGAGTGATAGAGTCAAGATTTGAACTCAAGTTTGCCTGATCCAGAGCCTGTACTCATAACCATTATGCAGTAAATATATTGACCTTCATGATGCAGTGTTACGTTTTAAAAAGTAGGATACCAGTGTTAGGGTCAAACAATCTCATCATTATTCCATTACTTACAGTATATATAAATCAGGATGGTATCTTTAAAAATCACCCCACGCATTTCCATTCTCCATTCTAATTCTTCCTCCCTCACCTGTATGAGCTTTGCCATTAAGATTCGGCCTTAGAGCTGCGGCCTTACTGCCTGTTCGAGGAGAAGGGCGAGCACCACCAAGACGGGGGCCTTGACCAGGGCGATTCTGCCCCTCAGGTGACATTTGGTAACATCTGGGGACAATTTTGAGTATCACAGCTTGAGTGGGAGAGAACTGCTGAGAGCATCGAGTGGGTAGAAGCCAGGGATGTTGCTAAACACTCAACAATGCACAGGCCGGGCCAGGCCTGGTGGCTCACACCTGTAATCCCAGCACTTTGGGAGGCCGAGGCAGGCAGATCACTTAAGGACAGGAGTTCGAGACCAGCCTGGCCAACATGGCGAAACTCCAACTCTACTAAAAATACAAAAATTAGCCAGGTGTGGTGGCAGGCGCCTGAATCCTAGCTACTTGGGAGGCTGAGGCAGGAGAATCGCTTGAACCCGGGAGGTAGAGGTTGCAGTGAGCCAAGATTGCACCACTGCACTCCAGCCTGGGTTACAGAGTGAGCCTCTGTCTCAAAAACAATGCACGGGACAGCCCCACAACAAACAATTATCTGGCCCCAAATGTCAGCAGTGCCGAGATTGAGAAACCCTGACCTAGAATAAGTAAGTCCTTGGCTTTGCGTTTCCAAATAGAATTTTTCAAATCGAAAGCAAAGCAATGGTCTAAAGGCAAAACCATTTTGTTTGAAGAGTCCAGCCTTGTTAAGAGAGGAAAGGGCTTCCTCAGATTCCTCAAAACTCGGTGCTTTCAATGGAGAGCCAACCTGGAGGCCTGGAGCCGGAAGTGTTCTCCTAAGCCTGGAGCAGAGAGGCCCGGGTCTGACACAGGGGAACTCCTCACTACAGGAAGATGGAAGCCCCTCTCCGCATCAGGGAAACACGGTGGAAGTTTGGGAGCGGACATCATGGTGCCTTCCCCACCCAGATGACACCCCGGTGGGAGGCTGCAGTGGTGACGCCCAGGCAGATCTGAGGGCCTCAAAGCCTTAGGACCGTTCATGGCTCACTCACTTCCCAAGTTCAACATGGCACTGGAGAAACAGGTGGAGAAATCTACTCATCAAAGACTGAGTGAAAAAAGAAAGAAACAGCATCTGTGTCTACCAATGGACGAATGGATAAAGAAATCTGTGATACATCCATGGAATGTGACTCAATGATAACAAGGAACAACTTGTTTTTGTTTTTTTGTTTGTTGGTTTTTTGAGGTAGAATCTTGCTCTGTCCGCCCAGGCTGGAGTGCAGTGGCACAATCTCAGCTCACTGCAACCTCTGCCTCCCGGGTTCAAGCGATTCTCCTGCCTCAGCCTCCTGAGTAGCTGGGATTACAGGTGCGTGCCACCACACCCAGCTAATTTTTGTATTTTTAGTAGAGATGGGGTTTCACCATGTTAGTCAGGCTGGTCTCAGACTCCCGACCTTGTGATTCGCCCTCCTTGGCCTCCCAAAGTGCTGAGATTACAGGCATGAGCCACCGCGCCTGGCCACAAGGAACAACTTGTAAGACATACAGCAAAATGGATGAATCTCAGAAATATGCAGAGTGAAAAAAGCCTCACATGAAAAACATACACTACATGATTCCATGTATTTGAGAATCTAGAACAGGAGTCTCTAATCCATGGTGGAAAAAGAATTTGGAAGAGTGGTTACCTCTGGGGGCAAGGGTTGGGAACTGACTTGGAAGGGACCTGAGGGAGCTTCCTGGGATGATGGTGATGTTCTTGACAGGGGTTTGGGTTACACAAGTGTATACAATTGTCAAAACGTAGTGAGTGTTCACTCAAGATCTGTGCATTTCATTGAGTGGCAGCCAGTCTCCAAGATGACCCTGGTGATTCTTGTCCCTGTATTCATGCCCCTATATAGTCATCTCCCATGCTGGATGAAGCTTGTATTAATATGCTCAGGTTGCCATAACAAAATACCACAGACTAGGGGGCTCAATAACAGAAATTAATTTTACTTTATTAAATGTTTAATTCTTTCTTTTAAAAATAGAGATGGGGTCTTGCTGTGTTTCCCCAGCTGGTCTTGAACTCCTATCTTCAAGGGATCCTCCTGCCTCAGCCTCCCAAACTGCTGGGATTACAGGGGTGAGCCACTGCACCAATTTATTTTTTCAAGTTTTAGAGGTTGAAAGATCAAGGTGTTGGCCGGGTGGCTTCTCCTGAGGCCTCTCTTCTTGGCTTGCAGACGGCCACCTTCTCACTGTGTCCTCACATGGTCTTTCCTCTGGTGTTGCTTGTGTCCTAATCACCTCCTCTCACAAGGACAACAGTCAGATTGGATTAGGGCCCAACCTAACTACCTCATTTTAACTTAATTACCTCTTTAAAGGCGGGTGGATCACCTGAGGTCAGGAGGTTGAGACCAGCCTGGCTAACATGGTGAAAACTCGTCTCTACTAAAAACACAAAAAATTAGCTGGGCGTGGTGGCGGGCGCCTGTAGTCCCAGCTACTCGGGAGGCTGAGGCAGGAGAATGGTGTGAACCTGGGAGGTGGAGCTTGCTGTAAGCCGAGATCGTGCCACTGCACTCCAGCCTGGGCGACAGAGCGAGACTCCGTCTCAAAAAGACAAAACAAAACAAAAAAAACCCCACAAAAATTAGCCAGGCCTGGTGGTGGGTGCCTGTAATCCCAGCTACTCAGGAGGCTGAGGCAGGAGAATCACTTGAACCTGGGAGGCAGAGGTTTTAATGAGTCGAGATCATGCCACTGCACTCCAGCCTGGGAGACAGAGTGAGACTCAGTTTCTAAAAGAAAGAAAAAAAGAAAAGAAAAGAAGGAAGGAAGAAAGAAAGGCACTCTCTCAATACAGTTAGGTTCTGTGGTACTGGGGATTAGGACTTCAACATATAAATTTTGAGAGAACACAATTCAGCCATAACAGAGCTTATCTATGTAACCAAGGCTACTGGAGAAATGATGGAGTTTGACTCCTGAGGCTGGATCTTAAGAGACATGTGGCTGCTGCTTTTCTCTCTAGGACCACTCTTTTGGAGGAAGCTGGCAGCCATTTCATGAGGAGACTCAAGCAGCCTAGGAGAGGTGGCAGTGGTGAAGAACTGAGGCTTCCTGCTGTCAGCTAGTGAGGAACTGAGGCCTCTTCACACACGGATGTGAGTGAACTACCCAGGAGATGTGTCCTCCAGCCCCAGGCCTTCAGAGGACCGCAGCTCTCGTCAAAAGCTTAATGCAACCTCCTGAGAGTCCCTGAACTACAGCCATCCTGCTAAGCTACTCCCAAATGCCTGACCCCCAGAAACTGTGTAAGATAACGCATAGGGTTTTGGTTTGTTTTAGGGTGCTATATGTTAGGGTAATTGGTTATAAATTGGTAACTAATACACACCGTATGTTAATTTTACACAAAAAGACAAAAACTGTTGAACTCCAGTTAATGGTATACGTGCTAAATGTTTAGGGGGAAGTCTACAGCTGTAGGAAACTTATTTTAAAATGTATCTAAAATTAAGATGAATTAATGAATTCACAAAATGATTGATAGAGAGATATACAATAAGAGTATAGCAAAATGGGCCAGGCGTGGTTGGCTCACACCTGTAATCCCAGCACTTTGGAGGCCAAGGTGGGCAGATCACTTGAGGTCAGGAGTTTGAGACCAGCCTGGCCAACATGGCAAAACCTCGTCTCTACTGAAAATACAAAAATTAGCTGAACATGGTGGTGTGTGCCTGTAATCCCAGCTACTTGGGAGGCTGAGGCAGGAGAACCGCTTGAACCCAGAAGGTGAACTCCAGCTTGGGCAATAGAGTGAGACTCTGTCTCAAGAAAAAAAAAAAAAAAAAAGAGTATAGTAAAATGTTAATGGTAGATTTAGGTGGGGAGGGGGTCACTGTAAAATTATTTTTACTTTGCTGTATGTTTAAAAAATGTTCATATTAAGGCTGGGCGCAGTGGCTCATGTCTGTAATCCCAGCACTTTGGGAGGCCGAGGTGGGCGGATCACAAGGTCAGGAGATCAAGACCATCCTGGCTAACATGGTGAAACCCCATCTCTACTAAAAATACAAAAACAAAAAATTAGCCGGGTATAGTGGCAGGAGCCTGTAGTCCCAGCTACTCGGGAGGCTGAGGCAGGAGAATGGCGTGAACCCAGAAGGCGGAGCTTGCAGTGCGCTGAGATGGCACCACTGCCGAAATCCTGCCACTGCACTCCAGCCTGGGCAACAGAGGGAGACTCCGTCCAAAAAAAAAAAAAAAAGTTCATATTAAAATGTTGGGGGAAAATGGCTGAGTCATTTCTCAGTGTGGGTGGTAGGTATGTGGTGGTGCATTTGATGATGACGGTGATGATGATGTAAACCGTGGAGACACATGGCCTTTACTCTTCAGCTTGCGTATGTCACAGTAATAATGATTTTAGTGACTGAGGAAGGTGACTACATGAATGGTCTTGAGCAAGACCGGAAAAAGATATGGAAGCCGCTGGGAGATGTCTGGGGACTCCGAAGGGCCTGGGGCTGGGACAAAGAGGACAGAAAATGGGACCTTGATGCCATAGGCTAGGGAGGAACTCTGGGAACCATGCCTGGGGACTAAACTGACCAGCTCTTCTGCTGGTGAGGCTGCTGAGGCCAAGAGGACAGTGACAGATGGGAAGTTTCCTCCCCAAGTGCCATGAGGCTTTCAAGGGGGTAGTGGGGAAGGAAGGACACCCTGAAGGTTGTGTGTGTCCCAGAGTGACCAGGTTGTGAGTGGGCTGTCACCGAGCTCACCAGCCTTTAAATGGGACTGAAAAACATTAGATTAGACGGGACTGAATACACTTCCTCGGGAGAAGTCATCTTCCTGGTAAGTGTCACTCTCCTCTGACCTGTAAAATGGTGGTAAAATATTTTAAAAGCTCCTAGGGCTGTTGGGGGCAAAGGGGATTGCAATTACTAATATTTTTGCACAACTGAGTCAAAGTGTGTTGACGTGATCCCATGACACACTCATATGTACACACACACAGAGGCCACACCCACTGCAGGTGCCCTGGTGTGTGTATACGGACACAGCACAGAGGCTGGAGGGATACGCAGCAGAGAGTCAATAGGGAGACCCTGGGGATAAGGATTACGGCTGATTTTTTAACTGTTTTCTTACTTTCTGCTTATCCTGAATTTATTTTCATTTTTTACAATTGAATATGTTCTACTTTTAGAATCAGAAAGTAAACCAAAACCAAGACCCATCCACATGGCCGTGAACCACCCCCAAGCCACCAATGGCAGCCCTGACGCATACCTTGCTTGATGACGGGTGGCTTGCGGGCGTCGTCCACCACGAACGAGAACATCTCCTTGTTGGCGCTCACAGGCCGCCTGTGGGAGGCCGGCAGGACCACGGTGGGTCTGGGAAAGGCCTGGGACCAGCTCCTTTGCATCGGTGCTGGCTGGACACCTTGGTGGAAGGGGATATGTGATGGTGGGGGGGCCTGGTTTGGCTGCTGTGTGGCACGAGGTGGCTGTGGCCCTGGCCATGGTGCTGGGCCCCTCATCCATGGGAAAGAGACCTGCAGGGGCAGACAAGGGTCAGGGGAGGTTATGACCGGCTGGGATGGTCTCCATTTCTTTGTCCCAGCCACAGCATTGCTGCCCAAGGTCTTGGTTTATGAGTCACTTCCGGTCGGGCAGGGTGGCACACAGCTATAATCCCAACACTTTGGGAGGCCAAAGTGGGAGGCTAGCTAGCTTGAGTTCAGGAGTTCAAGACCAGCCTGGACAACATGGCAAAACCCTGCCTCACCAAAAATTCAAAAATTAGCTGGGCCTTGTGGCCTATGCCTGTAGTCCCAGCTACTTGAGAGGCTGAGGTGGGAGGATCACCTGAGCCTAGGAAGTAGAGGCTGCAGTGAGCTGTGATAGCACCACTGCACTCCATCCTGGGCGACAGAATGAGACTCTGTCTCAAAAATAAACAAACAAAAAAACAATGAGTCACTTCCCCCAGGAAGCCTTCCTGGACTCTCCTCAAGTTTGGGATGGGGGTCCTTGCCTGGACCACACGGCACACGATCACACCACCATTGAGTGAGTGCATGCTTTACCCAGGCATCTTGCCGAAAGAGTCACCTGCATTAACTCATTTAATACACTCAACACTCTGTGATATCAACACTCGGAGGACACAGGCCAGGCAAGAACAAGGGACTCTGAACACCCACAGACGTGGTATTGATCTGCTGAGTCAGGAGAATGTCCCCTCTAAGGGATTAGGGACTTTTCATCTACCTTACCACTGTATCCTCAGCCCCTAGAATAAATGCTTGGCACATACCTAGTAGGTCCTCAAATGTTGGTCAAAATAACAGAACAAGCCAATCACTGAGATTCCAGCCCAGCTCCCTGGGACTCCACAGCCTTTTCTCTTTCTGTCCATACTGTGGGTCCCTCTATCCCTCAAAGTTCAGAGCTCTGGGATTGCAGGGACACTGACTGTCTGATTAGCCTTTGCTTTTCCACACCAGCACAGCTGATTCTGGCAGAGGCCCCGGGGAAGATGCTCCAGCTGCTTTCAGTGGAGAGCATGTCAAAATCCATCTAACCGTGGATGAGCAAACGTGGAGTGGTGCTGACACCTGGCTTTTGCCGTGGATTAATGCTTTAGTGGTGGTTTCTCCCTGGTGCCTAGTGGTTGAAGGTGGCACTGATGAGCACTATCACTTATTGCACCGAGCTTATTGATTCCTCACCATGACCCTTTGTGTGAGGGTTCTCCTTATTCCTGTTAGAAGTGAGGCTTGGAGAGGTTAAGGGATTTACCCAGCACAGGCAGTGGTGGACAGGGAACTGGGATCAAGATCTGATGGCCTCTCCTTCTTCTCTCTCTCTCTCTTTCCCCTCCTCTGTCTCCCAATTGTCTTGGCAGAAATAATGCTTTCCAGGTAAGAGCTAAATTCAAAGGTTTGCTTCCTAGAATAGAACTCATCCCTATTTTCCCAGGGCTCATGGTTCTCCTTCTGTAGCCCAGAGAGAAGATGAGCTCAGACACACACAATGAGGAAAAGGACAGAATGCTTCCAAAATCAGAGCTCCAGCAGACAGCACTTCCTAGAACTTCAGCTGGGTTTCATTGAAAAGGAGGGCTCTCCACTCAGGATCCTAATCTCCAAGCTGCAGTCTGTCTACAGCTGCTCAGGGATCCTATGCATTCCCCCTAAGGCTCTTTCTTGGAGTCAGTGAGGAGTGTTCTGGGAAATCTGGCACCAAACTCCGATCACCTGGTGATACATGGTTTGGCTGTGCCCCACCCAAATCTCATCTTGAACTGTAGTTCCCAAAATCCCCTTAGGACGGACTGGGAGGGACCTGGTGGGAGGTAATGGAATCATGGGGGCAGTTACCTCCATGCTGCTCTCGTGATAATGAGTGACTTCTTGTAAGATCTGATGGTTTTATAATGGGCTTTCCCCACCCCCTTGCTCTGCACTTCTCCTTGCTGCCGCCATGTGAGGAAGGACACGTTTGCTTCCCCTTCTGCCATGATTGTAAGTTTCCTGAGGCCTCCCCAGCCCTGGGGAACTGTGAGTCAATTAAACCTGTTCGTTTTTAAATTACACAGTCTCTGGTATGTCCTTATAGCAGTGTGAGAATGGACTAATACATCTGGGGACACCTGGCCAGGCATTCAAATGACACTGGCCCACTTGAAGTCTGTTTTCAGGAGTGGGTCTGGGCCGAGTTCCAGAACTCTGTTACCTTACGTGTAGTTTCCCATTTCTCTCCACTGTCAACATCTCAGCCTCTCCACCTACCCTCTTTTCCATTCTTTGGTTTCAGAAGCTGAGCCACTGTGCCCCTGCCCTGGGCTGACTTCTCCGTCCATCATGTCCTTCCCCATCCTCAGGGCTGTCTTGCCTCACTCATTCCCATGACCTTTTCCTATGGGTTTAATAAGTACTCATTGAATGAATGGGCTGAAGATGACAGCGGGCAAACTCCAATGCGTTTTACTCCAGCCTTCTGGAACACAAAGGTAGAGAGTATTGGGTGTGGTGGAGGAATCTACTTTCATGCTAGGACATTCAGTAGGCAGGGCTCTAAGTTAAGGGTGCCTCATGCCAACTAACTGCACAGGTGCTAATGGGAGTGAGCGTGTCTCCTGTCTCAAGGGTAACACTTCTGCAGTGGCCAGGCCAGAACCCACTCAGCATCTTTTGGAGATTGTGGGTAAATCTCCCTCCCTCTCTCGGCCAATTGTTGTGGGTGGGGCTAAGCAACAAATCACATTCAGTGGCCATAGTGATTGGCCAGGGGTGGGGCATGTGATCCAATCAGAGCCAAGGAGACTAGGCTGGACACCAGAATCTCTAGCCACAGAGAACTGGGGACTTGAGAATGTAGCCAGCACCAAGGGGTGCAGCCCAGACGTGGAGAGAGGGAAGGTGGTTTTCTTTTCTCCATTTTTTTTGAAACAGCGTCTCACTCTGTCATCCAGGCTGGAGTGCAGTGGTGCAATCACAGCTCACTACAGCCTAACCTTCCGGGCTCAGGTGATCCTCCTGCCTCAGCCTCCTAAGTAGCTTGGACTATAGACGCAGGCCACAAGGCCCAGCTAAATTTTGTATTTTTTGTAGAAATGGGGTTTTGCCATGTTGTGCAGGCTAGTCACAAACTCCTGGGCTGAAGTGATCCTCCTGCCTCAGCCTCCAACAGTGCTGGGATTACAGGCATGAGCCCCAACACCTGGTCTGGTTTTTGTTTAATTGTAAAAAAATACATAACAAAATTCTCCATCTTAACCATTTTAGGTGTACAGTTCAGTATTTTTAAGTATAGTCTAATGGCTGTGAAACAGATCTCTAGAACTTTTTCATCTTGCAAAAGTGAAAATATATTCTCATTAAATAACTCTCCCTTCTCCTCTCCTCAGAGCCGCTGGTAACCACCATTCCCCTTCTATTTCTATGAATTTAAATACTCTGTCCCTCATATAAGTGGATTCATACAACATTTGTCCTTTTGTGACTGGTTTATTTCACTTAGCACAATGTCCTTAGGATTCACCCATGTTGTAGCATGTGTCAGAATGTCCTTCCTTTTCATGGCTGAATAATATTCCATTGCATGGACAGATCACATTTTATTTATCCATTCATCTGTCCATGGACACTTGGGCTGCATTCACCTCTTGGCTATTGTGCATAATGAACAAACAGAGAAGCTGGTTTTGAGCCCTGGCTCGCGTTGCACCCTGCACTAACTGCTCAGTACTGTGAGGCTAGTTTGAGCTGGTTTTGTCACTTGTAGCCCCCACAGTGCTAATGAGAGGGTCTCTAAAGGGGCCAGTGCATGATGTGTAAATGCAGCAAAGACTGCAATCAGCTCTTTCAGTTAAAAAAAAAAAGTTTTATTTTGTTATTTATTTATTTATTTATGGAGATGGAATTTTGCTCTTGTCACCCAGGCTGGAGTGCAGTGGCGTGATCTCGGCTCACTGCAACCTCCGCCTCCTGGGTTCCAGCGATTCTCCTGCCTCAGCCTCCCAAGTAGCTGGCATTATAGGCATGTGCCACCACGCCCAGCTAATTTTTTGTATTTTTAGTAGAGACAGAGTTTCACCATGTTGGCCAGGCTGGTCTTCAACCCCTGACCTCAGATGATCCACCCGCCTTGGCCTCCCAAAGTGCTGGGATTACAGGCATGAGCCACAGCGCCCGGCATTGTTTGTTTTTTGAAAGCATGTTGATTTAGGGTGGCTTTAGTTGGAAGGTTAATGTCAGTCTTCTCTACTTAACAGGCCTACTCTATCATAAGCAAGGTCAAGGTTTTCTCAGAAATTGCTGCTGGTAACTACAAGGAAACAGTGAGGAGGATAAACAAACATAAAAAAAAGACTCCTGAAAAACTGGCTCCTGGCTGAGCTCACATTAGAATGTACATAGAGTTTGGGATCAAGGTCAGTTATCAACAAGTCTGGCTTAGAAATATTAGTTAAAAAATACTTGCTAGTGCCTTCTTTCTTTCACTCTCTTTCTTTCTTTCTTTCCTCCTCTTTCTTTCTCTCTGACCATATGGTGTGTGGCGTGGTGGTTTTTTCTTTGTTTATTTTTGAGGCCGCATGTGCTTTTCCTGATCTCTCCCACACTGTCTAAAATAGCAGGCTGCCAACCACCTGGACCACACCCACGGCTGAATTTCTATCAGCTTGAATAAACACCCAACCAGTAATGTACTCGAGAACTCCAAATCCATTGTTTCCGGATGATCTCCTTGTTTCTTGTGTTATTACGCTAACATCTGCTTCTGACCCTGTCAAGGCTTCAGGGTGAGAAGGACACCCTAAAACGCCAAGGGAGTTTGCCCAGAGTCCTACAGGACCCATGCATTCTTCCAGGAAGCCCTGGAGGCTGTGGACAAGGTGGGGAAGTAGACCTTGCCCTTGGAGCATCTGTCATGTTTTCTGCTATCTGCAATTTTTTTTTTTTTTTTTTGAGATGGAGTCTCGCTCTGTCGCCCAGGCTGGAGTGCAGTGGCGCAATCTCAGCTCACTGCAAGCTCCGCCTCACGGGTTCATGCCATTCTCCTGCCTCAGCTTCCCGAGTAGCTGGGACTACAGGCGCCCACCACCATGCCCGGCTAATTTTTGTATTTTTAGTAGAGACAGGGTTTCACCGTATTAGCCAGGATGGTCTCGATCTCCTAACCTCGTGATCCGCCCGCCTCGGCCTCCCAAAGTGCTGGGATTACCGGCGTGAGCCGCTGTGCCTGGCCTCCAATTCTTACCACTTGGCTTTGAACCACCAAGGAGAGAAGGCTCTAGGTGCTAGGCTGTGCTGTGCCCTTTGTATATGTGGCCCCATCTAATCACGAGAATAACTCTGGGGTAGGGGAAGCATTTTTACCCACATTTTGTGCATTAAAGGAGCAGAAGCTCAGTGAGGTTCAGAGACTTGCCCCAGGTCCTGAAGCCTGGAAGTGGTGATGCTGTCTGACTCCAAACTCTGTGCCCCTGGAGCTTCCAGGTCATTTGAAGTCATGATTTGCACTTGCTTTCCATACTTGCAAAAGGATCTTAGATGATTGGCTAATGAAGAATAGATTTTCTGAGTTAAAAAATGAAAATGAGAAATAGATGGTGTGAAAATCCCCAAGATGGTGCATGGACAGGATTGATGTGTGGACAGGATTTTCCAGGAACGTTATAGGTTCCCTCCTGCAAGTCTGAGTCACAGGGTATGTGCAGCACCCTGGATGCCACTCAGAGAACTGCAGTCTCCCCCCAGGCAGGGCTGTAGCTGGCTCACTGCTGTGCCAGAGGAGAGCTGGGGCCTGTTGGTGCTGGCTCATGAGAGCCGATGAGTAAATGTTGAGAATTCTGTGAGCTGGCTGATAAACACAGCCATTAAAAAATAAATTATATATACTTACAATTAAATTATACCAGAAACAACAGTAATAAATACTTAAAACTTAGCCTCCTAATTATTTTACTATATTTCATGATAATCTGTGCTCTTACAGTTATTCTTCCTACTGCGTCTGTGTGTTGGCAGTGCTGTAGAGTGATGTGCTGCTACCCAGCTCTCTGTGGCTCTGTGTTAGTGAAGCTTGAAATTGGCCAGGATGGTGAGGTAAGAGGTGGGACTCAATTCTGGAGGTTTGGCTCAGACACCAGACCAAATTGAGGACCAGCTAAAACAGGGCCGCAGTGGAAGCAGCTTTTCATAAGACACGCCCACCAGTGTGCCATGTCAGTTTCGCATTGCCATGGCAACACCCAAAAGGTACCACCCCTTTCCATGGCAATGACCCAACTACCTGAAAGGTAATACCCTTTTCCTGGAAATTTCTGCATAAACCACCCCTTCGTTTCTGTGTAATTAAATGTGGATATGAATATGACTGCAGAATTGTCTTTGAGCTGCTACTCTGGGCGCACTGCCCATGGGGTAGCCCTGCTGAGCAAGTAGCAGCCCCGCTCCTGCCACTGTGCACTGTTGCTTCCATAAAAGGTGCTGTCTCACACTGCTGGTTTGCCCTTGAATTCTTTCCTGGGCAAAGCCAAGAACCCTCCCTGGCTAAGTCCCAATTTTGGGGCTTGCCTATTCTGCATTAATGGGAGTATTTACACCACAGAAATCAGGGAATGTTACAAATCAGGGATTGATTTTTTGTTTTGTTGCTTGTCTATTCTTAGGAAGGTGTTGGATAAAATATTAGTAATACAGATGAGATTTAAAAGTGTTTTATGTCTGTAGCCATCACATTATGAGTAGCACAAAAGATATGGAGGAAATTTTCTTCTGATATTCAAAAACTATTATCCAATAGTTTCTTCTGGTATTCATAAACTATGATAGCAAAGAAGGTGCTCATGTCATTGATGAACATGTGAGGTTCCAATACAAATCTTTCTCATTTCACTTTCGTCTTACTCACAAAGGTAAACAAATATATCCACCAGTATTCCGGTTGGAAACATTCATCAGTTGCTACCATAAGTTGGCTAGGGATACAAGAGTTTGGCAAAAATCAATAAAAACCCTCTGTGAGAATCAATGGCTCTATGGAATTTATGATAAATTTGCCATAAAGAGTCCTGCATATTTTGTTATTATTTATAAAGAATGTGCTACACATTCTTTGTGTCAGTAAGCTTTATACTATACCTGCATACTTTACTTTTTCAGACACTCATCAGCATAGCACTGGCTGGACCCAGTGCCCAGTGAAGGGCCTGGCACACACTCTAGGTGCCTGCTGACCGAACTGAATTGAACAATTGGCAAACAGAGCCAAAGTTAAAAAATACCCTTCAGCTGATTCTGGGGCTGGGGCAGGGAGAATACACTATGAGCCTGGGGCATCTTGTAACAGCAGAAAGTGAGTAAGTGCTCAAAAACAGAAGGTGCGGGCCCTGTTAGAGGGATAAGCACCAACCCAAAAGCGCTCCAGTGGCCAAGGCTAGGACAATATGAGCTACAAAATAAATAACATCAGGTGGATTATAGCACAGAGAATCAAATAAAGACAGAGGAGTCCGTACTGATATAGATACATGAATGAGTAAATAATTCAATGGCAGAGAAGAGACACTTCCTTACAGAAGAATGTAACACACATAAGTAATCCCCAACCAGGAGGTGGAGCTGAGTCTTAATCAATGCCCCCTTCCTCCCCTCTCCTTTTTTTTTTTTTTTTTTTTTTTTGAGACAGTGTCTCACTCTGTCACCCAGGCTGGAGTGCAGTAGCGCGATTTTAGCTCACTGCAACCTCCGTCTCCTGGGTTCAAGCGATTTTTATGACTCAGCCTCCCGAGGAGCTAGGATTACAGGCATGCACCACCACACCTGGCTAATTTTTTGTATTTTTAGTAGAGACGGGGTTTTGCCATGTTGGTCAGACTGGTGTCAAACTCCTGGCCCCAAGTGATCCACCCACCTTGACTTCCCAAAGTGCCAGAATTACAGGTGTGAGCCACCATGCCTGGCCAGGTTATTTAATTAAAAAACAAAAACAAAACTCTTTTAAGGGACCTTTGAGTTACCAGAAAAAAATAATACAAAATCCACATGGAACCACTAATGTCGCTTATTCATACAGGTAGTCCTCTAGGTCTACTTTCAGCCTCTACTTCCTCTGATCTTACTCAATTTTACCCTAATAACTACACAATTACAAGGACAGGAAGGGGCAAGAAAGAAGGGGGAAAGGAGGCACACTGATCCCAGCAGAGAGCAGGAACTGACTGCCAGACCCTAAAACGCAGACAGAAGAGCCCCAGGGCAGCAGAGGGTGCTATGTGCGGCCCAGGAAGACAGCCTTCTCCATCTCAACAGCCCCTGGCGGGTGCCAGGATTCAAAATGGGGCAATAATTCTAAGTCTCCAAGAAAAGGATCAATTATGTCTAGGATTTTCCATTCCAGAAATTGGGATTATACATGTTAGAACACAGAACAGCCAAGTTACATACTATTTCCACGTTTTAGAACTTAAAGAAGTAGGTCCCTTTGAGCTATTCAAAAAGGCCATTTATCTGGATTTTGGCCAGGTGGGTTAGGGGACACCTAAGTGCATTCTGGCCCATCTTACTTTCCATCTTTGTAAACCTTCTAGCTTAAAGTTTTCCTTTTCCTTTAAGTTCTAATTCATTTCCTGGTCAGTCCATAAAATGGGAAAGAGAATCTAAGGAGAAAACACTTAGATGTTTGCAAACTGCGTTTTCTACCCTAGACTCGGCCTGCTGGAGCTCAGTCTTGCCAGATTGAGTGACTGAATGAACCAATGCATGATCAACTAACTTAGGAAAAGCGGCGATGTGGCTGCAGTTTGGGAAGAGTGTGACCTGCAGGAAACAGCCACGGTTGATCCCTGGGGTTTTGGGCCGGGTCGTCCGTGTTCTGTTTCACCAGGATGCTAAGGCTTCCACCTGCGCTCCTCCCTGCAGTCCCCTAGGCTGTCTGCACACTCTGTAGACATCTGAGGAGGAAGCAAACTTCAGGAGTCCTTCTGTGTTTTTGCCGAGGACATTGTGCCTGAGGCTGTCTGCTGCCCCATGCCCTCCACTTCATGGGCTTTGGAAAATGTCCTTTGATATAAAAAAACCTGGTCTCAGGATCTTTCATCACATCAGCAGGTCCCCTCCAAGAGCTGTAACAGCACAGTGTAGAGGAAAATACTACACGATCGGGATGGGAGATGACAAAGCTTGGCTATCGAGACGTTTCTTCTGAAGTGTGCCATGCTCTCTGGTTCTTTGTTCAATCCCCAGTTACTCGGCCTGGTTACAGGCAAAGCCACATTCTTCTCAAGAACGGGGAGTACTTAACGGTCCCATGAAGATGGGAACTGCCACCTTCCCTGGGATGGATGACTAAACCCCCAACTCTGTGT
This sequence comes from Homo sapiens, assembly GCF_000001405.40. NCBI lineage: Eukaryota > Metazoa > Chordata > Mammalia > Primates > Hominidae > Homo > Homo sapiens. The sequence continues at coordinate 15,280,075 of NC_000001.11, read as the reverse complement.
CCTTCTCATCATACACCGAGGAGAAAAACAAGCCACGCTACTTCCTTGGAGACCTGCCTGGAACTTCCCTGATAGAGAATGGATTATTCATCATTTTCTTACCCCAAGCTCCTAGCACGGAATCTCATTACGGAGGCTCAGCTTAGGTAGGAGGAATGCTTTCTTGCCATGGGCTTTTTTTTTGTTTTTCCTCCCTACATTGCATCCATCTCCTGCATGGGTGTGGGGGAGACACCCCTCCCTCCCACAATGGGGCTCATCCCCTCCACTCCAGGGGAGGGAGTATGCCCCAGGCCTGGCCAGTCAGAGCATTCCATGTCTCTGGCCTCACTGATTGGTTCGGGGATAGTCATGTGATCCAAACGAAGCCAATGAAGACGCTTGCTCTTTTCCTAGAGCTGCTGAGTTTGGAAGGTGCTGGGGTTGCCAGTGGCCACCTCATTACAGGTGGGGCAAGAATCTGCTTGAGACTGTGAAGCTCACAAAGATGAAAGAGATTCCTTTTTTTTTTTTTTTTTTTTGAGTTTTAAGGATCGGAAAGTTTAATAGGCAAGAAAGAAGGAAGAAGACAGAAGGAAGAAACTCCCGGTACAGAGAAAGAGGGAGGGGGGGCTCCAAAGCCGAGAGAGGTAACCCTAACAGACAGATTCCTGAGCATCCCTTGAGCACCTGGATCTAGCCAGGCCTGAAGCTGATGCTTCTGGCCTTTTCAGTTACATGAAAAATAACTTCAGCTACTTCTTCTTCTCCTTCTTTTGCTTAGGCTAGTCTGAGTTGGGTTTCTGACACTTGCAAACAGTAAAATTTCCTGGAAAATATGCTTATTGACACTTGAGCACAAATATCACTATGTACTTAGAATGAAAGGTGTTAATGCGAGTTCTGACTTGTTTGAGTAAAACCCACCAGGCTATAATCATGCACCAAATTTACCTTTAAACTTGTAAGAGTAAAGCAGTGGCCCCAGAGAAGAAGTGACTTAAGACCAAGGAACCAACCACAGGTAGTAAAACATTAGGTGGAGAAATTTGGAACAAATAAACAGTTCTCTAGCTACAGCAGCCTCTGGACTATAAACCTCAAATTTCTGTTTCAAAAGTTATCCCAGGGAAAACATTCCAAAGTTTTAAAAAAAAACTTCCAGTTGAAGAAACAGGTAAAATTTATAAATATTCATCTCTTGTGTATATTATACATTAATGTCAAGCATATTTATCAGATGTATCAATATGATTATATTACTATATATGCAAATGCATATACATGTATGTGTATATTTAGAACCACATATCTCCAAGTTCTGTTTTAAAGAGGTAATGAAGGCGGGTAATCCCAGCACTTTGGGAGGCCAAGGTGGGCAGATCACCTGAGGTCAGGAGTTCCAGACCAGCCTGGCCAGCATGGTGAAACTGCGTCTCTACTAAAAATACAAAAATTAGCTGGGCATGGTGGCACACACCTGTAATTCCAGCTACTTGGGAGGCTGAGGCATGAGAATTGCTTGAACCCAGGAGGCAGAGGTTGCTGTGAACTGAGATCGTGCCACTGCACTCCAGCCTAAGCAACAGAGTGAGACTCCGTCTCAAAAAAAAAAAAAAAAGAGGTAATGAAGACTGTTCAAAGCGTATTTTCCCTTTTTCCTATTCCTCAGTTAACTAAGTAAACTATTAACCAGCGCAGTTCCTAGCAGATAGTGGGGGCATTCATTCTTTCTCCTATCCCCAGAATCTCCTATCCTCCTTTTTAGCCCTTCTTTCAGACACTGGGTAAATGAAAGAGGCAGAATAGCATAGTGTTATGAGTGGAGGTTGGTAAACTTTTGCTAAGAGAGCCAGAGAGTAAATATTTTTGGCTTTGTGTGCCATATGATCTCTGTCTACTCAACTCTGCCATTGGAGCAGAAAAACACTGGTGGGCATGGAGGTGTTACAATAAAACTTTATTTATAAAAACAGGAGATGGTCTGAATTTGGCCCATGGGATGTAGTCTGCCGACCTCTGGTTAAGAACATGGGATTTAGAATTAAGCAGAATTGGTTAATCTACCTCCTCTGCCTCCTACCATCTATAACCCCGAAAAATGTGTTACGTTTTGTGCCTCACCTGTAAAATGGAGATGACAACAGATACTTCTTACTTTGCGAGAACTAAATGAGATCATATATATTAAGTACTTAGGACACTTCCTGGTACGTATAGTAAATGCTCATTAAACATTAGCCGCCAGACATTATCATCACCATCAAAAAAGAAACTGCAAGGGGGGAACTGAGTTTGTCCAGGAACTTCAGCAGCATCCCTGGTGAAAAGATAGTGGAGGCGAATGAGGAAGCCCCTATCTGAAACTGCATTTTCTTCTATCATCGGTGGCTTTCATTTCTACCCACACGATATATCATCCCCCATGAGCATGTGAAGTGGCAGGCTGGCAGCACTGCAGTGAGGAACTTGCCTGAGCTCTCAGGTGACCGAGGTGCTCTGGGCTGTTGGGAAAGACTCCCAGACCGGGACTCAGGAGACTTAATCCTGGTTCTGGCCATAACTGATTACACAATCTTGGGAACACTGCAGAACCTCTTTGGGCTTCAGTTTATACAGTGATGGGATGGTCCCAAAGGCCTGTATGCAAATTCTGAAGGGGGAAAGGGAGCCTGTGGTTAATGTGTTCCTGCCCGGCAAAAGTTGGAAACTGAGGCTCAGAAAGGCTAGATTGCCATTGGAGTTTGAACTTCAGTCTATCGTACTCCAAAGCCTTTGTGTTCTTCACTGCACTCCCAAAGAGCTTCCCCTTTAAGGCAGTGAGTAGCCAGGCATATGGGCACTCTTTATGTTGGGCAGGATGTCATGAGGTTGCAAGAGGGTCGAAGGACTGCATCCAGAAGTCATGTGGGAAGCTCTGGCTGGAATGGGAGCAGGGCAGAACAGGCCAACGTAGGTTTCCTTACCTAGCTGCTTTATAAGAACAGCACTAGTGTTCACAGGACAACCCTCACTCACAGCTCCTTTCCTGGAAATCATAAAGCACTAAAGAAACCAACAAGCAAACATCATAATGGCAGAAACAACGCGGCAAGCACATCTGACTTTGTGACTTGGATTTCACACGCCTGACACTTAGGCAGGGAGTCAGTGTTACTACTCAACAGTTGCTTCAGGGCATCGCAAATGGCCCTGTAGGTTATGCCTCGCACAACTCCAGGGGGTGCCATCTTTGTGGACTCTACTGTGAATGGTGACTGGAGTTGTGCAAGGTGGTGGCCCTAGGCTATACTTTTTTTTTTTTTGAGAGAGTCTCACTCTGTTGCCCAGGCTGTGGCATGATCTTCGCTCATTGCAACCTCTGCCTCCCGGGTTCAAGCAATTCTTGTGCCTCAGCCTCCTGACTAGCTGGGACTATAGGTATGTGCCACCACGCCTGGCTAATTTTTTGTGTTTTGGGTAGACATGGGGTTTCACTATGTTGGCCAGGCTGGTCTTGAACTCCTGGCCTCAAGCGATCCTCCTGCCTTGGCCTCCCAAAGTGCTGGGATTACAGGCATGAGTCACCACGCCCGGCCCCTAGGCTATACTTTGGCAAAAAAGCTATGATATATAACGTGTACTCTTAAGCATATCGTGGGTGCCAATGTACTTTGTAAACCAAGAGTTTCTTTCTGTTTTTCTACCTTGTATGTCACTCCATGGGTAAGTTATTTGCAAAGGCATCCACCTGGTAGTTGGGAGGTCTTGGGAGGTTTTCTGTCCATGGGAAGGCTCACAGTGGAGGCAGGTGGCTGCTAGCGTGCTCCTCTTACCTTCCTGCTATCATAGGCACCAGATACTGGGCTAAGCAATTTGCAAACAATGACCCGTTTACTACTACAGTAACCCCACATGAGGAACTATTAGGATTCCAATTTTACAGAAATGGGAACTGAGGCTTTGAGAGGTGAAGCAACTTGTGCATGATCCCACAGCTGGTCAAGAGCAGGGCAGAACTGTGTGGGGCAGACTCACTTGAACTTCAGGACACCCACGCTAGCCACTGTGATGTCTACAAACACATTTGGGTCTCTAACTTCTGCCTCCACCTCCCATTTCCTATTGAAATGGCTGTCACGTCCCTCTCTGTTGGTTATGGTCACCACAAAGCCTGAAATAAATTTTTCTGTTTGGGAACTCTTTCTTGGGAAAAGAACAGCTAAGCCTTACAATATTAGGACAGTCCTCTTCCAAAGGAAACAATCCTTGAAAACTCTACCGCGGGGAAGACACAGCCCCCTCTCTAGGGACTCAAAGAATCAATAAGAGACAAGAGCATGCTGGAATCAAGACAGCTACACATTTCTTAGAAAAACTGGACCCCAAAATGAGATGAGATTTGATGAGAGACGCTCTTCACTACCTCCTTTTTTCTTTTTTATAGCTCACAGGTCGAGGTCATCAGGCAAATAGAAAGGGAAGCCATCAGAAAGAGAAACTCAGTCCACATGGCTGCCCTCACTCAGGCCTGCAAAGGACCCTTTGTCACTAAGAGGAAGCCTGCACGAATGTCTCTTGATCTAGGAATGCTCTGAAAGGGAGCCGAGAGCAGTTTTGTGAGGATGGGGTGGAGGCGGACAGGGGGTCTTCTGAGGAAAACCTGGCAGGGACAGAGGCTCGGCTTGCCCCCTGGAAACGCTCGGGCTGCTGTGAGGTACTCTGGGCATGGGCCAGGGGGCAGATGTCTGGCTGCCAAAAGTCCCTTAGCTAATAAAGCAGGAGGCAACTGCATGTAGAAATAAGAATTTTTAAAATTCATGTACAGCCAAGTGACTGTAAAAGTGTGCTTTGTTGGCCAGGCGCGGTGGCTCACGCCTGTAATCCCAGCACTTTGGGAGGCTGAGACGGGCGGATCACGAGGTCAGGAGATCGAGACCATCCTGGCTAACACGGTGAAACCCCATCTCTACTAAAAATACAAAAAATTAGCCAGGCATGGTGGTGGGCACCTGTAGTCCCAGCTACTCGGGAGGCTGAGGCAGGAGAATGGCGTGAACCCGGGAGGCTGAGCTTGCAGCGAGCCGAGCTCGGGCCACTGTACTCCAGCCTGGGCGACAGAGTGAGACTCCGTCTCAAAAAAAAAAAAGTGTGCTTTGTTGTCTTTGAAAACCAGTTGATGATACTGCTGCACCTAGCAGCTGACCCAATGGTTTTCTCCCAATTGTTACCTGCAAGTGGAGACAGAGTTTAATTCACAGTGACTAGCTGTGTGGTCCTGGGCAAATTACTTAACCTCTCTGAGTTTCAGATTCCTTGTCTGCAAAATGGGGATCATGAGAGAGCCCATGCCCTAGGCTGTTGCATTAAATAAGGGAAAGCAGGTAAATGCCTTAGCACAGTGTCCCTCCTGCTCCTCCTCATTATTCCATTATAATAACTCTACCGTTCTCATTCACTAACAAAATATAAACTATTATACAAAACAGAATCTTTTTTTTTTTTTGAGGCGGAGTCTTGCTCTGTCACCCAGGCTGGAGTGCAGTGGCATGATCTCGGCTCACGGCAACCTCCACCTCCTGGGTCCAAGCAATTCTCCTGCCTCAGCCTCCAGAGTAGCTGGGACTACAGGCGCCCGCCACCATGCCCAGCTAATTTTTTTTTTGTATTTCAGTAGAGACGGGGTTTCACCGTGTTGCCCAGGCTGGTCGCAAACTCCTGAGCTCAGGCAATCTGCCCGGCTCGGCCTCCCAAAGTGCTGGGATTACAGGTGTGAGCCACCATGCCTGGCCAAAACAGAATCTTTTATAATACATTCTTTTGCTCCTTCAGAAGTGAAGGTTGGACATCTTTACCACTGGGTGACACACTTATGTGATTAAAACAAAATACCCCTCCCCAAATTTGTACACTTAGGTTCACAGCTGCATCATTTGCAATAGGCAAAAGGCGGAAGGAGCCCACGTGTCTACCCATGGAAGAACGGATAAGCAAAATGTGGTCTCTCATACAAGGGAGCATTCTTCAGCTTTCAAAAGGAAGGACAGTCTGACGCATGCTACAACATGGATGAACCTTGAGGACTTGGTGCTGAGTGAAACCAGCTAGACACAAAAGGACAAATATCGTATGATTTCGCTTATACAAGGTACCCAGAGTAGTCAGATTCACAGAGACAGGAAGTAGAACGGTGGTCGTTAGAGGCTAGGGTGAGAGGGCAACAGGGAGACAGTGTGCTCTTGTTTAATAGGGGCAGAGTTTCAGTTTTGCAAAATGAAAAGAGTTCTGTGGATCGACGGTGTGACAGCAGCGCCACAATGTGAATGCACTCAACACTGAACTGTTCCTTAGAAACGGTGAATACGGTGAATTTCATGTTATATGTATTTTACCACAGTTTAAAACATAAAAAATTGCACAAACCAACACAAAAAGTCAAGTATCTCACAGGTTTCTTTCTAGGATGTACATGGTGATGGCAATGTTCTGAAAGTGGCTTGTGGTGATGGCTGCACCCCTCTGTAAATATACTGAAATGTGTTGAATTGTACGCTTAAAATGGGCAGGGTTTATGCTGCATAAATTATACTTCTATAAAGCTGTTCAAAGCAAGGAAGCAAAGAAATGCTAAGGTCATGAGGAACCCTGTAGTGTGACGGGTGCACTTAATGTCTTGGTTGTGGCAATGGCTTCACAGGTATATCCATGTTCCCAAACCTAGCAAATGATGTACTTTGGACATGTACAGTTTTACTGTATGTCAACTATACCTCAATAAAGCTGCATTTTAAAAAAAAGCAGCATAGTTATCCACATAAGAATGAACCCCTTATATTTTATTAAACAATGCCCCTTTTGATGGGCATTTAGGTTTCAAATGTTATGCCACTACAAATAATACTTCAATAAATACCTTTGTATGAAAAAAAAGAAATAGAGATATTGTGCATCCTCCTCCTCCCCCACTGGCAAGTCACAAAATTAGAATCTCCCATGGAGGGGCCCCGGGAACCTGTAATTTTACTGAACAGTCCCCCTCAAATTCTGATAATCAGACATGTTTAGGGAAACACTGGCTCGGACTTCACAGATTTGGCTTTTCAGGCGCTTATGTGTTAAGAGCGTCTACTTGGACACTGAGTTTCAGGCTCTACAGACATTCTCTTGATGCCATGTGCCGTCAAGAAGGCAGAGACCTGGGCATATGAAGAAGTCTGGCCCAGGTCACAGAGCTAGGAAGGAGCAGCGTGCTCATCTACCTAAAAATGAAATCCACCTCTGCATTTTCAAAAGCACACCTTGTTTTCCGCCTCCTCTCAGGAAGTTGCACATTTTTGGAAAACTGGTTCTATGTGAGCCAAGATGCAACTCCAAGAAATGCCCAGAAGAGGGTGCTAAGATTCTCTCCTTCCTGGGACCCGCCAGAATGACTCAGAACTCCACAGGGTCCACTCTGTCTCTGCTGCCTGTGTGCAGCGTGCGATCACAGTGGCACCAATGTGGATAAGCGCCACCCTGCAGCTGCATCCGAGCGCCGGGCTGCACGAAGGCGACATGGCCCCTCTATCCCCCAGTGGCCCGGACTCACCGGAGGTGGATTTTCAATGACCAGTTCATAGGTCAGCCCTGCAGACCCAAATCTCAGGATGTCTCCAGGGATGAGCTTCACAGCCACGTTTTGAATGTGGCACTCGTTGACAAACGTGCCGTTGCGGGAATTGAAGTCCTGGAGAACAAAGCTGCACTCCGCCTCGTTATATTCAATGAGTGCATGGTGGTTGTCGATGTCAGGAGACTGCAACGGAGAAGGAGGACAGTCGTAGCCATGAAAACAAAAATGACACGGCCCCTAATGTTTTGAGCTGAGTGCCTTACCTGTTTTGCCGCCGCCAGATCATCACGACAATCCTCATTTTAAAAGGAGGAGGCTGAGGATCAGAGAGGTTAAGCGACTTGCCCAAGGCCACACAGCTAGTGTGTGAAGGAGCTTGGGATATGTGCTCTGTCTGACACCAGACCTGGGGACAGGTACCTAAGTTGTTGAGTGGGGAAATCAGGCAACACAAAGGCAAAGGGATCTTGGGAGAGTCATATTGGACAAATATGGGACCAGGGAATTGGCCATTTTCTTTTCTTTTTGTTTTTGTTTTTATTTTTATTTTTTATTTTACCAAAACCGAAAATCGTCAAGGAATTGGCCATTTTCTTTTTCCCTGACTCCACATGGGTATTTATGGTGGTACTCAGTACCAGGACAGGAGGCAAAAATGGCCCAAACAAGAAATAGAGAAAAGTACTAAAGAAGCCATTACCGTTACTTATAATCCCACCCTCACCAGTGGCAGCCATGGTTAACATTGAGGTTCACATCCTTCCACGTTTTTTTTCTATGCTTACGTCCTTTTAAATTTTTTTAAACAAAATTAATCACACCCTACATACATAGTTTTATAACTACCTTTGAAAAACCTTGATGTACAATAAATATTTCCCATGCGATTAGTTATTTCCATTGCTTTTTAAAAGCTATTCAGGATTTGCCTAACCACAGATGGCCCGCTTTTCAAAAGGGGGCTTGGTGTGACCATGTTTCCCCAAAGGAAAGGGGCCCCAGCCAGTGTGTCTGCAAACTGATGGCAAGGGACAGAAGCTCCTCTGTAATTTCACTTTAATAAGAGGACTGAGTGAAGCTCAGCACAAAGGAGGTGACTGCATGTTCCCCTGGTTGCAGGGCCCTGGAGGGATGAAGGGAAATGTTCTGACTGTGAGCTGCAGGGCACACTGAAGTCTTCGTCTTTTATTTTTGAGACAGAGTCTCGCTCCGTCACCCAGGCTGGAGTGTGGTGGCACGATCTCGGCTCACTGCAGCCTCCACCTCCTGGGTTCAAGGAATTCTTCTGCCTCAGCCTCCCGAGTAGCTGGGACTACAGGCATGTGCTACCACGCCCAGCTAATTTTTTTTTTTTTTTTTTTTTTTCCGAGATGGAGTCTCGCTCTGTTGCCCAGGCTGGAGTGCAGTGGTGCGATCTTAGCTCACTGCAAGCTCTGCCTCCCGGGTTCACGCCATTCTCCTGCCTCAGCCTCCCAAGTAGCTGGGACTACAGGCGCCTGCCACCACGCCTGGCTAATTTTCTGTATTTTTAGTAGAGGCGGGGTTTCACCATGTTAGCCAGGATGGTCTCCATCTCCTGACCTCGTGGTCCACCCACCTCGGCCTCCCAAAATGCTGGGATCACAGGCATGAGAGACGGGGTTTCACCATACTGGCTAGGCTGGTCTCAAACTCCTGACCTCATGATCCGCACGCCCCAGCCTCCTAAAGTGCTGGGATTACAGGCGTGAGCCACCGTGCCCGGCCAAAGTCTTCATCTTTTAAGGGCACTGTCAACCAGACATCCATGCCAGCTTGAGACTTTGCAACTATTTTCTAAGTTTATCTTCTCAGGGTGCCCTGTCCAGCTTTTATATAAAAGTACTTGCATGTAGACAACTAAAGTTCCATCATATAACAACCTAGAGCTTATATTAATAATAGAATATATTAATATGTATACTAGAGTAACAATAAAACATATTACTTACACATTACAAGCCAGGAGATTGCTTAGTGCTTTATTGCATTGCCCTATTTCATCTTCACAACAATCTAGAGATAGTTTCCCATTTGGTAGATAGGGAAACTGAGACACAGAATGAATTTACCCAAAGTCACCCCGCTTGACAAGTCACCTGGCTTGTACTCAGGTTCGCCTGATTCAAATGTCTGTGCTATTAGCCACTTTCCAAGTTTCCACCAAACACTTTGCCACCCAAAATATTAAAATAAAAAAGAAAGCTGAAGTAGCTATACTAACTGCGGCCAAGGCAGTTTCAGAACAAGAAAAACTGGGGATAAAGAGAAGCATTAGGCCAGGTGTGGTGGCTCATGCCTGTAATCCCAGCACTTTGGGAGGCCAGGGCGGGCAGATCCCCTGAGGTCAGGAGTTTGAGACCAGCCTGGCCAACATGGTGAAAACCCATCTCTACTAAAAATACAAAAATTAGCTGGGTGTAGTGGTGCACACTTGTAATCCCAGCTACTCAGTAGGCTGTGGAAGGAGAATCACTTGAACCCAGTAGGTGGAGGTTGCAGTGAGCTGAGACCATGCCATTGCACTCCAGCCTGGGTGACATGAGTGAAACTCAAAAAAAAAAAAAAAAAAGAGAGCCATAAATAATGGTAAAGGGGTAATTCTCCAAGAAGACATAACAATGCTTGATGTGCATGCACCTAACAACAGAGTGCCAAAATACACAAGGCAAAAGCTGACAGAACTGCAAAGAAAAACAGATAAGCCCAATATGACAGCTGAAACTTCCACAACCCTCTGTCAGTAATTAGCAGAGCCAGCAGGCAGAAAATTAGTAAAGGCATAGTTAAACTGAACAACACCGTCAATCAACAAGATCTAATTGATATTTATAGAACACTTAACCCAACAACAACAAGGTGCACGTTCTTCTTGGGCTGACATGGAACACTCACTAAGCTATACCACATTCTGAGCCATAAAACACACCTCAATGAATTTAAAGGAATAGAAATCATGTAGAATATGCTCTCAGACCACAATGGAAGTAAACTTGAAATCAGTAACAGAAAGATAGGTGGAAAATCCCAAAACATTTGGAGATTAAACAACACATTTCTAAATAACACACGGTGAAGGAAGAAATCTCAGGAGAAATTAAAAATTATCTTAACTAAATGAAAATGAAAATACCACTTAAAATTTGTGGGAAGCAGTGAAAGCAGTGCTTACAGGGAAATTTATAGCCTTGAATGCACACATAAGAAAAGAAGAAAGATCTGAAATCAATAATCAAAGTTTCTACCTTAGGAGACTAGAGGAAGAAGAGCAGTATAAGCCTAACATAGACAGAAGAACTGAAAGAAATATTAGATCAGAAATGAATGAAATTGAAGACAATAGAGAGAATCAAAGAAAACAAAAGTTGGTTCTTTGGAAAGATCAATAGAACTGACAAACCTCTAGTAGGTAACCAAGAAAAAAAGAGAGAAGACACAAATTATTGATATCAGACATGAAAGAGAGGCCATCACAGCTGATCCCATGGATATATTTATTATGGAATATTTATATTCTATAATAAATATAGAGTGAACAGGCAACCTACAAAATGGGAGAAAATTTTCACAACCTACTCATCTGACAAAGGGCTAATATCCAGAATCTACAATGAACTCAAACAAATTTACAAGAAAAAAACAAACAACCCCATCAAAAAGTGGGCAAAGGACATGAACAGACACTTCTCAAAAGAAGACATTTATGCAGCCAAAAAACACATGAAAAAATGCTCACCATCACTGGCTATCAGAGAAATGCAAATCAAAACCACAATGAGATACCATCTCACACCAGTTAGAATGGCAATCATTAAAAAGTCAGGAAACAACAGGTGCTGGAGAGGTTGTGGAGAAATAGGAACACTTTTACACTGTTGGTGGGACTGTAAACTAGTTCAACCATTGTGGAAGTCAGTGTGGCGATTCCTCAGGGATCTAGAACTAGAAATACCATTTGACCCAGCCATCCCATTACTGGGTATATACCCAAAGGACTATAAATCGCGCTGCTATAAAGACACATGCACACGTATGTTTATTGCAGCACTATTCACAATAGCAAAGACTTGGAACCAACCCAAATGTCCAACAATGATAGACTGGATTAAGAAAATGTGGCACATATACACCATTGAATACTATGCAGCCATAAAAAATGATGAGTTCATGTCCTTTGTAGGGACATGGATGAAATTGGAAATCATCATTCTCACTAAACTATTGCAAGAACAAAAAACCAAACACCGTATATTCTCACTCATAGGTGGGAATTGAACAATGAGAACACATGGACACAGGAAGGGGAACATCACACTCTGGGGACTGTTGTGGGGTGGGGGGAGGGGGAAGGGATAGCTTTAGGAGATATACCTAATGCTAAATGACGAGTTAATGGGTGCAGCACACCAGCATGGCACATGTATACATATGTAACTAACCTGCACATTGTGCACATGTACCCTAAAACTTAAAAGTATAATAATAATAAAATTAAAAAAAGAAAAGAAAATGTAAAGAACAGCAAATATATATATATTTTTTATATTCCTATTTATATGCTATAAAACATATTTTATATATACCATATTTTTATATCATATCAATATATTTATATTATATTTATAATATATAAAATATTTATTTTATAAATATATGCTATATAAAATTTATATTTATAATTTATATATCATTTATATTATTATTTTATATATTATTTATAATGATATATAAAGGAATATTATGAACAGCTCTCTGTCCACAAATTTGATAACTTAGATGAAATGGACCAATTTCTTGAAAGACACAATTTACCCAAACTCATACAAGGAGGAATAGATGATCTGGGCCCTTATCTATTAAAGAATTTGAATCAATAGTTAATAACCTTCTAAAACAGAAAGCACCAGGCCCAGATGGGTTCCCTGGTGAATTCTATCAGACATTTAAGGAAGAAATGATACCAGCTCCCTACAATCTCTTCCAGAAAATAGAAGCAGGAGGAATACTTCCTAACTTATTCTGTGAGGCCAATATCACCTGAATACCCAATCAAGATAAAGACATTACAAGAAAGGAAAACTAGAAGCCAATATCTCCCATATACATAGACGTGAAGTCTTCAACAAAATATTAGTGAATATAATCCAACAATGTATAAAAATAATTATACACCACAACTAAGTGGGATTTATTCCAGGTATTCAAGAACTGATTTGGCGTTTGAAAATCAATTAATGTAATCCATTGCATCAAGAGGCTAAAGAAAAAAAATGGGGAGATATATTCTTTTATTTGTAATTGCTAAGTGAAATATGATGGTTAAAATCTTTTCATATGCTTATTTGCCATCTGTATATCTTCTTTGGCAAAGTATCTGTTCAGATCTTTTGTCCATCTTTAATTTGGGTTGTTTTCTTATTGTTGGGATTTAAGATTCATTTATTTTGGATGCATGTTTATAGCATCTTTATTCATAATTGCCAAAAACTGGAAGCAACCAAAATGTTCTTCAGAAGGTAAATGGATAAACAAACTGGTAGAAACATCAGTCAATGATAAAAAGAAATGAGCTCTCAAGCCACAAAAAGATACAGAGGAACTTTAAATGCATATTGCTTAGTGAAAAAAGCTAATCTAAAAGGGCTACATATTGTATGATTTCAACTACATGAAACTTTTAAAAAGATAAAACTATAGAAAGATTTGTGGTTGCCAGGGGTCAGGGGAAGGTGGGGGGCTGTGTTGAACAGGTAAGCACAGGGGATCTTTAGGGCAGTGAAACTATTCTGTATGATTCTATATTGGTGAATACCTGACATTATGCCTATGTCAAAACCCACAGAACTTTATAACGTGAAGAATGAATCCTAATGTAAACTCTGGGCTTGAGTTAATAATAACATATGAATATTGATTCATCAATTGCAACAAATGTATCATAGTAACGAAGATGTTAATAATAGGGGAAACTGCGTGTGTATGTGTGAGTGTTGTGGGGGAGGGGTTGTTATATGTGGGAACTCTCTGTACTATCTGTTCAACTTTCTGTGAACCTAAAACTGCTAAAAAAAAAAAAAAGTCTAGGCCAGACATGTTGGCTCATGCCTGAAATGCCAGCACTTTGAGGGGCCAAGTCAGGAGGCTTGAACCCAGGAGTTCAAGATCAGCCTAGGCAACATAAGGAGACCCTATCTCTACAAAAATGAAAGAATTAGCCAGGTGTGGTGGTGCACACCTGTGGCCTTAACTACTTGGGAGGCTGAGGTGGGAGGATTGCTTTGGCCCAGGAAGTTGGGGCTGCAGTGAGTCATGATGGCACCACCACACTCCAGCCTGGGCAACAGAGCGAGACCCTGTCTCAAAACAAACACACAAAAATAATAAAGTTTATTAAATAAACATGAAAACATATTCGCCCTTTGGGAAATGCTTCCCACATCATCTTCATCTCCATTCCTACTGACCACATTTCTTTGTGCTCTAAGAACTCTCTCTCTCTTTTTTTTTTTTTTTTTTTGAGATGGAGTCTTGCTCTGTCACCCAGGCTGGAGTGCAGTGGTGCAATCCTGGCTCACTGCAACCTCCGCCTCCCAGGTTCAAGCAATTCTCCTGCCTCAGCCTCTTGAGTAGCTGGGATTACAGGGGCACACCACCACATCCAGCTAATTTTGTATTTTTAGTAGAGACAGGGTTTCACCATGTTAGCCAGGCTGGTCTCAAACTCCAGACCTCAGGTGATCTGCCCGCCTCAGCCTCCAAAAGTGCTGGGATTACAGGTGTGAGCCACCGCACCCAGCCTATGAACTCTTAATAACTCATCAAAGAGATAAGTTCTATGTGTTACATTTTGTTTTTCTCTTCTCAAATCCCATTACTTTCAGCTCCTCAGAAGCTGTCAAGCCGTGATTAAGAAATCAAAGCCAGGAGGAAGTTTTGGATGATACCACAAAATGGGACAAGCCTCTGCCTTGTGTTAGGCCAAGGGAGAGTTTCTGAGGACTGCCTGATAATACCACTCCCTCCTGTATTTAGATAACTGCAAAAAACTGATGTTAGTAGAAAGCTCTGCTGCCAACATAGGCTGAATGTACAAGCTCCACTCTGCTGAACTGTCTCATTATGAGATTAACTGCTGTTCTGTTTTTATTATTATTATCAGCTAACATATTTTGAGAAGTTCCTGTGAACTGGGCCTTACCAAAGCACTTTGTGTTCATTCCCTCATTTAATCTGCAAAACAGCCCTTTACAGGGAGTTCTACTATAATCTCCATATTACAGATGGAGAAGCTGAGACTCAAAAGGCGAAGTAAGAGACCAGCATTACCCTGTCAGTAAAACCAAAGACATTATAAGAAAACTACAGACCAATATCCCTAATGAATACTGATGCAAAAATCTTCAACAAAATATTAGCAAACGTAATTCAACAGCTTATTAAAAGGATTATACACCATGACCAAGTGGGATTGATTCCTGGAATGCAGGGATGGTTCAACATGAAAATCAATCTGTGTAACATAATGCATTAACAGAATGAAAAGGAAGAACCACGTGACTATCTGGACTGATGGAGAAAAAGCACTTGGCAAAATTCAACACTCTTTCCATGATGAAAACACAAAAAAATACTAGGAATAGAAGAAAACTACATCAACATAATAAAGGCCATATGTGAAAAGCTCATAGCTAACATAATTCTCAGTGGTGAAAGACTAAGACTTTTCCTCTAAGACCAGGAATGAGATAAAGATGCCCACCCTCACCACTTCTATTTGAAATAGTACTGGAAGTCCTAGTCAGAGCAGTTAGACAAGAAAAAGAAGTGAAAGGCATTCAATATATCCCAGAAATAAAATTACCTGTATTGTTGGACAACATGATTTTTATATGTAGAAAGCCCTAAAGATCACACACACACACACACACACACACACACATATATACATATAACACTGAATTCATAATAAATGATACAAAATCATTTATTTTGTACTCAGGATACAAAATCAGCATGCAAAAATCAGTGGTATTTCTATACACTAACAATAAACAAGCTGAAAAGTAAAATAAGAAAGCCATTCCATTTACAATAGCATCAAAAAGAAGAAAATATTAGAAATAAACTTAACCAAGGAGGCAAAAGACTTGTACATTGAAAACTACACAATGTTGCCGAAAGAAATTAAAGAAGATACAAATAAATGGAAAGACAACCCATGTTCAAGAATTGGAAGACCTAATATTGTTTAGAACATCAATACTACCCAAGCAACCTACAGATTTAATGCAATCTTTATCAAAATTCCAATGGTGTTCTTTTTTCCCAGAAATAGAAAATTTTATTCTAAAATTTATATGGATTCTCAAAGGAACCCTGAAGAGCCAAAACAATCTTGAAAAAGAAGAACAGTTGGAAGTGTCATACTTCCTGGTTTCAAAAGTTATTAAAAAGATAGGGTAATCAAAACACTGTGGGCTTAGCATTTATGCCAGACACATAGACAGTGAAACAGATTAGAAAGCCCCCATATAAACCTTTGCATATATGGTCAAATGATTTTCGACAAGGGTGTCAATACCATTCAATGGTGGAAAGGACAGTCTTTTCAACAAATGATGCTGGGAAAACTGGATATCCACATGTATTAGTAAAAGAATGAAACTAGGCTGGGCACAGTGGCTCACGCCTGTAATCCCAGCACTTTGGGAGGCTGAGGCGGGCAGATCACGAGGTCAGGAGATCAAGACCATCTGGGCTAACACAATGAAACCCCGCCTCTACTAAAAATACAAAAAATTAGTTGGGCGTGGTGGCAGGTGCCTGTAGTCCCAGCTACTTGGGAGGCTGAGGCAGGAGAATGGCATGAACCCGTGAGGCGGAGCTTGCAGTGAGCCGAGATTGCGCCACTGCACTCCAGCCTGGGCGACAGAGCGAGACGCTGTCTCAGACAAAAAAAAAAAAAAAAAAAAAAAAAGAATAAAACTGGACCCTTAACTTACACCATAAACAAAAATTAGTTCAAAATGGATCAAAGACCTAAACATAAGAGCTAACACTATAAAACCCTTAAAAGAAAACATAGAAGAAAAGCTTCCGGACAATAGATTTGACAGTTATTTCTTGGCAATGACACCAAGAACACAGGCAACAAAAGTAAAAATAGATAAACTGGAATACATTAACATTAAAACTTCTATATATCAAAGGATACACTCAACACAGTGAAAAGGCAACCTACGGAATGGAAGAAAATATTTACAAATCACATATCTGAAAAAGGGTTAATCTCCATGATATATAAAGAACCCCACAACTCAACAGTAACAAAACAAAAATAACCCTATTAAAAAATGTGCAAAGGATTTGAATGGACTTTCTCCAAAGAAGATACACAAATGGCCAACAAGTATATGAGAAGAATGCTCAAGATCACAAATCATTAAGAAATTCAAATCAAAACCACAAGGAGATACCACTTTGCACCCTTTAGGATGGCTACTATAAAAACACAGAAAATAAGTGTTGGCGAGGACGTGGAGATGTTAAACCCTCGTGCACTGTGGCTGGGAATGTAAAATAGTGCAGCCACTGTGGAAACAATATTGTGGTTCCTCAAAAATGTAATAATAGAATTACCATATGATCCGGCAATGCCACTTCTGGGTATATATTCAAAAGAATTGAAAGCAGGGTCTCAAAGAGACATTTGTACAGTCGTGTTCCTAGCAGCATTATTCACATTATTCACAGTAGCCAAATGGTGAAAGCAACCCAGGTGTCCATGGACAGACAAAAGATAAACAAAACGTGGTCCATCCAAACAATGGATGTTATTTAGCTTTTAAAAGAAAGGAAATTCTGCCACAACGTGGATGAACCTTGAGAACATATGCTGGTGAAATAAAGCAGTCACAAAATACATGTTGTGGCTCACACCTGTAATCCCAGCACTTTGTGAGGCTGAGGTAGGAGGATTACTTGAGCCCAGGCGTTAGAGGCCAGCCTGGAAACATAGTGAGACCTCGTTTCTAGCTCTCCTACTTCCTAGTGGGGTGACCCTGGGCAAGTGATCTATTCCCTTGGGACCTCAGTTTCCTCATCTGTAAACAGAGATAATAGCAGAATGGCCCTTATGGGTTTGTGGTGAAGAATAAATGAAACAGTATATATAAAAAGCACTTAGAAGAGTATTTTAGCCCAATAGCAGGTGTTAAAATGTTCACTATTATGCGCAGAAGGATGGGCTCTGCACTTAGAAAGCTCTGAGTTCAAGTCCCACCTCTGCTGCATTCCTGCTGTGCAGCCTGGGACAAGTTTCTTTGCCTCTCTGAGGCTGCTTCCTATGCTGCAAAAATGAGTGTGATAAGCTCTACCTCAAAGGACTGACAAAAGATACTATTTGGCAAAATTTTCAGTGTGGTGGGATAACATTTTTGAAATTAACTGGTGTGTGTGTGTGTGTGCGTGTGTGCTAAAAACACAGGGGCTTGCTATGTTGCCCAGGCTGGAGTGCAGTAGCTATTTCCAGGCACCATCAAAGCATAATACAGCCTTGAACCCCTGGGCTCGAGTGATCTTCCTGCCTCAGCCACCCAAGTGCCTGGGACGACAGGCACCTGTGTGTATCAAATCATATTTCTTTTTACCTTTTGGTCCTTGGCCATCCTGCGCCCCCACTGTGACCCCTGTCACTGCCTCAGGAAAGGGATGTAATGCAGAAACAGAACAAGCTGGGGTTTTCAAAGGAATAGGGATATGAGGAAATGGCCAGGGCTCTGGTAAGACTGTGAGTCTGGGAGCAGAGGGAAAGAGGAAGTTTGTCGGCTTCCCTCCTGTCAATCAGAGCCTTGCTCAGCTTCTCTGGGAGAGTCTTGAGAAGCAGGCAAGTCCCCGAGAAGACGCTGTTTCAGGCGGTATCTCTGAGAGCTCCCCAGAATCAGTGCTACTCTGAGAGAGGGAGGGGAGAGTTCCGAGAGTCCTGTGTAATGGAGTCTGTGACAGTTCCCCTCGGTGCACTGACGGCTCGAAAGAACCTTGAGCTGAGACAGCAATGCGTGCCCACTTGCTAGGCACTCATGATAGAGCAGCGATTAGTCATCCTCGTGTCCACACCCCCGTTCCGGAAGTCCTCTTTTCCTGAAGCTTCTTGTCCCTGCACGGTCCCAGACAGCCTGACTATGAATCCCACCCTCTGTGCCCGTCATACGTGACCTTGGGCAGGCTCCTTAGTCTGTCTGTGCCACAACTTCCTCATCTGTAAAATGGGGGAAGGGAGATCCCTAACTTGTAGGGTTGCTGAAAGGATTAACCGAGTTAATACACACAAAAGTGCAAACAACAGTGCCTGGCACAAAGTAAACCCACAATAACACAAATGATAGCATCATCCTCTTGGCTCATCCACCATCTTTCTCCACTGTCCCTGGCAGTGACCCTACTGATTCCTCTGAAAAGCTCTCAACATCCCATATTATCGCTTCCCTCTCTATGGCCAGAGTCCAAGCAAGAGATGGTAATAACTGTGATTGGCAGAATGGTCCCACAAAGGTGTCCGTGTCCTAATCCCTGGAACCCGTGAGTGTGCTGCTGCCTTACATGGCAAAGGGATGGTGCAGAAGTGATAACGATGACTCATCTTGAAACAGGGAGGTTAACCTGGATTATCCAGAGGGGGCTAATCTAACCACGTGAGCCCTTAAAAACAAAGAACTTTCTCTGGCTGGAGTTGGAGAGATGAGTCAGACGGGGAGGTCAGAGAAATCTGAAGCATGAGAAAGACTAGAACCATTGTTGCTGGTTTTGAAGATAAAGGGGCCCTGAGCCATGCGGGATTGGGAGGCCTCTGAAGCTGAGGCTGGCCTCCAACCGATGGCCAGTGAGGACACAGAGGCCTCGGTTCTATAGCAGCATCGAGCTAAATTCTTCCAACAGAGTGGGGCTAGAAGCAGACGATTCCCTGGAGCCTCCAGCCAAGAGCCCAGGCGGCCAACACTTTGATTTTGGCCTTGAGTGACCTGGGGCAGAGGAACCAGCTGAGTCCACTCAGACTTCTGACTTAAGGAACTGTGAGATAATAAACACTCATTGTTATAAATAGAAAACGAATACAATAACCAAAATGTACTGTAGTATTAACCACCTGCCAGGCACTGTCCTAAGCACTTCATGGTAATTCAGTCTCGTAACACAGTTCCCCACCATACACACACAGAAGTTGCAGCCGAGAATGGCTGGGTAACTTGCCTGGGACCCTACAACTCAGAGGGCAGAGCCAGGATCACAGGCAAGAGGCCTAGCACCGAGTTCATGCTCTTGACCACCCTGTTCTAGAGCCGCCCTTCTGTTCTTTGTCCACCCATTCTGCCTACGTTTGTCAGTGTTCTCTTCAAAATAACGAAGACAATCAATTTCTCCCCAGCTCAAAGCCTTTTGAGGAGGGGGTTCCATTTTCGCAGCAAGTTAAACATGAAACGCTTAGCCTAGCTTACGTGGCCTTTTTGCATGTGGGTGGCAGGGCCATCCAGCCCTCATCATGCCATGCCAAGTGCTTCAAGCAACACCTCCGGATCTTTGTGTGCGCTGTTTCTTACACCTGGCAGGGAGAGGGGGGCCCTTTCTGGCCTGTCATACCTGGCAAACCAGGCTTTCTCTTGTAAGAGGCAGCTCCAGCTTGGTCTGCTCTGAGGAGCTGTCCCCGACACCTGAGACAGGATCCTCGTGGGTCATCCACGCAGCCCTCAGCACACCTCTTCCCAGGAAAACACCTGCAGCCTGGGTCGACATTTCCTCTTTACCCCAATCCCACACTGAGGGCGCCACCTCAGTTTGTTGCATCGATGAGGATCACAGGAAAAGTGATTTTCGCTGTTCTGCTGATAATCCCCACCTAGGAGTCCAAACTGTGGGATTTCCCACTACCGATTATCTTAACTGACTCACAAGGAATTTCAGATATTTAGATTTTTAGATGTTCCCTAAAGCCAAATTTACAACCAAACAATGAAGTATCTTTGAGTAGAAGCGTTGCATCAGACAGCCCCAAGTCTGAAACTCAGCCCCACCGTCCCCGACTAGATGTGTGATTTGGGGCAAGTTATTTAACCTTTCTGAGCCCCATTTCCACATCTTTACATGAGGATAATAACGATAATAGTAGTTCTCGCCTGATAGGGCTGTTTGAGGATAAAGCTCTGTAACACATACACGGCATATACATAGAACACATACAAAACCACACGAGATGCCTCATAACTAGTCTATACATGGGGGTGTGGCCGTTTGTATTATCTGTGCTAGTCAAAAGAACCTTGAGCTGAGACAGCAATGTGTCTCAGAAGATTATGATCTTCTACCTCACTCTCATTAGGATGGCTACTGTAAAAACAACCACCACCCCCAGAAAATACCAAGTGCTGGTGAGGATGTGGGGAGACTGGAGCCCTTATGCACTGTTGCTGGGAAAGCAAAATTGTGCAGCCACTGTGGAAAACAGTATGGCAGTTCCTCAAAAAATTAAAAATAGAACTGTCATCTGATCTGGCGGTTCTGCTTCTCTTCTGGGTATGGATCTGAAAGAACTGAAAGCAGGGGCTTGAAGAGATATCGGTGGTGGCTCACACCTGTAATTACAGCACTTTAGGAGGCCGAGGCGGGCGGATCACCTGAGGTCAGGAGTTTGAGACCAGCCTGGCCAACATGGTGAAACCCAGTCTCTATTAAAAATACAAAAAAATTAGCCGGGCGTGGTGGTACATGCCTATAGTCCCAGCTGCTCAGGAGGCTGAGGCAGGAGAATCACTTGAACCCGGGTGGCAGAGGTTGGCAGTGAGCCGAGATTGTGCCACTGCACTCCAGCCTGGGCAACAGAGCGAGACTCTGACTCCATTAAAAAAAAAAAAAAGAGAGACAGAGATATCTGGACACTCATGTTTATAGCAGCATTATTCACAGCAGCCAAAAGCTGGAAGCAACCCAAGTGTCCATTGACAGATGAATGGATCAACAAAATGTAGGACAGACATGCAGCAGCCACTATTCAGCCTTCAAAAGGAAGGGAACTCTGACACATGCTGCCACAGAGGAACCTTAAGAACATTATGCCAAGTGAAATAAGCCAGTCACAAAAGACACGTACTATACGATTCAGCGTATAGTATAGTCTATGAGGAACCTGCTACAGGCAAATTCAGAGACAGAAAGTACTTTGTCAGAAAGACGGTGGCTGCCAGGGACTGGGGGGCTGGGAGGGGAAGGGGAATTCTTCTTCAATAGGTACAGAGTTTCAGTTTTGCAAGATGAAGGGAGTTCTTGTGGATGGATGGTGGTGGCAGAGTAACAAAGTGAGGCCAGGTGCAGTGGCTTGCACCTGTAAGCCCAGCACTTTGGGAGGCTGAGGCAGGTGGATCACCTGAGGTAGGGAGTTCGAGACCAGCCTGGCCAATGTGGCGAAACCCCGTCTGTACTAGAAATACAAAAATTAGCCAGGCATGGTGGCTCATGCCCATAATCCCAGCTACTCAGGAGGCTGTGGCACAAGAATCACTTAAACCCAGGAGGCAGAGGCCGCAGTGAGCCAAGATTGTGCCACCGCACTCCAGCCTGGGTGACAGAGCGAGCGAGACTCTGTCTCCCCTCCCCCCAAAAAAACAACATGAATGCAGTTAATGCCACTGAACTGAACACTTAAAATGGCGAAGATGATAAATGTTACGTTGTGTGTATTTATTGAAAAGAGAGATGATGATCTAGTCCTTTTCTTGGAACTTCTTCCTCTTGTAAGCCCTCCACGTGCTGAAGGGAAAGTAGGCCCATGCATTGCTGTGTTGGGAACTGACCAGTGACATCAGGGGAAAGAAGAGTTCCCTGAGGACTGACGAGATCAGACGAGGCACATCACAGAGCGCAGGACGCCTGGTGAGGAGCCAGGGCTGAGTGTGCGAGCACAGCTGAGGCAGGAAGGTGAACGGGCGCGTCCTGATGGGACAGCAGGTGGCTGGACATCCCCCAGGCCTGCTTCTTTTGGTGGATTTCGTCACAGGACCGGGGAGGGGTGAGCATCTTTATCCAGGTTCATGTCCACCTGTCACCTTCTCTCTCAAAACTTGAGGGGTTCACGCATAGCATGGGAAATGTGAATTAAAATGTCACGGATACCATGTTTCGCCTCTTGGATGAGCAGAAATTTGTCAGGTAGGTCACATGCTCCACTCGGGAGGGGAGGGGGTGCCCTCACTGTTGGTGGGGAACTGACCCTATAAGCCTTCACTGGAGGGCAGTGTGGCGATGCCAACAGAGCTGCAGCCATACATGTCCTTTGACATGGCACATGGACTCGCACGTCCGTGAAATGATGGGTAAAAGGTATTCAGTACAGCATTGTTTAATAATAATAAAAAAGACTTTGATGCAGGCTCTTATAGTTCTTACAGGCAGCCCAGAAATGGCAGGTGCCAGGCAAAGGGATACAACTCATTGGGTTGGATGGTTCTGTTGTGTTAGATCACTCCTGTGCCCTGACCCTCTGATCCCATATGAGAAGGAGCTGACATGCTATAGAGAACAGTTCCCCTAGAGAGAAAGGAGTCAACTAGTAGGATGCTGTCCACAAAGGGCAGAGGGGCAGGCATGAGCATTTCACCTGCATCCCCCTGCAGTTTCTGTCCTTTGCTTTTCTCCATGATCTTCGCCCTCCTAGCCACGGCACTGCATTGATTCTGGCTGCCCTACAAGTCAATTGTAAAGGGAATCCTGAAATCTCCTCGGTGTAGGGCAGGGCAGGGTGAGGTCCTAAGGAGGAGATCAGCTCTCCACTCTTTTTTTTTTTTTTTTTTTTTTTTTTTGGACAGAGTCTTGTTTTGTGGCCCAGGCTGGAGTGCAGTGGCACAATCTCAGCTCACTGCAATCTCCCAGGTTCAATCAATTCTCCTGCCTCAGGCTCCCAGGTAGCTGGGATTACAGGTGTGCACCACCACACCCGGCTAATTTTTGTATTTTTGGTAGAGATGGGGTTTCACCATGATGGCCAGGCTGGTCTCGAACTCCTGACCTCAAGTGATCCGCCCGCCTCGGCCTCCCAAAGTACTGGAATTACAGGCGTGAGCCACCGTGCCTGGCTGTGCGGTCCTGGAAGCATCTCTGTGGGGACCCTCACCTGAACCTGCAGAGCAGAGAAATGGACAGATTCCTGACCTCACCTAACCCCACTGTGTCAGAAAGCCTTGGGATTCATGTTTAACAATCACACTCATGCACATGAAAAACCCAGCAACCATTGGCTTGTGACATTGCTGCGTTCTGGAAGAATTAAGTCCCTTTCTTATCAGTGTTCAAGTAACAGCCACATCCAACTATAAACATTACAGTTCAAAACCCACATCAAATTATACAGATTATAACCAGAAGGTTTAGCTCTGAAATGAGCGAGGCTGGTGGCCGAGGTATTCCAGCCCTGTCCAATGCAGGTGGGGGCAGGGGCAGATTCTGAAAGGAGCTCCTGGTTTCTGCACAAGGCAGCCAGGGAGCCCATTTCAACAGGCAGGCCTTCCACTTGCTGAAAATCCATCAGTGGCATCTTCCCATTGTTTTTCAGATCAAGATCAAAATCCTTACGGTGGCATGAAGGAGTCCTGCCTGGCTCTTAGCTCTCCCCCTTCCCACTCTGACCTCTACACACTGGTTTTCTTTCAGTCCATCAGGCTCTCCATATGCTCTTCTACCCCAGGGCCTTTGCACACACTGTTCCTTCTCCCTTTGTCTAGTTAAGTCCTTCTCATCCTCCATATTCCTTTCCTTTAGAGCCCTGACGTAGGCTTGAAACCATCCAGGCTCTGCAGATCCTCTGACCTATGTCTGTCTCCTAGCAGCTTCCTGATTGCAGGGACCATGTGTGAGTGTCCCCAGGCTTGTCTCCGTGCTGGGGCTCCAGGCCAATGTCTGTGGAATGAATGAGTGATAATAACGGCAAAAACCAGGCTGGCTAAAACAGGCTTTCTATTGCCATTAGGAAACCAAACTCCTTTCATGATACAGAAAAAAAAAGTCTGGAGGGCAAAACCCTACAAATACCAATATTGATTGTCCCTGAGTCACATGATTACAAGTGATTTTTATTTTCTTCTTTACAGTTTGCTTTCTCCCAATTTTTTAAAAAACAATAGGCCCATAATTACCTTCCATTATCAGAATATGTGAATGATGTCAGAATATTATAATATCAATAAGCAAAAAAGGCAGCTTTGCAAATGAATATATTAATAAATCTTTACAAGCATAGCTCCCTACTCTTTAGGATTTATCCAAGTAAATAAAACAATCTTCTTTCTTTGCTAGGTGTAAATGCTGGGTAATTTCACAGCTGACTTTTTTAAGATTCCTGAACTTTATTTAGTGGAATGACTTCTAGCAGCACAAATAAGACAAATGATAAATTGACTGTTGAATTATTACTCGGGGTGGCTTCTAGCTGATCCAGCATGATTCTCAGGTTAATCAGAAAGGCCCAGTGAAGGCAAAAGAGGGGCAATTTTCACCTTATCTTGTCTTATAAAATATTTTCTGAAAAATATGGACATGCCTGTAGCTTTCAGTTCTTCAAAACAGACCTGTGTCCCCCACATCCCTTCTTAAAGCAAATCTCTCCCAAATCCATTTAAGCTTTCGGAAGAGGATTTGTCTAAGAGAAGATATAAAAGCCCATTAAAAGTCTATTCACAAAGCATTTGGCAATTCATGTATCATCTGTTCTCTCGGGAGCCAGTGTAAGCTCATGCTTCTGGAAATGCAACTGATTCCTTCATAAATCAATGGAACTGTTGCTGACAGTGGTGACTTACTTTTTAAACTAAGGCCAAGCAGCAGTAAGCAGTCAATTATTTTTATACAATCAATGCTGCTCAATTTCTGTCTATATATATAATAATTGTCCTCATTAGTTCCTGTTTCCAAATAGCTTGTTAGTATCAGTGGATACCCACCTTACTGTGAACAAAAATTCTCAGTCTCCACTTTATGTGACCATAATAACGATTGTGGCGTCATTTACTTAGTACCATATGCCAGGTACTTTATATGCATTTTCTCATTTAATCCCTACAGCCCTGTGAAATAAGTGGTTTATAAATGGAGAAAATGAGCTCAGTATGATTAAGTAGTTTGCTTGAAGTCACACAGCCAGAAAACGGTCTAAGAGATTCAAATCCAGGTCTATCTCCAAAGCCTGTGCTTTTAAAAATTACTACAGTTTTCTAATATCATAGTCCAGTTCAAAACAGAGATCACTGTTTCTACCTTGGCCACCCAGAAAGTAAAACTACCTTAAATCTACCCCTTGTTATGATACAGAAGAAACTACGATTCTTTTTATTTGATTTTTCCACTTTGTACACTGAACAGTTTTCTGTGTCCTTGTAGGGAGACCATGTCACGGATGAGAATCTCAAAGGAAGGTATGTTGAGTTATTTTAAAATCGATTGCGTTTATAACTCTTAGAAAACTAGAAATGCAGGGGGAATGTTCTCCATTTGATAAAGAACATCTATAAAAAAACCCTACAGTTAATATAATATTTAATGATGAAAGACAGAATGCTTTTCCCTTAAAACCAGGAACAAGGCAAATATAAAGATTTATACTGCTCTCACCACTCTTCTGCAACAGACTACTGGAAGTCCCAGCCAATGCAACATCTCAAGAAAATAAAATTAAAAGTGTACAGATCAAATAAGTAAAAATAAACTTTTAATTTGCAGATGACATGGTAACATCCTAAGCAGGCGACAAAAAAACTTCTAGAAAGTTCAGTTAAGGTTGCAAGATACCATATAAGCATACTAAAATCAATTATGTTTCTATATACTGGCAATGAAGAGGTGGCCACTGAAATTTAAAGTATAATACCATTTACCATCACAAACAAAAAAGGAGAAATAAAGTACTTAAGTATAAATCCAGCAAAACATGCACAGGATTTGTATGCTGAAAGCTACAAAGTATTCATGAAAGAAACCAAAGAAGATCTAAATCAACGCAGAAACATACCATTTTCATGGATTGAAAAACCACATAGTAAATATATAAATTCTTTCCACATTGACATATAGATTTAAACACAATTTCTATCAAAATCTCAGCAAGACATTTCATAGATATAGACAGACTTATTCTAAAATTTATATGGGAAGGGAAAGGAAGCAGAAGAGGTAAGACAATTTTTTGATTGCTACACACAAATCTATGAATACACATGTGATCTATAAAATGATACAGAACTACACACATTGTCCTCTCTCTCTCTTTCTCTGACACACACACACACACACACACACACACACACACACAGCACTTATGTCAATTTCCTGGTTTTGATATTGTTATAGTCACACATAGTAAGTAACCACTGGAGGAAACTGGGTGGAAGGTAGGTGTGATCTCTACCTACTATTTTTGGAACTTCCTGTGAATCTCTAATTTCAAAATGAAGGGTTAAAAAAGTCTATTGAGTGAGGTCTGAAAGAGATCTGCTTCTCACAGTTATAAAGAGATTCCACGGCATTTTTTCTCTTTCCACTTCAATATTTTAACCCCCTTCCATGTTTAAAAAGGCTCAAATCCACTGTTTTTATTATTATTCTCCTTCTTTCAACTTCTTTGGTTGTCAATGAGCTGAGGCTTTGGACCAAACCACAGCTAATTCAGAGAATGGAATGAAAGAATGCCCAGGCTAAGCCCGGGGCTTGGAGCTCCGTGGCCTCCCTGGCCTCTGAGGGGCCCACGGCAGTCCCATGGGGTCTTGAAAGGAAGAGAGGTCTAGCCCAGAGCAGGCAAAGGCCAAAGCACCAGCTCTGTGCCCACCTTCTGAACCACACATCAGGCTGCTGGGGAGATGACCACAGGTGTGAGGTAGGAGGTGGCACTCGACTCCAGAGGTGGGGCTCAGACACCGGACCAGACTGAGGACTAGCTAAAATAGGGACAGGGTGAAAGCAACTTTCAATCAGACCTGCCCACCAGTGTGCTATGTCAACGTACTGTTGCCATGGCAACACCTGGGCATTATCTCCCCTTTCCATAGCATCCAATGATCCCAAAGTTATTATCCCTTCCCTGCATAAACCAGCCCTTAATCTGCATGCAGTTAAAAGTGAGTATAAATATGACTGCAAAACTGCCCTGAGCTGCTGCTCTCTGTCTACAGGGCGGCCGGGCTCTGTAGGAGCAGCCACACAGCTGTAACACTGCTGCTTCGATAAGGCTGTTTCCTTCTACTCCTGGCTTGCCCTTGAATTCTTTCCTGTGCAAAGCCAAGAACCCTCTCGGGATAAGCCCTACTTTGGGGCTCATCTGCTCTGCAATGGGTGGGACAGTGACAGATGCGTTCAGCAAAGGATGGGAGCGCATCATGCTCTGTACAGCACTCAGCTTCACTCCTTATGCCAGGGAAATGGGGTACCCTTGGCAACTGGCTATTGGTAGCACACCAAGGAAAGGTATGGCTGCTTGCCCAGGTTGTGGTGTACAAGAGACTGGAGTCCACATAACGCTAAGGACTGTTAGAGAGGGAGAAGGAAGGGGTCAGGGAGGGGACGGGAACAGGTGGGAAGACTTCTTACCTGTAAAACAAGGTCTGAATTTTCATGCCTTCCAATTGTGGTACTTTTATTTAGGACAAAAAAGCCTTCTGCGCTCTTTAGATAGGCCTTCATCCTCTCTGTTTTCCCTACATAAGGTTTTCAGAAAGAATTTTGTTAGAAAATGTAGTTCTCTAATTATTCAACAACATCATACTTAAAATGAATGAAATAACCACAGAGTCATGTCCAAAGTGAGAAATCAGAAGAGGGGGGATTAGATAGATCAGTCAACAATGACGACAAGGACAATTCTGCAGGTTTTTAAGACAATCTCTTCTAACCATGATATCTAGCATAGAAAAGCCTGGTTCTAATAATCAAACAGAGGGCATTTCTTAAGTAACTCAGGACACAAACAAAAGCTAAAACAACCTGACAACAAATCTGAGTTCCAGTGATGATTGCTCTCCACCTCCCATCAAGCTTAGTATAAGCTTAGTGATCTGACTTACCAAGTATTCAAGTTCTGTGTTCCTAACCCATCCTTTACTAGCTCTGTGACCTTGGGTGAGTTACTTATTCTCTCTCTGTGACTCAGTTTCCTCATCTATAAAATGGGTGGTTTTTTTTGTTTTTTTTTTTTGAGACAGGGTCTCACTTTGTCATCCAGGCTGCAGGGCAGTGAGCAATCTTGGCTCACTGAGGTCTCGATCTCCTGGGCTCAAGCAATCCTCCTGCCTCAGCCTCCCCAGTAGCTGGGATTACAGGTGTGCACCACCACACCTGGCTAAAGAGACGGGGTATTGCCATGTTGCCCAGGCTAGTCTCAAACTCTTGAGCTCAAGTAATCCTCCTGCCTTGGCCTCCCAAAGTGCTGGGATTACAGACAGGAGCCACCACACCCAGCCTAAAATGGGTTAAATGCAATAATATACGTGAGGTATCTAGAATGGTGCCTGGCACACACTGAACACTCATTTGTACTACTCTTATTAGTGTTGTTAACCTGGGCTTCTCAAACTCTGATCCAAGGAACCCTAAACTTCTATAGAGCTTATTTTATTCATTCATTCATATTTAGAGATGAGGTCTTGCTCTTTGCCCAGGCTGAGTTCAGTGGCACAATCATAGCTCGCTGCAGTCTTGAACTCTTGGGCTCAACTGATCCTCCTGCCTCAGCCTCCAGAGTAGCTAGGAATACAGGCACACCACCATGTCTGCTTTTGGAGTTTCTTAAAGAGTTATCATTGGAGAGGCAGGCATTAGATGATGTTTTTCTTTTTAAATCGCTGTATTTCTTCATTTATTTAGTTAGGGGAAAAAAGATTACTTCTAAAGGCAAAATATCAAGATTATAGCTCAGCCATGTAATCAGGACCCTGCACAGTATTCCCCCCAGCATTTTACTATAAAAATGTCAAACATACAGAGAGGCTGAAAGAAGCAGATAATGAGCTCCTATGTACCCACCACTAGATTCTACCATCGGCATTTTGCCATATTTGCTTTATCACAGATCTTTCCATCTATCCGTGTGTCCATCCATTTTATATTGTGGTGCATTTCGAAATAAGTTCTATACACATCTTTTAAGACAAACACTTCAGTGACTTCAGAAAGTTCTAAAATATTGACAGTAATTCATCTCGATGCTTGAATCCGATTTGAGATTACGTCTAAAGATGCAGTGTGATATCCTCCACCTCAATTCCTTGTCAAAGAACAACAACAGTCTCTCTCTTTTCCATTCAATTGAAAAGTCAGTGAAATGACAAATTATTGGACTATGGGTAAAAACAAAAATCAACTAGTTGTGGTGGTACGGACTCTCGGGGCTGGCTCTGCTTTTCATCATCATCTCTATCATCATTTATGGAGTCCTTAGTAAGTGCCAGGCACTTTTCCTTGAATATACTCTTTTCATCCTCAGAGAAACCCTGCAAGGTGGGTGTCATTATTGTCCCTACTTTACAGAAAAGGAGACTGAGATGCAGAGAGGTTAAGGTCCCCTAGCATTCGGGCAGGGAGATTGCCATTGCATGTCACCACTACATAATCCTCAGGCAGCTCAACTTTTCACACCTCCATCACTGCTGGGTGGGGAGGGGATGGGATGGGGGAGCAGAGAGAGTGACTGAGTGGGGGGAGGGAGAGGTTGTCACTTGGGATAGTGGGGTTGTCACTGTTTTGTTGACACTTAGGACATGAAATAACAGATAGCCCTTAACACCAGAATTCTATCCTCTGCAAAAAAAGAAAAGACCCTTGGGAGTAAGAGAAATAAAAACAAGCCAGATAGTTTATGTTTGTAAATTCCGAAGCCTATGAGAAATCCTCAGAAATATTAATACTTTCATATAATGAGAATTTTATTTTTAAGTCTGCTGTCTTTAATAGGGATAAAAAGACACTTCTTTTTCCAAAAGAACCATGCCCTGTTGCCCTCAAATTGCCTGAGTTATTAATCTTCAATTGCAGAGGACTACATCATCAAGCACCACATCCAAACTAAAGTAAAAGTAATCTAAAGTCAACTTTCGAGAAATGTCTCTTTTGTGGGAAAGCCACAGGAAATGCCTCCAGAGTAAAACCCCAAATCTGAATGACTGGC
Source organism: Homo sapiens (assembly GCF_000001405.40). Classification (NCBI taxonomy): domain Eukaryota; kingdom Metazoa; phylum Chordata; class Mammalia; order Primates; family Hominidae; genus Homo; species Homo sapiens. Next base: position 15,249,305 of record NC_000001.11, on the reverse strand, counting down.
TTTTTTTTTTTTTTTAGCTCTTCCCCCCGATGTTTCCACAGCTGGTGCCTTGCGGTAGCTACCTGACCACCCCAGCTAAAGGCGTCACCAGTCACTTTGTTGTCTAGCTAGCATGTGTCACTGCTGTGGCTCCTTCCTTGAGCTTATCATTCTCTGTCATTTTCTTGTTCTTTACTTAGCTGTTTACTGTTTCCCTTTCACTGAGATACGTTCCAAGAGAGCCCAAACTGTGTTGTTTTTGTTAAACTCAATTCTCCATGGGTTTCCTGTGTTTGTACCCATCTTCAGAGCAAAGACACTGACAGATTTTGTTCCAGACAATCTTCCAAGGACATCTGTAGGGCAAATATCCTGAGAGGATAGGGATAGTGTCCCTATCCAGGGCAGAGTGCAGATTTATGATAAAAATGTCATCTCTGGCTGGGCACGGTGGCTCATGCCTGTAATCCTAGCACTTTGGGAGGCCCAGGTGGACGGATCACCTGAGGTCAGGAGTTTGAGACCAGCCTGGCCAACATGGCGAAACCCTGTCTCTACTAAAAACACAAAAAAATTAGCCGGGCATGGTGGCTTGCACCTGTAGTCCCAGCTAATCGGAAGTCTGAGGCAGGAGAATCACTTGAAACCGTGCAGCAGAGGTTGCAGTGAGCTGAGATTGTGCCACTGCACTCTATCTAGCTTGGGAGACAGAGCAAGACTCTGTCTCAATTAAAAAAAAAAAAAAAAGGTCATCTCCTTCCAGGGCAAAGGTTGGGCACTGGCTAGCAGCCCCTTTTAAAAGACTGGAGTTTCCTGAGCTTGGGGTTCCTTAGCTGGGAAACAGACTCGCAGTGTGCACAGCATCCACCTGAGCTGTCCTGCATCACCCCGGGGTACTTGCAGGGCAAGGGGAACCAACGCAAACATGAGCTCACAGTGCCTGCTGTGCTGTGAGTAATAACATCCTTTGTCTCTGGTCCTGGAGTCTCTGGTCTTCTGCTAGCATCATTAAGCAGTGGCAGGCTAACTTAGCTTGCAAGTAGTGTAAAAATCTCAGACCCTTTGCATTTCCTCACAGTCTGTTCATTACTCCCCTCTGGCCCCCAGCGCTGCCATGCCTGACACATAGTGGTGCTCAGTAAATCATGAATGAATGAAAGTACAAAACAATGCTTAAAAGTAAGTCAGGGTAGCCTAAGAACCTCTGACAGTAACTACCTTTCATTTTCCCCTTCAGTATTTATCCTAGATGACATTCTGGAAAAAAAAAAAAAAGTCTATTTCTTTAGCTGAATGGGTTGGGCCCTATTTCCCCACTTTAATCTTGCCCTGTGCAGTCACTTTCCTACCTGAAAACACTGTAGAAAGTGATTAGATGCGTTAAACTCTGTAAATTAGTTCTAAGACACAGGGCACCGACCATGCAAAAGAGCAAAAGAGCTTCAGGCATCTGCACTCCCTGCTTATAGGTCACAAGTGAGATAGAGAAGCAAAATTTCTGTTGAGGGGTTACCAGATCTTAAGTGGCCTGGGAGCCCTAGAAATTCCTCAGTGTTGTATTTGGGAAGGGAGAGGTTAGGCAAGGGGGGAGTCTCTCTGACCGCCGGGTGGGTGTCGTTCGTAAGTCAGGGGCAGCAGGGATGCCCCTCCTAATCCCAGCTGTAACCCCCAGGACTTCCCAGAGTGGCATGGCTGGTGCCAAGGAGGGTCTAAGGCTCCCGGGGGCTTCCTCCGCGGGCGGGGTGGGGCCTGCATCTGGAAAGGAGGGGCTGGTGTTGGGGTAGCTACTGGGGTGCTCCTGGGGACCGGAGCCTGGATCCAGGAGGATGGGGCCGGGGAGCCACCCCTCCTCCTGCCAGGGCTAGTCCTCGCTGGGCCGCCCCTTCCGGTCCCCGGTCTCGGCCCGCCACCCCTTCCCGCGCCGCACTCACCTGGCGGGAGGAGGAAGCCCACGCTCCGACCTCCGCCGAGAGCCCTGCCAGCTCGGGAGGCGTCGGGCCAGCTCCGGGGCGAAGCCTCCCGGCCGCGCTCCCGCGGAGTCTCCAGCTCGCACCCGGCACCCCGCCCGCCCGGCCGGCCTGTGTACGCGCGTTGCCATGGCAACGCCGCCAGGCGCCGCGGGGTCCAGCCTAATAGATGAGGGCGTGGCCTGCGCGGCAGAGGGGGCGTGGCACCGTGCAGGGAACGCCCACTGGGTTACCGCCTGCTGAATGCTCCAGGCCCCACGAGCCTGCCCCATTTCACAGATAGGAAAGCGGAGGCTCAGAGGTCACAGAAATGGCCCAAGGTTTTACAGCGAGGAAGGAGCAGGGAGGAGATTTGATTCAAGAATCCTTTCCATTACCCCTCACTGTAAGCTGGATGCGTTGAGGGAGGGTCGGGGGCGATAGGGAGAGGTAGGAGATTGATGGAGCTGAACTCATGAGACCCTTGGAGGTTAGTATGCCCCCTGCCCTACCCAAATCTCTAGTCCTTTCCGTTACAGGCCAGAAAATAGAAAGAGTAAGAAGAGGGGATCTCTGGGAGTGGGGTGGGGATTGGGAAAGGGATGGGGTGGAATGAAAAATTTTGAAAGAATGAGGATTTCTTCCATGTGCTGGGGAAAAAATATTTCCAAACTCACAATCCTGCTGCCTCTGCTCCTCCCTGTTAAGAGTGACATTTATTCATTCTTTTGCCCTTTCTCTATCTCTGCAAACATCTTTTGAGTCCTATGAGTGTCACACGCTGATCCCAGAATACACCTGGAACAGTTACTGTCCTTAAGAAACCGCTTGTCAGCCGGCACAGGACTCGCGGGATGGAGTGTGTTGAGCAGATGTGCAAATCCTATCTCCCGCCACTATCTCCAGCAGGAAATCCTATCTCCTGCTGACTCTACCTGGAGAGTGATTCCTTTCACTGGCAGGAAATGGCTGACCAGACACCTCAAGAAAAACTCTAAACGTTTTTCTAAGAGAGATGAACTATGGCACATTCTACCCTAGTGATACGGTTTGGCTGTGTGTCCCCACCCAAATTTCATCTCGAATTGCACTCCCCACGTGTTGGAAGAGGGGCCTGGTGGGAGGTGATTGAATCATGGGGGCAGACTTCCCGCTTGCTTTTCTCATGATAGCGAGTGAGTTCTCATGAGATCTGATGGTTTAAAAGTGTGGCACTTCCCCCTTTGCTCTCTCTCTCTCCTGCTACACCATGTTACAACATGCTAGCTTCCTTGCTTCCCCTTGGCCTTCCGCCATAACTGTAAGTTTCCTGAGGCCTCCCTAGCAGTGCAGAACTGTGAGTCAATTAAACTTCTTTTCTTTGTAAATTATTCAGTCTCAAGGAATTACTTTATAGCAGTGTGAGAACAGACTAATACACCTAGTCAATAGGAAGAGGATCTGAGAGAGAAATCATGGACATCGATTTGTGGTGGAATATACAGTGAAGATGCTCAAACGTGCCTGGAGGCTTTTAGAAATGCGGACTTCTGGGCACAGACCCCAGAGATTCTGATTTAGCAGGCCTGGGACATAATCCAGGAATGTGCATTTGCAACAAGCTTGACAAAACCCTGATTTATGCAGCTGAACTGCAGAGACCTCTCCCGGAGCCTGTCCCTACAAATCTCTTCCAGGCCCTCAGTCTGGAAGGTTCTGCCTGGATCAGTTTCCTACAACCAGAAAGATTCTAGGCGTAAAATGTTAGGAGGGACCACAAGGGCTGGGACCCAAGTGATGGCTTCACAGGAACAGAGAGGGTCAAGCTCAGCTTCCCACACGTTTCTGCCTCAGAGCCTTTGCTCTTGCCCATTCCTCTGCCTGGAATGCACTTCCCCTCAAGAGTCTCCTTTGCCTTCTTTACTTTAGCTTTTTACTCACATATCATCTTTTCTAAAATTGGTTTTTTGAAACAATGAAACAACCACCATGAAATCTAATAAACAACAAAAAAGAGCAAATAAAAACAATAAGAACAGCAAAAGCAAATAAAAATAAGAACAACAAAAGCAAATAAAAATAAGAACAACAAAAGCACATCCAAACAAAATAAAAACCTCAACACTCTATCCCTCTTCCCTTCTTTTTGCCACTTGCTATAGTTAGAATATTTGACCCCTCCAAATCTCATGTTGAAATTTGCTCCTCAGTGTTGGAGGTGGGGCCTGGCGGGAGGTGCTTGGATCATGCGGGCGAATCCCTCATGGATGGCTTGGTGCTGTTCCTGTAGGGTGCATGAGTTCTCACTCTATCAGTTTCCTAAAGAGCTGATTGTTAGAAAGAGCCTGGCACCTCCCCCTCGCTCACTCTCACTTCCTCTCTCATCATGTGATCTCTGCACATGCAGGCGCTACTTTCTGCCAGGAGTGGAAGCAGCCTGAGACCCTCACCAGAGGCAGATGCTGGCACCATGCTTCTTGTACAACCTGCAGAACTGTGAGCCAAATAAACCTCTTTTCTGGATAAATGACACAGCCTCAGGTATTACTTGATAGCAACACAAATGGACTAATACATCACTTATCATCAACTCACATACTATTTCTTTATTTATTTATGTTATTTATTGTGTCTCCCTCCCTGACCCCTGGTAGAATCTAAACTCCATGAAAGCAGGAATTTCTTTTTTCATGTTTTGTTTGCTGCTGTGCCACCAGTCCCTAGAACAATGTCTGAATGAATAAATATGCAGGGGGAAGCCCCTGCCACCCTTCTGAAGCCCGGCCTCCTGTCCTCTGAGGACTGCTGGGCTGACCTGTCCTCGCCCCAGGATGTCGGCTTCTCTAGTCCCCTGCCCAGGCCTGAACACCACCTCCATCCCTACCACCACCCCTCCATGCTTGTCTTTGGTCAAACTCTTGTCATTAACATGAACCCAGGACACAAACTTGCTATCAGACAGACCCCAGTGAAACCCAGGCTGGCCATGAGCTGGAACAGCCCATGCCCCTCACCAGGCTTTGAGAGATCATCTGTTGCTGTTAGCTGATATCTCAATGAAAAACAAAAAATCCTAAACTGAGAGCAAAGCTGACACTCAGAATCAGTGGAGCCGAAGTTGCCAAATCTTAATTGGATCCTCTGTCCCTCAGGATGCCACTGTTATCTCAAGGGTGTGCAAAGTTCTTGAAACCCAATTCCGTATCATCCATTTTCATTTCAAAAACAGAAAATCAAATACCCAATAACTTAGGGTTTTATGATATAATTTCCTGGGCTGAGTAAGAGAGTTGTACATTGCAATTAAACAGTGATGCGGCATTAAAAATACTGTCCCTGAAAAAAAAAAATAGATGTTTCTAGATTACTTGTGCTTCTTGGCAGTGCCTACAGTTAACCTTTTATTGAACTCTTGGTGACGACGAAGCCCATATTGTAGGAAATAAGGCTCAGAGACAGGGAGAAATCTGCCTAAAGTCACACAGCTAGAAAATCTGGCAGGATTTGAATCGAGATGAATGTGACAAGGAAGGTATTTCCCCTGGGGAACTACAGGTGACAGCTGTCACAATCACAAGATGCCACTTACTCACAACTGCTTTCTCTCACTTCTGAGCAGCCTGCACTCTTGTCTGTCCAAAGGTTCAGGCAGTGCCCAGGGCAGGGAGTGAAGGGGGCATAAGCCCAGAGGAGGCAGCTTAGGCCTGCCACCCACATTACCTGCTGACATTGGGCACTAGGCTTCGTTCCTGCAGAACTTCTGCCCCCGTAAAATCTCATTCCTTCCCAGCCACCTTCTCTGGGCTGTTCTTGCCTGGGGAGAGCCTAACCCTGTGCTCCATCCTCAGAGAACTGTGTGATGTTTCTCCTGCTGCCCTTGCATTCCAACATGAAATGAATGCTGGCTTCAGGCCCCAGCCGCGGCCAGGAGAGGTGTGGAGGCTTCCTCAGCCTCTATGGCATGAAAGAGAGCCAGAGAAAGAGCAAGAACAAGAGAGTAAAGAGTGCAGGAAATAGCCAAGCTGTTGCGCAGGGTGACGGATGACAGAGAGCAGAGGGCCCACTAGAGACTCCACGGCCCATTAGTAACCTGACCATATAAGCTTAGAAAGTACAGATTTTTATATACAGACCTACACACAGAGACTCATGAAAATAATTTCAAACCATGGAGAGAATAACTGGCAACTGAGGCTTTCTGCAGCCATCCTTGCCTTTTCCCGTGGCAGAAAATGAGAAAATATGGAGCTTCGTCTCATGTCGACTCTTTCATGCTGGTTTGGAGCATTCAGTTATCTTGCAAATCATTTTTCAAAGTCAGTTCCCCTTGGTTCCTTGCGCTTTGCTGTGGGGGGGTCTGTCTGTACCATCCGTTCAAAAACTGCAAAGTGTGCTGGCCCCACCTGTCCTGGGCCTGGTTTTTGTTGTATTTTGTTTGTGCCTCACTTCCCTCACCTGTAAAATGGGTATACAACAATCCATTTTATTGAAAGGATTAAATGGGTTAAGACGTATGAAACAATGGATCAGTGGCTGGTACAACTGAATGGCTCTATGAGTGTTTACGATTATTGCCTGTTTTCTTTTTCTCTGATGCTGTGCGAAGAGAGCCCCAATCTCAACCCAGGTCACAAACACTCTGGAGAAACTTTGATTTGCATCAAGACTCAGTCCTACTCCAGAACAAACCTGATCTCTGGATGACTAGTCTCATATTATCTGGCCGGCTGCTCTGAGACCTTTCTATATGTGGATATGGATATAAGAGATAGGATGTGCTCCTTCCTCTAGTCACAACTAGAGGTGATTCTTGGGAACCCAGCAGTCTCTATGGGGTGGCACCTGCTGGACAACTCCATAAATTCTACTTCCAGGCATGTGGGCAAACCTTCACTATATTTTTTTGAGTGACAGTGAACCTTTATGAATGTGGTTAACAAATTCAGCTCATATTTATTAAAGCTAACAAGGTACCAACCACCATGTCATGCACAGTTTTATTTAGTTCTTAGCCCAACTCATTATACAGAAAGAGAAATTGAGGCACAGAAAAGTCAAGTAACTTAACCAGTTACAAATCTTGCACATGGTGGTTCTGGAATTCAAACTCTGGCTGCCAGATTACAAAGTGCTGTACTTTTTGTAAACTTTTTTTTTTTTTTTTTTTTTTAGATGGAGTCTTGCTCTGTTGCCCAGGCTGGAGTGCAGTGGTGCGATCTCGGCTCACTGCAACCTCCTCCTCCCGGGTTCAAGCGATTCTCCTGCTTCAGCCGCCTGAGTAGCTGGGACTACAGCCACACGCCACCATGCCCGGCTACTTTTTGTATTTTTAGTAGAGACGGGGTTTCACCATGTTGGCCAGGCTGGTCTCGATCTCCTGACCTCGTGATCCACCCGCCTCAGCTTCCCAGAGTGCTGGGATTAGAGGCGTGAGCCACTGCACCCGGCCTTTTTGTAAACTTTTTATCGAAGATAATATACATATTGAAAATATACATTTTGTCTCAGGTCATAATTGCACTTTATAGCATTACAAATGGGCTGAGACACCATTTGAATTTTTACTAAGTGTACTCACCCACCTAACCAGAATCCAGATCAAGAAGCAAAACATCACCAGCACTCCTAGAAGTCTCCCTGTGACCCCTTCCAGTCATGACCCACCCCCTGGGGTAGCCCCTATCCTGACTGCTAATGTCATAGATTCGTTCTGGGTTTTTTTTGTTTGTTTGTTTTTTTGTTGTTTGTTTTTTTTGAGACAAGACTTTTGCTCTTATCACCCAGGGTAGAGTGCCATGATATGATCTCACTGCAACCTCTGCCTCCCGTGTTCAAGTGATTCTCCTACCTCAGCCTCCCAAGTAGCTGGGATTACAGGCACCTGCTACCATGCCCAGCTAATTTTTGTATTTTAATATAGGTGGGGTTTCACAATGTTGGTCCGGAAGTCGAACTCCTGACCTCAGGTGATCCACCCGCCTCACCTCCCACAGTGCTGGGATTATAGGCGTGAGCCACTGCGCCTGGCCAGTTCTGTTTGTTTTTGAACTTTATGTAAATGGGATCCTACAAATTCCATCTTCTGTCTGGTTTCTTTCGCTTGACGTTATGTTTGGGAGATGTCTTTTCATCTCCCAAAGTCAAGCATGTCTCTTCAAGTAGCTGTGGTTCATTCATTCTCATTGCTCTGTCGTATTCCATTGTATTGGTTATCAATTGCTGCTTAACAAACTACCACAAACTTAGCAGCTCAAAACAACCCACATTTATCATCTCACAGATTCTGTGGGTCAGGAATTGGGCAGGGCTCAGCACGGTCCTGTGCTTTAGGGTCTCACAGGCTGCAATCAAGGAGCTGGCCAAGCTGGGATCTCATCTGAGCCTCAACTGGGGATAAATCTGCATCTGCTTTCTTTCTTTCTTTCTTTTTTTTTTTTTTTTTTTTGAGATAGAGTCTCGCTCTGTCAGCCTGGCTGGAGTGCAGTGGCATGATCTTGGCTCACTGCAACCTCTGCCTCCCAGGTTCAAGCGATTCTTCTGCCTCAGCCTCCCGAGTAGCTGGGACTACAGGCAAGTGCCACCACCCCTGGCTAATTTTTGTGTTTTTAGTGGAGAAGGGGTTTCACCATATTGGCCAGGCTGATCTCAAACTCCTGACCTTGTGATCCACCCTCCTCGGCCTCCCAAAGTGCTGGGATTACAGGCATGAGCCACCACGCCCGGCCCGATCTGCTTTCTTTTTTCTTTTTCTTTCTTTTTTTTTTTTTTTTTGAGACAGGGTCTCTCCTGTTGTCCAGGCTGGGAGTGCAGTGATGTGATCGTAACTCACTGCAGCCTTGATTTCCCAGGCTCAAGTGTCCCTCCCACCTCAGCCTCCTGAGTAGCTGGGACCACAGCCATGTACCACTAAGCCTATTTTTTTAATTTTTATTTTTAATAGAGATGAGATCTCACTATGTTGCCCAGGCTTGTCTTGAACTCCCGGGCTCAAGCGATCCTCCCACCTTGGACTACCAAAGTGCTGAGATTACAGGCATGAGCCACTACACCTGGCTGGATCCAGTTTCAAGCTCACATTGTTATTGGTAAGATTCGTTTTTTTGAGGGTATCAGAAAGAGAGCCTCAGCTCCTTGCTGGGTATTAGCTGAGCTCACCCTCAGTTTCTTGCCATGTGGGCCTTTCTGGAAGTTGGCTTGCCTCATCAAAGTCAGTAAGAGTCAGTAGACAGAGTCTGCGACTCTGGACCCCCAGTAGACTCTCAATAGAGAGATGGAAGTTATAATCTTATGTAACATAATCACAGAAATTACATCCCATCACCTTTGCTGTATTCTACAGCTTAAAATAAGTTACAGGTCCTGCCCCGACTCAAGGGAGAGGATACCACAGAGGTGTGAACACCAGAGGTAATTGGGCGCCACTGTGTATGTCCGTTGGTATGCATATGTGCACATGTCTATTAGATATAGACCTAGGAATAGAGGTGCTGAGTTGCAGATTCAGCAGATGTTCAGCTTTAAAAGATTCTGACAAACATTTTTCCAAAGCGCTGGTACCAATCTACACCCCCCAGCAGTGCATGAATACTTGAGTCGCAGCACATGCCTTCAAATATTACTCTCCCCTCTCTACTTACAGAAGGAGTTTGACCAGGAGTTCCTTGGAACAGGAGGTCCTAAACCTGGCCCCATGTCAGAATCACTGTTCCTGGGCTGTACCTCCAGACTTTCTGATTGTTGGATGGCTGGGATATAACCTGGAAGCTACACTCCATGTGGTGAAGGTTCTTTGTTGTTCTTTTTGTTTTTCTTTTGAGACAGAGTCTCGCTCTGTCACTCAGGCTGAAGTGCAGTGGCACAGTCTCGGCTCACTGTGACCTCCGCCTCCCAGGTTCAAGCGATTCCCCTGCCTCAGCCTCCCAAGTAGCTGGAACCACAGGCATGCACCACCACATCTGGCTAATTTGTTGTATTTTTAGTAGAGACGGGGTTTCACCATGTTGGCCAGGCTGGTCTCAAACTCCTGACCTCAAGTGATCCGCCCACCTCGGCCTCTCAAAGTGCTGGGATTACAGGCATGGCCCAGTGCACCCGGCCATCCTTTTCTTGTTCACCCAAGCATCCCTGGTGCTCAGAGCAGTACCTGACATGCAGCCAACATTCAATAAGGATTTAAATAAATGAATGAGTTTAGGGGCTGAGCATGGTAGCTCATGCCTGTAATCCCAGCACTTTGGGAGGCTGAGGTGAGAGGATCATGTCAGCCCAGGAGTTTGAACCAGCATAGGCAACATAGACAGACCTTGCTTTTACAAAAAATAAAAAAGTTAGCTGGATATGGTGGCACACACTTGTAGTCTCAGCTACTCTGGAGGCTGAGGCAGGAGGATTGCATCAGCCCAGGAGTTCAAGGCTGCAGTGAGCTATGATCATGCCACTGCACTCCTGCCTGGGTGACTTAGTGAGACCCCCGTCTCTTAAAGTAAATGAATGAAGGAGTTTAGGACTATTGTCCAAGAAGACCTACTGGTGGCCTCAGGGAAGGTGTGAACCACTGAAATTGGGAGGAAGCTTTGATGTGTCTGGGCCTATGTGTATTTTTCTGGAAAGAGGGCCCAGAGCCTTAACCAGACTTCTCCCCAGCAAAGGTTAAGAGCCTCTTTGATTGGACGTGGTCTGGGGTAGTTGATTTATCCTATAAAGAAACAGTTGGGCCTGGGGAAGGAGGCACAGGGGCTGTGTACAAGGCTCTGTGGTGCTTGGCAGGGTTTAGGAAGTGAGAAGAGAGACAGTCTCTGCCTGGGGTGGCTTATAAGCTGACACCCCTGCTCACTTTGTCCTTTGACTTATGGTGGCTCTTTTGGCACATCTAGCCACTGCTTGGCCTCCTGTGCCCTCCCTTGTGTCTGTTTATTGAATAGCAAATTCCAGAAGGCCTTGGTGGCCCTGAGTTTCCATCAACAGCAAGCCAACATGATTCCTACCTTTTGAGAAAGCTGCTTCCAATCAACAGCAGGCCTCCCTGTTGGTCTAGTTTGAGATGACCTCAGCCCTTGTCACCTCTCTGGGTTTCTGGAGGTTTTGTAGCATCTCACTGCCATCTGCATTCTCTTCTCATTTCAACAGTGCTCCTTTTTTTTTTTTTTTTTTTCCTTGAGATGGAGTCTCACTCTATTGCCCAGGCTGGAGTGCAGTGGTGCAGTCTCGGCTCACTATAACTTCTGCCTCCCGGGTTCAAGCAATTCTCCTGCCTCAGCCTCCTGAGTAGCTGGGGTTACAGGTGTGCGCCACCATGCCTGTCTAATTTTTATATTTTTAGTAGAGACAGGGTTTTACCAGGGGTCAGGCTGGTCTCGGACTCCTGACGTCGTGATCTGCCCATGTCAGCCTCCCAAAGTGCTGGGATTACAGGCATGAGCCACCGCGCCTGGCCAACAGTGCTCCTATCTTAGGCATTTTGCTTTTGTTTCAGGTCATCCCCATCGCTCGCTGCTGATCTTCCTTTCTGAGCTGATCAATCCCCTCACGCTGGACATTTCTTCTCAGGTTTCCTCTGAATCATTTTATTTGGTCTAAACATGTCCAGTTTTTCTGCCTTCCTTACAGCACTCAACACAGACTCTCTCTTTTCTCGAGAACAACTGTTCTTTTCTTTCTGATACTTTACCCAAATCCTCACCTTTCACCGTGTTTTCTGACCTCTCCTAAGAACTGATTGTTTTTTGAAACTTAAGTCTCAAAGATTGTCCCTTCTAATCTGGCTCTGAATTTGAATCGTTGTCAAGAAACAAGGGGGACAGTAATGTTCCTGGGTCACTAGGATTCTCAGTAGAAGGGCCGAGTGCTCACCAGGGGCTGAGGGGCTGGGGTTGGAGAGGGAGGGACGTGCTTCCACGTGGGGTGGAGCTTGTGGGGTCAGGAAGGGCTTTGAGAAAAAGGAATCACTTGACCTGGGTCTTGAAGGATGGGTAGGATTTCAGGAGGGAGAGAAGGAAGAGAAAGGCATTGCAGGAGGAAGGAGCAGTGGGAACAAGAGCTGGAAGATGGGGAATGAGGGAGGCTACGCAACCGTGGGACAGAGGGAGGCAGGGCCAGGTGCTGAGACTGCAAACTGAAGGCCACAGTCAGCCTCCATGTTTCTTTGGCTTTCACAGTGTGTTAAAATACTTTCAACTAGTTGATGGAGGATACAGCCTCTTTCTGTGGAGTGATAAAGAGCCTGTATTAGTCCATGCTTATGCTGCTATAAAGAGCTGCCTGAGACTGGGTAATTTATGAAGGAAAGAGGTTTAATTGACTCACAGTTCTGCAGGGCAAGGGAGGCCTCAGGAAACTTACGATCATGGTGGAAGGGGAAGCAAACGCGTCCCTCTTAACATGGCGGCAGCAAGGAGCAGTGCCAAGCAAAAGGGGAAAGCCCCTTATAAAACCATCACGTCTCCAAGAACTCACTCACTGTCAAGAGAACAGCACGAGGGTAACCGCCCTCATGACTCAATTACCTCCCACTGGGTCCCTTCCACGACATGTGTGGATTATGGGAACTACAATTCAAGATGAGATTTGGTTGCAGACACAGCCAAACCATATCAGAGCCCAGTTCAAACTAGCTTCAGCATGAAAGCAAATTAACTGGTTACCGTAAATGAAAAGTCTGCAGGGCTCAAGTGATGTCATCAGACCTCAGTCTCTCTCTGGCTCCTCAGCAATACTTTTGACCACGTGGATCCAACCTCAGACAGAATCTCTGTATAATGGTCCCAGAAAGACTGCTGCAGCTCCAGTCCTTACATCTTCTCAGCTTTGAATCCCAAGGGGATGAGAGAGAATTTTTTCCTAAGATTCTCCCAAAGGCCTCATGGCTTCTCATTTTCTCTGATTGACTCACAGGCCCGTTTCTAAGCCAATTAGTGTGGTCCGGGGGACTGCTGTGCTCTGATTGGCCAAGCTTGAGTCACATGCCCATCCCTGCAGCCGGAGATGGAGTCAACTCAACCAGGAAGAGACTGAGACTGGGCTGAGAACAGGAAAGGGGGTGGTCCCCAAAGGGGAATCATACATAACACCGTAATATTTTAGAAGAAAGGTGAATTGATATTGGGTGGCAGAAGCTTCAGGTGTCTCCTGCAGTGGCTAACGTACAAATCACGTTGACTTACTTTACAATTTGGATTTATGTCTTTTCTGGGGAAATTGGAACATCAGGCAATACTTGGGCTCTGTTCCTGCACACAGAGCAACAATCTGTGAGGCGTGTGGAGAGGCTGCCGCCTCCAGGTACAGCCTGTGTCCTCCTTGTCCGCCGCGCTTATTCTTATTCCTTCTCTGTTCTATAACTGCTTGAGTTTTTACCCCTGATGTATTTTGATTATGTGGATCTGTTTATCCTACCAGAATGGAAGTGCTAAAAGTACAGGGGTCAAGTAGTTCTCCCTGTGTTCCCACAAAGTTCTGAGGTCAAATGCCTGGCCGTTAAAAAAATTCAACTTTTAGCTGGGCATAGTGGCTCACGCCTGTAATCCCAGCACTTTGGGAAGCCGAGGCCGGCGGCTCACTTGAGGTCAGGAGTTCAAATCCAGCCTGGCCAACATGGTGAAATGTCTCTACTAAAAATAAAGAAATTAATCGGGCGTGGTGGCGGGTGCCTGTAATCCCAGCTACTCTGGAGGCCGAGGCATGAGAATCGCTTGAACCCGGGAGGCAGAGGTTCCAGTGAGCTGAGATCACACCACTGCACTCTAGCCTGAGCGACAGAGTGAGACTCTGCCTCAAAAAAAAAAAAAAAAAATTCAACTTTTATTTTAGATACAGAGGGTAAATGTGCAGGTTTGTTACATGGGCACATTGCACCCAGGTAGTGAGTATAGTATCAAATAGGTACTTTTTCAACCCACTCCCCCACCTCCTTTCCCCTCAAGTAGTCTGCAGTGTTGAGTGTTCCCATGTTTATGCTCATGTGGGCTCAATGTTTAGCTCCCCCTTCTAAGTGAGAATATGCGGTATTTGGTTTTCTGTTCCTTTGTTAATTTACTTAGGATAATGGCCTCTAGCTGCAACCATGTTGCTGTAAAGGACATGATCTCATTCTTTCTTATGGCTACGTAGTATTCTGTAGTGTATATGTGCCACATTTTCCTTATCCAATCCACCATTGATGGGCACCTAAGTTGATTCCATGTCTTTGCTATTGTGAATAGTGCTGCGATGAACGTAGGAGCGTATGTGTCTTTTTGGTAAAATGGTCTTTTTCTTTTTGGGTATATCCTGGCAATGGGATTGCTGGGTCAAATGGTAACTCTGTTTTAAGTTCTTCGAGAAATCTCCAAACTGCTTTCCACAGTGGTGGAACTAATTTACATTCCCACCAACTGTGTATAAGCATTCCCTTTTCTCAACATCCTCTACAGCTTCTGGTTTTTGTTTGTTTGTTTTTTTGACTTCTTAGTAATAGCCATTCTGACTGTTGTGAGATGGTATCTCGTTGTGGTTTTGATTTGCATTTCTCTCATGATTACAGATGATGAGCCTGGCCATTTTTGATCATCTCATTCCTTGCTCATTTTTAAATCCTTCTTTTAAAAACTATTTAATACAAAGTAGAATCAGTATCTGGGAATTCCAACACCTGATGTCCTTGGGGTGCGAGGAAGTGTCTCAATCTACTGTTTGTTCTTTCTGCTCACTCTTGCTCATACTGACTTGTTTCTTGGAGGGTTAATAATTTGAATGTGATCTCAGTGTTGATTGAAATTGATCTGCGGGAGTCCTGAGGAGTCTGATTTCTGGCTGCGTTCCTCTAGGAATGATTTTTGTTTGTTTCATTTGGATGCCAGGGCTGCTACCAACCTGTGATCCCTTACATTTACTTCTTCAGCTTGGAGTTTCCCCCTTGAATGCACGGAGTGTTAAACTAATTCCTAGTACCATGTGGTTACGAATCCTCAGGGTTAACAATCGTCATTATTATGGTGGCCATTGTTAATTTTCCCCTCCAGAAACCCTGCAGAGCCCATGCGCTCCCTTTTCTGGCAGTCCAGAAAAATACACTTAAAGCCTTCCCTTTCTCAGGAGGTAGAGCACCTTTCAAGGTCCTGGCTTAATATGGACATTGTAGATTTTGCTAGCTCAGTTTGCAAAGGCCTGAGGTCTGACTTCTTATTTCCTGTACCTGTTAACTCTCCACACTGATGGAGGTATTTATCCTCAGGAATTCCTGGCTTCCTCATTCGCTTATACTTTGGTTATAGCTAGCTCTGCCTATGGTGTGTGTGTGTGTATGTTCCTTTGGGACTACTTACTTAAAAAAATTGGGTGTCCTCCAGCAATCTCATTACTGAGTATATACTCAAAAGAAAATAAATCATTCTACCAAAAAGACACATGCATTTGTCAGTTCATTACTGTGCTGTTCACTATAGCAAAGACATGGAATCAACCCAGGTGCCCATCAGTGGTCAGTAGATTGGATAAGGAAAATGTGGTACATATGCATTATGGAATATTATGCAGCCATAAAAAAGAATGAGATTGTGTCCTTTGCAGCAACATGGATGGAGCTGGAGGCCATAATCCTAAGCAAATTAACTCAGGAAAATAAAACTATGGCATGTTCTCACTTAGAAGTGGGAGCTAACCATTGAGCACACACAGACATAAATATATAGGGACAATAGACCCTGTGGACTCCTAGAGGGTGTGGGGGCAGGAGGGTTAAAAAACTATCCATCAGGGCCAGGTATGGTGGCTCACGCCTGTAATCCCAGCACTTTGGGAGGCTGAGGTGGGCAGATCACGAGATCAGGAGATCGAGACCATCCTGGCTAACACGATGAAACCCTGTCTCCACTAAAAACACAAAAAAATTAGCCAGGCGTGGTGGCATGCGCCTGTAGTCACAGCTACTCGGGAGGCTGAGGCAGGAGAATTGCTTGAACCCGGTAGGCAGAGGTTGCAGTGAGCCGAGATTGCACCACTGCACTCCAGCCTGGGTGATAGAGTGAGACTCCATCTCAAAAAAAAAAAAAAGAAAAAAGAAAAAAACCTACTCAACAGGTGGTGTGCTCACTGACAGTGTGGCAGGATCCATACTCCAAACCTCGGCATCATGCAGTATTCCCATGTACAAATCTGCACATGTACTCACTGTGTCTAAAATAAAAATTGAAACTAAAAAAAATGCTGGTAGTTTGGGGGCTAGAAGTAGCTAGAAATCAAATTAATCTTCACGTCTGCATTAGAAATGTCTTATAGAAGAGAGTTATAGTTTTTAATATAAACATATTGCTTCTCTATGGAAAAAAATTGGGGTTTATAATGGAGTTTTTTGAAACATACAACACAAAAGTAGGGAAAAGAGTACCATTAACCCCATGTACCCATAATCCAGCTTCGATACTTCTCCAATCTTGTTTTATCGCTTTTTTCTTCCTTTTTGATTAACTTCCTTTTGGATTAACTTAAAACACATTGTGTCATTTCATACATAAATACTTCCTGACTAAAAGGAGCTTCCCCACCTTTATGACATTATTTTCCCCATGACATTATCACACTAGCAATACTAGTAACAGTTCCTGAATATCGTCTAACATCCATCCATGCTCACACTTTCTTGATTCTCTGAGAGATGTCGTTGTATTGATGATTTGTTGACATCGGGATCTAGACGCCATCCACACGTTGTGTTTGGTTGTTATGTCTTTGAAATATTTTTTATTCCATAACAGCATCCCCTACCTTTTTCATACCACTGATCGGCTGGAGAAACTGGGTGTTTCGTCCTATAGAATATTCACACCATAGATTTGACTGATTGCTTCTTCATAGTTTCAATTAACTTATTCCTCTCTTCCCCATGTTTCCTGCAAACTAAGAGTGAAATCTCGAGGCCTGATGAGATCTGGTCTTCTTGTTGTCAAGACTACTTCATAGGCAGGCTGTTTGATTCCTCCTGTGTCACATCGTGGACATGTAACATCTTGGTTGGCCCTTTTTAATGATGCCAAGATGGCTAGGTAGGATCAGTGCTGACAGGCTGATCTGTCCATCATAAAGTTCTCATCAAATTTTTCTCCAGTGACTTTTAATTTTTATGTTTAATTTTTTTTTGAGATAGAATTTTGCTCTGATGTCCAGGCTGGAGTACAGTGGCAAGATCTCGCCTCACTGCAACCTCCGCCTCCTGGGTTCAAGTGATCCTCCCACCTCAGCCTCCCAAGTAGCTGGGACTACAGGTGCACACCACCATGCCTGGCTAATTTTTTTACTTTTAGTAGAGACAGGGTTTCACCGTGTTGGCCGGGCTGGTCTTGAACTCCTGACTTCAAGTGATCCTCCTGCCTTGGCCTGCGAAATTGCTGGGATGACAGGCATGAACCACCAGGCCCAGACAGTTTTTATTTTTAATTGTGGTAAAATACACATAACATACAATTTACCATGTGAATCATTTTTAGCGTACAGTTCAGTAGTGTTAAGTACATTTACATCATTGTGCAACCAACCTCCAGAGCTTTTTCATCTTGCAAAACTGAAACTCTGTACCCACCAAACACTAGCTCTGTAATTCCCCTTCCTCCCAGGCCCTGAGAAATATCATTGTACTTTCTGTTTCTATGAGTTTGGCTATTCTAGATACTTCGTATAAGTGGCATCACACAGTATGTGTGTTTGTGACTAGCTTATTTCACTCTGCAGAATGTCCTCAAGGTTCATCGTGTTGTAGCATGTGTCAGAATTTCCATCTGTTTTAAGGCTGAATAATATTTCATTGTATGCATAGACTATATTTTGTTTGTCCATTCATTCATCGGTGGACACTTGGGCTTATCAACATTTTTTTTTTCTTTTTTTGAGATGGAGTCTCCCTCTGTCACCCAGGCTGGAGTGCGGTAGCAAGATCTCGGCTCACTGCAACCTCCACCTTCCAGGTTCGGGCAATTCTCCTGCCTCAGTCTCCTGAGTAGCTGGGACTATAGGCAAGTGCCACTATGCCTGGCTAATTTTTTTATTTTTAGTAGAGATGGGGTTTCACCATGTTGGCAAGACTGATCTTGAACCCCTGACCTCAAATGATCCTCCTGCCTCGTCCTCCCGAAGTGTTGGGATTGCTGGTGTGAGCCACTGTGCCCGGCCTCATCAACTTTTTACCTAATAGTTTTAGCATTCTTTGAGGATCATTCCCTAGCTCCATTCTTTCCTTTGAGGTTGCAGAATAGTGATCTTTCTGATATTCCTTTGTTAATTATTGCTAGAATTCTTCTTCATCAACTGTCAATGCATTTTCTTCATCAACTATTATTATTATTATTATTTTTGAGACAGGGTCTCACTCTGTTGCCCAGGCTGGAGTGTAGTGGTGTTATCATGGCTCACTGCAGCCTCAACCTCCTGAGCTCAAGTGATCCCTCCATCTCAGCCTCCCAAGTAGCTGGGACCACAGGCACACACCACTACACTCAGCTAATTTTTAAACTTGTTGTAGAGACGCGGTTTCTCCATGTTGCCCAGACTGATCTCAAACTCCTGAGCTCAAGCATCCTCCAGCCTAGGCCTATCAAAGGGTTGAGATTACAGGCGTGAGTCACTGCGCCTGGCCAATTATATGTTTACCGTAAAACACAGTTTGTTCAGGAAAGGCAGAATAAATGATGGATTCTTTCCCTTTATGTATCAATATTCACAGTAACAAGCAACTTCCCAAAGTGACCAATGAGTTTTTAAAAGTATCATCAGGAATATTTGATTTGGAATTATGTAGATGTGTTTCAATCCATTGAAGTCACTATTTGGTTTGATGCTCACATGGTGCCAGCATCATGGCATTTGGGTTGGTTCTTGTGTTGTTTGTTTTTCTGGGTGGAAACAACTTAATATTTCATTATAATCATTTGTGTTTGTGAAGCATTACTGTGGTCTTTAGGGAAACATCTTTTTACTCGGTTTTCCTTTCCTGTACAAGGAAGCTGAGCAAGATGAACTCTAGAAGCATTTCTCTTTAAAATTCTACTTTTTATAGCATTTTGTAGCATATAATTTAACTCATTTGATTCTCCCAGTCTTGTGGCCCAACGCAATAATCAATATTTCGTTTTTCAAACATGGAAATTGCCGCTCAGATGACAATCTTTTTTTCCACTTCTCCATACTACATTCTCCCCGCAACCCCCCGTAGCCAGTAGACCTAAAGCTTCAGTTTGTACAGTTTTTAACCACGGGCATTTTGCGCCCTGACCCAGGCCCCCAGGAGACTTTTGACAATGCTTCGGGACATTTTTGATTGCCACACCTGGGCAGTGCTTCTGGCATCTAGTGGTGGAGGCTAGGGATGCTGTAAACTTCCTGTAAGGAACAGAGCAGCCTTCCACCTAGCCACGCCTTGCCCCATGTCAGGGTTACCCAGCCCAAAATGTCAATAGTGCCAAGGTTCAGAAACCCAGAGTTGAAGCAATACACAGAGATAAAATCATATTCCATTTAATTCAGTGTTTATTCACTGGAGGGGTGTATGATAATGTACACGTCTATGAAATTACTACCCAGGAAGTAGGAGCAAGGGATAGTCTGCCTTCAACATATGCGTAGGACTTAGTCAATGGTGTTCTTCTCCTCCTCCTCCCCCTCTGGTCTTATTCCTGGTTCCTATATTGCCCCGTGAGACCTTTCTATTATTGGCCTAAGGGAAGATGAGTGGATGATTTTTACTACTTTCAGCCATTGGAAAAATTTTAGGCATTAAAACTTTTTTAACTGGAAAAATAAACATCAAAATCAAGGTTTATTCCAAATAGCAGCTAGAATGTTTGTACTGATTTCTCCTTGCCAATTTTTTTTTTTTTTTTTTTTTTTGAGACAGGGTCTCACTGTGCTACTGAGGCTGGAGTGCAGTGGTTCTCCGTTCTCTGCAAACTCCACCTCCCGGGTTCAAGCGATTCTCCTGCCTCAGTCTCCCAAGTAGTTGGGATTACAGGCGTGCACTACCACACCCAGCTAATTTTTGTGGTTTTAGTAGAGACGAGGTTTCATCATGTTGGCCAGGCTGGTCTCGAACTCCTGACCTCAAGTGATCTGCTCACCTCCCAAAGTGCTGGGATTACGGGTGTGAGCCACCACGCCCGACTCCTCCTTGCCATTTTCATGGATTCAATGAATGTTTTAAATAAGCTTAGGATTACCTTTTAAAGTCAATAAAATTATTGGCCTCATATGCCCCAACTTCTCCTATAAAAGGTATATTCCTATTTCCTTTTCTCTACTGCATTTGTGCTGATTTAAAAAAAAAACAACACCCCAGTTGGTGCTAAATGAATGTACCATTGGTAACTTCTAGGACAGCATGACCCTTCCTGTTCAAAAAGTCAATTGGTGAACCAGTACTTTGAATCTGATTTTTTTTTTTTTTTTTTTCTGAGACGGAGTCTCGCTCTGTCACCCAGGCTGGAGTACAGTGGCGCAATCTCGGCTCACTGCAAGCTCTGCCTCCCGGGTTCACGCCATTCTCCTGCCTCAGCCTCCTGAGTAGCTGGGATTACAGGTGCCCGCCACCACGCCCGGCTAATTTTTTTTTGTATTTTTAGTAGAGACGGGGTTTCACCATGCTGGCCAGGCTGGTCTGGAACTCCTGACCTCGTGATCCACCCACCTCGGCCTCCCAAAGTGCTGGGATTATAGGCATGAGCCACGGCGCCCAGCCTGAATCTGATTTTTAAAAGGTAACTAATTTGTCAGAAACCAAAAGATGCAGCTTTCTCTCTCTCTCGGTTTAATTTTGAAAGCTGCAGCAATTAGGTAAGGTGGGGCATTTATTCACTGGCTTATGTCAAGTATTTATACAATTTCTTTTATGAACACACATACTTGACTTGTCATACTTTCCCCAAAAAATAAAAGAAGAATCTTGCTATCATGTTATTCCATTGTTTATCTCTCTTTTATGCTTTGTTAAAATAGATGCTAATGATTTTTCTTGACTAGATAGTATCACAAGGATACATTCTGAAATAAGACATCTTGAGAATAAACACTAAGAACATTTTCTTCTTCTTAAAGTTCCTGCACAACTCCTAAATTTTACAAAGTATTAAGCCCACAGGTGCGATGACTCATGCCTGTAATCCCAGCACTTTGGGAGGCCGAGGCGGGTGGATCACTTGAAGCTAGGAGTTCAAGACCACCCTGGCCAACATGGCAAAACCCCGTCTCTACTAAAAATAGAAAAATTAGCCAGGCATAGAGGCAGAAGCCTGTAATCCCAACTATTCAGGAGGCTGAAGCATGAGAATCGCTCAAGCCTAGGAGGTGGAGGTTGCAGTGAGCTGAGATTGCACCACTGCCCTCCAGCCTGGGCGACAGAGCGAGACTCTCTGTCTCAAAAAAAAAAAACAAAACAAAACAAAAACAAAAAAACGGAAAAAGAAAAAAACTCCACAAAACAAAGTACTAAGCCTAGCTTATCTCTCAGAATCATGCTGTATTATCTGATACTGTTTTTCTGAGAAGATTTATAACCCAGAAAAAGTCACGCTATAATTTTTGCTTCTGAAATTGTATTCCAGTTGTTTTATTTTGTTACATACCTTTCATTGGTTTTAAGTATGCTTTTTCAATAGTCCAAAATTTCTCAGAGTCTATTTGAATTTGTAAGTATTATACCATTATCTTTCCCACACCATTTATATTACAGTTGCTACATATCAGGTTTTTAATGAACAGATGTTGGGCTGAGAATGGATGGAGAAAAGGAGAAAGGAAGATAAATTTGTGCATACCATGACATGGAGAATTAGATTTGCAGTTCTGGGATGGGGCGAAGGACAGAAAAACAGTCTTGACAGGTTTTTAAAAGAAAAATGATAAGCAATGCAAGGATGATTGTTTCTTGCTTTTTTTTGACGGGGTCCACACTGAGTGGCCAGGCTGTATGACTGCAGTCCCCATGTCCAAGAGCATCTAGGACAGGGCTTCTCAACCTCCACACTAGTGACATTTGGGGCAGGATAATTCTCTGCTGTGGGGACTGTCCTAGGCGTTGTAGGAGGGTTAGCAGGATCCCTGGCCTACTAGATGCCAGTACCCTCTCCCCCACCACTGTCACATTGCCAAGTGCTGCCCGGGAGCAAAATCAGTCCTGGTGGAGAGTCACTGACCTAAGGTGAAACAGAGAGTTCTGGTGTTGGTGCAACTGTTTCACAGCCTTCCTGGGAGCGGAGAATGTTTCATTGCGTATGTTGTATCTGGGGGTTGGTTGGTTTGTATGGATGTGTGTTCCATCTGACTGTCTTCCTGGAATGTGCAGAGTTCCAGGGGCTGCGTGTCCCCTGGGAGACTGGTGTGGAGGAAACACGTGTGGCAAGCAGCCTGGTTGGCCCTGAGGAAACCTTTGTTGCAAGGGCCACGTTTTCAAGGCCTCTCGTGTAAGGATGTGCGTTCTCTCCAGTGACTTTTCTGGATGGTTGCATCCACATATTGTTTTTTTCCTCTGTCTCTTGGGGTCTTTTCCTCCCTCTCCTGGCCAGCCTGCTCCACGGTATCTGAAGAGAGCTGGTATCTGACTTCTCCATCCATTATTGGAGAATGTGAGATTGATGTGTTGCAGCTCACTGTCACGTCTCAGCTGCAGGCATTCCCAGACATCATTTCCCAGATGCATTGCTACGAAGAGACAGGGACACAGCTTTCCCCTGTTAGCCTGATGTGAAGGTACTTCTGAATGAGCTGGAGGTGACTCGAAAACCACCCCAGAGGGCAAACTGTCATCCACACAGATGGCAAAAGCTCGGGGAAGCATCCACTCCTCTTCATGGTGGGGGCTGTCACGAGGGGGGCAAGCCTCCCTTCAGAGGGGTGGGGTGGACACAGGAAGGTCTGCAGTGGGTCTGAGAGCCGGGAGGCCCCAGGCACCTGTGTCTGGCTTATCCTGGATCTACGGTCTTGACCACCTCCCGCAAGTTGTCAGGGGATGGGGTGATCTTAGTGGCTTGCCTTAGCTGGTGATCTGTGATCCGAATGCCACACAGTGAGGAGGCTAACGGATATCTTTGCCCACAAGCTGTGGGACTTTGGACAAGTGTCTTATCTTCCCTGGGCCCATTTCTTTCTGCTGTAGAAGGACTGTGTTTGGCTCAATCATCATTCCCTGTTGTGTGTTCTGGGAATGCTGGCCATGGAAAAGGCTTTGTGGGGGAAAAGGGCCTGTGTTAAACTGGTTTGGCAGATGTTATGTCCTGCGGTACCTCCTTTGAGATTTATGATGCACATGAGCATATGAGAGGCTCTCTGGAATTCTCTGCACCCAGATGCCCATGGGGCTTACTGCCTACTTTTCTCCAGTGCTACCCTCCAGAGGCTCTTCCTGATCACCCTGAAGGTGAGCCCCTCTCACCTCCTGTTCTTCACCCAGCTTTATTTTTCTTCTCATTTTCTGAGTTTATACCGTATACATATTTTTCATCCTCTGTTCGGGCTCCACCCAGAATGTCACCTCTGTGTCGGCAAGGACTTGGTCCATTTTTTTTTTTTTTTTTTTTTTTTTGCAGCTTTATCCAGAGCACCTGGCACATAGTAGGTGCTGCCACTTTCCATCTCAGCTTCAGGCATTCTTGGACATCATTTCCGAGGTCAGCTGCATTGCTGCAAAGAGACAAGCACACAGCTTTCTCCTGCTGGCTCGTAGGTGCGCAATAAAAATAGACTTTGTTTCACTCAGGGATTTCCAAATGGATCTAATTAGGGACTTTTCCACACCCACCCATTAAAATCCAGCAGAATACACTTGAGGAATCGCCAGGAAATCAAAAGTCCTGACAGCTGTGGCCTCCTGAGATTCACTGTCTTAGGACAAGCTGCTCCCTTCTGAATGTGCTGACAACATGGCATCAGACTGAAAACCAAACCAAACAGACTGACTTGACCACTCTCCATGATGGAGGGCCCAAGCCCTGGGCTAGGCTGACCCCGGGGGCTGCCTCAGTTGGCCTTCATTACGCGGCCTGGCTGCTGTTTCCCTGAAGCTGGCTTTCTGTGAAGATGCCTCACAGACTTGTGGCGTTTGGTGAATTTTCTCTGAACACACTTGTAGAAGTGAGTGTGAGGCTCATGCAGGGAGAAGCGCTTAGATCTCAGGTCAGTTTTCCATCCGACTGTGGCTTCATCACAGCTGCACTGTCCTACCTTCCTTCCCCTTCCCCTCCCTCCCCTCCCCTCCCCTCCTCCTTCCTTCCTTCCCTTTTTTTGAGACACAGTTTCACTCTGCCTTCCAGACTGGAGTGCAGTGATGCAATCCCAGCTCACTGCAACCTCCACCTCCCTGATTCAAGTGATTCTCGTGCCTCAGCCTCCCCAGTAGCTGGAATTACAGGAGTGTGCCACCACACCTGGCTAAATTTTGTAGTAGAGACAGGGTTTCACTATGTTGGCTAGGCTGGTCTTGAACTGCTGACCTCAAGTGATCTGCCCGCCTTGGCCTTCCAAAGTGCTGGGTTATAGGCATGAGCCACTGTGCCTGGCCCCCTTGCTTTGTCTGTGCCGGGTGCAGTGGGGGCACTTTACCTGTGTTGGTTTCAGGTACTCATCACAAAATGAGGAACTTCCATTTTGCTGGTGAAGAGATCGAGGCTCAGGTGGGAAGACTTTCTCCCACCCTCCATGCTTGCAGACATAACAAGGGCTGTCCTTCTGTAACTCCACACCAGAATATGCAGCATGGTTTGTCCTAGGAGCTAAATGGTCCTTGTCAGGGCCTTTACAATAAGAAAGAAGTCCACGAATCCTCAGAAGGGCTTTTCTTGTACTGCCTTTTAGAACCTGTGGTTCAGTTGATCCACACATTTCCAGCGATACAGCTGCGTCCCATTTTCAGTATCTCAGGACGCTTGTGGATTGATTTCGGCTTTGCCATCTCATGCTTGTCCATGCGGAAGTGAGTCATTTCAGGACATGTGGCTTCAAATAACAGAAGCCCACTCCAACTTGCTTAAGGAAAGATAGGCATTATTGAAAGCAGACTGGTGTGTTGTATATACCCAAAGGTCACAGTGTGTGGCCAGGCTCCCCAACCAGGAACTACAAAGCAGCAAATCTGTCTCTTTCTGTGGAGGGCTGTTTCCTCCGTGCCCTTCTGCTTCCTCCATCTCTTCCTGCAGGACTGGCTTTCTCTGTGCATGTGGCTACCCTGCAGCTTTCAAATGTATTGCACCCAGTTCAACTAGTCAGTCCCGAATGATCACCCAAAGGTGACTGTCACCCAAGGCCACAGGACCTGCTTTGGGAAGCAGTGCCCAAGCACGAATCTTCCCCATGAAGAGCAGGCTTTAGCTTCACTGCTGTATCCTGGAGCCTAGAGCAGTACCTGGCATCTAACAGGCACTGAGTAAGCAGTCGTGGAAATGGATGGATCCAGCTGGTTCAGCTGCACTCCCCAGGCAGTGGTCTACACTGCAGTCACAGTCATGCTCCAGTCTTGTGCCTTAAGCACCTGCTCGTGGCTCCCCTTCCCCAGAACTGCAACCAGTCAGAGGAAAGGAAAAATCAAAATCGAGGTTAGGTGGAGTACCAACTCTGGGCCCAGCACTGTGGACAATGGAAAGGCCATTCTGTCCTCAAGGATTTCAGTTAAATTCAAGATCAAAGCGGGCCAGGTACAGTGGCTCACACCTGTAATCCCAGCACTTTGGGAGGCCAAGGCGGGTGGATCACTTGAGGTCAGGAGTTCAAGACCAGCCTGACCAACATGGTGAGATGCCTTCTCTACTAAGAATACAAAATTAGCCAGGTGTGGTAGCACACGCCTGTAAGCCCAGCTACTTGGGAGGCTGAGGCAGGAGAATCGCTTGGGAGGCTGAGGCAGGAGGTGGAGGTTGCAGTGAGCCAAGATTGCGCCATTGCACTCCAGCCTGGGCAACAAGAGCGAAACTCGATCTCAAAAAAGAAAATAAAGAGAAGATCAAAGCTAAAGAAGGAAATTGACTGGGGGACACCATCTCTCAGCACAGTTGGGCTTCCCAAAGACCAAGGACCAGAAAGTCACCAGGAGGCAGCGGTCTCTGAGGCTCATTTTTCATGGCTGTGTATTTGAGCAGTTAACTCCATTCTCTGTCTGCAGAGTGGCTTCTCCTGCCTCACGTGTCCGTGACCCACCCTGATGGCCCCCAAACAGTCACCTAACCCCTGAGACCACATCACTCAGAACTGACCTCTCCATCCAAAGCTGGGCTCCTGGGAAAGACTTGCCTAGCCAAACTCAGCTTCTGATTGGTTCTCCCTGGGTATCCCGGATACATACCTCAGATCCAATCAGCTGTGACTTGAAAGCATGGATGTCACATGATCCCAACAAGCTGCTAAGATCTGTCCTTTTGAGTAGGGTGGGAGTGCTGAGTGGGACTTTAAAAAACTGGAATTCATTCAGATTTCTTCTTGCTGCTCTTTCATAGCCCTGGGGCCATTTGGGTTGCTACTTGCATTTCCCCCATGTTTGTGCTCTTATGTTTACATTAGGGACAAAAACATGATTGGGAGCAAAGAAAAGAACTAGTCTTCTGGTTCTTGCCTTCTTAGCTTCTCCCTTTTTTTTCCGCCTTCACTTCCCTCCCCTCCCTTCCCTTCCCTTCCTTTTCCTTCTCCTCCCTTCCCCTTCCCCTTCCTTTCCTTCCTTCCTTTCCTTCTTCCCTTCCCTCCCTTCTCCCTTCCCTTCCCTTCCTTTCCTTCTCTCCCTCCCTTCCTTCCCCTTTCTATTTATCTTCCTTCCTCCTTTCTATCCTTCTTCCTTTTTCTTCCTTTCTTCTTTTCTTTTCTAGTCCAAAGAGAAAGAGAGAGTCCTGAGGATGATAATGATAGCTCTGAACCAATAAACAAACAGGGCAAATGTGCTTTGAGGAATTTTGAGTAAAGGTGGCCTCCTGCTTTGACAGGTGGTTTTAACTCAGTACTGCAGAGAACTTCCTTGCCTCGAGGCACTATTTAGGACTCCAAACCTGTGGTTAAGGTTTCCAGCTAACATTCTTTCTGCCCATTTTAGAAAGAGGTGAGCCTAGGCTTTATATTGTGTATACCACATATCCATTATAATCCTCTGAATAATATGAATAATTTTCTACTTGATCATTTCCACACATACAAGCAGGGGTCCTAAATGCTATTTCCGTTGCACTCCTCTCTGTGGGAAGACTCATGAAGTGTTGAGGCCAAAGGGGGGCTGATATCGAGTGAGTTGAAGATTGAGCTCTGTATTGGTTTCCTATAACAAATTATTACAAACTTGGTGACCCATAACAACAGAGACTTGTTCTCTCACAGTTCTGGAGGCCAGAAGCCCAAAATCATATTAACTGGCCTGAAATCAAGGTGTAAGCGGGGACTGCATCCTTCAGGGGCTCTAGGGGAGAGTCCATCCCTTGCTTCTTCCTGATTCCGGTGTCTGCCGGCCTTCCTGGACTTGTAGATTGATCACTCCCATCTCTGCCTCTGGGATGACATTGTCTCCTCCTCTTCTGTATATACTCTCCCCGTCTTTTGCTTGTGAGGACATTTGTGGTTGGCATTAAGGGCCCACCTGGCAAACCCAGGACAATCCCATCATCTTCAATCCTTAATCACATCTGCAAAAACTTTACCATACGAGGTAATATTCACTGGTTCCAGGGATTAGGGTCTGATACCTTTGGGGACCACCAATCAGCCCACCCAAGCCTCACAACTCCTTCTCCCCCGTGGAGGATCTAGACTAGGGAGACACCCCAAAAGGTTTCTACCAGAAGCCAGATTGAGAGCTCTTCCAGAAAGTCATTTCTCAACTCATCTGGGTCCTTACTCTTCTCTTCTATTTTCCTCCCATTTATCCTCTGGTTTGGAAGAAGCACAGAAAGTAACAGGAAAGCAAGCCCAGCCCAGAGACATGAGACACAAAGAGCCATGGGTCGGCTCAGGAGTGGGCCGGGGAACGGACCAGGCCTCTGGGTGTCTGTCCCATGCCACAAAGCCAATCCCAACATCTCCCCTTTTAATAATGCATCGCATAAGGAAAGTGAAAGTTTCGAACTTTAGTCACTACTGCTAATCTTGAGATAAGAAGGTAACTCGGTGCCTGTCATCCCTTCCCTGTCCACCGGAGCTTGTTAGGAAAACATCTGGGCCTGGGAATTACTCTTCCAACCAGGTTGACACAGACTCCTCAGCAGGCTGGCTCCATGCCCACCAATAGCAGGAAGGCTTCCTTTGGACTTGGGTCTGTTTTCCCAGACACTCACTCCACGGTCAAGATCCTGACCCCAGAGGTCTCCATTCCCCTCCTATGTCCCCTCTTCAACAGCGTGCGATCCCCTGAGCATTTCTTATTCATTGCACTGCTTTTCTGAGCTGCATAGACTCACTTTCCCCCTCCAGGGGGACATGCTCACCCACCCCCTACACTTACATAGCCTGTCAGTTCTGGGGGCAGAGGACAGGCTGCACTGAGCTCCCTCCTGGGCCAGTTCTCAGCAGAGGGAGATAGGAAGGATGCCTAGACAGGTAGAAAGCTGCTGTTCAAACAACCAGAACTTTCTTTTGGGTGCATAGGTTGACAGAGACAACCTCTGAACTTGAGAAGTGCAAGTCTTCATTCAAAGTCTGGAAAAGCTCTTTACACTGAGCTGTATGGGGGGTGTGTAAGAACTCAGGCCTTGGAGCCAGGCAACCTGGGCTCAAACCCCAGCTCTACTGCTTACTAGCAGTGTGACACAGGGCACTTACATTAACCTAAAGCCTCTGTGAGCTGACAACAGAATGGCATTATTACCAGACTTGGGTCCAGACAAAATGGGGTGATGTGTGAAATGCTTAGCACAACACTGGGCATAAGTATTCAGTACATATTAGCTATTATTATTGCCATTTTCCCCTAAGAAAGTCAGTATTGGGAGAGCTGCTAAAGTAACTCAGCACCCAAATGTACTACATATAAAATATTTTATTACAAAAAGCTCCATTGCATGGCATTTCAAAAAGAACATTTCCTACAGTTTTCTTTCTTCTTCTTTTTTTTTTTTTTTTTGCTGTTACACAGAAGAGACTAGTTAAGTGTACCATTGAAGACTATTATGCATCACGTGCCTACGTTCATCAGGCCTTAAGCCCTCAAAGAACAACAGCATCAGGGGCTCTGCGAGAGCCGCCACCTGAGCCTCACCGCTTAGTTCATAAAACAGCCCTGTGTCCTTTCTACAAAGCCAGGTCGTGTTTTCTACCCACAGTTCAGGACTCCAGCGTAGACAGCAAACACAAAACTTGTTTCCTTTTTGAAACAAAACAGTCTTAGTAGAAGCAAAACAAACAACCACAATCTAAACCAGCCGCGAGGAACCCTTTCCTAGCTGGAAAGGAGAATGTGTCGCCAGCGATTCGGAGTGAAAAGGATGGGAAGATGCCTGTGCCACACCCTTGAATGTGGTCCACAGATTCACCAGCTCCAAGGCAGCATCTCTTTCCAAAGCACCTGCAGCAGGAGGCTGTGTGGGGCAACAAAGTCACTCCTGATACAGAGAATCCCCCCCCGCCCGCCGCCATCCAAATGGCTCCATGCACAGCTGGCCCCTCCGCTTCTCAACTGTGGCTCATGTGGCTTTGTTAGAGTCTTGGGGGTGAAAGGTGTGAGAGACAGGAGGGAGCGTGGCTCAAGTGGGGCCATTCAGTCGGGCGGCCGGGTGTCGGGGGCCTTCTCCTGGACTTCATCATACTGCGGTGGAGGAGTCAAAGGCTCTATCGAGGGAGGAGGGACGTTTTTGTCTGGGAGGTTGATCCTAAAGTCTTTGAGGTGAAGCTTTTCAGATTTAATCCTTCGAACTTTCAGCGGTTTCAGTCGTTTGGCCAACTTAGAGTTCTGCCTGTCAGGGGGGTTCCCAGGGCTGGCCTCCACGTCAGCCCTGGTGGATGTGGGGGTGGTCTCGTCGAGCCCCGTCAGTGACTCATAGGACGGGAGAGAGATGCTCAACCTCGGGTTCTGCTCCTCTCCCCTTGCTTCTGAGTAGTTTGTGTTCATCACTTCCTCGTAGCTGGGAACATAGTACCTTGAGGCAGCCTCCTCATCCTCCTCTTCTTCCTCCTGGCTGCAAGAAGACACACAGACAGGGAGAGTGTTAGCCTGTGCTCAAGTCATTCAAAATCCCAAAGGGATGGGCTCCAAAGAGTCCACACACAGCAGCCTTGTAAATAACAAATGGGTCTTAGAGGCAATAAAAGTGAATACTTCAAGTGTTTACTATGAGCTGGGCTCCCTTCTAAGTATTTTAGCAAATATGAACCAATTTCAGATTCCTGACAACACTATGAGTTAAGTACTAGTCATGCAGGACAGGACAGGTGAGTCCCCAAATTGGGGCTTAGCCTGGGAGGGTTCTTGGCTTCATCAAGGAAGGAATTCAAGGGTGAGCCAGTGGTGTTAGACCACAATTCTTTATTGAAGGGCACTGCTTCTTGTGGAGCAGGGCTAACTCATAGGCAGTACACCCTGAGTTGGCCACATAGGGGCTCTTGGAAATTGTATTTATACCCACTTTTAGTCACATGCAAATTAAGGGGTGGGTTAATGCAAATTGAGGGGCAAGCTATTTAAGACTTCCTAGGAAAGGTAACTTCTGGGTCGTTACCATGGAAAGGGATGGTAACTGCCAGGTCGTTGTCATGGCAATTGTAAACTGTCATGGCACTGGTGAGAGTGTCCCATGCTGATGAGCAATGAGGGCAGCCAGGGATCACCCTCGTTCCCGTTTGCTGGCTTTGGCTAGTGTTTTTTTAAACCTTATCTCATCTGGACCACATCCTGTTTTGGTCAGCAGGGTTATGATCAGAAAACAAGTCCTGCCTGTTTTCTATCTCACTATTATTATAATACCCAATTTATAGATGGACTGAGATACATCAAGATTAAATGACTTGGTCAGACCTTCAGGAAATGGGAGGGCAGGAAGTGAACACTGTACTCTCAACTACTCCACCATGTTATCTGGGTGTTAAACCTCCTTTGCCTTTAAGCCTTTCCCACTTAGCGACATGCTGCGTGAGCTATTCCAATGCTCAGCTGGGTCCTTTGGTCAAAGGCAACACAGAAATGTACAAAGTTGCTACCAACTTTCAGTAGAGAAAGAATATCTGAAATATAACATTTATGTGTGTCTCAAATTATTCTGTAATTTTATCTTCCAAGTTTATCCCAAGACTCAAAAAGATCAGGTCCTCTCAGCCTTATTCTCATTTGACTGTTGAAAGAGAAAACCAAAAAGTCAGGATATTTTCTACACATTTGTCAGAATTAACGCCAATAGCCACTTTCCAGGACTCTATACTTGAACCTGTGGGGTGATCATGGCCAACATCAGAAACCTCAAAGTCTGCCTTGGTTTTCCTCCCACCCTCCTTTAGGAATGAACTCAAATGTGCTCACAGCTAGGGTGGGGAATGATGAGTGATTGATATTTGTTCTTTTCTATATTTCTCAAGTTTTCTAGAATAAGCATGTGTGATGGTTAATTTTAGGTGTCAACCTGACTGGCCATGGTTGCCCATATTAAACACTGTGAGAGTGAGGGTGTTTCTGGAAGATACTAGCATTCAGCTCGGTGGGCTCTGTAAGGCAGATTCCCCTCCTCAGTGTGGTGGCACCATCCAACCCATGGAGGCCCTAGATAGACCCAAAGTCAGAGCAAGCAGGAATTTGACTCATTTCTCCCTGCCTCACTGCTTGAGCTGGGACATCTCATTTCATCTTCTCCTGCTCTCAGACTAGGATCTATACCCTCACCTCTCCTCGTTCTCAATCAGGCCTTCAAACTCAGAATGAATTATACCCCTTGCTTTCCTGGGTCTGCAGCTTACAGATGGCAAATTGTGGGACTTTTTGGCTTCCATGATCCCAGGAACTAATTCCTCATAATAAATCTCCATTTAAAAAAATATATATCCCCCTGGTTCTGTGTCTCTGGAGAACCCTGACCAATACAGCATATATTATTCTTTGCTATCAGAAAATGAGTTTAATTTGGAAATTGTATTTGTACCCACTTACACCCACTTTCAATTATGTGCAAAAGTAAGAAGTGGGTTAATGTAAATTGAAGGGCAAGCTATTTAGAACATTCTAGGAAAGGGATGGTAACTTCCAGGTCATTACCATGGAAAGGGGTGGTAACTGGTAACATTGGAGGGCAGAAATCCCTTCAATATAATGAGATTTTTTTTTCTTCTGGTGTGTACCCACAAGTGGCATTGCTGAATCATTTGGCAGCTCAATTTTGAGTTTTTTGAAGAAACTCTAAACTTCTCCACAGTGGTTGCACTAATTTACATTCCCACCATTAGTGTACCAAGGGTTCCCTTTAATCCATATTACATTAAGAACAATTCCCTTCCCACTATAAAGATAAGAAATGCTTGTAGAAAATTCAAACAACACAGAAACATCTAATGAAGAAAAGAAAAACATCCCGAATCCTTCTACCTGGAGACAAACCACTGTAACATTCTGGTGTATACCTTTCCTACCCCTCTCCAATCCCACAGCCACAACATTTGATGGGACCATAACCTGACCAAAGATGCTGTATTATATCCCCCTTTTCTCATTGTTGTGGATATGGTCCCACATTAACAAATATAGATCAACAGTTGCTGCATAGAACTCCATTGAATAGGTACGTCATTTAACTCAGTAGGTGGTTTTTTAGGTTGTTTCTAAGTTTTTGTTATCCTAAACAATGATCTGATAAATATACTGGTACAAACTCCTTTGCACCTGTGGGACTGTCTCCCAGGGATAAACTCTTATAAATAGGATCAATACGCACATCTTCAGTACTGCCCCTTATGGTGAAACTCTTAAGAAAGTTTCTATCAGTCAACATTTCATCAGCAATCCATCTTCCCTACAACTCTCCAACAGTAGGGGCTGTCTATCTTGATCAATATGATAGGCAAAAAAAAGAAAAGACATCTTTTTGCTTGCATTTCATGACTAATGAAGTTGAACATCTATTGGTTGAACATCTATGGAATATTCATAATCTTTGTCTGTTTCCTATTGGTATATTCATCTTACATATTCATTTCTAAGAGCTCTTTTTATAATAGGGATATCAACTATTATCATATCTTCCCCAATGTATCACTTATCTTTTAAATTTGTTGGTGGCATTTTTGCTCAAATGGAAAATTGCTTCCCAGCCATTTCAAATTAAAGCATACACACAGCATGCTGGGGTGAAGGGACAAGCAAATATGCTGGCCACCCCAGGCCCTGTTCAGTGACCCTGGGCGGGTCAAAATGCTGGTTCACTTAAGAGTAATGGCCTCCAGCTCCATCCAAGTTGCTGCAAAAGACAGTTTTTTGTTTTTGTATTTTTTTTTTTGAGACAGAGTCTCACTCTGTCACCCAGGCTGGAGTGCAGTGGCGGTATCTCAGCTCACTCACTGCAATCTCCACTCCCCTGGGTTCAAGCGATTCTCATGCCTCAGCCTCCCCAGTAGCTGGGACTACAGGCATGTGCCACCATGCCCAGCTAATTTTTGTATTCTTAGTAGAGACAGGGTTTCACCATGTTGGCCAGGCTGGTCTCAAACTCCTGACCTCAAGTGATCCACCTGCCTCGGCCTCCCAAAGTTCTGGAATTACAGGAGTGAGCCACTGCACCTGGCCCAAAAGACAGTATTTTGTTCCTTTTTATGGCTGAATAGTATTCCATGGTGTAAAAATCTATTGTAATAAAATTTTTAAAAAATCTTGGTTTACCTGTAATCCATTTGTACCATGCTATTTGGGAAGCTCTGGTAGAAAAGTCTAAAGTTATTTGTAAAATGATAAACCGTTTTGACAGAGGCGTCATGGGCGAACATGGGACAATAAAGCCTGTAGATGACAGTCTTTTCACCACGGAAAGGTGTGAACATGTGTGTGCATGCGTGCGTGCCCATCCCCGATCCGGGGAGGGAAGGGGACAGTCAGGCCTCACCTGTCTTCCTCCTGGGCGTGAGGCCCAGCGCCTGTCGGGTGCTGGACATGGGCCAGGTCCTCGCCCTGCCGCTGCTTCCTCTTATCCCTGATACTCAGGCAGATAGAAAGCAGCAGCAGCATCACCCCGGCCCCGACCAGCACGTAGGCCACAGAGAAGGTCTTGCTCTTGAGGATGCCGCCACCCACCTCGGTCTTGTTGCTGCCCTGAGCTGTTGGCTTCTCGGCCGCGCTGAAGCCGGGTACCAGGTTCCACATGGCCATGATCACCCCAAGGACCAGCATCCCCAGGCCGATGGCGGTCAGCGCATAGTGCGAGCCATTGGCCTTGGACTGGGCCATCATGTCAGTGGGAGGAGGGCGAGGCCCAGTTCCAAGAAAGAAAATAAATGTATACAAGGCAGCAGTCACAACAAAAACCCCTTAAATGCGCTCCACAAAATCTCTCGCCCCACACTAGAAAATATCAGCTGAACTCCTGCGGGATGGTTCCGAGCAATCGCGAGGCCTCCCGTGCGGATGGCTGCGGTGGAAGGGCCTGGAAGGAAAGCAGAAAGAGCAGAGAGGACGATCAGTTCCGATTCCAGACGCTTTGTGAATGTGGCGGCTCTGCTCTTGAAGGAGTTAGGCAGCAGCACCGAGCACGCCGGCTCTGGCTGGGCCTCGCCTTTGATGCATTCCAGATGTCTTACGTGCTCAGGCTCCTTGTGCGAGGCTGCGAGAAGGGAGGCCGGTCTGCCCAGCCCGCTACTCCCTGAAAAGGAAAAGCCAGACCTTTCCCTGCTGGAGGCCAGAAAGGTCGGAGCTCAGGTCATTAAAACATTGTGTGGAATTTAATGAAGTGCAGTAAAATCGTAGCTCTTGCTGGAGGCTGCTGGGAGAGTGAGCGATGGGATGAATGGTCCACAATCGATGGTTGTAACAGACTCACCTGGGGGACAGGGCCTCAGCCAATGGTATGACCAGGCCAAACAGCCTACTGTCATCTGTTCCCCACCCTCAATGGCTCCCTACTTCCTGCAGGAGAAAATCCAGCTTCTTAGAATGATGCTGCTCATGGTGGCCTTAGCCTGGCTCCTGCCTCTCCTACTGCATGTCTCAGCCTGCCTTTCTTTGCACTACCCACCCCCAACCACCCTCCAGAACATTTCTCTGGTCACCCATAGCTCAGATGCCCCTTTCATGTGCTCCCCAAATCCTCCAGCAACCACCGTGGTGAGTCTCTCTCTTCCCATGACCACATTGTCATCATCTCTAAGCCTGGCACACAGCAGGGACTCAAAAAATGTTTGCAGAGTTCATGCCTGTAATCCCAGCACTTGGGGAGGCCGAGGTGGATGGATCACGAGGTCAAGAGATCAAGACCATCCTGGCCAACATGGTAAAACCCCGTCTCTACTAAAAATACAAAAAAAAAAAAAAAAAAGGCTGGGTGCTGTGGCACGTGCCAGTAATCCCAACTATTTGGGAGGCTGAGGCAGGAGAATTGCTTGAACCTGGGAGATGGAGGTTGCAGTGAGCCGAGATTGTGCCACTGCACTCCAGCCTGGGTGACAGAGCAAGACTCTGTCTCGAAAAAAAAAAGTTTGCAGAGTCAATGTTGGATGAAATGAATGCAGGCCACATGAAGTCACCCAGCAAGACAAGCTTCTCTGAAACCACATCGAGTTCTCCCTTTGTTAAAAGGGACACAGGCCTGCACATTCTTCCTCTCCGCTCCTGTGCCCAGCTGGACAAAATAAACCTTCTTTCCACAAAGCAGCCCAGAGACCCTGCGCTAAAGGGAGCAGCCAGCGGTCCTGGGATTCCACAGCATTTGTTGGTTGAGAGCGAGCCAGAGAAGCAGTCACTCAAGGCTTTAGTTTAGAACATTCTCAAGGACTGAGGAGGAGGAGCAAGCAATGCCCCTTGCTAAACCTCTCCCCCATACATTATTCCTGTGACAGGAACTTTTGCAAAACAGTAAAATTTACAAGATGTTTAGCTGGGCAAGGACCTGTTTTCAATTCTGCATTTTTTCCAGTCTCTCCGAAAGGATGACTGACCAGGCTGCTTGAAATCTGATGCTGCGAAGATATTTTCTTGTGAAACCATGAGTTTATCTGAAATTGGCCACTTTGTTAAAAGAGACTCTAAAAATATTTGGAACAACATCCTTTATCAGCTTTAAGTCTGTTCCTTCTTTTTTTCACCCAACAAATATTTCTTGTGCATCTCACTACCTCCTAAGTAGCGAGTTAGGCACTGGAGAAACAGCAGTGAGCAAGTTAAGGATTAGCAGAGCTTCTAGGCCAGCAGGAAAATGATCTATAGGGAATACCAATAAAGTAAGAAGGAAGTACAGGAACTGTGGGATTAGACAGCAGGGTGTCCTAGCTCAGGGCTGTGGGACATACAGAAAGTCTATGTGGGAGAGGATTCCCACTGGCCTAATTGGGCCTGAACCCTGAATGCACAGCACTGTGTATGTGCACGTGCGTGAACGCACTGGCTCTGCTCTTGAAGGAGTTAAGAAGAAGCACCAAGGCACACTGGGGCATGAACACGTGTGCATATATGTTTATGCACACATGAGCACATGTGCATGCGTGCGAGCACCTATGTACATATGCATGCATATGTATGGAATATGAACAGGTAGGATGGGCATGTGTGTGGCGTGCAGGGCGCTGAACAGGGATCCCACTGCAGACAGCTGCGGTAGGACCAGATGGGACCGTACACAAGGATATTTATTTCTTACAGTATCACTCATGGCTGGCAAAAGGAAGGATGGGGGCTCTGGCAGCCTTAGGAATGCACCGGTTCTACCAAATGGATCTGGGACAAGGTCAGACTCGGAGGGTGGAGAAGTACACAGCCAGGGGGTTGTGCTGGAAGCAGGAGTGATGAAAATACCACGTTCTGAGCACATGCTAAGTGCCTGACAGGCAGGCCTTGTACGTGGGACGCTGAGAGTGTGGTTAGCAGACTAGTGATTTGAGCCGCTTTAACCCCCTCACTGCCTGCCCTCATTCGTTCTCCATTCCAGCTTTGCCTTATGCTGCACGAGAGAAAGACAGGCTCCAGATGTGAATCATGGGCAGAGATTAAAATGTCGGGATTAATACATTCTTTTTGTCTGATAAACTGTCAATGATTAAAAACAGGTGATAATACTCAGTGTGGGGAAAGGTATTGGGATGGCAATTTCATGGCATTTTTTTAGATGGCAAGTTTTGGCATTTATAGAACAAAAGTTTCAAAAATGTTTATACCCTTTGGCTCTATAATTCCAACTTCTAAGAATTATGTACAGAGATATCATCACAGCTTTATAGTGGTGAGAAGCTAGAAATTACTTCAATAGCCAATAATCCAGATCAGGGTAATAAATTATGGTTCACGCACTTAAGGAAATTATGGTCTCAAAGCAGCTAATGTATTTTTAAATCAAACAACAAGATTGAAACAACAGTGTGTTCAGCGTGATTCTAATTTTTAAAAAATTCTCCATACACAGATGAATATATGGGAAAAAGCCTGGATGATTGTACTTACATTGAAATGAAAGAGACAGTGTATTTTTATATATACACACGTATGTAAAAATCCCGGGGGGGGGGGGGGGGTCACCTTTCAGACTTGTACCATGATTGCTTCTGGGGACGAAGGAAACTCGGAAAGTGTACCCTTTACTTTCTATTTCTCTCTTTTGAATTTTCACAATCTGATTGTATTGCTGCAAGGTAGCATAGCTGAGTGGTTAAGAGTGAGCTTGGGACCCAGGCTTCCTGGGCTCACATCCTCACTCTATTCCTTCACAGCTGTGTGACCTCGGGCAAGTTACTTAACCTCTCTGTGCTTCAGTCTCCACAGCTGTAAAAGGGAGACAAAAACTCTCTAGTACCTACCTCATAGGGGAGTTATGATAAATAAATAATATACATAAAGCACCAAGAACAGTATGTGACCAGCACAACAGTAAGTTCTTAAACAGACAAAAAAAATTGTTATTTAATGTTAATTAGAGCTTGTATTCTCAATGGGGTAAGATCACCCACAAGGAGCAAAAATTGTTTCTTGGGGACAGGGTGAAAAAAATCTTGGATATTATAATGGTTTGTGGCCCTCCACAGGGCCACAGAATATAAATAGATACACAGGGCATCCTTGGCATTAAATTTTCAAGTATTCCAAAAAGAATGTCTAAAAAGACTTCTCAGGGAGGGCAAGGTGGCGGAAAAGGTTGAGAAACACTGTTGAATGTATCATACTAAGTTTCACAACACTCGGATTATATATTATGATATTTATAGTTATTTTCTGTGTGTGATGGGATTCACCATGATTTTCATTTTCTTTTTCTTACTGGGAGAATAAGAATTAGAAAACAGAAATATCTATGTGTTGCTTTCATAAAATAGTTTTGGTTTTTTGGGTTCATGGCAGGGTTATGTGTGCAACGGTGGCGTAGATTTGTTCTTCAAGTTCAGCCCTCTCTTTGGGGACTGTGATCTTGATGGGTCTATGGGGTCTGTAGAAACCCAGCTCCCAGCGGGGCATCTGGTCAGCTGTTTGTCCTGTTCTTGGCTTGTTGACCCTGGACAGCACCCGAGCTATATTTAGCATGGTGTTCTTTTCCTTTTAAAAATATGGAAAGAAGCTAATTTTATGCTTAGAGGATTTGGACCACACGGCTTCCAATATGTCCCTAAAACACAGTAGGCTTGGTGGGCAGTCTGGGGTCCTGGCTTGGCCAAACTCAACCTCTAGACCCTGGGGTTGGCCCCATCACTGCTCATGTCTGAGGAGGCCCTAAGGGAGGTATGAATGATTCTATATCTGAGTTTTTAAAGAAAAATTATTAACCAGTTAGAGAGGTATCTACCTGTTGTTATTTGAGGAGACTCAGGGCAGGCCAGAAGGCAACTCTTCATGCTAGTCTTGAGTTAAAGATCCACCTATAAAAAAACCACAGAGATGCAGCTTTCTAAGCAAGCTGTGAGCATTGCAATTGGAGTTACATGTTGGGGAGCCATGTGTTTTCTTTGTTTTTTAGGGGGAAAAGGGCAAGGGTTAGGGTAGGTATCTATGCAAGACAAGTGGTACCAGAAGAAGCCAGAATTCTGTACAAAAAAATATGAGTTGCAGAAGGATGACAACATGGTAGCTAACATTTATCAAACTCTTTCATGGTATTATCCATCTTAGACATGTGCTCCAGAGAATATCAGAGGAAATACTCTCAGGTCATCTTATAAGGAATGTATATACCTTGACACCAAAACTAGAAAAGAACAAGGCAGGAGAGGAAAATGACAGGCCAGTCTGACCCACCAGCCTAAACAAAAATCGGCAAATGGAATCCATGCTTCCCTCCTTCCCTCCCCGTCTCCCTCCCTTCCTCCCTTCCTTCCTTCCTTCCTGAGTCTTACTTTTTTGCCCAGGCTGGAATGCAGTGGTGTGATCTCAGCTCACTGCAACCTCCGCCTCCTGGGTTCATACAATTCTCCTGCCTTAGCTTCCCAAGTAGCTGGGACTACAGGCGCACACCCCCACACCTGGCTAATTTTTGTATTTTTAGTAGAGACGGGGTTTCACCATGTTGGCCATGCTGGTCCGAACTCCTGACCTCAGGAGATCCTCTTGCCTTGGCCTCCCAAAGTGCTGGGATTACAGAAGGGAGCACCCAGCCCAACCATATTTTTTAAAAAGATAACACATCATAATCAAGTTGGGTTTATCCCAAGAATGCAGGGTTTGGTTCAACATTAGAAATTGGTCCCAGGAGAAAGGATAAACCACAACGTGTCACTCTGTGGAGTATTACGTACGCAGCAGTGAAGGTGAGTAAACTGCAGCTGTGTGCACCAGTGAGGATGATCCTGACAAACATAATGTTGAACAGAAAAGCAAACTGCAGAAGAATACACACTGCAGAAATCCACTTAAATGAAGTTCAAAACCAAACAATATGTTGCTCTATTTTTGTAATATTAGGAAGAAACGCAAAGACTATAAACTAAAATTCAGGACAAATTCAGGCTACCTTCTGGCCAGGCACAGTAGCTCACACCTGTAATGCCAGCACTTTGGGAGGCCAAGGTGGGAGGATCGCTTGAGCTCAGGAGTTCGAGACTAGCCTGGGCACTATAGTGAGACCATGTCTCTACAATAATAATAATAGTAATAATAATAATAATAATAATAATAATGAGCCCAGTGTGTGGCTCACACCTGTAGTCCCAGCTACTTGGGAGGTTGAGGTGGGAGGATCTGCTTGAGCCTAGGAGGTAAAGCCTGTAGTGAGCCTTGAGCACGCCACTGCACTATAGCCTGGGTGACAGAATGAGACCCTGTCTCAACAAACATAGAAACAAACAAACACACACACACACTACCTCCTGGAGAAATGAAGAGTGAAGAATAGTACTGGGGAGGCGAACAGTGAAGGGTACATGAGCGTTTTATTATACTATTCATTACAATTCACATATATCTTATATATACTCTTTTGAATGACTGAAATAGTTTGTAACAAGAATGTCCAAAAGCCCATCAATGTGTTTTTATTACTTTTAGCATAAAATCCAAACTCCTTGGCCATGACCCTCAAGCCCCACCAGCCTGGACGAGGCTCCTGTCTTGCTGTCACAGCTCATATCTCCTGCTCACCAGCCCTCAGTGGTTTCCTTTCTGCTCCTCATTGGCACCAACTACTTCCTACCACAGGGCCTTGGAACTTGCTATACCTACTGCTTGAAAACACCCTTCCACCTGTCTCTTTTGTCTGGCTACTTATTTATTTATTTCTGTATTTAAAATTTTTTAAAAAATTATTTTAGAGACAGCATATTTCTTTGTCACCCATAGCTCACTGCAGCCTCGAACTCCTGGGCTCAAGTGATCCTCCCGCCTCAGCCTCCCAAGTACCTGGGATTACAGGTGCACACCATCACACCCAGCTAATGTTTTAATTTTTAATCTTTTTGTAGAGATGGAATCTTGCTGTGTTGCCCAGGCTGGTCTTGAACTCCTGGCCTCAAGCGATCCTCCTGCTTCGGCCTTACCAAAGTGCTGGGATTGCAGGCATGAGCCACCATGCCTGGCTATCTTACTACTTTTTAGTAGAGACCTCTGTCTCTCAGCTTAAATGCCACCTCCTCAGTGAGCACCTCTCTGACCATCCAGTGGAAATGCCTCCTCTCTCACACAGCTACACTTGGGTCCCCTGCTGAGTTCCTTGCCTTTCCTTCCCATGGGTGATGATAACACTTTGCAGTCAGTAGTAATCTCATTTTGCTTTCTTGTTGGCTCCCTGTCTCCCTCACTGGAGTATGAACTCTCTGAAACACGGTTCTTGTCTGTCTTGTCCACTGCCTGCTCCAGGCCCCAGCACCGCATGCCAGGAACTTAACAGGTACTTAGTAGATATTTATAGAACAAACAAATGAATACCTGGCAAGTTTAAAAGTTGAACCAATGTCTCATATCAATGAGGGGAAATTCCCAGTCCAAGCCTGAAGGGGAGAGGATTAATAAAAGCTAACTTGCAGGAAGATCCAGATACCCAAATCTTGTATCCGTATGCAAATAATTTGCCGGCAACATGAGGAAAATATGCAGAATAAATGTGATTTCCGTTGTGACCTGAGAAAGTGACTGTATCAGTATTCCCTGGTGGGGCTGGAGGTTTCAGCGGTTGCCTGGCCTTTGCAGGTGGAAGTCAGCAGGGAACATGGAAGCCTTTAGCCTCACCGCTCCACGCTGGGCAGAGGCTCTTTCCACTCGTGTGCACACCCCTGGCCAACCAGAGCCGGCAGGGAGGGGCTGTGCAGTGGGTGTGGAGGAGTCGGGGCCAGGGAGGTAGACCCAGCTCCAGACATCAGAGTGGCTGAGACCTGAGTGGGGCCATCACAG
Organism: Homo sapiens; assembly: GCF_000001405.40. Taxonomy (NCBI): domain Eukaryota; kingdom Metazoa; phylum Chordata; class Mammalia; order Primates; family Hominidae; genus Homo; species Homo sapiens. The sequence goes on along the minus strand of NC_000001.11, from coordinate 15,207,530 downwards.
CCAGGCACATCTGGATTGAGTCTCCATGAACTTGAACGTGAAGACAACGACTGAAATAAGATGGGACGATGGAAAGCAGCGCTGCCCCGGCTGAAACGGGGTAAAGGGCCCAAGCATTGATGGCTGGGCCTTCCGCTGCCTCTTCTCGCTGAATTGCAGAAACTCTCCAGGACACAGTTTAGAAACTGGGAATCGGATGTAGACCCTCACGTGACCACTGAGTTCTGTGCTGTGGCCCCGGAAGGTGCAGTTGCAGAAGCGCCCAGCCCAGCTGGCTTTAGTGGGAGGAGGTCTTGCCAGTCGGAGGCGGCTGGCGGTGCTACCAACCCCCATGACAGAGGGGCTCCTTGAGCATTCTCCCTGCACCGACCTCTTCCTGCCAAGCTGCATAATTGGGAAAGGGATCCCCGGTTCCACCGGGCTGTGCCACATTCACATCACAAAGGAGGAATTCAGTGGGGCTCTCTCTGCCAAGTTTCAGCCCACAATCACTTTTGTCACAATTTCCAGTCCCATGCAGTGGGGGTAGGAAAAAAGGTGCTGAGCCCCTGCTCCTGTCCTGCCTGGGAGGGAGTTTCAGGCTACCTCCCCACGGACCAAGGTCAAAGGGTGTCAGGTTCCTGTTTCAACAGAGCACCAGGGATCTTTTAGACTGTGCACTAGGGAAAAACAAAAAGCAATGTGCAAATGAGGCATAGAGGCAGGGGAGCTGGGAGGAGGGCTGCCCAGCTGGAGAGAGCTGATGGGAAAAAGAAGAAAGGATGTTAAGTAATACACAAGGCAGGGTAAGAAGAATAATGGTAACAAGAATAGCAGTCTCCGCAGCAGCTATCATGAAATCAGCAGCAGCTGATACTCAGCATGAATCAGGTGCATTCCTAAACTCACCCGATCCTCACGGCCACCCTTCAAGGAATGATCTGCCCCACCATCTTGGAGTCTTGGACAGGGTAAGTAATTTGCCCTGGGCCACACAGCCGGTAAGTGGCACAGTCGACTCATAATCAAATCCAGCTGACTGTGAAGTCCACCTGTGCCTGCACTATGCGGGTTCCCACAAAGCTGAGTCCCTGGGGGCCACTTTCTGGGCAAGGCACCGAGGTTCCCAGAGGTGTTTCAGGACAAAAGTGTGAGGGTGACAGGTAAATGTTTCCCTCCCTACCCTCCCTCCTTCCTTCCCTCCTTCCTTCTTCCCAGAGGTGTTTCAGGACAAAAGTGTGAGGGGGTGACAGGTAAATGTTCCCTTCCCTCCCCTCCCCTCCTCTTCCCTTTCTTCTCTCTCTCTTTTTTTTTTTTTTTTTTGACAGGGTCTCACTCTGTCATCCAGGCTGCAGTGGCATGATCATGGCTTACTGTACCCTTGACCTCCCAGGCTTAAGCAATCCTCCCACCTCGGCCCCCGAGGAGCTGGGACTACAGGCACACACCACCATGTCCAGCTATTTTTTGCGTCTTTTGTAGAGAAAGGGTCTCGCTCTGTTGCCCAGGCTGGTCTCGATTTCCTGGGCTCAAGCAATCTGCCTGCCTCAGCCTCCCAAAGTGCTGGGATTACCAGGCATGAGCTACTGGACCTGAACATTTCTTTTAAAATGACTTGTTGAAGATTTTGATTTAAACAATTCCCGGTTCCCCTACTGTATGCCAGGAGCTTTGGGGGATACCGAGATACATGAGACAGACTTTTACAATCCAGCAGGAAGACAGGCGATTCTGCCTAACAGAAGGGAAGTCAGCGTCAGAGAAAGCATCAATGTGTGTTGAATGCCAATTCTGTGCCAGGCCCTCTGTGGAGCTCTTTATGTGCATCATCATTTAATAGTTATTGGTTCTATTTTATAGATAAGGACACAGGTTCCAAGACGGAAAGTAATTTTTCTAAGGTCACACAGTGAGTACGAGGCAGGGGTAGGGTACGCCTGATCCTAAAACCCACACTTTTAAACACCAAGTAGCACTGCCAAAATGGAGCGTGTCTGAAGAGCTTCCAAAAAGAATGACGGATTCAATTTGAGGAGGGCAGGGAGAAGGAAGATACGCATGCAGCTCTGCAGGGCCTTGAGGCCTCTGTGGCCTTCCTGTGGGTGGAATTTGGGGGTAAGAGATCAGGATATTCCAGGGTGAGGGCTCAGCCTCAGTAATCCCACAGCGATGGGAAAGTGGGCATCTTCCAGAATATGTCATGGCTTGCAGAGAAAAGAGGCAGCTTCCCTCCCCGACTCCAAACACAAGCTGTCGGTGCATTGTATAAAACCTGACATCACCAGGGTCCTTGCTAATCCACGTAAGTGTTGGAGAAATTAAGGAAGACAAGTTCATCTTGAAGACTCAAGGGACCAGAAGCAGAAGCAGCGAGTTCATGAACCATACATCTTTTCTTGAGGCACTTGACATAGTGTCTTTCTCTAAGCAGGTGGCTGGTGTCCAGCCTTATTTAGAAGGCTGGCACGGGGGACCCAGTCACATTCAGTATTTCTTGGGAAATGTGACATCTCACATTTCAGAGACTTCCTCTGCCAGGATAGCACTGAGGGATGCAGATCTCCTGTCCCCGTCAGCCCAATGTGAGTCTGACACCTCGAACCTTCTCCAGGTTCTGGCCATCGGTGTCTCTGGGGACAACAGCAGCAGCCCCCCGACCCTGGCAAACAAGGCTAAGCACAGGCTCTGACCATCAGCCAGACCCCCAGTACTCTAGTCCCCCAACCCCCAGCACATAGTTAGGGCACTGACACCCCAGGCACTTTACACAATTTAGCTCATTTATCCCACCCAACAGTCATATAAGGGAGGTACTGTCATCCCCACCTCTGTCCATTTTATCAAGGAATACGCTGAGGCACAGAGGTGGAGAAACTTGCCCAAAGTCTCAGTTTAGTAAGTGGCAGCGCCTGTCCACAAAGCCCCTTGTTTAGGCCGTCCTCATTCACGGAGCAGCAGAAAAGCCAGCCTTTCCACCAAGGCAGGGCAGAGTTCCCATCAATGAGGTCTCGCTCTCTCACCCAGGCTGGAGTGCAGTGGCGCGATCTTGGCTCACTGCAACCTCTGCCTTCCAGGTTCAAGTGATTCTCCTTGACTCAGCCTCCCAACTAGCTGGGATTACAGGCGTGCGCCACCACACCCGGCTAATTTTTGTATTTTTAGTAGAGACGAGGTTTCACCACGCTGGCCAGGCTAGTCTTAAACTCCTGACCTCAGGTGATCCGTCCGCCTCGGCCTCCCAAAGTGCTGGGATTACAGGCGTGAGCCACCTCACCCAGCCTAGGTGGACAACTTTGGAGGCTCAGCCCTGGAATCTGAAGAGTGGGAGGACTGGGGGCCTGGAAGAGAAGCTGGAGCCTGTCCCACGTTGCTGCCTGTGGTCAGTGTTCCTGGTGGCCAGCCAGGCTTGTGTGAACCTCGGTGCCATCTGGACTCAGCATTTGTCCTTGTGTGACAGGCAGTTCTGGACACTGACTGGACTCATTTAGTTTGTCTTCCCCAAGGGGCATTTTGCAGAAAAAAGGAGAGAAGTCACAGATGAGAATTTATCAAATCAGGGACTGCAGAGGGTGCTGGTGAGTATCCACTCCACCTGTTATGCCGTGGGACTGGGAGCCTGGGCTCCAGATCAGAGGCCGGGTTTGTATCTCAGCTCTGTAACTTAGTAATTACCTAGACAAGACAATTCTTAGGGCTCTCAGTCTCAGCTCTGTCATCTGTACAAAGTAAATTTTACTGGGATCTACCTCACTGGGTTTATAAGTGACGAGCTCAGAGTTTTGATTACAGGTGTTTATTCATTTACCTAACACAATATTAACTGAGCACCTACTATGGACCAAGTCCTGATCTAAGCACTGAGGACATAGAAACAATCAAAACAGACAGAAGGCCTTGTCCCCATAGAGCTCACATTAGAGTCTGTGGTATGGTAGCAGGTAATACAAGCTAAAAGAAAATAACAGAGCTGTGGGTAGTGATTTTAAAAACAGGCCAGGTGTGGTGGCTCATGTCTATAATCCCAACACCTTGGGAAGCCGATGCGGGTGGATCATGAGGTCAGGAGTTCGAGACCAGCCTGACCAACATGGTGAAACTCTGTCTCTACTGAAAAAAAAAAAATACAAAAATTAGCCGGGAGGGGTGGCGCACGCCTGTAATCCCAGCTACTCGGGAGGCTGAGGCAGGAGAATGGCTTGAACCAGGGAGGCGGAGGTTGCAAGTGAGCCGAGATCACGCCACTGCACTCCAGCCTGGGTGACAGAGCGAGACTCTGTCTCAAAAACAAAAAACAAAAAACGGTGGCCAGGTACACAGTCACCAAGAAAATGATATCTGAGCAGAGATTTGAAGGATGCGAGGGAGGAATCACATGAATACCTGGGGAAGAACATTCCAGGCAGAGGAGGGAACCACAGAGCCAAGGCTCTAAGTCAGGAGCCTGCCCAGCACTTTTCAGGGACCATAAAGCTGAAGAATCCATGAGTGAATACATTGAGGGCCTTGACCCAATGCCCTGCAGACAGTAGCTGCTCTAATTGTGCCAGAAATCCTTTAAAGGCCTATGGAGGCAGGTGGGCGTCCATTAATCTTTACAGAGGCCCAGAAGGGGTCAGAGACTAACTGAAGGCCATTCAAGTTAGGGGCAGAGAAGAAGCGGGGTCCTGCACAGGGTTCTTTGCTGCTCACCACCCTGTGTTTCTTGGAATTTGGGAACAGGCACATGGGAGGCTGAATCGTGGTCTTCAAAGATATCCGGGTCCTAATCAAAATTTGTAACTTCTAGCCTATATGGAAAAAGTGCCTTTTTGGACATGATTAAGTTAAGAATCTTGAGATGGGGAGATTACGTTGGATCATCCAGGTGGGCCCAATTTGATGAGTAGTAGCCTTATAAGAGGGAAGCAGAAAGGTCAAAGGAGGAAGCAGGAGATGGAATCATGGAAGCAGGAGGATGTGAGGAGAGAGTCACAAGTCCAGGGATGCAGGTGCCTCCAGGAGCTGGAAAAGGCAAGAAGACGCATGCTCTCCTAGAGCCTCTGGAGGAACCAGCCCTGCCCACATTGTGATGTTAACCCATGAAACTGAGGCTGGACTTCTGGCCTCCAGAACACATTTATTGCAAGACAATAAATGTGTGTTGTTTTCAGCCATGAAGTTTGGGGTAATTTGTTATGGCAGACCCAGGCAACTCCTGCAGGTGGCATTCCCGTTCACACCTGTGTATGGTGCCTGCCAGCACAGACTGTTTACCTACTCAATAGCTGATTTGATTAGGCACAGTTTCTCAATCCTGATAAAACCAATCGCTTGGTGAATTATGCGCCCTTTCCTCGTGTGGCCAGGTTGGAGGGAGGCTTGGCATGGCGGTGCTCCTCTACCAAGTTTACATTTTAACCCAGGATTCTGCTAACGAGCCAAGTTTACACTTGTTCTAACATTGCTGGGACCAACAAACTTGATAAAGGTATTCTCGTGCTTGAGTCAGCAGGCACCCCACTTCCTGGGGGCTCAAAACTGCAGTTCCAAAGTGCTGACGACAGGACAAGACTGACGTTTACTTTAAGTACTCATTATATGAGGGCTTTTAAGCCAAAAGTCGAGGTACGTGAAGCAGACAGCCAGCCCTCTGCAGGCCCACGAGTCCTGCAGAAGCAAGCCCTCTGTGTTCCCAGACTTTTCTTAGACCAGCTCTGATTCTGGAGATTAGGACGCCGTTTGAGAAAGTTTGTCCTGCCCATATCTGGACATTTTCTTTTTTAGCCACCGCAATGCTGTCTCTGTAGAAGTGGTTCCCAAACCTGCTGCCAAGAGCTCTTTTGGTATTGAGCCGAGCTTGTCCCCCTCCCCTCGCCATTCCCCGTTCCCTCATCTCCACTTTATACCTGACTTTCCTACTCGAAGCATCTTAGCCAGAGCTGCTTTCTCGAGTCCTGGGTTTCCTTCCTGTCTTCGATTTTTAGGAAGTCACTTGTCACACTTGATTCTTTTTCCAACTGTTACATTTCGGAATTGTGGCAACTACAGTGAACATTCTCCTAAGCTCCTATGAAATGCCAGTGCTGGGTGCCTTACATGCCTTTATTATTATTTATTACTTATTATTACTATTAATTTTATGTATTCCATTTTTAAATTTTATTTATACAATTTTAATACTCATTATATATTTACTTTTCTTTATTAATTTTATGTATTCTGTTTTGTTTTTATTTATAAAATTTTAATATATTTATTTTTCTTAACGACCTATTACGAATATTATTTACTTAATATAATCACAGTCTAATTTCTCAGTTATTTATTACCATGCTTAAACTTCCCAAGCTGATGAAAAAGTTTCTAGAATAAGCCCCATTTCACAGAAGAGGAGCCTGTAGTTAGGGAAGTTAAGAAACTTGCTCAAAGTCACACAGTGAATGGTGCAGCAAAGATTCAAACTAGACACGACTCACTCCGAGTGATTAGTTTTATCTGGATGAAGGAATTGTGCCCAGTCAAACCAACTATTGGGTAAGTAAACAGCCTGCGTGCTGGCAGGTGCCATATACAGGTGTGAGGCACCTGTGGCACACTCCACTGCCTGGTGCCTCCCGGGCCCCCCACTCCCACGAAGAGATCCTCCCTGTGCTGCGGCTGACAGAAACTTTCCCTAGGTCAGTTTCAGTCTCTGTGGTCAGGAGATACAATTCCCTGTTTTTCTTAGTGTCGTTTTTCCCTTCATGAAAACCAGCTTCCCCAGTGTGAGTCATTCAGTCCCCTGCAGCTCTGATACTCATCTGGATGTGTTGTAAATAATTGACGCTGAGATGTTTAATCATAAAACTGGAATTAAGGTTAAAAGGGGACAGCTTGCAGGGAAGGGGAGGGGAAGAGAGATTAAGAGCTTGTATTAGTTTGCTGGGGCTGATATAACCAGTACCACAGTCAGGGTGCCTGAAACAACAGAAATCTATTTTTTCACAATTCTATAGGCTGGAAGTCCAAGATCAAGGTTGGTTCCTTCTGAGCAAGGTTGGTTCCTTCTGAGGCCTCTCTCTGTGGCCTGTAGATGGCCACCTGTTCCCTCTGTCCTCACGCGGTTGTCCCTCCGTGTGTGTCTCTGTCCTAATCTCTCTCTTTTTTTTTTTTTTTTTTTTTTTTTGAGACAGAGTCTCGCTCTGTTGCCCAGGCTGGAGTACAGTGGCATGATCACAGTTCACTGCAGTCTCGATATCCCAGGCTCAGGCAATCCTTCTGCCTTAGCCTTCTGAGTAGCTGGGGACTATAGGTGCATGCCACCAAGCCTGGCATTTTTTTGTAAAGATGGAGTCTCCCAGTATGGCCCAGGCTGGTCTTGAAATCCTGGGCTCAGGAGATCCTCTTCTCACAAGGACACCAGTGATATTGGATTAGGGCCCACTCATATGACTTTACTTCACCTTGATCCCCTATGTAAAGGCCTTATCTCCAAATGCAATCCCATTCTGAGTACTGGGGACAGGGGGCTTCAACAAAGGAATTTGGCGGGGGACGCAATCCAGCCCACATTTGCTTCGCTTAGGCCCTCTTTCCCACTGGGTAATAAAAAAGATCTACCCTGGGCCGAGTGCTCACAACCTCCACGGTATTGCTAATATGTTTCACACATCATCTCCCAGCAGCCCCGGGAAGGAAGTGCTACGGTCCCCACTTCGCAGAGAAGTCAGGGCACAACAGCTCACAGGAGGGAACTAAATCCCACCTCTGCCCAGCAGCAGCTAGGATACAATATTGGTCTCATAGGGTTGAGGGGTGAGCGTGTTATCCACGTGGAGGGTTATCCAACAGAGTGTTTGGCTGGCTGTGTGCAGGTACCACAGGGAAAGTATATCATTTCAGAGCTGGAGGGCCCTGGTGACAGAGAAACATGGAGACTGGGGAGATGGGAGACTATGGCAGCTGAAGGCAAGGACCCTGGCATGCATCTGCTTCAGTAGCTGCTCCTTACGCCTCTCAGAATCTCAGTTTCCTCTTCTGTGTTTGGTGCTGCCAAGACATGATGCTGCAGGGAAAGCTGGCATTATGATTCCCCCAACCCGTGGCTAGCCCACCCTCACAACCACCTGCCCCCCTGGGTTTTAAAATCTCTGTGAACTGACCGGGTGTGGTGGCTCATGCCTGTAATCCCAGCACTTTGGGAGGGCAAGGAGGGTGGATCAGCTAAAAGTCAGGAGTTTGAGACCAGCCTGGCCAACATGGTGGGACCCCATCTCTACTTAAAATATAAAAAATCAGCCAGGCATGGTGGCGTGCGCCTGTAATCCCAGCTACTCGGGAGGCTGAGGCAGGAGAATTGCTTGAACCCAGGAGGCGGAGGTTGCAGTGAGCTGAGATTGCGCCGTTGCACTCCAGCCTGGGCAACAAGAGTGAAACTTCGTCTCCAAAAAAAAAAAAAGTCTCCGTGAACTAAAAAAAGACACAATCGACTTTCTTCACAGCCAGCATGGCATTATGGCATTCAGAAGTGGCCTCACTGTCTATAGAGAAGCCCTGGTGAAACTTCCATGCTGGAAAACGATTTCACAGGGCTCAGTGGGCACATCTTGGGTGTTTTTCCCCTCTGCCACGTCAATCTGTAAACACCAAGCAGGTCCCAGCTAAGGGCCGGAAACGGGGTTGACCTCCTGAGGAATGCACCAGAGAGATCTGGCCAAGGTGAGATGTCACCTGCCCGGCACAGCTCACCTCCAAGCACAGTGAGCCTGCTGCTCTTTCCTCCTTCTCCCTGTGCTGGAGGGAAAGAAAAGAGAGCGTGCCAATTCACTGGTCTGATGTTTTCATTTGGTCGGCAGGGTGGCTGAGTTTTGCCAGTTGGCCAGGTGGGGTGGCTCACGCCTGTGATCCCAGCACTTTGGGAGGCCGAGGCAGGCAGATCACTTGAGGTCAGGAGTTCAAGACCAGCCTGGTCAACATGGTGAAACCCCGTCTCTACTAAAAATACAAAAATTAGCCAGGCGTGGTGGCGGACACCTGTAGTCCCAGCTACTCGGGAGGCTGAGGCACCGAGAATCACTTGAACCCGGGAGGCAGAGGTTGTAGTGAGCTGAGATCACGCTACTGCACTCCAGCCTGGGCAACACAGTGAGACTCTGTTTCAAAAAATAATAGTAATACTAATTTTGCCTATTTGTGGTTCCCAATATCCGTGTTCCCCTTCCTCCATAGTAAGCTGATGCTCGGCTTTCCGTGGCTTCCTAGAATAAAGATAGCAGTACCCAGCCTCTTAGGCAGCTCACTAGCGGTTGCATGTGACTAAGTTCTGGCCAATGGGATATAAGCAGGGTGTGTATAGGGGGTGGGGCACATTCAGGAAGGGAAACATGTTAAATGAGGAGACATGTCTCCCCCTGCTTCCCACTTCCTATTGGTTCTAGTGCAGATGTGATGGTTGGAGCTCAAGCAGCCATACTAGGATGTGAGGTAGAGACTGGCAGAGCAGCAAGATAGAAGGAGCCTAGGTCCCTGAGGATCACGGTGCTGCCTTTTCAGCCCTGGACTGCTGACCTCTGGACTCTGTTTACATAAGAGAAAAATAAAGGTTTATCTTATTGAATCTGCTTTTTTTTTTTTTTTTTTGTCATGTATAGCCAAAGCTACGCCTGTCCACACAGGCTGAGAGGTTCACGGTTGTGGGAGGAAAGGTGGTGGCTGGCTGGGTGCAGATACCACAAGGAAAGGGACATAGTTTCAGAGCTGGAGGGCCCTGGTGACAGACACAGCGAGATCAGGGAAGTGGAGGGCTACGGCAGCTGAAGGAAAGGACCCTGGTGTGCATCTGCTTCACTAGCTGCTCCTTCCACCACTGAGAGCCTCGGTTTCCTCATCTGTAAAATGGCAACAATGATACCATCCCGACAAGAGAGTACACAGAGCCTGTGCCCATAATCGGAGCACTGGTCACAACACACACTTAGCAGGAATGAGGTGAGTGATTCAGTACGGGGCTTTTGGAGAGAGCCTCAGTACGGGGCTTTTGGAGAGAGCCTCAGCCAGAAGCAGGGTAAGAAGATGGCCTGGGTAAAGATGCAGAGAAGGCCTCTTCAGTCAGAGAGGCCGGGAAGCCCTGAAAACGCAGGGTCCAAAGGTCACAGGAGGAGGTGTCCAACAGGGAGGGGCACCGGTCAGTCTCAAGCGCCCCAGAGAAGTTGAGAGGATGCTGTTGTTTTACCTGCCCAGCAGGCACTCCTAACCTGCTGGGAACAGTGCCTGGTTTTCCTTCTCTAGGGCCCTCCCCATTCTCAGTCCATATGACTTTGATTCTGGCTCAAGGGGCAGGCACATGCCCAGGCCTGGCCAATCAGGGCCTCCCACACTCTGGGGCACAGTGATAATTTCAAGACGGACACGTAACCCACACTGGGCCAATGAGTTTCAAATTTTAACTTTCCCTGGAATTGCTGAGAAAGAGACACTCCTCCATTGCATAGGCAGCTCAGAGCATTGGGCAGAGAAAGCCTGCCTGGGAATGAATGAACACAGCAAAAAGCAGAACCAAACGGCAGGGAGTGAGTCCTCATGGCACTGTTTGCAAACCTGGATCCCGCTGTGTCTGAAGAACCCTGGAGGGCTGAGTGATAAGAGCTCATTCATTACACTGAGTTTTCTGTCTCCTGCATTTGAAAGAGTCCTAGAATGCCAAAACTAGAAACTGAATTCTAGTCAACACTTATCTTTAGAATTCTGCACTACATCCCAGGGCCAACTAGCTGAATTAATAGGTGACTTGAAATTATGTTGTCACTGTTGTTTAATGCACATACTTGTTCATAAGTCTTTTTAAATTGGAAACTGGGAAAACAATTTTTTTGAAATGACATGTAAAATTGGATGGTCATTCTGGTACCAGTCTGGAAGCACTTAATTCAATAAAATTAAAGGGCTGGGTACAATAGTTCATGCCTGTAATGCCAGTGCTTTGCGAGGCTCAAGTGGGAGGATTGTTTGAGGCCAGGAGTTTGAGACCAGCCCAGGAAACATAGAAAGACCCTGTCTCTTGCTGTGTGTGCTGGTGCACCATGTCTCTAGAAAACAAAGTCTCCACATACTCCCTCACAGTGGTATGCTGGTAAACTAGCTCTCTCTCCCTCCCCCTCTCTCTTTCACATGTGTGCATGCACACGCACACACACACACACATGCACACACACACACAGCCCAGATTTGTAGTGATTGCCACGGCCCATCGCTGTGGTGTAAATATTCCCATCACAGCACTATCGAGCTACTGACACGATGTCACTGAACTCGGAGTAGGGAGGAGATGTGCATAATTGGCTGTTGTAAAGTGGTCCAAGCTCACTCTGGCACAGCACGGCAGGTCTCCAGCTGAGTTCACATCCCACACAGGGCCCGTGGGTGAGGCTGTCCACTGCAGCAGTCTGGGTGTCTCTGGGTGGGGGATGGATGGGTGGATGAGCTAGGCGCACACCATGCAGTGCCATGCAATTGTCAGATGCAGTGAGTGAGATGCACACACAGCAAAGTCGCAGGAATAAAAACTCAGGGCTGAGGACTGCCTCCATCTTTTAAGTGATGGGGAGGGAACTTTTTGCCTTGAGTAAGCCACGGAGTTGCAGGTCTCTGAGGACCCACACATAATTGATACTCTCAACACATCTCAGAAAAAGAAGTTCAGCCAGGACTGCTTGGGCTTCTTTCCCACAAGCCACGTCTCCTGGGAATCCTGCTGGGTCAAGGCCGAGGGCAGTCGGTTGGGCAGGAGATGCTCGTTAGGAGCTGGGCTCTGTGCTCAGGCTGCTGGAGTCTGGAATCAGGCTCAGTACCCACTAGGTGTGCAACCCTGGGCCAGCTCTTCCCTCAGTCTCAGAATGGGGGTGATGTGAGGACAAAGTGACATGTCATATAGCAAGCCCTAGCTGGTAGTAATCTCAGAACTCAAGGAAGAATCGATGAGTCAAGAGACTCAGAGAAGGAGCTAGAACATCCTAGAGAATGAGGGCAAACCGGTTCCTTTGAGGTAGCCTAGAGAAGATGAACGAGGGTGGGGGACTCATGGGAACAAACTATGGGGACAAGAGAGTCCCAATAAACTCTATGGGACTCAAGATGTGGCCAGTCTGCATTGGGATGTGCTATTCAAGTGTAAAACACACACTAGATTGCCAAGGCTTATCAGGACAAAAAGAAAATCTCACTAACATTTTTATATTAATTACGTGTTGAGATGACAGATTTTGGATATATCAAGTAAAATCTATTATTAAAATTAATTTTCCTGTTTCTTTGTCCTTTTATAAAAAGATGTGGTTGCCAGGAAATTTAAGATTATATATGGGGCAGGCCGGTGCAGTGGCCCACGCTTGTAATCCCAGCACTTTGGGAGGCCGAGGTAGGCAGATTGCTTGAGCTCAGGAAATCGAGACCAGCCTGGGCAACATGACGAAACCCCATCTCTACAAAAAATACACACACAAAAAAACTAACGGGGCATGGTGGTGAGTGCCTGTAGTCCCAGCTACTTGGGAGGCTGAAGTGGGAGGATCACTTGAGCCTGGGCAGTGGAGGTTGCAGTGAGATGAGATCGCGCCATTGCACTCCAGCCTGGGTGACACACAGCAAGACCCTGTCTCAAAAAAAAAAAAAAAAAAAAAAAGTAAAATTATATATGGGGCTTGAATTCTCTTTCCATTGGATAGTGTTGCTGCAGGTGCGCTCTTGAATTTATGGCCAGGAAAATAAAATTGCTGGCTGAAAAACGTAAGGTAGGGGATAACCAATCAGAATGAGACAGAACGCAATATCATCCACGGAAATGAGAAAGACACAATGTACAAGACCACAGCCAACAAGAGGCATGTTAAACATGTTAGGATGGGTGCCCTGGATGGAATAGGAGAGGGGAGAAAAGAGGAATAAAAGAATAACAACGAAAAGATAGGAAGCGGCTGTGTAGGGCCCAGTAACAATGACATGTTACAAACTGAGAGGTGCATTAACCTAGCCCTCTGAGCTGAGGCCCAGCACCTCTCTAAATCCAGAGAAATGGTGGCTCCCCAATTCCACAGCAACAGGGAGCCACGGAGCCCACTGCTATGGCCAGTGCAGTCCCAAGGGGCACGTGGCAGGAATGGACTGATGGACAATGCGGGGCTGAGCTCCAGGTGACCCAATGACAATCACACCCAGCTTGCTGTCAGGTGGCCAGAGGGAACTAGCTTTCATCAAGTTTCTGAGGCTTAGGAGGACAAAAAGAATACCTCACTAACATTTTTATATTAATTTCATGTTGACATATTTTGAACATGTCGAGCTAAATATATTATTAAAATTAATTTTGCCTGTTTCTTTGTCCTTTTTAAAAAAGGTGTGGTTACCAGGAAATTTAAAATTATATATGGGCCTTGAATTCTATTTCTGTTGGAAAGTGTGGCTGCAGGAGGTAAACTTTCAAGGGTGTGAATTTTTGTCATTTTTGTTCACTGCCCTCTCTAGTCCAAGAACAAGCCTGGCACAGGCCAGAGGAGCTTAATAGATGTTTGTTGAATGAAGGAATAGCACAGCATAGTGGTATAGTGGAATCTGTTGAGTGAATCAGTAGTTGGCTTAGCAGTAGAGTGGAATATAGATGGATTTTGGAGTCTGTGGGATGTAGGTTTAATTCTGTACACCCCTGGCAATGCCCTTCACCTCCTCACCTGTTAAAAAGAAAATGCTGGCCAGGCGCAGTGGCTCACGCCTGTAATCCCAGCACTCTGGGAGGCCAAGGCAGTTGGATCACCTGAGGTCAGGAGTTCGAGACCAGCCTGGCCAACATGGTGAAACCCTGTCTCTACTAAATAAAAATACAAAAATTAGCTGGGCGTGGTGGCACGCACCTGTAATCCTGAATCACTTGAACCCAGGAGATGGAGGTTGCAGTGAGCCGAGACCGTGCCACTGCACTCCAGCTTGGGCGACAGAGTGAGACCCTGTCTCAAAAAAAAAAAAAAAAAAAAGAAAGAAAGAAAAGAAAAAGAAAATGCTGTCTACTTCCCCAGCCACTTCTGAGAGTCCAGGTCCGGCACAGGACAGGCACACTGCAAGCTGCTGTTGTCATTTGCTGTGGGAAACCTGGGGAGGCCAGAGAACAGTGCCACAGGGCTGTTGCCTTTCTGGGTGTGTGAATGATAACTCCACGTTAGGTGCCAGCCTGTGATCTCAAGCAGCTGCTCAGAGGTTTATCCCAAGACAGAAGGGCCCATATCCATCCCACTGCAGGAACTACAGCCAGTTTCCCCACAAAGACAGGCAGTGGCAGCCTGGAGAGGGAGGCCTAGGGCCGGCAGCTGGTGCAACTGGGGACTAGGAGAGGTACCTCCATGGGTCACCTGGAATGGCTCTAATTCAGAAACCCCCAGATGACAGCGCAGGCTGTTCTGTGGGCTTCTCAGATTCCTCCCCAGAGGGGCCCTCTGCGGGCTGCTACGCCGGTGCTGTGCCTGGGCGCCTCCGTGCTCTCAGCCAACAGCCTCTAAGCACCCGCCCCAATGCCCCCGGGAACTGGCGGGTGGCAGCCCTCACTGGGACCCTCCTGTGGGCCCAGGGGGACAAAAGTGGCTCTCAATCCAGCACATGCACATTGAAGCAAGTCAAAGGATTTACTATGAAGCATAGAAGCAAACCGTGCCAAATAGCAAGTACACATTTGTGAGTGGGGCAGCATTTCCTTCTCCCACTGCTGCAGAGATGGCAGAAATCCGTTGAATTCAGTAAGAAATGGAATAGACTGCAGGCATTAGTCAGTAAGTGAGGATCCCAGAAAAGTTAAAAGTAGCACCACCGGCCAGGCGCAGTGGCTCACGCCTGTAATCCCAGCACTTTGGGAGGCCGAGGTGGGTGGATCACGAGGTCAGGAGTTCAAGACCAGCCTGACCACGATGGTGAAACCTGTCTCTACTAAAAATACAAAAAGTAGCCGGGTGTGCTGGTGCGCACCTGTAATTCCAGCTACTCGGGAGGCTGAGGCAGATAATTGCTTGAACCCGGGAGGCGGAGGTTGCAGTGAGCCAGGAGATCATGCCACTGCACTCCAGCCTGGGCAGCAGAGCAAGATTCTGTCATAAAAAAAAAGGAAAAGAAAAGAAAGAAAGAAAGAAAGAAAAAAAGTAGCACTGCCAAACGCTGACCTGGAGCAAGGATTCCAAGAAGGAGTTCCTGATACTAGTGTGCAGGTTCTGGAGAGGGTTGGTGTTGTAAGAAATAATGAAGATATTCCACTTTCAAGACCAGTAGATCCTGACCTTATTCAATCAACTCCCTTCAAACCCCTGGTGCTAAAAACTAAGTGAAAGACCACCAGATTTTCTGGATTTAGAAAGATCTCTTACAACCCCTGAAAATGAAGAAATCTTTGCAGCCGGCAGACTAAAGAGGGCACGGTCTATGAATGAAAATGCTGTTCATCAAAACGGACAGCTGGTCAGAAATGATTCTCTCCCTGTGTCGCGTGGCAGGTCTGCTCCGGCCACTTCTAATCCTCATCATGACAACATCACGTATGGCATTTCAAATACAGACGCAACAACTGAAGGAACATCGGATGACCTGACTGTTGTAGACGCAGCTTCACTAAGACGACACATAATCAAACTAAATAGACGCCTACAACTTCTGGAAAAGGAGAACAAACAACGTGCTAAAAGAGAAATGGTCACGTAAGTCAATTACTGTAGCTTTCTGGCTGTTTAATAGCTGGCACTGGTTTGGCCACTAGAGTAACATCAGCTCTCAAAAATATTGTCTCAACAGCTGGAAATAAAAAGATTTGCAAACTTCAAAAAAAAAAATTTCTCCCCAGAGAAGCAATTACTACTGAAAAATATATTTGCATTTGGGATGAGTGATCTAGGAACACGGAGGCTGAGGAGGAGGAAGAGAAAATAGCAGTCATCTCACAGCCGTGCTCTGCTACTTATTAAAGTGAGGCTTTGGGCAGATGAAGGAAACTCTCTGGGCCTGAGTGTCTGTGCCTCTAGCATGGGAATGGCAGTGGTGGCTGCCCTTCCCAGCAGGGGCCTCTGGGGGCCAGGTGAGGCGACTTGGACCAGTGACTGTTCCTCAGCTGACTCGACGTGGGTGAAAACCTGATAAACGGCTACCCACCGCCCCAAGAAGGGCTGTGTTAATTTCATGTTGCTTCTCCAGCCACTTCTGATATAGCAAACTGCCACCAACTTGTGGCTTCAAGCAACACAAAGGTATTCTCTTGTCGTTCTGGAGGTCAGAGGTCTACAATCAAGGTGACCAACGGCTGTGTTCCTTCTGGAGGCTTCAGGGAAGAAATCCATTTCCTTGCCTCTTCCAGCTTCTAGAGGCCACCTGCCCTTGTTGGCTGCTGGAACCTTCTTCCACCTTCAAAGCATATGCATCCAGCTTCTGCTTTGGTCACCACACCTCCTTCTCTGACTCCGGCCTGCCTGCCTCCTCCTTATAAGAACTCTTGTGGGGCCGGGAGCAGTGGCTCACGCCTGTAATCCCAGCACTTTGGGAGGCCAAGGCTGGCAGATCACCAGGTCAGGAGATCAAGACCATCCTGGCTAGCACGGTGAAACCCCATCTCTACTAAAAATACAAAAAATTAGCCGGGTGTGGTGGCACGTGCCTATAATTCCATCTTCTGGGGAGGCTGAGGCAGGAGAATTGCTTGAACCCGGGAGGTGGAGGTCGCAGTGAACCGAAATAGGGCCACTGCACTCCAGCTTGGGCGACAGAGTGAGACTCTGTCTCAAAAAACAAAAACAAAAACAAAACAAAAAACCAAAAACCAAAAACAAAACAAAAAAACTCTTGGGACTACATCATGCTCACTTGGATAACCTGGGATCATGTTCCTGTCTCAAGAGCCCTAACTTAATCACACCTGCAAAGGCCCTTTTACCATGTAACGTAAATAGTCACAGATTCTAAGATTAGGATGTAGATCTTTTGGGGGTAGGGTAGGGGAGCATTATTTAGCCTACCACAAGGGCCACAGGCACAATCCTGTATAATTTAAAGGGAATTCACTGGCTTTTCCTGGAGTGTCCCCCAGGATAAGATTTCCTGCCCTGGTATCTGGCAGCAGGGCTCTTGCAGCTTCAGGTGGATCTAGACAATGTGTGTCAGGTTCCAAATTGGGAGGAGTACACATTTTATCAGAGGGCGTTTCATTTTTAAAAGATGCATCTTCACATTGTGCTTAGAAGAGTTCACATGCACTGAATGCTTCCTCTGAGCCCAGATGACCTCATGTCATCACGAAGCAGCCACCACTGCCAATCCCATGCTAGAGTCACAAACACTCGAGCCCAGAGAGGTTCCTTAACCTGCCCAAAGCCTCATGTTAATAAGTAGCAGAGCACGGCTGTGAGACAGATAGTGAGTCCAGAGTCCATCCTCTGAACCCCTCTAAAATCCCGTCTCTCACCTGCCCCCAAGCCCTGCTCTAAAAGAAGGAGTTTTTAATCTACACACCAGTTCCATGAACAAAGCACTCCTTTATCTAAGGTCAGAAGCAGAGGTTTGCTAATGACAGAGAGAGGGAAGGGGATGAGGGGTTGTCCCAGGCCGTCAGTAGCAAAGACAAATACCAATGTCTTAAGCAACCTGCCTTGGAAGACAGGGGTCAAGGCTGAATGCCGAAAGGGCCTCTCTGCCACCTTGGGTTAGCCCCTGCTATCCAGGGCTCACGGGGCTGCCTGAGGCCTTATGTCCAGGAACTTTGCCCTCTCTGGGCTTCACAGATGAATCACAACCCACAGGCCTAGAGCCCTGCCCCGGTACCAGCCACTGAGCTGGACATTTTGCATGTCATCTTTGTAAATGGAATCATCCCAACACTCCCTGGCTGCTGTCTTGTCCCTGCTGTAAGAGGAGGGAAGGGAGTGGAGATCACAGGCTCATAACCAGCACTGTGCAGATTCAAAACCAGATCATCCTCCTGCAAGCCCCACGGTGGGTGTCCCAGCCTCTGGTAGATCAGTGAGTGTTCCCTCAGGCCAGGAGCTATGCCAGCATCATCTCTACCCTCTGGGGTGTTTAGATCCAAAAGATGAGCTAAGGAATTGTAACTCCAAATGTTTAGGCATGGAATGGAGGCAGCCAGAGAGGTGAAGGCCAGCAAGGGTCAAGACTGCTTCCTGAGCCTGGAGAAACTTCCAGGCTGAACAACCAGCACAATAACAATAGTAATGACAATGGCTGGGCGAGGTAGCTCACGCCTGTAATCCCAGCACTTTGGGAGGCCGAGGCAGGTGGATCACCTGAGGTCAGGAGTTTGAGACTAGCCTGGCTAACATGGTGAAACCCTGTCTCTACTAAAAAAAAAAAAAAAAAAAAAAGGAAAAATTAGCTGGGTGTGGTGAAGGGTGCGTGTAATCCCAGTTGCTCGGGAGGCTGAGGTGGGAGAATCCCTTAACCTGGGAGGTGGAGGTTGCAGTGAGCCTAGACCACACCACTGTATTCCCGCCTGGGCAACACAGCGAGATTCTGTCTCCAAAAAAATATATAATGACCAAATATCAGCTGCTATTTCCTGAGTGCCCTCTATGAGCTGGGCATGGATGGTTGGATGGTACTGCCCAGTAAGGGTGGACCCTGGAGAGGCAGGAGCAAAGCTGCTGACCTCTGGCTGCTGTCTCTCTCCAGACATCCATTCAACAAACATCATCTTTGTAATGGAATCATCCCAACACTTCCTGGCTGTGATCTCATCCCTGCTGTAAGAGGAAGGAAGAGAGTTGAGGTCACAGGCAGTGATGTAGCAGTCACCCAGGTGCTGGGGGACACGGCAATGGCATCTTGGGGAAATGACCCAGTGCCAGGTCCCCCACAGGTACGCCCTCTCTTTACAAAAGCCTAACACCAAATAGGAATGTCCCAAACAGGTAAACTGAGGAATGCTTCTTGTTATCAGAAAAGAAGTCACTGCAGAGACCCTTCAAGTAGAATGCTACTGTCTTTCTGGAGTGTAAAGCTATCCAAGCCTGTTGCACAAGTGATTCCCAACAAGGGTCTTTGGGGGCCCTGGGGTATGGCCATGCTGGGCTGGGTGAGCTGGGCTGCCCTGGGTTACCTTGCTGAGCACTCAGGTGATGTGGTGGCCATGTCATGTGCTTGCCTACCAGGCAGGGCCTCTTCCTTGCAGGTTCTAAGGCTGGGCATGGTCAGGCCTAGCCAATCAGTTCTTCTGTGTCCCAGGGGGTGGGGCTGTGGCCCAGTCAGCACCAGTGAGGCTCAGTTCTTTGCTTTGGGGGAAACACTGAGACTTCCCTGTCCCTCTGGGTTTGCAGGAAGGACAGGATGCAGCCTGCAGCTGCTGGTGGCCGTCTTGTCATCACAAGGGGAGAGGCTGCCTGAGGAGGGGACCAGCAGGGAGCTAACGCGAGCCGAGGTGGAGATTCAGAGAAACTCCAGAGGGTACCACTGGACCCAGAAATCCAGCTGGACCTAGCAATGTTTCCGTTGTATGAGCCAAAAACACTCTCATCTAATAAATTTTTTTAAATGAAATAAGTGACCAAAACAGTAAAACAAAACCTACCCCCCCTTTTCTGAGGCCAGCTTGGTGCCAACAGCGCGAGCAGCTAATGCCACCTGTGCCCATGCATCCTCTCAGCTTGCACAGTCAGGTCGCTGGCAGCTGCAAAGTGGGGGCTCAGGAATGGGGGCTGAGAGTCAGGCTCTGAGGGTTTTATCAGAGCTCTTTCCTTGGCCGGGGTGTTTTGAGGATGGCTGCTAAGGTCACTCACTGAGAGAGGGCTGTGGCCCCAGCAGTGAGGGAAGAAGGACAGAGTCCCGGGGCTGCAAGTTGGAAAATGTCTCCTAGGCCACTGCCCTAGAAGACGCCACCCCATAGAGAGGGTCATAAATCACCGTGGTGGGAATGCCTCTGGGCTGTTAGCAGGAAATAGAGGGTGGAAGAACCAGGCCTGCCCTTGAAAACGTTATTGTCAAGGTTATGATCTACATCCAGCAAACAGATACAGGAGAAAAGAAAGGAAGCAGAGATGGATTGACAGAGCAGGCAGACAGCCCCTGGGGCTCCATCTGCCCCCATGGGCCGGGCATGGTACTAGGACCTACAGGCATCACCACCCTCTGCCCTCAGCCTCCTGCATGCCCAAGATGGGCAAAGAGAGAAGAAGCCGCAGTGAGACCACATGCTAGGGGCCAGGGGCAGGAAGGAACAGAGAGGCATGGACAGCACAGATGAGGGAAAAGCGAGCAGAAGTGCAGGGGACCTGTGGAAGCGCAGGGGAGGAAGAGATGAGGGCAGAGTGGTGGCAACAGGGCGAATTAAGATCCAGTCCCCAAGGAGTCAGTGGGGGATGGGGATCTGACTCGGGGAGGGGTGGATGGGGGTTGGGGGATGGGGGTGCTGTGTTGGAAGGAGGGTGACTCTGCCTGGGGCCGCACACTCCCACTGGATAGCTGTGGCCTCTCTGGTCAAACAGCTCAGCCTCTGATGTCCTGCAGCTGCTGGAGGGCCCGGCCCAGTGCAGGTTTTGTGTAGAGATGGCCCATCAGTCACACATACCCCCCGACAGTGGGGTTGCCGGGACACATGCTGGCCACCTCGCATTCCTCCCAGTGGTTTCCCCAAGCACAAAGGGGAGGAGGCACACAAGGCAGCCGGCCTGCTTCAGGACTGCCCCCTACTTTCTGCTTGGTCTGGACCAACCCCACACCTCACCTGGATACAGACTGCAAAGGCCTCCCCTGTGGTCTCCCTGCCCCCTGGCCTGCCCTCTCTCCACTGCTCTCAGAGAGGTCCTTCCAAAAGGCAAATGTGACCATCCCACCCTCAGGCAACATCCCTTCATGGCTCCCTATGGCCTAGCAGGATAAAGCCCTGCTCATAAGGCTCTTCGTGGTCCTAGTGCCTGCCACTCCCCTCAGGCCTGGGTTAATTTCCATGCACAATTTCATTTAATCTTCCCCACCACTCAATACACAACCCCATTCTACAGATGTCTTAAGTGAAGCTGGGAGAGGCTAAGTAAACTTTGCCCATTTCCCCTATCGGCAGAGTCACTATTTTCCTCATCTAGGGTCAAAACCAAGGTCATCCATGACCCCCCGCTCTCCCTCATTCAGGGGCAAGTCACAAACATCCATTAGTCACAAATGCCCATCTCTTCCCCCTTTTCTGTTTTCACTGCTGCCATTCTGGGGTAGACTGTTATTCCTCACTGTACCCACCAGGCTTCCTTCCCCGTCTTTCCTGTCCATCCAATTCACCCAGCACACTGCTGCCATTTTGATCCTCCTGGAATAGCCATTTTCTATCCAGTTACTTCCTGCTCAAGAACTTTCAGTGGCTCCCCAGTGCCAAAGAATCAAAGACCAGACTCCTTCACGCCATTTACCCCCAACCTGAGGGGTTTGGGAAAACAAGTAGGGAGGCTTCCCAGGGTGCCTTCCTAAGCCTCTCAAGAGGCTCCCGCCTCTCTCTACTGGCTGAGTGGGAGGAGGGGGCAGGGTCCCTCCCTTGGGCTCAGGACACAGGTAGCTGGAGGACAGGACTGGATTCCAGCTGTTGGAGCCCTCATTGCTGCCATGGAGTCAGCCTCTCTGACCTGCAGAGTCCTTGCTTGGGGTTCTAATGGGGTAGACATGGTTCTTTCCACTTGGAGGTCTCTGTGGACGTTTAAAAGGATGACAGCATGGATAATAGGAGGATGGCCACAGGCTACAGCATTCCACGTATGAGCCTGAACTCAAAACTGACCTCTGCACAGCTGTGGTACCCACAGATGGGCATAGGAAGATGACACTCAGTTCAGCCAGTGAAAAGAGATTCAACTGGTCTTCCCAGACTACAGAATTCAAGTTCACAGACTGGTAAAATTCCTCCCATCTTTTGGAGATCACCTGTCACAGCACTCTGGAAGTACAAGGCTAAGAATGTCCCTTTCGTCACCCATTGTAACCAACCTCACATATAGACACGACCAAGAAAAATAAATCAGAAACATAAGCCATAACCGTGTATTAAACTGAAAATCTGAAATTAATATCCCAGTAAATGAAGAAGAGACTACTTATTATAAGGGGATTTCCCCACTTCCAAGAAGTATTGGGCCTCAGTTTTCCCACCTGTACAGTAAGAACTTGGGTAGGACTATATTATCCCAACATTTCTTCCTGCACTGAAATTCTCAGGTTTCATGAGTTAGTCCCAGTTAGAGAAGGCTGCCTAGGTCACAAGGATAGCAATTTTTGGAAAGTTCTTTGGAGAAAAAGAAAAAATATCACAACTGATAGAATGAATACAGTTTTGGGCAATGTGGCAGTAACCTTCCCCATGGGGTAGGAATAGAACAGATTTGACAAAATGAACAGTCTTTTCCTATGGTGGGCTCAGGGCTCCTAAGTTTTGAGCATTTCCCAAGCATTACTTCACCGGTGAGGTGGCTTATGGGAAATCTGCGTATACGCACAGAACAAAGTCTGGACCATCAAGCACACTGGGAACAGTAGTTATCTTTGGGGTGTGGGGGTCAGATGGGGGTGGGGCAGGCAGGACATTTCTGCCTTCCTGTACTTCTATGCAAGGTTTCTTTCCCCTGGCTCCACTGACATACTGGCAGATAATTCTTTGTTGGGAGTGCTGTGCTGTGCAATGTCGGTTGTATAACAGCATCTCTGGTCTCTACCTACTAGATACCAATAGCATCTCCCCAGCTGGGGGCAACCAAAAATGTCTCTAGACATTGCCAAATGTCCCACGCGAGGGCAAGATCACCCCTGCTTGAGAGCTCTATACTCTATACTATTGAGTTTTAAAAAATTAAGATAAGCACATATCTTATATGATGATGGATGGCTTTATTTAACACCTCAGCAAGTGTGGTTGATTTTACCTGTCCAAAGGTTTCAAATCCACCTACTTCCTGCTTCTGCCATCACTACCACCTTTGTCTAAGCCACTGTCACCTGGACAACGATATCAGTTTCCAACCTGGTCTCTCTGCAGCTGCCCTGGCCCTAGCAAGTCTTTACGCAGCAGCCAAAATGAGCTTCTAGAAGCATCCTTCAGTCATGTCACTCCTCTGCCTGGCTTCCTACTATCCTGAGAATAAAATCCAAACTCCCCACTTGCCTTCAAGGTACTCTGTCGTCTGGACCTGGATCCACCCTCTGCCCCCTGTCCTCTGCTAGTCCCTGGCCACTCACAGTGTGGTCCTGCAGTGTCAACAGCCCTGAGAGCTGGTGAGAAAGGCAAGGCCAGGCGTGGTGGTTCACACCTGTAATCCCAGAATTTTGGGAGGCCGAGGTGGGCGGATCACGAGGTCAAGAGATCAAGATCATCCTGGCCAACATGGTGAAACCCCGTCTCTACTAAAAATACAAATATTATCCTGGTGTGGTGGCGCACGCCTGACTCGGGAGGCTGTGCAGGAGAATCACTTGAACCTGGGAGGCAGAGTTGCAGTGAACTGAGATCGTGCCACTGCACTCCAGCCTGGTGACAAAGTGAGACTCCGTCAAAAAAAAGAAAGGCGGAAGGAAGGAAGGAAAGAAGAAGGAAAGGAAAGAAGGAAAGAAAGAAATGCAGACACTCAGGGCCACCCCGGACCTGCTGAGTTGGATCTTGCAGGAGGCACGTGCACCTTCATGTTTGAAATGAGCGGCTGCGGCCCCACTGTCCTTCTCGCTGGCTTCTTCTCATCTGTCACTTAAATGTGACCTCCACAGTGAGGCTTTCCAAACCGGACATTTGCAAGTAGTTGTCCATGCAGTTCTCTGTCTCAGCATCTTGCTGGTTTTGGACATAGCTATGACCACAACATGTAATCATCTTGTTTATTTATGTTATTTGTTGCCTTGCCTGTTTCTATGTCCATAGCCCACATCCCTGGTGTAAGCTCTATGAAGGCAGACACAGGGCAGATGGCACCAAACACACAGAAGGCACTCAGAAAATAGTATTGGAAGGAATACTAGCTACATATATTGTGCCTTTACTATGTGGTAGTAAGTTTTCTTTACAAGAATTATCTTCATGCAATCTATAGTTATCTTGTTTATTCTTCATGCAACCTATAGGCGAGATAGATACCATGTACGATAATCTCCCTTTTACAAATGAGGAAATGGAGGCAAAGGGACATAAAGTTTTGCAGCTGGTAATCGGCAGAATCGGGGTACCTGGGGCTAGGTGGGGAGTGATCTTGCTCCCATCACTGTACCTTTTACCTCTGCACGATACTGCCTTATTTGTAAATCAAGTAGCATATTACGCACATGACGGATGCATAACATTGAAAGGAATTTCCTAGTGAATGCTTCTATAAAATAAAGAATTCTGCTGTTGGGGGATATTTATCCCTTGTGTGCTTTTTTGGTAAATGACATCTTGGATTCAGAATCTGTTTAAGCAAAGTCCATAGATCCATATGTTCCCAAAGAGTGTTGATTCTACCAGCAGACATAAAACAAGTCCAACAGGGAAGATGCTGGGGCTACTCAAATTTAGAAGCCATTGGCTGGGCGTGGTGGCTCACATCTGTTATCCTAGTACTTTGGAAGGTTGAGGCGGGAGGATCACTTGAGGTCAGGAGTTTGAGACCAGCCTGGCCAACATGGTGAAACTCCATCTCTACTAAAAACACAAAAATTAGCTGGGTGTGGTGGCAGGTGCCTGCAATCCCAGTTACTATGGAGGCTGTGGTAGGAGAATCAGTTGAGCCCAGGAGGCAGAGGTTGCAGTGGGATGAGATCACGCCACTGCACTCCAGCCTGGGTGACAGAGTGAGATTCTGTGCCCCCCAAAAGAAGAAACAGTGGATATTTCTGTGTCCTCTGTCAGGCTGGCCTTCCCTCCTCACAGCCACCAGGTAAATAATCTTTTAGCTTTGGGGATCCAGTACTTTCCTTCTATGGCCCTTCTTGCCTGTCCTCTTTCTTGCTCCCAACTGCCTAAGGTACTTATTTCCAGAATTTAATATGCAGGACAATCCATTTAGATAGAACATGGGGCCTCAATTTTGCAAATGAAGAACCTGAAGCTCAGAGAGGTGAATTATTTGCTCAAGGTCACACTGCCAGTTGGCGAGAGACCCAGAGCTTGAACAGCTCAACTCGGAGTGGTCCTGGTATACTGATGATCACATAAGCTGAGGCTTGCTGACGCTGTGCCAAAAGCTTGCCTGCTTGATCTTACGACAGTCCGATTGGGCAGGCGCCATGGCTATGTCCATTTTACAGATGAGGAGACTGAGGCTCACAGAGGAAGAGTGACACATTCTCAAGGTCATGCAGCCAAGAAGAGAGCAGGGATTTGACTCCAGAAGGGATGCTCTTATTATGTACTGCCATTCTGCTTTCAGCCTAGTGCAGTTATTTATTTATTTATTTATTTATTTATTTATTTATTTATTTATTTGAGATGGAGTTTTGCTTTTGTTGCCCAGGTTGGAGTGCAATGGCGCAATCTCGGCTAACTGCAACCTCCACCTCCTGGGTTCAAGCGATTCTCCTGCCTCAGCCTCCCGAGTAGCTGGGATTACAGGTGCACACCACCACGCCCAGCTAATTTTTGTATTTTTAGTAGAGACAAGGTTTTGCCATATGGGTCAGGCTGGTCTTGAACTCCTGGCCTCAGATAATCCACCCACTTTGGCCTCCCAAAGTGCTGGGATTAACAGGCGTGAGACACCACTCCCGGACAGTCACACATTTTAAATTTATAAACCAGCCCTCGTGGAGTTTCATGCAGGCAGCCAGACGTCACGGTTTGATGGTTCACCTTTTATTTTTGTTTTCAACCCAAAGAAAACAGAGCAGCTTGAGAAACCCATGCTGTGGTTCCCACAACACAGGCAAAACACTAAAGCAAGCATACAAAATAAATAAACAGAAAGGTTGTTTGTTCACCTTGAGCCCCGTCTGGTCGAGAACCTGCTGCCATGACCTGAGAGCCAGGGCTGTGGGGTGGGAAGCTCATCGTTTACTTAGACATGACGGTAACCATCAGCCCGAATCTCTTGCAAGGGAGTAAAGAAAGATGGTTAGGAACCGAAGCCTGGGAACGAGGCTTTGAGTTTTTAAAAATGAGAGAATCCAAAAGACGGTTTAATTTGAGCGCTTAAGAGTCCCTGGATGTAGTTCAAAAAGGCTTTTTGCTACACCTGTTGCCACATGCCACCTGGAGGCTATCCTGTCACTTCCTCAAAGGCATGAAGGACAACTTCCCATCCTACTGCAACCTGGAGCCCCACCCAGCTCAGTTACAAACCTAGACAGGTGAGTGACCTCGCAGATGACAGCAAATATCAGCAGACAAGTACAAAAGGTTTACAGTGTTCAGGGTGCCGTTCTATATGCCTTACATCTATTGACTCATTCCATCCTCACTGTAGCTTGTTAAGGCTGGTATTAGCACTCCCATTTTAAAGATGAAGAAACTGAGGCTTGAGGCATTAAGTAACTTGTCCAAGGTCCCACAGCTGGTAGAAGAGGGATGTGAAATCACTCTTGGAACCAGTGCACACAGCCTTCCGGAAGGACAGGCTCTCACTCAGCCAGCGATGGATTCTCCGTCCAGTCTGCAGGGGGTCTTCTGCATTGATCCCCATCCCACAAAGCTGATGACAGCATGGTGCAGTGAACAGAGGCAGGAGTTGAGCAGACCCAAGTTTCAATCCCAGCTCCTCCATTTTCTAGCTATATGACCTTGGGCGAGGGACTTGACCTTTCTGAGCCTTGGTTTTTGCTCTGCAGATAAGAATAGCACCTTGCCTATAGGGTTATTATAAGGATTAAATTAGATAATAATAGCCAGCATTTGCTAAATGCTCCCCGTGCTAAAGGCTCTGTGAGGGAAGAAGTACGGCCACTGTCTTCGTTTTACAGAAGAGGAGCTGAGCCTCAGAGAGGTTAGGTCACTTATACAGAGAAACATAGGCAATCATGGAGAAGTGGGGGCTCTTAGCTCCAGCCTCTAAGAACTACACAATGCATCCGCTCATATAATTAAACATGCCCCCAAAACAATCAGCATAGTGTCTATAACACAAAAGCTCCTCAGCACACAGCCAAAATCATTATCTGGAGGGCTTCCAGGGAGGCAGAAACTGATCAGAGAGTGCCTGTCTGGTTCTGCCCGACGCCCAATACCTGATGTGTGTCTGCAGCCCTGCAAGTGAGTGCTGGCCTCTGTTCCCAGCACAGCGGGCCCTGTGATGCCCGGCACATGGCCAGGATCTGCCTGGTGACTGAGGAGCCTTTGTCCATAGCTTAGAGCTGGTCTTGCTGACGATCAGGAGACAGCCCTGGGACCAGACTTTGACCGCAATTAGGTTTATGCTTAAAAACAGACTAATGGTAAATGCTCAACAACTGCAAAGACTCAGCCATCCTGCTAAAGCCAGAAGAGACTTTAGCAATTAGTGTCTGGTGGTGCCCACCGCAGGCTGGGCATCAACACTCAGCACTTGCTGAGCATGGAGATGCTCGTGGGCCACACCCTAGGTCTGCTGACTCAGTTGCCAGGGCTGGGGCGGAGGCATCTGCCCTTTACTTATTTATTTACTTAAGATGCAGTTTATATATAGTAAAATGCACAGATCTTAGTGTACACTTAGATGCACTTTTGAGAACTGTATATATCCATGTAACCATTGCCCAGAGAGAAGACATTTCCATGATCCCAGAAAGTTCCCTCATATGTGCATACCTTCTTTCAGTCTACCTTTCTGCCTTATTTTAACAGCGGTTAGTTTTGCTTATATTAGAAGGTTTTGCATTTGTTTGTGTTGCTTTTTGAGACAAGGTCGTGCTCTGTCACCCAGGCTGGAGTACAATGGCATGATCTTGGCTCACTGCAGCTTCAACTCCTGGGCTCAAGCCATCCTTCCCGTTTCAGCCTCCCAAGTAGCTGAGGTTACAGGCATGCGCCACCACGCCCGCTAATTTTTATATTTTTTGTAGAGACAGGGTTTTGCCATGTTGCCCAGGCTGGTCTTGCACTCCTGGGCTCAAGTGATCCTCCCACCTCGGCCTCTCAAAGTGATGGGATTACAGGCAGGAGCTATTGCACCGGCCAAAAGTTTAGGGAAGTGGAATCACCCAGAAAGTGCTCTTCTGTTTGCCTTCCTTTGCTCACCCATGGTGTGGCCTGTATCCCGTTTCCTTTCCTTCCTTTAACTTGCTGAGTAGCCATCAGCTGTGTGACTGTATCAGTTTGTTTAGCTGTTGGCCTGCTGAGGGACAGCTGGGATGTTTCCTCCACTAGAGGAAATGCATAATGTCAGGCATAATGCTGCTCTGAACCTCTGTGTACCAGCCTGTGTGAAAAAGGCAGCTGTTTGCCTTTCTCTCTATAAATACCCAGAAGTGCAATTGCTGGGTCACAGGTAGAAGTGCTAATTTTAATCACCTGTCCAGGTGCCACAGCTGCCCAGTTGGGGTGCGATTCCCCAGTCTGTTCTCTTTTAAGCCCCATGTCCAGATGCCAAGCCCCTGGAGGTTACAAGATCTGCTCTGAGTCACAGAGGAATCAGTTTTCCTAACGAGCAGTCCCTGAGTCATTCCACATTTTGATTTCCATTTAGCTTTGAAAGTTGAACCGATTCTGGGTGGTTTGTTCTGACTAATGATGTCAGCCGTTCATATGAGGGCTAAAAGCCCATGGAGATAACACAAGGAAAGTTCCGGCTGCCAAGGCATCAACCAGGTTTCATGCCCATTGAACACACTGCTAAATCGCACCATTCTCAGTCCTTCCCCTAAACTCTCCGCTAAGGGACCTCCAGGGGACCAATGCAGATCTAGCAGAGGCAGTAAAGCAAGGTGGTTAGAGTCAGTGGAGATAAAAATCCAGGTCTGTCTGGATGGTTTTAGGCAAGTTGCTTCAACTTTCTGAGCCTCAATGTCCTCATCTGTAAAATGGGCACACCACCAGTACTAACTCACGATACTGGAGTATATGAGGTATATAAAAGGAGATGGTAGGTGAGCAGCAGATGGGGGTCAGGAAGCAAAGGGAGCAGCAGTTTGAGACCCGGCCGTTATCTGAAGACCCCGGAAGCACTACCTTGCGGTCTGCTAAACATGCAGATTCTTGGGCCAGATGAAGGACTTACAGAATCAGAATGCGAGGTAAGGCCCGGCATCTGCTTTTAATTAGCCAAGTGATCCTGATGCTCACTAAAGCCTCAGAGTCCTCATCCTGGGGTGTGGACCCAAGAGGACTCTGAGGAATCGGCTGAGCTCAAGGATATAGAGACAGGTGGGGTGGGAGGACCAGGAAGGGAGTTAAGGCTTGGAAGAGCCACCATGGGCAACCGAAGGGACCGCTCTACTCCTCCACCAGGACTGTCTCCTGGCTCTGCCCCAGGGAATCCCTCTTCCACCCCTGCTCACCTAGCAAGACTCCAGCCTGGCCACACAGGTCTCCAGCCACAAGGACCTCATGTGGCCTGATGGGTCAACTCAGCTAAGTGCTAAATGCCTGTGCAAGGCAGGCATTATTGAGCCAGGGTCAAAGGTTCTGGTTCTAGGTTCGACTCCCAGCTGTGTTACTTCCTTCCTGGCTGGGTGAACGTCAGTGTGTCATTTCAGCTGGGCCATGAAAAGGGTTTGATAAGTCGTGTCTCCCTAACGGAGTTGCCAGGATTCATCAGCGCGTATGGGTTAGAAGACTTCGCGTGACGTTAGGCATGCTATGCGCGGTTGTTATGCTACAGCGCTGGGCTTATCTCGCTTCCTCTTTAGGGATGGGGATGGGGTTGGTGACCACTGATAACCTGGGAAATATTCTGCAACCCATTCTCTGAGGTTTAACACCGGTGTTCTTACAGTTGCTTCATACAAGGGTGCAAATCATGCAATCTTAATCAATCAATCAATCAATCAAATTTAAAAATCCCCCAAATCTAAAACAATCAAATGCTTAAGAGAAGCATAGACAAGGTCCCAGAGAGACACTGCACGCCCATCACCAATTAACCACAGGGACAGGCCCCCCCCTTCAGTCTGTGACCAACTGCATTTGGGATCCAGCTGCTTGCTCGGGATGAGCTGTTCTCAGTCTGTGTCCTCTTTTGTCAAATGACCATCCCCATTGCTGCAGCATCTTCCACTCCCTGCCCATCCTCCCCGGCCCCTGGTTCCTCCCGACTTCCCTATTCCAGTGCAAGGACATATCACTTTCCTGGTGGCCTGGGCTTGAAATCTCAGTGACCTTGGGCATTCTCTCCCTTCCCTGACTCCACCCCTCTAACATACACACACTCTCTGGTTTCAAACTGGCAGCTCCAGGACTATATCTGGCCCATGGAAGTGTCTTCTTTGGCCTGTGAAGTGTTTGTTATTTATTTTATGTAATATGGAGTAATTGCCAATATTGAGAACATGGGTGATCTTGCATGTAAAACTTGAAAATCTGGCGTCTCTGGCCTAAATTCTCACATGGTGCTGAGTCATGGCTCTGTCCTAGGGAAGGGGCTTGGCACCCCACTTTGCCACAATCCCCACTACTCCCTGCTGCCTCCCATCTGGCCAGACTCTCTCCTTAATATCCCCCACTGGCTCCTTTCAGACATCTGCAACTCCCGCCCATATCCATGTTCAGTTGGCTCCCAAATACGTTGCTTCTTTTTGTCAGAGTCCTTTTCAGTGATTCTTCCTGCCTCATCCATCTCCTTCTCACTTCTCAGGCCTGGCTGATGGTGATAACTGACTCCTCTAAGTCTTCCCTAGCTTTCAGGCCCAGCCATGCTAACCCTCCAGCCACTGTGTCTATCAGAACTTCAGTGTCCCTCACAGCCCACAGGATAAAGCCCCAGCTCCCCAGGGAGGCTGTGAACTACCTCATCCAACCTGAATTCTTTAATTCCTTGACCATGCACTTTGTGCAGGGCCCTGTACCAGGCACCAATGATGCAGGGTGGAGAAAAACATGTTCTCTCTCAGGGGAAGACCAGAGTAATGTCCTGAACATGTCCAAGGAGGGAAACGGTCCTGGGTCTATCTTCCAGCCTCTGCAGCCCTCCACTCTCTGTGTCTTGCCTTTCTCTCCTCCCCTACCCCATCCTGAAGGCCTCTCCTTCCACATCCGGTTCTATTCCCCTTTCTTCCAGAAGCCTCCTGCCATGGCCAGCGGGGAGTGGCTCTCAAGTTCTGTTCATGCAGGTTGTTTGTATCAGCCAATTGCTACCGGCCATTTAGAGTCGTCTTGAGGGTGCTGGTTTCATTCCCGCTTTCTCTCTCTAACTAAAGTTTAACACGCAGGGCTGAACACCTGTGTTCTCACTGCCGCCTCTGGGGCTTTTTATATTTTTCTGGGACTCCTCTAACACTGGGCATAGGACTGTTCACAGGAAGCCTCAACAAATCTCTGTTGACTTCATTCATTCATTTCAATAAACATTGACTGAGCAACCACTGGGTTGTTGGGCACTACAAACACAGAAGTGAACAAGCCAAAGGCCTGTTCTCACAAAGCTTCTCTTTTCCTGAAAGAGACAAACAAGTAAAGGGATAACCTATCACAAGATGTCTGGAAAAGAAAACAGAAGAATGTAAGAGTCAAGGTGGAAGATGGGTTCTTTTGACAGAGTGATCAAGAAAGGGCTTTCAGAGAGGACAACATTTTCACTGAGACTGACACGGTGGCAGCAGACTGGGGAGGTGGGGAAGTCCCAGGCAGAGTGATATGGTTTGGCTGTGCGCCCACCCAAATCTCACCTTGAATTGTAATGAATCCCATGTGTCAAGGGCGGGGCCAGGTGAAGATAACTGAATCATGGGGGCAGCTTCCCCCATACTGTTCTCCTGGTAGTGAATAAGTCTCATGAGATCTGATGGTTTTATAAATGGCAGTTCCCCTGCACAAGCTCTGTCTCTTGCCTGCCACCATGTAAGACATGACTTTGCTCCTCATTCACCTTCTGCCATGACAGTGAGGCCTCCCCAGCCATGTGGAACTGTGAGTCAATTAAACCTCTTTCCTTTGTAAATTACCCAGTCTCGGGTATGTCTTTATTAGCCACATGAGAACAGACTAATACACAGAGGTAGCCAGTGCAAAGGCCCTGAGGCAGAAATCACCTTGGAGGATGGGCAAGATAGAAGGGGAACAGAAAACCACTTAGGAGCTTACAGCCCTAGTTTATTTTATTTTATTTAATTTATTTATTTGTTGAGATGGAGTTTCGCTCTTATTGCCCAGACTGGAGTGCAGTGGTATGGTCTCGGCTCACTGCAACCTCTGCCTCCCAGGTTCAAGCTATTCTCCTTCCTCAGCCTCCCGAATAGCTGGGATTACAGGCACTCGCCACAACGTCCAGCTAATTTTTGTATTTTTAGTAGAGATGGGGTTTTGCCATGTTGGCCAGGCTGGTCTTGAACTCCTGACCTCAGATAATCCACCCACCTCGGCCTCCCAAAGTGCTAGGATTATAGGTGTGAGCCACTGCACCCAGCCTACGGCCCTAGTTTAGAGTCAAAGTTGACAAATGGAGAAGAACTTGTGATGAGTTTGATTTGGGCAGGAGAGATGAAGGGGACAGAGGATTTTAGTGTCAGCGACCAAAAGGATGGTAGGGTGCTGTCCAGACTGAATATTTGTGTCCATCCAAAATTCATATGAAGCTCTAACTCCCAACATATTAGGAGATAGGGCTTTGGGTAGGTAATTCAGGTTAGATGAGGTCATGAAGGTGGTCTAATGGGATTAGTGCCCTTATAAAAGAGACTCCAGAGAGCTCTCTCTGCACACGTGCATCAAGGAAAGTTCATGTGAGGGCACAGTGAGTAGGCGGCCATCTGCAAGCCAGGAAGAGAGCCCTCGCCAGAAATTGAACACTGCTGGGTCTTAAACTACACCCCCCAGAACTTCAAGAAAATAAATTTCTATTGTGTAAGCCACCCAGTGTATGATATTTATATGGCAACCTGAGCCCTTTACTGACATAGGAAAATCTCAAATAACGAATGAAATTTACCTAGGTCTCCAGGTTGAAACACTTCAGAGTTGAGACCGATATAGGAAAATGAGGGGGTTGGGTGTGGTGACTCATGTCAGTAATCCCCAGCACTTTGAAAGGCTAAGGCAGGAGGATCACCTGACCCCAGGAATTTGAGACCAGCCTGGGCAACACAGCAAGACCCGGTTTCTACAAAAACTAAAGAATAGCTGTGTGTGGTGGCAGCGTGTCCATAGTCCCAGCTACTCAGGAGGCTGAGGTGGGAGGTTTGCTTGAGTCCAGGAGGTGGAGGCTGTAGTGAGCCACGATCAAGCCACTGTACTCCAGCCTGGACAAGAGAGTGAAATCCATCAGAAAAAGAAAAAGGAAAATGATGGGATTCTATCAACGAAGGCTACAGAAGTGTGTCTAAGGCACAGAACCCTGCATGTCATTCAGAGATGCCCAATGCTCACCTGTCTCAGCCTTTGCCCAGTGCTGACAGCTGCTCTCGAAGTTCCCGCCCTGATTTCTGACCTTCCCCAACCTCCTTCCAGCGGAACTGCAAAACCCTGTTTTCTTTACTGCTGCTTTCGCTTGCTGTGGAAATAACAGCTTCTTTATAAGCCACACTTCAAAGTTACCACTCCCTTTATCAGATGGCCTGGCCCCGGAGCACTGCCTTAACCCATTGAAGAGCAGGTGTTATGAAACCTTCCAACTTGCTTTCTTGAAAAACTAGCTTGTTCTACTCATGCAGACCACAACCTAAGTCTTACCTAGTTAAGGTGACAACTAACGTCAAGGTGACAGACACAAAAAGAAATTCATAGAAACGTTCAGCATGTGGCAAAATGTCCAAGATTCCAGGTTGAAGAAAGGGTGTTTTTAGATAAACAGAACTAGAAGTTGAAAGGCTCTTCTTTGACAGATGAATTTTGTTTGTGTTTTTTTTTTTTTAGATGGAGTTTGTGAAATTTGCTTAAAGAAAAAATAAACAGATGATATTTATGTAAAACAATGCCTGGAATATGAACTGAGACTCTAAAGACTTTAAAGCAAGTCTAGTTTTCATGATGGCAGGAAAACAATCTGTGTTAAGAATACTATCAGGTTGGCCAGGCGCAGTAGCTCACGCCTGTAATCCCAGCACTTTGGGAGGCTGAGGTGGGTGGATCACTTGAGGTCAGGAGTTCGAGACCAGCCTGGCCAACATGGTGAAACCCCGTCTCTACTAAAAATACAAAAAATTAGCTGGGCGTGGTAGTGTGCGCTTGTAATCCCAGCTACTCGGAAGGCTGAGGCGGGAGAATCGCTTGAACCTGGGAGGCAGAGGTTGTAGTGAGCCGAGATTGCGCCACTGCACTCTAGCCTAGGCAAAAGAGCGAAACTCCGTTTCAAAAAAAAAAAAAAAAAAAAAAAGAATATGATCAGGTTAAACCCCAGATTCCTAAGCAGAAAGAGGAGATGCTGGGCCCATCTGACCTACTCCCTAGGCATGTCCAGGCACAACTATTAACTGGATTAAGCACAATAATATTTCACCTGCCAGAAGTTTATTACACATGGCCTCATTCGGTTCCCACAACCCTCCATGAAAAAGGTAGGCATTGAGCCCATTTAACAGCTGAGTACATATCCTCGGGGGATACGTTCCAAGACCCCCAGTGGATGCCTGAAACAACAGACAGCACCCGACCTTACACATAACGACGACGTTTTCTGATCTGATAACCCAGACCGCTCCTAAGTGACCAATGAGCAGGTAGTGTCGACAGCACCCATCTGCTGGACAAAGAGACGATTCACGTCTGGAGCAGGACAGAGTGGGACAGTGTGAGATTTCATCACACTACTCAGAATGGGATGCAATTTAAAACTTATGAATCATATCTTTCCGGAATTTTCCATTTAATATTTTCAGATTGTAGTTGGCTATGGGTAACTGAAACAGTGGAGAGTGAAATGATAGAAAAGGAGGAACTCTTGTAGACAATATAGGATCATAAAGGGTTAAGTCACTTGCTCAGGATCACAAAGCTGGCACGTGGTGGAACCAGAATTCTAACCCGTGGCTGTCTAGCCCCAGAGTTCACTTACTTTCTCTTTTCCTTTTTCTTCTGTCTCTGTCTCTCTCTCTCTCCTTCTTCTCTTTCTTTTTTCTTCTTTCTCTCTCTCCTTCCTTCCTTTCCATTCTTTTCTTTCCTCCCTCCCTCCTCCTTCCTTCCTTTTTTTTTTTTTTTTTTTTTGAGACAGGGTCTCACTCACTCTGTTGCCCAGGCTGGGGTGCAGTGGCACAATCTTGGCTCACTGCAGCCTTGACCTCCCAGGGTCAGGTGACCCTACCACCTCAGCCTTCCAAGTAGCTGGGACTACAGGCACGTGTCACCATGCTCCACTAATTTTGGTATTTTTTCTTTTTTGCAGAAATGGAGTTTTGCCATGTTGCCCAGGCTGGTCTTGCACTCCTGGGCTCAAGCGATCCACCTGCCTCAGCCTCCCAAAGTGCTGGGATTACAGGTGTGAGCCACTGTGCCTGGACAGAGTCCACTTTCTTTTCCATACTTCAGAAGTTTCAAACGTGGCTGGGTATGTTAATCAGCTAGAGAGCTTGTTTGAAAATCTGATTCCTGAGTCCCACTGCTGAAGTCTGACTCGGCAGGCCTGGGCTGGGGCCTGGAAATCTGCTTTTATTAAGTTCTCAGCTGATGATCTGAGCAAGGGGTTGTTGGGATGGACCACATCTGTTTCTGCTAGAAGGTCCTGTCAAGAGAGTCAGGGAACGCCCAGCAGAGCCCCAGAAACCACCTGTGGGTTCAAGGAGGAGGTTCCGCGGCAAGGACTGATTGATCAGCTGTGGTAGTTCCTGCTGTGCGGGCTTGGTTAAGCTGGAACTACTTTTCCCAGAATCCCCTTCTCTGACTGGTTCTGGGTTATAATTGGTCAAAAGAGGAATCTGTGGAAAGCTGGGAGATGGAAGTGAAGCAGCGACCATTACACTTTAGAGGTCATCATGATTGGATGAGGTGAGAGACAGCCCCGTGGGTTCCAGCACATTCGAGCCTGTCCTCCATTCTGCATCCAGCTCTTTCTCCTGACTGCTGGTCCTGTTAACCAACAGCAGCCCAGGCCCCCCCGCGGACACTTGGCTGGGGATGGACCAGACAACGGCTGGCTGTAGACTTCTCCACCAGTTTGCCCGTGTACCCAGGGCCAGGTGGCGATGCCCCTGGTCCCCGGCAACTCTTCCACCTTCCTTTCTGCCGCCCCCCCTATGAATGCATAAGAACTAATTCCTATAACAAACCCCTTATCTCATAGGTCATAGAAGTTTGGCTTCTCTCATTGACCTGGAAGGATGCCGTCATCCACTCTGACCTGCAAACCTTTTGATCTCAAACAGCGATCTTCCAGGCGTGGCCCCAAATCAACAGCATCAGCGTCACCCAGGAGCTGGTTAGAAATGCAAATCCTGGGGCCCCACTCAGACCTACTGAATCAGCAACTGGGGGTGGGGGATGTGGCGGGGGGTGGAGGAGGAGGGAGGACCCAGCAATCTATGTTTTAACAAGCCCCCCACCCCAGAGGATTCTAACACAAGCTGAAGATGGAGAACCACTCATGCAAGCATTTAGAAAACCTGCCTCTAGGGAGGCCGAGGCGGGCGGATCATGAGGTCAGGAGATCGAGACCATCCTGATTAACACGGTTAAACCCCGTCTCTACTAAAAATACAAAAAATTAGCCAGGCGTGGTGGAGGGCGCCTGTAGTCCCAGCTGCTTGGGAGGCTGAGGCAGGAGAATGGCATGAACCCGGGAGGCGGAGCTTGCAGTGAGCTGAGATCGCAACACTGCACTCCAGCCTGGGCGACAGAGGGAGACTCCGTCTCAAAAAAAGAAAACCTGCCTCCATTTCTGTTTGGGATGATGTAGTAGTTCTGGAAAAAAGACAGTGGCGATGGTCACACAGCACTGTAAATGTGCTTAATGTCCCAGAATTGTACACTTAAAAATGGTTAAAATAGGCCAGGTGTGGTGGTGACTCACGCCTATAATCCCAGCACTTTGGGAGCCTGAGGTGGGCAGATCACTTGAGCCTGGGAGTTTGATACCAGTCTGGGCAACATGGCAAAACCCCGTTTCTACCAAAAAATACAAAAATTAGCCGGGCGTGGTGGTGCGCACCTGTAATCCCAGCTACTCAGGAGGCTGAGGCAGGAGAATCGCTTGAAACTGGAAGGCGGAGGTTGCAGTGACTCCATCTCAAAAAAAAAAAAAGATAAAAAAAAACCCAGCAGTATCCCAGGCACCTAGCTTTACCTTGCCCTGCAGCAGAGGGCCGGGGGAGAGGAGGGAAAGGAGGAAGTTGGCTTGCTCATGGGTCTGTACTCCCAGGCATTCTGAGATAAAGCCCCACGACTCTCAGGTGTGTTTGGCTTGGATTTGGAATGGACTTACTAGAATGGAAAGATTTTCAAAAATAATTATGACAGTAACACCTAAAAATGTATTGAGCATGTACTGTTTTAAGTACATTTATAGTTGAATCTTCACAACATCCTAAAACTATTCTCCCCATTTCGAGAAAGTGAGCCATGGCTCAAGGTCACCCAGATCATTAGGACCATTTGAACTTAAAGCTGTTACTTTAATACAAAGTCATACATGTTTCTCTGTGGGAAACTCAGAAAGTACAGGTTAGAAAAGAGAAGACAGGGAGAAAGGGAATAAAAATTACTTGTAATCTGTTAGGAATAAACATTAGAAACATTATAGTAAATAGTCAAATTTTTATTCTTTGCGTATTAGGGAATTTTGAAATAAAAAATGGACAGCTTCGTAATCTGCCTTTTTACATTGGCACACTAGACTCATCTTTCTATGTCTTTCAGAGCCTTCTGTGTCATTGCCATGTTGAATGGCCATGTGGTGTTCCCCTTGTATAACCTTGTAGAAACCATAGGCTTTTATGGGACATTTGGGTTGTTTCTACAAGAAGACATTTCAACTGGGAAAAAATCTTTTAATCAGGTTGCTGAAATGTCTCAAACTTCCTCCCTGCAATGAGCAGTAACATGGTGGAAGGGCGATCAGCTTTTGGGGGTTGATATTTGCTAATGAAAAGACCCAAGCACCAGGCAACATAGTCTCACGCACATTTATTTCAGGGGCAAACTTTTGGAGGGAAAAGGCTCTCATTTTTATGTGTTGAATCTGAAAATTCTCAACTGAAGACAAAGTAAAAAAAAAAAGTCTCTCAGATTTACCCATCTCACTCCTTAAAAAGAAGAGCTTGATTCCTTGGCAACAAGGAACAAATGTTCCTCAGAATCCCAAGTTATCTCCCACTTCCCAGTTCTGAAGTTACATGCCAGGTAGATCTAGTTAGATGCCAGTACTATTGTTTCTCACCATAGCATCATAGTTCAGAATGAGACTGGCTGGGTTCAAATCCCGACTCCCTCACTTTCTAGCTGTGGGCCCTGTTATTAGCTCACTAAACTCTTGGAGAAGAAGTGCTAAAGATAGAAGCCTGGGTCTCTGAATGACTGTGTGGAGCCAAGACCCCACCTTCCCACCCAATATATGAAAATGTAACTGGAGTGCCTTAAGTCCTTCAGATGTGGGGTAGTTTGCACTGTATGTAGCTAGCATACTCCTGCCTCGGTTTCCCTAACATAGAACTGTTTTG
Organism: Homo sapiens; assembly: GCF_000001405.40. NCBI lineage: Eukaryota > Metazoa > Chordata > Mammalia > Primates > Hominidae > Homo > Homo sapiens. The sequence continues at coordinate 15,168,944 of NC_000001.11, read as the reverse complement.
AGCATCAAATGACTTAAGAGTGATGGGAAAGCTTAGTTGCTCCCCACTCCAACTCCAGATATTGACTCTAATAAGGGTAGTCCCCAAATATCTGTAACTTTTATCATGAGCCGGATATGGCTCTGACTCCCAGGAATTCCCCTAAACTCTTCTTGAATATTTTTCAGCCTGAAGCCCTCTTGTGGGAAGCAAGTTTGTCTGCTCCTTTCTGTGAGACGTTCCCAGTCACTGGCTCACCCTGGGAGAGACAGTACGCGTGTTCTAAGCTACCAACAGACTTCCTCAGATGCAGTGAGTCAGTACAAACACACAGGCAAGGTTGAAGAACTCTATGGCCTTCGTCTCTCTTGGCTCAGCCAGGCACAGTTCCTCTTAGCCCAAGACAAAACAGCCTATGCTGTTAAATCAGTGGTTCTACCAGCTTCCAATCATAAAACCAAGGGGCAATAATACATAAAATTGGAACTTATACATTCTGAGTTACAGCTAATTGCAGATGTATCCAAGCTCATTATACATTTATCTACCATTTGTCTGTAAAAGATTGCCTCTACAGTCCTTCCTTCCTTCTTTTCTTCCCCATTCCCCTTCTTTCTTTTGGTGCACAGACCCCTTTGAGAATCTGATGAAAGCTACTGACCTGCCACAGAAAAATGCAGAGATAGAATACTTGACAGAGAATGCTTGACAGACCATTTCAGGTGGTTAGTGGGTCCTTAAAGGTGATTGAGGACCCTCATAGGAGTTATTACAAGTTTGAAATTACCCAACAATTTCATAATGATCCTGACCACTATAATACTTTATTGCTTTGATGACCAGGCAAACATCTAAAAGCAGCATCTAAAAGCATCATTATATGCAGAGACAATTTCTAGAAGTATATACAAGAAATAGCAGATGGTGGCTACGCTCGTATAAGGGACTGGGAGCCTGGAATGAGAGGGAGATGTATATTTTTTCATTGGACATCCTTTTACACCATTTGATTTTTTTATACCATGTGCATATATTAGTTTCCTAATTAAAGAAAAAGAGTTAATGAAAAAGTTATTTAAGTTAAGAACGATCACTACTCATTGTCATTTCCATGCCTGTGATATGGGAAAGGGAGAGTCATCAATGGGGAGGTGGTCAACCTCCTACCAGCAGGGTGAAACCCACATCAGCTGGCAAAGTGAAAGCATCACTCCAGAAAAGACAGATGGTTTCACCGGGTCTTCAACATAGGTCACTGAAGTTCCAAATGGGAGGGGAGGATATTATCAATGTTTCATTAGGTCCCTGCATAGCCCTGGTGCTGGCTGGAGGAACTGGCCCTAACCTCCTAAGTTTAGTCATTTCATATAAAGATAAACATACACTCACATACAAACCCAATAATTCCACTCCTAGGTATTTCCCCAAGAGAAATGAAATCATATGTTGATACTAAAACCTCTGAATGTTTATAGCAGCTTTAATCGTAATCACCAAAAAGTAGACACAATCCAAATATCCTTTTAACAGGTGAAGGGATAAGTAAACTGTCGTCCTGCACATTCATACCATGGAATAAATGCAGTATGGGGAAATCTCAAATGTATTCTTTTTTTTTTTTTTTTTTTTTTTTTTTTTTGAGATGGAGTCTCGCTCTGTCGCCCAGGCTGGAGTGCAGTGGCGTCATCTCGGCTCACTGCAAGCTGCGCTTCCCAGGTTCATGCCATTCTCCTGCCTCAGCTTCCCGAGTAGCTGGGACTACAGGCGCCCGCCACCACGCCTGGCTAATTTTTTGTTTTTTTAGGAGAGACGGGGTTTAACCATGTTAGCCAGGATGGTCTCGATCTCCTGACCTCGTGATCTGCCCGCCTCGGCCTCCCAAAGTGCTGGGATTACAGGCGTGAGCCACCGCACCCAGCCATTTCAAATGTATTCTACTGAGTAGAAGCAGCCAGACTCCAAAGGCACCATACTGTATGATTCTATTTACGTGATATCCTGGAAAGGGCAAAACTATAAGGACAGAAAAAAGATCAGTGGCTGCTGGGGGGTGGAGACAGGAAAGACTACAAAGAGGCAGCAGGAGAGTATTTTGGGGGGTGATGGAACTTTGCTACATCTTGATTGTGGTGGTGGTTACATGATTGCTTGTGAGTCAAAACTCATCGAACTGTGTTCAAATGGAAAATTACATACATATATATAAAATACAATGCTGGGCGAGTATTTTCTTTTCTTTCTTTTTTTGAGATAGAGTCTCACTCTGTCATCCAGACTAGAGTGTAGTGCTCTGATCTTGGCTCACTACAACCTCCGCCTCCTGGGTTCAAGGGGTTCTCCTGCCTTAGCCTCCTGAGTATCTGGGATTACAGGTACCTGCCACCACACCCAGCTAATTTTGTATTTTTAGTAGAGACGGGGTTTCACCACGTTGGTCAGGCTGGTCTCAAATTCCTGACCTCAAGTGATCCACCGGCCTTGGCCTCCCAAAGTGCTGGGATTACAGTGTGAGCCACCGTGCCCAGCCTTGGGTGAGTATTTTCTCACAGTTGCCTATGAGTCGGCTGCTGTGGCTTCCACCATGCTCCTATCTCAGCTTCCTAAGTCTCAGAAGGGAGGCCCAGATACTCGAAGTTTGAAGGGTAAACCAACCACCAGGAGTGGCAGCTGATGTCTTCAAAGCTCTCTACAGTTCCCAAAGCACCTTGCCTGGCAGTAATCCCTGTGGGATGCATAACAAGCCTATGGGTCTTCAGCACAGGTCATTAAAGTTCCAAATGGGAGGAGAAGGTGTTATCAATAACAGTTTTGTTATGAAAACAATGCTTGTTTAAGAAATAAAAATTAGTTAAATACAGATTAGCAGAAAGAATATCGAAACCCCCCATGGCTACCCCCATCCATAACTGCTGATAAATATCTATGATGGTATCCATGCTTTCTTGTGTGCTGTGTAAACAAAATACTTTTTTGTTTTTTACAAAAATGGGATATTGCTGCAATATGTTTTATAACCCTAACTTTTTTTTTGAGATGAAATCTCACTGTCACCCAGGCTGGAGTGCAGTGGCGCAATCTCGGCTCACCGCAACCTCCACCTCCCAGTATAACCTTAATTTTGAAAAATTTGATGTACAATGAACAATCTTTCGTATCATCAGTATTCATCAATACTGGAATTTTTAGTGGTTGAGGACCACTTCAGTATATGAAAGAGCTGCAATTTATGTCACCAATTCCCTGTTGCTGCAAATATATTTGATTTTTAGTTTTATTGCTATTATAAAAAATACTGTTGAAATTAACTCCGTATACAACCATAAATTGTTACCTCGGGATAAAATCTTGGTATTGAAGATATTAATAACAAGGTTAAAATCTTGGAATTAAAAGTGTTTTAAAGCTAAGTGCTTTAAAGGTTTGGGCCTGTGTTTTCAGACTGTTCTCCAGTTTACACTTCTATGCTGAGCTCCTGAAAGCACTACCTCCCAGTTAGCATTATTTAAATTAAAATTTTAAAACTTTTAAAACATTTTAGATTTCCTGTGTGAAAGACGGCATTGTTTTAATTGGCATTTCCTTTAATACAATGAGGCTGAATACTGATTCTTTTTTTTCCCATGTACTAATTGGCCACCAGCATTTCTTCTTCTTTTTTTTGAGACAGGGTCACCCAGACTGGACTGCAGTGGCATAGTCACGGCTCACTGTAGCCTCTACCTCCTGGGCTCATGTAATCCTCCCACCTCAGCCTCCCAAAACGTTGGGATTGCAGGTGTCAGCCACTGTGCCTGGCCTCAGCATTTCTTCTTTAGCCCATTTCTCAACTAGGGCATTCAGCTTTTCCTTACTAACTAGAAAAGCAGGCTGGGCTTGGTGGCTCATGCCTGTAATCCCAGCACTTTGGGAGGTCGAGGTGGGCGGATCACAAGGTCAAGAGGTGGAGACCATCCTGGCCAACATGGTGAAACCTCGTCTCTACTACAAATACAAAAATTAGCTGGGTGTGGTGGCGCGCACCTGTAGTCCCAGCTACTCGGGAGGCTGAGGCAGAAGAATTGCTTGAACTCGGGAGGCAGAGGTTGCAGTGAGCCGAGATTGTGCCACTGCACTCTGGCCTGGCGACAGAGCGAGACTCCGTCTCAAAAAAAAAAAAAAGGAAAAAAAAAAAAAAAGCAAAGCTCCCGCATGGATTCAGAACACAACTCTTTGTCTGTTCTGTGTTGCAAATATTGTCCCCAGTTTATCATTTGATATATCAAAGTTTTTAAATTTTAGGTGCCTAATCTAAAAATCGTTTCAATAATCTCTTTTATAATGTTGCCTTTCGCTCTCATGTTAAAGAATACCCTTCCAAAAAGGGGCTGTAGTAACTTTACAGTGGAGAAATGTGGCAGACACCACCTTAACCAAGTGACCAAGGCTGATGTCATCAATAAGAAGTTACATTGATATTATCTCCATCCTAACATGATTCAGTGAGAAGCACACTTCACCTTTGTAGGATTCTTTCCCAAAACCCAAAGGCCCAGTCCAGTCACGAGAAGACATCAGGCAAACCGAAATTCAGGGAAGTTCTACAAAACACTAACCAGTACTCTTCAAAGTTCTCAAGGTCATGAAATTTAAGAAAAGACTGAGAAAGTGTCACAGTTCAGAAGATACTAAGGAGACAAGATGACCAAATGCAATGTGGCATCTTGAATTGGATCCTGGTGAATAAAAATGCAGTGGGAAATCCAGCGAAATCAAAATAAAGTCTGTAGTTTAGTTAGTTGTGATGTCAATTTCTTAGCTTTGATAAGTATAATACGATTATGTAAGATGCCAACATTAGGCCGGGCATGGTGGCTCACGCCTGTAATCCCAGCACTTTGGGAGGCCGAGGTGGGCGGATCACCTGAGGTCAGGAGTTCAAGACCAGCCTGGCCAACATGGTGAAACCCTGTCTCTACTAAAAATACAAAAATTAGCCAGGCATGGTGGTGCATGCCTGTAAATCCCAGCTACTCGGGAGGCTGAGGCAGGAGAATCACTTGACCCCAGGAGGTGGAGGTTGCTGTGAGCCGAGACCACGCCACTGTACTCCAGCCTGGGTAACAGAGTGAGACTTTGTCCCCTCCCCCCTCCCCCCCCCCAAAAAAAGCCAACATTAGGGGAAGTTGGGTGAAGGGTAGACAAAAATGCCCCATATTACCTTTGCAACTTTTCTATAAATCTAAAATTATTCCAAAATTAAACAAAAATTTATTTAAAGGGTCGTGGCTAGGACCATCTCTGGACAGATTAAAAACAAAATGGCTTTCTAATTTTGTTGCTATTATTACAAAAAATAACAGTCTCGAAACTAACTCCTTATACTCATTAACTGTTTTCTTAGGATAAACTTCTAGAATTGAAATTATGGTGTTTTCTAAAGCCTCTGGGCAGTCTAGAAAGAAAAGCAGAAAGAACAGGAAGGAAAAAAGCCGCCAAAGTTCCTGGCTTTGAGCAGGGGTACGAGGTAGGTGGGGGTGGAAAGTAGTTCCTTGTGACTGATGCAGTTGAAGTTGGGGTAAGGCAGCAGTAATAGGTCTGAAAAGATTAACAGAGGCTGACTCTAAGAAGTCCGGGCTTTATAGTGTTGAAAGTTAAAGAGCTTAGCTTTGGCTTGATCCTGCCAGCATAGGGAAGGGGCAAAGATTTCAGATCAGTGCATTTGACATGTTATTGATTTGTTATTTTACTTGTTGGTTTCCTACTTGACTGACTCCTCCCTGCTGCCTAATAAGGTGTAAGCTCCAAGAGGGCAGGAACTGAGCCTGTCTTAGGCACCGTTTCCCCCCAAAGCCTGGAAGAACACCTGGTCTGTAGAGAGAACGCAATGATATGGCCAAATGACTATCTGAGTCTTGTTTCCAAAATGACTCCCCCACCCACCAACTTTTTAGTGTGATAAAATGCACATAACATAAAGTTGACTATCTTAACCATTTTTCCATGAACAGTTCAGTGGCATTAAGTACATTCATACTGCTGTGCAACCATCACCATCATGCATTCACAGAACGCTTTCATTTTACAAAACTGAAACCCCTTACCCATTAAACCCTAACTCCCCATTCCTCTTCCCCCAGCCCCTGGCAACCAACATTCTACTTTCCATTTCTATGATGTCTAGATTCCTCATACAAGTAGAATCATATAGTATCTGTCTTTTTGTGACTGGCTTATTTCACTTAGCATGATGTCCTCAAGGTTCGTCCATGTTGCAGCATGGTGTCAGAATTTCCTTCCACATGGAGGCTGAATAATATTCCACTGTATGGATAGACCACATTTTGTTTATTCATTCATCCTTTGATGGATACTTGGGTTGTTTTCATATTTTAGCTATTATGAGTAATGCTCATATAAACATGGGTGTACAAATATCTCTTCAAAAACCTGTTTTCAATTCTTTTGAGCATTGATATAGTTTGGATATTGGTCCTCTCCAAATCTCATGTTGAAATTTGATCCCCAGGCTGGATGCGGTGGCCATGCCTGTAATCCCAGCAATTTGGGAGGCCGAGGCATGTGGATCACTCGAGGCCAGGAGTTCAAGACCAGCTTGGCCAACATGGTGAAACCCCATCTCTACTAAAAATACAAAAATTAGCTGGACATGGTGGCACATGCCTGTAATCCCAGCTACTTGGGAAGCTGAGGCATGAGAATCGCATGAACCCAGGAGGCAGAGTTTGCAGTGAGCCAAGATTGTGCCACTGCACTCCAGTCTGGGCAACAGAGTAAGACTGTCTCAAAAAAAGAAGAGAAATTTGATCCCCAATGTTGGAGGTGGGGCCTAGTGGGTGTTTGGTTGTTGGGAGTGGATCCCTCTTGAATGGCTTGGTGCCCAAAGATCTGGTTGTTAAAGAGTCTGCTCCCCACTCCTTCTCTCCTCTTCTCTCTCACCACATGACGCCTGCTGTCCTTCTGCCCGAGGCCCTCACTAGAAGCAGATGCTGATGCATCTGAGATGCCATGGGCTAAATAAACCTCTTTCTCTCTTTTTTTGAGATGGAGTCTTGCTCTGTCGCTAGGCTGGAGTGCAGTGGCTCCATCTCGGCTCACTGCAACCTCCGCCTCCCGGGTTCAAGCCATTCTTCTGCCTCAGCCTCCTGAGTAGCTGGGACTACAGGTGCCCGCCACCATGCCTGGCTAATTTTTGTATTTTTAGTAAAGACTGGGTTTCACCATGTTGGCCAGGATGGTCTCGATCTCGTGATCTGCCTGCCTCGGTTTCCCAAAGTGCTGGGATTACCGGCGTGAGCCACTGCGCCCGGCCAATAAATCTCTTTTCTTTATAAATTACCCAATCTCAGGTATTTCTTTACAGCAACACAAATGGACTAAGACAAGTATGCACCCAGAAGTGAAACTGCTGGATCCTATGGTTATTCGATTTTAATTTTTTGAGAAAAATGACTTTTGTTTTTTTGAGATGAGTCTCACTCTGTTGCCCAGGCTGGAGTTCAGTGGCACGATCTCGGCTCACTGCAACCTCTGCTTTCCAGGTTCAAGCGATTCCTGTGGTCAGCCTCCTGAGTAGCTGGGATTACAGGCACCTGCCACCATACCGGGTAATTTTTCTATTTTTAGTAGAGATGGGGTTTCACCATGTTGGCCAGGCTAGTCGTGAACTCCTGACCTCAAGCAATCCACCTGCTTTGGCCTCCCAAAGTGCTGGGATTACAGGTATGAGCCACCATGCCCAGCCCCCAAAATGACTTTTAAGAAGAAACTATATAAAATACTTTTTCCACCTCTGCCTTCAGCATCTGCCCTGAGTGCAGCGTTTCTACACTCAGTATTGGCCTGTGTTAACGAAGCTCTTTTACACCTTGAGGCCTTTGCACAGGCAGTTGCCTCCACCAGGAAGACCTTTGGCGGTGGCGGCTGCACCTGCCCTCCCCGCTCCCCATTTCAGCTCAGACTGCACTCTTTCTGAAAATCCTTCCTGACTCTCCAAGTTTGGGTTAAGCCTCCTCCTTCACGGGCTGTGCTTCCTCATCTTTATTCACATGTTGTTAAGGTACAATCCCTGCTGCCTCCCGTGGGGGATCAGCTCCATCGGGGTGGGGGGCGGGGGCTGACTCTCCCTCGTTCCTGGGCTCAGCGCCTGGCATACCATATGTATCAGGAGATTTGTTTAAAGTGATGGCGCCGGTGTTTAGCTACAGGCAATTTCCCCCAAAAGAAGAGAATTTGCATCTGTCACTGTTTGAAAACAATAATTACCCACAGGCAGTTCCAGTACCTAACTGCTTCTCTCCAAATTGCAGGCAGTTTTAAGGAAGCTGTATGTGAGGCCTCTTATGGTAACTTAAGAAAGTTTGAGTGTTTGTTTTGTTTTTTAAAATCATGTTCTTGCTGGGTGTGGTGGCTCACGCCTGTAATCCTAGCACTTTGAGAGGCTGAGGCAGGTGGATCACTTGAGGTCAGGAGTTCAAGACCAGCTTGGCCAACATGGTGAAACCCTATCTCTATTAAAAATACAAAAATTGGCCGGGCGTGGTGGCATGCACCTGTAATCCCAGCTACTCAGGAGGCTGAGGCAAGAGAATTGCTTGAATCCAGGAGGCAGAGGTTGCAGTGAGCCAAGATTGCACCACTGCACTCCAGCCTGGGCAACAGAGTGACACTCTGTCTCAAAAGAAATAAATAAAATAAAATAAAGTCATTTTCCCTCACCAAATATCAACAAATCATGCCCCACACCCTAACCAGCACAGGCCCAACCTGTGGGTTCCAGGAAAAGGTAGGATAAGGTAAGGCAAGTAAATTCCACCTGCTTCTCTACACCCCTCCCTAGACCACATGTGAGGAGAAAAACATGGAAAAGACATAAAATTGCCCAAGATTTAGAGCCACCTAATTTTACCTGTTGAGGAAATAGCAAAACCTCCTGGAGACATCCAGAACTGCACATCATGTGAGTCCACGATCTTAAAAAAAAGAACTTGCTCCCTGTGGTGAGTTCTCATTCTGCCAGGTTCTGCCAGGATTTGGTGACCCTGGGCTTATCATCTCAAAGGCCTCTCAGGCCAGGGGATGGGCCTGGGAAGCTTCCATTGGTAAAGCTCTGGGGACATTAAAAAAAGAAGAAGGCTAGGTGTGGTGGTTCATGCCTAGGCCGAGGCAGGCGGATCACGAGGTCAAGAGATCGAGACCATCCTGGCCAACATGGTGAAATCCCATCGCTACTAAAAATACAAAAATTAGCTGGGTGTGGTGGCGCATGCCTGTAGTCCCAGCTACTAGGGAGGCTGAGGTAGGAGAATCGCTTGAACCTGGGAGGTGGAGGTTGCTGTGAGCCAAGATTGCACCACTGCAGTCCAGCCTGGCAACAGAGCGAGACTCTGTCTCAAAAAACAAAACAAAACAAAAAAAGAAATGCCAGAACAGGGTTATTAACTCTTCTTTGTTTGAAATGTGGCATTGAAAAAATTAATGCTTTGTGCATCTCAGCAATATAAATTGGGTTGTTGGCACGAGAGCGACAGGCTTTAGGATAAACATGAATTCCTAGTGCACGCAACAGTGAGGCCTATGGGGGTCACAGGCTGCACCGTGAACGTGTGTTTTGAGTCGCTCATTTGTGGAGGGGTCAAGGGTCTACATCTGCAGATTCTCCTCAATGTGAGGCCTGAGTGCTACCTCCCCTGCAGCAAAGGCCCCAGCCTCTGTTTTGTGGCCTCAGTTTCTTCTAGGAATTGAGGAGGCTAGACGAACAATGGCTTCCAACTTTCTGTTTTATTTTTAAAGTCACAGAGTTTTAAAAGTGGATGTTTTGTATCCTTAGCATAAGCCGAGCTTCCTTCCTGTCGGCCCTGCCTCCACCACTCAGCTCTGTCCCTGCAAACCCCTGAGTTGCTTCTAGGACCCATCCAAGGTTTCCCAGGATCACAGTATAACCGGAGCTACATTGCGCAAGGTTCTTACCATGCAGGAGGAGAGACGTTTTTACCTAGTGACTCAGTGCACATCCACAAACAGATAACTGAAAGTTTTACTAAGGAATATTTCTCGTGACAGGAAATGCATGCTATTTTCTAGTCCACTGTCTTCTACTTCACTTTTAAAAATCCAGCGGAAAACCACTCAACGATGCTCAAATCCACTAGTAAGTGGCTGTCCATTCTGTGAACATGAGCTTAGAAAATCCCCAAGATACGAGTACTTCCAGTACTGATGATTTATGGCATTAACAAAGCTGTGATCCTGGTAGAGAGAGACAGAGACCCCGCCCCATCCTGTTCCCAGAATGGGGTGTCCTACCTGAATCACCGATTAGGAAACAAATTCTCTGCACATCTTTGCTATTGAAACGCCTACTCTGCAAGAGCCAGGGTTTGGAGATGAGCATGCCAAATACCGATTTTTCTAGAGACCTGCAACTTGCCTAACCCCATGCCTAATCCCAGGGAGATTTGGGGCAAGGGGCAGTGATGGTGGGGTGGCGGCACTTGGATGGGTTAAAACAAACACAGCAAAAATAAACACATAAAAGTCAGAAGAAACAAAGCTGTCTCCCTCCCTCTGTATGAATTTGGGTCACACGCATCACACCCAGATGGCCCGTGGCTTCCATTTCTAAGAGTTCAGAGAGAATTGCTTTCCCAAACCCCATGGTGATGCAGAAAAACGGCCCTCTGGACTCCCACAGTGGTGAATTGGAAACGTCTTTGCACTTTGCACAGCGTCACAGGGTTTTGGCCAAGGGAATACCTGCTAGCCATCAAGGGGTGGAAGCACGTGAGACCTACAGGTTAGATCCTGCGTGAAGTCACTCACATTATCTCATGAAGATAACAGGCACTGTAATGACGAGTTGAAAAACCAGGATACGGGCTGGGCATAGTGGCTCTTGCCTGGAATCCCAGCACTTTGGGAGGCTGAGGTGGGAGGATCACTTGAGCCCAGGAGTTCAAGACTAACCTGGGCAACACACAGAGACCTTGTCTCTATTTTTTCAAAAGCAACAACAACAAACCAGGACATGAAACAGCTCAGCAAACAAAAACCTGAATAAAACGCCACCATATTAACAGTGGTCGCCAGCCTTCACGATGTCATCTGCTCGTTTTTACAAGGAGCACCTACTTCTTTTGTAATCTGTGGACGAAGACAACTTTAAAAGCCTGCCATCCAAAGACACATTATCAAGTCTGGCTAAGGGAGTGCCAGATAAATGCACTCACTAGCTCATGCCGTGGTGTTAATGCCAGTTTGAACAGACAGGACCTGGAAATGCGCAGACACACTCCTCAATGTGCACACCTCATCTTTCAGGACCCTTGGCCCTTACTCCTCCTGACCATGTCACCACGGATGCCACAAAAACACCTGGTAGTGTGAAGTGCAGACAGAAAGGGGATCTTGGAGGGGGAGGGTGCCCTGTTTTGTTTTTCAAGAATCATCCTCAAAATCATTCAAGACAAACTCTGGAACCTCGGGTTCTGGTCCTGGCTGTGATCTCAGGCAAATCTCCTCTTCCCTGGGTCTTGGTCTCCCCAGTTGTCAAATAAGCAGAGTGGATTTTCTGATGGCTAAGATCCCTCTGGCCCCGATATTCTAAGATCTGAAGCTACGCATTCAGGTTTAAGGGCTGCTAAGTCTGATAAATCCAGGGCAAGAGAGAATGTGGAGACTTTAGGTTGCTCCGCCCAAGTAAACACCACAGACAGAAGGTGAGGACCAACCAGCAGTCTTGAGACGGGAGCTGAGGGGAGGAGTCGAGGGTCAGGGGAGCTCAGCAGAGACCCTCAGAGGGCTATCTCTGGTCAGCATCTTGGGGCTGTCTGGGAGGGACAGGGCTGTGTGGCCTGGTATTGGGAAACCAAACAGGTGGCTTGTTTCTTCCAAACAAACGGCCTGTTTTCTTTCTCAGGAGCAAGAGCTCCCAGGAGGGGTGGCCATGGCAGCGAGGGCTCAATCCAGAGGAAGGGAGAATAAAACATTGGCAGGGGAGGCTGCACCACCTGTCCAGGCTGGGGAGGAGCTCAACTCTATGAAGCCGCTTGAAAGACTGAGAGGTTGAGAAACCTGGGGCCCAAAACAGTCTTGGTCCCGAATGTGGCCAGGTCTCCTGGGTTAAAGTAAAGGGCCCTAGAAGGGAGTCAGGAGGGCTGGGTTCCAGTCCCAGTTCTGCTGCTGAACTGTTGTGTGTCCTTGGGTAAGTCCCATCCCCTCTCTGAGTTTTGTTTGTCAAATGAGAATGATGTCTCTGATGACCTGAAGGTCCCCTCCACCTGAGACATTCTAGGACCTTCCTTTTCCCTCCAAGCAAAGGGAGACTTGAAGCATGGAGAAGGATATTCTCACAGCTTTCGCTGCAAGAGGAGGATTCCTCCCAGCTTCAGAGCAGAAACAAAAGTGAAAGCAAAAGTCAGCAGCCCCCATACCACATCCCAAGTCAGAAGACACCTGAGCTTCTGAAACTTTCCCAGCACCGAGGGAGACAATGCTTCTCTTTTGCATGACTCCCACCTTAATTTGGGGCTGGGGGAAGAGAATCCACACTAAAGCTCCTCACACTCTGGCCTCTTCCAGCCCAAGAAGCCTGAGGGGTTTACAGCCAGGCCTGCAGAGGGAGGGAGGAACGTTGACCAGAAACACAACCTATTAAAACGGGAGCCCCAGAAGCTCCAGCTGGCCTCTGCCTCCAGCTTTCCCATCCCTCACGCAGACAGAGAAACTCCCAGGCCTCGTGACATCTGGAGCCAGCGAGCCGGAGAGTCGCAGCTGGAGGGGCTTGGGTCCTGCCAATACCCCAGACACTCACTCACTACTTCTCTCTGGCAGGGGACCAGGCTGGCAGTTTGGGCCTCATGTAGAACCCCAGAATCTTACCCTTGACCAACAGTCATGAGTGAAGGCCACACATTACTCTCTGCTTCCTGTATGGGCCTCTCCTCCAGCTCCCCCATTCATTCCCACTGCCCCCACCAACCCACAGGCCAGCCTCTCTCTCCTAGGAGTCTTCTCTAGGATCCTCGCCAACTTCCAGGCAGCCAGGATTATCTTCTTAACATATGGATGGGATCAGACGACTTCCCTGCTTAGAGAACTTGAATGAAAGGGACGTCTTTCTCCATGTTGTTCATCTTTGTTGAGCACCTAGAACAGCGCCTGGCCCACAGAAGGTGCTCGGCCAACATATGTTGAATGATTCCAAGAAAGCCCCCACCTGTCCAGTCCAGCTCACTCCGGACCTTCCATTCCCTTTACTTTTCCACACCCTCCACTGCCTGAGCACCTTCCCCAGCCCAGCACACCCCAGGCACTCTCCTGTCGCTGTGCCTTTGCCTGTGCTGTTCGATCTGCCCAGACACCCTTCCTCCCCTGTTCCCTGGGGGGACTCCAGTTCCCTGATGAATATTCTAATACTCTTTTCTTAGCAGGACCTCCTGAGTTATTTCCTTTCTTCTGTTCTCGTCTAAGCCCTGTGACATAACTTACTATAGAATACTTCATGTGCTAGGCATAAATACCCCACCTCGCCCTTGGAGATCATCATCCCATTTTACAGATGAAGAAGCTGAGGCTCAGAGAGGTCAGGTCACACAGCCAGCAAGTGGTGTGGCCTGACTGTATCGCCAATTCTGCAACACTTTTCATGAGTATCCCTGACTCCCTCACTAGGCTGGGGGCTCCCTGAGGCTTCTGGGCTCTGGGTCACTGGGGCAGGCCCCAGACACCCCATCAGAGAGCTGTCAGCTCCGAAGCCGTGAGGAGCAGGTTCACCACTAGCCTCCTCTCTCTTTCTTTGGCCTTTTCTCCCAGTCTGGGGGTACCTCTCAATTGGTGGAGTGAGATATTTGGAGGGGCAGGGGCTCTGTCCCAATAGGTCAGGATCCTCTTGTGACAGGTTTCCGGGGTGTGAAAGCTGTTCACGGTCCCAGGGCCAACAGTTCCCTAGACAAGCTGTTCTCCGGGTAACCCATTCAAAAGGAAAGCCAGAAGCCGGCCGGTCCTAGAGGGGAAAGCCTTCCACCCGCTGACTTACCTCCCGGTTCGGGTCCCTGCCCCGCCCACCTCGTCCCCGCCCACCCCACTCCGGCAGCGCCCGGGTTCCCAGCAGCCAGACCTCCCCTGCTGTTGGGAAGGACCCGCAGTCCCATGCACCGTCACAGGCACCTCGGAGCGCTGCGCAGGACACCCCACGGGCTGCTCCCTGGGGAAACCGTGGGGGAGGGGCCAGGTCTCTCGCCCCCACCGCTGGTTGGGAAAGAGACCATTATCCTGTAATGCAGACCAGGCGCGCCGGGCCAAGCGCCTCCCGTTTGTGCGCTGATTTGAGATCTGATTTGTACTCTGCTCTCCCCTAGGCCCGGTAACGTAACTTACCGCTGAGTGCTTGCTGGGTGCTGGGCATGAATGCCCCGCCGCACCCTGGGACGTTGTCATGTCAGTTTCACAGATGAAGAAACCGACGCGCTCAGGGAAGGACTCGAGTTTCAATCCACTTTGCTCATGCCCGATTCTTTACCCCCGTGTTTGCTTGTAGAGCGACACACACACATACACACACACGAATCTAAATCCCTAAAAGGCCCCGACTTCCATACAGTAAGGGATGCGCGAGCAAAGCGCCAAGGTGGTTTCCTGGGACCTACTGGGAAGTTCTGCTCCTAACCACGCGCTGAAAGCGCTTCTGGCGAAGCCAAGGGTTCGAAGCCCGCCGGGCGGATAGCACCTGTTCCCGCCAACAGGGGGCCCCCAAGGCCAGCTGCCTTCCCCAGCCGAGGCCAGCTGGCCAGGCGCGGTGCCCGGGAGGCGGGAGCGTCCCGCGCCGGCGGGGCGCGGCCGCAGAGGGTGCGGGGTGCGGAGTCCTCCCGGTGGTCGACCCCAGGCGGGAAGCGCTCGGCGGACAGACGGACGGACAGGAGACCCAAACGGGCCTCGGCCCCCTTACACGGCCCTGTGGGGAACCGACAGCGCGCCGCGGGAAGCAGCGGGCGCAAGGCGCGGCGGCTGAGACTCACCCGGGAGGCGGCGGGTCCGGCTCCGTCTCGGCTGGGCGGTCCGGGACTGCGGGCTTCGCGACCCCCGCGCCCCACCCGGGCGGCCTCCTCGGTGGGCGCCGCGATCGCGGGGCTGGGGTTCGGGGGATTCTTAGCCGAGGGAACGCAGTGGTGGAGAGGGCGCACTGCCCTCTCAGGGACCGGGTTGGGGACGCAGGAAGCGCGGCCTGGGAGCGCCGGCGTGCGGGAGGGAGGGACCGCGGGAGGCGGAGGGCGGTGCCGGCCAGGAGCGGCCTCCAGCCCGGAGAAGCACCGCCCACCGGCCGACCCTCCCTCCCGGCCCTCGGCACCACCCCCGGGCCCGAGGCGAGGGATCGCAGCTGAGCGAGGCGGGCACCCACTCCCCAGCGTATGCCGCTGGAGCGCGCTGAGCGTGTGCCGGGGGCTGGGCCTAAGTTCTCCCCAACCCTTGCCAGCCGAGTTGGATAAGAGGGGGTCGGGAGAAAATAGAGCCCTGATCCCCCCTCCTCCCTAGGGCCCAGAGAATCGGTGTGCATGCGTGTGTGCGCGCACGCGCGTGTGTGTGACGGGTGGTGGTCGGGGAATGTCTCAAGCTAGAAGTCCCAGGTTTTAGGGGTTTAAGTGGAGCTGGGAGACCCGCTTTCCTCCCACACCAGGCGCAGACGCCGAGGCACAGCTCCGCCAGCCGCCCCGCCTTTACCTGGCGGGATACTCACCTCTCCTCCTTCCTGGGGAGGCCACCGCCTCCCTCTCCCCCTTCTGCCCTGGGCTGGTTCCCAGCGAGGTGAGTGACCGGCACAAGTAGGGAAGGAGGAAGCGAGTTTTTAAAAACTGAGTCAGCTCACGCCCTCGGCCAGGGTCCCCACCCGATGCGTGGTCCCCAGGGCGCCCTCGGGATCGCACGCCCGAGTCCCGGCCCAGGTGGGGCCCATTCCGGGTTCTTGCGCGCGGGCAATGGATGGGGGCGCGCTGCACCGGGAGCCTGCCCTGCTGAGGGCTCATCCCCAGCTTTGCCGAGAACTTTCCCGGCGAGGCACCGGCTGGCGTTTTCCCAGCCTGCGAGTGGCAGGCGGGCAGCCAGTCTCTGCTCGGATCCACGGAGGCCCGGAGCCGCCACGGAGTTCTGGCTCCGGGGAGTGCAAACCCGAAGTCGGCGCGGAAGCCTCTCACCCGCGGCTCTGCCTCCGCCCCTTGGAGATCTGCCCTCGGAACTGCGTTGCTCTGGCGCCCGAACTAGGGTGGGCTGGTTTCAGCCAGACCGCCAAAAAACGTGGATGCTAAACACAGAGGGAAGAGCCAGCTCCCATTCCCTCTCTGAGCCTTAGATTTTTTTGAATTCCGAGAGAGGTCAGGCCGGGGTCCCCTTCTTGGGTGAGCGTCCAGCCCTTTGAAGTTCAAACACTGAGAAGCCGATAGGCAGCTGGCTGGCGTCACAGGATCGAGCCGAGGACTGAAGGCGCCTCCTACCGGGAATCCACCGCCTCCAGACGAAAATAGGCTGCAATCAAGTTCACTTCCAAAGGCGGAATTCATGGGTACATATGGTGTCCACGTGTGTACACCTGCAGAGTTGTAACATGCGGGCATTTCTCCCCTCAGCCCGCCATTCTGGCTTCTTAACTTGCACCCTAACAGCTCGACAGAACCTTGGCGTCCACAAAAAGGCAAGTTTGGGTCTGCCTTATGATTTGGGGGTGGGAAGGCATTTGGGGAAACAGTCTCCATGTCTATGACAGCAACTGCTATTCCTCACATCCTTGCTATGAACCAGGGGCGGGGTTACCACCCACATCCCCTGAACCATCTCATTTAATCCTCATAACCTAGGAGGCGGTTATTTGTTATGCCCACTTTATAGAAGAGAAGGCTGAGGCTTAAGGAGGTGAGGTCATTTTGCCCAGTGAAAACACAGCTGGGAAGTATCAGGATCTAGACCCAAGATGATCCACTCCAGAGCTTCTGCTCTCCCTCCCATAGCATAATTCCTCCTGTCTGCACATACTCTCCACCCTGAGAGAATGTTCACCTTGCCTGGCCACCTGCAAATGCGGAATAAACATTTGTTGGATGAATGAAAGCCCTAAATAATAACCCATGATTTTAGTGAATAGGGAGGACCCTTTGTGTAGGCAGGTACCTATAATAATATGCTCCCATTTAAGAGCTGTGCGTATTCATCCCAAAGTTTAGACAATGCATGTGGGGACCTTCCCAGGCTCCAAAGGAGTGACAGGAAACAGTCACGTAGCTCTCAGATAAGACCAGGAATCTGGTTTTCATTTGACTCTGCAAGATGGACTTTGGAGAGGCCTGGGGTGGGGGCGGGGGGTGATCATGTCAGAACAGCTGTCCCAGCTCCTAATCTGAAGACAAAGAGCTGCTGTACTTTTCCATGCCAGGGTCATCCCAGACCCGCCCCACTCTGCTGCAGACTCAACTGGGCAGGTCTTGTTTATCACAGGATATCATCTTCAGAGTGTTCCATTTAAGCAGGCTCACCCTGGCTGATCTGGGGAGAGACTGACGAAATTCTCAGGCAAAGCTGAGGCCCAGGCAAAACTGAAGAAGCTACCAAAGGAAGCATGCCTCTCCTTATCCTCCTCTCCTCCACAGCCCTCTCCCTCTACATGGTTAGTTTCTCTGAATCTTCCCTACCATTTATTGAACCCTGTGTTTCACGTGCACTGCATACATTGTGTTCTTTGGTTTTCAAAACAGCCCTAGAAGGAAGATTCTATTATTCTAGTTTTTCAGATGAGGCTGTTAAGACTCAGAGAAGTTAGGTACCTGGATCTGCTAGCAAGTGACAAAGTATTTGAATCTGGGGTCTTTGCAGGGCCCTTGCTCTAAATCACTAAGCTAGGAACCCCCTTCTGTGATAGGCAGAATAATGGCTGCCCAAAGATGTTCACAACCTGATCCCCAGAACTGGTTACTTTACGTGGCAAAAGGGACTTTGCAGATGGGATCAAGTTAAAGATGTTGGGACGGGGAGGTTATCCTTGATTTTCCTGGTGGGTCCAATGTTGTCAAAAGGGTTCCTACAAGAGGGAAGCGGGAGGGTCAGAGTTAGAGAGGGAGATGTGGTGATAGAAGTAGAGATCAGAATGATACAGTTGCTGGACAAGGGTCAGTAGCCAAGGAATGTGGGCAGCCTCTAGGAGCTAGAAAAGGAAAGGAATGGAGTGTCAGCCAGAGCATCCAGAAGGAGCTCTTGGCATCCACAAAAAGGCAAGTTTGGGTCTGCCTTATGATTTGAAGGTGGGAAGGCATTTGCAGATCCGTTTTGGACATCTGACCTCCAGAACTGTAAGAAGATAGTTCACTGTGTTGTTCTAAGCCATGAAGTTTGGGTCAATTTGTCACAGCAGCGGGAGGAAACTAATACATCCTGCAAACTCAGTCACCTAGGCAGATGTTCACTTCACCTGCTTTTTTGGCTAACTGTCCACTGTAAACTTCTGAAGAGGCACCATGATCTAGCCTACATCACGGATTTAGAAAGAAGGCAGGATTCCATCACCTTTGTCTTTGGTTTCTGAATCCTCTGCTATTTGTGAGTTGTGTGACCCTGGGCAGATGTCTTGTCCTCTCTGAGCCTCAGTTTCCTCATGTGTCAAAAAAAAATTATTAGCATTTCTATGCTAATAATACCTATTTTCCAGGACCAACTCGGGGATCAGGTGAACTAGTATGTGACAAAGTACCCAGTGTGGCCTGAACATGAGTTGTGGGAGCATTAGCCTGTCTAGTTCTGAAAGCCTGAATTCAAAGAGGAGAGGATGCTGTTCTGAGAATTCCCGTGGCATTACATTTTTATTCTTTCTGGCTGAATGGGTAAATAACGACAGTTTTAAAATATTCGACTGTCCCTGGTTAGTGACCAAGACCCCAGTCTGTCATGCTACTGACTTTCCAGGCACATCAATGAAAGTGAGGCTGGAAAATCAGCTTATAGAAATAGATCATCATGCAGAACAACTCACACATGTGCTCAGGAACAGAACGTCCAAGGGTTTTCATTGCTGATTAATTGTAACGGTGAAAAGTGGTCACCAACCTCAATGCCCAGCACTAGGAGCTATGCTAAGTAAATTGTGGCATAGACTCATGCTGGCACACTATGAAGTCACCAGAAAGAATGAGGTAGAGCTATCTGACATGGAAGAACGTCCAAGTTATATCATTCACCGAGAAAGGCACTAAATATGATGATACTACACAAACCACTTTTTTTATTTTTTATTTTTTTGAGACAGAGTGTCTGTCACCTAGGCTGGAGTGCAGTGGTGCAGAGGTTGCACTACAACCTCTGACTTCTCGGTTCAAGCAATTTTCCTGCCTCAGCCTCTCGAGTAGCTGGGATTACAGGCGTACACCACCACGCCCAGCTAATTTTTTGTATTTTTAGTAGAGATGGGGTTTCACAATGTTGGCCAGGCTGGTCTTGAACTCCTGACCTCAAGTGATCTACCCGCCTCAGCCTCCCAAAGTGCTGGGATTACAGGCATGAGCCACCATGCCTGGCTCACAAATGACTTTTTAAAAAGATGTAGACACACATACATATATTTGATTATGTACAGAAAGACTATGGGAGGAATCAAACCAAACAGGTTACCCTTAGAAACTGAGGGGGGGTGTGTGTGTGTTGGGGAGGTAATTTTATTTTTTAGTGAGAATGTGTTAATAATAAAGTTGGCTGGAAACCACCTGTATTGTCCACCAGGAGCATATCCTCCTATTATCTGTCCCTGTATCCTCCCTTGCTTGCTCTGTTCTCTGCCATCTGTCATTCTTTACCCTTGCTTGGTTCTGAGCAGGTCACTCTCTCTTCCCACTGACTTTTTTTTTCAGACAGGATCTTTCTCTGTCACCCAGGCTGTGGTGCAATGGCATAATCTCTGCTTACTGCAGCCTCCACTTCCTGGACTCGAGTGATTCTTCCATCTCAGCCTCCTGAGTAGCTGGGACTACAGGCATGCACCACCACACCTGGCTAAGTTTTAAATTTTAAATTTTTTTGTAGAGATGGGGGTCTTGCTACGTTACCCAGGCTGGTCTCAAAATCCTGGGCTTAAGTGATCCACCTGCCTTGGCCTCCCAAAGTGCTAGGATCACAGGTGTCAGCCACCGCGCCCAGCCCCCACTTACTCTTAATGTGGGCTTATTTCTAAACCTGTGAGGAGCTGAGCAGTGTCTCTGCTGTATGACTCTTGCCAAAGTCAGCAGTAAATCACGTATGTGCACTTTCAACCTGGCCTTTTCCTGAAACGGTGCACATTAGTCACCGGGAAGGGATGTGTCTTGCGTGTAGGTTTCACTGGTGATATACTGGCCCAGCCCCACTGAAGGCTGAATCAGGTCTGTGTGGCAGACAAATTGTGCTCACGTAGCGCAAAGCAAAATTGGATAGTTGGACCATTAGTTTAAATAAAACAGTTTTGTCCCGTTTGCTGAAAAATGTTGATTCTGGAAATGTGTTTCTATCTGAGTTACCAGTGTAACTGGACCTGTGTAGACAGCCCAGAATGAAGCTTCTGAGGACATCGTCGCATTGGGGTACAAGTTCTTGAGACCCCTGAGAACAGCCAGCTAGCAATTCTACCTCCCTATCACCCCATCTCCTCTTGTGCTCCAGCTTGTAGAAACTTCCCTCTAAGCCTCAGCATGATTGCAGTTCATCTGGCTGCTTCCTAACTGGTGTCCTGCTCCCAAACCCTCCCCCTTTAATCCATTCTCTGTATTGTAAAGTCAGCAATTCAGTGGGTCCCCGTTGTCCCCTCATGCAGTCCAGCCTTCTCTGCAAGGACATGTGGGACTTCCTAAGGGGGTGGGCCCTTCTCACAAGCTCAGCCTCATTACTCGTCATCCCTTGGGCTCCATGCTCTCTCATCTTCCCGTGGGTCTCTTTTTCATCAGCGACGAAACCTTTCCCAGAAGCTCCCAGTAAACTTCCTTGATACCTCCTTTGCCGGAACTGGGTCATATGCCTGTCACTGGCAAGGACGCTCAAAATGGGCATAGGCTCTCAGGATTCACCTGGAGTCACCTGGGGGTTGGTGAAGACACCTGAACCAAATGGAGGCTTTGACAACAGAAACAATGCCAATGGCTGTCAGAAGACCCCAGCAGGTCCCTGCAGCAGGTAACCTCGAGCCCAGGGAAGCTGCCATGTTGGACTGGCACACACTGAAGCAGGAAAGCCAACTGCAGAGGGAGCAGGAGAAAGAAGCAAGCCTCCACTTGCTGGGCTCAAGTGATTCTTCCATCTCAGCCTCCTGAGTAGCTGGGACTACAGGCATGCACCACCACACCTGGCTAATTTTTAATTTTTTTTTTTGTAGAGATGGGGTTCTTGCTACGTTACCTAGGCTGGTCTCAAAATCCTGGGCCTAAGTGATCTACCTGCCTTGGCCTCCCAAAGTGCTAGGATCACTGGTGTGAGCCACCGCGCCAGTCCCCACTTACTCTTAATGTGTAATCCAGGAGGCCTGGATTACTGCTGGCCCTCCTGTTCTGTTTTTCCCAGGAATTTCCTTTCCTGATGAGTTTCTGTTTCTTGAAATAAAAGGACACTAAGAGAGTCCCTTTGAAGCTTCGACAAGCAGCTGAGGAGTAATGCCAGAGGCCAGGCATGGGTGCCCTGACCTTCTGCTAGTTAACTAACTGCTCAAGGGCCCTGTGTGATGGGATTCCAAGGAAATCCACTCACCCCTTGGATAAGCCAATGACAACAATAATAGCAGCCAACCGTCATACAGTGCTGACCAGGGCCAGGCAGTCTGCTACACACTGTACAAGGCCTGCTGCATTTGATCAGGCTCGTCACCACATGAGGAAGGTACTATATTTCCCCTTTTCACAGATGGGGAAACTGAAACAGAGAGGTTAAATGACCTGACCATGAACACCGAGCTGGCAAAGCTGGGGTCTGGGCATGGACCCAGGCTGCCTGGAGGCTGTGTTCTTGCAGCTTCTCTACCCTGGCTCTCATAGAACTGGTTGCTTGTGACACCCTTCAGATGGGACTTCTTGATCCAGGTTTGGAGAATGGGTCATAAACCTGGGGACAGAGGGGCCCAAAGGGAGAAGCAATGACAGTATCTTCCACACCTGCCACGGTCCTGGTTGCCCGCGTACTCCGCCTTGCTGCTGTAGTGTGATAATATTTCACTTGATGAAAGTTTTTTTTCCTCCCTTTTGTTCTTTCCAGACAGTGGCTCTTCTTCCTTTAGGGGAAGCCTCATCCAGCAGAAAAGCAGAGATGCTTTTGAGTTTCAAGAACCAATACTTTGGCATTACAAGAGCCTGGGCTTTGAGTTTCAAAAGTAGA
Source organism: Homo sapiens (assembly GCF_000001405.40). Classification (NCBI taxonomy): domain Eukaryota; kingdom Metazoa; phylum Chordata; class Mammalia; order Primates; family Hominidae; genus Homo; species Homo sapiens. The sequence goes on along the minus strand of NC_000001.11, from coordinate 15,146,618 downwards.
AGTCCCAGAGGCTTCTAGGAATAAAATTTGTGGCATTAACAAGACATCCTGAAGACTGAGCACGATGCAAAAGTCATTTCCCCATGACCAAGATGAGGTCAAGTGCCCTGGGCCAGGGGTCTGGACAGAGGATCTAAGGAGAGTGGATGAGCCATGATGATGTGGGGCTAGGGAGGTGGGTGGTGCCCAAGCGGCAGTCCCACACTAGCTTCATAAGTGTGGCTTTCAGGCAAGCTCAGGAGAGTGCCTGCTCCTCCCCTCCCAAGGCACAGATGCAGTGGGGGAGGGAGTAATTGGCAGAGGGGTGACGCAGCCTTGCAGAGGTTTACCAAGCTCTGCCAACATCTCCCGTGTGCCCCAGAGGAGGGAGGAAGAAGCTGAGAGGAGGAGAAAGAGGCCAGGCACAGAGACTTCCAGGAGGCCTAGGCAGCTGCATCTGCCATCAGGAAGATGGAAGTGAGGCCAACATAGCAGATGTCAGGGGACACCAGACACTGACCTCTGCCCAGGCCTTGGCACTTTCTGAGCCTCCTCTACCCCAAAAACAAATCTAGACGCAACCCAGGGCAAGAGGTAGGGAGGCCCTGATTAATTATGGCTAGATGTCTTTCTACCAGCCAAATGGGGACTTGAAATAGAAATTCAATCTAATTTTGAGAGTGGAAGTTGTGTTTCTTGCACCTCTAGGATGTGACTGAAGGTCCTTCTGGTTTCCCTGCTGTTCCTCAAAGGGCTTTGCATGTCTTGCTCTGCTTTCTTGCTCATTTCTACACAAAGGAGGAGGTTACCAGGGTTCTTTAGGAGAAACAGATGTGGCAGAGTCATAGAGTGGAGGTCACAATATTCCTCCTGCCCTTTCTGCATCCTCTTGTGAGCAGCCCACCAGTCTCTCCTTCCTACCATCCAAACTGTCCCAATCCCCTCCTCTGCAGAAAAGCCTCCCAGTATTGACACAGCAGAGTGGATGGTTCTTTGTACCTACTTCATAACGACCATAAGCCCTCAACCAACAGTGTACCTGCTCTTACCCTACCTGTCATTGTGTGTACTTGGGTGGAAGTTCAGTATTACACAATGTTGTCTGGGTAGCAGTTGTCTTTGTTGTGACTCTTTGAGATCTTTAGATTAGAGTGTTGCAGTTTTGGCACTATTGACATTTGGGCTGGGAATTCTTTGTCGTGGGAGACTGGTGCATTGCAGGATGCCAAACAGCTTCCCTGGCTCTACTCTCCAGATGCCAGTAGCACCCCTTTCCCCAGCTGTGACAATCAAAATGTCTCCAGACATTGCCAACTGTTTCCCCTGGTGGCAGAGGAATCAGCCCCAATTAATAATGGTTGCTTAGCTGGGTGCAGTGGCTCACGCCTGTAATCCCAGCACTTTAGGGGGCTGAGGCAGGCAGATCACTTGAGGCCAGGGGTTGAAGACCAGCGTGGGCATGGTGAAACCTAGTCTCTACAAAAAATAACAAAAACTAGCCGGGTGTGGTAGCAGGTGCCTGTAGTCTCAGCTACTTGGAAAACTGAGGTGAGAGGATGGCTTGAAGTCGGGAGGTCGAGGCTGTAGTGAGCTGAGATGGCGCCGCTGCACTCCAGCCTGGGTGACAGAGTGACACCCTGTGTAAAAAATAAAAACCAACCAACCAAACAAAAGAACTATTGCTTAAAACATTGAACACAGGATCCCCGGCATATGGCTTTTGCTCTGGAATTGATGTCTAGGAGGATAGAGAGCAAAATTTAGTCAGAAAATCGGTGGCCTCGAGGTCAGAAGACCTAGGTTCAAGCTCTAGTTCCATCACTTCCGTCTTGCGTGATTTTGAGCAAATCATATAGCTTTTCTGAGCTTCAGTTTCCCTATACGTATATTGGGGAATAATAAATGAGGAGAGGGATTTTCATTTGTTTTGTTCACTGCAGTACCCCCAATACCTAGAATAGCACAGGGCACATAGGAAGTACTCTATACAGATGGGTTGACTGAAGAACTCTATCTCCGCTCCGCCTCCCCCACACCCAGGGCTTCTGCAGGGTTCAAATGAAAAAGTCTAAGAACTTCCATGACTGAGGGGTCACAGGAAATATTGCACCCCATTCAAACTCAGAAAACAACAGCCACTAGCTGACATTTTCTAAATTAATTTTATAAATCATAAAGATTCGTAATAGCCAAAAACTGGGAACAAACCAAATGTCTTTCAATGGTAAATGGTTAAACTGTAGTGCATCTATACCATGGAATACTACACAGGAAAAAAAAAACCCAAATCAGCCGGGCAGGGTGGCTCATGCCTGTAATCCCAACGTTTGGGGAGATGGAGGATGGGGTGGATGACTTGAGGTCAGGAGTTCAAGACCAGCCTGGCCAACATGGCAAAACCCCATCTCTACTAAAAATACAAAAAAATTAGCTGGGAGTGGTGGTGCACACCTGTAATCCCAGCTTCTTGAGAGGCTGAGGCTTGAGAATCACTTGAGCCTGGGAGGTGGAGGTTGCAGTAAGCCGAGATCGTGACGCTCCACTCCAGCCTGGGCAACAGAGGAAGACTCTGTCTCAAAAAATAAAACAAAACAAAACCCCCAAATCATTGACATACGCAACAACCTGGATGGATTTGAAGGGAATTATGCTAAGTAAAAAAACACCAATCTCAAAAGGTTATATACTCTATGATTCCATTTATGTAATATTCTTGGAATAAATTATATAGATGAAGAACATTGCCAGGGGTTGGGGATGAAGGTGGCCACAGTGGGGTCACCTGAGGAAGCTCATGTTGATGGAACAGTTCTATATTTTTTGAAAATGTCTTATTTTTAATTTTATGGTTATATAATAGGTGTATATATTTATGGGGTACATGAGATATGTTGATACATGCATACAATGTGTAATAATCACATGGTAAATGGGGTCTCCACCTCAAGCATGTATCATTTCTTTGTGTTATGAACATTCTAATTCTAATCTTTTAGTTATTTTAAAATGTACTATAAATTATTGTTGACTGTAGTCACCCTGTTGTGCTATCAAATACTAGATCTTATTCATTCATTCATCTTAATCATTCTAACTATATTTTTGTACCCATTACCCACCCCACTTCCCCTTCACTCCCCATTACCCAGCCCAGTCTCTGGTAACCATCATTCTGCTCTCTGTCTCTATGAGTTCAATTGTTTTAATTTTTAGCTCCCACAAATGAGTGAGAACAGGTGAAGTTTGTCTTTCTGTGCCTCACTTATTTCACTTAACATAATGACTTCCAGTTCCATCCAAAAACAGGCAAAGGCCAGGATCTCATCCTCTTTTATGGCTGAGTAGTACTCCATTGTGTATATGTACCACATTTTCTTTATCCATTAATCTGTTGATGGACACTTAGGTTGATTCTAAATCTTGGCTATTGTGAATAGTGCCTCAAAAAACAAGGGAGTGCGGATATCTCTTTAATCTACTGATTTCCTTTCTTTTGTGTATATACCTAGGAGTGGAATTGCTGGATCATGTGGTAGCTCTAATTTTAGTTTTTTGAGGAACCTGCAAACTGTTCTCCATTGTGGCTATACTAATTTACATTCCTACCAACAGTGTATGAGGGTTCCCTTTTCTCCATATTCTCCATATTCTCTCCTTAGTTTTGTGTTGTTTTTTTGGGCAGATGGGGACAGAGTCCTGCTCTATCCCCCAGGCTGGAGTGCAGTGGTGCAATCTCGGCTCACTGCAACCTCTGCCTCCCGGATTCAAGTGATTCTCATGCCTCAGCCTCCCGAGTAGCTGGGATTACAGGCGCCTGCCACCATGCCCAGCTAATTTTTGTATTTTTAGTAGAGACAGGGTTTTGCCATGTTGGCCAGGCTGGTCTTGAATTCCTGAACTCAAGTGGTCCTCCCACCTTGGTCTCCCAAAATGCTGGGATTACAGGCGTGAGCCACCACACCTGGCCCAGTTCTGTGTTTTGATTGTGATGCTGGTTACACAAACCTACACAAATGATAAAACTGTATAGAATCTCACACACACACAGGAATGTGATCTGCAGAAATGATAAAACCGCATAGCATCACACACACGTGAATATAGGTGAAGCATGAAACCAATGTTATAGAATAAGCTCTGTGGATTATACCAATGTCAGTTTCCTGGCTGTGATATTGCACTATAGCTATACAAGATGTTACCACTGGGGGAGGCTGGGTGAAGGGCACAGAAGATCTCCCTATATAACTTTTTCAGTTTCCTTTGCATCTGTAATTACTTTAAAATAAAGACTTTTAACCCACATAATAAATCATACATAGGGAGATGGGCAAAAAATTATCAAAAGCATGTGCAGTGTTGAAAAAGTTAAATTCCCCAAATTACCAGAGGACGTTTGAGACTCAGACCACAAATCAAGCTGGCAGGAAATAGAACTAGTTTTCCATGACTCAGTCTAATTTATCTTACAAGCCTCCATTCTGCCAGGTGGCGGAAATATTCCCCTCCTCCTTTGGCTGGAATGGCATCTAAGTTCCGAGGGCCTTATGCAGTGCCAAAGGCCCCCCCAGGGGGACACCTGGTCCCTGTTCCCAGGCTGGCTGTCAGCCTTCGGTCTGTGTAAGCCCCTGCCAAGCTGTCCTTCACCCCAAACCCAACACCATGCTGTGCTCGACGGAAACCTGGCAGGAAGACAAGCCACTACCTGGTGTCCTGCAGTTCAAATGCAGTCCTCGTGTGTTTTGTTCGGCCCATAGAGTATTTTAAATCACTACTTGCCAATATTTGAAATGGGGCATTTTCACATACGAGTGTAGATATCTGGGCTAGTCCTCTTTGCACACGTCCCCTGGGGCAGCAATCGGCTGGACCTCACTGTGTGGCAGCTGCCCCTTGAACCTGGGCTTGCCTCCTTGTGGGTTCATCACGGTCCCCACCATTTCTGACCCCTTCATTTGGCTGGATTCACTCTTTTTTTGTTATGTTTTGAGATGGAGTCTCACTCTGTCGCCCAGGCTGGAGTGCAGTGGCACGATCTCGGCTCACTGCAACCACTGTTTCCCAGGTTCAGCGATTCTCCTGCTGAAGCCTCCTGAGTAGCTGGGACTACAGGCACGCGCCATCACACCCAGCTAATTTTTGTATTATTAGTAGAGATGGGGTTTCACCATGTTGGTCAGGCTTGTCTCGAACTCCTGACCTTGTGATCCGCCAGGCTCGGCCTCCCAAAGTACTGGGATTACAGGCGTGAGCCATCACACCCGGCCTGGATTCACTCTTTTACAAAACCTACCTGGCAACATGGAAGCTCGAGGTGGCAGCCCTCACTCTTCCTCACTTCTGTCCCATTTTGGGGTCGCTGGGGATCATTTTTCTCCTCCTGCTCCTTGCTGGGGTACAGAAAAACTTTGCCGTGCTATCTCAGACCCACCTGCCGAGGGATGGCCCTTCCATCTAGGGTCTTGCTGCCTCCTATGCCCACCCCGGGCTCCACACAGGAATGGGTCACCGTGGGACACGGCCCAGGGACCTCGTTCTCGGTTTGCCTTGCTTGCTTTCAGACCTCATCCTCCTGCTATGGGAACTTTTATTTGATCTCAAGAGGCTGAAGCCTTGCCGGTCCGGCGTCTGTGTCCCCTTCCCCGCAGTGCCACATCTGTTCTATCGTCTACCTACACCAGTCCTTTCTGTTTCTCCTCCTCTTCTCGACTGTTGAAAATCAAAAACCAGGACTCTCTGTTTCCCTTTTCCTGCTGTTCACCCCTTCCTGGAGGCAGTAAGCTAACAGCTGCCTGAATTTTAGGATGTTGGGGCAATAGAGAAAACTGGGAATGAAAAACGCATTGATGAATTCAAATATATCACCCTCATCGTCTTTCTTCCCACGCCAGACACTGCACTAAGCACTTACACCCATTCTGTCCCATTTCCACGTCAAAGAGGAAATGGGGCTCAGGGAGATTCGCTGTTGGCCCGAAGTTGACAGCTAGTGAGGGGGCAGAGCTGGTACTTGAACCTGGAGCCTATCCTCTTCACCACTCACTTGCCACAAAGGCGTGGCTTTGTTTCACAGCCCCCCTTCTTGCTTCCCACACTCCAGGTCCCTGTGCATCTCCACAGGGCAGGGACCGGTGGGAATCCTTACCTAGGTGACAGTGAAAGGCTGCTGGTCGAGCTTTTCCTAAAGTCTACCTCTGAGGGTGGCTCACTCATCCCCAGCTGATTGGGGTGGATAGGGTTCCAGTTACTGACACTGTGAAATAGCCTGACCCTTGACAGCCCTCCCTCAACCCCAGCAGGAGAGTCCAGCCAGCCGGAGCAGATAGATCAGCTCCCCGGAGAAGGGCAGGGTTCAAAATGGAAGGACAAGACCAGAGGCTGAGTCACAGCCTTGGAAAATCTAGTTACAGGGTCGGGGGAGAGGCTGGCGGCCGTCAGTTTGTAAATCGGCAGTCCTCCCTGCAACCTGGACAAAGCCATTTCTCGGAAAATCCAATTAGAATTCAGAGCCTTGAGGGCCAGCCTGGATTTTCTGCTGCTCAGCAACCTGCAGAGCCTGGCCCAGCTGGCCCTTGGGCCGTCCCACATCAGAGGGCCCTGATAGCAACAGATGAACTTGTTAGTGGGCCCCCTGACAGCGGCTGTCGCTTTGTACTCGGCAGGAAGGCATTCCTTTGTCACCCCTGGTAGGCAGGAACACCTGATAAGCCATCTGTCTGGCCAGACCTCTGTGCGCCAGCGGGCTTTGCTTGGAGGCTGGTATTCCAGGCCCTGTGCAGTCTGCGGGGCTGGGATCAGTGGCTGAGTCAGTGCAGCCCCAGGCACAGACTGACACACTCTGATGTTTTCAGGTTCTCTTATGGGTGATATTGTTGGACACTTGCACCTGGGACTGATTTGGATGGCGCTATTGACCTACTGACCCTTTATTTGACCAGAAAGGAGAATGGTTTTTTGTTTTGTTTTGTTTTGGTTTTGGTTTTGGTTTTTTTTTTTTTTGTTTTTTTTTTTTTTTTTTTTTTTGAGATGGAGTCTTTCTGTCACCTAGGTTGGAGTGCAGTGGTACAACCTCGGCTCACTGCAACCTTTGCCTCCTGGATTCAAGCAATTCTCCTGCCTCAGCTTCCCAAGTAGCTGGGATTACAGGCATGTACCACCACACCCAGCTAATTTTTATATTTTTAGTAGAGACAAGGTTCCATCATATTGGCCAGGCTGGTCTCGAACTCCTGAGCTCAGGTGATCCACCCACCTCGGCCTCCCAAAGTGCTGGGATTACAGGCATGAGCCACAGTGCCCAGCCAGAATTTTTTTTTTTTTAATTCAATGTAATTCAAAGTTTAAAAATTTGCACTAATTGGGATTATGATATTGTCCTGTTAGAAGCGTCACTGTTTATTTCACCTTATATCACCTTTTAGCTAATACTGGTCACCACCGATAGTGCTGGTACTTAGATTTTGAGTCCTGCATATATGAGGTAGCCCAGCTTGGTGCTGAAGTGCACGGTCCTGTGGCTCAGCTGCCTGGGTTCACATCCCAGCTCTGCTGGTTGCTGACCATGGGCCCTTGGGTGAGTTAGTTAACCTTTTGGAGCCTCAACTTCCTCATCTGTAAAATGGGTTAGTAATAGTCCTGACCAAGTAGACGTCTGTGAAATGTAGAAAGCAATGCTTGGCTCATGAAAAGTTGCTCTCTAAAAAGAAGCTTTCGGCTGGGCAGAGTGGCTCACGCCTGTAATCCCAGCACTTTGGGAGGCCGAGGTGGGTGAATCAGTTGAAGTCAGGAGTTCGAGACCAGCTGGCCAACATGGTGAACCCTGTCTCTACCAAAAATACAAAAATTAGCCGGGCGTGGTGGCGGGTGCCTGTAATCCCAGCTATTTGTCTCTACTAAAAATACAAAAATTAGCTGGGCGTGGTGGTGGGCACCTGTAATCCCAGTCACTTGGGAGGCTGAGGCAGGAGAATCATTTGAACCCGGGAGACAGAGGTTGCAGTGAGCCAAGATCACGCCACTGCACTCCAGCCTCGGCGACAGAACAAGACTCTATGTCAAATAAATAAATAGGTAGGTAGGTAGGTAGGTAGATAGATAGATAGACAGACAGATAGATGGAAGCTTTTATTGTTGTTATTGGAGAAAAGCTCCTAACGTAAGCGAGACTGTTCTGAGTCAGGGAGAGGTTGGAGTGGTGAGGTTGCTGCTCTTGAGTGAGGGATTGGGTTGTTGGTCTCAGCAGACCTGTGGTTTGAATGGCAAGGACACAGTCCTGGTAGTTGAACTAGACTCTCCGCTGTCTCTGCAGATGCTGGAGAACCAACCATGGAGGCTCTGTGGGATTCACCCAGAGAGGCGTAAAGGCCAAGAGGAGAGCACCAGGCTGAGATTTCCTCTCCATCCCTCCTTGGATTATGAACTGTGGGAGGAGATGGGCAAAGGATGAAGGAGGAGGCTACTTAGAGGCCTTGGCTCTCAGGAAGGGGGTGGGAAGATGGGGAGAGGTAGAAGATGAGTGGGGAGCCCAAGCAGCTCTGCCCTGTGTCCTCCTGGCTGCTGGGGCCCCAGTCGCTCAGGAGGAGGAAGCCACGGCCAGACGTGCTGAGTTAATGACCTTGTGGGCTGCCAGGGGAGGTGGGAGCCGCCACCCAGTCTCGTGGAAATTCCCTGATGACGGGTGGCTGAGAACCTCTGTGCACTGGAACCACCCTCTGGTTCTAGGCCTTTTTCTTATTTTTTGTTTCTTCTTTTTCTTGATGCATAATTTATGTTCAGTGAGGTGCAAAATTCTCAGGAGGCTGGCTTGATCAATTTTTTTTTTTTTTTGAGATGGAGTTTTGCTCTTGTTGCCCAGGCTAGACTGTAATGGCGCAATCTCGGCTCACTGCAACCTCTGCCTTCCAGGTTCAAGCGATTCTTCTGCCTCAGCCTTCTGAGTAGCTGGAATTACAGGCATGTGCCACCAAGCCTGCCTAATTTTTGTATTTTTAGTAGAGACAGGGTTTCACCATGTTGGCCAGGCTGCTCTGGAACCCCTGACCCCAGGTGATCCACCCACCTTGGCCTCCCAAAGTGCTGGGATTACAGGCGTGAGCCACCATGCCCAGCCAATGAATTTTTACATATGTATATACTCATATAGCCACTGCCTGGATCAAAATCAAGAACATTCCCTGACCCAAAGAAGGTTCCCCTTGTATCCTCTTCCAGTCAAAACCCCTAAAAATAACCTCAGCTTGAACCTTCATCACCATAAATTAATTTTGCCTATTTTTGAACTTCAAATAAACAGAAATCATGCAGTATGTATTCTTTTGTGTCTAGCTTCTTTCATCATCATTGAGTCTGGGAGATCCAGCCAGGATGTTGTGTATAGCTGTATTCTTCTTCTTCGTTGCTGTGTAATACTCCATTGTATGAATATACCATAATTTATATTTTCATTCTCCCATTGATGAGCTTTAGGGTTGTTTCTAGTTTGGGGCTATTATGAATAAAACAGCTATGATCATTTGTGCGCATGGCTTTGGCACCCAGGAGCATTCATTTCTGCCAGGCATGCACACAGGAGTGTTTCCAAGCCTTGTAGTCATTCTACTTGAAAATGCTCCAAGATAAGGCAAAAGGGACCTAGTGTGTGTCCCTCACCTCCCCACCCCATACCCACTCTAGACCAGGCTCTGGGCTCCAGGCATGGGAGCTGAGAGGCAGAAAGAAGAGAGAGGGCACCACGCCGCAGCAGCCACATTCAGAAGAAGATGTAAAAACCCCTCTTGCCAGGTGGGTGTGGTGGCTCATGCCAGTAATTCCAACACTTTGGGAGGCCAAGGTGGCTGGGTCACCTGAGGTCAGGAGTTCAAGACCAGTCTGGCCAACATGGAGAAACCCCGTCTCCACCAAAAATACAAAAATCAGCTGGGCGCAGTGGCAGGCGCCTGTAATCCCAGCTACTTGGGAGGCTGAGGCAGGAGAATCACTTGAACCTGGGAGGCGGAGGTTGCAGTGAGCCGAGATTGCCCCGTTGCACTCCAGCCTGGGTGACACAGTGAGACTCTGTCTTAAAAACAAACAAACAAATAAACAAACCCTCTTGCCAACAGCACTTCCGCTTTTAAAAAGGTCATCTGGTCTTTTGCTGGAAATGTGTGCATGAGAGGTTTTCTGAGCCTTGGGAGAAGGTTCCCTTCCCGATGGTGCCTGTTGACCTGAGATGATCTAGTCTAATCTTCCCATTTTACAGGTAGGAACTGGTGTCCAGGGAAGGGAAGTGATGCTTCCAAAGCCACACAGCTGGTAAATGACAGGGTCAGGAACACCAAGTGCCTTAGCTTCCAGTGGCTTTGTGTGGGGAAAAGAAAGAGAGATCAGATTGTTACTGGGTCTGTGTAGAAAGAAGTAGACATAGGAGACTCCATTTTGTTCTGTACTAAGAGAAATTCTTCTGCCTTCAGATGCTGTTAATCTGTAACCTTACCCCCAACCCTGTGCTCCCTGAAACATGTGCTGTGTCCACTCAGGGTTAAATGGATTAAGGGCTGTGCAAGGTGTGCTTTGTTAAACAGATGCTTGAAGGCAGCATGCTTGTTAAGAGTCATCACCACTCCCTAATCTCAGGTACCCAGGGACACAAAACACTGCGGAAGGCCGCAGGGACCTCTGCCTAGGAAAGCCAGGTATTGTCCAAGGTTTCTCCCCATGTGATAGTCTGAAATATGGCCTTGTGGGAAGGGAAAGACCTGACCGTCCCCCAGCCCGACACCCATAAAGGGTCTGTGCTGAGGCGGATTAGTAAAAGAGGAAGGAACGCTTCTTTGCAGTTGAGACAAGAGGAAGGCATCTGTCCCTGGGCGATGGAATGTCTCAGTATAAAACCCGATTGTATGTTCCATCTACTGAGATAGGGAAAAACCGCCTTAGGGCTGGAGGTGGGACAGGCGGGCAGCAATACTGCTCTTCAAGGCATTGAGATGTTTATGTGTATGCATATCTAAAGCACAGCACTTAATTCTTTACCTTGTCTATGATGCAGAGAACTTTGTTCACGTGTTTACCTGCTGACCTTCTCTCCGCTATTATCCTATGACCCTGCCACATCCCCCTCTCTGAGAAACACCCAAGAATGATGAATAAATACTAAGGGAACTCAGAGGCCGGCGGGGATCCTCTGTCTGCTGAACGCCGGTCCCCTGGGCCCCCTTTTCTCTTTCTCTATACTTTGTCTCTGTGTCTCTTTCTTTTCCAAGTCTCTCGTTCCACCTAACGAGAAACACCCACAGGTGTGGAGGGGCAACCCACCCCTTCAGCTTTGTCTGTAAATTGGGAGGAACAATTAGATGCATTGATCTTCCCCAGAGATAATTGGGCTACCTTGGAGCCATTGTCATCAATGTTTAGGGTTTTCTAGTAACCATTCTTCCATGGTTTTTGGATGCAAGCTTTTATTTTTTAAATTTATTCTTTTTTCAACTTTTAGATTCAGCAGGTACATGTGCAGGTTTGTTACAAAGGTATATTGCGTGACGCTGAGGTTTGGGGTTTGATGGAACCCGTCACCCAGGTAGTGAGCGTGGTACCTAACAGATCGGTTTCAACCCCTGCTCCCGTCTCTCTCTCCTCCCTCATAGCCTCCAGTGTCTGTTGTTTCCATCTTTATGTCCATGTGTAGATGCCAGATGTCACATTTACTCTATTCAACATTCAAGAGACCATTTTGAGGCCGGGCGCAGTGGCTCACGCCTGTAATCCCAGCACTTTGGGAGGCCAAGGTGGGTGGGCAGATCACTTGAGGTCAGGAGTTCAAGACCAGTCTGGCCAACATGGTGAAACACTGTGTCTACTAAAAATACAAAAAATTAGCCAGGTGTGGTGGCAGGCGCCTGTAATCCTAGCTACTCGGGAGGCTGAGGCAGGAGAATCACTTAAACCCAGGAAGCAGAGGCTGCAGCGAGCTGAGATTGTACCACTGCACTCCAGCCTGGGGGACAGAGCAAGACTCCATCTCAAAAAAAAAAAAAGTCAATGTCCTTATGGTAATCTATAATGCCCTACTGATGCCCTCTGCCTGCCTCACTTCTCTGACCTCAGCTCCTACCCCCCTCCCACTCACCTCACTCCAGCCAAAAGGTCCTCCTCAATGTTCTTCAGCCCGGACCCCAGTGCCTCTGACCCCAGGGCCTTTGCATTTGCTGTTCCCTCTGCCCAGAATAGGATATCAAACAGTGTCATCTTAGACGAGATCTCTCTCCAGCTCTTGGCTTCACCTCTTCTGTACTGTCTTATTCTTAGGCAGCCTCTCTTTTTCATTGTGGTGCCTCTGGCTCCTCCAGGCTGTCATCCTCCAAGGGGAAAAGAGAGTATTTCTCTTGGCCAATAGTTCAATATAAGTCCTGGAATGGAATCGTATTGGCTCTGATGAGGTCACATGCTCATTGCTGACCCAATCTCCAGGGACAGGCAGGAGAATGGAACACGAAGCTCCCATGCTTCACTGAAACCACAGGGTTCCACGTGGAATACGGGGAGGGAACAGGTGGGCTGAACTTGCAGCTATGATCCAATACTAATGGTGACAATAAAAATGATAACAACAATAATAGTAGTGGCAGCCAGCATTAACACAGTGCTTGCTCTGGTCTCAGCAGCAGGAAGGCGGGAAAACATCTGAGACCTGGGCCAGATGCACCTGTCAAGGTGTCTTAGGAAACTCTTACCTTGGGTGTGCAGTTGGGCTGAGAAAGCAGTGATATCCAATCTTGTCCACATGTTAGCAGCTTCTTTTAAAGAATAACTGTGGGACCCACCTCAAACCAATTGAATAGGAACCTTCTGGGGTGGAAAGGAACTCTAACATTAGGGTTTTTAAACTCTCCAGGTACTTCAAACATGCCTTGGCTCTGTATATTAGTCCGTTCTCACGTGGCTATAAGGACATACCCAATACTGGGTAATTTATAAAGGAAAGAGGTTTAACTGACTCACAGTACAGCATGGCTGGGGAGACCTTAGGAAACTTACAATCATGGTAGAAGGGGAAACAAACACGTCCTTCTTCACAGGGTGGCAGGAAGGAGAATGAGAGCTGAGTGAAGGGAAAAGACCCTTATAAAACCATCAGATCTCATGAAAACTTACTATCATAAGAATGGTATGGGGGAAACCACTCCCATGATTCAATTACCTCCCACTGGGTCCCTCCCATGGCACGTGGGGATTATGGAAACTACAATTCTAGTTGAGATTTGGGTGGGGACACAGCCAAACCATATCACTCTGGTACTAAAAACCAGCTAGCTCATTGGGGCTGGGGTGTGCTATCTGCAGTTTCAGCAACCACCCAGGTGATTCTCCTGCTCATTTATAGCTTGAGGGTCTCTGCACAAGGGCCTTACTTCCCATAATTGCTTGGCACCCTGAGGTCAACAGATAAGGCTGGTCCTGACCAGAAGTGACCTGCTGGTCACATGAGATCACCTGCTAGTCACCTGAGGGCTGAAAGAATAAACATCTCAGGCACCTCGTGACCATTCTGCAGGGGGAGCTTGATGCAAGGTCTCTTGTATGAGTCTAAGAATCTTTAAAATTGCCCTGTTCGCTTTAGAAGGACCCCAGTTTTATTTCTTGATGTTCTCATTTTCCTATGAAATTAGTAGTATCTTTCATTCCTGGAGGAAAAAACTAGTCCTTGCCCCTTGTGTTAAAAATTATTTCTCTCCTCCCAGGTATGCAGTTCTACAGACAAATGGAGATTCTTTAATAGCAGGGCTGCCTGGGGGAGAAAAAGTTATTCTGGCCTTATTTACCCAATGGCATTTCAATTGACAATGAACACGAATGCCCTGATTGTTGTTTTGTGGGTTCTGGCCAGTCCACACCGGAGCTGGTTACATTTCAAAAGTTTCTTGATAGGTGGGTGCCTGGGAATTAAAATATATTTCCTTGGCCTGGTGTGGCTGGTCACACCTGTAACCTCACACTTTGGGAGGCCGAGAGGGGAGGATAGCTTGAGGCCAGGAGTTTGAGACCAGCCTGGGCATAGAAAGACCCCATCTCTACAAATTGTGTGTGTGTGTGTGTGTGTGTGTGTGTGTGTGTGTGTGTGTGTGTGTATTTTTTTTTTCTTCTTATAGTGACAGTGTTATCAAAACCAAGGTGGTTTTCCAACTTAGCCCACAAATATCTATTCAACTCATATAATTGTAGAAAGTAACCTGGGTGCAGTGGCTTACACCTGTAATCTCAGCACTTTGGGAGGCCAAAGCAGTGGATCATCTGAGGTCAGGAGTTTGAAACCAGCCTGGCCAACATGGTGAAACCCTGTCGCTACTAAAAATACAAAAATTAGCTGGACGTGGTGGCATGTGCCTGTAATCCCAGTTACTCAGGAGGCTGAGGCAGGAGAATCGCTTGAACCCGGGAGGCAGAGGTTGCAGTGAGCGAAATCTCATCACTGCTCTCCAGCCTGGGTGACAGAGCAAGACTCTGTCTTGAAAAAAAAAAAAAAGTACTATCACAACATGAGTAAGTTTTCACTTATGTAACTCATCTAAGATTTTAGATGGGAAAATGTAAAAACTGATTCCAGAGTTAATAGAACTTGTGTTGTTGGAAAAATGTTCACATCTCCCTCTTAACCCAAATGTTGGCCCGGAGTGTCTGTGTCTGGGTGCTGTGCTGTGAGGGCCGGGGGTCACCATCCTGGGCAACGGCTTCGTGCAGACACCTGCTCAGTCAGGCTGGAGGCCCCAGCAGCCAACCAGCTGCTGTTTCTCAGTCTGGTCACTGCCCAGACCAAAGCAAGGACAAGAGAGGGGACAGGTGCTCTTGGGAGATGCAGTTGAGAGCAGGGATGTGCTTAGCTGGGGCTGCACCCTGGCAGGCACAGACTTGCTTTGAGATATTGCATTTTATCTTGAACAAATTCATGCCACCTTTGCATTCTACCCAACAAAACTCTCACATTTGCGGGGCACAGTGGCACACGCCTATAGTCCTAGCTACTCGGGAGGCTGAGGCGGCAGGATTGCTTGAGCCCAGGAGTTCAAATCTAGCCTGGGCAACATAGTAAGACCTTGTTTCTAGAAAAACCAAACCAAAACGATTTGTTTTATTATATACAGCTTAACCCTTCTGTGCCTCAGTTTCTTCATCTGTAAAAGAGTGAAAATAGCAACACCTGCCTTGTAGGGTTGCTGTGAGGACCGAATACATTTCATTATATTTAATGAACTTAGAATAATGCCTGTCACCTAGTAAGCACTACACAAGGTTAACTATTACTATTATCAATGTTGTCACTATTATTCATCTCATTAACTTACTAGTTGTCTGGAATCAGTTGCCTGGGAGTGGCCCCTACTCTGGTTTTCAACACAACACACTCTTAAGAGCCAACTGCACACTCTGGGGGAGGAAGGGCAATGTTTCTGCAAATTGTTGTTCCCTTGGCATATTAGTTATCTATTCCCATGTTACAAATTATGCCAAAACGTAGTGGTTCTGTGAAAAACAGTATGTATTATTTCATAGGTTCTGTGAGTCAGGATGAAAGCTGGTGCTCCTGGTTCAAGGTCTGGCACAGGCTGCAGTCAAGATGCCTAACAGGCTGCATTATCCCGAGGGTCAACTGGGGAGGGACCTGCTTCCAGGCTTACCCACGTGGTTGTTGGTAGAACTCAGCTCCTTGCAGGCTGTTGGCCAGAGACCACTTTAGTTCCTGGTCAAATGGGTCTCTTTATGGGATGGCTTACAACTTGGCAGCTGGCCTTATCAATGCAAGCAAATAAGGAGACACACACACACACACACACACACACAGAGAGAGAGACAGAGAGCGAGCACGCCCACACATACACAAGCAAGATGGAGGTCACAGTCTTTCATAACCTAATCTCAGGAGTGACAGCCCATCATTTTTACTGGATTCTATTCTTAGAAGCAAGACATGACCAAGGAGAGGGGACTTCACAAAAGGTGGGGTCATTGGGAGCCATTTAGAAGCTGCCTGGTCTGTTGGGGGCACAACACCTTGAGATCATGGGCATTAGAACCAAGTTTGATGCCAACTTTTAAAAAATTTTATTATTGGATCTTGAATTCCTAGCCTCAAGTGATCCTCCTGCCTTGGCCTCCCAAAGTGCTGGGATTACAAGGATGAACTGCCATGTCTGGCCCAATGTGAGCTGTTTCTCTTACCTAGTGTTAAAATAAAATGGGAGGCCATTAGGCTGAGGTGGCTCCCATGCCCTGGGATTCTATATAAACAAGGTGAAGCTTAACCTTAGCCAATCATAAAAGACCAGCTAAGCATTAATTACATGATCAGGAACTTTCCACCAGGATCATCTAAATAAGGCAACTGCCCAAACCTTAACCAATCAAATAATTTCTTTATTTTCCACATTCCTTATTTAATTTATCTGATTTTCCTCTTTACTCTATCAAAGCCCTTCCTTCAAACTCCTCTGGAGGAGCCCTGAACCACCTTCGATTTGGTGCTGCCCAGTTCATGAATTGCTGTTTGCTCAAATAAACTCTTTAACTTTTTAATGTGCCACCATTTATCTTTTAACACCAGCAGTGTGAGTCCCACACGTTGCTCTATCTCACCCAGCCTCGTCCCTGAGGATCAAATGTTACCTACCTTGATGAGCCACCTTGCCCAGTGTGTGAGTTTCCCGTGGCTGCTGTAGGAGATTGCCACAAACTTGGTGGCTTATTCTTGCACGGTTCAGTGGCCAGAAATATGACATGGGACTCACTGGGCTAAAATCAAGGTGTCAGCAGGGCTGTGTCCCTTTCAGGAGGCTCTAGGGAGAATCCGTTCCCTTGTCCTTTCCAGCAGTGAGAGGCTGCCGGCACTCCTTGGTCTGTGGCGCCTTCCTCCATCTCCACAGCCAGGAATGGAAGTTGAGTCTTTCTCATGTTGCACCGTTCTGACCTTTTCAGTAGCCACACTTACCTCTGACCCACTTCTTTCTCCTCCTTCACCCAGCGTTAAGGATCCCTGTGGCTACATAGGGCCCCCTGGATAATCTAATCTAGATATTCTTCCTATTTTTAGGTCAACTGATGAGCAGCACTCATCTCACCTGCAACCTTAGCTCCCTCTGCCATGTAAAGTATCACAGTCACGGGTTCTAGGAACCAGAGTGTGGGCCTCTGGGGACCCATCATTCTGGTGACCATGGAGTCCTTCCTTGAATCAGTTTTCATGTGACCCAAGGGCCTCCCCTTTCTCACAGGCCACACCTGGCTGCCTGATTGTCCCTGGCAGGGGGGTCCTGGCACCCAGAGGAGGAGGCGCTCCCCATATGCCCAGGGGCCAGGAGGGAGGCTCATTAATCGTGTAGGAACATGAAGAGGAGGCAGGCGGCTGGACAAAGTGATGTTCAGGGTCTTGCTTCGAGGTTCCCACGTGTGTGTCTGACTCCCTGGGGCTGCCCACGTGGTCCTGTGGTCCTGTGGTTTTACTCCAGGAGGCCACCTGCCTGCCACCCCTCAGAGGAAGGGAAAAAGCTGCCGTTTCACGTTGGAGCTGCACGCACAGAGGAAGACCTCCTGCCTGGCATCAGGCCATTCCTCAACTCATCTCCTGCTGGGTGGTCTATCGTCCTCACAGCGTGCTGGGCTCAGGATCTGGGCCTCCTGGCTGGAAGGGAATCTGGGTGGCTTAACAGGTTTTATTTGTCCTGAGGCCAGCTTTCAAATTTTGCCGACCCCACTGATGTTTCTGGCATCCTGTGGAGGAAAGAAAACAAAAGCCATTTCCCCCCCAAAAGCCACCTTTTGGGATTGCAGACAGCTGGCAGGGATGGTGGGGGGCCCTGCCCACCTGAAACTTTGTCTACTGGGCCTGGATCTCTGAGTGGCCTAGGCTGCTTTGGTCCTTCTTGAGCTGAGCTGGGCTAGGCTGGTGAGGGGCGTATTGTCCTGCCATCTAGTGGCGAGTTCTGGGACTGCGAGCTATAATGGCCCAGGCGCTGCCTATAGTGGAGCCATATATACCAGGGCGGTTGGTCCCAGGCCCCTGGTCATGCCACAGAATCACCAAAGGAAGTTTAAAAACTACGTAGGCTCCAGACTCACCCCACACCTAGTGAATCAGAAATCCCGAGGCCTGGAAATAAGCATTTTAACTTTAGCGTGTAGATTCCCTAGGCCCTATCTCAAAACCCTAAATTATTGGCTTTGGAGAAGGACCTAGAAATCGGAACTTTTAACAAGAGTACTCCAGTGACTCTCGTGAGCAGCTTGACTTGAACACCACCCATTCAGCTGCCCACAAGATAAATGAGGCAACTGTGGGATGTAGATTATTTTAAAAGCTGATACAATATTCGATCGTATTACTAGGAGCATAAAGTCCAGGTTAAGGGAGGATAGCAGTTAAAAACATCTGGGTTCGAATCCCTACTTTTGATACTACTAGTTATGTGACCCGGGGCCAGTGTCTTAACTTTTTCCTGCCTCTGTAAAGTGGGGATAAGAGTACCTGTCTGCCAGGATTACAGCAAGGACTCAATTAGATCTCATGTAAAGGGCACAGGGCCTGACCCTTGGGAATTGGGCCCTTCATTACGATTCCACTGCTTGGGCCTATGTGGGAGCACGGTGTCCTTATTCAGGGATGTATTTATGAGAGGATTGTCCAGAGAAGGAAGAGATGGAAGGGGAGACCATGGAAGAAGGACAAGGGGCATGGAAAAGGCTTGAGGGTCTGTAATGGGGTTGGGGGAAGGAGATGTTTTGGGAGGGAGGCATTTATGCTGCTTAAAAAAAATAACAGGCCAGGCGCGGTGGCTCACGCCTGTAATCCCAGCACTTTGGGAGGCCGAGGCGGGCAGATCACCTGAAGTCAGGAGTTCGAGCCCAGTCTGGCCAACATGGCGAAACCCTGTCTCTACTAAAAATACAAAAATTAGCCGGGTGTGGTGGCTCATGCCTGTCATCCCAGCTACTCAGGGGGCTGAGGCATGAGAATCACTTGAACCCAGGAGGCAGAGGTTGCAGTGAGCCAAGATCGTGCCACTGCACTTCAGCCTGGGTGACAGAGCAAGACTCTGTCTCCCCAAAACAAAACAAATAACAGAGGGTCAACGTGGAAGAGGGACCAGGAGGCAGAGTGATAGAAAGTCCCCATGAGCAACTGGAACTAAGAAGGGCACAGGCAGACTCATGGTACAGTGAGCTCACAGCCACAGGAGACTGCAGGCCGATGCTGCATGAGGAATCTGTTGGGTGCCATAAAGCAGTGGTTCCCAACTGTGGCACTTATGTCCCTCATGGAGTGTGACCTGATTTGGGGGACATGCAGGTGAGCATTTGCAGGAATATTTATTTGTATATTTATGTGCATACTTGGCACATAGAGGCACACATATCCGTACCCACATCTATGTATTAGAAAACAGAGCCAGCGTCTTAGGCCTGTGGTTACACAGACACAGGCAGTGATGTCAGGTCTGGCCCGATTTAAAATAGGCAGCTATTATGCCAATAATAGTAGAGCTGGTTGTGGATGTGGTTGGAATAGTCAGGGTGGTCTTGGGGAACCCAGCCATAGAGGAACTTTCTGCTTGGGTTTGGAGACTGATGTCAGTGACATGGACTGGCTTTCCTGTGAGTGAGGACTCCACCCCAGGGCCTTCACTCTTGTGTCACCAAGAGGGTGTCGGCAAAGTTGCCGTTTTTAACAAGCCAGTCTGAAGCCTCTGGTGACCTCGATGCTGGAGTTTGTTGGGTTAAGTGACCACAAAACCAAATGAACCTGCCCACCTAACACGTGTCTCCTGGAGTCTTTCACTCTTGCTTTGTGTTTCTTTTCTTCACAGCACCTGCTGACATGATATATATGTATGTGTGCATTATTTCAGGCCAGAGACTGTTTTGTCAGTAGATCTATTTCACATAGTGCTGGCATAAGGCACACACACCCAGCAAGTGTTTGTTGAGTGAATAAATGATGGAAGCAACTTTGATAAGACTTGCTCCAGTTGTTTGGGGATGCCAGTTGCATGCCCATCTATCTCTGAGAGGCTCCTGGAAGAGCATCTTGCAGCAAGTGTACCAGGGCTCTGTGCTGTCAGGGTGGTGTTGGCTCCATCCTCTTGGCGCTGGGTTGATCTCTATCCTGAGCTAGAACCGGAGTTGTCCTGGAGAGGAACCTGGCCAGAAAAGAGCCATGTGGAAACCCTGTGAAGAAACCAAAAGAGGGGCGATGGTCCTGGGGTGTCCAGATGGTGGCATGGCAGTGAGGAGACACAGAGCCATAACTTGCCCACAAAAGCAGCCTGGCTTCTGACTCTGCAACTCTCACAGGCTCAAGGGGACGACATTGTAACCAAAATGCAGATTCAGTTCCTCGCCACTTGCAGAGTCTAATTAACAAGCTAGGTCTGGTATAAAGAAAGTGACTTTTTATTCCAAAGCTAACATAGGGAAAGAAGTACAGGCTTCCTGCCTTAAGGGTTCCACCTTGCCTTTGGAGCAGAAGGGGAGTGTTTTTAAAAGGGGCCTACACAGGGGTGGAAGTGAGCAGGGGGGTTTCACATGCTACCTTGATGGCTTATTTACTGGGACTCGAGTTGGCATCTTCATGGGCATACTTTGGGTCATCAATCAACTGTTATCTATCGAGGAAACCTCCTGGTGGGTGAGAGTTTTGCTTTGGAGCTTCTAAGCACATGATTAGGTGAACTTGCCCTGTAAGGAGTGTGTGGGGAAGAGGAGGTAAAAGGCTATAACTGCATTTCTAAAGAGCTAAGTAGGAAGTGAAGAACAGGGAGAAATGGAGAAAAGAAGAGAAAATAATAAAGAATAATAGTAACTCCTTGTCTTTTTCCGGGAAAAATGGGGGCACTTGTTACTCATCTCTAGCAGCAAGACTGGGTCAATTAAAAAAACAGAAGAATTTAGGATTCTTTCATGCTTCCAAGTTGTTCTGTGTAATGCAGATAGAGTCCTTAAAATGCAGGCGAGAGTTGTGTGTGTGCATGTGTGTGGTATGTAGTTGCTGGGAGAAAGGGTGGGAGTCACCTCAGTGTCAAGGCCAGTGGACAGTAGGTCATTTACCTGGGAATCTTCTCCAGTCAAGCATGTGGAATCCAATTCTAGTTGTCTTTAGCTGGTGATGGGGGTAGTGTGTGAGACTCTTACGTGCTGAATTGCATATCCTCAAAATTCAGATGTGGAGTACCTAAGGGTGTATTTGGAGATCAGATCTTTAAAGAGGTAATTAAGTTCAAATGAGGTCAGATGGGTGGGCCCTAATCCAACATGACTACTGCCTTATAAGAAGAGGCGATTTGGGCACACACATACATAGAGAGGCAACCGTGGATGGACCACAAGGAGAATATGGCCGTTTGCAAGCCAAGGAGAGGGGCCTCAGAAGAAGCCAACCCTGCTGGCACCCTGAGGTTGGATTTCCAGCCTCCAGGACCATAGGCGGGTCCATGTCTGTTGTGCAAGCACCGTGGCCTGTGGCTCTTGATTATGGCAGCCCTAGCAAACTAAGACACAGAGAAATGGGAATGGTAGGGTGGTGGTGCTTAGTGCATCACAACCAAACCTCAGAAAGCAGGGGTGGACGTGGCCTTGGAGACGACTGGATCTGAGAATAGATCAGTTGTCCTTGCCCCCCTCCCGCATCTAGGCATCCGACTCTGGCTGGGCCCCGTTCTCTAGGCATCTCCTTGTGGGTGGGATGGGGCAGCCTGCAGCTCTGGGACTCGTCGTACAGCTTAAGATCCAAAAAAAAGCGGCAGCTCACCGCCACCTGCAATTCTGAGCCCTGTCGGAAAGGGTTCTGATTTTCACCTCTCAGGTTTGGAGTCTACTCCCGGGCCTTTCATCATGGGCCAGGGCTGCAGGGCTGGATTGGTCCAGCCAGGATCCTGAGACTTCCCTGAAGGCGGGGTTGGGGGTGAGGTGGGGGCAGCAGGATCCTAAGGGCACTAAGATCAGCAGCACCCCCACCTCCAAGAACTTCACGGAGTGGGGGCGGAGCAGTTCCCTGAGGCCAGCCAATCAATCGGGAGGTCTCAGCAGAGATGCTTTCCCCTCTCCATCCTGATTGGTTCCCACCCAGGAATTTCCCATGAAATCCAAACCACAAGGCTCGAGGCGGACCCCCACTGGGAGGTCCCGGGCCGCGCCTGGGGCGCAGGCAGGCGGGTCCCTGTGAGTGTGTGGAGTGGTGGTGGCTGTCGACGGCCATGTGGCGTCATGGTGATAGGAGGGTGTCCATTCTTTTTCTTCCTTATCTAGGACTTGAGGTGGGACATGGAAGAACAGGGACCCCTCCTGGTTTGTCCACCCAGCCCACACCTCCATTCCTCACCCAACCTACCACTTCAGAGCCGGGAAAAGACCTCAGAGAACATCCGCTCCGACTCTACCGAGGCTCAGACAGGGTAAGGAGTTGGCCCCACGTCACACAGCCTGGTGTATGTGGCAGAGCCTGGGTGACAGACAGTCAGCCCCACCAGGTCTTTCAGCTCCAACCTTGGTTAGAAGGGGAGGAAGGCTGGCACACCCAGCTGCTGCCAGGCACCGCCGCTAATGTGCTGTATTAGTGGCCGGGCCTGAATCACTTGCCCAATTTGGACGTGGGCAAGTTTCCAAAATGTCCTGGTTGTTTCCTATTGTCTATTTTTAAAAAATGATGGCCTGTAATCCCAGCACTTTGGGAGGCTGAGGTGGGTAGATCACCTGAGGTCAGGAGTTCAAGACGAGCCTGATCAATATGGTGAAACCCCGTCTCTACTAAAAATACAAAAACTAGCCGGGCGTGGTGTCGCGTGTTTGTAGTCACAGCTACTTGGAAGGCTGAGACTGGAGAATTGCTTGAACCTGGGAGGCGGAGGTTGCAGTGAGCCGAGATTGCACCACTGCACTCCAGCCTGGGCGCCAGAACAAGACTCTGTCTCAAGAAAATAAATAAATAAAAATAAATAAAATTTAAAAATTTAAAAAAGGTGGTGATGATGCAGGTGTGGTGCAAGATTAGCTATTATAAGTACTCACCGAACCAGACCTTTCTAAGTCCCTAAATTATTACCTTGTTTTAAGTCAGGAGCTCACGGGGCTGATGGGGCTGTCTTTACCCTTTAAGCCTATAATTTACAGAGCAATATTCTTCCAGGCAGAGGGGGTGGATCCAGCTTCCAACCGTGCAGTACTTAATAATGAGGAGGTCTTTTTCGCCTTGGGGACATCTGGCTTCAGGAAATTTTACTGTAAACAGCTGGGTGTGACCAGCCAGCTTTAGGGCCAAGGCTGTAATGGCCCAGTGGGTTCGAGCCCAGACTCCACAGAGAGCCAGTCTGCTGAGGCTGAGGTCCTAGCTGCCACTCACTAAGGTGGGACACTGGGAAATCTATGGAACACTCCGTGCCTCAGTTTCCCATCTGACCAATGGGGAAAACAATGCTTACCCGAGATTGTTGTGGAGACTAAATGAGCAAAAACACATACAGCTGTGATTCTCAATCAGGGATGATTTTGTTCCCCCAGGGACATTTGGCAATGTCTGGAGAAATTTTGAGTTGTTCTGACTAGGTAGACAGATGTTGTTACTGGCATCTAGTGAGTAGAGGCCAGGGATACTGCTAAACATCCTATAAGAATGATCTGGGCTTGGTGCGGTGGCTCATGCCTGTAATCCCAGCACTTTGGGAGGCCAAGGTGGGAGGATTGCCTGAGCGCAGGAGTTCGAGACCAATCTGGGCAACAAAGAGAGATCCTGTCTCTACAAAAATTAAAACAAAACAAAACAAAAACTGGCCCAGAATGTCAGTAGTGCTCACTGAGAAATGCTGGCGTAAAAGACAGTGTGATGGTCCAATCAGTATTGGTGCTTATCAGTCCTCAGCTCAAGGTTGGATGTCCCTGAATTCTCAGTTCTCTTTCTGGCACTTATGTGAGCTGCTGGGTGCTTGGTCTTAAGTTTTTTCTCCTGTCTGAATATCAGGGGGCTCCTCTCCCCTGGAGTCTGCCTGCCCAGCCCCACCTGCAGGGGAGAGGAAGCCTGTGTTGGGAAAGAGGAGGCCCCTGCCGGGCCACTTTAGAGGATCCACTGGCTTCGCACGTCCTAAGAGCCGCAGGGTGCTCTTGGGCTGCTGTTCTCTCACCTCTTAAGAGCGGAAAATCCGTGCATGCATTGTGTCCTCAGGCCATAAGCCTGGGTGGGCTGCCTCCACCCTTGGTGAGTTTGCAATCCTATCCAAGCCAATGGGATTCCACCCTGAGACTTTGCTAGAACCGCCTGGCAAGAGGGTCTCTCTTGTGCAGGGGTTGCTGGCTGAGACAGTGTTTGTCTTGTGACCATTTTGCCAACAAATGGGGACAATCTGTCTGAGAATTAACTGGTATAAACGATAGCAAACCCAAGAGGTGAAGAAGGCTGAGTGTCTTGAAAGCAACATCGGACACCCTGGCGCCAGCTGTGTCCAAAGCCAGCTGTTGACCTTGAGTGTTCTTTACGTATGCCGCTTCATTCCCATTTACTGTATTTGCAAACCATTCTTTGAGTGGGGTTTCAGTCACTGGTCACTGGCTGTATTAGGCCATTCTTGCATTGCTATAAAGAAATCCCTGACACTGGGTAACTTATAAGAAAAGAAGTCTAATTGGCTCATGGTTCTGCAGGCTATACAGGAAGCATGGTGCCAGCATCCCCTTCTAGGGAGGCCTCAAGAAGCTTCCAATCATGGTGGAAGGCAAAAGAAGATACCTTCTTCCTACTTTCTCTCTCTTGCTCCTGCTTTTACCATGTATTGTGCATTACATGGTAAAAGCAGGAGCAAGAAGGAGAAAGTAGGAAGAAGATGCCAGCATTTACAACAACCAGATCTCGTGAGAACTCACTCACTGTCACAAGGCTAGCACCAAGAGGATGGTGCTAAACCACTCATTAGAAATCGGCCTCCATGCGGAGCTTGCAGTGAGCCGAGATCATGCCACTGCACTCCAGTCTGGGCAACAGAGCGAGACTCCGTCTCAAAAAAAAAAAAAAAAAAAGAAAAAGAAAAAGAAATTGGCCTCCATGATCCAATCACTTCCCACCAGACCTCACCTCCAACAATGGGGATTACAATTCTACATGAGATTTGGGCAGGGACAAATATTCGAACTATATCACTGGCTCATGTAGAAATTCTACCTGCCCTACGGTCTTTTGTTTTTCTATTTATGTTTTCCTGCAGCCTTATTTTTTTTTTCCTCATTAGCCAGATTGGAAGTTTCTTGAGGGCAGGGCTTGTATAATAAACTCAATCCCCTCTGGATGCTATGAGGCAGCACTGTTCAGTGGAACTTTCTGTGACAAAGAGGATGTTCTGTATCTGTTCTGTCTGGTACAGCAGCCACCCACTAGCCACATGTAGCTATAGAACACCTGAAATGTGGCTAGTGTGACTGAGGAATGGAGTTTTAAATTCTAATTTAATTTTAATTCATAATTTGAGTAAATACGTGTTGCCTGTGGCTGCCATATTGGCCGGCACAGCAGGGTAGCATCTTCCATGGGCAGCTGTTGCTCTGTGAATTTTTATATATTTATCTGTTCGTTTGCTTAACAGACAACAAGAGTGTGCTGGACACTGGGAAATGTGGTCCAGGAGCAGTCACAGTCCCTATAGACCTCCCACAAATTACCGTAATGCAAAGGTGAGAATGTGGAATGTCTCAGAGGAGACCCAGATTATAGCCTCTGGAATTCAGCGGAGATCTCTCGTGGTCCAGAGAGATGTTGCAGAGATGGGGTGGGACTGCGTAAGACTCCTCAAGGGCGATTAGTCAAACACTGAGATGAACTGATCCATCTGCGCTCTGCTGAGGAGCCCTTCTGGGATGTAAGTCCTCATCCGAGAGGCAGCTGGAGGGGATGGGGCCCGGCAGAATAGGGTTAATGCAGCCAAAGTTCAAATTCTGGCTCTATTAGCAGTGAACACTTGGGAGAGCTCCTTCACTCACCGACTCTCATCAGGAAAATAGTGATAGCATGAACCCCTCCAGATGGTTTTAGGATTAAAAGAGATACTTGTGCAAAGCCTCAGCATACGGTAAGTGGTTGGAACAAACATATGCATAGAATCTTAGCTGCCAATTATTAGGAGGACTCAGCCCTCTCCTCCTGGGGGGTGCACTGTGAGGCTTAGAAAGACTAAGGGAGACCCAGCCCCTCACCTCCATCCCACACGAGGCTCTACCCTTCCTTGGGGGCCGGGTCTTCCTTTCTTGACTCCCCTCAATGCCAGGGCTGCCTGGGGTGCCGGAGATCAACCACAGAAAGAAGCCCTGCTTGGTTCAAGTGAATTGAGGGGAGCTGGGCATTTCCCACCGGTTTGATGAAGCTCCTCTCCAGCTTCATTCCCTGCCACTGGGAATCAGCGGCACAACTTGCAACCAACATGGCTGAAAACAGGCATCTTGGGCAGATTCTACCTGACACCTTAGTTGGCAGCCAATCAGTTGTGCCCTGGCTACCCTAGTGCCACCTCATGGGTCCCTTGCATTGGGCTGTAGCCTGATAAATCTGATTTAGCCATGAGCCAGAGCAAAGGGAAAGAGCGAACCATTTGCAGAAGGCGGGGCCTCATGTCCAGGTGTAGCACTTAGGAAGCACTAATTGCATCTGGGATGACACAGATGTACGGGAGCCAGGTCGAGGGTCCTGGGAGGGGGCAGAGGCCCAGCAGAGGATCTGCCTGGTGCCCCTTCTTTACCCTCAGGAGATGGTACCCTCACCCCCAGCACTCCAGCCTCAGGGGGTCCTTTGTAGCCGTGGGGCTCTGCCCCTCCTGCCACAGGACCTTTGCACACTGTTCATCCTGTCTAGAATCCTCTCCACCTGCTGAACTCCCCTCCACCCAGGCCTCACCTTCTCTTTTCTACATTAAATCCCCCATGTGAAAAGATATGAAAAGCCCTCTGACTACCAGCTACCTCTGCTGTCAAGACTTACTACAGTTGGCTGGGTGTGGTGGCTCACACCTGTAACCCCAGCACTCTGGGAGGCCAATGTTGAGGGGGATTGCTTGAGCTCAGGAGTTCAAGATCAGCCTGGCAACATAGTGAAAGCTCTACAAAAAAAAAATTAATCAGGTGTGGTGACATGACCGTAGTCCCAGCCACTCGGGAGGCTGAGGTGGGAGGATTGCTCGAGCCCAGCAGATTGAGGCTGCAGTGAGCTATGATCCTGCCACTGCACTCCAGCTTGGGTGACAGAGCAAGACTTCATCTCAAAAAAAAAAAGAAAAAAAAAAAAGACAGACCACAGTGACACTTGGCGGAGTATTTAATTCATGTCTGTCTTTCCCACCAAGAGGGTAGTGGTTGGGCAGGATTTTTTCACCATTACGTCCCAGCATCTAGCTCAGGGACTGCCTGCCTGCCTGGGATGGTCTTCCCCCAGATCTTTGCAGGGCTGGCTCCTCAGAATTTAGGTCTCAGCTCAAAAATCCTCAAGGATCCCCCGCACTCTACTTGAAGTCCCGATCACACTTGTCACTATCTGAAATCAATCACCCTGGCCACTGGTGTGTTTCTTACCTCCTTTCATGACCTGTGTAAGTTCTGCCACTGGATCCCCACCACCAAGGACCAGCCCTGGCTCCCAGGTGGATTGAACAATACAGTATCTGTGGTCAGCCTAGAGAAACTGGCCATCCCCAGTCTATCTTTCAGCGTCTTCTAACTTTTCTTGTCTCCTCCCCATTTAATACACACTTCCAGAGTGCTCAGCCCCTGCCGACATGAGCAATGGGCAGCGCGTCCAGCTGGGTTCCTGCCCCATGAGAAGCACACAGCCTGGTTTGGTAGGTGGGGCTCCATCAGGGCTGTTTGGATACCTGGGTGGAGCCCACAGACCAGCCCCCACCTTGTGTGGTTAGGGCTTTGCTAGGAAGGCCCATCTGTGCGCCATGACCTTGGAACTCGATGTGAGATCCCTGGACCGGCAGCAGCACCTGGAAGCTTGTTGGAAATGCTGATCTCAGGTGGGACTCCAGAATTCCCGCATCTGCACCTGCACTCCCAAAATACCTCCCCACCAGGTGATCCGAGGCCATGGGGCGGTCTGAAGGGCACTGTGCTGGGGCGTCCCACCACTAGAAATCCAGTCCGGTAATCTGAAGATGTAAGTGCCCCCAGGAGGAGTGACGGAGTGACACAAATGACACAAGGGGAGGGGACTTGTCAGGTGTCCACTCCTGACTGCAAGTTCCCAGGGCAGAAGGCAATGCCCCCACAGGGACTTTTCCAGACACTCCGAGTGCACCTGAATTGCATTTTGAGTGATGCTGCCTGCTAAGGTAAATCCTATGCTGGGAGGTGGGGGGAGGGGGGTTTGCCAACATTGCAGGGGGGTGAGGGTTGGGAGAGTGTGTAATTGTGAGGATGATCCTGGGATTTGGAGGCAGATGGACTGGGTTTGAGTCCCTGCCCTGGGATGTCTTAGCTTTACAGAGCTGGGCAAGGCCCTCCACCTTTCTGATCTCAGCTTCTCCATCTGTGAAATGGGTTCAAAATCTCACAAAGAGGCTGCTGGGAACACTAAATGAGAAAACACAGAAAAAAGCCCCCTCTGCCATAAAGTGCTGTGCAGTAGTATTTATTGTTACAGTGTTAAAATTCACTCTCGGGGAAGCGATTTGGGGCCACGGCCCTAGAAACTGCATCTTTGTTCAGAGCCAACCCATTTCCTCTGCAGCCACAAAATGCCTTTGTGTGTCAGGGCTCGGGAGATTCTCCTCGCTGGCCAGCCATTGGCAAGAATGCCAGACTCAGAGGTTGCCATTGCCCACAGGCTTTCTTCTCCTTTCCTTTCACAGCAGGAAGAGCCCTCCGGAGCCTCGAAAAGCAGAGTGGAAGTGGTGGTGCCCAGGACGCATGGGCTCTGATGGGAAGAGGGAGGTGGGCCTGAGCATGGGCCTTCTTCTCCCCAGGTCAGAGGGGCCTGGATGCCCCTGGAGGGAACACTGAGGTCACCTCTGGCCAAATCTTCCTGTTCTGCCAGTACCCAGCCCTGTTCAGTGACGTCAAGCTTTTGGGTCCCTGTCCTGGGGCCCTCCACGCTGGCCGGGCTGTGTAGAGACGCCCTTCTCTCCACTTTATTGGGTCCAGATTGTTGTGTGGCTTCTCCCCTCCTCTGCAGCCTGGGGTCTGAAAACAGCGATGCCAACAGACAGACAGATTTCCAAAAGAAAGGTCCGGCTCAGCCAAGGACAAAGGGGCCTCGCAGAGGCTCCTGGGGGTCAGAAAGCTGAGAGTCTACCAGGCAGGTGCCTTCTCCACCCACAGGCACAAGCTACAACAGCTTTCCAAGAAGTGCATCCACATCGTCCCCAGGTCCAGATGCCCACATTGCCCTGCAGGGACCAAGACCACACTCGGGCTGCTTGGACAGGATGTAGCTGGTCACTGTTCTGGAGCTGGCCCCTCTGTAGCCTGTGACAATCAGCTTGAGTCTCTCTGCCAAGTCTCCGCCTTCTGTTCTTCTTGCCGACCTTGAAGCAGAGTTGACGTTTCAGGTTTTTCCAGCAGACAAAGCTCACTCAATCTGATACTGTGGAGGTTGTTAATTTAACAACCAACCCATCCTCATGTTGAGAAACCAGCTCCAAATGCTCACCTGGCTGTCAGGGATGGGGAGCCTCATGGGTGAAAGAGGGTTGTGATGGCATAATTTAAACCAAAAGAGGCATTCGCGGTTGCCCGTGTTGCCTCAGGCCTGCTGGCCTCCTGCTGTGAACATTTTGGGCAATACTGTCTCTGCCAGTGACCCCCAATTGTCCACTTGTCTCCAGCAAGATCGAACCATGTAAGTGCCATTTCTGACAAGTTGGGTGAACGTTGGTTTCAAATCATCAGCTCTGCATTCAAGTGCCCTGCTACAATTCTGGCTCACTCTGTGGGAATAACTGCCTGCCTGGGCACGTTGCTGTTGCTGCCTCCCAAACGGCAGTTTCTGGGGTCCCAGGTCATCCAGGCTGGATGTGGCTTGGGAGAGACCTGTGGCACCAGGTTGGAGGGAGGTCTCACCTCTCCTTTCTGAGCTGTGGACTGCAGCTTCAGGACCCTATGGATGAGGCCGAATGTCATGAAGATAATGGAATTTGGAGTCTCAACAAAGCCAAGCCACATGCCAGAGATTCACCACCTGGGGCCCAGGATCAGAAGTGTGCCCTTAGGAGGCCAAACATCCACCTGTCTACCAACTAGACATTTGGTCTCAGACAGCAAGAAAGGCTGCGTTTATGTCATTAGGGGGAACACCACGGTCTTCGGCATGAGAGAGGTGTAATTCTCAAGTTCATCAGAGCTCGGCTTCCCCCATGAGAGGAAACAATTTGCCAGGTTGAAGAACACACGCTTTGAGGGTTCTCAGAGGCTGACACCTGTTGTGAATCTTGGAAACTCAAGCCCCAGTGCAAACGGCCTTGAAGGAGGTCGAGCATCATGGTTCCAACAAGTGACTCGCTTTGATAACCCGATGTGTAAGCAGAATCGCAATGCATCCGTCCTTCCCTAATCATCACGTGGCTGTCATCTGGTCAATGAACTGAGGCCCGAAGGCTTGAGTCAAACTGGTTTTCAAGGCTGTGCTCATGGGATTTATATGTTTCTTGAGCCCTGTTGGAGGCTCTTGGCAGGTCTGAACATTAAACATTTCTTTTCTTCCTTTTGCACACTGCTTCAACCTAAAGAGTTGGAGCGAACTAGCTCTATATCATTTCTGTGTTGTAAATGGGAAATTAGCTACCCCATAACTTCCCATTGTCTCCTGAGAGGTTACAAATTGTGTTACAGATATTAGCAAGTGTTAATCCTCACGATGTCCCTGGGAGGGAACCAGAAGTATCGTAGATGAAGACATCGAGGCACAGAGAGGTGAGGCCACTGGGAAGAAGCCACACAGCATAACAGTGGCAGGTCAAGAAAAGGGCTGGGGTTCTCCCCACCAATACCAAATGATTTTGCTCTGTGGAGTTTGTGTCTCGGTTAGGACATTGGTGAGCTATGTCACCTATGTTTCAGGTGACAGGGACATCACAACAAAGGTTTGTTGGGTTAACAATGTCAAGCATTTCCCTGCCCCAGACCCCAAACTCATTGCCACACTCCATACCACTGTCACGGAGTGCAGATAGTGGGGTTTGGAATCTCAGTAAAGCCAAACCACAGGCCAGAGATTCACCATATGGGGCCGTCGGTCATCCCCGATCCTGTTGTCCCAATAGCTTTCATTCTGGTGATAGGATATCTGCATCTCCTAGAAATGTGGCTGCTAAGCCCCACTCCTGCACGGATCATTCACCGGCTCCCCACTCAGCGTAGCCACTCCTGGGTGGATCGGCAAACAGCTCTTCAATACGTCCACCCCCATGTGTCACAGAGCTTTTCAGGTGGAAGGATTTTGCATTCTCCCAAGAGAGATTCAGTGAGCCAAGTCAGGACCCAAGTTCTCAGTCAAGGGTAAGATGCTGTAGCCGAGAGTTCCCCAACCCCCGCCCTGTCCGACGTCTCGGCAAGAGGCAGCACTTCCTGCACCCGGCTCTGCCAATGCACTGGGCGCTGGGGTGTGGGGTTGGGGTCCCCCCTGCTCCCGCCGGAAGGGTGTTTTAGGGAACTGTGGGCCTCCTCCCACCTTGGCAGCTCCGTTTAAGGCTCCAGGGACTGCTTGGCTGCTCCACAGTGACGGTCACTCTGAGGTGGAGCCTGTGTATCCTGGATGGAGGCAGGGCCGGACACTGTGACAGGTCCTCTGGGCCCATCTCCAGCTGAACAGGAAAGTCCATGGCCCACCCAAGACAGGTGGGCTGGTGTCTTCTCTCTCCTGGGCGCTGTGGAGCTGAAACCGCAGAGTCCATCGGGATTTTGCCCAGGAGCAAGGGACATCCTCAGCCTGCGGCCGCTATGTACAGTGAGAACGACACCTGGGGCCATCTGGCTTCTCTTCCTTCCTGGGTCTCTCACGTTGGGTCTGGTGGAGCCACCAGTTCCTTACACGTTGGTGACCTCCAGGCTGTTGTAGCCTTCCAGACGGCACTGTTCCAGCCTGCTCTGGGGGTCATCGTCTCCGCAATCTTCGTTTTGAAGAGAGCCATAGTCATCATGGAAATCGGGATCTTTGCTGCTGAAGCCCCTTCCTATCTTCCCCAGGGGCAGCTGAGAAGAGAAGAATATGATCAAAGGACAGGAAGAAGAGAAACAAGAATTAAGAATGAAGGTCTGGGAAATGTCTCCAATTCTAATTGCTCTGTGATTGAGTAACTTACTTAACCTCTGTGTGCTCCTCCTATTAGTAATAATACTCCCTGCTCAGGGAGGTTGAGGGGAGTTTGTGAATGACCATTAGGGGAGAGCTTTGTGTCCCCCTGCCCCCGGAAGGATTCAGTTGGTTACCAAGGGTGAGGACAAATATCGTTAGTCTGATTATTCCTGATTCACAAAAGCCTCCTTCTTCCCTCCTTGGTGGGTGGAGAGTTGAGGAAGTGTGTCCTGGAGACTACCTGTGAGAATGTCTGAGCAGGCCCATGAGGTCTGACTGCACTCCCAAGTCAAGGAGGAATATTCTAGACGGCCTGGTGTGGCAGAAAGAATGCGAGTTTTGGAGACTCACAGACCCAGGTTCAGATCCCTGCTCTGCCACTTCCCAGCTGTGTGACCTTGGACAAGTCACTTCCCCTCTCTGAGCCCATTTTTCTCAGCTACAAAATGGGAATAGTAGTTTCTAACTCCCAGGTTTGTTGTAAAAAGTAAAGTCCCACCAGTCTGGCCAACATGGTGAAACCCCGCCTCTCCTAAAAATACAAAAATTAGCCGGGCGTGGTGGCGAGCTCCTGTAGTCCCTGCTACTCAGGAGGCCGAGGCATGAGAATCACTTGAACCCAGGAATCAGAGGTTGCAGTGAGCTGAGATCGTGCAACTGCACTCCAGCCTGACAGAGACCCTGTCTCAAAAAAAAAAAAGTCAAGTCCCATCTGCAAAGCACATAGCAAGTGCTTGCACCGAGTAAGTCCTTGATGTACTTGATGAATAGTGACTATTATTATCACACATAGTAGGCCTTCAAAAATACTTCTCTCTTACTGCACACATCTCTGTGTTAAAGTAGTCACATTAGTGCTTTGTAACTATTTATTTGACTGCCTTTCTTTCCAGACCAGTGTTTCCAGATCTTCTTTTTTTATTATTATTATTGCTCCCTAAGGAGACTTTTTAGACAGTTTTTTCCTAATTGCACCCCTGCTGTGAAATTGTAATGCCACAGACATACTACGCCTCTGCTTCCGTACCATATGTACATTTGTGCTTTTACATAGAAAGAATAAGAATTTTTGCCACCGCCCCCACCCCCCACCAGCGCCAAAACAAATTTTCACTCCTTTGGGGGGCAATATCAGCCCCAATTACTAGAATGCACGTTCTAGAATGGAGCTTCTTAAGGGTAAAGTGGCAATGTATTCATGTTTATGAATGAATGGGGATCATGCCTTCTTCAAATGGAAGACATTTTGGATTACCCAGTTCTGCCGTCTCTGTCTGTGCATTTCCATTGAGGAATCTGTGTCAGTTGGAGTCTGTGCAATCAGACCTGAACTGCACATGTTTTCATACTGTTTGGTTGGAGTCACCAGAGGGT
Source organism: Homo sapiens (assembly GCF_000001405.40). NCBI lineage: Eukaryota > Metazoa > Chordata > Mammalia > Primates > Hominidae > Homo > Homo sapiens. Next base: position 15,112,993 of record NC_000001.11, on the reverse strand, counting down.
TCATCTTTGCTATTGGTCAGGTCACTGAAGTCGCAAATTGAAATCAGTGATTGGGGCTCAGAGTTTGGGGCTGCGCCGGAACCCTCTGGGCAGCCTAGCTGAATGCAGGATCCCCCTCGCCCCAGAGAACTCCTTTTCCAGGAGACCAAGGTGGGTCCCAGAATCTGCAAGTTCAGTAATAGCCCCAGGTGATTCTCATGCAGGCAGGTGAGACCTGCACTTTGAGATCCAGGTGCTACTCGAAGCCCTGCGGGGGCTTTGTGCACTGTACCCAAAGCATCGTGAAGGTTCCTTGAAGGTACATCCAGGGCATCTGTCCTGGATGCCCCCGTGACCCGGCCTGGCACTCCACCTTCACAGGCCAGCACAGGAGCCACAGAGCTCCCGGGAGGAGAAAAAAAGACCTTTCCCGGGTCTGCAGGACTCACAGGTAAATCCATTGAGAGACTTACCCGGCCAGCCTTGTACTTGAGACCGCTGCTGTTCTCCTCCTTTCCTGCCCGCGTGACGCTGGAGGCCCTGCCAGGGGGCGTTCCAAAACGCTCAGCCTCCCGGATGCCTGTGGAGCTGAAGAGAGGACCATTTTGAGTCAGCAGGGGAGGCTCAGTCAGCTCCCCAGACACACACACACACACACACACACACACACACACACACACACACATTGGTGACAATGACCACAGCTGCTGAGACCGACTGATTACCTCCCACGTGCCATCCTTGTGCTCAGCACTTTATAAGCGTGATTCTCACAACATGCCTGGGGCTTGGGACTGCCAGCCCAGCATTACAGGGAAAGGAGGCCAGAGACAGCAAGCAATTTGCCCAAGACGACACAGCTGTTAGCGGCAGAATCAAGATCTGAACTCAGGCTTCTGACACTCCAAAGTCTTGATCTTAACTCTTCAGTGTACTGTGAACCTTACTGCAACAGACTCCAGATGAGAATCTCAGCATGGTAGCTAATTAGTTGTGCTTGGAGAAGCATGAGGAGTCTCCCCTGCTCTGAATTTGCAATCTGTGTCCCCCACCTGGCTTTCTGCCTGAAGCTGCCCCCATGACTCCCTTCTTTGTGCAAAAGCATGGAAGCTTCTGTTAGGATTTGGCCAACTACAGCCTGCCTGCAGGTCAAATCCAGCTGGCCGACTGATTTTATAAATAAAGTTTTATTGGAACTCAGCAGTGCCCATTTGCTTATGTGTTGTCTATGGCTGCTGTCTTGTTGCTATAAGGACAGAGTTGTAGACTTTTGACAGAGATCATATGGCTCCCAGATCGTAACATATTCACTATCTGGCCTTATACAGAAAAAGTCTGCATATCAATGCTGTGGATAAACAGATTTGGGGCAAGAGGCCCGGCCTGGAGCCAGAAGTCACCACGGAGGTAGACTCATTGAAAGAAATGAAACTTCTAGGCCGGGCATGGTGGCTCATGCCTGTAATCCCAGCACTGTGGGAGGCCAAGGCGTGTGGATCACTTGAGGCCAGGAGTTCGAGACCAGCCTGACCAACATGGCAAAACCCATCTCTACTAAAATTACAAAAAGAATTAGCTGGGCATGGTGGTGCACACCTGTAATCCCAGTTACTCGGAGGCTAAGATTGAACCTCAGGAGAATCACTTGAACCTGGGAGGTGGAGGTTGCAGTGAGCCGAGATCGTACCACTGCACTCCAGCACAAGACTCTGTTTAAAACAACAACAACAACAACAACAACAAACAACAACAACAGAACCTTCTAGCATCTTTTAAGCTGCCTCAGAGAAGTTCTTCTTCTGGGGCAAATTTTGCTGAGAAAGTTCAAGGGAGGGGAGTGGTGTGTAGGAGACAGCACTGATTGAATGGCAAATGAGCTACGTTCTCAAACTCTTGGGTTCCACAGGCTTCCACATAACAGGGAGGGCCTTGCTCAGTGGTGGGTCAGGAAATGCCCTCATGAATGGCCCCTCTGCTCCACCTGGAGGCGAAATTCCCCAGGTCCAGTGGGGAAGCAGCTGTAATTGCAGAAGCCAAAAAATGTAAACTCAGGTAGCTGGCTGTTTGCTCTCTGGCACAGAGGGGTGCTGGATCCCCCAGCTCTTGGAACACTAGCAGTCAAATAAGCCTGGGAGAGCCTCAGGGTCCCATCTCTTATTTTCACTGAAGAGACAGAAGACCAAAGAGGGGGTGTGTCTTGTCCAAAGATACACAAGACACCCAGTGGCAGGGATGGAAATTGAACTTGGGCCTCTGGGATCAAGGTCTAGACCACGGCCTTCCCACTTTGGGATTTAGGGTAGGACAGTGGTCGCACGTGTGGGCTCCACGTCAGCAGCCTGGCTCAGTGCCTTAGCGTTGGCATGGCCTGGGCCGCGTGCTGAGCAGAGTGGGGTTAATAACAGAACTTCCTCGGCAGGTCATTGTGAGGACTAAATGAGAGGATACACACACACACACACACAAACACATATGCACACACACAAACACATACACACAAACACACAAATACACACACATACATACACACACAAATACACAAACATACAAACACACACAAATACACACATACACAAATACACATGAACACATATGCGCACACACAAATACACAGACACACACAAACACACAAATACACACTACATATACACACATACACACAAACATACACACATATACAATATGCCCACACACAAATACACAAATACACACATACATATACACACACACAAACATACACACATATACACACACAAGTGCACATACACATATACATATATACACATACACAAACACACACAAACACCACCTAAACATACACACATACACAACACACATATACACACACAAACACATATGCACACACATACACAAATACACAGACACATACACAAATACACACACAAATACGCACATACACACATACATATACACACATACACACACAGGCACACACACGCACATATATATATACACACATACACAAACACCATCTACACATACATACACAACACACATATACCCACATAAACATACAAACATACAAACACACATATACAAACACATACACAAACACACACACACACACACCCATACACAAACATACACAAACACATATACACACAAGCACACACATGCACATACACACATATATACACGCACATAAACATACACAAACACCACATACACATACATACACATACAACACACACATACACATACACACAAACACATATATACACAGACATACAGACACAAACATACAAACACAAACACACATACACACAGATATATACACACAAACACGCTCATACACAAACATACACATACACCCATATACACACATATAAACACATACACAAACATACAAACACACATACACATATATACACACACACACACATACCCATACATACCCATACATATACACACACATAAACATTAAGCTCTGAGTAACAATAGAAAGAGTAATTGCTACAATTACATCTTACTGTGGCCAAAGGCTTTGGGGACACAGACGTGGTTGGAGTTCCTGCTCAGCTATTCCCTCCATATGTTCTGGTGCGAGTAAAACACCTTACTGGGCCTCAGTTTCCTCATCTGTACGATAAAGTCCAGTAAGCAGCCCTGATCTTTTTTTTCCTCTGAGCGAGGGTCTCGCTCTGTTGCCCAGGCTGGAGTGCAGTGGTGCAATCTTGGCTTACTGGGCTCAGGTGATCCTCCCACCTCAGCCTCACAAGCAGTTGGGACTACAGGTGCACGCCACCACACCCAGCTAATTTTCGTATTTTTGGTAGAGACCGGGTTTTGCCATGTTGCCCAGGCTAGTCTCCAGCTCCTGGGCTCAAGTGATCTACCGGCCTCGACCTCCCAAAGTGGTGTGATTACAAGTGTGAGCCACCGTGCCTGGCCAGCCCTGGTCTTAACAAGCTACCCTATGCACAGAAAGTGGTTGTCTTTCTGTAGACAAAGGAATACGGGGTGACCTTGGCCTCCAGTGTGCCAAAATATCCTCCCTCCTTATTTTTTCCACAGTGGCTGAAATCCCCCCATCTAGGCCTTTGGATAAGATGAAAACACGAAAACTCCAGGGCATAAGCCAAGCACAGGGCCAAGGTCTTTGGAAGCTTTGAACCGACCTATTAAGTATTTCTAGTCACTTAGACCTCGAGGAAATGGTACGTTAGAAGGGGAACTTTTGATGAGGGAACGTTATGGAGAATGGGGCATCTCACTGGACTCTCCTGAGTCAATGTAGAGAACCCTGGGCACTAAATAGGCATCATGGTGCAGGAAGGAAGGTTGGGGGTTGGGAGTCAGCCTCCACCAGGTGGGCCAGCCCGAGCATTGAGTCTCAACCCATTAACCAAGGATTTACAAGGGCAGAGAGGCACAAGATGCTGTGCTGGAGAAAATGAATGGGAAGGAAAGAGTACTCGAGGGCCACCCACTACGTGCTGGGCACACTGTCAGCTCCTCACCACGGTGGCTCAGCAAACCCTCTGCAAAGCCCTGGGAAGAAGGAGTGATCATCCCCATTGCAAGCTGAAAAAACCGTGGCTCAGAGAGGGTAAATTTCTTGTCTAAAATCACACGATGATGGCGGAGGAGCCAGAATGTGGCCTCAAAGGCCCCGCTGGGTCCCATTGCACACAGGCCCACGCCTCTGGGCACTCAGCTGACCCAGTGCCTGGAGTTTGGGCTCACATTTCAGGGATGGTTTGAGGGTGGGGTGGGACAGAATCTCATCTAAGCTCAATGTGTCCTTCCACCCCCATTCCAGCGGCCTGCTGAGTGACCAGAGAATAAATGTTTTCCATTGCCAATGTCTTGGGAAGCCTGTCAGCCGAGGAGGTGGGACAGGTGACAAGGTTCTCTCATTCTATGTGTTTGAGGGTCAAGTCTATTTGAGTTTGTAATGGAATTGTTCTTCTCCATTGAAATGCTAATGAGAACGCTGGAGCAAACTGACAGAAGGGGACTCCTATGCAGCTACTCCAGAGGAAATTGACTGCATGGAGATTCTTCTGCCTCCAGATGAAGGCAGGGGCAGAAGCTCTCAGTTACTGCCGGGCATCTATGTATCAAGCAGGCTGCATACAATTTGCCTCACTGAACCTTTGGAACAAAGCTACAAGGTCGGTATGAGTCATATTCCCCTATTACAGAGGAAGAAACTGAGGCTCAGAGAGTAAAACCTAAAACCACTAGCTCATGTTCAACACAGCAAGAAAGCAGTGATGCTGGGGCTCGAAACCACATTGCAGCCATTGCCCTGCAGAGGAGGAATGGGAGGCAGCGGTGGTGGGGCTAGGGGTGGGTTTGGAATAAATCACTAATATTTATATTATTGGGTGTCTTATGATGTACTGGTTCCTTTGCCAATTGCTTTATGCATTGTCTTATCTCATCTTGCCATCAACTCTTTGGGTGGCAGATAGTGATTACCATACTCATTTTACAAATGAGGAAAGTACAGTTCAGAGAGGTTAAGTAACTTGCCCAGGGTCACACAGCCAGGATTGGTGCTGCTGGGATTTGAACTTGGGTTGCCTGGGGCTAGAGTGCCACAAGGCATTCTGGATGGGTTTATGTCTTCACCTAGTTGTCTATGAAACCAGTTTCTTGCCTGGATGGGAGCCAAAGCCTTTCTTGGATGAGCAGAGACCCTCAGAGATCTATTAAAAAAGGGAAAGAGAGAAAACCTGGAGTGGAAGCAGGCCCTGGGCTGGAACTCCACACCATCCACCTATGAGGTCTTCTCCCATCTCTGTAAGCTTCGTGAAGGCAGGACATGGATCACCCAAGTGCCTGCTCACAGCAGGTGTTCAATGACTGTGGAGGGTGGCTTTTATGGCAAAAGGGGCACTATTCTAGCTTAGATCCCAGGGGAGAGAGATCAGTTCCAGAAAGAGCTTCTGACTAGGAGTAGAGACCTGGGTTCCAGTCCTGCTCTGGTTCCAGTCCTGCTCCTTTGTGTGTCCTGTCCCTGACTCTGTTTTAGTGACAGGCCATATTGCCTTCAAGGCATATTTTTTTTGTTTGTTTTGACTCCTCCGATCCCCTGGCAGCTGCCTTTGGGTACCTCTGCTCCTTGCTGCATCCTTCCTGCCCACTGGTTTTATTCTCCAGGTCCTTAAAGAACAGTCCTATGACTGACACATTGTTGGCGCCGGACCAAGGTTTATCGGGAGATGCAGGAAGTCAGTGTGTGTCAAAGCAGATACCATGAGACCATGGCAGAGACTTCTCCTTGGCGCCTTTGGGTCATGTGCATTGTCAAAGTTGTGGGAAGAGACTAGAGATGACGTCATATTGGGACCCATAAGCTCTTGGTGAATGTGGAGCCTGGACAGAGTCATTTCCCTCTTATCTTATCATTGAGAGGTTCATTGATTTCGTCTCATTCTTGAAGAAGTCCCTGCCCCACCACAACATAAGAACCCACCCTATTTGTCCCCACCAGTCCCTTCTCTGGTGCTCCCTGACTAGTCTTAGTCCTGAACACACCTGTCACCTCATGAGTGGTCAAGAGTTTAATCAGATACACAAATGCCTGCTAATATTCAGCTAGAGCCATCTCTCCAGGGCTCAGAAAAAAGTTTGTTACAGATCATGTGGCTCCAGAAGGGAAGTCAGGGAAAGGGGATAATTCTGAGGAGAAAAGGCTTTTTCCTGTGTCTTTTGATTCATGGCTCCTGGAGGAGGGTTTTGTTTTGTTTTTCTGTTTTGTAGAGATGGACCCTTGCTCTGTTACCCAGGCTGGAGTACAGTGGCATAATCATAGCTCACTGCAGCCTCACACTCCCGGGCTCAAGTAATCCCCAGCCTCAGCCTCCTGAGTAGCTGGGATTATATGGTGCACTCCACCACCTCCAGGGAATTTTTTTAATTTTTAGTAGAGAAAAGGTCACGCTATGTTGCCCAGGCTGATCTTGAACTCCTGGACTCAAGCAATCCTCCTGCCTCCGCCTCCTAAAGTGCTGAGATTGCAGGCATGAGCCACCATGCCTGGCCTAAAACAGAGTTCTTATCAAACATTGTCTCTGTAAGAAGCACCCCAAAATGCTAAAAATGTAGAGTCCTGTGCTCTGCCAGCAGATACTTGTCCTGCAAGTCTGAGGCAGGACCAGGGAATCTGCATTTTACAATAGCTTCAATGATTCTGCTGCAAGGGTCTGTGGGGTGGGCCTCACTTTGAGAACAGCTTGGGTGTCAGCCTCCAATAGGGAAGAGCAGCCCAGGACACCTGGACCCTGCCATACATGCACAATTTTTCCTTAAGCCTCAGTTTCCCCACCTGTATAACATGGGGAGTGGCCCAGCTGCTCCCTAAGGATCCATGTGGTTTAGGGGTTTAGGACTCAGGCCTGAGTTAGAGAGCCCCAAGGTCAAATCTGGGCTCTGTCAACAAAACCAACAAACCTTTAGATAGGCTGATTAAAAAAAAAAACAAAACTCAAACTCAGATCACTAAAACCAGGAGTAAGTGAATGAGTGAGAGAATATGACTACCAACTTTATATATAAGAGGCACTATAAGATAAAAATTATATGATCAACTGCATGCCACCAGATTAGCTAACCTAGATGAAATGGACAAATTCCTAGAAAGATATAAGCTACTGAAACTGCCTCAAGAAGAAATAGAAAATCTGAACAGACCTCTAACAAGTGAAGAGATTGAATTAGAAGTCAAAAAGCTTCCCAGAAAGAAAAGCCTAAGACCAGATGGCTTCGCTGGTGAATTCTACCAAATGTCTAAAGAATAACAAACACCAATCCTTCCAAGCTTTTCCAAAACCCAGAAGAGGAGAGAATACTTCCCAATTCATGCTATGAGGGCTATATTACCCTGATACCAAAATCAGACAAAAACATCACAAGGAGGGAAAACTATAGACCAATATCCCTTATAAATATAGATGCAGATTTTTTCAACAAAGTACTAACAAATTTAATCCAGCAATATATAAAAAGGATTATACACTGTGACCAAGTGAGATTTATCCTGGGAATGCAAGGTTGGTTTGACATATGAAATTCAATCAATCAATATAATACACCATATTGATAGAATAAAGGACAAATCTAGGATTTGCCACTTACTAGCTGTGTATCTTGGGCACATAGCTTGGTACCTTTGAAGAAGTTTCTCCATCTATAAAGGAGGGATAGTGCTACTGATCTCTTGACATTGCCAGGAGGATGAAATTAGATAGTTCACACAGGAAGTATTCAATAAATGGTCATCTAACCCTAAGTGCATGATTTTAAGAAGAGAATCCACTGGGAGGGGGACTGGTTTATGCCCAGGTGTTCATTCTCTGGTCACTTTTCAGATGGGGATACTAGGATAGGTGGGCTGATGTGGTCTGCTTACCTGGTCCATAAGCATCATTAATATGCTCATTCCTGACTCCAAGCCTTTGTCCCCACAGTTGCCCCACCTGGACCAACCAACTCAACCTATTAGGCCAATGCAAGTCCTCCCAGCTACACTCCACCTGCACGTGGCCTTTCCTTACACATGCACTGCTTGCTATCTCTTCTCTAAACACCTGGGTGTTTTTTGATCTAATATACACTTAATTCAAGACCTGACTGCTCCTCTACGTCTTTCTAGTCTATGACCTTCAGGCTAAAGCACTTTGCTTCTCTGAGCCTTAGTTTCCTGATCTGTAAAAGGTGACCACCATGGTGCAAAGAACGAGTGGGAGGCAGTAAGTGATGGGCCAGGATGGGGAGCTGGACCATCTGCTTCCAAAGCCCTGAGCTGTACTGTACCCAGCAGCCCACATGACTGGATCCCAGCCCGTGCTCACTTGGCTGGGTGGAAGACGGCGCTCATCTCCTCTGCCAGGTGTCTCCGGAGGATGTGCTTCCCACTGGGGATGCCCAGGGCAGTGGCCATGGCCTCGGCATTGAATGTGGGCTCCAGCACCAGCACAGCACCATGGACGCCGCTGTTGGTCAGGTTGTCTGCGTACTCCTGGGGGCAAAGGCAGGGGACTTGTTAGCCTGCAGGGGCCATGCTGCTGGCCTAAGGGGGCCCCAGTTCCACGTGGGGCTCTGTCCCCAACAGCAAGGGCTTGACCCCCTGGGGACCAGTTAATTTGACGGTGAAGAGGAACCCCTCCCCAATTTTTTAGAGCCACGAGGTCAGGGACCTCCTGTTACTGAGATGGTCCCTGACCCTAGCAGGAAATCATCAATATTTGTTAAATGAATCTCAACCCCACACTTGCTTAGGAGAGTGGGGCTGGCTCAGCCTCTCTACCCCATGTGAGCAAAGCATCATGACATGGGGCTCCTATTTGGAAGGTAAGCAGTTCCCTCCTCCTGAATAACAGGAGGCAGGTAATTCTTGCTGGGCCTGAGTTAAGATGCTCCAGCCCACACAAAGGGGATATTAATTTGTGTGGGATTTGCCCATTGATTTGCATGAGATCTGCATATTGATTTGCATGTGATTTGCATATTGATTTGCATATAGATTTGCATGGGGTTTGTGTATGCCCGAGAGTCACCCCGACCTCCGCTATCACCCTCACCTTCAGGTCGATGTCTCGAACCCACTTGAGCACCCGCTGGTTGGTCCACACCACGGGGTCAATGTTCTGCGTCTCGCAGCGGGCCCGGCGCTCCTGGAGGGCCTTGTGGGGAGACAGTGGGTCATTCGGAGGGACAAGGGGACACGCAGAGGCCACGTGTGGAGTGGGGGTGCCCCGCATCTCTTTTTCCCCCCGAGACAGAGTCTCTCTCTGCTGCCCAGGCATGAGTGCAGTGGTGCTATCTGTGCTCACTGCAACCTCCGCCTCCCAGGTTCAAGCAATTCTCCTGCCTCAGCTTCCCGAGCAGCTGGGATTACAGGCACCTGCCACCACACCGGGCTGCTTTCTTTTTGTATTTTTAGTAGAGATGGGGTTTCACCATGTTGGCCAGGCTGGTCTCGAACTCCTGACCTTGTTTGTGATCCACCCACCCTGGCCTCCCAGAGTGCTGGGATTACAGGCGTGAGCCACCAGGCCTGGCCCCTGCACCTCTTTTTACATGTAACTGCTGTGATCTCCCACACGTGCCTCCTTGGCAGACTGGGGACTGGGGCCAGGGTCTGTGTCCTTGTCACTCCCTGTCCTCGGCGTGGCATGGGGAAGGCACTGCTGCTGTCCTCGCTCCACTAACAGGGAGCTCTGACTGCCCAGAGCCACACAGTGGCACGTCTTGGAGTTGGAATGAAAACCCATGTTTGGCTGATTCCAGGTCCTCTCTCACCATCTCGCCACCGTATCGCAGGCCTCCCTGGGTCCCACAGGGACTGACCCCAGGGTTCACAGTAGGCACACAGTGGATGCTTTTCAGTGGGTGGTTGAGAAGGGGGACAAAAGGCTGGATGGCCCCCTCTTCTGTCCCTCTTCTGACCCTGAATTGTTGGGTTCTGACATCACTCTAAGAAAAGTCAGCTACCTGGACTCAGCCCCACAGTGCCCAGCAGCTCAGGCCCCTGGTGACCTCTGCAGCAACCCCCCACCACCTCCCACCTCAAAGCCAGCACCCCACCCAACAGGACTCTCAGCAACTCTGCTGCCGTGGATCAGTCCTCTGGGCCTTCACCACACTGTTGCCTCTGCTGGGTTACTTTTTCTCTCATGTCTTCTACTGATCCCTGGGGTTCCTCCTTCGGGTCTCAATTTAGTCGTTGCTATCTCTGAGGAGCCATCCCTGAGCCCCCTGAAGACTTCTCTGGGTTTTCTTTTTTTCTTTTTTTTTAAAATAGCAAACACTTAAAAATTTTTATTTTAATTTTTGTGGGTATACATAGTAGGTATATCTTCTCTGGGTATTCATAAAACCCTGGGCTTCCCTCACTGGGACAATCTCCCACAATATTGGCACCACCAGCTTCCTTGTGGTTCTCTCTGGTAAGCACTTAGCTCTCCAAGGATGAGGGCTCCCATTTCCCCTGCACTGAGCACAGCGCCTGGCCCGTGCCCAATAGGGGGTTGTTGGAAAGAAGGAGGAAGAGAAGATGGCTGGCTGACTGGCTGGCTGGCTGGATGATGGCTGGATAGGTAGGTAGATGGATGGACGGATGATCAATAAATGGATGGCTGGATGATGGATGGATGGGTGGACAGATGGATAGACGGGTAGTGGGTGGACAGATGAACAGACAGTAGATGCCAAGAGGGGAGGGGTGGGCAGTGGAAGGTGCCCCCACCCTGTGCCCTGGTCCTCACCTCCCTGCTGAAGTTCACTTGGTACAGCAGCTCGATCCCCAGCAGGATGCTGACCTGGTGGAACTTCTTGGACACGTTCAGGTGCTTCTCCAGGTCTCGCTTCATCAGGGAATTCAGCATCCGCCCATCAACCAGGTGGTTCTGAAAGGCCTGGGAGTACTGGGACAGGCCAATGTCATTCAGCCAGGCCTTGGCCACCCAGTGATGGTCCAGCTCGGCAGCTTTGGACAGGCTGGGGAGGAGACATAGCCAGAGAGTGGATGGGTGGGGAAAGGCGGCAGAAACAGACGGACGGGCAGAAATGGGTGGAGATGCAGAGAGAGGAAAAGCAATGGGGTTGGGGGAGGACCAAGAGAGCCACAGAGACAGACATGGACAGGGATGGAGCCGAGAGATCAAGAGGAAAAAAGGGAAAAAATGAGACAGAAAGGGCAGAGATGGTGAAAGAGGTGGATGGAGGAGGGAGACAGAGAGAGAGAAAGGGACACAGAAAGAGAGAACAAAGAGAGAAAGAGACAGAGAAGGAGAGAGAGAGACACTGAGAGAAAGGAGCAGAGGGAGATAGAGAAGAACAAAGAGGAAGAGGCAGAGAGAGAGAGAGAGAGAGAGAAAGACCGAGACTCAAGAACAGAAAGGGATCAACAGAGAAACAAACGGAAGGGAACAGGAAGAGAGAATCCCACACTCAGACGCAGCGAGGGTGAGAAGGCGCAGGGGCGGGGAGCAGAAGGGCCACGTGTGGCAGGAGGCAGCACCTCTGGGGACCCCGCCCCTCCACCTAAGCCCCCCTCATTTCCCTGGGGGCCTCCACAGCATCCCCGAGACCCACAAAGCCTGGGCTTGGCCCACCTGATCGGCGCATCCCTCCCCAGTGCTCTGCGGTCTGTTTTCCTGCTTCAGGGATGTTGGGTGTCCACTCAGGTGTGCCAGGCAGGTCCTAATCATGCGCGAAGAAGGCAAAGCTGCCGTCCTCGCTCTGCAGATGGGATGCTCCAACTTTGCCTAGAGCCACACAGTGGCTCATCTTGGAGTCAGAATTAAAGTCCATGTTTGACTGATTACAAACCCTCTCTCTTACCACTGCACTGCCAGGTCTCAGATTTCCTTGTGCCCCACATAGAAATGACCCCTGTACCACGTATACAGCAGGTGCGCAAGTGCTTGAATTTTCAAGCCGGTGAATGTGTGACTGTGCCTGGCTGTCATTCCGCTGCTCGCCACACAGTGGCAGCCTTGCAGAAGGAACGAGGATCACCGCATCCCACCTGCAAGGGACTTTGCAAAATGCCCCAGGTCTGACAGGTGGGAGAGCGCTGGTCTAAGTGGGAGGTGCAGGGGGCCACGAAGCCATCAGTATGTGAAAGGGAAAGTGGTGGGCTTGCAAAGCCACTCCACCCTGCTCCTGGGGCAGCAGCCAGAGACAGCTTGTCATGCCACCCTCCTGCTGAGGGTCCTGGGTGGGTCCTCCCTGTCCTTCCTGCCTTCATGCCCGGATATGCATTCAGCATCCCGTGACCACCCTGCTGGGGTACATGCTGCCATACAATGGGCTCCTCTTCCCTCCTAACCCCTTCCCCTCTTTCTCCAGGCACTCCTGTCTCTGTATTACCCATCTCCAGGGCTCTGGAAGGCACCCGTGAGGGAGGGCTCCCAAATTCTCCACTCTCTTCTGAGCAGCTAAGCTCTGAGCTCTTTTCTGAGCTCCTCTTTCCTCTCTCAGCCTCTAGCTGTCCTCTTAACGCTGCCTGGCTGTCACAGACGTGTCATACTTAATGGCTCAGTTGTTCCCCTTCACTGTCACTGTCACCGTCACCCAGGGGCCCTTCTCTGTCACCCAGCTCCCAAGCTGATAGCCCGTCCTTGTCTGTCGGTCACTCTGGTCAGTGCATCCTCTGTCCACTTCTCTCCTTTCCCAGCTCTAAGCTGCAGGCGTCTCTGGTGTGGGTTTCTGCCACTTTCCCCGGCTGCTCCCCGTTTCCTGCCTTTGCTTCCCTTCTATTCCGCATCCCCCAGGACCACCAGGGGGTCCTTTTAAAATGTCAGTGTGACCGTGCACTCCCCTGCTCAACACTCTGTGGCTTCTCTTTGCAGGAGTAAAATCGCAAGTCCTTTGAATGGTCCACAAGGGTCACCTGCACTGGCCCTGGCTGACTTCCCCTCCCCCAACGCACATGGGGCTTGGGGTCCTGGGGGCCGTTTCCTGGAGGCACTGAGCTCTTCACCCCCCATTCCCCTCCCCGGCCAGCCCCTTGCAACCCTGCCCAGGGCTCACCCCTCCTCATCCCTTGGGCGTCAAATCTCCCTTTTCTCTGAATTTGCTGTCTGAAGTTGCCCCCAAGTCTGCTTACTGTCCCTAGTGCTTTCCTTCAAAGCTCTAATCACATACTGAACCTAAGCAATTGCTGGTTTGTCCACTAATTTATTTTCTCTCTTCCCCACCTTAGCAGATAAGCTCATTCAGGACAGAAACTGCGTTCACTGCCAAACAGCACAGTCTACGTGCACAGTAGACACTGATTGAATGCTTCCTGGAATAATGGCTAAGAGCAGGATGGGCTTGCAGCTTGGCTTCACTCTCCTTCCCTCTGCCCATCAGCCTCCCAGAACCACTTGGGTCCACTGGGACCCCCTTGTCTCCGGGCCTGTCCTCTACCCCACCCTCTTCCCCCAGTGAACTCCTATGGACTCTGCAGAGACGTCTGGTCTCCCGGAAGCCTTCCAAGATGTCATGCTGGGTCAGGAGCCCTTCTCTGTGTCCAAAGCCCCTGGAAGTCCCCATCTCTGCACCAGTCACATTGTGGTTCATGGTTACGCATCTGGCCAGCTGCCTCACTGGACGGTCAGCTCCTGGGGGGCAGGGTGGGGTGTGGCTTATCTGTGAATGTCCAGGGCCCCTTCAGGCTCTGAGTTCACACTCACCAGTGTTTGTCTCATAGTCGAATGTGTGGATGACAGAGCAGTGCTGGGTGAGCGGGTCATCTGCCCCAGTCCACCTGGAGGCTGCCCAGCTGGAGCTCCTGAACTGGAAACTTCTGGCCCAAGACAACCTCCCTTCTAGGATGAAAAGGTCCTGGGGCAGTCCCCCTCCCAGTCCCTCAAGGGCCGGCCTCAGCCTTGTTACAGGACGGTTCTCTCGGGCAGGAGCTGGAGCCCACAGCCCTCTGAATCAGATGCCACTGGGCCAGATTTGTCACTGATGAAGACTAGAATGGCCTCCTCTCCTCTCTGAAGCAAGAGTTTGGTCAGCAAATCAATGGTGCAACAAGAGTTGGGGTGGAGAGCTGCAAAGGGGGCACCCCACTTAACCTACTCGAGAGGGGCCCATCCATAATCAGCAATCTCCATCTGCATGCCCACAATTAATGTGCTCCTGCCCTTCAGAAATGTTCTCTTTTCATTAAGGGTGTCCCCATGGGGCCGCAGCTTGGCGATACGTTCCCAGCTGTTGGTTTGAGCTATTTATTGTAAGAGCCCAAGTTGAATAAAACAGCATGATTTTAAAAGGAATTCAGACATTTTATAAAATCTGTCACTGCCCCATCCCTGAACTGGAGCCGGATTAGACTCTGAAATCTGAGGACGGCACAAAATTTAGATATTGTCTGGGTCACGGCGCAGCACGGAAAACGGGAAGCTGTTCTGGTTCTATTACTTTTTAGCTCTGGGACCTTGAAACTCTGGGTCTCCGTTTTCTCCTCTGTAAAACGGGGAGAATTGCGCTTGCCTCATGGAGTTGTAGGGACTAAAAGAGAGGAGAATGCAAAACCCCTAACACAGGGTCTGGGACACACCTAGTGTTCTATAAATAGTAGTAGTAGAAGCTGTCATTGTTCTTGTTTTTAACACAAAGGCAGCATGGGACACTGGAAAGGCAACTGACTTTGAAGTCAGGTTTTTTGTAGTGTGACTTTATGCTCATGATTTCTCTGCATCTAATTTTCTCCGACTTTATTTTTCAGACGGAGTTTCATTCTTGTCGCCCGGGCTGGAGTGTAATGATGCAGTCTCGGCTCACTGCAACCTCCGCCTCCTGGGTTCAAAAAATTCTCCTGCCTCAGCCTCCTGAGTAGCTGGGATCACAGGCACACACCACCACGCCTACTAATTTTTCTATTTTTAGTAGAGACAGGGTTTCACCATGTTGGTTAGGCTGGTCTCGAACTCCTGATGTCAGGTGATCCACCTGCCTTGGCCTCCCAAAGTGCTGTGATTACAGGTGTGAGCCATCGTACCCGGCCTTCTCCATCTTTAAAATGGGAGTAAGCATGTCTATCCTGCATTGATGTTGTGAGGGTAAATAAAATGATATCCATAAGGTGATGATGGGTTGGTAAGGGGTTGGTGGGTTTTGTCATTGGTATTTTGTAGATAAGGTGACCAGTCCCAGAGAGGACGCCATCATGCCCATGGTCACACAAGATGTCATGGCTGAAAATGTTCTCGAAGATGAACTCATTTAGAGTTCTTACCCCCGAGTCCATGGAGCCCTGAAAGTGGGTGGGCCAGAGAGTCCCACCCACCAACCCAACACAGTGAAAAGTTGTGAAGTTTTGTGTATTTTTTCTAGAGAAAGTGTCAAAAGCTCTTATTAGATTCTTAAAGTGGTCATGATCCTCAAAAGTTTAAAAACCACTGTCCTAATTTAACTCCCTTCACTTCTCAGGTGGGAAACAGTCCCAGAGAGGGCAAGGTCATGTGGCAAACTGGAGACAGGCCAGATTCCCACTGGGAGTAGAAAACTCAAAATAAGTCCTCTGCCTCCTCCAGGAAGCCCTGGGGGTGTCTAAGGGTGGGGCTCCACGATCCCTGGGACCACAGACTCCTGGTTCCTGGAGGTTAACGTGGTGCCACTGTTAGGGATTAAATGTTTCCCTCTGCCATGCCCCCCACCCAATTCACATGCTGAAATCCTAACCTTCGATGTGATGGTATTTGTGGCTGGGGCCTTTGGGAGCTGATTAGATGAGGTCATAGGGGTGCCCTTCATGATGGGATTATTGTCCTTACAGGAAGAGACCAGAGACATCACTCTCTCCCCCTCCCTCTTCCTTCTTCCCCATGTGAGGACACAGCAAGAAGGTTGCCTTCTGCAAGCCAGGAAGAGAGCCCTCCCCAGGTCCCAACCATGCTGGCATCCCGATCTTGGACTTCCAGCCTCCAGAACTGTGAGACGTAAGTTGTTGTCTAAGCAACCCAGATGGTGTCATTTTGTTATGGCAGCCCAAGCAGACTAAGACAGCCCCATTTAGGGGCTGTGTTGTGCAACACACAAGTGCAGGCCATGCTGGGGGACGAGGCTGTCGGGGGCAGGGGCTGGGCAGGCCGCACCCCTGGGAGGCAGAGGACGGTGGGGACGTCCTCCCCCCATGCATTTCTTCTCTTCAAAATCAAAGTGGCTTTTAGTGTTTTTGTTTTTCTGCCCTTGCCCCCACTACAAAAGTAATCTATGAAAAGAAAAGAAGAAAAGCTTATCCCCATTTAGGGGGAACCCAGGCAGTAGCCCAGACTCCTGAAGTTTTTGAAAGATGAAGCAGTCATCCCCACCCTGTTCATTGAACACAGGCAGTGTTTATGGACCCTGCTGGGTGTGGGGTAAGGGGGCAGGAGGGATTTCCTACTTGGGTGACCAAAGATGGTGAGGGGATTCAGGGATGGCTTTAGGGGATTCCTGGATGGAACTGGTTAGGAGGTGGGTGCTGGGTGTAAGGTGTTTTTGGGACCCTCAGGAAGGAAAGCCCAGCAGGGGTTGCCCTCATGGCCCTCCTCCCCATCCCTCAGCCCAGCCCTGTCTCAGACGAGCCAGCATCCTGATGGTGCCAATGAGGCCTGGCACCTTCTTGCTCTGAGTCGCTCCCTAAGTTTCTGATCCAGTCTCACCTCAGTACTTCCTGCCACCCTAGAGTCATGCCGAGGGCCCCTCTCCTGCACACATATGGATTTGGTTTTCCTGCTTCCAAACCAGCCGATTTTCCACCCCAAACCCTGCTTCTAAAAAAATCCCCTAAGCTGCTTCTGCAAATTACAGCACACACCACCAGGTTTGATTAACTAACTACACAAAAATGATGGAGAAACCAGTGAAGGACATAATTATGCAAAACAGAAGTGTCAGATTTACAAAGCGAGTTCTTCCCCTCTCCACATTCTCAGAACGGGGTGGGGCGGGGTGGGGGTGGGGGTTCCTTCCCTTTACCCTGTAGCTGCCCCTGCTCAACAAATTTTGCTCACAGAAAGCCAGGAGAGAGGCAGGCAGGCCGGAGGCAGAGCAGGAGTGGTATGAGCGGTGGGGGTGGGTGGCCTGCGGGGGTACACCTGATGAGAAGGCCCTGCAGCCATCCCAGGTATGCTTGCTAAGAGAAGCCCCCTCCACCTGGCCCGCTCCTCTATGGGAGAGGTTTCACCAAGCCCACTCACGCCTACTTGATCTCTGCCTGCCTCGGCTCTGCCTTGCACCGTTTTTCCTCACCCTGTTATGTATGGTAAGAACCAGGAGCAGACACCATGGCGGCCCAGTGTGCAGAGCTGCTTGGGCTGGTCCCGGAAGGCAGAGGAGTGCTGGGGGGCTCGTGAGGTTCCCGCATTGGTTGGGGGTGTACTAGGGCCTTTGGGGCCTCTTGTCTTCCCCATGTGTCTGTCTTTCTACGGAGGGGGCTGGCCCAGAGCAGGGCTGGGGTATGCCCAAGCCCCCTCATCAGGGGCATCCCCGGACCATCTTAGTCACACCCTGCTGTCCCCCACCACCTGGTTCAGCCCACAGTGCCCCGCTCACCCCACCTGTGTGACCAAAGGCCTCAGGATGACTTTTTCTCTCCTCCCCCGGGGCCCCTCGTGGTGGGCTCACCTGCGGCCTGCCTCGGCATCACGGTAGTCCTCGATGGCCAGGCGCAGCTTGCGCCGGTGCAGGGAGCTGCACACCCCAAGGCCCAGCTGCAGGTCCTCGTCACTCAGGCTCAGCAGCACCTGCCCCCGGGAGGGAGTGTCATATGGGGGCTGGGACAGCTGCCGGCGGGGTTCCTGCCCTAGAGGGGGTCTGTTGACATGGGGCTCCTTCCCCATCTCCTGCCCACCTTTCATACAGTGGGGTCAGGGCACATGGAAACCTCTGCAACTCTGATGTGGGGCGGAATCCCTGTTCAGGCAGAGGGAGCCCTTTCCCTTAGGCAGGTAAAGGAAACCTGGGTCCATTGTCAGGATGAGGCAGCTGAGGGCTCTCTGCCTTGCCAGGGAGGCACAATGAGCAGGTACATCAGAGGCTGATTGCATTGGCTAGCTCCTAGATTGCACCTTCTCCTGACTCCAGGGTAGGAGTGGGGGGCAGGCCAGCTTCTGGGTACGTAAAGCTCACAGAGGGCATGGGTGGCATCCCATAGGGGGCCCGGAGTTGCCTACCTTCCCGCTCTTCACGTTCTCCGTGCAGGCCTTGACGTACATAGGCATGGCCATCACCACCTCCAGCCAGGCCTGGACGGTGCCCGCCTTCCAGTGGGACATAGGGGTGGTCCTCACCAGCTCCACCTGCTGCAGCCGGTCCATCTGCTCCTCGCCTTCCGACAGGCTGAGGCTCTGCCGCGTGGGGCTGCACTGGCTGTCCGAGTCTGCAACACACAAGTGCAGGCCATGCTGGGGGACGAGGCTGCTGGGGGCAGGGGCTGGGCAGGCCATACCCCCGGGAGGCAGAGGGTGGTGGGGACATCCTCCCCTCCATGTATTCTCTTCAAAATCAAAGTGGCTTTTGGCGTTTTTGTTTTTCTGCCCTTGCCCCCATTACAAAAGTAATCTATGAAAAGAAAAGAAGAAAAGCTTATCCCAGAAAAAAATAAAACAGTAAATGAAGATCACCCCACGTGACTGTGAAAGGCAAATAAATCTTGGGACCCCAAACTCATTAAGCCAAAGGGAAAAGTCAAGCCGGGAACTGGGTCACACAAACCTGCCTCCCCGTTTTGATTCCTAAATAAGATGAACTGCTACACACCTCCCTCATATTTTGCCCACAAGGAAATTCCTGGCGAGCTTGGAGATATTTACCCTAAAGCATTTCTGTTAAAATTCACCATGGCAATGTAAATGGATAGCTTATCTTTACACAGTATTCACCCCTCTGCTCACCTGGCACAAATGCATATCTGATTGTTCCCCTGCCTCATTTATCTTTATCTTATGTAAAAATGTCGATTTCCTGCATGTTCCCCATCTGTCTATGTTACCTTATGTAAAAATGCAGATTCACTGGGCCAGACAAAGGCACGAATGATTATTTTCCCCCGCCCCCCTCTTACATGAAACTGTGTGCTTCTCAATATCCTTTCGCCTTTAAATCTGGAGGCCTCAAAATCATCTTCGGAGAAAGGCACAGACCTGTCTCCTGGGCGCGCGTCCTTAACTTTGACAAATACACCTCCTAAAATGACTGAGACCTGTCTCATCATTCTTCTAGATCGACACCACCTAGAGACAGCAGCTGTTAAATACTCTTTTCTGGATACAGAAAAGCCACACTTACAAACACACACAGACCCGCTTGCTTACGGGGTGCGTGCATTTGAGGTGTGTGCATTTGTGATATGCCTGTTCACTTTCGCTGTGGAGGAGACTGTTCCATCTCCACAGAGACCTGCGGTACCTTTTGACTGCGCGGGATTCATCAGAAGGAGGCTCCGTAATTTATTTCACCTCCTACTGATGGGCATGGCGGTTGTTTCCAATTTTTCACTATTGTAAACAACACAGCGGCAGTCGTCTTTGGGCAACTGGGTGATTTATTTTCGTAGGATAAATGGAACCCAGCTCCATTCCTTAATACACTGAAAGCTGTTTCTGGAATGGCCCTCACAGACCAAAAAAAAAAAAAAGTTCATCCACCAACATTTTCTAACCCCACTCTTCTATATATGGTTCGTTGCATCAAGGCCTGGTAAATATGAAAAGTTCAGGTTACAGAGACTCAATTGAGAGGGGAAAAGAATCTCTCTAAAAGAGGGTTCGATAAAAACCTAAACAGGCCGGGCGTGGTAGCTCACGCCTATAATCTCAGCACTTTGGGAGGACAAGGTGGGCAGAATGCTTGAGCTTCAGGAGTTTGAGATCAGCCTGGGCAACATGGTGAAACCCCATCTCTACCAAAAATACAAAAAAATTAGCTGGACGTGGTGGCGTGTGCCTGGGGTCCCAGCTGCTCAGGAGGCTGAGGTAGGAGGATCTTTTCAGCCAGGGAGGCGGAGGTTATAGTGAGCCAAGATCATACCACTGTACTCCAGCCTGGGTGACAGACTGAGACCCCAACTCAAAACAGAACAAAACAAAACAAAACAAAACAAAACAAATAAAAACACACACACACACCCAAACAGACAAACTCAATACCATGAGAAACAACAAGTATTTAAATATAACTCTGACTGGCTGGGCACAGTGGCTCATGCCTGTAATCCCAGCACTTTGGGAGGCCGAGGTAGGTGGATCACCTGAGGCCGGGAGTTCAAGACCAGCCTGACCAACATGGAGAAACCCCGTCTCTACTAAAAATACAAAATTAGCCTGGGTGGTGGCATATGCCTGTAATCCCAGCTACTCGGGAGGCTGAGGCAGGAGAATCGCTTGAACCCAGGAGGCGGAGGTTGAGGTGAGCCGAGATTGCGCCATTGCACTCCAGCCTGGCCAACAAGAGTGAAACTCCGTCTCCAAAAAAAAAAAAAAAAAAATCAAAAAAAAAAACAAAAAAACAAAACCTCTGATTAGAAATGACCCTGCTGAAATTCAATATTATAAATCATTACAAGAATGTAAAAAAAAAATGCTTATCCATCCATAGAGACAGGACACAACATTAAAACAATAGGTGATAAGTCTACACAAATGTTCATAGTTACTGCCTTTCTGTGCTGGGGAGAATATGGTTATTTTCTTTTTGTTGTATGTCTCTGTATTTTCAAAGTTCCCTAGTAAACATGTATAGTTTTGTAATAAAAACTTTGGAAAAATTAAATACTAGGAAGCAATATGAATGGTTATTGATGAGAGTTTGTTTGAAGGAATGACGCTCCATTCATATGTTGGAATATGTGCAATGAATAAAAAGTCCTGTCACGGGAAAACATCCACCACCTACTGCCAAATGAAAAAGGAAAACACGGCCGGGTGCGGTGGCTCACGCCTGTAATCCCAGCACTTTGGGAGGCAGGTAGATCACGAGGTCAGAAGATCGAGACCGTCCTGGCTAACACGGTGAAATCCCATCTCTACTAAAATTACAAAAAATTATCCCGGCGTGGGCGTGGTAGCACACGCCTGTAGTCCCAGCTACTCCAGAGGCTGAGGCAGGAGAATCACTTGAACCTGGGAGGCAGAGGTTGCAGTAAGTCGAGATTGTGCCACTGCACTCCAGTCTGGGCGACAGAACAAGACTCCATTGCAAAAACAAAAAACAAAAAACAACAAAACACAGCAGGCACAGTGTAACCCTGACTGTGGTTTAAAAATTATATGTAGATGTAAAGTGTATAATTATTATATACACGTGTGTGTATACAATATACTAGGTGGAGAAAATCTAGTATATAAAAATATGTAAAGTACTAGATGGATCAACATGAAAAGTCTGTCTCTGGAAAAGAAGTGATAGGTAATTGTGCGAGTGTGTGTGTGAATGTGCCCGTGTGAGTGTGAGAGTATTTGTGACTGTGCATACTTTTCTGTCTCCCAAGTTTTCTGCATTGACTATAGTATGTTTGATATGTAGAAAAAAGCCTAGAAATCTCACTTTTTCAAGTTACAAACCCCCTCCCCACAAGGCCTTCCCTCTCTCCATTTTAAACTCCTTGAGGGACTCTTTGAAAAGGACTGTATCCACCTGGTGACCACACACTCATCCATCATCCCCATCTCCACCAAAACCTGTCTCCCAAACACCTTGTGCCTCAGTTTCCTCCTCTGTAAAGCTAACCCGGTACCATTCTCTGCTGCCTGCCTCCTCTGTGGGCTGCCGTGAGGACTCAGCGGGGGTGAGTGTGACGGGCTGTCCGTGCTGGGACAAGTATGGGTTGAGAGGTCACTGCCAACATTATCACGTTTCCCTTCTCAGTGAGCCTAAGCCCTTTGTTTTTCCCAAGGAAATGGCAGAGGTTGCAGAGAGCTCTGTGCAGGTCACCCGTCTGAGTGGCCTCCTGTTGCCATGGTGCCAGGAATGCGGAAACGGCAGCAGCTGCCTCTGCAGCCCCGCCAGGGCCCCACCTTCCTGCCAGGTGACAGGGCTGTCAGGCCGGGGTGCAGGCCGGCAGCCAGTGCTGGTGCCCGGCTCCCACGGACCGGCATGGCTTGCAGGGAAGTCTTTTGGATCAGGCACAGGACTCCAAATTCTATAGGGATTGGAACAGGCACTGAAACACGGCATCCTTCCTGGATGGGAAAGAGCTGAGAGCCCCCGGGAGGCCTCCAGCCTGGCTGGCTTCACTCTGTTTTATTCTGCTAGCTGAGTCTCACCTCTGTTATGTGCTTCTGGGAAGAGGAGAGGTGATATGTGGCCAAATCTGGTTACCCAAAGTTCCAAGACACGGCCCCTGTCATCCATTTGGACCAGGCTTTGGAGTTGAACAGACCTCAGCATCAGGCAGATTCCTTGAAGCCTCCGTTTCTCCATATATAAAATGGGAATAATGAGAATATCTGCCTCGTAGCTTGAAATGAATGTTATAAACTCTGAATGCGAAGCTATGGGGGTGTGAAAGTTGCAGATACCAGGATGAAATCACTTTTGTCAGAACCAGAAGAATTAGAGCCGGGAAATCACGAAGGAGGGGAACTCATGCTTGCATGTTTGAGATAAGGACTGTCTCAAGGACTTTCTAAAATAGCCCCCAAGAAATTCCTTCTTCAGGACTGCAGCAATTCAGGTAAGATGTTCTCCAAAGAACACTGCCCAGTAACGTCATCTCCACCAATGAACTGATGCCAACTCTAGCTTTGAGCCTCTGCAGCCAATGAAGTCTGTTTCCAAGCAGCTTATGTGAACTTCTCTTTTTTTTTTTTTTTTTTTTTTTTTTTTTTGCCAATAAAAGCTTCCCTTTGCTGTCCCCTCTCCAGACGCACCTATGGCTTGCCACAGCTATACTTCCAGAGACTAATCCATTTATGCTTACTCCCAAATACATTCATCATATAGGAGATATTTTTTTCTGATGTCTGTTTTTTCAGGCTGACAGTAGGCACTTAGTCAAGGCTGGCTATTGTTGGCAATAAGGGGCCCCTCTCCTGGGGCTTGGGCACTGTTTGGCCACACCTAGAGTTTAGCTGCAGCCACTTCCTTCCCACTACATTCCTGGCTACAGCTTTGGTGCCTTCAGAGGGAACAAGTCCTCCTGGTTGTCCAGCCTGGCAGGGCAGAAATTCACTGTCCCTGCTGGACTCTTGCCTGGTCAAGGTGGGAGGGGTGGGGCTCTCAGTGAGGTGAGGGTGGATCTGTCCGTTCTGTGCCCAGGTGGGTGGGTGGGGGGTGTCTGCAGCCCTTGGCTATGTCTCCCCAAGAAAGGGAGCTAAAGGAGCATGGGAAGGAGAGAAAGGAGATGGGAGCAGAAGTTGGCTGCTGCTCCTGAGTCCCCCAGAAGAGGGGAAGGTTCAAAGAAGAGGGTTTGGGGAGAGAAAGGGTGTCCAGATGCAATAAAGATGCGAAAGTAAATTGAAAGGAGGAGAGGGAGAGAGGGAGTCGAGGTCAGAGAGGGGATAACAGATACGTGGACAAACAGAAAAGGCAAACGTCTGGTGTGCAATGTGAGCGTGTGTGTGCGTGTGCCTGTGTGTCTTTGTGAGTGTGTGTGGGTTATTTATTTTCTGTAGTGAGCAGGCCTCAGGGCTGTGAGGGGAGCTGGCTTTACAGCTCGCATTATTTATGGAGTCCAGGCCCTAGGAATGCCAGAGGCCAGGCTGGGTTCATGTGCGCAAACCACACATTTTGGTTTCTGCAAGACAGCTATTCACCGCCCCTATTCACCACCGCCTCCTTCTCCCCCACCCCTGAGGACTGAGCACCAACGAGACGACGTGACAGAAGGGCTTGGGAGGAGTCTAGGGGGGCCTTGGGGTCATAAACCATTAATTAAAGGCAGTTTCCAAAATGCAGGCATTATGGGGCCAGATTTTATGTCCGGATTCCATCAATCCTGGCTTTTATTTCCCTCCTTCTCAGTCTTGAGAGAGGGAATAACTCATGTTGATGGCCAGGCTGCTCAGCGGAGGGGCTGCCGAGTCGCGGGTGCTGGCTGAGTCCCTGGTGGAGTCTGAGAAGCTACCACTAAAAGGCAGTCACTCGGGATCCTTCCAGAAACTAGAAAGACTGTGGACTTTGGAACGAGAGGCTGTGCATCCTTCCACCCACCCCAACACATATGCACGCATGCACACCCCCCCACCCACAGAATGTTAGTACTACTGAGTGTGACCATTGACGTCTCCCCTAAATGAGGCCTTACAGAGGCAATTGTGTTGGCCCAGCATAGAGGTCAGCAGACTACGGCCTCCCAGGCCGAATCCAGCCCTCCCTCCTATTTTTCTAAATAAAGTTTTTATTAGATCACAGCCATGCCCATTTGTTTATTTATTGTCTAAAGCTGCTTTCATGCTACAATGGCAGAGTTGAGACGTTGAGACAGGCCCACAAAGCCTAAAGCTTAAAGCCCACAAAGTTTTTTGGCCCGGTGCAAAAGACCACATAGAGAAACGCCTGGCCTAGACGTTCAGAGGCTGGCACTGGAATATGGGAGCCCTGGGTTTGAATCCCAGCTCCGTGGCTTATCAACCAAAAGATCTCACGGAAGCGTTTTACATTTTCTCAACCTCGGTTTTCCCCTCTGTAAAACGGGGATGATAGGAACGCTTAATCTCACAGGATGGTGTGAGGATGAAATGAAATGATGTGTGCAAAGTGTTCAGCCTTGTGTCTGACATAGAGTGGATACTCAGTGACGGAGTGGAGGCCTCTGTCCCCTGCGGGCCCATGTCACTTACTGTCCAGACTGCTCTGTCCAGTACAGCAGCTACAAGCCACATGTGCCTACAGAACATGTAATGTGGCTAGCTCACATTGAGAAGTGCCTTAAGGGCTGGGTGTGGTGGCTCATGCCTGTAATCCCAGCACTTTGGGACACCGAGGTGGGTGGATCACCTGAGGTCAAGACCACCCTGGCCGACATGGTGAAACCCCGTCTCTACTAAAAATACAAAAAAATTAGCTGGGCATGGTGGTGCATGCCTGTAGTCCCAGATACTCGGGAGGCCGAGGCAGGAGAATTGCTTGAACCCAGGAGGCGGGGGTTGCAGTGAGCTGAGATCACGCCACTACACTCCTGCCTGGGCGAAAGAGTAAGACCCTGTCAAAAAAAAAAAAAGAAAAAAGTGCTTTAAGCATAAAACACATACTGGAGTTTGAAGACGGTAGAAAAAAAAAAGAATGTAAATTATTTCATAATCATTTAAAAATTGATAACATATTGATCATATTTTGGGTATACCAGTTAAATAAAATATATTATTAAAAGTCATGTCACCTGTTCCTTTTTACTTCAAATGTGGCTAATAGAAGGTATAAAGTTACACATGTGGCTTGCATTAGTTTCTACTGGACAGAGCTGGTCTGGATGGAAGATTATTTTTTTCTTTGGTTTGTTTTCTCATTCCATTTCCCCGCCACCCTCCGTTGGTTTGGAAGTTAAGCTTTCTCTGCTTCTGATTTTAGTATAGTAGTTGTAGTTCTCAAAGTGTGGTCCCTGGACTAGTAGCATCAGCAGCATCTGGGAATTTGGTAGAAATGAAAATTCTAGAACTGTACCCCAGATCTCCTGGAACAGAAACTCTGGGGGTGGAGCCCAGTGGTCTGCTTCATAACCCACCAGATAATTCTGAGGTATTCTCAAGTTCTAGAACCACGGCCTTAATGATTACCCTTGAAAAGTCACTATACCTATTTACCTTAATAAAACCTAGGGTTGTTCAATATCCTAATGCCATCCTAAATAGTAAGAATTATTTAAAATATATTAATTCTGCTCACTCCTCCTGACTTCCATGCTACCACATCCAGGATTTTAATTCTATCCTCTTTTGAAACCCCATAATTTAGACATTGTCACGATGATTATTTTATACTGATAACGTTTGCTTAAAATAATTGACTTACATGTTTACCAATTTCTTTGTTCATCATGTCTTCTTGTACCTCAGACCTTCCTTCTGGAATAACTTTTCTTATTCCTGAAGAACATGGTTTAAAAGATTTTTCGATTACAAGTGTTTTGGTAGTTAGCTGTTACAACTTTTGCCTATCTGAAGAAAGTCTGTTTTACCCTTGTGCTTCAAAGGGTTTTGCTGGGAACACGGTTTTAGGTTGAGAGTTTGCCTTTTGTTTTAGCGCTTTGACGATGTTGTTTCATGATCGTGGGTCTTCATTTCTGCTATAGAGAAGTCCACTGCAAGCCGAATTGTTCTTTCATTAGCTACTTTTAAAATTTTCTCTTTGTCAGCCAGGCATGGTGGCTCATGCCTGTAATCCCAGCACTTTGGGAGGCCGAGGCAGGTGGATTACCTGATTTCAGGAGTTCGAGACCACCCTGGCCAACATGGTGAAACCCCGTCTCTACTAAAAATACCAAAATTAGCCGGGCGTGGTCGGGGGCGCCTGTAATCCCAGCTACTTGGGAGGCTGAGGCAGGAGAATCGCTTGAACCCAGGAGGCAGAGGTTGCAGTGAGCCGAGATCGCACCACTGCACTCCAGCCTGGGCAACAGAGCAAAACTCTGTCTCAAAAAAATTTTTTCTTTTTGTCCTTGGTGTTCTGAAGTTTCATTGCAATGTGGCTAGATGTGGATATTTCAAATTTATTCTGAATGATATAATTGTGCTTCCTGTATCTCTGGACTCCTTTTTTTGAATATTCTGAACCATTATCTCTTACAATATTACCTCTTTTCCATTCTCTCGGTTCTCTCCTTCTGGGATTCCAGTTAGATATAAGTTGGACTTTCTAATTCTATTTTTTCCTATCTTGTGACCTAGTGCTGTCCAACAGAACTTTCTGTGTTGATGAAAATCTGCTATAACCTTCACTGACCAATAGGATAGCCATTAACCACAAGTGGTTATGAGCTAATAAATGTGGCTAGTGGGTGGTGCGTGGTGGCTCACGCCTGTAATCCCAGCACTTTGGGAGGCTAAGGCGGGAGGCTTGCTTGAGCCTAGGAGTTCGAGACCAGCCTGGGCAACATGGCGAAACCCCATCTCTACCAAAAATACAAAAATTAGCTGGGCGTGGTGGCAGATGCCTGTAATCCCAGCTACTCAGGAGGCTGAGGCAGGAGAATCGCTTGTACCTGGGAGGTGGAGGTTGCAGTGAGCCGAGATTGTGCCACTGCACTCTAGCCTGGGTGACAGAGTGAAACTCCATCTCAAAAAAAACAAAATAATAATGGCAGAGGTAAAATGTGGCTGATACAACTAAAGACCTGAGTTTTAGTTGTATTTAATTTTAATTAATTCAAATATAAATCTAAGAACATGTGGGCTAGTGGCTAGTGTATTCGATACAGCAATTTCTCCTTTAGTTTTCATCTCATCTCTGTGCGTTGCATTCTTGGTAATTTCCTTAGGTCTTTTTTTCCATTTTTAAAATTATCTCTTCACCTATTTAGTCTGCTGTTTAACCCACCCTTTTATTCATTTTTAATGTTATCAGCTATATTTTTTTCATTTCTAAAACGTTTTATCTGTTTTCTCTTTCAAGTTTTCCTGGTCTTGTGAGACAGTTTCCTGTTGTTTGCTCATGTCTGTGATTTCATCTGACATTTCCTTAAGTATTTTATGCATAGTATTTAGTATTTTGTATTTGGTATTGATAATTACTAAACCTGAAAAGGCCTTAGAGGGTCTAAATTTGCTATTTGTTTTTGCTGACTTTCACTCATGCTGAACACATATTTGATCTTAATTTGCGGGAATCTTTGGGTCTAAATAGCAGATGCCTTTCTCCAGAGAGGATTTACATTAACTTCTACTGGGGTGGGGAAGAGAAGAGGAGTGGGGATGAGACCTGGGTCCAGGGGCCACTTCATGCCCCTTTGAGAGACTCTGGTTGAATGACAGCATCTCTGGCTCTGTTCTTCCACTTTGCTATATCCCAAAATTTAACCCCCTGATAACAGTCCTGATAGCAGCATTTGCCTCCAGGACAACCTCAGCTTTTGCCTTTGGTGATCACTCACTGCTCCTGTTCTGGTGTTAGCTTACAGCTTTTGTTTTTTGTCTGTAGACGTCTTGGGGATTTCCCTTATTTTCTGTGAGACCAGGAATGCATTAAAAAGTATGTTTCATTCCAGATTTATTGGTTTTGTAGAGGGAGGCCCTTCCGAATATGTCTTCCCCCACGCTGCCCTGAGTGGCCGTCCCTCTGGCTGTGTGCACTGTCCACCCAGCACACTGCTTCCTGCTGGCACTGCTGTGCATGGCCTGTCCATCTGCCCTGCCACAAAGTGATTGCCGAGGTCATCAGCCAAGTCTTTCCATATTTGTATTACCAGGGCCTGGTATATGGAGATGTCCAATGTCATCAGTGATGGGAAAAGTCCAGGTTATGGGAAATACCATTTCCTTTGCCTTTCCCCCCAGCTCAGCCCTTCCCTGTTCTACTTGTTTTGACAGCCAAGGAAGATGATACCATTATTCACTTGGATATTCCTTTGGGAAGCCTCAGTTTCTCTTGCCTTCCCCCAGGAATAAAGGGGCAAAGGGCACATTTCAGATGGGAAGTGAAGGCTCAGAGGGGTCCCCCGATGTTTCCAGCAGGCTAGTGTGGGAGCTCTGCTTCAACCCTGAATTCCCCGCCTCCCAGTGTAGAAGAACCTATGTGAGCAGCCCTCTCGCCTGTTCTTGAACGCCTGTGCTTGGTTACATAACATTGGCAAGGATTGCTCAAACTGGCAAGAGGCAGGATGGTGTGTGGGGTGTGGGAAGATACTCTCACAGGCTGGGAAATGGCTCCTGGCCCTGCCTGCCAGGCTGGGGAACTTGAAGCCAGCCATGACTCAGAGTGAGAGACAGACACAGAGAGAGACAGAGAGACAGGCCTAAGCACCGAGACAGACTTGATGGGATCCAAAGGCCTGTGATCGGGAAAGACAGGCCGATGTTCACATGGGTGTTGCCACTGAACTTGGGGCTCTGCGTGTCTGTCCATCCTTTGGACTGCTCTACCAAACCGTACAGTGCCTGCATATTCATTCTATGACCAGAGACACTCATGCCTAATGCTTACTAAGCTACCGGGGACAGGTGGCATGGAAAGGCGGGATGGAAGGATGGTAGACTTTGGCGGGGGTGAGCCCTGGGCTGGAGTGACACAGGCAGCCTGGAGCCAGAGGTGATGGCCGGACAGGCCCAGTGCACCATTCACCAGTGTCTGGGAGAAGCTTTGAGAAGGTTTTGCTATGTACTACTTTCCACCATTTTTGCCCTGAAACAGTCCCCCCTCCACCTAGCCTGAGGTTGACATTTGCAACTAAAAGGGGCTGCACAGGCTTGAGTCCACATGCCTGTCTAGGAGCCATCCAGAGCAAGGAAAGGTGCCTACCTCCGAAGAGTTTGGAGCACCCTGGTACTTGCTGCTCAAATGGCATCATGAATGGGGTCACCTGGGCCTCCCACCCAGTGGGATTCAGAATTCTAGGGCTAAATGGTGCCCTCAAGGTCACGTGGTCCATCCCACAGTCTTGCAGTAGGGCTGGGACTTAGAGGAGGGAGACTGCTCCTAGAGTGGTCTTTAGATCAGGGATGTCAGCTACCAGGGAGGTGGTTAAAAATGCAGAGGTAGGTCAATTGAAGTCAGGAGTTCGAGACCAGCCTAGCCAACATGAAACCCTGTCTCTCCTAAAAATACAAAAATTAGCCAGGTATGGTGGCACGCACCTGTAATCCCAGCTACTTGAGAGGCTGAGGCATGAGAATCGCTTGAACCTGGGAGGTGGAAGTTGCAGTGAGTCGAGATCATGCCACTGCACTCTAGCCTGAGCGACAGAGCGAGACTCCGTCTCAAACAAAACAAAACAAACAAAAACAAACTGCAGAGGCTTAGAGGTAAAGGCCTTGTAAATTCTCCTATGCCCACCCTGCATGGCGAGTGAGAGGGAGGTGGAATTCTTCATCCTGGTCCCGCATGTCCCTGACCTCAGAGTGCCATTGGCAGACACCCTTGGCAGCAGCTATGGGAAAGACTTAGTGCTCTAGCATTTTAATTAATTTTTTTTCTTCTTTTACTATTTAAAATTTTGAGTCTATACCCAGCCTGTGGCTGAGTGACCCATGCCCTGGGCTTCTGAGCCTCTTTTGATGTCTGCAGCATCAAGCACATTGGCACCTCCCTGGCATCTGCATCCCTGGGGTCAAATGTGTGCCTGGATGCAGAGCTCCCTGGAGCCTGATAGAAAAGCTTTAGTTGTAAATGTGTCTTGTGTGTCTGAGTTGGAGGTGGCGCAGGGAACCAGGCTTCCCTGGAGGTCAAGTGAGGTGGCTGAATGTGTCCCTGCACCTGGCTGGGCCTGTTGCTGCCCCATAGGGTCTCAGACCTCAGATAGGGGGGCTGAGCACTTGGACCTCGGCTGCCACTGAGGCAGAGTTGAGGCAGTGAGCTTGGTGAGGGCAGGCTAAGGTTGCAACGTCCCCTGCTGAATTCCATCACTCCTGAGTCTCCATCACCTGTCCCCTGTCTCAGTTGGCTCCACCATCTCCTATCTGGAGCACTCCAGCTGTATCTCAACACCCTACCTCCCTCTTTCTCTTTCATTCCATCCTCTTCAAGCCCAGAGGAAATTTTTTTAAAAAATGGTATCTTCCCAGGGACCTCTTCTGCTCATCATCCTTCAATGGCTCCCTGGTAAAGCCCAAGGTCCTTGCTGTGACCCACAGGCCGACCTTGCCAGCTTCATCCTTAGCTTCTCACCCCTGCCCTTGGCACCCTGGGCTTCCTGCATTTCCCCGATGCCCCTAATTCCCCCTCTCCAATCCCTGCACCTGCCGTTCCCTTGGCCTGAACAGCGGCCTGTCACTTTCCTCTGCCTGGTGAAGCTTACACAGGCTCAGGGCTCTGTTTCAATACTGATTATTTCAGGGACTCCTTTCCTGGTCACCTAGTGTGGGTACCCTACAACTCCCCAACACACACACTCACACACACACACACACACGCTGTCATTAATTCCTGGAACCTTTCCTGCATGACATCTCTCACAGCTGAAACGAACAGTTGTGTAATTATTCGATGAAAGTCTGTGTCTCCCACCAGACCATAAACTGCACATGAGCAGGCGCTGGGCCTGGTTTTGCTCCCTAGACATCTCTAGTCCCTAGCAAGGGCCCAACCACGTTTAACAACCGGCTCTTATATTTTCCAGAGGTACACTGGTTTTAGCATTTGCTTGCCAATTTCTGTGGTGTAAATACTCCTATTGTGGCCAATTTCAGTGACCGGCAGGCTGTCACTGGACGTGGAGTTGGGAAGAGAGCCATCCGTGGGCCTGTGTGAGCCAGCCCTGGCCCAGCACTGCCTGCAATTGAATGAGCCCTCTAAGTATTGAGTAAAAGAAGGCAGGAAGGGAGGAACGGAGGGAGGGAGGGAGCAGGCCTTCCTCTGTGGTCTCATCTTCTGCCAACCCCGCCTCGTCCACGCCTCTTCCAGCCACAGCAGGGTCACCTGTGGCCCCTCTTATGCAGTAGATGCTACCATTCTCTTGTCCCTCTGCCTACGGCAAGGCCTCTGAACTTTGGCACTCGGCATTTGGGGCCAGATTTCTTTGTCATGGGGCTGTCCCGTGCATCGTAGGACATGTAGCAGCATCCCTGGCCTCCAACCACAAGCTGCTGGGGAGCACCGAGTGTAGCTGCTCCCAGCGTCCCCAGCATGCCCTAAGGCACAGGGAGGGTCCTACTCCCTTCTACCCCGGGGCCTCTGTTCTCAGCCCAGCCCAGCTCTGTTCAGGCAGCCAACTACTGTCAACACTCCCTGCCCTTGGGAAGTGGCAGGGGAGCCTCCATCAGCACATGTAGCTCCAAAAGCTGAATTCTCATTTTTTAAACACTTCATGATAATGTGAAAAAACAACTTTTTATGGCCCGATCATGGCTGCCCTGTTGGATGTAGATGCTTTGCTGATCCCTCAGTCACAAGCCCCATGAAATACTTATGAAATGTGTGAAAGGCTTCTGTGGTAGCCCACAGGACCAGGGACAGCGTGGGTGTGAAGAGCATCAGGAGGAGAGCCTATCAGTCACTCACCACTGTGGCTGCTGGGGGCTGATGGCAGGACCCTTGGTGGGCAGCGAGGTGGCAGGGGCCCTGCCACCAACCTGCACCACCCCTGACCCCAGGGCCAGGCTCACCCTTGGGAGGCCCTGGGCTAAAACAGTGGTGGTACCTCCCACCCCAACGTGTCCCTATTTACGACATCATAAAGTAAATAGAAAAGTCCAGCAGAGTGCTGCTTTTACCAACAATAACTGCTTTATACTTTTAAAAAATCACATGGGCGCCCCCTCATTTTGGTGCCACCGTCTTGCAAAGGCCTAGACTTGTGCTTTTTCCCATGACCAGCCACCCTTCTCCCAACCTCGGAGGACATCCTCCTCCTTCAGTCCCTCCTGCCACACTCTGAAAATTTTCCAAAGGGCCAGGGAATTGAGATCCTGGGGTTGGCCAGGGTCCCCACTGCTCTGCACTCAGTTCCTAGGCAGGTACTTGACAAGTATTCTCTAAG
Organism: Homo sapiens; assembly: GCF_000001405.40. Taxonomy (NCBI): domain Eukaryota; kingdom Metazoa; phylum Chordata; class Mammalia; order Primates; family Hominidae; genus Homo; species Homo sapiens. Next base: position 15,079,995 of record NC_000001.11, on the reverse strand, counting down.
TTTATGCACTTAGGAGGAAGCTGCTAAGAGGTCCAGGGAAGACAAACACATAGTTATCCAATGACAATGACTTTATGCTTTTACATATATATCTATACATCAAAAGCTTTCCTCTTTCTTCCTTGCTAACCTGTTCCACTGCTGCAGCAGCACCCACATTTGGGAAGTCCTTCTTATAGTCTCAATTGCAAGTGCAGCCGAAGCCCATCTTTCTCCAGCTGCTGGCCTCCTTGGGCAAGTCCCACACTGACTCCTCTTTTCTGACATGTTTTCCCGGCAGGCTTCTCTGCCAGTGGGCAGCCCTGAAAGGTGGATCCCATGAGAAGTGAGGGGGGGATCTTGACACAGGTGGCCAGGGCAAGAAGACCATCCTTCTCCACGCACCCATGCAGAGGCCGGGCACGTGTGCATCTGTACAGCTCTTGGAGGCAAAGCTGGGGGCGATGGATGGCTGTGGGTTTCAGGAAATCAGCTGTGCCCCAACCCCACTTTCACATTGTTTAGTAAAATATCTGAAATTATGTTGGGTTTCACTAAAAAAAAAAATAAGCCAACAGTATTGAATTGTGACAAAAGGTCCTTCATCTTGTGTCCACAATTTAACGACTAGTTATTACTTTAATAATTAATTAACTGGATTAATTCACTCCCTAGCTAGATTTTCACCAATTTTGCCTCTTTGGCTTGAATGAGCCCCCTCCCTGGCAAGCAGTTCCTCCTTAGGCCTCCAGACAACCTAGGTTCTTTCTGGCTCAGCTGAGCCTCTTCCACAGGCGCCTATGGACACTGGGCATTGTGACGGCTGGGAGACCCTGCCTGGTGAATCCTTGCCTATTTGCACACCGGGACAGGAACTCACCACTGAGCCAGATGCCAAGCCTCTAGACCAGGGTGAGGTGATTGGAGGTGCTGTCTTCTATGTGACTATCTTGCATGATTCATGCAAACTGTCCCACCTCCGATCTCCCTCAAAAAGCTTTGCAACTGCCTCCCGGGAGTTTCTTAAGCCAGTGGTGAGCGGCTTTCACTATGCATTGCACAAAGGCCAGTTTAGGAACAGCAAACACATTTACGAGCAGCATTGATTTAATTTCCTTCAGAACGAAGACAGCTTTGATGAGGTCCTTGGTGGGGGGAATTCTTGCAACTTAGACACCTATAGGAGAATGGCAAGGGGAACACTGGCACCAGTTTTGGCTTTTCCAATCATGCCTCATGAAACGTTCTAACTGGAGGTCCCGTAGCGGCAGCTGAGAGGAACAGCATGCGCGCTGCAGACCGATGCCCTTCTAGAATCTGTTAATATGTTCAGCCAGAGCCACAGCATGGGGCAAAGGATCCTAGGAGGTTTCTTCCCATTTTGTGAATTAATCTTCTCTCCCTTTGTAGGTGACCTTTAATCGTGATCCCTGCTCCCCGCCTTGTCTGCCTCCCTCCAGCCCTTGAATTCTGGAAATTAGAGAACAAAGCCTTATCCTAACAGCTCACAGTTTAATCAGCTTCAATCATATCTGCCTGGAAAGCAGTGTCGTGCAGTCTGTTGGACCCCAATTCTTGGCCTCGTTCCATCACTTTATTTTTTATTTTTTTTGAGATGGAGTCTCGCTGTGTTGCCCAGGCTGGAGTACAGTGGCACGATCTCGGCTCACTGCAACATCCGCTTCCTAGGTTCAAGCGATTCTCCTTCCTCAGCCCCCCGAGTAGCTGTGATTACAGGCACGCACCACCATGCCCAGCTAATTTTTGTATTTTTAGTAGAGATGGAATTGGCCAGGCTGGTCTCGAACTCCCAGCCTCAAGTAATCTGCCCACCTTGGCCTCCTAAAGTGCTGGGATTACAGGCATGAACCACCGCATCCAGCACATCACTTATTTTGTCTCTTAGGGCTATGTATGTTACTTCTCTGAGCCTCAGTTTCCTCACCAAATTTCTTACGTGACTTTGGTGAGGATGATGTTAGGATAATTTATCTCATCATCCACATCTGCATCCTCAGCCCTAAGCCCTAAACCTGGCATATAGGAAACATTCAGTCAGTGTTCGTTGAAAGACTTAATGAGTGTACATCAAATGCCTACCCCATGCCTGGCACAGTAGGCACTTAGTAAATGTCAGCAAGTCATATTAGCTTTCCTCACACCCCCTGCTACCTCTCCTGCTCCCATGAAGCCAGTCTTTGTCCCCATTCCTCATTCTGAGCCCCTGTCCGCATCCCTGGGAGGCCTGCAGCTGCTTTTCATGCTGATAACTGCGCAGCCTCCTGGGATTTCTTGGATAATACGGAGTCACCCTATTGTCAGGCCCATCAACATCTTCACCTGAAGGTGAAACCCCCAACCCCCATCTCTGAGTCCCAGAGACTCCGGTAGTGACTATAAAAAACAACTGAGTCACGTGGCTGCAAGCAGCTGACCTGGTCCTGTGTAGCCCTTGCGGAGGAGCGGTGGAGCTCAGGATTCCTGCAGTGACTCAAGGCCTCCGAGGGCAGTGCTGAGCGAAGACCCCTTTTCCCTTCTCCACTGCCACTCCCCAAACACTCTAAGTCTTGGGAACACTTCTCTGGGTTGAGAAACAAGCGTGGAGCCCTGCTGCCTGGCCGTCAGGGAGTGGAGGACAGGAGGGCCCTCCAGTGAAGGAGGATGGTGGTGAATTGAGATGGGCGCCTACAGCCAGGCAGGCCCGGGGACTCCACACGCAGGGGAAGACCAGGGACTGTCAGAGCACGAGGTGTCCACAGAGAGAGAATCTAGACTGGAGGTGACAGAGCTGTTGGCCCTGAGACAAATTAGGGCCTTGGAAATTTTCCCCCAATGGACACTAAATTAAAAAAAAATTAGTTGTCAATATGAAAGACTTGGGGTGTATTATGTGAGATATTTGGCTTCTCTAGAAGATCTGGAGCTCTGGAAACACCAGGCTGGCATTGCTCCGAGCAGCCTCGCTGGAGTGAGCAGAGCTGCTTCCTTTTGCTACAGCACGTGCTGGCCCCACGTGGCCACGTCACTGACCCGCCTATCTGCAGGGTCCCCACAGGCCTCTGAGTTTGTGGCGTAGTTGAAATGAGGCGAGTAAGTGTCCAGCCCAATGCTGGCAACTGAGAGAGCCCACAAGGTGGGTCCTTGTCATTGTCACCCTAATATATGTTTGCAGTGGGTGCTGATCTAAAACAGCAGGTGGTGACCGTAATTCCAGCTTGCTCGCGAGGCAGTGCAGTCGTGACGGCTAATGTTTGCCTGGTGCTTTACAACTAGTAAGCATGAGCTCATTGCATCCTCCCCAGAGAGGGGGACTCAAGATTCCCAGGGGCCCATTTTACAGATGAGAAAAGTGGAGCTCAGAAAAGCCAATCAATTGTGTGCAGAGGGCACAGCCCAGACTCAGGGCCTGGGTTCCTGCTCTGAAGCAGAGATTTTCTGTCACGTGGGCCTCTGCAGCCCTGAAAGAAGCAGCTGGGGTGTCTTGGATGCGTCTCTCCATTTACTATTTTATCTTTGCAACAGCCAATATGTTTTATCTCCATTTCAAAGAGGGGGAAACTGAGGCTCAAAGGGACTCGGTGTTGCACAGCTGGCATGTGCCGATGCTGGGATTGAGCCTCAGGATCTAGCTCCGAAGCCGAGGCCTTTCCTCAAGCCCCTCCCTGTAGGAGGCCGATCAATTCTGCTGGGCTCAGGCTGTCACTAAGATGAGTTTGTTTCTTGCACACATGTGAAAAGATGCAAGGAATTTGGAATTGGCTCACACACTCAAGCTGCCATCAGTGACCCGGGACTGTTACCTCTAACCCTCCATTTGGGGACAGGCCCTCAAGTTCCTCCTGGCTTGTCTCAAGTCTCCTCCTTGCCACCACAGCTCTGGTGCCCACAGTGACAGCTGTCAGAGGCTGCTTCCTTCCCTCCTGGTCCACATGCCCTGGCCACAGGCTCCACACCGCCTCCACAGACATCAGCCTCCTAATAAGGAAGGAAGCTGGCCTAGTATAGCACGGATCCAATTTGGATGTGACTCTGACATCTCTGGCCTGTCCCAGGGAAAGGAATTAGGCAGCTCAGAGCCACCAAAGGGTGATGAAGTGCTCTGGAGGGCAGGTGGGGCCAGACACCCTGGCAGCATGGACATGCCCATCCCCTGGGTCCCTGTGCCAACAGACTCAGCCCCTCTGTCTATATCTAGGACCTAGGAGAGCAGGAAAATAATGAACACCCTGGGACCGGCATTTCCAAGCCAATCTGTCGGGCTCTTCTGCCTCATGTGGGTGCTGTGCACTGCTTTGGGTCCTTTCTTAGCAAAGTGGATGCTGAGATAGAGGGGCTGTGACTACACCTGACCTGGTGTCTGTCACCTCCCTTCTGGAGGCCCATAGGGATGTCATATGAGCCACAGAGACTTCTCATGGCTAAATAATGGTGGCATGCTTAGAGATCGCCACAGAACCACTGACAGCGCCCTCAAAGCACAGAATAGTGGAGCTGAAGGGCCCGAAGAAGTCATCTGTCCCAATAGTTTCCAGTCGGTGATCCACCGAATGAGAGTAAAAGGTGTGGTTCTGTGGTCACGTAAGTTTGGGAAACACTAGATGGGTAAAGGTAGAAGATTTTCTTTCATTGCAGAACTTGTCAGAGCCTTAATAAGTGAAAGGGTTGTGCTGATCTATAAGGGGTGGAGATATGATGCAGTGTTTCCAAAACTTACTGACCCAGGGATTTTTTTCCCCCTAGTTGAGTCTTATGGTTGGAGGCAGCTCAAAGCACTGGCCAGGAAGGCAGGAGCCCTGGGTTCCAGAACCAGTTCAGACACTGATGCCCTGCTGGGCTGTGGTCAAGCACCCTCCCATCTGCAATATGAGGGGAGTGGACTAGAGACCACTGACACCCCTCTCAGCTCCCAAACTCTTGCTCCCTCTGGTCCTATTCTGGGCTGGCCCCTGCAGCTTGGGCTAATTGCTGAACTTACCTGGGCCTCAGTCTTCTCATCTGTACAAAGGGCCCTGTCCTGCCTACCTCACAGGGCCGGCGAGAGGCTGAAATGAGATCACCATTGCCATTGTCATCATCACGGTCATCATCATGGTGGCTAAGGTTTATTGCGCCCTGTGCTAAGCCTTGTATACATATTGGCCTGTTTCATCCCTGCAGCCACACTCTGACCTAGTATCTTTTCACCCCTATTGTCCCCATGAAGAAACGAAGGCACAGCAGGTGAAGTCCTTTGCCTAAGGTTACCAGGTAACAAGCGTCAGGACTGAGGTTGAAACCCAGGGAGTTTGCCCAGGATGTAATCTCTTAACCCTGACCCCCATCTCCCCGTGAAAGAGTGTCGTGAACTGTAAATCGCTGTGACCTGGGGAGGCGTTGCTCAATGCAGTTGTCCTGTGGTTCGTGGGGGACATTCATGGCCTTGGCCTTGTCTTATAGACTTCCAGAAGGGGAGCCAGGGGCCCCATTTTCCTATTTCCTGTTCTACCAGGGTTAAGGAGGGTCTCATACTGCCCCTCACTGATAGGGAGGAGGGGTGAGCAGGGAAGCCGGGGGACACCCATGAGGAGTGACTCCTTCACCAGGCTGGTGCCCCTCTCCCTTCCTGATCACAGCCCAGAGACCCCTGGAGGAGCTTGGAGATGATGTGCCCCCTGGTTTTCTCACATACTGCCTCTCAGCTGCAGAGATGCTGCAGACCCGTCATTCACACCTATTTCAACAAGCCGAATACACTGGAGTTTAGGGCTAAAGGGCAGGGAGGCGGATGGCAGGGAGGGACCCTCCAACACGGTGGCTGCAGCCTCTCCCTTGCCGACCGCCTTCTGAGGCACATCCAGGGACTTCTCAGATTTCACAGGCCACAGGTGGAAAACCACTGTCCTGGTCTGTTTTAGAGACAGCTTAAGGCCCAGAGAGGGAGACCAGCTTGGCTGTGGTCACACAGCGAGTCCTTGACCAACCTGAACACTGGGAGTCCAGAGCCGGGCTCAGGGGCCCTGAAGGCGCTGGGCTGGGGGTGGTGGGGCTTCTGGGTGAAGAAGACTGGGCCTCCTCAGGAGCCCAAGGGCAGGGGTGGGCAGAGGCCTGCAGGCCCCTCTGTAGCAGCTCCACATCTGACCACTTCCCAGAGTGCAGCAGCTTGGGCTGACTTGCCCCCAGTTTAGGGCTCATGGTCTGGTGTCCATGGGATATCACTGGCCCCAGACCGAGGCCAGCAGGTCCACCGGACAGAAGTCTCAGTCAGACACAGGTCAGGAGGAGTCGGATGGACCTCAGGCTCAGAACTCAGATCTCACTCAGGTTTGACTCCTGCTTCTGCCACTTCCTGGCTATGCATCTCTCGGAGACTCGGGGAACCTCTCTGTGCCTGCAGTGTGGGTGCTGCTGCAGGCTTCTGAGGCTGGCCTGGGGCGTCAGATACTCCAGAGTGCCCGTCCCCTCTGCTCAGCGGGGCCTAGAAAGGCCCCAAGCAGCAGGTTGCCTGGGGGGCAGCTTGGGGTCTGGCTTGGGTAAGTTTCCTCCCTTACTGGGGGGACCCTGGGGTTGCCCCAGGAAGGTGGCCTCAACCTACCTTGTGATGGCCCTGGCGAGTCTGCCCTCCAACCCACGGGCACTACGCTGCCACCCTCAGTCTCTGCCCCATGTGACCTCCTGCGACTGAGCCCACACCAGGCAGCTTGTTCAATACGCACACAGCTCCCAGGGCCTCGGCCTTAGACCCTTTGGTTCGGTAGCTACAGGATGGGGCCTGGGAATGGATATCTTTAAAACCCAAAGCTAGGTCAGGTTTGACAACCACTGATCTCCTTGTGCTTCTCAAACCTCCTCTCTTCCTCTTTCCTTCTCACTCACTCTACCATGGGACCTTTCACGTGGACTCGTACACGGAAGTCCAGTGTGTAACAGGTAAGTGCAGAGCCACTGGCTGAGGGTAGGCTGGAGCCCTGCCTGCTGATTCTTTCGCCAGCTATGGCAACCCCTTGAGGGACTGCTGAGGAACCCCTTCGGGGTTCCATGGAACACAGTTTGCAAACCCCATATTTTGCCGGTCTCTTCCTCTTCTGGATTAAGGAGTTGAATCCTAAAAAGCTGGCCTACTCAGCGCCCGGCCTCATCCTACTAATGAGGCTTGCATTCTGATGTTCTCTGAAGCTTTCTATTGCTCAGCAGGCCCTGAGAGGGGGCTTGGGGCCAGTGGGTGACCTGAGACTACACAGCAAAGTTACCAAGAACATGGACTCTGGAGCCAGACTGCTAGAGGTGAATCCCAGTTCCACCTCTTCCTAGGTGTGTGACTCCAGTCAAGAACTTCACCTCTCTGCGCCTTGGTTTGTTCATCTGTAAACTGGGGATGACATGTATTTTGGAGAGTTGCTGGAAGGATTATACGAGTGAGTGTCTGGAAAGAGCTTAGAACAGTGCTTGGCACAAAGAAAATACTGCATAAGTGAGGCAGCCCTGACTTCCAGACCAGGCTGGCCCTGGGTTCTGAGAGCAGCGTCTAAGTGTTTCTACTCAGACCTCAGAAAGACAGAATGCTGTCAGAGCTGGTGGATTCTAGGGGCAAATAACTCAAACCCTCCCTGTTCTGAGGCAGAGCAGCCCAGATTCTTTTCTGTAGCAGTGCTGGAACTGCATTTGCACTCTGAGGGCTGGTGTTCACAGACCCTGGCAGATGGAGGAACTTCACACACACAGCCCGATGCCCTGATTTTACCCCAGGGACAAGTTTTGATTTGAGGCACTGTCAGGCTCAAGATGTGTTACAAATCACAGAGAATAGTAATCATGGGGCCAGCCCTTTTCAGACTCCAAAAACACATTCAGTTCTCATTTCTGAACCTACGAGGAGGGGAGGGTAATTACACCCATTTTACAGATGAGTACACTGAGGTTCATAGGTTAAACAACTTGCTTAGAATCAGATGTGGGGCCAGAACTGGGAGCGATTATCCAGGTATGACAGGGAAGCCATTGGTGGGCTACAAGGGTCCTCTGGATGGGGGCAAAAATGACTTCCCGAAGGCAAATCTTCCGTTGAGGATTCTGGAAGCAAGGCACGCAATTTTATAGGTTCTCTTGTATTGGTGCGATTAACAGCTACTTACTGGTAACCATTAAGAAAGCAACAAGGAATTTTCAAAACCTAAAACTCAGAAATGCAAACAAGCTACCAGCCAGTGTTTTCTGTGATCCAGAAGCATGGTTTCTGTACACAGCCTGGCAACGTCACAAGGCCTTGCAAGGCACGTGCTAGGTCATCAGAGGTCCTGCCATTTTCAGGATGAATAGGCCAAGATTTCCCCTTGCTGCTATTCTTGGATCAATCCTGTTGGGATCATTTTCTCAAGGATTCAGTTTGTTGCCCTATAGAGTACCGTGCTGCATATTTGCATATTTTCCAGCCACGGGACTTTGAGACATCATCCAATTGTGGTTCAGGTATGAAATATCCATACCCAGGCTGGGTGCGGTGGCTCACACTTGTAATTCCAGCACTTTGGGAGGCCAAGGTGGGTGGATCACCTGAGGTCAGGCGTTCAAAATCAGCCTGGCCAACATGGCAAACTCCCGTCTCTACTAAAAACAACACAAAAAGTAGCCGGGTGTGGTGATGCATGCTTGTAGTCCCAGCTACTAGGGAGGCTGAGGTGGGAGAATCGCTTGAACCCAGGAGGCAAAGGTTGCAGTGAGCCGAGATCGCGCCACTGCACTCCAGCCTGGGCGACAGAGTGAGACTCTGCCTCAAAAAAGAAAAAAAAAGAAAAATAAAAAGAGAAATATCCATATCCTATTTGCCATCCCAGACTTATACCCTCAATTTGCCCACAGGGGGACATTTTAGTGACATGCCATAACTTTGATATTTAAATAACTTCTAACATACGAACTGCTAAGATATTTGTAAGTTTGGGGGCATTATTTTGTAATGCAGAATTACGAATATACTCTTTTATAAAGAATAAGCTGATACATGTTCCCTATTCATTCTTCATTATCACCAGGTTCTGTAACCACTGGAAAATGGGAACAGGTGGGGGCCAGGGACCGGGGCATATTTTGCCCCGCCCAGTGGAGTCCAACTGGAAAAAGCCTAGGAGCCATCTGGGGTGTCTGGGAAAATGCAAGTTTTTGGGGAAAACCCAGAGATATTTTATTTATTCATTTATAAATAATAGACAGGGTCTCACTCTGTCGCCCAGGCTGGAGTGCAGTGGCTCGATCTCGGCTCATTGCAGCCTCGACATCCCGAGCTCAAGAGATGCTTCAGCCTCAGCCTCCTGAGTAGCTGGGACTACAGGCGTGTGCCACCACACTTGGCTAACTTTTGGCCCAGAGGTATTTTAAAAATCATTTTGTCAAACGACTGATGTCCCCCACGGTTCAGGCTCACTCTGCCTGGATTCCCCAGGAGCCCAGGTTGAGTGACGGGCACGATACCGTTTGTCACAGGTGCGGGGCGGCTCCTGGACCGCAGGCTCATGCTGTGGCGGGGAAGGGTGCCACAGAGCTCCCCAGGTGTTGGGGGCTGCACTACCCCTCAGGATCTGCAGCTCTGGTACAGCCAGGGGTTGGACTGCAGGGCCAGTGGAGGTGATTCTGCTCCTGACTTAGCCAGGAAGAGGAAGGGAGAGCTGGTGCTGGACAGCAGCCGGTTTCTGCTCTGATTCCCCCGCTGATTCCTCTCTAGGGGTGAGCTTTCTGGGCCTGCGGGGAAAAGGCTGATGGAAACAGACTGAGTCACAAAAGTGAGGCAGTGCAAAGCTGTGTCAGAGGCTACTGGTGGGCAAGGGGCCTTGAAACCAGGCCCAGATGATGCACTGAAGATGCCCCCCTGGGAGAAGGCCCAGCTGCTTGGCGGCAGCCCCTCACTGCTCAGACGGTGGAGTGGTTCAGGGCACAAACTCTGTAGCCAAAACTCCATAGTTTGAGGCCCACTTCTATTGTCTCCCAGCTCCATGACCTCAGATGAGTTACTCAACGTCTGTTTTCTCATCAATGACAGGCTGTTGGGAGGGTTAACTGAGTTAATATGTGTAAAGTGCATAGCATGGACCCTGGCCTGTGGTAAATGCCTAATCAATGTTAGATATTATTATTATTGTTATTATTGGTTACAGCTGTTTTAGCCTGCAACGTGGGTAGGAGGAGCACACAGACGGGCCACTGAGTACAGTCATGCAGCTTGTGTATTGAAAAACCAGGACACCATTCACGTGGTAGCCTGGAGAATGGCACCTTCTGGAGTAATGCAGTGCCCAACCTGTGCAGCTGGCCCTGGATGCCCTGGGCAGCCCTACTCCAATTTCTAATAGGTACCATTTGAAGTTGGACCATTTGGAGCAAGGTCCTGGAGAAGATTCTTTTTTAAATATTTATTTATTTTTTTGAGACAGAGTCTCGCTCTGTCACCCAGGTTGGAGCGCAGTGGCGCGATCTCGGCTCACTGCAAGCTCCAACTCCCGGGTTCATGCCATTCTCCTGCCTCAGCTTCCCTGGAGAAGATTCTTTTAAAAAAGGAGGTACGGTGGCTTTTGAGTAGAGCTACAAAGACCCAAATAAGGTATGGCCTGGCTCTTGAGAAGGTCCCAGGATGAGAGGCACGATAGCTAGGACGCTGGCCAAGTCATTCCTCTCTGGGCCAAAGTTTTTGCCATATGTCCCGCATGAGAGACGGGGTTAGTTTTGAGAGGGCAAAAAGGCTTTATCCTTGTATGCCAACTCTGATTGACTGGCTGTGGCTATCTGAGGCTATGTAAAGTGAGAAATCAGAGGCCACTTCGGGATGGGCAGGAAGGGCTCTTCAATTGATTGGTGATGTCTGCATGGGGCCAGGGAGAGGGGAGTAGGGGCATGCGTGTGGCCACACTTGCCCTCCTCAGATCAGCTCAGTGGTTCTAATCCTGGCAACCCTTTAGAATCACCAGAGGAGATTTAAATACACTTCAATTCCAGGAATATGGCCTGGAATGAGTATTTTTTTTTTTCCCTAAGGTGTGGTCAGGCTGAGAACTGCTGGGGTAGATGGCCCTAAGTTCCTTGTCACCCAGGGCTTTCCTGGCCTTCCCAATCCTACCACATCCATTTGCATCCTCACTGGGGGCTCATTTTCACCTCGGCATCGTGTCTGTATTACATAGCTTTATGCTGCAGAGGTGGGAGGGGACTTAAAAGCCAGCCCTCCATCAGTCTTATTGCCGGGGAAAATTTTTTTTCAGTTGGGAGATATAGAGATTGAGGGTACTGACTATGTCAGGCTTTGGGGTAACCCGGGTACCCTCTTCTCGGGACATACAGTGGAGTCTCGCTGGGGGAGGCCTGAGTTTTGTATCTGGGGGGTTCTCTTGGGGCTAGGAAAAGCCTGGCTCACTCTGGCTTCAATCAAGGAAGCCTGTGGCTCCCTCTCTATCTCCCTGAAGCTCCTCTCGGTCCTCCAGGGAGGGTGGGATCGTGGGACGCGCAGAGGTCCACGGAGGTCTGCGGGAAGTAACACGCCCCAAAGCACAGGCTCCTTTGGGGCCTCTGGAAGGAGCTCAGGGGGAGAAGGAAGCAGACGAAAGCTGACTGGGGCCACTAAGCTCCACAATGCAGGGTGCCAGGTCGGGGGTGGTGCGTTTGGACCACAGGGTAGCCCTCCAAATTACAGTCAGGGCGGCAGAGGCGAGATGCTTCTGGGAGGCTACCCCGGCTCGGCCCCTCCAAGGGCCCCGAATCCAGCCAGCTTTCCTCGGCCCCTCCCATCCCCCCTCCCAGAACCCAGCCCTGGAAGTCCAAGGAGCAGGTCATGCCAGCCTGTGCCTCCCAGAGGGGCAGAGCCTCCCACCCGGAGCCAAATAGAAGCAATCAAATAACATAGAATTCGATCATATTTTAAAATAAGCTTTATTTAGATTTTTTTTAATATTTTATATTTGCATCCATGCCTTCGAGAAACCTTTCCCACGGGAAAGGTTATTTTCGTCTAATGTTACCCATAACTCATTCGCTATTTGACGTAGTTCTCTTAAATAAATCATCCTTTAGTAACTCTTAGAATTATCTCCTAATTTACAAAAACTGAAATGAAAAGGAACTACTAAATCATTAGCAGGAGTGGTTGCAATCTTATTTTCTTGTAAGTAAAGGGAAAATGATAAAAATCAACCAGAAAAGAAATTCATGGGCAAGAAAAGTATTTTCTAAAATCTGTCTCCGTAGAGAAAGATGCCAGCTTGGGTCGCTCCCCGTCACCCCTAGGCTCGGTTAAACAGTTTGGTCAAAGGAGGACAGAAAAGTCCTTATGAGGGCCTCTGCCTGCTTGCTGTTTGCTGACTTTTGGACCAGGTCAGAAGGAAAGTGTTGTTTGTTCTTGAGACTTTGGACACAATGTCCTATGCCTTCTGATAGAGATACTCTAGCATTTGAAAATCTCCTTGCTTCTTTTTAAGAGCTGAAAATGTCACCGTTAGCAGAAAGCACGACTACTGTTGTCTAGAGGTGTGGGTTGAGCTGTTAGTTGTTAAGGACGAGCAGAAGCAAAAGAATAAGGAAATTGAGTTTTAGGCCTTGGGCAGACCTTGCTGAACAGCTCACACATCCTCCGTCCCCTGGCATTAAAATACACACAGTTCCTTTGCTGGTGAAGCCTCTTTGGGGCCAACGCCACCCCCCATATAGGCAGATGTTCCTGCCAGCTCTTGTCTCCTGGGGTGGGTAGGCTCAGGCTGCTGTGACAAGTTGGGGGACGGAGTCCAAGGGATCCTGGGAGATTCTAAGTGTGGCTGATGGAACCAACCAGAATGGGGAGGGTGGAGGGCTCAGGTGCTGGACTCTGTGTCCCCACTGTGGCCCTCCTTTTGAAGTGGGTGCCTCCCCTAACAACACCTGCCTGGCCCACCTGCATCCTAAACCCAGGACAAGAAAGACACAGCTGCAGGGAGGAACAGAAGCTGCTGGAGGCCCCTCGGAGAACAGACTCAGGCCAGGGTCCCACTGGTCGTACCCTTGGATGTGTGGCAGGCTGTCTTGCCCTGAACTCAACCTCTCTCAAAAGACAGACCCAAAGAAGGGGACCATGACTGTCAGCACTCTGCTCACTAAAGTCGTGTTCTGTATGTCAGATAAATAAATATATAGAGAAAGGCCTGGAGGGAGCTCTGGGTGGGAAGAAGGTGGAGGATCCTTTCATGCATGGGCAGGAGAATGGGAGAGACAGAGAGAGAAGGAGAGAGAAGAACCAACAGAAAAAGCAAGCTTTGAAATCCAATGGTCCCTGGGTTCTGGCCACCCTAAACTACTTTGCACAGTTGGGTAGCAGCATGGTAACAGAACAGACAAGTCAACAGAGACACCCACCTCCCGCCCACCCCATGGAAAAATAGACATTCCAATATTTATGTAATAATTTAGATAGAATAAGTTTTCAGCATTTGTGCAAATAAATTAAATGAAACAATTTTCTTTTTTTCTTTTTTTTCATAAAGAAAGAAACGGCAATGCAATTTAAAAACTGGTAGGCCGTTTAAAAGAGCCGGTTTGACCTCTGACAAACCCAGCCAAGACAAGGCCCCTTGGCCCGGCTCGCGAGTCTTTGTAGAGAGCAGAGCTTACCCTGACGACGATGGCGTTTTGTGGTTAAAGTGACTTGGGCGCACCCCCAGGACAGGGTCTGGTCCCACACGTTCACACCAGGGGGGCGGGAGGGGGGACATCAAAAACAGACCACATCCTCTGCCAGACGGGCTCCAGGAGTAGCGGTTTGGACGAGGGACATTTACAAGCACAGAGTGCACAATAGTTTTGTTATTTACAAATACACAGCAGTCCTTCAAGTTTTCAAGTTTCATAAAAAGGAGGAGGGGAGGAGAAAGGGGGAAAAAAACAAAAACAAAAACAAACCGACGAACCAAACAAAAAGAAAAAGAAAAACCAAACACTGAAGAAAAATAATAAACCAGATTAACAACACAACTGTATCGCTCCAAAGACGACAGAGAGTTGACAGGTTCACACACGGTTTGCGGTATGTACATCAATTACAGAGGTGGCGACGCAGGGGAGAGAGGTTCACACTCGTGTTTTCACTTGTTAGAGGCGCTCGGCCACACCCAGCACCCATGTGTGCCAGCGCACACGTGCACACGCACCCCACGCACGGCCACACGCGCACCCACGCTCGCTTGCACACACGCCCACACGCACAGACACGCCTGCGGGCAGCAGGCGCAGGGGAGCGCGTATCACCAGTCCGCGTCCTCCTCTATGTAATAATCAGGGGCGGTACCATCAAAGAGGCCGGGGTCGAGGGACTTCCGCTGCTTCCCTCTGGCGAAGACGCGGGAGATGGAGCCGAATCCCATCTTCTCTTTCTTCTTTTTCCGTTTTTGGTCTTCAAGATCCTCTAGTGACTGAGGAGTCAGGAGCCACGTGGAAGAGGGTGGGGGAGAAGAAGAAAGCCAAGCTTAGCTGGGGTGCAGACTGCAGTGGATGGGATCCGGGGTGGGGAAGGCCTCTCTGAGCTTTAAGCCAGTGGGGTCAGGGACGGGCTGGGATGGCTGAGAAGCCACCTCCAGGGCTGGAATGCCAAGGTCAGCCCCTCATTCACTGAGCAAACAGGGACCAGTCACAGAACCTCTCAGGGACAACAGTAAGACCCTTCCAAGATTGCCACGAGGATGTTGCTAAAGAGAGGATAAAGACCCTGAGAACAGGCCAGGCACGGTGGCTCACACCTGTAATCCCAGCACTTTGGGAAGCCCAGGCGGGTGGATCACCTGGGGTCGGGAGTTCGAGACCAGCCTGGCAAACATGGTGAAACCCTGTCTCTACTAAAAATACAAAATTAGCCGGATGTGGTGATAGGCACCTGTCATCCCAGCTACTTGAGAGGCTAAGGCAGGAGAATCACTTGAACCCAGGAGGAGGTTGTGGTGAGCCAGGATCGCGCCACTGCACTGCAGCCTGGGCGACAGAGTGAGACTCCGTCTCAAAAAAAAAAAAAAAAAAAAAAGAAAGAAAAAGACCCCAAGGACGGTGTCTGGTGTGCCACAGGCATTCAGTACAGTGAGCAGCTGTGGTCATTTGTACTGTAATAATATTGTTTAAATTCAATTTGCCCACAACTTTCAGGTGCTTGTTGAGGGCTTGTAGGAGGATGTCCATGCACTCGGCCACTGCCTGTGGTCATGTCCACGATGCGAGGCCACAGGGAGGAAGGGTGGCCACAGGCCCTGTCTGCCGTGCCAGGGCACTAAGCACACAGTGACATGGGCAAGGAGGCCTGGGAGAGTCCGGAAAATGTGGAGGAGTCTGGAGCCTGCGTCAGCCGAAGGCAATGGCTTGGTACTTGCCCTGGACAGGAGACAGTATGGCCACCGGGGGCTCCATTTCTGATCATGACTCTACCTGTGGAACCCTGGAAAGCACCTGAGCTGCTCTGAGACGTTTTCTTGTCTGTGACGTGGGAAAACAATATAAGATGATGGTGGTAAGGTCTACCCTGCCCTCCTGTTAGGGACACTACCGGCATCTGGGTGGTATCTGCAGGAGAGTTTTGCAAACTGCCAAGTGCTTCATACAAAGACATGTGGTGGCATCATGCGTAACCGGGGTGGGGCTTAGACTTGACTCATGGTTCCCCAAACACTTAGGGATTTCCTGAATTCCAGGCCCCACCCTGTACCTGGTGGATCAGAATCTCTAGGGCAAATGGCCCAGGAATCTGCATTTGAACCACTTCCCTGGTGGTCTCCGTTGCGAATGGGTGGTGTGCAGACCCACAGGTGGGGAGCCCAGGACTAGAAAGGTGACTTCAGAGACCCCTGCAGACCCTCAAATTCATGTTGTTTGTCCTCCCTGCAGCCCCCTCCTCACTCTGATGACAGAATATTGAAAATGTTAAAAATGAATCAAGTTTCTAGCAGCACAAAAAACCCACTGCCTGGGCTATGAGCTTTTCAATAATAATGGGAATTTTATAGAGCTGGCTGCCAGGGTAAGCCATGGCCAGGGCATCAGGACGGAGGACATGTGTGCACTCAGCAGCTCCACAGCCCTGCAGGGCACAGGGCCAGGCGGGCCCAGGTGCTGAGACTGGCTCAGGCCCCAGCCCACCTGAGACTCCAGAAGTGGCATAAATCCTCTCCATCTTGGGTGTGCGGCATGGATGTGGGCTCAGCGGAAGTGGCATAAATCCTCTCCGCCTTGGGTGTGCGGCATGGATGTGGGCTCAGCGGAAGTGGCATAAATCCTCTCCGCCTTGGGTGTGCAGTATGGACGTGGGCTCAGCGGAAGTGGCATAAATCCTCTCCACCTTGGGTGTGCGGCATGGATGTGGGCTCAGGGGAACAGAGGGTGAAGTTGTAGTCAAGGTGGGGTGGAGGGAGGGTTCAAGTGGCCAGGGAGGGCACACCTACCTGTACAATAGGGTTGTGCAGGTTCTTCTGAACTGGGCCGGGACTGTCGCCCTGTAGCCAGAGGAGAAGAGGAAGATGAAACAGCAGAGACAGGTGACACAGGAGAGCAGAGGCGGCCCGTGCGGTGTGGGGCCTTCCGTGGAAGGATGCCATCTCTCAGGGGCCACCCTGCCTCTGCAGTGGGGAGCCCACCCCCCATCTCCTGAAGCAGATACCCCCAGATGGCTTATTGATGGGGCCTGGAGTTTCCCTAGAGTTCCTGGGGTCCTCTCCTGCCCAGTCTGGCCTCTC
Source organism: Homo sapiens (assembly GCF_000001405.40). Classification (NCBI taxonomy): domain Eukaryota; kingdom Metazoa; phylum Chordata; class Mammalia; order Primates; family Hominidae; genus Homo; species Homo sapiens. Next base: position 15,063,331 of record NC_000001.11, on the reverse strand, counting down.
AACCCCCAGCATCTTCTGACCAACAAATTAGCCACTCCAGGGCGTCTAAGTTCCTGTCCCAGTCTGTCCTCTGAGTTAGAGCTAGAGCTTGGTTAGACTTGGTGCTTTTCATAAAGAAATGTACTTTTATAGAAAAAGCACAAAATAGAGAATTTTGGGACAGAAACAAACTTGGGAGACCACGTAGCCTCTAGCTTCCCCCACAACCGACACAATGAATCTCTTAGTTTGCGCAGGGGCAGGCAGGACTCGTTAGCCCTATTCACAGATATCAAGAGAGGCAGCAGACAGTCCACTACCGTGGAGCTAATTGGATGCAGAGCTACAGCTCCAATTGGGGGCTGTCAGATTCCTCCTGGCACAGTGCTCCTTCCAGGCAGGAGCTCCAGGGTAACTGCATACTTGGTCCTGAGCTTTGGGCTGCCCCAGGAGGGGTCTGAACTCCTTCCCTTTTTCCTAGGGAGCCTCAGACGACAGGTCCCTAGGATGGGCAGGTAGGACATTTCCATTGTGTTGCCAGCCCTGCCTTACGTGGGTGTGGAGGGAACCCTTAATAGCCTACAGGTGTACAAAAGCCTTCACTACATCCCAGAATCAGTCTGCCCTGTCTGGAGCCCACAGATCCTTTGGATCAAAACAGTCATTACTAGGGAGACTCCTGGTGGTTATTTCTGGAATTGCAAGCATAATGCCAAGGTCCGTCAACCTTCTCCAACCTCTCTATGCTGAGTTCCTACTTTTGCTCTAAATTAGTGGCCAGAGTGTGAGAGGATGAGGCAGTCATTAGTCCAGGCTGCACTATTCTTGCTGGTGGACGTCAGATGCCCAAGGCAAAGGGTTACCTGTAGCTATTTTTGGGCTCTTCCTGGCTTACCTGCATGCACACCTGTTGAGATGGGGGGATAAAAAGGGTTGAGGAAGTGAGGGAATTAATGAATGGTAGTTTAGTCTTTAGTCTCAAGGTTTGCAAACAGAATCCATTCTGAAGGCAGCTAAGATAGTTCCACTCTGGATAGGAACATCTTTGCCAAATCTATGGGTAAAGAGAATGGGGCCTGCTCACTGAAACGCCTGTATGCAGACAACTGGCTTATCAAAGCACCCATTTCCTGGCAGCAGGAATGTGCCAAGGCTATGGTGGGCAAAAGACTAGGACTGGGTCAAATGCAATTCAAGAGGCCTTTGGAGAACTCCTTCTGCAGAATGGGGTTTTTCCAGCAGCATTTCTGCTGCCAGAGTCCCCATGGGCCCACCACGAGAAGACAAAATATGGCCGTGGGGGGAAGGTATTCTCAACTGGGATGAGAATGGTGCAGGGACACTGCTGGCTGTAGGTATAACTCCACAGTGGTCCTTCAGGATCAGGGAATGGATGTCAGAGACCCCTCCAGTGGCCCACCTTCCTTGCCTTGGTTCTGTTAGTCAAGATAGACTTTGTCACTAGGATTCTCTTCTGGGGACAAGAGAAGAACATACTGCTTCCTCAAAGCACCAGTATAAAACAGAGAATCCCGCCAGGTGCAGTGGCTCATGTCTATAATCCCAGCACTTTGGGAGACTGAGGTGGGCAGATCGCCTGAGGTCAGGAGTTGAAGACCAGCCTGGCCAACATGGTGAAATCTCATCTCTACTAAAAATACAAAAATTAGCCGGGTGTGATGGCAGGCATCTGTAATGCCAGCTGCTCGGGAGGCTGAGGCAGGAGAATTGTTTGAGCCTGGAAGGTGTTGGTTGCAGTGAGCTGAGACTGCGTCACTGCACTCCATCCTGGGTGACAAGAGTGAAACTCCATCACACACACATACAAATAAATAAAATAAAACAATAAAAAAGAGAATCCCAGGCCTGAGCAGGGCCCCAGGCTGCAAATGACCTTCCTACTCTGAGGAGGCCATCTAAAGTCCCCGGGCCAGCAATCTCTGCCGCCCACCTGAGCAGACTGAGGCAGCTTCTCTGAAGTTTACTCTTAGCTATTTTTATAAGCACTTTTCATTATTGTGGATTGAAAAAAATGGTTCCATAATTACGACTCATCTATAGGAAAGTGATTGATTTTTACACACTGATTTCCAAGCAACACTGTTATGTACATGCTTATTATTCATTCTAATAGCTTTTCAAGTTATTCTCTTGAGTTCTCCAGGTAGAGAATCATGTCACTGGCAAGTAATGGTTTTGTCCAATGTGTTCACCTCATTTCTTTTTTATTATCTATTTCGCTGGTTAATAAAGTGACATTAACTGAGTTTTGGAAAAAGCCGTCTCGTGCATTTGAGGATCTAACCCTATGATGTCTGTCTTCAGGATATGGCAGAGGGGAGCCTCTGCATTACCAACTGTGTGATAAAACAAAAATTCAAGGTGGTCCCCACACCCAGACCCCAATATTTCATGTTAGAGCCTCGACATGGCTTCCAACTGTCCTCAGAAGCTCAACCCACCTTCAATTTACTCCCACACTGTTGCAGAGCCCATCTGTCTGCCCCACTAGTCATCAAGAGCTAGGCAGCTAGGGCCTTTGCCTCCTGGGAGCTGGTGCCCAGTATGCAATCAAAAAGTGTTTGATGAAATAAACAAAGGAAACAAACTTAGACCATATTCACAAGCCTCTCCAGAGGCAATTCATGCCAAGACTCCTGGGTCAGGATAGAGAGCTGGCTCTAAAGGGAAATGAGGAGGTGCTGGGGAGGCCCTGAGCTCTGGAAGGTAATGTGTGGGAGGAGAAGCCCACGGTCCCAGACAGGGCCCACTGGGGCAGAGTTCCAGGCTGTGCCTGCGGCCGACCCAGGCCCGCTTCCTCTGGATTCTCCTCACCCTCCCGGACACAAGGAGCAAACGGGCCTCATTCCTTTTTCTCCCCACATCCATCGCTTCTTGCAAAAGGAAAGAACAGAACAGGAAATGCATTCGCCAGAGTGCTCCCTGGGTGGACGAGAGGAAACAGCGAGTATGGCTTCACCCCGCCACCCCCGCCCCTGCAGTTTCTGGGCAGGGCCCAGGGGCCCAGGCCCCGCTGCTGCTGGCCTTACGTTGCAGAGGGAGTGTGTCCGGTGTCGAGGGGAGTTGATGTCGCTCGGTGTGGACGACCGGTCGCCTTCGGCGGCAGATGCGTCGGAGATGACAGAGGGCTGCCGGGAGTGGCAGGGGCTCACCCTGACCGCTGGAAAGCAGGGACAGCTGGTGAGTGAGGGATGGAGAGAACGTCCTCGCCTGTGCTGCCTTGGCGGTTATTCCACCCAACACCCCCGTTCTACAGATGGGAACACTGAGGTGTAGAGAAGGGAAGAGACTTGCCTGGTTCTCCAACCCCCTACTCCACAGCTCCACACGTTCCCATAGAGCAGCTGCTGGGAAGAACCTCCCATAGCCTCTGGATCCAATGAACCCTCCTCCACCAGCGTGAACGAGGAGAAGACATGGAAGTTTTCAAGTCTTCTCATTCCAAATTCAAGTCTCCTCGTTTCCAAGTCCAATACAGGAAAGTGCTTGATGTTTATAAATTCATTTCTAAGCAGCACCGTGATGCATTAATACGTGAGTACTCTGTGACTCTACTCACATGCTCCCACCACCTGGACATTCCTAGACCTGGTGCAATCCTAACCACTGCCCCAAATCGGTTTCCCAAATGAGAAACCTAAAGGCCACCACCACTTTCTCTCTTTCCCCCATATCCCACATCCAATCGGCAGCAGCAGCTCCAAAACATTGCCCCAAATCTGCCTGCTTCTCTCCCACTGCATTGCCACCACTGACTCTCGCCTGGAAGACCATGAGGCCTCCCGGTGGGTCGCGCTGACTCCACTCTACACACCAGAGCATGGGCCACCAGCCAGCATCTCATCTCTCTTCCTCCTGGCCTCCGAGGTGGCCTGATGTGCCACGGCCCTGCCTACCCCAGCAGCCTCGGCTAGAGCCACATCAGCCTTCTGACTGCCTGAGACAGGCCATGTCCCCCTGCCTTGGTCTCTGCCATTCCTGTTGCCCATCAGGGGCACTGTCATCCTCCAGGTCTCAGCCTGTCCCAGGAGGCCTTCCCCAGTAATCAGCTCTCCCTACCCTGTCTTGTTGGTTCTTATCAAAGTGCTTGCTTTTGGCTGGGCATGGTGGCTCATGCCTGTAGTCTCAGCACTTCGGGAGGCGGAAGAGGGAGGACTGCTTGAGCCCAGGACTTCGAAACCAGCCTGGGCAACACAGCAAGACTCCATCTCTCCAAAAAAAAAAAAAAAGTGCCTGTTTTCTGTTGATTTCTCTCCTTGTGCTAATTACAATCTGTCATCGTTCTGCTTGTTATTTATTTATTTATTTTTGAGACAGGGTCTTGCTCTGTTGCCCAGGCTGGAGTGCAGTGGTGTGTTCTTTGCTCGCCACAACCTCTGCTTCCCGGGTTCAAGTGATTCTCCTGCCTCAGCCTCCCGAGTAGCTGGGATTACAGGCATCTGCCACCACCAAGTCCAGCGAATTTTTGTATTTTTAGTAGAGACAGGATTTCACTATGCTGGCCAGGCTGGTCTCGAACTCCTGACCTCGTGATCTGTCCACCTCAGCCTCCCAAAGTGCTGGGCTTACAGGCGTGAGCCACTGCATCTGGCCTGCTTGTTATTTAATAGTATATTTACATATCATATCTGTACACTGACAACATCTGCTCTGTGAGGGCAGGTACCCTGGGTGTCTTATCCTGTCGAATCCCAGAGCTCATGGTGCCTGGCACATAATAGGTACTCAATAAATAGTGGTTGAATGGAAGGTCCAGACCAGAAGCCACAGCTCAGAAGCCCTTCCAAGTCCCCAGCAGGTTGCTCTCCTGTCTGCAGGCATTGGCACTGGATGGAGAAAGCATCTTTTGTTTGACAAGACTGGCTAAGCACCTACCATGTGCAGGCGGCATGCCAGCAGGTGGGGTTGCATTCCTGCAAAAGACAGTCCTTGCCACCAATGGCCATATGCTCTAATACAGAAGATGGGTGGCTGAAGGAGCCCTGGCTTTGGAGTCAATTCCAATCTGGGTGAGTTTACCCTACAGGCTGTGTGACCTTGGGCATCCTCCCTAGCCCCTCTGAGCCAGGTTTGTTATGTGTAACATGGGGATGGATGCCAGTGGTACCAATCCCAGACAGTAGCCACATGTATGATGAGCCTACCACAGTGCCAGGCACTGGACAGATGGGAGGAGTCATGTGACAAATGCATCAACAGCAAACCCGAGGTAGGGTAAGAGGTGCTATGACGCAGGTGAGCACCCAACTTTACAGGAGCATAGAGGACACAGGGGAGAGAGCACGGAAGGCTTCCTGGAGGAGGGGGTGTCTGATAAAATGCATGGAGATGGTTGTATGTGAGGCAGATACTGTGGAGGAGGAAGGGCCCAGAGGGCAGATCCACCAGCCTGTCCAAGCTTTCCCAGACCAGAGCCAGCTCCATTGAGGAGAGGCCCTGCAGAGGCAGACGAGGATGACCAGGAGTCTGCTGCCCCCACGTGATTCAGAAACTGCCCAAGCCCTGTCTGCCTTCAAATTGCACCTCTGCCCTCCTGCTGCCCTGGGGCTGGACCCAAAGCCAGGACAGCTGGCTGCATGGCTGGGCTGTGAGACTCTGAACAAGTGGTGGCCCTCTCTGGGTCTCAGTTTCCCTGCCTGACGAGGATGCTGGCCCCGAGCAGTTTTATTATAAGCTCTTCCACCTCTGAGTTGAGGCTTTGAAGGCCAGAGCTGCCCACGCTTACCCCAAAAAAGTCACACCACCTTGGGTCAGACAGTGAAGGGAGGGCTGCTATCCCACTCAATGGGAAGGGAAGACTCTGAATTTGCTTACTGTCTGGGTTCTCAAAGTCCCCTGTGTCACCTATCAATGATGACAACAATGGTGATGATGACGATGATAATGAGAATAGCAGCTAATATTTACCCAGCTCTGACCATGATCCCAGCCCCATTCCCGCAGTTTTACACATTTCATCTTCACGACAGCTCCATGAAGTAGGTAAAGGAAGTCTCAGCAAACGTCTTTAACGTACGTTGTGTGCTAAGAGCCTAATGCCCCTTTTACACATGAGGAAACTGAGGACCCTGGCCTAGGTCATGGGTCATGCCTCTAGTAAGCAGCAGGGCCAGAGTTGAACCCAGCAGTCTGAATCCAGGGCCTATGCCCCTTCGTCCCAATGACTCACCTACACTCCCCCATCTGTACCCTTGACAGGCAATAGCAGGGCCTGCTGGCATCTCCCTGATCAGCCTGCCAGGCCCTTGTAGGTCAGGGCTGTGTCTGACTCATCTCCTGCAGCTCCAACAGCCAGCCCAGCCTGCAGCCTTCACAGTGACCAGCTCTTACCTCTGGTGCATTGGCTGCTGCTGGATGCCTGTTCCCAACTTGCATCTATCACATAAGGGCAACTACTTGCAGAAGGGACAGAGAACAGAGCAAGGTGGCCTGCAGACGTGCAACAGGACAGCGAGAAGTTTGGAGCCTGTTCCATGGGCAGTAGGTGCAGATGCTGTCCACAGGCCAGACTTCCCTGCCGAGTGCCTGGAGCAAACACCTGTGACATTGACATCAGCCCCTCTTGGATGCCCTGTGATTGGCCAGAGCTGTCAATCAAGGAGTTCTGCTGCCTCCCCTGCCAAAGGATGCCCATGTGACTCTGATGTGGCCAATCAGAGTCTTTCTTTGGGATTTGCTATGGACACAGGGGGAAAGAGATAGTTTTTCTTTCTTAAGACTTGAGCTGTGAGGGTCTTAAACATCTGGAACTGCAGGGGACTATTTTACTTTCTTGCTGAAAGAGACAGCCTGAAGATGAGGCCAAAAGGAGGTGGGCAGAGCTAAGAGATGGAGAGACGGTCAGAGGGACCCAGATAGTGTTTGAACCTCTGGATCCAGCTATGCCTGCTGTCCATCTCTTAGATTTTTCAGTTACATGAGCCCAAGGTCTCTGTCCCACGCCCCCAAGCTGCTGTAGTACGAACAAAGCAGCTGCCTCTCCCACTGGGTCAGATGGCCTCCTGTGAAGCCCCTCGAAGCCGTGGTGGAGCCAGGCCAGGGCAGGACTCACCTTGCCGGTCCGCAGGGTGAGGGGGGTGTGAGTGGTAGAGAGTCTGTTGACTCTGCCGGATGGCTGCGGTCAGCGGGAGGTCCGCCTGCACCACCCACTCCTGGTTGCCATTGAGCACCGTCTCGCCCGGCATGGCGAGGGAATGCCGCTTGGGGACGTCCTTGGTCAGCGTAGCTAAGGACTGTTTGGCCTGGAGAGAGCAAGAAGACAGGAAGAAGAAGTCATGATCAAGGGGAACTCTTGGCCAGCTGCTTGGCACCACCCACCGCCATGGGGAGAAAGCCCGGATCCTCTGCACCGGGTATTGCTGGCTCGGCATCGAGCGTCAATTGGTAAGTCAAGCGCCTGCCCCGCAGCCGTGTGAGGGAGGAACTGTTGTTCTCCCCATTAGACAGCTGGAGGCGCGAAGGCACGGAGAGGTGTGGAGCCTGCCTTGGGATCCCACAGCTCAGAAGTGGCAGAGCCAGGATCAAATCCAGACAGAGACCAAGCTCCAAAGAACTGTGCCAGGGCCTGGCCACCTGGTCACACAACTCTAGGGGGCACTGCTTACATAAACATGGTCCCTCTTGGTCTCCCCATCTTATATAGTGGGATCCTAAAGTTCCGAATGGTGGAGTAATTTGCTCAAGGTCATACAACAAGTAGAAGAAGTGAAGTTTGAACCCAGTTCTGTCTGACTTTTGTCACATGGATGCATTTGTGTCAAGTTAACTCACCCGAGAGCTAACCTGGGGGTTACCCACCAAGAGCAAAGTGAGACCAGAAATAGAGGGGTTCCAAGAACACTCCTTTTTTTTGTTTTGTTTGGAGATGGAGTTTCACTCTGTTGCCCAGACTGGAGTGCAGTGGCTCAGCTCACTGCAACCTCCGCCTCCCGGGTTCAAGCAATTCTCCTGCCTCAACCTCACGTGTAGCTAGGATTACAGGCATGTGCCACCATGCCTGGCTAATTTTTGTATTTTTAGTAGAGATGGGGTTTCACCATGTTGGCCAGGCTGGTCTTGAACTCCTGACCTCAAGTGATCCACCTGCCTCGGCCTCCCAAAGTGCTGGGAATACAGGTGTGAGCCACTGCGCCCGGCCCCAGGAACACTCTTACCACCCATTCTTTTGGATTCTCCAGGGACTAGCCAGGATTCAAGTCCGATTGTAAGAAAAAGGTGTTTGGCTCCCATTAGTTTAACTCCTTGCAAGATTGAAGGCTGCTTCTTCTCCCTGTCACAAGGTTTTGCCAGAGAAGTGCCATGTGCACCTTCTGCAGAACTAGCAAGGAGATGGGCAGGTGCACGATCAGCCTACACGACTAGCTCCTTCTTGAATGCAGGCTGGGGACAGGCAGATCCTAAGCCCAGCTCTCAGGAGCCCACGCCAAGAACATGTAGGACAGGAGGGAGCCCAGGGACAAGTGTGAGGCTGAGCTGGGGCCGGGAGGCCGCCTCGACTGGCCACACAGGTCTTCCTTTCTCTGCCCAGTGTCTGAGACCTCTTTCAGCTGTGTTATCTCCCCTTAGAATATCTGGGGTTTTATTAGAAGTGATCTCAAATTCTTTTGGGGAGAAAAACGGCAAGTATTAGAAATGTGCTACTGCATATTATTTTCTTCTTCTTCTTCTTTTTTTTTTTTTTGAGATGGAGTCTCACTCTGTTGCCCAGGCCGGAGTGCAGTGGCGCGATCTCGGTTTACTGCAACCTCCACCTCCCATGCTCAAGCAATTCTCCTGCCTCAGTCTCCTGAGTAGCTGGGATTACAGGCGCCTGCCACCATGCCCAGCTAATTTTTTTGTATTTTTGGTAGAGACAGGGTCGCACTATGTTGGCCAGGCTGGTCTCAAACTCCTGACCTCAAGTGATCCACCCGCCTTGGCCTCTCAAAGTGTTAATGCACATTCTTTTCATCACAGTCATTTTCTACTTCTGATTGGCTCCGGGGGCTCATGACAGGGCAGAGGAGACAGGGAGAGGCCCAGGGGTCCCCTGCACTGAGGTTTTGGGTGAACATGGACGTTTCCGGGGTAGCTACAGATGGCAGGGCCACTGTGAGTGCTGGCTTTGCCTCTCATGTGAACACAGATTAACAACAACAAAAAAATCCATCTAATCTCTCCACAACCTTTCTAACTTTGCCCCAGGCCTGGAGTTCTTCCTGGCAGAGCAGGGATTCTTGAGAAAGGGTCCCACCAAGAAACAGACAGTCCTTGGCCTAATGCCTGATGCACTCTCATCACATCAACCAGCTGTATTATTTTAGACAAGTCACTCCCTCCTCTGAGCCTCAGTTTCCCCATCTGTATAGTGAAAAGCCTGGACCAAGTGATCTTCAGGGCTCCTTCCAGCTCGGACATCCTAGAAGTCTGTGAAATCACTTCCCTCCCACTGCCAGCTTCCAGGGAATAGAAATCCATACCGCAGAGGCTAAGCTGAGGGTGTCAGCCTTGCCCCGCCAACCTGGCTTGCCCCTGCTCTGGCCGAGAAAACCACCTGTGCTCTGCCACCCTCACGCGCTCTGTGCAACAGTGCTGGGTTGCAGGTAGGGAGTTCGGGATTATCTGTGCTCAACAGGTAAGAAACCAAAACTCAGAGAGGTTTAGTGACTTCTCCAGTGGGCACAACATCCAACCTGGGTACCAAACCCTGGTGTCTGACTGGGAGCACAGTGTGGTTTCCCTTAAGCCCACATTCCTGTGGGGCAAGAAAACAACCAGCGCAAATGATGTGGGCCAGTTCTGTCTGCTCACCAGAGTCCCCAGCACCCGGCCTGGGGCTCAGCACATCCAGGATGCATGCTGTAAGAACCTGCAGGATAAATGGAAGCAGGTCGCTGCTTCACAGAGCCTTTGTTGTGTTGATGGCCCAGGGAACAGCTCTGTTGTCCTACTGCAAGAACAATGGGGTAACTTTTTTGTTTAAGGAAGGAGTGAAGCTGGGTGTGTCTCGAGCCTCTGTACACCTGCAGCAGACCTAGCATCACGGAGACCCACACTTCCTGAACCACCACACCCAGCCCAGGCGAGTCGGTGGCGGCACCTGCCTTCCCTCCAGGTGTGCGTGCACACAGCCCCCTGGCCCTCCACACTGCTACACTCGCAGTCTTAGGGGGATGCCCCACTCCCTTGCTTCCACCTGCCCAGTCCATCTGGCTGCCCAGAAAGTGCGACTCGGGAGAAATAAGCACCCAGGCTGGTCTGCCATCATGCAGGAATGAACCCTCAGCTCCCCCTCCTGCAAACACTCCCAGCCACATGCCTAGGAAGCACAGGATTGTACAAGCCAGCCCCTGAAACAGGCAGCCCTTGGAGGGAGCACGGGAAGGAGTGAGGAAGAGGCCTGGGTGGGGTGGCTCTCCTGAACCCATCGGCTTCCTTCTCCCAGGCGGGGTCTCATCTCTGTCTGGGCCTGGGAGTGGCATCTTCCATCTCAGTAGGCAGCTTGACATCCTTGCTACCTGACAATTGGGAGGTCCCCTACGGTTGGTCCTTCAGAATGGGGTGGCTGTACCTGTGAGTTCTGAAGCACAAGGATAAACTGTCCACTCTGCCCACTCAGGATTGTAAGCTTCCAAGGCAGAGCTACAATGGAGAGGAACTGCAGATGACGCGTGTGAAGTCTCATCTAAAATACATGCACCTGCTTTCACACCCACGTATCCACACACATGCACATACACACATATACACACATACACACATGCACACACATACACATGCAATACACACATGCATACACACACATATACACATGTATATGCACTGATATGGTTTGGCTGTGTCCCCATCCAAATCTCATCTTGAATTATAAGCTCCCATAATCCCCACGTGTCATGGGAGGGACCTAGTGGGAGGTAATTGAATCATAGGGACAGGTTTTTCCCGTGCTGTTCTTGTGACAGTGAATAAGTCTCCTGAGATCTGACGGTTTTATAAAAGGCAGTTCCCCTGCACATGCTCTCTCGCCTGCCACCATGTAAGACGTGCCTTTGCTCCTCCTTCACCTTTCACTATGATTGTGAGGCCTCCCCAGCCATGTGGAACTGTGAGTCCATTAAGCCTCCCTTTCTTTAAAAATTACCCAGTCTCGGGTATGTCTTTATCAGCAGCATGAGAAGAGACTAACACCACACACACACACATACACACACGTACACACACACATGCATTAGATCCTCTCCTGTGGCAATTGACACATTTCTCTGACTAATCTCTTCCACTAAATGCAATTTAATGCTGGGAACTCCCCTTGGGTTCTGACTCTTCTCTTCTCCTCTCTGAGCCTCCAGCCTCTTCCAAGCACTCAGAACTTGGAACGTCAAGCTCCTGGGAATTGTTAACTTGACACAAATGCATCCATTTGACAAAAGTCAGACAGAACTAGTTTCAAACTCCATTTCTCCCACTTAACTTGCTGTGTAACCTTGAGCAAATTACTCCACCATTCTGAACTTCAAGGTCCCACAATATAAGATGGTGAAAACAAGAGGGACCATGTTTATGTAAGCAGCACCCTCTGGAGTTGTGTGATGAGGTGGCCAGGCCCTGGCACAGTTCTTTGGAGCTTGGGCTCTGTCTGGATTTGGTTCTGGCTCTGCCACTCTGAGCTGTGGGATCCCAAGGTAGGCTCCACACCTCTCCGTGCCTTCGTTCCTCCAGCTGTCTAACGGGGATAATGACAGTTCCTCCCTCACATGGTTGCTGGGAAAGTGCTTGGTCCAGGGTAAAAATACCCAACAAATATTAGCGATTGTTATTAAAGAGTCTCTATTTCACAAGCAGGGATGATGTGAGGAGTAATTCACACCAGGGTCAAGGATCCGGTCTGGCCCACTGTCTCAGAGCAGCCATAGTGCTCAGTTAGGATTACTTATGCGCTCCCTGAGCCTGGGCAGTGAGACCCATGAGGCAGGAAGGGGAGATGGCAGCACAGGGCCCTGCCCTCACCTGCCTTTTGGCTGGGGCCAATGGCAGTTCCTGTTAACCAGGAGGGCCTGAGGTTCCGCTGATCCGGAGGCCACAGTGCACCCATCACATCTCCCACATCAGAGAGCAAGTCTGGCCCTGCAGGCATGCTGTGCCCAGAAACCGAATCCTCTACCAGGTCCTTCAGCAGATGAGTGCTCGTCTAGGGAATGTTTCTCTGGGGTAAAGACTGGGAGGATCCCGAGGCAGGAGCCTCTGAGCAGACATCGGAAGGCTGGTGCTCCTGTGCGGATGGCACACTGCGCCAAACGGGCACTGAGCGGGCACAAGGCCACCTTCTTCCCGTGCTTCATAAACACACTCTGTGGCACAGCTAAGTTCTTCTCCTTGGGGGGAAGCCGGCTGGGACCCTCTTTCACAGATCTCAGGGGTACGGGTGGGAGCAGGTCCAGCAGGGAGGCACCGGTGTGAGCTGATGAGGCAAATATGGGTCACAACACCAAGGACCAATGACTAAGGACCAAAGACCAAGGACCAATGCAGGCTCGGCTGTGGAGGGGAGGCTCCTGTGGGGGCAACGACAGGCGTGGCTCAGGTGGGCTCGGGATTGGGCAGACCCTGCCCTCATGCAGGGCGGCAGGCCCCCCACCACTCTGGGTTCAGACCCAGCCTAGGAACTGGCTTGGCAAGGGCTGGTCCAAATGGTCCAAGAAGGTGGTGGCCAGGGGCCTGAAGGTGGCACATTTGGGGCAGACTGCTTTCGTTGCAGCTGAGAACAGGCACAAGGGACATAGACTCAGAGCGTGGCCATTAAAAATAAACCTGAGGCTTGGCCAAGCCCTCCTGCTTCTCCGCCCGCTCATCCCTCACAGTCCCTGCCTCTCGTCTGGGCCTGTGGTGGCTGTCGTTTTTACAGATGAGGAAACTGAGGCAGGAAAAGGTTAAAGGTGACATGTGCGAGGTCAAATACTGATGAGTGGAACAGGCATGAGAATCCACGCCTCTTCCTCCCCAGTGGGGTCTGAGGACAGGGTGGCTCTAGAGCAACCTCAGCACAGAGCTGTGAACGCTGACCGAGTTCTGCAGCGTGCCTGCCTGATTCACCCACTGCCTCACTTCCCTGCACTGTCACTCTAGGGGGAAGGTTCTATTCTATTCTATTCTATTCTATTCTATTCTATTCTATTCTATTCTATTCTATTCTATTCCATTCTATTCTATTATTCTATTGAGATGGAGACCTACTCTACTACTCTACTCTACTCTACTCTACTGTACTCTACTGTACTCTACTCTACTCTACCCTACCCTACCCTACCCTACCCTACCCTACCCTACCCTACTCTACTCTGATGGAGTCTCACTCTGTCATCCAGGCTGGAGGGCAATGGTGTGATCTCAGCTCACTGCAACCCTCCTGGGTTCAAGCGATTCTCCTGCCTCAGCCTCCAGAGTAGCTGGGATTACAGGCGCCTGCCATCATGCCTGGCTAATTTTTGTATTTTTAGTAGAGACGGGTTTCACCATGTTGGCCAACCTAGTCTTGAACTCCTGACCTCAGGTGATCCACCTGCCTCGGCCTCCCCAAAGTGCTGGGATTACAGGTGTGTGCCACCACACCTGGCCTATAGTTCTGATTTTATACAGGAGGAAACTGAGGCTCAGAAAGGTTAAGTCCCTTGTCAAGGGTCACACAGACAGAAAATAACAGGACCCAAACTGGGACTCTGCTAGACTCAAACAGCCCAGGCCCAGACAGATAGGAACGTCTGATTCTTGCAAAATGTCCTACTTGATGGAGGGGTGCTTCCAGTCTGGGGTGATTCTGCACTCCAGGGGACATCTGGCCATGTCTGGAGTCTACTGCTGTGACACTGGGGGGCTGGGGTGGAGGGGGTGCTGCTGGCATCTGGTGGGTGGAGGCCAGGGAAGCTGCCACACACCCTACAGAGCACAGGGCAGCCCCACCACTGTTATGTGGCCCCAAACGTCTATGGTGCCCTTGTTTACAGAGAGCACCGTAAACTGAAGAGCATTTCCCGTGCTGGAGAAGCCGCGCTCGTCAGCAGCGAGGTCCGTGTGAGCCGGGCTCCCAGGGACAGGACCAGTGTGTGGGGGATGCCCATGGTCTCAGGAGCAGGCAGCCCTGTCTCCCAGCCCCACATGTGACTAGGGAGGCTGGTGGGAAAGGCCTGTGGACTGAGGGAAGGCTGGTAAGGGAGCTGCCTCCTTCAGGCCATGGCTGGACTCCCGTCAAAAGCCTCCCGGCAAAGCCGTCACCCCATGGAGTACAGGATCGCCTGATCTCCAGCTCCGAAACCGTAAGAATACAGACCTCACTGGAGTGACTGCGCATGAAGACGGGGTGCTTCTTGGGGAGATGCAACTGTTCTGGAATTAGACAGCAGTGGTGGCTGCACAATGTTGTCAGCATGCTAAAAACCACTGAACGGCATGACCAACGACCCAGGACCAACGACCCAGGACCAACGACCCAGGACCAACGACCAAGGACCAACGACCCAGGACCAACGACCCAGCACCAACAACCCAGGACCAACGACTCAGGACCAATGACCAAGGATCAACGACCCAGGATCGACGACCCAGGATCGACGACCCAGGATCGACGACCCATGACCAACGACCCAGGACCAACGACCAAGGATCAACGACCCAGGACCAACGACCCAGGACCAGCGACCCAGGACCGACGACCCAGGACCGACGACCCAGGACCGACGACCCAGGACCAGCGACCCAGGACCGACGACCCAGGACCAACGACCAAGGATCAACGACCCAGGACCAACAACCAAGGATCAACGCTGGCTCTGGCCATGGAGGGGAGGCTCCTGCGGGGGCAACGGTAGGCTCATGTGGGCTCGGGCCTTGACATTCTAAGTTGATAAACAATATTTTACACATACACACACACACACACATACACACACATGCGGTCCCTTGGGGCCAGTGTGGTTACAGAGAAGTTGCTGTGTGGGTGGTAATGCCTGGTTCAATCAGGATTTAACAGGAAATGCCCCCAGCAAGGGTGGATGGCTGGGCAGGCCTCAGGGTGCCCACCTTCATTGCTAAATGCCAATAGAGGGCTTTGCTTCTTGGGAAACGTCTGCAGAAGCAAATGTCTTTTTGGCTTTTCCCCAAGTGAAGCAGCGAAGAGGGTGTGTGGGGCGGCCCAGAGTTGGCTCCTCAGGACATGGGGGGAGGGACGATGCCTGGATCCTGAGGGGCTGCTCACCCCTCACTTGGCACCAGCCTGGGCTCTTTCCCCAATACCTGCTTTCCCAGTGGCCTCAGTGTCACTGGCAGGTGTGAGCTTTGCCACCTCTGTGGCAGCACCTCAGGGTCACTTAAGAAACCGCCCAGCACCAGCAGCTACAGCCAGGACCCCTGGGTAAGGGGCAAGTAAGTGGCCCAAGATGGGCCACAGGGCACACTGCATGGACCTCACAGAGGTAAGATTTCATCAGAAGACAAAAGGGACATGTTCGTCCCCCAGCTGCAGGGGCTGCTGAGTGCACCATCCCCCCGGGCCTGGCTCCCCACCTCCGCAGCTGGGGGGCTTCTTTTTTTTTTGAGATGGGGTTTCGCTCTGTTGCCCAGGCTGGAGTGCAGTGGTGCGATTTTGGCTCAGTGCAACCTCTGCCTTCTGGGTTCAAGCGATTGTCCTGCCTCAGCCTCCCGAGGAGCTGGGATTACAGCTGCGTGCCACCACATCTAGCTGATTTTTGTATTTTCAGTTGAATCAGGGTTTCGCCATGTTGGCCAGGGTGGTCTCAAACTCCTGACCTCAAGTCATCTGCCCGCTTTGGCCTCCCAAAGCCAAAAGATTACAGGCACGAGACACCACGCCCGGCCTGCAGCTGCCGTGGCTTCTGCCATTGCTAAGCTGCGCCCTCCACCTCCCCACTGCACGTGTGGACCCTGACTTCCTTCCAACCCACCCTCTATGCTTCCACTGGCAGAGCAGAGCTGCTTTCTGTTGCTTGCAACCCAGGACTTAAGGCACCCCCCGAGGAAGGGTCAGCTGTGCAGTGGGGGAGCTGGGCCTGCAGGCAACACAGCCTGGCGGTGAAACTTTAGGCATGGCGGGCAATGGAGGGAACCTGCAGTCAGGTGGACACCCCAACAAGACTGGGGTCATCACAGCTCCTCGTGAAGCCCCTTCTCTCTGCCTCCAAGCCCTGGGTAGACACTGCATGTGCTGTTAACATGAACATAAACCAATCAACCTGAGTTGCCAACATTCACACGGGCAGATGCATCTGATGCCTGCCAGAAGGAGGCCAGAAGCTGAGTTTTCTTGGCCAGAGCGGAAACAGGCTGAGTGTCCAGACGCAGTGGGAGTGGAAGCCAGGGTGAGCTGGTTTCTAGGCCAGAAAGACCCAGGGAGTCCTCGGATGCCTAAGGCCAGGACTCCAAGGAAGGAAGACATATCTGTCTGTCCACAAGGCATGAGAAAGACCTGGGAGAACAGGGGCCTTTTCCTGGCCTGCAAGTTCAAAGGTTTCTTTCTGGGCTGCACGCAGCAGCAGGGCCTCCAGTATTATCAACCCCACTGGTGGGAACCCCCTGGACCCCAGAAGTCCCTGCAGCCGCAGCTTTTTCCTGCCCAGCAGTTCTCACCACTAGGGGTCAGCATTGGACAAGGAGACCTAGGCTAGGCCCACGGATCCTGCCCCGGCCTGTCCTGGGGCCTGGCCCTTAGTAAACCATCCTGCCGTGGTTTTACCACGTCCAGGAATCCAGGCCCGGTGCCAAATGCTTCTCCTGCTTTATTTCTTGGAAATCCTCACAAGAGCCCCACAAAGCACAGTCCACTCTTGAACAACGTGGGTTTGGACGGCATGGGTGCGTGGGTCTGATTATCGGCGGATTTTCTTCTACCTCCGTCACCCCGAGACAGCAAAGCCAATCCTTCCTCTCCCTCCTCCTCCTCAGCCACTCAGCGTGAAGACAACGAGGATGAAGACCTTGATGATGATCCTCTTCTTCCACTTAATTAATAGCAAATATATTTTCTCTTCCTTATGATTCTCTTTTTTTTTTGAGACGGAGTCTTGCTCTGTTGCCCAGGCTGGAGTGCAGCGGCTTGACCTTGGCTCACTGCAACCTCCGCCTCCCGGGTTCAAACGATTCTCCTGTCTCAGCCTCCCGAGTAACTGGGATTACAGGCATCCACCGCCATGTCTGGCTAATTTTTGTATTTTTAGTAGAGACAAGGTTACACCGTGTTAGCCAGGCTGGTCTCGAACTCCTGACCTCAGGTGATCCACCCTCCTCGGTCTCCCAAAGTGCTGCGATTACAGGCATGAGCCACCACGTCCGGCCTGATTCTCTTAATAACATTTTCTTTGCTCTAGCTTACTTTATTCAAAGAATACTGATATGGTTGGCTCTGGGTCCCCAGCCAAATCTCATCTCGAATTGTAATCCCCACGTGTCAAGGGAAGGACCAGGTGGAGGTAAGTGGATAATGGCGCTGGTTTCCCCTATGCTGTTCTCGTGATAGTGATAGAATGCTAACGAGATCTGATGGTTCATAAGCGTGTGGTAGTTCCTCTGCATTCATTCTCCCTCCTGCCATCCTGTAAAGAAGGTGCCTTGTTTCTCCTTTGCCTTCCGCCATGATTATGAGTTTCTGAGGCATCCCCAGCCATTCGGAACTGTGAGTCAATTAAACCTCTTTCCTTTATAAATTACCCAGTCTCAGCTATTTCTTTATAGCAGTGTAGGAATGAACTAATACAAAGACAGTACACGACACAGTGAACACACAAAAGATGTGCTCGCTGACTGTTCTTAGTAAGGCTTCTGGTTAACAGTGGGCTACTAGAAGTTATCTTCTAGGGGAGTCAAAAGTTATACATGGATTTAGCTGCGCAGGGGATCGGCACCCCTAAGCCCTGCGTTGTTTAAGGGTCAACTACATATGCCATTATCTCTGTTTTGAGTTGATGGATATGGAGTCCAGAGAGGTGAAGGCTCCTGCCCAAAGTCACACAGCTGGGAAGCACCTGGGGCTGGATTCGAACCCAGATCACATGGCTGTAACCACACCGTTAGCTGGCATCAGCACTCTGCAGGACGACAAATCCTCTAAGACTTACGTCCTCCCCCTTCCCCTACTCTAGCCACAAGCTCCCTGGATCTGCCCAGCCACCCTGTGGGGAAGGTAGGGTGGGATTAAGACTCCACTCCCAGCCCAGTAACAAGTAAAAGGCACTGAAGCCCAGAACAGTTGAGTGGGCAGCCCAAGGTCACACAGGAGCAGGCAGAACAGACCTCCAGGGCTCTCTCTCCCGACCCGGACCCTCTGTCCCCACACACAAAGGGTACGCATCTCCTGGGAAAACAAAGTGTCTGGAAGTATTTTGAGGGTTTGGTTTGGGTTAGGAAAAAATTATTTGTTTCCTTAATGACCCAAGTAAGACATTTTTGCTGCAAAGACATTTGAAAAGAGGCCAATAAACAAACAAAGAAATAAATAAAAGTTGCTACCACTCTGAGAGAATGAACATTAATATTTCCATGTATTTCCTCCCAAATATTTTCCTAAGCAAATATGTATATTTTAAACAAAAAAAATTTTTTTTCCTTTCCTTTTTTTTTTTTTGTTTGAGACAGGGTCTCACTGTCGCCCAGGCTGGGGTGCAGTGGCTCACTGCAGCCTTACCTCCAGGGCTCAGGCAATCCTTTTGCCTCAGCCACCGGTCTAGTTGGGACTACAGGCATGTACCAGGCCTGGCTAATTTTTTGGTAGAGATAGGGTTTTGCCATGTTGCCCAGGCTGGTCTCAAGCTGCTGGGCTCAAATACGATCCACCTGCCCTGGTCTCCTAAACTGCTGGGATTACAGGCATGAGCCACTGCACTAGGCCTTTTTTTCCTAATAGTAGGCTGGGGTGTGTGGAGGAGTGAGTGGTTTCCCAGCGTCTCCACACTCCCTGGGCCCAAGGCAGGTGGATAAAAGGCTGGCCCAGTCTCTGGGGGCATGGTCTTGGAGGGAAACTTATGATGCATTGCAGAAAGCCCCCTCCCGCGGCGGGCCCTGCCCCCTGCTTGTGTTCTGCTCTGCCCCACCCACCCCACCCTAGGTCTCCGATGTGAGTCGGTGCCAGACGTCCCGGCTCCCAGCACGGCACTGCTAGCAGATGCCAGGCCCACCTGGGTGGGGAGGGTTCTCACCATGGCCAGCTCGGCCTCCAGCTCCTTCATCCGGTTGTCCTTGAGGTCCAGCTGGGAGCGCAGTGCCGTGGCGTGGTCTGTGGCCTCCTTGGCTTGGCGCCGCAGCTCCCACTTCTCACGCTCCAGCAGGTCCTTCTCCTTGGCCAGCGCTTTGACCGCATCCTCGCTCTCCTGTGGGTGGGAGAGGGAGAGAGCACCGTGGGTGTTACAGCCAGGCTCCTCCTGGCCCAGGGATGCCTAGAGGGGGCCTAACTCCTAGATGGAAAAAGAAGTGGGGTCACGAGGTCAGGAGATTGAGACCATCCTGGCTAACATGGTGAAACCCCGTCTCTACTAAAAACACAAAAAAATTAGCCAGGCATGGTGGCGGGCACCTGTAGTCCCAGCTACTCGGGAGG
The DNA here is from genome assembly GCF_000001405.40 of Homo sapiens. Classification (NCBI taxonomy): domain Eukaryota; kingdom Metazoa; phylum Chordata; class Mammalia; order Primates; family Hominidae; genus Homo; species Homo sapiens. The sequence continues at coordinate 15,043,761 of NC_000001.11, read as the reverse complement.
CTGAGGCAGGAGAATGGCAGAACCTGGGAGGTGGAGCTTGCAGTGAGCCGAGATCGCACCACTGCACTCCAGCCTGGGCGACAGAGCGAGACTCTGTCTCAAAAAAAAAAAAAAAAAAAAAAAAAAAAGAAGTGGGGAGGCCCCATGACATGTGGCCAGGAGCTCTGGCTCTGTGGTGGGAAAGCCGTGGGCACGAACTCCAGCTCTGCCACAAACTAGCTGGAAGACTGGAACAGAGACGAACCCAGTAGACACTCATTAAACCCTTTTTTTGCTGCATGAATGAGTAAGTTGGCAAATGACTGCTTTGGGGAAGTCATTCTACCTCATCGAGTCTGGGTTCCCCTTATGTAAAATGGGGCAGGAGTCAATCCTACTTGTTTCAAAGAATTCTAAAGATTGAATGACTTCACGTGCGGGAAATACTTAACACAGTCTGACAGAAGTTAGGGTGCAATAGTTGTTCTGGGGCTTTGTTCTGTTTGGTCAATTGTGTTCATCACAGGGAAACAGGGTCAACAGTAAGGAGGCACCAGCGACCCCAATTGTCTGGACTGCCACAAGGTCCGGCCACCACTCCACAGGGTCACAGCCTGTGAGAGAAACAGTTGCTGTGTCCTGAATGCAGCACAGTCCTCAGCCGCTTGCCCCAGCCCCTCCCCAGGCTGGCCCTCCTGCATGAGCTGTTTTCTGTGATTGTCCAGGGAAGGGCCAGGCCCCGGCTGTGCCAGTCCCCAGAGCAGAGCCAGCAGGGAAGGAACAGACAGCTGAATCGAGGCTGTGACCTCTGTTGGCCGGAGCAAAGTTTCAGAACAACAGGCGTCCTTTTGAGAAGGACAGTCCCAGCGGGGAGCTCTACCCATCCACCCAGCCACCATCTTCCCATTCACCAAATCAAAAGCAAATCCAAGGTCTCCGTGTGGCCTGGGACCGTGGAGAGAGGCCACCATCCTGCCTTGTCTGACAAACCTGTCTCTGAAGGCCTCACTTCCAGATGGTGAGAGACAGGGAGGCTGAGGGAGAACGTGGCCTTTTCTCTGTGGCTGTCAGAGCTGTAGCTATGGCCTTGGTTCTGGAGACAGAGGGAGAACCTGGGCCAAATCCTGGCTTTGCAATGACTGCTGTGAGTCATCCCTGCCTCAGTTTCCCCATCTGTAACCAGGGGATAATACCACATATACTTTGGGGCGTTTGTGTGGGTCTGCATGAAGGAATCCACCTGGAGAGCTCTGCACAGGACTGGGCTCCCAGCAGGCACCTGCTCGCCTCACTCAGATCCCTGCTCAATTGTCTCCTCCTCTGAGAAGCCTTCCCTGACCACCCACGTAAGAAAGAAGCCCCAGGCCCTCTCTAACCTGTTTTCTTTATTTGAAGCTGATACTGGTCTGTTATTCAACCAATATTTGTGGATATTTGTCTGGTACAAACCAGACAAAAATCCCTGCACTCGTGGAGCTTATAGTGAAAAATTCTGCTACAGTGTAGAAACTGACCACTGGGGTAAGGGTTGTCCCTGAGAACCCGCTGGTGTACAAGAGGCTGCTTATAAAATGTCCCTGAATTAGGAGGAAGCCCCACTAGGTCCCTCAGGATCATTTTTGTCTCATCGCAGTCACTGGTTCACACTACTACTCACGAACAGACCAAGGGCTCTAGGCCGGGTGGGAAGGCCTGTAGGTGCTTTCAAGTTTTGGACTCCCACCTTCTTGGGGTCATATTCCGCGGCAGCAGGAGAGCTGGGCTCAGCAGCAACTGTCACAGAACGTTCTGTACAGTGCTAAGGCTTTTAGGTGCATTATTTAAATCTCACAACCACCCCTGAGGCAGGGACTATGATTATCCCTATGTCACAGATGAGCAAACTGAGGCCCAGAGAGGTAAAACAACTTCGCCAGCTCATAGACAGTGTGGTAGAGGCCTCAATCCCTGCTGGTACCTGAGGCAGGAAAGGAACTGAAAGGAGACGCCTGAGAGGTCTGGAACTGGAAGGGGGTTGGGGGTGGTGGGAATTTCTGAGGGTGGGATTTGGCCAAGACCTCATGGGGCCTTGGATGACAGGCCTGGGAGCTGAGGTTCTTTGGGGCTGCCAGCACTTGGGGATCACATGGACATAAGAGGGGAGTGTGGCCGGGCACAGTGGCTCATGCCTGTAGTCCCAGTATTTTGGGAGGCTGAGGTGGATGGATCACCTGAGGTCGAGAGTTCGAGACCAGCCTGACCAACATGGAGAAGCCCTGCCTCTACTAAAAATACAAAGTTAGCTGGGCGTGGTGGTGCATGCCTGTAATCCCAGCTACTCGGGAGGCTGAGGCAGGAGAATCGCTTGAACCTGGGAGGCGGAGGTTGCAGTGAGCCGAGATCCCGCCATTGCACTCCAACCCGGGCAATAAGAGCAAAACTCCATCTCAAAAAAACAAAAAAAAAAAAAAAGAAAAAAAATGCGGAGAGTAGAATACAGAGGGGAGAGGAGGGGCTGCAGGGGCATGAAGGTCTGGCTAGGAGCCGGGTGCGGTGGCTCATGCCTGTAATCCCAGCACTTTGGGAGGTGGAGGAGGGCAGATCACTTGAGGTCAGGAGCTCGAGACCAGCCTGGCCAACATGGTGAAACCCCATCTCTACTAAAAAAAAAAAAAAAATACAAAAATTCGCCAGGTGTGGTGGCATGCGCTTGTATTCTCAGCTACTCCAGAGGCTGAGGCACGAGAATCGCTTGAACTCAGGAGGCAGAAGTTGCAGTGAGTGGAGATCATGCCACTGCACTCCAGCCTGGGCAACAGAGTGAAACTCCATCTCAAAAAAAATAAAAAAAACAAAAAACAAAAAAAGTCTGGCTGGGGAGGTGACAGTGGTGAGATGAAAGTGGCCTGTTTCCCTTCCATCTGCAGTCACGTGACAGGGAAAGTGCATTTGGCACAGCTTTCAGAAATGTTGCAGTTTTGCCACATTCTGTTTTTTGTTTGTTTGTTTTTGTTTCCTTTTTTTTTTTTAACTTTTTTGAGATGGAGTCTTGCTCTGTCACCCAAGCTGGAGTGTAGTGGTGCGATCTTGGCTGACTGCAACCTCTGCATCCCGGGTCCAAGCAATTCTCCTGCCTCAGCCTCCCGAGTAGCTGGGACTACAGGCGGACAACACCACATCCAGATAATTTTTGTATTTTTAGTAGAGGCAGGCTTTTGTCATGTTGGCCAGGCTGGTGTTGGACTCCTGACCTCAGGTGATCTGTCTGCCTCAGCCTCCCTAAGTGCTAGGATTACAGGCATGAGCCACCATGCTGGGTCATCGGCCACATTCTGGACAGGCCAAGACCCCTCCTTTCTCAGCAGCCTTGTTCCTGTGCCATCCCCCGACTCCCAGTAGCTCAGGGCCTGGGGTCCTTCCTGCTGCCTGCTCCAGTGGAGTCCTACAGGAGTCTGCTGGAGAAGTTGGGTGGGCCATGGCAGACTAAGCGGGCACAGTTGCGTGGGCGAGGGAACCTGAGGGTTCCAGTCATCCTGTTCCAGGGGGACATTTATCATGCACATAAAATGCAAATCATTTTTGGTAACCAGCTGCAAGATCTTGGAAGAGATGAAATAAAACCAGGACTTGTGGCTTCAGTTTTGCCAAACTGGCTCTAAACATGTGTCCTTGGGTCAGTCACTTGACCCTTGCGGACCTCAGTCTTCCCACCTGTAAAATGGGGCTGGACCCAACAATGACTAAAATATTGTTTTAATGTTGCTATTCCACCGATCTACAGGCGCGACTCTCTCCACTTCTAATATTCATATCTTAGTATTAAGGTATTAATTTTTTTAAAATCAGTATTTTCCAAAGTTCATTTTTCTGAATGAATCTGAAGGGCATTATGAAGCCAATCAATAAAAGTGGCACTTGCTGCTCAGCTGTAGCTACAGGGAGCTGCCCCCGGCAGTCATAGCCACAAGGCTTCTATTGAGTAGCGTCAACCCCACCCCAGCGGCTGGTCAGACTTGGGGGATGCCCCTAGTCACCTATGTCTTAAAAAATGACACGGTGCTCTCCATGGGAATTTTATTGCCAAATATGAGATGGATGTTACACTTTGAGATGGATATGTTAATTACTCTGATCTGATAACTATACATTCCATGGATCCAAACATCACTATGTACCCCATTAAAATGTATCATTTTTGCCCAAATAATTTTAAAAAACAAATTTGATATATCATGAAAAGACACAGAGAAGCACTGGTATGAAATGCTAGTTTGGCCACTGAAATAGCCAGCACTCTACCCATGGTTCACAGGGACAGCTGTGACCTCCTCTCTGTGGTCGGCCTTGGGTTGTTGAAAATGGCAAACAGTGGGACTCATTCCTTCGTTCCTCTGAACATGCACTGAGTGGTGTGGGGACGGTGGCCCAGGCCAGGCCCAGTCCTATGAGCTCTGGGGCTGGGGCTCTGGGACTAGACCTCCTGGGTTTGCATCCTGCCTCTACCCCTTTCCATAATCGTGTGGCCCTCGGCCTGAGACTTTACCTAAGTCTCAGTTTTCACCTGTTAAATGGGGGGAATGGGGACAATCACTCCTCGAAGGATTGCTATTAAAATAGCAAATGTGAAGAGATGAGGGCAGTGCCTGTGCACGGTAGGTGCACAATAAACATCTGCTACTGGTAATATCACATTCATGTCTGTATACAGTAGGTGCACAATAAACGTCTGCTGTTGGTAATAGCACATTCGTGTCTGTATACAGTAGATGCACAATAAACATCTGCTACTGGTAATATCACATTCATGTCTGTATACAGTAGGTGCACAATAAACGTCTGCTGTTGGTAATAGCACATTCGTGTCTGTATACAGTAGGTGCACAATAAACATCTGCTACTGGTAATATCACATTCATGTCTGTATACAGTAGGTGCACAATAAACGTCTGCTGTTGGTAATAGCACATTCATGTCTGTATATAGTAGGTGCACAATAAATGTCTGCTGTTGGTAATAGCACATTCATGTCTGTATACAGCAGGTGCACAATAAACATCTGCTATTGGTACTGTCACGGTCATGCCTTATACAGTAGGTGCACAATAAATGTCTGTTACTTGTCATGTTCATGCCTTAAACAGTAGTTGCACAATAAACATCTGCTATTGGTAACACCATGTTCATGCCTGTATATAGTAGGTGCACAATAAACATTGGATATTGGTAATATCACATTCATGCCTGTATACAGTAGGTGCACAATAAACGTCTGCTATTGGTAATACCATGTTCATGCCTGTATACAGCAGATGCACAACAAACGTCTGGTATTAGTAATACCATGTTCATGCCTGTATACAGTAGGTGCACAATAAACATTTGCTATAGGTAATACTGTGTTCATGCCAGCTCCTGCTGAGGTGGCCTCTGAAGGCAGCCATCACATCAGTCCCTGCCAGGATGATTACCTGGTAACAGCGCCATCTTTTGGATCCTCTTGGACTCTGCTCAGCACCCTCTTGCTTTTTTTTTTCTTTCTTTTCTTTTTTTGAGATAAGGTCTCATTCTGTTGCCCAGGCTGGAGTGCAGTGGCACAATCTGGGCTCACTGCCACCTCAACCTCCCTGGCTCAAGCAATCCTCCTGCTTCAGCCTCCCAAGTAGCTGGGACTACAGGCGTGTGCCACCCTGCCCCACTAATTTTTAAAATTTTTTGTAGAGATGGAGGTCTCACTCTGTTGTCCAGGCTGGTCTTGAACTCCTGGGCTCAAGCGATCCTCCCACCTTGGCTTCTCAGAGTGCTGGGATTACAGGTGTGAGCCACCGTAACTGGCTGCTTTTCTAAATCCTGATCTGTCCTCCTTCAGGGCATGTGTTCTCAGGGAGCTCTTTCTTCTAGCTCCTGATTCCTGGGTCCTCTGAGACCCTCTGTCCCTCCCAGAAGGACTTGTCTGGGTTCCTTTCTGCACAGGTCTTGCCTCTCCACCCCATTCCCAGAAACCAGACCTACGACTGGGGTCTGTGTGGGACCAGCCACAGCTCCAATCCTGCCCACCCGGGGCCTTCGTTTCCTTCTCCGGGTTTGCCAGTGAGACCAACAACAGGGAGTGGCAGGTGAGGGGCCGGCAGAGGGGCTTTGAAATCCACTGTGGAATTTTCATGATCAAATGGCTGACTCTGAATCCCCGAAAGCAATAATAATGATAATGATAATAATAATGGTAGCAGGCATATGCCCCTACCCCCCTTGCTTTCCATGCCCCGGGAACCTCAGGTCTGACAGCACTGGGCTGTGAGTAGTTGCAATCTTCATCCTGCTTTACAGATGTGAAGGCTGAGACCGGGGAGAGTCAGCTGTTTGCCCGAGCCACCCCCATAGCGAGTGCAGAGGTGAGATGCTAACCTATCTGTCTGCTCTTAATCCCTGCGTGACCCTGGTCCCAGGAGGGGAGGAAGCTGGTGGCTCAGGGGACAAGTAGAAGGTCAGCTTGGAGCCTGTCTTCTGCCCCAGGGCCAGCACGTCACTGAAGGCTATGGGCTGGTTCTCTGGCCCCACTGTGTCCTGTCCCCAATAAAAAAGAGGTAACCAGGTTTCCCTGCTGCTGGGCATGGGGCTGGTCAGGCAGAGGCTCTCCCTGCCTTGCCCACTGAAAAAAGACCAAGCTCCTTAGGCCGAGAATGGAGAAATGAGAGAGGTGGACACAGAAGGGGAGGCAGGGAGCAGAGGCGACCAGAAGATGCTGTGCTGAGTGCCAGGGGGTGATGGGGTTGGGGGAAGAGGCGCGCTGCACAGGGGGAAGGCCCGTAGGCTCTGGACCCAGGCCCTGTAAGCCCCTGCCCTGCCATCGCCGGCTGCATGACCGTGGGTGAGTTATCTCCCCTCTCTGTGTCTATCAGCTCATCTGTGAAATGGGAGGATAACCATATGCCCCACAGTGTCCGTGTGGATGTTAAATGAATGGACACACACGAGGCTCTGAGAACTCTTCCTGTAAGCCCTTGAAGTACATGCCGTAACTCCCACAGCACGCCCCTGTGAGCACACACGTGTACCTGCATCATCAGACAGGATAGCGGTGTCCCCTACCCCTCCCTCTGCATGGAGGTCACTCTGAGCTCCTGGTCTCTGACTCCTTGCTGGTGGCCAAAGGCAATGCTGCTGAGACAGCCTCACCCTAAGGAGCGGACCCCAGGCCCACGAGCTGCACCCCAGGCCCATGAGTTGCTCCCCATGCCAGAGTCTGAGAAAGCAGCCTCTGTGGGCTCCCCTGCCTCCCTCTGCCTTGCTTCTGGGTCGTCCCCTTCCTGCCAAACCGTTTGCCTGTGACAGGCATGGGGAGGCTCAGTTCATCTAATATGAAAGGGAGCCAGGCCAAACAGGCAGGGGAAGGGGAGCTGGGTGGTCAGGGCAGGGGGAGCTGGGCAGGCAGGGCAGGGGAGGGCTGGGCCGAGCAGGCAGGGCAGGGGGAGCCGGGCGGGGCAGGCTAGGCAGAGGGAGCTGGGCGGGCAGGGCAGAGGGAGCTGGGTAGGCAGGGCAGGGGAGGGCTGGGGCGAGCAGGCAGGGCAGAGGGGGATGGGGGGAGAGGTAGGCAGGGTAGGGGGAGCCGGGCCCTGCTCTCGAGTCGGGCACTGAGGGCAGCTAGAAGTCCCAGATCCCCATCAGGGGCTGTGGTGGCCTGGCCCAGAGAACTCTCGAGGCTCCTTTCATCATAGAAAGGAAGTGATGTGCATGCCCGGGAGGTGACAGTGAGGAATCAGCGGTGAAGACCAAAGTGGGTAGGGGGGACCAAGCATCTAGATTCAAATCCAGTCTGAACACTCTGGTCTCTGAACTGCGGCTCAGAGGCAGCATCTGGGAAGGACTCATTCACCTGGCCTGCTGCTTCCCACTGTTCAAAAAAGGGGCCTCGAGCTGAACACCCTGTGACAAGGGCTGTGACCAAGGTGCCTACGCAGGGCAGAAAACAGAGGCCAGAAGTGCATTCAGCTCGAGGCTGGAGTGCAGTGGGGTGATCTCGGCTCACTGCAACCTCCACCTCCTGGGTTCCAGTGATTCTGTGCCTCAGCCTCCTGAGTAGCTGGGACTGTAGGTGTGCACCACAATGACCGGCTACTTTTTGTATTTTTAGTAGAGATGGGCTTTTGGCCAGGCTGGTCTCGAATTCTTGTCCTCAAGCATTCCACCCACCTGGGTCTCCCAAAGTGCTAGGATTACAGGTGTGAGCCACCGTGCCTGGCCAGGGGACTGACTCTTCTTTAAGTTTTGGTGTCCTCTTTGGCATGTCATACCACAGATACCAGAGAGATACATGGTGAAACAAATTCCTCAGTTGTCTGGCCCATAAACTCCTATTCACCCCACAGAGCCCAATGCATATGTCACTTCCTCTGTGAAGCCTTCCAAGACTCCCTCCCTATAGGCAGAACTTCCTGCTGTCTCACTGGGGCTCCCCAGCTCTCTCTTCACACTTTTATTATGGTGTTAGTAAATGTTAGCTATGCGTCTTATTGATGATGCTATACTATGTGCCAGGCACCAGGCTGAGTGCTCGGCATTCATCATCTCATAGAGTCCTTACTGTAGCTTTGAAAGGTCCACCACAATCACCACTCTGCAGAGAGGAAACTGAGGCTCTGAGAGGTCAAGCGAGACCTGCGAGGGCACACACACAAGGAGCCAGGATCTGAACCCCCCGGACTCCTGAGTCCACGCTGTCCTGTTTGCCCAGGAGACATGGAGATCCCTCTCCGGGGGTTGTGCCGGTTTTATCTCGGTGCCTAGGCCTGGCTGGACACATCAAGGGCCTCCCTATCTGTGTTTGGGGATTCAAGAGGCAGAGCCTGTGAAGGTGGCCAGCCAGCAGGGGAGGTGGGAGCTGGTGTGTCGGGAGGGGAGGGGAGGGCAGGGCGGCGGCTGACCTTGCGGTGCTGCTCATAGTTGCGGATGAAGTCTCGGAGCTGCTCCTCGCGGCTCTCCAGTGTGGCATACAGCTGCTGCATCTGGCTCACCAGGTCTGTCTTCTCGCCCTTTAAGCGCTTCCGATCAGCTTTCATGGCTGGGGATAAAGGAGAGAGTTAGTTCCCAAGACCCCAGCTGTCCTCTCCAGATGCCTGAGTGCTGAGAAGTGGCATCACCGCCGTCACCTTTGTAACAGGTGAGAAAACAGGGCTCAGAAAGACGAAATGTCCCTTCCATGTGCCCTTGCCACTTGGTGGCCTTCCCAGGATTCCAAGCCAGGCTCACCTATGTCGAGAGCCCCGATTCTCCCCTCTCAGCTGTGTCAATCTGACCAGGGAGCAAGTCGTTGTCGAAACTGCTTTCCCAGCCCTAAGCTGGCTGAGTGTTCAATGACGAAGAACTGAGGCCTGGTGGGCTCCAGGGGCCCATGGCTCAGGAATCGGACAGGGCCTCAGTTCCCTCTCAAAAGGAACCCTGGGCCACCCTGAGTCCACTGGAACCACTCAGTCCAGCCCAACAGCCCCTCCTGCCTCATTTCTTCCGTGGGGAGAAGTATTACGTTAAAAACATGCACTAAGACATATACCAAAAGTGTAGAGCAACAAAAGAAAATACAGATAGATCGGAATTCATCAAAATTAAAACCGTTTGTGTTTCAAAGGATATCATCAAGAAAGTAAAGGACAACTCATAGAATGGGAGAAAATATTTGCAAATCCTGTATCTCATAAGCGGCTTCTATCTGGAATATACAAGTCTCTCTTGCAACTCAATAATAAAAAGAACAGGAAGTCATTTAAACAGGAAGTCAGGTGCGGTGGCTTATGCCTGTAATCCCAGCAATTTGGGAGGCTGAGGCAGGCCGATCACTTGAGATCAGGAGCTTGAGACCAGCCTGGCCAACATGGTGAAACCCCCTCTCTACTAAAAATACCAAAAATTAGCCAGGCGTGGTGGTGTGTGTCTGTAATCCCAGTTATTCGGGAGGCTGAGGCAGGAGAACTGCTTGAACCTAGGAGGTAGAGGTTGCAGTGAGCTGAGATTGCACCACTGCACTCCAGCCTGGGTGAGAGAGCGAGACTCTGTTACAAACAAACAAACAAACAAAATGGGCAAAGGATCTGAACAGACACTTCTCCAAGAAATGGCCAATAGGGACATGAAAAAACTCGGTATCAATTGTCATCGGGGAAATGCAAATCAAAACCACAATGAAATACCACTTCACACTCACTAGAATAGCTAAAAATAGAAAACAGACAATAGCAAGGGCTGGTGGGATGTGGAGAAACTGGAATCCTCATGCACTGCTGGCAGGAATGTGAAATGGTGCAGCTGCTTTTGGAAAAGTCTGATAGCTCCTCCAAAGATTAAGCATCAACTTACCATACGACCCTGCGATTCTACTCCTAGGCATACATCCAAGAGCTATGAAAACATATGTCTACACAAAAACTTATATGCAAATGTTTATAGCATTATTCATCAGAGCCCAAAAGGTGAAAATAACTCGAAAGTCCACCAATGGATGACTAATAAGCAAAATGAGATATATCCACACAATGGAATATTACCTAATAATAAATAAAAACAAGGAGGGCCATTGCTCAGTATGCATGGGGATTGGTTCCCGAACTCCCTGTGGACACCAAAATCCACAGATGCTCAAGTCCTTTATATAAAATGGCATAGTATTTGCACACAACCTACACAATCCCCTCATACACTTTATCTCTAGATCACTTACAATACCTAGTAAAATATAAATGCCACATGAATAGTTGTTATACTGTATTGTTTTGGGAATAATGACAAGAAAAAAAAATCTGTACATGTTCAGTATAGATACAACCATTCATTTTCTTTTCCGGAGTTTTTTTTTCTTTTCCTTTTTTTTTAGACAGAGTCTTGCTCTGTCACCCAGGCTGGAGTACAGTGCCGCGATTTCGGCTCACTGCAATCTCCGCCTCCCGGGTTCGAGTGATTCTCCTGCCTCAGCCTCCCAAGTAGCTGGGATTGCAGGTGCCCACCACCACCCCAGGCTAATTTTTGTATTTTTAGTAGAGATGGGGTTTCACCATGTTGGCCAGGCTGGTCTCGAACTCCTGATCTCAAGTCATCTGCCTGCCTCAGCTTCTCAAAGTGCTGGGATTACAGGCATGAGCCACAGTGCCTGGTCCCTGACTATTTTTGATCCACAGTTCATTGAATTCATAGATGTGAAACCCATGGATAAAGAGGCCAACTGTACTGATATTTGCAACAACATGGATGAACCTTGAAAACATGCTAAGGGAAAAGGCCAGCCACTAAAGGCCATATATTATGTGATTCAATTTATATGAAATGTCCACAGCTGGGCGCGGTGGCTCATGCCTGTAATTCCAGCACTTTGGGAGGCTGAGGCGGGCAGATCACAAGGTCAGGAGATCGAGACCATCCTGGCTAACATGGTGAAACCCCGAATCTACTAAAAATACAAAAAGTTAGCCGGGCGTAGTGGCAGGTGCCTGTAGTCCCAGCTACTCGGGAGGCTGAGGCAGGAGAATGGCGTGAACCTGGGAGGCAGAGCTTGCAGTGAGCCAAGATCGCGCCACTGCACTCCAGCCTGGGCAACAAAGCAAGATTCTGTCTCAAAAAAAAAAAAAAAAGAAAAAAAAAAAAAGAAATGTCCACAATGGGAAAATCTATAGAGACAGAAAGGAGATAAGCGTCTGCCTCGGGCTGGGTGTGGGGGTGGATCGGGGAGGGAGGGGTGGTAGCTAAGAGTATGGGATTTTTTTTGAGGTGGTAAAAATGTTCAAACATTGGTTATTGTGATGGATACATAACTCTGTGAACATACTAAAAACCACTGAATTGGACACTTAAAATGGGTGAACTGCATGGTATGTGAATTACATGTCAATAAAGCTGTTAAGAAAGCAAAACAAAATAAGGCTGGGCGCCTTGGCTCATGCTTGTAATCCTAGCACCTTGGGATCTTCCAGGAGGATTGCTTGAGTCCAGGAGCTCGAGACTAGCCTGGACGACATGGTGAGACCTCATCTTTACAAAAAATAATAATTAAAACAATACGCTGATTGTGGTGGTGCATGCCTGTGGTCCCAGCTACTTGGTAGGCTGAGGTGGGATGATTGCTTGAGCACAGGAGGTTGAGGCTGCAGTGAGTCATGTTCATGCCACTGCACCCCAGCCTGGGTGACAGAGCAAGATCCAGTCTCTAAAACCAAACCAAAGCAAACCAACACAACACAACACAACACAACACAACACAACACAACACAACACACCCTGAGTAGCTGCCTGGAAGCAGCATGACTTCTGTCCCCTCCAGACTCTCCTTCCCCACAGCGCTGGCTCCTTGGTGCACGGAACAGACTCAGGGCAGCCTCTGACTGCAGGGTGGGCTCCACGGCCTTTGCCCAGACCCCTAGCACTCCGTCCTTTTCCTGGAGAGAATACCAAGGAGGGGTTTCTGAGGCTAACCCCTCTCCACAGCCTCCTTGTGTCTGGAGTTGTGGAGGTGGTGGTGGGGGTTAGGGAGGCAAAGCAACTCTATGACTCTGGAAACTTCCAGCCTGACAAGGCCAGAGTGGTCATTTGTTTAAAATCACGCAGCCATGTCTGACCCCAAAGTCGACACCCGACCCTATGTTCTGCTGCCTCCACATTGAAGCTCCCTAAACCTGGAGGGTCCCCAGCCCCAAGGCTAGCTGAGGGCAGAATATGGGATGGCAATGACTGTGCCATCCCATCTTGTCCTGAACGTCCAATCCTGCAGACTCAGCCTGTGTACATGAGAGAGCTGGAGACACCAGGTATGGCCTAAGGACTGAGGGATCTGAGCTCCTGGCCCAGTGTCCAACATAAGCTCCCCAGGTGGAAGGCAGGCCAGCTGGGCCATGTCACCACGGGGAGGAGGCCCACGCAGTGGGGACCCCAGGTCTCAGGCAGCTGTTTAAATTCCAGCTTTGAGCTTCCTGGCTCCCACAGCTGGATCTGTCCTCTCCTGCCTGGCTTGGCTGAGCAGCAGCTTAGGTCACCAGGGCCGGAATTCCAGGCCTGCTGGGCTGGAACCTTAAAGGGCTGGGATGGTAGAGTCCATGGAAAGAGGACTCTTCTGCTTCACTCCTGCCAGGCAGCGGGTGGGCCCTGCAGGCCTCAGGCAGTGGGTGGGAGGCCCCGGCACAGCTAGGCTAGTTTTGTGCCCTGCCCCCTAACATGATGCGACCACATTGCTGGTGAACCTCATATTAAGATGACCCAACATCTAAAGATGTATGACCAGGCGCGGTGGCTCAGGCCTGTAATCCCAGCACTTTGAGAGGCGAGCGGAGCACTCGAGGTCAGGAGTTCGAGACCAGCCTGGCCAACATGTGAAACCCCGTCTCTACTAAAAATACAAAAATTAGCCGGGCGTGGTGGCGTGTGCCTGTAGTCTCAGCTACTCCAGAGGCTGAGGCACAAGAATCGCTTGAACCCTGGAGGCAGAGGTTGCAGCGAGCCGAGATTGCACCACTGTACTCCCACCTGGGAGACAGAGTGAGACTCTGTCTCAAAAAATAAAGTAATACATAAAAATCAAAATAAAAATAAAGATGCATCCCGGTCAGAAGGCTCCTTAAGGAAGAGCCGGGGCCCCGCTGTCGCTGATGAATGGGAAATTTCCATTTGCACATGCGCATGGGATCCTGGCCGCCCTCCTAGGAGAGGCAGGTGCATGGGTGAGTATTTTTATCATCCCATCTCACAGAGGGGGAAACGAAGACCACACAGCTGGTTAATGGCACAGCTGGGGTGGAATGGGTACCTGACTCAGTTTCAGGCTGGTTTCATGCTGGCGGGCTGGAGAGTAGCAGGAGAGCACTGCTGAGCTTGGGGAGTGGCTCCTGGAGGGCAGGGGCGCTGACCCCAGCCATGCTATCACTGTGGCTTCCTGGAGCCTCACTGGGCCCTCCTGCTCCGGTGGAAAGAAGCTGCTACTCAGCAGGTCGCATGGGCTCCCTGGGGGATTTACACCGCTGCCCTCTGGTTGGCAGGGAAATCATGCCTCTGCTTTCTGGTTGGAAATGAATGACCCCTGCCCGCCTAGGCTCTGAATTGCCTCCTACATTACCCACATCTCCATGAGAACCAAACTCCAGACTCTGCTCTTGGCAGTTGGAGACCTTGGGAGGGGAACCCCCCCAGCACCTCAACATGGCATTCCCAGGCCTTTCCTCTCACAAATGGCCTTTGTGGGGGTGCAGTGCAGCCTCTTGTGGCTTCTGTGGGTCTCCCTGCTGCTCCATCCTTGTTATCATTTATCCGGCAGTCCAAGGGGTGTGTGTACGTGTGCCTGGCTTTGCGTGTGCAACGTGTGGGCTGCCTCCATGGTGGGGTGCAGGCTATGCCTCCTGCATCTAACCTGGGGCTCTCTGAGAGCAAGAGCTGAGCCTGTGCCTTTAGATTATTCGCTTCTGCCTAAGAGGGGACCTGCGGCTCTCCCCAAATAGTTCAATTAAGCACCTACTGTACGCCAGGCTTGCTGCTGTGAGGACAGGAGTGAGCCAGACGTGGTTCCTGCCTTGTGGGAGGCTGACGCTCTCATAGAGGAGACAAACTCACACCTATGGCTGGCACTGGCACCATCCACCCTCCTCCTCACCATGATGCTCCAATTCTGTTTGGTGGGGAATGTGTCCACCTAAAATGTTCAATTTCCCAAGCTCCCTTGCAGCTACAAGCGGCAGGTGTCACAGTTCTGGCCATTAAGATGCACACAGATGCCCACTGGGAAATCTAGTTTTCTTTATAAGCCCTTTTTTGAGCACAAGGATGGAAGATATGAGCTAAGAATGGGGAGGAGAAAGAAAAACAGAAGAGGCCAGGGTCCCCGATGGTACCACCCAGCCGGGGATGCCTTACAGCAGGAGAATAACAAACCCCAATATTTTGGGGGTTTATTGTTACATGCAGCCCAGCACATTCCTAACAGACACACCAGGGCAGGCTGTGAGTCATGCTGCTACCCTCTCCCATGAGGCTTCACTTCATGGTTCTTTTCCACGGGCGCTCCTCGCTCTGCCCACCTCTGGGCTGGACTCTGCCAGGCTAATGACCAAGACAACACAAAAACTGAATCTTTAGGAATGAATGCCAGGTGAAGAACAACTACAAATAACACAAAGGTGCCACAAGTTCTGTCGTGTACACAAGGAGGCGACATCCAGTTTGCACATGGCAGGTGCTGCAACTCTACACAAACAAGGAGGCTGGTGCGATGGGCCCCCAAGAAATAATTTAAAATCTACACACAGCTATGAAAATGATGCAATGGAACTCTTCCTTTCTTCCTCATAGCTCTGCTTTTTTCTCTCCTTCAAAACCTGTTCCCTAAATGCTCCTAATGCAAGATGAGCTGCCAGCCTGCAAGGCATGGCTGTGTTTCTCTGGGACTGGCCTCCTGACTCAGCTCCTAGCTCCCCAGCGCTCTGCATGACTTCCCAATCATCTGGCCTCACCCACGCGGGTCCTATTCCAGCAGCCAAGCCACTGGAACCACTGCCATGGTGACTGGTGATGTCACGCCCAGCAGGCCCTGCAGGATCATGGAATGAGACCAGCCCGCTCCTGGGAATGTGGGGACTCTGGAGGTGGGAGGGAGGGTGTGTGGGAGGCACTTATTTTTCCAACTCAGAGGTGGCCACATGCATGCCTGAGACCAGGGTGTAACCAGGGGCCCAGCTGTGGCCCCACGATGATGGCACGTCTCTGAGCTGGGCCCTCCCAGGCGAAAGACCGAGACAACACAAAAGCTGAATCTTTAGGAATGAATGCCCAGTGGAGACAAACTAAAAACGACACAAAGGAGCCTCTGGGCTCTGTCGGGTACACAATGAGGTGACATTCAGTTTGTCCTCAAGCTCCCACCACAGACCTTTCTTCCTTCTCTGGCTTCGGATGCCACAGCCCCTAACCCAGATGTGGGACAGGACGGAGCGAGACTCCGTCTCAAACAAACAAACAAACAAACAACCACTGTGGGCCCAATCCTGGATGTCGCAAGGTCAGGAGCTCTTGTAAAAATTTCCAGCCTGGGTGTACCCTGGACAAACATGCGCTCAGAGGTGAGGAGGGAGGAATCGGTCCACGTCAGACGATCCCAGCTGCTGCCAGCAGGGGGCCCCCCTTTCTTTTCCATGCAATGTTCCTGACCCATGGAACCTTCAGGAACTACATTCTGCGAAATGAGGGGTGGGCAGGTAAGGGCCAGAAAGCCTGGCAAACCAATCTGGCAAACTTGAACTTCTAATAAACACCCATCAGAATGTGAGGCTCTCGGAGTTCTTCTAGCTCAGCTTCCCTTTACAGATGGGGAAACTGAGGCCCAGAGACGAGGCAAGAATGCCCAATGCACAGAGAGTCAGCTGAGGTCTCCCAACTCTTAGGCCAAGGCAGCTGAGTTAGAAGCACTGGCTTGGGGCCGGGAGCGGTGGCTCACGCCTGTCATCCCAGCATTTTGGGAGGCCGAGGCGGGCAGATAACGAGGTAAGGAGAACCAGACCATCCTGGCTAACATGGTGAAACCCCGTCTCTACTAAAATTACAAAAAATTAGCCGGGAGTGGTGCGGGCGCCTGTAGTCCCAGCTACTGGGGAGGCTGAGGCAGGAGAATGGCGTGAACCCGGGAGGCGGAGCTTGCAGTGAGCCGAGATCGCGCCACTGCACTCCAGCCTGGGCGACAGAGCGAGACTCTGTCTCAAAAAAAAAAAAAAAAAAAAAAAAAAAAAGAAGCACTGGCTTGGGAATCTGCCTAAGTTTGATTAAGCCTCAGTTTCCTCATCTGTAGACGGCAGCTGACAGTACAGTCAACCTTGGTATTGTGTGGCATTGGTTCCAGGAGCTCCCCCAAATACCAAAATCCACCGATGCTCAAGTCCCCGATGAAACATAGTATTTGCAAATTATCTACACACGTCCTCCCGTGTACTGTAAATCATCTCTAAATTACCTATAATACTTTATACAATGTAGATGCTATGTAAGTAGTTGTTACACTGCATTGTTTAGAGAAAAATGATAAGAAATATGTCTTGTGCATATTCAGTACAGGCACAACTATCCATTTTTTTTTTTTCCAAATTATTTTCGATCCTTGGTTGGTTGAATTCATCGATGTGGAACCCATGGATCCAGAGGGCTGAATCATTTCTGCCATAGGGACAAGCTATCTGGTCTTGAGTGACTGTGGGGTGCTGACCTTGAGCATTTTGGGAGACGAGAACCTCAGAAAGACACAGCTTCAGAGTTGGGGGTGGGGGTCCCAGGTTCTGGTGCTGCTTTTTTCCCCCGCTCTAAGCCTCGGTTTTCCCCCAGCATAATGAGGGTGTTGGAGTCTGTGAGCTTCCTTTTAGCTTCTGAAATCCCAACAGACCTCACCTTTGTCACTTGCTCCTTAGCAGCTGCGGGGCCTGAGACCCCACATGCAACTTCTCTGAGCTTCCCTATCCCCAGCTGTTAAGCTGTGCATGATCGTCTCCACCTGGCAAGGCTCTATGTGACAGGACCCAGGACAGAGCTCAGCTGCATACAGCAGGTGCTCAGTGTTAACCTCTCTTCCTATCTTCCAGCTCCCCGTGGCTCCCAGGCCTGAGCTCAGGCTCTAGGAGGCCCCAGAAAATACAGGCTGACTTGAGCAATAGGCAGGTTTCCAAGTAAAGAGCCCCGGGGAAGAGACCCAGGTCAGGGAGAAGGAAAGGGCCAGTCGAGGGCAGCAAGTTCAAGGCCACAAATTTATGGTCCTGGGATGGGCGGACAGCAGTTTATTTGTTTTTTTTTCCGTTTCAAAGATGAGTAAGGTGAGTTCGGAAGAGGTTAAAGTTTAACCTGCTTTATAAAGGTTAATCAGGTTCTCGTCACATCAGGTGGTGCTCAGGTCTTGAACTCCTGACCTCAAGTGATCCGCCCGCCTTGGCCTCCCAAAGTGCTGGGATTACAGGCCTGAGCCACTGCGCCCAGTCTGCTCCCCACAATGTTAATTTCCTTTATCTTCTCACCACGAGGTGAAGTGGGTTGACCGGCTCGCGCAGCCAACAAGTGGCTGACCTGGAACTTGATCCCAGAACTTTGTCGCTCAGGCCCATGATCTTTCCAGATGACCCATAGACTCTCTCTCCAAGTGCACCCTGGAAAGTTAGTCAGCATGACCCTTCCAACCTCCTGCCTGGGGCAGGAAAGGCAAATATCTGGAATAGCTTCTTATTTTCCAGTAACACGCCAGGGAAGACACGACTAATCAACTAGGCTCCCTAGGAAGCTGGGTTGATTAGGGATGTCTGCCATGGCACGGGAGGGAAACAGGGCAGGTTTGCCAGCTCTGCCCCTGACAGGGAGGCAGATGCCAGTAGTGCCTGATCAGGGCTGGCATGTTTGAGAACTATTCTGGTCAGCGCTGTGCCAATTACCAGCATACTCCATGGAACCAAGGGCAATTCTACTTAACCAAAAAAGTGAGAACCAATTTTCTCAACTGGTAGAAAATGAGTCTATTCACACCAGTGAGATGGTGGCAAAAAAACTCCAAACAGCATGCTTAAGGGTGAAAGAGCAGACTTTATTTCCCTCACCTGGGCCAAAGGTAAGTGAAGGATTAATGAGTTTACTTATTTTCATGTCCACTCCCAACCTGTGATATTAAGTTCCTGGAGGGCAGGGACCTGGTCTGTCCTGTTCACTGCTGTATCCTCCACAACGACAGCAGTGCCTGGCACATAGTAAGTGCTCAGGAAATAGTGACTTTCAAATGAATGACTGAATTAGGTGGACAGCCCCAGGGACAGCAGGATCCTGTGCCATGAGGGCAGAGGACATCTTGTTTTTCTTTGCCTGTCCCCTCTTGCCCTCCCTGGGAGGGACAGGCCATGCTGATTTCCCTGTGCCTCCTGACAGAACCCTGAGCATCAGTCCTGGTGATCTCGGAGCTGGCCACGGCATGGCTGAAGTTCTTATTAAGCTGCCTTGGGCTTGGTGAACTGTGTCCACATCCCAGCCAGGAATGAGAAGACTCAAGTGGACCAAAGTTTCTGCTAATCCAGAGTGCTCAAATTTTAAGGTGCCCAGGGCTGGGGAAAGACCCCAGACATTGTGCTTCCCACAGAGGTGAGACCCCAGGTCCAGGAGTGTGAGGGTCACTTCCCCTACCAGGCTCTCCCGCTATTAGCCTGGCTGCTGCTGTGCCTTCCCTCCGCTGGAAACTGAGGCCTCCCCTTTTCTACAAGAGGCTCCTCGGACCATCTGAGTTCTTTGCACTTGGCATGTGCCCTCTATTGAATTTTTCTCAGCATCATTGGAACATGCAATTCTCTCTCACATCTTTCACAGAAAACCTTCATTTGATCCCATGTCCCTCTCCAGCTCTCATTCCATTTCTCTTCTTCCTTTTGGAACAAAAATGTTCAAAAGGGTTGACCGTATCACCGTCTCCATTTCCTTCCCACCATCCTCTCTGGGACCGGCTCTGGCTTTTCCATGCCGGTCGCCAACGACCTCTGAGTGTGAATCCACATTCTCCATCTGATGAGCTCTGCCTCCAGCAGGCGATGCAGGTGATGACAAGTCTTCGCTTGACCTCCAGGGCCCGTGTTCCTGGTTTCCTCTCATTTCTGCCTGCTCCGTTTTGGACTCTGTTCCCTTCTGACCTCTGGGCATTGGTGGCTTCAGTCCAACCACAGGCTTCAGCCTGGACCTCATCCCTGAACTCCAGACCCAGAGCCCAGAGCATCCACACCTCTGCTTGAACCTCTAAAAGCAACTCAAACCTAACACATCCAAGATAGTCCCTGACCAGTCCCCAAGAATCTGCTCTTCTCAGTGCCCTCAAACTCAGTTCACAGTGGCCTTAGCCTTCCTGTTGCTCTGGCCTTAAACTCTGGAATCTTCCTTGACCACCCCCCCAAACTTTTCTCATACTCCACCCCCAATTAATCAGCCGACCACGCCAGCTCTGCCTTCAACATGGCACCAGGACCTGGGCCCTTTTTACCACTCCTCAGTCACTACCCTGCTCACCCACCCGGGCTGTGTCCCCACCCCCACCCCCATATCTGGGTCACACGGTAGTCTCCTAACTGGTTTTCCAACCCTTCAGTAGATATCAATCCTGCCATGGAGCTGTCCCCTTAAAAGGCAGCTCAGACCATGTCACTTCTCTGCTTCTCTCCCACAACTCCTGTCCCCATCAAGGGGGAGCGCAAAGTCCTTCCAATGGTCTACAAGGACCCCCCCAAGATCTGTCTCCAGGTCCTGTACCCATCCTCCCCCAGCTCACATTCCGGGGAAGCTGCCCTGGCCTCCTGGCTGTCCATGCACTGGCCTCCTTCCTCGGGACCTCTGCATGAGCTGTTCCCTCTGCCTGGAAGGCCCTCCTTCCTTCCCCCTCCTACCCACGTGTCTCACTTCCTCCCATCTCCTCTTTATTCAAACATGCCTTTCTCGGCAACCTCTTCCCTGGACACCCTTCCCTGTTCTTTGTTTTCCTTTGAACTGGCCACCAACTTAACACTGTGTATTCTGTGTTTATCGTGGGAAATGTTCACTGAAGCAAGCACCTCCTCCTTTCCCCTGAAGACTCCCCTACCCCATAACCTGCTGAGAATTCAATGCAGCTTGTTCCTGGATTTCTAAGCCCACAGCTCATGCTAAGCGTGATCATGGCCTTGCCCATCCACTACCCGGCCCTACAGGAATCCGCACTAGCAGCCTGGAAACCAGACCCCCAGCTCAGGACCTACCCACCCCTAAGACTAGCCTAGAGGCCACCTGAAGGCAGGGCCTGGGCCTCAGCTATTTCTAGGAGCTGGCATTCGGCACAGCCCCTGGCAGGT
This sequence comes from Homo sapiens, assembly GCF_000001405.40. Taxonomy (NCBI): domain Eukaryota; kingdom Metazoa; phylum Chordata; class Mammalia; order Primates; family Hominidae; genus Homo; species Homo sapiens. The sequence continues at coordinate 15,022,978 of NC_000001.11, read as the reverse complement.
AAAGGAAAGGGTTAACAGGTAACCTGGGGGCTTAAGCAGGCTGTCAGAGGCTCAGTGCTCACCATTTCCAAATATCCTAATCTGCCCCTTCCCTGGTTCTCCAGCTGAGGGACCCAGGACCATCCAGGTAGAACCCGCAGCTGTGCACAGAGCCTACCAGGGATCATGAGTCAGACAGGTGCATGAGCGGGGACCTAGAACACCAACCCCACCTAGAGGGGGTGACTGACCGAATGTGGCCCAGTCATGCCAGGCCTCCCAAAGTTTTGAGAAAATTCCCAACTCCAGGTGATGGCTACTTCCCATGCCTTAAATGTCTCCCAATGTTTCCACATTGGCAACTGATCACAAGTCCAGCCATGTCTGTGGGCTCGGCTGGGTGCTGACTGCTGACCTGAGTGAGTGTCCACGGAAGAGGGAGCAGGAGAGACTTGGGCCCATCCATGGCTGAGGGACCAGGCTCTACAGACAGAGGCCTGGACTCTCAGCCTGGCCCTACCATTTGCTTGTTGTGACCTTGGGTAAGTGCCTTTTGCCTCACGGTCAAATGGGGATAATAGTATTGAATAATGCGTATTGAATGAGAGCAAAAGCTCCCCAACCGCAAAACTCCGGTTAACCATGCAGAGTGACTGCCTAACAGCCAGAGAGGCTCAGGCTGGACTGGGCAGACTCTTGAGAAGGAAGCAGCACCCTGGGGCGGGGTGCGGGCGTGGTTCTCAGCAGAGCTGCAAGACCACTGGATAGACCCGTTTGGAGCCAGGGCAGGGAAGTGATGGGAGGGAGGGGGGTGCATGGCCCGTCCTGGCCATCTGGAGAGCCTCTGCCTCAGGCATGGATGCATGAGGCTTGGCTGTGTCCCCACCCAAATCTCATCTTGAATTGTAGCTCCCCTAATTCCCACGTGTTATGGGAGAGACATGGTAGAAGGTAATTGAATCCTGGGGGCAGTTTTCCCTGTACTGTTCTCATGGCAGTGAATAAGTCTCACGAGATCTGATGGTTTTCCCCTGGCTCTCATGCTCTATCTTGCTGCCACCATGTAAGAAGTGTCTTTTGCCTTCCGCCATGATTATGAGGCCTCCCCAACCTCTTTTTCTTTGTAAATGTCCTAGTCTCGGGTATGTCTTTATCAGCAGCATGAAAACGAACTCATACAGATGCCAGGAGCCAGGGCTTCCAATGAGAAAGGGCTGGAAACAGCTAGGCCGGTCCCAGGGAGGGGACCGAAACCTGCAGACAGAGTGTCCGTCATAAGAGGGACTGCAGGGAGCCACAGGGGCCCTCTGCAGGCTTCAGGGTGCTAACTGCACGCAGGGCACACTGTCCCTGCCACCACCCCGGCTCAGGACTGCCCCTGGAAGAGCTCAGAGGTCACCTGGAAGCCAGGAGGGCGGAGGGCCCCGGGAAGCAGGCCCCCACTGCCTGCTCCTCCCCGAGGGAGACAGGAGGCCAAGGTATACCAGCAGGAGGGAAATGGGAGGGGCCGGGACTGGGAGCGGGTGGTGTTTGTTTTCCAGCCTCTGAAGGGGAGTCCAGGAAATGTCCTCCTTCCTCCCAATCACCACTAAAAATAGTGGCAGGGAATGGGCCCGGAACACGGACATTCCCTAGGTTGAAGCGGGAGGGGGAAATGGAGATTTCTGGAAATGCAATATCAGCCTCAGGCCCCATGCCCCACACAACGAGGACTATTTTTAAAGGCTTGTGTGGGTGTGTGAGGTCGTATGCAGGCAAGATAATGGCCTGGGCTCGGTCTTGAGAAAGGAGGAAGAGGCAGCATGGAGCAGGGAATGGCCGGTGGACAGGGAGGCAGGACACTGGGGTGCAAACCCGCATGCTGTGTGGCCTTGGGAACTCAGGCACCCTCTCTGGGTTTTGGTGTCCTACTCAAGACTGTCCATCGGGAAGCTGCCCTGGGTGCCTAGTGATATGGACTGGTCTCACCCCTGCTGCGTAACAGAGACACAGCAGGGTTGTTGAAGGCAGATGCAGGCAGCAGCCTTTTCCCAGAAAAGTTTACAAGAGAGGAGAGAGGCTGCAGAGAGCAGAGCTCACGAGTGAGAACCCGGAGCCAGACAATCTGGGTTCACATCCAGCTCTGCCGCTCCTTAGAGTGATGTGGGGGGACCTGGGGCAAGTCACATCATGCCAGCGTTTTTGCCATCTGTAAAAGGAATGAAAAGAGTTCCTACCTGGGTATATGTCTGAAAGGCCTGCATCTGTGCGTTCACCTGCACGAAAAAGTTCACAGCGGCCCTATTTGTAAAAGCTCCAAACTAGAAACTCCCCAGACACCCTTGATCAGGAGAATGGCCGCAGCCACTGTGATCCCTTCACATGGTGGATGGCTTGACCTGGTGAGAATGAATGAACGATGGCCACACGTGACGCAGAAGAGCCACACGGACCGAGTGTCGCGCTTCTGGAGCCAGACACAGATGAGTATATACTGTAAACAGTGCTAAGAAGAGACGATGCAAGAGGGGCAGAATTAATCTCCATGGCTAGAAGTCAGCGACAGGCTACCTTCGGAGGGGGATAGTGGCAAGAAAGGTGCACAGGAGGGCTTCTGGGAAGCGAATGAGGTCCTATTCTTGATCTGGGTGCTGATTACACAGTATATTCAGTTTGTAAAAATTCTCCAAGATATAAACTTGAGATTCATGTATTATGTGAGTATTATGTGATCCTTTAATTAAAAGCTTTTAGAAACAGCATCCACCTCATAGCACTGGTTTTGTATATGCAATGCCCTCGGAACAGTGACTAGTGTGTGGGGAATGCGGTAACCCAGCTTGTATCACCTGGAGGGCTGTGGGTCCCCATGACGTCAGTAGACACCCGCCTGGGGTAGCAGTGAGGCAGGGCAGCTCCAGGTGTGGGCAAGGTAGGCGTTGTTCCCACTGTGAGTCCCCAGGGCCCCTGGGGCTGGGGAAGGAAGATGAGCTGTGGGGTTGGTCCTGGGTTCAAGTCCAGCTCAGTCCTGCACAGGCCACGACAACGCTGTCCGTGTGTTACTGTGGTTAGTTAAGGGGGAGGACATTCATGGAGGTGCCAGGCAGTACTTGGCATGATGAAAGGTGGTGGCTTCCCCAGCACTAATAATGACAACAGCAATGATAACCGATGATAACAATCACCACAGTAACAGCCGTAGTCAGCATTTATTGAGTGATTCCTATGGGGTGGGTATTATTCTACACCTTGCATGTTTTCACTCAAATTTTCCTCAAAGCAATCCTGAGAGGTAATGCCATCATTCTCCCCAGTTTACAAATGAAGAAACTGGCTGGGCTTGGTGGCTCACGCTTGTAATCCCAGCACTTTGGGAGGCCGAGGCAGGTGGATTACTTGAGGTCAGGAGCTCGAGACCAGCCTGGCCAACATGGCGAAACCCTGTCTCTACTAAAAATACAAAAATTAGCTTGGCGTGGTGGCGGGCGCTTGTAATCCCAGATACTAGGGAGGCCGAGGCACAAGAATTGCTTGAACCAGGGGGACACAGGTTGCAGTGAGCTGAGATTGCACCACTGCACTCCAGCCTGGGTGACAGAGCAAGACTCTGTCTCAAAGAAACAAACAAACAACCAAATGAAGAAACTGAGGCAAAGGTAGATTACACTGACCCAGCTGGTAAGAGGCAGAGCCAGGTTCAGGCTGGGTGGGTCTGGTTCTGAGCCCCCTGCTCTTAATCATATCCAGGTAGGCAGTCCCTGGTGTAGCAAGGCTGGGGCAGATGCTGGACCTGGGCATGGAATGGGGGTGCAGTGGGGAGCAGTGGAGCCTGGTGGTCCCACCCTGCAAGGCCTTTCATCACCCTGGAGGCCACAGGCCCCAGTTGTCCCTGGAAGGTGTGGAGGTACATGCCAGGTCCTCTCACAGACCCAGTATGGCTGCTGGGATAAGATGAGTCTCAGTCTGGCTGGGACTCACAGCAGGTCACTAAGGATTCAGGTCCTGCTCAGCCTCCCGCCCGCCATGTGCCTTCAGGACATCCAGCAACTTCTCAGGGCCTCAGTGTTTAACTCTGTGAAATGGGCACAATAACAACCTAGCAACCTCACAGGTGGAAACGATATCTGAAGATGAGCTTTAGAATCCACAGAGATTTCAAAGGTGTGAAGACAGCTGTTAATGGGAGGGGAGGGCAGCTGCTGGGGGGCTGTGGCTGCCCGCCTGTGCCAGTCCAGGTGGGTAAGTCTGTCTACTTCTGGCATTCAGCATCAACCAGACACCGTGGCCCAGGATCCCAGCCATGATCTCAGACCCCCTTTCGGTCACAAAACACTGTGATCTTTGCTTGTCTGACTTCTGTGAGACCCCCACAACTACTTCCTAATTTAGTAGAGGAAGAAAGGAGTGTTTTTTTTTTTTTAAATCAACTCCCTAAAGTCTCTGCAGCAACAATTATTATTTTCAATTTTTGTGATCCTGTCTTTGATTTTTCCCTCTTCCAGGGGACCCCATGACGGCTGCAGACAGAGGCGTGGCAGCAAAAAAAAAATCACAGAGAACAATTTTCTTGTCTTCTCCTGCAACCAGAAAGTGAGAGACCCTGGCCACCACCAACCCCCAGCCAGGGCCCTGGAGCTACCTGATGCCATCCCGTTAATTGGAGGGGTGCGAGAGTTTTATGGCAAGACTGGAAATCTACTGTAATTAAGACCTCTATAAAATATTTAGACCGCCATTCTCAGATATATTAATGATTATACATTTAAATGTTAATGAGTGTAATTAGATGAAAGATTAGCCAAGCTTGTCACTAAATATACATTCAGGACTGATAAACTATCTCATAGTAAAATTATATGTGTGAGCAGACGTACACACTTTAGACTTCTGAGATAGACTTGGATTTGTCTTATTGAAAAAAAGCTGAAAGCGTGGCCCAGAAAAATGGAGGGGGAGAAAAGGGAGTTTGCAGGCTGGGGGGAAGCCAGGGAGATCAGAGGGGAGAACCCTAAAGACTCCATAGGGTTCTTGGAAATGGGAAAGATCAATAAGTTAGTATATGTGAAAATTTGCACACCTCCATGAATGGAGAACTCACTACTCTTAGGAGTAGCCAGTTTTTGCTCTAATGATCACATGCCAGAGGCAGGCTTATGAGAATGGTTTATAGGGGTGACATCGGGGTATCCCCCAGAATTCTAAGGCTTTTTTTTTTTGAGATGGAGTTTCGCTCTTGTTGCCCAGGCTGGAGTGCAATGGTGCAATCTCAGCTGACTGCAACCTCCGCCTCCCAGGTTCAAGCGATTCTCCTGCCTCAGCCTCCCATGTAGCTGGGATTACAGGTGCCCACCACCATGCCCGGCTACTTTTTGTATTTTTAGTAGAGACGGGGTTTCACCCTGTTGGCCAGGCTGGTCTCAAACTCCTGACTGAAGGTGATCCGCCCACCTCAGCCTTCCAAAGCGCTGGGATTACAGGCGTGAGCCACCGCGCCTGGCCAGAATGCTAAGGCTTTAAATTCAGTCGTACAAAACTAAGACCACAGTATCTGCAAAACTATCTGCAAGACAACCTATCATCTCCTAGGTCAAGAACAAGATAAATAGGACTTAGCCACGGCCTTATTAATAGAAGGGTTTATGTTTATTCAACAAAAACTTGCTCAGGCACTGAGCTGCAGCTGAGGAGTCTGGGTAAATAAGACAGATAAGGTCTTTTTTTTTGAGACTGAATCTCGCTCTGTTGCGCAAGCTGGAGTGCAGTGGTGTGATCTCGGCTCACTGTAACCTCTGTCTCCTGGGTTCAAGCAATTCTCGTGCCTCAGCCTCCTGATTGACTGGGATTACAGGTGCGAGCCACCAAGCCTGGCTAATTTTTGTATTTTCAGTAGAGACAGGGTTTTACCATATTGGCCAGGCTGGTCTTGAACTCCTGACCTCAGGTGATCCGCCCGCCTCAGCCTCCCAAAGTGCTGCGATTACAGGCATAAGCCACGGCGCCCAACCAGACAGATAAGGTCTTTATTCCCATGGATACTATGTTGGAGCAAGGAAGACAAACAAGCACATGACACATGTTTAATTATTATTTAAATGCAATTATTTAAATACACACTGAGGTCAGTGCTGAGAAGTAAACAAACAGAATCCTGGGCCGCCGGTGGCGTGGTCTGTGAAGACCTGTGTGAGGCCTGAAGGATGGAGAAGCTGCCATACATGCCGAGAGGAAGAATGTTCCGGCAGAGGGAAGGGCAAGTGCAAAGGCCCTGAGGCAGCAAAGAGCTCAGTATTTTCTAGAAGCGAAGGCCAGGGAGGGGCCTTGTGCAGATGAGCCTGGGTTTCCCTGCAGGGAAGTGGGAAGCCACTTGCGTCAGTTTCCTGTGGCTTCCGTAACACATTGCCACAATCTGAGGGCTTAAAACAAATGCATTCTCAAGGCTGGGCACGGTGGCTCATGCCTGTAATCCCATCTCTTTGGGAGGCCGAGGTGGGTGGATCACCTGAGGTCAGGAGTTTGAGACCAGCCTAGCCAACATGGTGAAACTCTGTCTGTACTAAAAATACAAAATTGAGCCGGGCACGGTGGCATGCGCCTGTAATCCCAGCTACTCGGGAGGCTGAGACAGGAGAATGATTTGATCCTGGGAGGCAGAGGTTGCAGTGGGCTGAGATCGCGTCATTGCACTCCAGCCTAGGCAACAAAAGTGAGACTCTGTCTCAAAAAACAAAAAAGCCTTCTCTGGTAGTTTCAGAGGCCAGAAGCTCGAAATCAAGGTGTGGCAGAGCCACATCCCCTTCAAAGTCTCCTCCAGCTTCCAGTTTCGCCACAGTCCCTGGCGTCCGTCGGCCTGTAGATGTGTCACCCTGACCTCAGCCTCTGTCTTCTCATCACCTTCTCCCCTCAGTGCTCCTCTCTTCTCTTCTCTTCCAAGTACACTTGTCCCAGAATGATCTCATCTCGAGATCTTCACCTTAACACCATCGGCCAAGAATCTGTTTGCAAATGAGGCCATGTGCACAGGTTCCGGGTGGAGGTATCTACCCAGGGACCACTGTTCAACCCAGCAGAGCAGGGACGGGGTTAAGTGGGGGCGCCCTGCCCTCCGATCACAGTGTCTGCCTTGCGGAGACTGGATTGGGGACTTGGGGACAGGTGGAGACAGGTAGGCCGGTCAGGGTTTTGCTGCTGCTCAGGAAGCAAGACAGTGGCTTGGAGTGGGATAGCAGCAGCAAAGACGAGGCAATGGGTCCAAGGGGGACTGTGCCCACCAGAAGGGATGGTGGTCACCAGGAAACCCTTAAAATATAGAAGGACCTGTGGAGCAGACCCAGAAAGGGGTGACCAGCCTGACTCAGGTCCTAGACCTGCCCATGCTGACGGTTTGTCCTTAGAAGGTCCCACTGGAGGAGGGAGGGAAGCCCCAGATCCCTGCAGCTCAACCGTGCCAGCTGCCACAGAGGGCCACCTCAGGACCACTCTTCACCCGAGAGACAGCTCCAGCCGCACAGAGCATCGGGCAACTGGCCGTGAGCTTTGTTTTTAAACCATGTTTAAAAACATCAGTTTTTATGGCCGGGCCCGGTGGCTCACGCCTATAATCCCAACACTTTGGGAGGCTGAGGCGGGAGGATCACGAGGTCAGGAGATCAAGACCAGCCTGGCCAACATGGCGAAATCCCGTCTCTACTAAAAATACAAAAATTAGCTGGGTGTGGTGGCGGGCGCCTGTAATCCCAGCTACCCAGGAGGCTGAAGCAGAAGAATTGCTTGAACCTGGGAGGCAGAGGTTGCAGTGAGCCGAGATCGCGCCACTGCACTCCAGCCTGGCAACAGAGTGAGACTCCGTCTCAAATAAATAAATAAATAAATAAATAAATAAATAAATAAAAAGAAAAAACTTCAGTTTTTAAAGTTCTTATAAACTTGAAAAAAGCAGTCTTTAGTTCATACTATGTGTCAGAAGTGTTCTAAAACTTTATATATTATTAATCCTCTGAAGAAGGTGCTATAATTATTAACTACTATGATTCCCATTTTATAGAAGGGACAATTGAGGCACAGAGAGGGGAAGTCATGCAGCCAAGGTCCCACAGTAGAGAAGCGCCAGCCTCCAGAGGCTTATTTCTCATGACCCGAGAAAACAACTGGGCCAGTGCCAGGCAGGGTGAGGGCACGGAAGGCGGGACAGGTGGCCTCAGCCCCACACGCTGACTGCCTGACCATCCCTTTAGAATTGCAGATGGCCTCAGCCCCACAAGCTGACTGTCTGACCATCCCTTTAGAATTGCCTGCAGCTTTCAGCTAACTGCCCTTCCTTAGCTCTAAGCAAGAGGTATGTGCCAAGATTCTTCCCGGGAGGAAGGCTTTCTGGACAGTGACAGATGGCAGAGTTCCATGGGTGCCAGCAAATGCTCTCCCACACAAGAAGCCCGGAGCAGGGTTTTAGGGCGCTTTTCCAACGTGCTGGAAATGCCGTGCCACGAGAGGCTCATCCAGCAGAGCTTGAAGGGTTAATCTGGGGACCACTAGGTCTGGAGAGGGTCTGACACTGAAGAAGGTGACAGAATTATACAAAAAACCAACAGGAGCAGCAATGATAACCATACCCAGCCTCCGCCGTGGAGCACTGTGGTTGAGAAAACATTTGCCCATCTTAGAAGCACCCTGCAAGGTGGGCAGGGTGGGAACCTATGGGCTCCCTTCATAGATGCAGAAACTGAGGCTCAGAAAGTAAAAGTCACTTCCTCACAAATGAATCAGAGGTCTAAATCACAGATTTCTGATTCTTAGACAAACTCTCCCTGCCTCCCAGAATCCTGCAGGTGTGGATGGCTCTGGGGGTACCTGGGTAGAGGTGGCCTGAAGGATTCGAGACTCATTCAGAAGGACCAAGGGCAGAATTTCAGCCCTTTTCTTGGACCAGAGAGCAAACTCGGTTCTTAGTTTCTGCTCAGCCTAAGACAAAACCCTCCTCCGGAATGAGCTCCAGTTCTGTGAGGCTCTCGGCCATGGGTTCACTTAAGCATCCTTCCTGAGTAAATGGAGAGACAGGCAAGCAAAGAATTTCCGAACTGCAGAGCAACGATTTCTCTAGCATGCCACGGGGCCTTTGCACTTCCCATCCACTCTGCCTGAAATGCCCCTGCCCCACCTCACCCCAATCCCATGCACGTGGCTCACTCTCCTGCCTCCTTCAGCTCCTCAGTCACCTGATCAGCTTTTTGGAGTAGCTGTACTGTTCTCCCATCTCTCTCTTTTTTTTTTTTTGAGATGGAGTCTTGCTCTTTCGCCCAGGTTGGAGTGCAATGGTGCGATCTCAGCTCATTCAACCTCCGCCTCCCAGGCTCAAGCGATTCTCCCGCCTCAGCCTCTGAGTAGCTGGAACTACAGGCGCCCACCACCAAGCCCAGCTAATTTTTATATTTTTTTAATAGAGACGGGGTTTCACCTTGTTGGCCAGGCTGGTCATGAACTCCTAACCTCAAGTGATCCGCCCACTTTGGCCTCCCAAAGCGCTTGGATTACAGGCATGAGCCACCGTGCCTGGCCCGGTTCCACCATCTCTAAAACTGTCACATTGCCAGATCCCTCAGTGCTATTTTCCTTCCATACTTAATTTTTTTCTTATGCTCTTTTTTCATCTGACATCATCTGTTTTGCATTTACCTGTTTACTGTCTAGCTTCCCCCTCCCCCACTCGAATATAAACGAAACGGGGGTGAGTAGTTTGCCTCCTATTTTGTTTCCTGCTATTCCCACAGTGCTAAAATGAGGGTCTGGCATACAGAAGGTGCTCAATAAATATTTGCGGAAGCACTGAAAGTGACCACAGTGGAGGCGTGTACAGGTGCAGAGGCCAGAAGGCAGAGGAGTCTACAGGAGGGAGGCCTTATTGCAAATCCATGGACACCTGTGGAAACCTGGCGTGTCTGGGGAGCCACACTCAATTCAGCATTGCCTGAGCTTAGCTAAACTGAAGGTCAGGAAGAACTGTTCCCAGCTGGGAACCTGGCTGAGCCTCTGGGTACACGCTGGGACCACGCCTGGTGCCTTGGGTTGGGAGGGAGTGAGCTTGACGCTTCCCATTCTTTTCTTTTTTTTGAGACAGTCTCTTTCTGTTGCCGAGGCCGGAGTTAAGTGGTGTGATTTCAACTCACTGCAACCTCTGCCTCCCCAGTTCAAGTGATTCTCATACCTCTGCCTCCTGAGTAGCTGGGACTACAGGTGTGCACCACCACGCCCGGCTAATTTTTGTATTTTTAGTAGAGACAGGGTTTTGCCATGTTGGACAGGTTGGTCTCAAACTCCTGGCCTCAAGTGATCCACCCGCCTCAGCCTCCTAAAGTGCTGGGATTACAGGCGTGAGCAACCACGCCGGGCCATGATCCCATTATTTTCTGTGCAGAGGTTTTCAAGAGGATCTATGTTCTGTGTGTGTCTTCTTATCTCCTTGATTCCTATGCTGTGCCCTGCATTGAGGGCCTGGAAGAAACTGGGGTTGTCTAGCTTTAGGGCAAAAAGCCAGGGAGACTTTTTCTGCCTCCAGGTGTGGGGCGTTGCATCAACCCAGCGGTGAGGTACCAACTGTTCTCCAACCCCCCATCCTTACTCACCATGGGAGATTTGGGCTTAACTGGGTCTTTTAGGTATAACTTTTCTAACACTGAGGTCTGGAGCCTGTGGATTGGCCCCAGAGGTCCCCATGGGAGGCAGCGGAAGTTTCTTCTGGGAGGCCTTTCTCTACCAGCAGGAAACTGGAGCAGGTGGTAAGAATAGCTTTCTGTACCTGGCCACCTAGGTTCAAGTCCTGGGGTGTGAGTAGAGTGTTCTCTACTCACTAGCTGGGTGACTTTGGGAGAGTGTCTTAATTTCTCTGGGCCTCTGTTTCCTCATTTGTAAAACGAGGAATGGTAGCAGCTCCTACTTCACAGGCTACTCCACATGCAAGGGACCTGCAAGAGTGCCCATGGTGTTAGCTGCCATTATTACTAGCAGCAGCTAAGAACAGATGCAGCCTGAGGCTGGGGGGTGTACAGAAAGGCTCTTCCAAGTTCCAGCAGCCCTGAAGGTGCTGGGAGGAGCAAACTCATTCACACAGAGGAGGGGGCTTGGAGGCTCTGGACTGGCCGCGTCCACCACCCGCCTTCCCACTCCTCCTTCCTCTTTTTGGTCCTAAAGATGCTAAGTGGTGCCCCGCCCCCAACCCTGAGTGCGCAGTGTTGGCTACATGAGGACACAAGATTCCCTGCTCTCGAGGGATTTATGGCAAGGTCAGAAAGAAGGGTCTAAATACAAATGGAAGAGAGTAAGGTCTATGCTTTTGTTCATTCTCTCATTCATCCGGGCAAACTTTATCACCGGCTTTAAGTTTGGTGACTTGGCACCCTGCTAGCACAGAAACAAAAACACTTCAAGTCTTTAGCAGTAATCAATGCAATAAGTAGGTAACACAGGCCATGAGAATATGAGTATTTGGGGTTGGGGGAGGGGGAGTCAGAGAGAGAGCATGAGCTGGCTGGATCCCTGGAAAGTCCTCTGGGAAGAGGGCCTCTCCCAAATTTCTGAGAAATGGGCAGAAGTGCAAACAACCACCTCTCAAGGCTGCACGTTCTGGTGACTGGCATCCTGTGCCTTCGGAGCTGGGATCTTGCCAGACCCCTGAGCATTTTGGAAGCAAAAGAGGGGACAGCTTATTCAATCCAGCCAGGAGCCCTGGGATTTAGAGATAACAAGAGCATATGATCACTTTACCTCTGCCCTTGCTTTTGGGTGCAGCACCTGGGCTCTTACCCTAACTGGCTACATAAGCAGGGTAGGTCCCAGCCTCTGGGGCTCAGTCTTCTCATTAGCAAAGTAGGAATCAAACTCCGATCTGCCTCCAAAGACTGAGCCAGTGGGTGTACTCTGTTTATTAACACGTTAATATCTACATTTTCTTAACACCCTTGGCTATCTTGGTGAACACATCATTTGGGTTATCTGACTTTTCTAAATAGTTGAGCCTATTTAAGCATGAAACTCAATAAATGTATTGCTTGAACCATTTCCTGATGATGGAAGCTTTTAAAATGGAGTAATGAAAGTGGAGGCAGTAACTCATTATTCTGACTGGTAAATAAAGGGAGAAATGTTAATTACCCAGCTTTCGTTTTTGAATTCTACCAGTGGGTAAGCAAACAGTAGATGATGGAGGGGTCTGTTTATGGAAGGGTTCTAGCTACTCCATGAAAAAGGAGTGAGAGAAGAGAACACTGCCACTCTGCTACTTCTGCTGAATGTCTGGATTCAGGTGTCACAGGTCCTGGGCTGCCAATATCACAAAAGCAAGACGGGCCGGGAGTGGTGGCTCACGCCTGTAATCCAGCACTTTGGGAGGCCAAGGTGGGTGATCACGAGGTCAGGCGATTGAGACCATCCTGGCTAACATGGTGAAACCCCGTCTCTACTAAAAAATACAAAAAAATTAGCTGGGCATGGTGGCGGGCGCCTGTAGTCCCAGCTACTGGGGAGGCTGAGGCAGGAGAATGGCGGGAACCTGGGAGGCGGAGCTTGCAGTGAACCGAGATTGCGCCACTGCACTCCAGCCTGAGCAGCAGAGCGAGACTCCGTCTCAAAAAAAAAAAAAAAAAAAAAAGCAAGACAACCAGATGGCACGTGCCCCTGGAGAGGAGGACCCAACATCTCCTTTGAAGGAGTCTTTCAAAAAAATCAGTAAAGAAATGAGTCTGAATCTGATCAAGCCTTTAGATGAACTATCAATTTACAGGAAATTCAAAGGACAGAGGAACATGTTAAGGACACCATGGGGATGCAATTAGCAAACTCCAGACCCTGGAAAACCTACCAGACAAACAACATGTTTCCTTCAACAAATAATTAGCAAGGATAATAAAAAAAGAAAGGAAGAAGAGCTTCTAGATTTAAAAAGACTTAAAAAGATATTAAAACTAATCACACTGTGTGGATATTTGGATCCTGATTCCAACAAGGTACAGAATTTATGAGTCAATAGGAAATTTGAGTAATAACAGTATCTGATCATTTTTTCAAGTGAGATGATAGTTTGGAGGTTATGTTTCTTAAAAAGAGTCCTTATCTTTTATAGATACATATTACAATATTTGTAGATGACATGATGCATCTTGGATTTGCTTCAAAATATTATGGGGAGGAACGAGCGGAGGGTGAGACAGAATTGGCCATGGGTTGATGAATGTTTGGGGTCAGGTAATAGGTAAATGGGATTAATTTCATTATTCTATTCACTTCTGTATGTAACAAAAATGTTCCATAATAAAAAATGCCACCAAGGCTAGCAGAAGACATTTTATGCCTCTGCCCAGTGGTCCAAATGGTGGAGCTTGAGTCTTGGCCAAGTTCTGTAGCCTTGTCCTCGCTCTCTTCCTTTGCTATGGAGCTGACAGCTGTCCCGTCTGCATGGGTGCTCAAAGCAGCCTCTCCCAACACATCTCTCAACTGCTGTGGGCTTAGCAAGAGGACTGGGCTCATTGCAGCTGTGGAAGCACGTTTCCCCAGCCTGAGCAAGGGGTGCCATGTGTGCAAAGGTGCTTGGCGTTGTGACTCTGGGTCTGCCTGTTCCCAGGCAACCCTCCTGGCCTTCCTGGTGCTCAGCGTGCTCTGGGAGCTGGGATGGCGCTTACCTGAGTTCTCCATAAGCACACTGTCACATGGCGCCCTCCCTCTCTTCTGTCGGGATTCTGGGTGCGGGAGGGGAATGTGACTGCTGCTTCTGTGAACAGGCACAGTCTCCTCAAGGCACATTATCCCAGGCTCTAACCCTGGGCGTGCTTTAAAAATCTTCCTGTCTTTGCAGGACGTGCCCAGGATGCCACCTGGGGAGTCAGTGCCCGGGCAGTAGGCTGCCCGAATTTCCTGGTGCCCTTGGGCCCCCTGGGTAGGGCTAGCTAAGGCTGGAGGGAAGGGGGCTGCTGGCTCACCCCAGCGGGCGGGCTCGTGTGCAAAACTGCCAACTCAGCACACGGGCTTTATTTACTTCTGCAAGAGAGAAAAGTATGTGACCTCTTAAGGAAACCAAAGTGAAGAATTTCCTGCCTGATTGTCCAGGGGGGAATAACAGGAACTGAGCTACTTACAGCCCAAACAAACAGCACTAAGTGATGAGGATGCAGGAGAGGCCTTGAGGACTGTGGCTGGCAGGGGAATGGGACCTCAGCCTTGCCGCTCCTCTTATGACTTTGCCGCCTCTGCCCAGGGCTCCTGGGCCCACAGGGACCATTGAGAAACCTGGGCTGACTCTCAGGATAGTAACAGTGCCTTACACAGACCTTGAACTTGGAAGGCAGACGGGACAAGCTAGAAAGAGCCTTAGACTTAGAGCCAGATACCAGGGCTAGAAGCCCTGTGGCACCTGTGCAGGTCACATAACCTCTGGCCTTTGAACCTGCCTGTTCCAGAGGGGTTTAAAGGGTCACATGAAATGACCTCTGCGAAGAGCTCTGCAAACAGTGAAGTGCTCTGGAAACCCGGCAGGGCATTCCCGGTCCTCATCATAGCTGTCTCACTCACCTCACACAACCTACTGAGTACCAGTGTTCCCATCTGATGAATGAGAAAGTAAGGCTCAGAGGGGTTAAATGACTTGCCTTGGTCAGCCTGCCAGTGAGCAGCAAGGCCGACTACTCTCAGGCTCGCCTGAGACCTGCAGAGTCCAGCAGGATCCACTGTAACACCTGCCACTTCTGGCCACTCATCCACTTGGGAAAACTCTTTCCTCCACGACTCTGGCAGCCTGGGCTTCAGACTTACAGCCGAGGCCTGGACTCCGAGGTGGTGCCGTCTGGATGGGTGAGGTGTGGCCCAAGCGCTGGGCTCATGGAGATAAGCTTCGGGCTGAGCTTCCAGGGGGAGCAGCTACCCACTTCCGCAGGCCACGAGTTCAAGACAAACAAGGCCTCCAGGAGCCTCAGCAGGCCTCAAGGCCAAAACAGTTATTTCATTTAAAAGGGAAGGAAGAAGGAGGTGATTTTTCTGCTCCAGAACTTGGCAAGAGACTCCGCAGCTGACCAGTCCCACTCGCAGGGGCCGCCTCTGTGCCAAGGCTGGGTGACGGCACGGCTCCCTTCCTGTGCTGATGGGGGCTCAAGGCTTTTGCACATGGGAGATGCTATGAACTGATAACTCTATCAGGAAAAAACTCCTTATGCAAATCAAAGCCGAGAAGTGAAATGGGCGGTGGCATTCAGGTTTGTTAGCAAGCAGGCATATGCTGGAAATGAGGAGTGCGCTGTTCCCAGTCTCCTCCGCTGTGGAGATACCCACTTTGCCGGGCCTGCTAATCATCTGTTATGGAGGCGGGCAGGTGAGCTACCTGCCCGGCAGAGCAGAAACCAGGAAGGGAAGGAAGGGGAGGGCTCCCACTACCCAACGGGTCGGCTGGCCAAGCCCACCTTGCGTCCCACCAGAGCTCGGCCCGAGCCTCCCACCTGGGACCTCCTCCTGCTCCCTGGGTCCAGATGTGGCCAGCCTGGGAAACAGAGAGGCCTGAGAGAGCCCTGGGCTCAAATCACACCCTCCACACCTCCCAGCCTAGTGCAGTGTGCCAAACTGGGGACCGTAATGTCTGCACCTCAAAGGTAGTGGCAACATTACATTCCTAGCTCATGAAAAACCCTCGCCAGATTTGGAGTGCCCGTTCTGGGTTCCAATCCTGCCTCTGCAGCTCACTGGTGATAAATGGGGTTAATCATACCCATAATATTCCAGCCCCTCACCTAGTGCTCTGGTTCCCGAGGACTGCCCAGCCTCCCAACATGCTGACTCTCAGAGTTGTTGCCAAAGGTTACATGAGTGTCTGTCCAGTTCCCAGCAGGGGCTTGGCCCCTTGAAGGTACTGAGTAAATACAGCTGTGATTGGTATTATGAGTATCATCAATCAATCCTTCCCTGGAATTTTCTGTTTTTCTTTTTTTTTTTTTTTTTTTTTGAGACGGAGTCTTGCTCTGTCACCCAGGCTGGAGTGCAGTGGCGCGATCTCAGCTCACTGCAAGCTCCGCCTCCCAGGTTCACACTATTCTCCTGCCTCAGCCTCCCGAGTAGCTGGGACTACAGGTGCCCGCCACCATGCCCGGCTAGTTTTTTTGTATTTTTAGTAGAGACGGGGTTTCACCATGTTAGCCAGGATGGTCTCGATCTTCTGACCTCGTGATCCGCCTGCCTCGGCCTCCCAAAGTGCTGGGATTACAGGCGTGAGCCACCGCGCCCAGCCCCTTCCCTGGAACTTTCTAAAATGGCAATCCTTGGCGCATCCCACCCTTCTTCCTGGCTTTATTTTTCTCCTTAGCACTTAGCACCAACTACCAGATCATACATTTTACTTATTTCTCTGGTTTATTATCTGTTTTGTCAACTGCTGTATCCCTGGCACCTAGGACAGTGTCTGGAACATAGTAGGTATTCAGTAAATATGTGCGGCATGAATGAGTGATTGATCACCTGCTTCCGCTCTGACACGTGGGCCTCAGCCCTGTGGATGGGATAAAATATGATGACGGGAAAGATAGGAGAAAGACCCTGCCTTTTCCCGGCTCGCTGTCAGGAGGGACCAGCCCGGCCCGGGCTTTTCTTGCTCCCATCCAGTCCAATCCAATTAGAACTTCACAAGCTGCTGCTGCATGCAAGGTAGCTGCTAGGTGACCACCAAACCTCTGCAGGTAGGAGAGGGCTCCTCTCTTCCCTAAGCCTAGCAAAGATTTAGCTCAAACCTCCCCTGGCCCAGAGGCCTGGGTCATCTACCTCTAGTCTTACTCCTGGCCATGAGAATCCTCCTTTGCTTCAACAAGATACTGGATGCAAAAGTGTTTTGTAAATGCTAAAGGGCTTGGCCTTTGGTTTTTATGTTTGCTGGTGCCCCTGGGCTGGCCAGTGAGTGGGTTTGGCAGAATACCCCAGAACCCCAGGTCTCATGGGGGTGGGAACTGTCTCTGACACAGCTCACAGTCCCAGGGTTCAAGGCTCAGATCCAGCTGAGTTCTGATCTTCAAGTTTCCAGCCATCCTAAGAGCTGCCTGCACATCTGCCCAGGGCCCAGTGTCGCGGTAAGGCACACGGGAAACAAAACTGTTAAGTGCCACTGCGGCCCGCTGAGATGTCTGTCCCATCACAAAGGAAACAATACAGGAGGCAGTGGTTTCCTTGCTGCTGAGATGCCAACACTAATGCCCTTTAGGTTAAAACAATTTTTTTTTTTTTGGAGACGGAGTTGTATCGCTCTGCCATGCAGGCTGGAGTGCAGTGGCACGATCTCACCTCCCTGCCACCTCTGCTTCCCAGGTTCAAGCGATCTTCCTGCCTCAGCCTCCCAAGTAGCTCAGATTATAAGCGTGTGCCACTATGTCTAGTTATTTTTAAAATATTTTTAGTAGAGATGGGGTTTTGCCACATTGGCCAGGCTGGTTTCGCATCCCTGACCTCAAGCGATCCACCTGCCTCAGCCTCCCAAAGTGCTGGGATGATAGGTGTGAGCCACCGCACCCGGCCCCCTTTAGGTTAAAATTTAAACTCAGAAAAACAAAACAAAACAAAACAGGAAGGGGTGGGCACAATTCTGGCTAACCTGGAGCCCAGGGAAAATGGGACAGAGTTGGCAGGGTCAGTCTCGGGGAGGTGTGGAGCAGGGTGCACACAGCATCGACAGATGGCACCTGCCCGGTGACTGCCTTGCAAACACTGGCACGTGGTCTGTAATGAGTCAGACTGGACTCCTAGGGGCTGGGTCCATGCCCAGCAAACTGCAAAGGCAGAATCTGTGGAATGGATTAAAAACATGTTTTTTTTTCCAAATAAAACCAGGGATGATTTTAAGCAATCAAAGTGTCCCTGTAAAATACGTGGCAGGTCTCTGTGCCTGAGACCCTCATGTGTTTTGGGATGAAGTTCGGCCATGGCACCCCTCATTCCCAGCCTGGGCTTGGTTTGCATATTATCCTCCCCAATGGATATGAGGCTGTGAGGTCTCAAAATAGCAACCTGGGCGTATTTACCTCTGTATCACCAGCTCAAAAGAATAATCACCTTTAATAATGGCAATCATAAAAAGTCGATTCTCAGGTGCCTGGTTCATGCCCAGCAACGAGTGTGCTTGAAGTGCCAAGATTCAATTAATCCTCACAATCATGCCAGGTGGTGGGTACTATTATTATACCCACTTTACAGATTAGGAACTGAGGCATGATATCTATTAATAAGTGACTTGCTCACCTGGTCAATGAGCGCTTAAGGCAGGATTTGAACCCCCCATTTAATGCTAGGGGTGGAGCAAGATCCGATAAAAAAGGGCAAGGCCAGAAGCACCTCTGACCCCAGACTTGGTTTCACCAGAGGCTGACTTCAGTGAGACACCATCTCATCTCCTTGAAGACGGCAAACAAAATGACCAAACTCCGGCTACATGCCTGGCCCTGTGCCAGGGGATTTACACACATCATCTCATTTGATTCTCAAAACACCCTGAAGAAGTCAACTCTATTGTCCCCAGTTCACAGGTGAGGCAACTCAGGTTCTGAGAGGTAAGGTCACTTGTCCAAGATGGTAACAGCTAGAAAGTAGCAAAGCTGAGAGCCATGCCCACAGACTCTGGAGTATTCTTTCTCCAGATTCTTTCACTCTGCAATGATATTTGCACAGTACCAGCCTCTTCTGCACAGCGGGCGTCCTCAGCTCTGGAAGCTGGCTGGGATAAGATGCACCAATAATCTAGGGGCCACCTAGGAAGGAAGAACACTGCCAACTAACTGTGACAGGGGAGTGCAATGGTTTCAGACCTGCTAAAATGCAAAAAGTGCACATTTTAGAGTTTATGAAATACAGGACGTTCTCATCCAGACAGCACCATGAGGTTGGCCAGTCTGATGTTATCCTCCTCACCCTGATAGTGCACGAGGCTCCAGGTATGTTCACCTCACTTTGTCTTTGACCTAGGTATGCCCAGCACCTTCCACGGTGCCAAGAACAGAAGACAATCAGAGGAAATGTCCTTTAAAGCCTGGAGAAGGAAGGTGCAAAGGAGGACCGGTTTTATGCTTCCCCCAGCAGAGGCCAGGACCTATGCAGCCTGCAGCCCCTGGAGCTGAACAGGTGTGTGTATGTGGGCAGGGGACACTGTGAGTGACACCTGGGGACAGAGGCTGAACCCAGGTCTCCACCTAAGAGAGGGGTACAGCAGGCAGGGACATTTTACGGCACACCTGGGGAAGAGTATCCAACTGCAGGGAGTGGGGGTAAGAGGTTTCATGGTGATCCTGAGCTGAGAGACAAGGAATGGGTAAGCTGATGACCCGAAGGCAATGCCCGTCCCCCACCCCTTTTCCCAAGCTCCCTTTCATGCTAGAACGTGAACATAAAGAACACTGCCTGAAAAACAGTCACAGGGGTGCTATCCCATGGGAGGGGGCCCTCACTTGGCCAAACCCAGTGGGCAAAATAGATTTTTCTTTTTGTTCTGTTGGTTGACCTCTGCTTTATTTTTAAAAAACAGCTTTACTGAGATATCACTGGTATGGGATAACCTGCCTGTAATTTGAAATGCACAATGAGCTAAGCTTTGACGTATGTAGACACCCTGACACCATCACCACAATCAAGATAATGAATCTATTCATGGCCCCCAAAGGGATGAGTGGATTTTGACCCACACCCCTGAACACAAGTTACCAGAGCCGCTGCCAACTGGAGCAATAGAGATGAAAACAGCTAACCGGCACCCACTGCCTACCGGATCCACGCCCTGTGTTTTGCAATTTACATGCATTATCCCACCTGGAAAGCTCTAGCGGGGGTGCTCACCTCCACGACATTATTCCCAAGGCAGAAGGTTGTGAGGCTAACGAGTGCCACGTAACCCAAGTCCAAATCCCAGCTCTGCCCCGTCCCAGCCGTGGGGCCTTTGGTGCCTTCGTTTACCTGTCTGTGCCCTTCTGTCGCCTGAGGATAAAAGAACACCCTCAATTTTGTGTGTGTGTGTGTGTGTGTGTGTGTGTACGTTTATTTTTATTTTTATTTTATTTTTTGAGACGGACTCTTGCTGTGTCGCCCAGGCTGGAGTGCAGTGGCGCCATCTCGGCTCGCTGTAACCTCCACCTCCTGAGTTCAAGTGATTCTCCTGTCTTAGCCTCCTGAGTAGCTGGGATTACAGGCGCCCACCACCATACCAGGCTAATTTTTCTATTTTCAGTAGAGACGGGGTTTCACCATTTTAGGTAGGCTGGTCTCGAACTCCTGACCTCAAGTGATCTGCCTGCCTTGGCCTCCCAAAGTGCTGGGATTACAGGTGTGAGCTACCACGCCCAGCCGTGTGTGTGTTTTTTTGGTGAGGAATAAAAGATTTAATATTCATCTAGAAGACTCAGGACAGTACTTGGCAAGATGATGACAATGATGATGGCGATGACGCTGATTTTTCTGAATGAGGAAACTTAGGTTCCGGGAAACTAAGTGACCCACCCAAGGTCATTCAGAGAGTCACTGGCCAAGCTAGGCTTAGAACTCGGGCAGTCTGATTCCAAGTTGGTATTGCTAACCACAATGCTGTCCTCTCTATGGCACGAAAAACTCAGGGTGCAACGCAGCTATGTGCCCTCACCTCTGGGGCTGCAGACCCATTGACTCTTGGCCCAGTCAAGGAGTCAACAGCGTCAGCAGGCTGTACCCCCAGATTTCTCTCTGTAAACTCAACCAATTGCTCCTGTTCTGATTCCCCTTTGACATTCTGTGCCCTCCACAGGGAGTATCAGTGAATTTTGGCTGGGGCCAGCCTCGGCTGGGAGAAAGAACAGGACTGTGACCGTCGAATACATAAGATTTTGCGGCCAGGCACGGTGGCTCACGCCTGTAATCCCAGCACTTTGGGAGGACGAGGCGGGTGGATCACAAGGTCAGGAGATCGAGACCATCCTGGCTAACACGGTGAAACCCCGTCTCTACTAAAAATACAAAAAATTAGCCAGGTGTGGTGGCGGGCGCCTGTAGTCCCAGCTACTCGGGAGGCTGAGGCAGGAGAATGGCGTGAACCCAGGAGGCGGAGCTTGCAGTGAGCCGAGATCGTGCCACTGCCCTCCAGCCTGGGCGACAGAGCGAGACTCCACCTAAAAAAAAAAAAAAAAAAAAAAAAAAAAAGATTTTGACTTTGTGGGGCCAAGAGGGACATCGCCAGAAGAATCCACCTCTCACCTTAAGTCACCCACCCGTGGAACAGACAGTGATCCTCACGAACCTTCTGAACAATGATTAACATTTTGGGAACACACTGCCTCTGGGTGAGGTCGACCCCACAGGCGAGGAGCACTCCAGCAGTTGAAGGAGGCACGTGTTCAAGCTCAGGGTGGAGAGAATTTGGCCCAGCTGACAAAACAAGGGTGGCTTCATTCATGGGGCAGTGCCCTGTGCCAGGCTCTGTGGAAAGTGCTCTGTGTGCACTGCTCACAGTCCAGGGAGTAGGGGCTGCTGCTCTTCCCTTTTAAGGATGAGGAAACTAAGGCCTGGAGGCACCAGCAACATTGCAAAACTTTTTTTTTTTTTTTTGAGACAGATTTTCGCTCGGTCGCCCAGGTTGAAGTGTAGTGGTGCAATCTGGGCTCACTGCAACCTCCGCCTCCTGGGTTCAAGTGATTCTCGTGCCTCAGCACCTGGCATTACAGATGTGAGTCACCACACCCAGTTAATTTTTTTTTTTTTTTTTTGTATTTTTAGTAGAGATGGGGTTTCGCCCTGTTGGCCAGGCTGGTCTTAAACTCCTGACTTCAAGTGATCCACCCGCGTCAGCCTCCCAAAGTGCTGGGATTACAGGCGTGAACCACCACGCCCAGGCATGTTGCAGAACTTTACCTGCAATGCACCACCACCTTTGCTGGGTTTGGGGAAGCTGGGATTTTTATTTATTTTTTAGAGGCAAGGTCTCCATCTGTCACCCAGGCTGGAGCGCAGTGGCACCACCATGGCTCACTGCAGTCTCGAACTCCTGGGCTCAAGCGACTCTCCTGCCTCAGCCTCCTAAGTAGCTGGGATCACAGGTAGACACTACCACACCTGGATAATGTTTAAATTTTTTTAGAGATAGGGTCTTGCTATGTTGCCCAGTCTGGTCTTGAACTTTTGGGCTCAAGTGATTCTCCCGCCTTGGCCTCCCAAAGCGTTGGGATTACAGGCGTGAGCCACTGCACCCGGCCAAAGCTGGAATTTGAATCCAGGTTGCCTAATGTTGATCCAAACGTACAAGCACTGTGCCAGGCACACCCCCTCTTTCCCTGCCTTTTTCAGCAGAGAAACAAACAATATACACGGCTGAGTAATTTTGTGCTTATTCCATGCCAGGGGCTGGGCTAGGTCCTTCCCATCCTCAAAAATTCTTCCCAACAGTTCTAGGAGGAATGAACCTTGCTTTCCAGAGGGGTTACTGGAGGTTCAGAGGGGTACAGTGGCCGGGCAGCATTTGGCTACAGGTTGGAGTGGCTCTCTCACGACACCCTCTGTACCCCCCGAGGTGCCTCCTCAGCCCTACTTTGAATGAGGTGCTCCAAGGAGGGACGGGGGCTCTGGGTTGTGCATTAGAATCCTATTGTTGCTGTAACAAATTACCACCAACTTTGTGGCTTAAAACAACACTGATGTATTATTTTATAGTTTTAAGGATCAGAAGTCCAAATTAGGTTTCACTGGGCCAAAATCAGGGTGTTGGCAGGGCCAGGCTCCCACCGGAGGCTATAGGGGAGAATTTGTTTCCTTGCCTTTCCCAGCCTTTAGAGGCCGCCTGCATCCCATGGCTGCTGGCCCTGTCCTCTAGCCTGAAAGTCAGCAACAGGGCACCTTCAGATCTCTCTGACTCTGACCTTTTTCCAGTCTCACATCTCCTTCCCTCTCTCTGATCTGCCAACCTTCCTCTATAAGTACCCCACGATTACCCAGGGCCCACCCAGACAATCCAGATCATCTTCCCATCTCAAGATCCTCCGTCACAGCTGCAAAGTCCCTCTTGCCATATAATATATCCACAGGTTCCAGGGATTATATCATGGACATCTTGGGGGGCGGGCATTATTTAGCTTACCACAGGCTGACACTGTTGTGCCCACCCCACCAGCCCCTGCCCTGGGGTCAAGACCAGCAGGCGGGAAGAAGTCAAGCCGGACAGGGCAGACTGAGGGTGTCCTGCATTCAACTGGAGCAAAGATGTGGAGGTGGGGAGGCCCAGGGCAGAGTGCCCACTCCCTCTGGGTCCAGGCCTGGCCTGAGTTGGGGTTACATCCACAGGCGCATTCCTCGAAGAGCAGAATTACTTTTAAGTTCTAAAAATTCCACCCAGTTGCTAAACAAATGCCGGGGTTCTTGTGAAATAAAGCAACAACATGAAAGCCCTGGCAAGGGGTGCCCGGAGATTCTGATCTGCAAGTGGATCGGGGCAGCTCCCTCCGAGGTAGCAGCCAAAGCCATTTCCGAAGGCCTCATGGAACTCAAGGCCAAGGTCAAGGTCTGGATGGCGGGGCGGGGGGAGGGGGGCAGGCAATGCCTGGGGCTGAACGCACTGGGTAGGAGGAAGCAAGGGAGAAAAGGAATGAAGGAGCATTGTGAGCACCTTGGAGGCAGGGCCTCCCATGCTCTCCTGGCTTTATCCTCCAGAAAGCCCTGCAAAGGAAGCATTAGCATGGCCATCATCCCATGGGAAAGTGAAGGCTCGGGGAGGTGAAATCACTGGGCTAAAGTCACACGCAGTAAGACCTGGGATTCCAACCAATCCACCTGACTCCAAGACCAGTGTCCTTTCTACTTCACCACCCAAACTGCAACCAGGCTCAACACATGAATTTAGAGACAAGGTCTCCATCTGTCACCCAGGCTGGAGCACAGTGGCACCACCATGGCTCACTGCAGTCTCGAACTCCTGGGCTCAAGCGATTCTCCTGCCTCGGCCTCCTAAGTAGCTGGGATCACAGGTGGACACTACCACACCTGGATAATGTTTAAATTTAAATTAATGTTTAAATTAATGACAAATACCTGGTGACTGTTGTTCCCAGTCAGACTGCAAGGTGGCTGGCAGTGCATGTCCTTGAGCCTGACAGCCTGTGTCTGAATCCAGGCTCTACCAAGCTGGGGAATCTTCACCTCTCCATGCCTCAGTTTTTCCAGTCTAAAGTGGAGTTGGGCTGGGTGCGGTGGCCCACGCCTGTAATCCCAGCACTGTGGGAGGTCGAGGTGGGCAGGTCACCCTGAGGTCAGGAGTTCGAGACCAGCCTGAACAACATGGCGAAACCCCGTCTCTACTAAAAATACAAAAATTAGCCTGGTGTGGTGGTGCACGCCTGTAATCCCAGCTACTCGGGAGGTTGAGGCAGGAGAATGGCTTGAACACGGGAGGCAGAGGTTGCCGTGAGCTGAGATGGCACCACTGCACTCCAGCCTGGGCAGCAGAGTGAGATTCCATCTCAAAAAATAAAAAAATAAAAAATAAATGAAGTGGAGTCAATAAAAGCACCTCCATCATAGGGTATTATGAGGGTGAATGAGTTAATTCAGGTAGAGTGTTTGGGCTGCAACAGTGCTGCACCCAGAGGAACCCTCAAGGTCTAACCCCCAAAGTCCCCCCGCCACATACACACAGCCTCTCCTCTCTGCCTCAGGTGGGCTTTCTCTGGCTGTCTTCTGAGAGCAACATCCTTACCTATATTTGAGTTGATGCAGACAGAAGACGCAGAGAAGGCCCAGGCTCCCATATTGCAGCGGATTCCCAAACCTTCACACAGGCTAATCTTTGGAGCATCTTTTAGCCACAAAACCATGAAAACCATCAGGGAATCAGTGAAGTAACAGCAGGGGAGCACCCCCCGCGCTGCCCCTCCCCCCCGCCGTCTGTGCCAGCTGAGGAGCTTCTGGGGCAGTTCCCATCCACTGGAGAGTGTCCGAGGCCTGCCCTGCTCCTGGGCACAGACCCACAGTTCGACTTCCTGCCTGCCTCATGACAAAACCAAACACGATTAAAACCAGGCTCAATAACGACAGTGACTCGTTGAGTGCTTAGCCTGTCTGGGTGGTCTGTCCCAAGTTCCTCACATACATGAGTTGGAAAGTTCTACATCCATTTCACAGATGGAAGCTGGAGCTGAGAGAGGTTAAGCAACTTGCCCAAAGCCACACAGCAACTAAGTAGCGGAGCTGAGGTGGGATCTGATCATGCCCACCTGATGCTGTTGCTCTGTGAGGCCCCAGTGGACCCCAGGTGCCCAGGTCCTGATCAGCCATGAGGCTCTGAACCCTGCTGCCAACTCCCAGCCCAGCCCCTGCTCCTCCACCCTCAGGGGGCTGTCCACTTCCCCACACAGGCTTTCCGCATGGATTTACTGAGAATCCACGTTGTTCTGGGTGTGTGAGGCTGCTGGGGATACATCAGACACCGTCTCCCTGCTCTCCTGGAGCCGACAGCCAATAAACAGGAACTCAAGTAAAGAAAACAGAAAGGCCAGGTGCGGTGGCTCACACCTGTAATCCCAGCACTTTGGGAGGCCGAGGCAGGTGGATCACCTGAGGTCGGGAGTGCGAGACCAGCCTGACCAACAGGGAGAAACCCTGACTCTACCAAAAATACAAAATGAGCTGGGTGTGGTGACGCATGCCTGTAATCCCAGCTACTCGGGAGGCTGAGGCAGGAGAATCGCTCGAACCCGGGAGGTGGAGGTTTTGGTGAGCTGAGATCGCGCCATTGCACTCCAGCCTGGGCAACAAGAGTGAAACTTTGTCTCAAAATAAATAAATAAATAAATAAATAAATAAATAAATAAATAAATAAATAAATGAAAGAAAGAAAGAAAAGAAAACAGAGTCTGTGAAATGCATGAAGGAACTGAGACTCGCTGGAGGGGAGGGGATGCAGGGCAGATCTTGTGAGGGAAAATTCAGGAAGGACCTCTCCGAGCAGGTGACATTTCAGCTAAGGCTGGGAAGGATGAGGAGAAGTCAGGAACTCCAGGCATCAGGGAATGCTGGGGAAAAAAAGCACTCCAGGCCCAGGGATCAGCAAAGCACAGGGTGCCTGGGGGAACACACAGCCTCAGAGCATTTGAGGAACAGAAAAGGCAACGTGACTAAGCTTCCTGGGGCGGTGAGGTCAGGCAGGGAGGTGGGTGCGAGGTCATGGGGCCGCAGGCAAACGGCCCTCCCTCCCAGTGCCCCACATGCAGGCCCTGGAGCACCAGGAGCGGGGAGGCTCCGTGGTGTGTCTTCCTGCAAGTGGCCTGCCTTTGGGAGCATCAGCCCTTTCTCCTGGGGACTGGGAGAGGCCGGCAGTGAGGGAAGAATGGCCCTCGGTCGTGCGTAGAGAATGTAGGGGACACAGGGCCTCTCACAGACCCAGATCCTGATCTTGTCAGATCTGCACGCCCGTGGGAGGGTGCTGGCGGCAGAAACGCGTTGCCATAAGCCTTCTCCCCACTGCAGGCAGGTGTGGTCAGGGGACCTCCTTGGAGAACAAGGTGGGGGAATTTGGCAGCTTTCTCAGCATGGCGTCCATCCCCCCTACATTCCTGGGGCACCCACTGTAGGCCAGGCCCTGTGCCGGGTCTGATGATACAGTGATGACTAAGTCACAGTCCCTGCCTCTGAGGCCCCCATGATGTGCCGGGACAGCCAAGCAACCCAATATGTTAAAATCCAGTGTCAGGACCCAGGGAGAAGGGACTGAGGGAACAGAAGGGAAGGTGTGAGTCATCCTGCTTGCTGGTCTGGGTGGACAGAGACACACGGGAACAAGAAAGAGAAAGGCCGACCCAGTGACCCCTGTTCAAGATGCCAGGCACTGGGGGTGGAGTGGGCGGGGCATGAAGAGCCAAGACCCAGAAGGCCCAGTGAGTTCTGCGGTGAGAAAATAGCCTGGAAACTGACATGCACACTCGCGTCTGCTGTGCAGGGTATGGACCCTCTCCAGAGGCAGAAGGGGCTGGGGGCTACAGAGGGCCGCGGGCTGAGGATGGCATTAGGTGTCTTATAGGGCAGCCGCCCTTGGGTCCAGCTGACTGTTGACCCAGGTGGCCGGACCGGCTTATTTTCCAGGACAAGTTGGAAATCCACACTGTAAAAGTTTCCAACTTTTAAATGGTGGTAACAAATTTGAAAATGTTTAAAGCCCCAAGCAGACTCAAGAAAATCTCTCTGTCGGTCACCAGTTTTAGAGCCTAGAATAAATGAAGGTAAATATAAATCAGGCGAGGCACCCAAAGGCACCTGGGCTGGGCAGGAGAGAGCTTCCCGAAAGGGGCATTTTGGAAGAGTCCAGAGAAGAGCAAGTTGAGGAGCAGAGACAAACAAAAGCTCCCACTGAGCCCCTGCAGATGCTGGAATCCACAAGCTGTTACCAGTCTATTTTTTTTTTTTTTTATTTGAGGTGGAGTCTCACTCTGTCGCCCAGGCTGGAGTGCAGTGGCGCAATCTGGGCTCACTGCAACCTCTGCCTCCAGGGTTTCAAACGATTCTCCTGCCTCAGCCTCCTGAGTAGCTGGGATTACAGGTGCCCACCACCATGCCTGGCTAATTTTTGTATTTTTGGTAGAGACGGGGTTTTACCACGTTGACCAGGCTGGTCTTGAACTCCTCACCTCAGGTGATCCACCGTGCCCAGCCTGTTACCAGTCTCTTTATGATAGCAAAGGGAAGGGGAGAAGCACAACCCAGGAAGATTGTCCCTGGAGCGCCTGGTCTAAGAGAACCGGGATGTGGAGCAGCAGATGCCAGGCCAGGCTTGGCAGGGAACTCCATGAAAAGTCACGTGAGTTCACAGGTGGAACAGGATGGCCAGGGCCCAGCACTGGCATCACAGCAGGTATGTAACTGAGGGCACTGCCCAGAGCTCAGGCCTCGTTTTAAAGACATACACTCTGTCTCTTCCAGCTCCCCTCTTCCTCCAGGGCAGCTGCCCTTCCCGAGGGGCCAGCCAACCTTCCCAGCGTGAAATGCACAAGGACCATGTCCCTACTGACTCAGCCTCCTCCTGCCAGTCAAGAACTGCCCCGCTGCTAAGCACTACATCAGTGGTGGCCTTGGTGGCCCACGGCCTAC
Source organism: Homo sapiens (assembly GCF_000001405.40). Taxonomy (NCBI): domain Eukaryota; kingdom Metazoa; phylum Chordata; class Mammalia; order Primates; family Hominidae; genus Homo; species Homo sapiens. Next base: position 14,994,949 of record NC_000001.11, on the reverse strand, counting down.
TCCATGCTGTGTCTGAGGCATGGCAGAGTGGGCAAGAAGAAAGTGAGGGTGTCACTTCAGGGCTGGGGGGCTACTTCTCTCCAGAGGAACTGGCTGAAGTGACATCAGTCAATCCTCATGTTCCTCTTATAAGGCAGGTTTGATTATCCCCACTTTGCCGATGAATACACGGAGTCTCAGAGGGGCTGAGTCCCTGGCAAAAGGACCTGTAAATGCTACACACCAAAGTCAGGATTTGAACCAGACAGCATATTCTCCACTCCCCACGTGGCACTGCCTCTAAGACGCTGAGAGGAAGCCCAAGAACAACAGATAAGTGATGGTCCACAGCCCAAGAGGAAGGAAAAGAGAAAAAGCAAAACCAAAAAGACTGTGCAGCCAAATTGTCCAAAGTACAAAGGTGACTATTCCCGGGGTGACCCGGAGTCACTGAGAAATGCTCAACTGTGTTCCTCTCAGCCTGGATGGGAAGATGGGTACACAAACCTCTAGGAAAGCCTGCTGTCTCAGATGGCAAAACAGAAACACAATGGCACTGGCACCTACAACGGGGCCTTAGTAGATACCTGTTGAAGGCAGTGGTACAATGTATGGCGCAATGAGGGGCAAACTGCAGCTGTCAGCAAATGTCATGTGTGGGAACCTCCCCCAAGAGTCCAGGCTGAGGGAGGTGGTCTTGCATGCAGTGGTACAAGTGTGCCCGGAGGTGCCAGAGCTGAGAAGTCCCCAAGGGCCACGGCCTGCAGCCAATCTTTCCTTGGTGCCTCCTCCATTCTCCCCATGGCCCGACCCAATTCACAGGCCCTGCTGCCAGGGGCTCCCCTTCTGAGGATGGCTTGCAGAGGGGACCTGCTTCCATGGCCTGGGGGCCCAGGGATCAAAGCAGAGGACTATGAGATGCCCACTGTCGCCCCAGCAGGAAAGGCGACCATGCCTAAGAGCTCTACGTCGCACCTGGGAGGACGCATTAAACCACAAACACACCCAGAAGTCCCCGTAATCTCCCTTCCACAAGCCTGCATGGAGTGCCTGTCCTGTTCCCTGCCCACCCAAAGAAACCCTCCTCATCCTTCAAGCCCAGCTCCAATGCCACACACATCCGGGTCATTACGGCTCAAAGTTCTCTCTTCTGCCTCTGACCTTGGGAGATAATTACTTACGTGTGGGCTTGTGACCCCTCTCTCATAAGACTCAACGAACACATCAAGAGCACCCAGGATGGGCGAAGTCCTGGGCTCAGAAGTGCCCAGTTCTTTTCCTTCTCTCTCAGGGTGAAGCCTCCAGGGTCAGCGCGATCACCCCCCTCCCAGACGAGAGTCGAGGCAGCAGGGGGGTGGCGGCGGGGAGTGGGGGAGAGTGCAGGCCGAGAACACTGCTTGTTAGGGCTGGGACCAGGTCTGCAGACTCTTGGTAGAATTCTTTCCGCTAGGGGCAGACGCCACCTGAACTGATGATGATGATGATGATTATTTTTTTTTTTGAGATGGAGTTTTGCTCTTGTTGCCCAGGCTGGAGTGCAATGGCGTGATCTTGGCTCACTGCAACCTCCATCTCCCAGGTTCAAGTGATTCTCCTGCCTCAGCCTCCTCAGTAGCTGGGATTACAGGCTCCTGCCACCACGCCCGGCTAATTTTTTGTATTTTTGGTAGAGACAGTGTTTCGCCATGTTGGTCAGGCTGGTCTCGAACTCCCGACCTCAGGTGATCCACCCACCTTGGCCTCCCAGAGTGCTGGGATTACAGGCGTGAGCCACCGCGCCTGGCCTGATTTTTTTTTTTTTTTAATTGCTTATGTAACCTTTGCTGGGTATACAAAGGCTCCCAGACTGGGCGCGATGGCTCACATCTGTAATCCCAGCACTTTGGGAGGTCGAGGTGGGCAAATTGCTTGAGGCTAGGAGTTTGAGACCAGCCAGGCCAACATGGTGAAATCCTGTCTCTATTAGAAAAAAAAAAATTGTGGTAAAAAAATATACCTATCATAAAATTTACCATCTTAACCATTTTGGCTGGGTGCAGTGGCTCATTCCTGTAATCCCAGCACTTTGGGAGGCTGAGGCGAGTGGATCGCTTGAGTCCAGGAGTTCGAGACCAGTCTGGCCAACATGATGAAACCCCATCTCTACTAAAAATACAAAAATTATCTGGGCGTGTTGGTGGGCGCCTATAATCCCAGCTACTTGGGAGGCTGAGGCAGGAGAATCGCTCGAACCCGGGACATGGAGGTTGCAGTGAGACGAGATTGCGCTGCTGCACTCCAGCCTGGGCGATAGGGCTAAACTTCTCAACAAAACAAAATAAAACAAAAAAACAATAAAGGCTCCCAGATAGGTACCTGGGCATTCTACTCTTGAGGTGCCAAGGGCTGTTCCTAAGACCAATTGTTTTTCAGTCCAAAGAGATGAGCTCACAGCGGTGGCCAACAGCCCTGGAGGAGGGGCCACTGGGCTTTGCATCTCTGAAGGCTGCTCTTTCAATTTGGACCCCAGGTCCTCATCGAATAATGGCCAGGACTGGTTCCTATTTGTCTCTGCAACTTTCCTCCTCACCCTTGGCCCGGGCTGGCACGGTGCTCACACGGGGTGAGGGACCTGACCCTGGATGCTCCCTGGGCATTAGAGGTGTGTCTGCCCTCCACTGCAGGAGAACCTAATTCCTGGAGTGCTCCCATCTTGTGTCCTTCCTTCAAGACTCCTCCCCTGCTTCTCCCTGAGGAGGTCACATGTTGCAGATGCTCCTCACACACTCACGGGTAGGGACATGTGTGATTCTGGAGAAAAGAACCTCCTACGTGCTCGGCCTTCTGCTGGGGCCCCGGTAATGGACAAGCCACTCATGGTGCCTGCCCATGTGCAGGGCACTCACTGTCATGCTGGGCAGAGCCATCAGTGACCCAGGACCAACAGAATGAGGTTAAAAGCCACAGACACCAGGCAAAGAGAGGTGTATTCTGGAGGCCACAGTGATGGTGACAACCCCACCCCACAGTCCATCAGAGAAAGCACCGAGGGATATCCAGGCAAAAGGAAGCTGCTGCGTTTGATTCACAGATACTCCTCAGTCGAAGGGCTAGAACCTCTCATGTTCTGTCTCTCTCCAGAAGTCAGGGGTTTAGAGCATCAGTGGATCCTGGGAAGAGCTAAGACTAAGACACGTGGGACCAGGCTCTGGCGGTCCAGGGCGGAATCTGCTGCAGGGCTGACTCTAGGGATGGCTCACCACAGCATCAATCCCTGTGCTCCAATCCCCCTGGGGCCAGCCTGGCCTCTCCAGCCTTGGGCTCAGGTGTACCTGGGTATGTGTGGCCATGCACATGGTCCCCCAAATAAAAGGACATGGGACCTGAAGATCATCCAAAAGAAGCAGCTAGAAGGTTCTGAGGGTGAGGCCATCCCAGGCATCTAGAGTGAGACTTCCTGCACCCACATTCCTCGGGCTCCTAGGAAGGACACGGAAGAGGCTAACAGCAGAGGATATTATTCTGACAGGGCCACTGTGACAAAGTCCTGTATGCTGGGTGGCTTGTAGCTCTGGAGGACAGGAGTCCAAGATCAAGGTGCCTCATGTTGGGTGAGTTTTGGTTTCTTCTTCTTTTTTTTGACACAGAGTCTCTTTGTCACCAGGCTGGAGTGCAGTGGTGCGATCTAGGCTCACTGCAACCCCCGCCTCTCGGGTTCAAGCGATTCTCCTGCTTCAGCCTCCCCGAGTATCTGGGATTACAGGCGCCCACCACCACGCCCGGATAATTTTTTGTATTTTTATTAGAGATGGGGTTTCGCCATTTTGGCCAGGCTGGTCTCGAACTCCTGACCTCAGGTGATCCGCCCGCCTCAGCCTCCCAAAGTGCTAGGATTACAGGCACGAGCCTCTGCGCCCGGCCAAGGGTTGGTTCTTTCTGAGGCTGCAGAAAGACTCTGTTCTAGGCCTCCCCGTAGCTTCTGGCAATCTCCAGCATTCCTTGGTGTGCAGACACATCACCCCCACCTTTGCCTTCATCCCCACCTGCTGTTTTCCCTGGGTGTCTGTGGCTACATTTCCCCTGATCCATTTTTATCAGGCAAACTAGATCAGGCCTCACCCTATTCCAGTACGACTTCATCTTAATTCATCACATTGGCAGTGACCCTGCCTCAAAGTGAGGTCATATTCTGAGGTCCTGGGGGTTAGGACTTCAACATGTGAATTTTTAGGGGGCATAACAACATATAACAGGCAGAAAGCAGCTGACCCCCAAGACCTGGCGTGCTCCAGAGCAGGGAGGGTGGCAAGGGTTTACTGGGAAGAGCCAGAGAGTCAGTATTGAAGGGGCTCATGGTCTCTGCTGCAATGACTCTGCTGTTGTCGCTCAAAAGCAGCCTCAGAAAATATGTGAAACAAATGGGCATGGCTGTGTTCCAATAAAACTTTATTTATAAAAACAGGTGGTAGGCTGGGTGCGGTGGCTCATGCCCGTCATCACAACACTTTGGGAGGCCAAGGCGGGTGGATTGCTTGAGCCCAGGAGTTAAAGACTAGCCTGGGCAACATGGAAAAACCCCATCTCCATACAAAATACAAAAAATTAGCTGGGCATGGTGGTACATGCCTGTAGTCCTAGCTACTCGGGAGGCTGAGGTGGGAGAACTGCTTGAGCCTGGGAGGTGGAGGTTGCAGTGAGCGGAGATCGCTCCACTGCACTCCAGCTTGGGTGACAGAGCCAGACCCTGTCTCCCAAAAAAACAAAAAACAAACAAACAAACAAAAACAAGTGGTGAGCCAGTTTTGGTCCAAGGGCCAGCCACAGTTTGCTGATCCCTTCCCTTTGGACTTTGGAATGAGATCCCAACCTTGGACTTTGGAATGAGACAGGCCTGCATCTGGATTAGCGGCTGTGTGGCTTTGAGCAGGTTACTGAATATCTCTCGGCCTCAGGTTTTTCACCTGTATGGCAATGTGATAAAACCTATGTCATAGAGTTGCTGTATCAAACAAGACAGAGTGTGCACACCCCAGCCCACGGCAGCTACTGGTTAAACATCGATGCCTATCTCCTCTGCTCCAATGCAAAGCGCCTTCTGCAGCCAGCACCACTTGCTCTCGTCTAACATGCAATGCTCGATTCTGATGTAGCTCAGCTGTGGATTTCCAACCTACAGAGGCAAGCAGCTACAGACCAGGTAGCAAGGGAGGAGGTGGATGGTCAGCACTCACTCGGCTCTTCCTGGGAGCCCACCACCATCCCGAGCACTTCACACATATGATCTTAGTCAATCCCAGGCAGGTTCTACTACTACCCCCACACTGCAGATGAACCAACTGAGTCACAGAGGGGCTGAGTAGCTGGCCCAAGGTCCTGCAGATGCTGTGCATCAGAGCCAGGATTTGAACTCAGAGCCCACAGTCTCAACCCCTCCAATGTACTGCCTCCATCAAGGACGACAGAAGGTCCAATGACGATGAAGACAAGTGACAGTCCTTTTTCTTTTTTCTTTTTTTGAAACAGAGGCTTGCTGTGTCACCCAGGCTGGAGTGCAGTGGCACTATCTCAGCTCACTGCAACCTCCAGCTCCCGGGTTAAAGCAATTCTCCTGTCTCAGCCTCTCAAGTAGCTGGGATTTCAGGTGTGCACCACCAAACCTGGCTAATTTTTTGTATTTTAGTAGAGACAGGGTTTCACCATGTTGGCCTGGCTGGTCTCGAACTCCTGACCTCAAGTGATCCACCTACCTTGGCCTCCCAAAGTGCTGGGATTACAGGCGTGAGCCACCGTGCCCAGCTGCCATTTTCTAAAGTACAAAGATGACTGTTCCCAGGGTGACCCCGAGTCACTGAGAAATGCTAAACTGCTCCTCTGAGCTTGTGTGGGAAGGCAGGTACATGAGGCTCCAGGAAAGCCTGCTGTCCCAGATGTCAAGACAGAACCATGATGGCACCAGCACCTAGATGGGGCCTCAATAGGTAGCTGTTGAAGGTGGTGGTGCAAAGTGTGGCACAACGAGGGACAAACTGCAGCTACCAGACAAGGTCATGTGCGAGGACCTCCCCCAGGAATCCAGGCCAAGGAAGGTGGTCTCGCATGCAGTGGTAAGCGTGCCCAGAGCTGCCAGGGCTGAGAAGCCCCGGAGGGCCGTGGCCTGCAGCTGGTTTTTGCTGGGTGCCCCTCTCCTCTCCATGACCCGACACAATTCAGTGGCCCCTGCAGCTGAGCCGCACATCTGACCATCTGACTGCCACCCAGGCCAAGGACCATCCTTGTAAACTGGGGGGGCATCAGTGGAGTGACAGCCCCAGCCCAAACAGATACTTAAGAATAGGGATAATCAGAAGCACAGCTGGCTGGACGGACTTTTCAAGTCCAATCAGCACCATGTCCTGACTATTGGATGTACCCCGGGGTTACTGGCTTTTCTCGCATCAGGAAAATTAGAGCCGAGAAAAGCAATTCTGAGGGCAGCACGCCATCACCCTCAGTGCAGCTGCCCTGTTCTTCATCACGATTCCCTCCAGCAGGGCTGGGCCGGGTGGAGCTGCCAGGCGGCCCTCATTCCTTAAGTGAGTCCTAGTCCTGCTCAGGCTGAGCCAGCAGGGTGGGGAGAGAAAACAGAGATGCCCCTGGGGGCTCCGTGTCTGCCTGAGAATGCGGCCAGCTGCCCGCAGGGGAGGGGCGCGTTCTGTGACGGAGGAAGCCCCGGGAGGAGGAAGAGATGGGGCTGATGGTGCAGACAGGGCTGGGGTAGGGGCATGAGACCAAATGGGAGCAGGAAGCAGGCCCTGCCTGCAGCTCCTTCTTCCTCTCAAGGGAGAGCCTCACTCCTGTCTTTATATTCCTCCTTTCTTGGCTCAGGACTTCCTGCTCACTACTGGTTTCCCTGCTTCCACCCTGCACCCCAGGCCAGCTTCCAAAGCCCCAGTTTGATCCCATCACTCCCTGTCTAAAGCCCACCATGGCTCCCTAGTACCCTCAGGCCAGAGCTGGCCTCACTTGCACCTGGTGCTCAAGCCCAACTCCTGCTATTTTCTCCTCTCTTCTGTTTCCATCTAACCTGCCAGCATGTCCTGTGGCTTCTGCAGCCTGGCCTGAGTGTCTATCATATGTCCTGCTAGAAGAGTCCAACGGCCTGGGCCCCGTATCCCTACACCCCTGATCTATTCTCAATGCAGCAGCTAGAGGACTGCTTCAAAATGAAATCCGATCAAGTGGCTTCCCCGCATCCTTCCACGTGGATCACAAAATCCAAACTCCTTACCCAGGACCGCAGAGCCCCGCATGAAAGTGCCCCTCCCCTCATCTCCTGCTCCCTCTCCATCCTTCACTTTCCAGCTACAATGGCTTCTGGGTCCCCAACATACGCGAAGCTCATTCCTGTCCTCAGCCTTCTCCCTGCCTGGCAGGTTCCTCCCCTGAGCTCCGGGGGCCTCCTTCCCTTCAGTCTTGGATAAAAGGCTCCTGTTCCAGAGTGAACTTTTTTTTTTTAATTGAGATGGAGTCTTGCCCTGTCACCTAGGCTGGAGTGCAGTGGCACAATCTCGGCTCACTGCCACCTCCACCTCCTGGGTTCAAGCGATTCTCCTGCCTCAGCCTCCTGAGTAGCTGGGATTACAGGTGCTCGCCACCATGCTCGGCTAATTTTTAGTATCTTTAGTAGAGACGGGGTTTCACCATGTTGGCCAGGCTGGTCTCGAACTCCTGACCTCATGATCTGCCCACCTTGGCCTCCCAAAGTGCTGGGATTACAAGCGTGAGCCACCGTGCCCGGCCCAGAGAGAACTTCTTTGGCAATCGTGTGCAAAGCAGCCCTACACTCTCTTCTGCGCCTTCCCATTTGAATCCTTCATAGTATGTATTACCATCTCATCTTTTTACTGTCTATTCACCTATTTATTCCTTGCTTCTCCTCTACGCTGCCTGGGCTGGAGGAGACTGCCCAGTTTGCTCTGCCCACCAGGACTCGATACCCTCAGTGCCCAGCCCTGGCCTGGCATGCATCGGAGGTCAATTGATATTTCTGGAATGACTATCTGTGTTCCTGACACCTGGCAGAGTGCCTGCTACCGTGAATTTGATTAAATTGGATAGAGAAAAATAGCAGTGACCATTCACTGCTTATTGGGAACCTACTGATTATGTGGGTGAGGGCAGGCACAGTGATTGGTGTCCAATGGCCCCCATGTCAACCTCAGGGAAGGCAGCCAGTCAGAGCTCCAACAGAGTCCCTCCACCCCAACAAACAACTGACCCTTTGACTTAGATTTGGAATTGAGCCTCACTTTCTTGAAGTGACCTCAAATTAAGGTGACAGGTTATTCCCTTTTGGTTCTTTTGAGCCTCATCAAGGAGGGTTGGGGGCGTCATGCTAGAGACCCATACCAGCCGTACTCAGTGGCCCACACACTCCTTTCACAGCCCTGGCTCAGGCTGGCACCAAGCAGGACTGCGGAACTGCTTGGAAAGCACCAACCAAGAAAAGCAGCAGGTCAGCACTTTCTGGGATTTGCTGCCTTAATATTAAAATATTCATATAGAGAAGTAATATCACTGTACACAAGTTTCCTCTCTGCAAACAAGGATTAACATCTGTTCCCAGAGCTTGGCCAGTGCAAGGCACATAACGGTGAGGTGGCGTTTTGCAAAAGCGAGGCTGTTAAACTGCCAGAGCCCAGAAGACAAGCACTCAGGACGAGGACCGCCCTGAGAACTGCAGGTTCTCAAAGCTGCTAGTGATGTGTTTTATTACTGTACTACCCACTGATGTTAATAATATCATCGAACGCAGGTCCATATGCAAGCTTCTCCAAACATCTCCTTAATGGTTTTCATGGCTTTTTCACCCCTCCGATCCAGGATCCCAAATGAGATTACATGTTGCAATCCACTCTCCTGGCTCCTGATTGTCCTTTAATCTTTAATCTAGAAGGTTCTCTTTGCCTTCTGTGGGTCTTTCTTTCCTTTTTTTTTTTTTTTTTTTTTTGAGACAGAGTCTGGCTCTGTCGCCCAGGCTGGAGTGCAGTGGCGTGATCTTGGCTCACTGCAGCCTCCGCCTCCTGGGTTCAAGTGATTTTCCGGCCTCAGCCTCGTGAGTAGCTGGGATTACAGGCATGTGCCACCACGCCCAGCTAATTTTTGTATTCTTAGTAGAGATGAGGGTTTCACTATGTTGGCCAGGCTGGTCTTGAACTCTTGACCTCATGATCCGCCTGCCTCAGCCTCCCAAAGTGCTGGGATTACAAGCATGGGCCACCGTGCCTGGCACTTCTGTGGGTCTTTCATGACATGGAAGTTTTGGAAGAGTCCAGGTCAGCTGCCCTGCCTCAATCCAACGAACCCACAGGTAATGTGTTCTCAAAGCATCACATCAGGAAGCCCATAATGTCCGTCTGTCCATTACTGGTAACGCCTTCTCATTCTTTCATTCCATCTTTGTTTGTTTATTTATTTATTTTTGAGGCAGGGTCTCACTGTGTCACCCAGGCTGGAGTGCAGTGGCATGATCTCAGCTCACTGCAGCCTTGGCCTCCTGGGCTTAAGCCATCCTCCTGCCTCAGCCCCCAGAGTGTGGGACCACAGGTGAGTGCCACCATGCCCAGCTAATTTTTAAAAATGTTTTATAGAGACAAGGTCTCCCTATGTTGCCCAACCTGGTCTCAAACTCCTCAGCTCATGTGATTCTCCCACCTTGGCCTCCCACCTTGGCCTCCCACCTTGGCCTCCCACCTTGGCCTCCCACCAAAGTTCTGGGATTATAGGCGTGAGCCACCAGGCCCAGTCCCTCTATGTTTATTAATCAGCATTCATCTCTTCTCTTCCTCCCCGACCCCACCATTTTTTTTTTTTTTTTGAGACAGAGTCTTGCTCTGTCGCCCAGGCTGGAGTGCAGTGGCATGATCTTGGCTCACTGCAACCTCTGCCTCCTGGGTTCAAGCGATTCTTCTGCTTCAGCCTCCTGAGTAGCTGGGACTACAGGTGAGCACCACCACGCCTGGCTAATTTTTGTATTTGTAGTAGAGACGAGGTTTCATCATATTGGCCAGGCTGGTCTTGAACTCCTGACCTCGTGATCTGCCCGCCTTGGCCTCCCAAAGTGCTGGGATTACAGGCCCTCCTTTCCCCCTTGAATCACCCATTTCTTTTATTATTTTATTGGATGTTCAATTGTCCCATCTTTGCCAGCAGGAGTCCCTTTCAGCCAGTGCCTGGGTCTTTTGGACCCATCTGTCTTTGAATGCATTCTTGCTTTCTGGAAGGACAAAGGGCTCTAGTTGCATTTTACTTTCCACTGCCTCATGCCTGGCATCCTCCACTTGTCCAAGGAGACCTGGCTCCTTCTGATGGAGACTGGCATCAAGAAATAGAGAGATGTGGGCACTAGATACATGCATTGCTACAGGGGGACATGGCTTCTTGCTCTTCTTTCTATGGTTATGACTTGTCAATTGCATATTTATACCATCAAAAGAGCATAATGATGGCCCCAACTCCAATCCACCGCCTTCCCCCATTCCATATGAGAAGGCCCTTTTCCCACAGAGAGAACCCTGGTACCTAACAGTATATATTTACTTATTTGCTCTACTCTGTTTTTCTTTTTTCTTTTTTTTGAGACAGAGTCTTGCCTGTTTCCCAGGCTGGAGTGGAGTGGCATGATCTCAGCTCACTGCAACCTCTGCCTCCTGGGTTCAAGTGATTCTCATTCCTCAGCCTCCCATGTAGATGCTCAGCCTCCCGACTAGCTGGGACTACAGGTGCACACCACCATGCCTGGCTCATTTTGTATTTTTAGTAGAGATGGAGTTTTGCCAAGCTGGTCTCAAACTCCTGACTTCAAGTGATCTGCCTGCCTCGGCCTCCCAAAGTGCTTGGATTACAGGTGTGAGTCACTATGCCCAGCCACATTTGCTCTACTCTGTAATCACAAAATAATTTCAGAATTACTACTCCAAAGCACTGCCTACAAATCTATATAAACTTCAAAATTTGCTTCCCATTCTTTTAGGCTTTATTAATTTAATTTAATTTAATTAATTTATTTTTGGGACAGAGTTTTGTTCTTGTTGCCCAGGCTGGAGTGCAATGGCGTGATCTCAGCTCACTGCAACCTCCACCTCCCGGGTTCAAGAGATTCTCCTGCCTCAGCCTCCTGAGTAGTTGGGATTACAGAAGCGTGCCACCACGCCCAGCTTATTTTTGTATTTTCAGTAGAGACAGGGTTTCACCATGTTGGCCAGGCTGGTCTCAAACTCCTGACCTTAGGTGATCCACCTGCCTCAGCCTCCTAAGGTGCTGGGATTACAGGTATGAGCCACCACGCCCGGCCTCTCTTAGGCTTTAGAATGTATCCTACAAAGACTGTGCAGTGACTTGTTTCATATTTGTGCAGTTTTATCCTCAAGGTACATCCCTAGAAGTAGCAGTGATGAGTCAAAGGGTAAATGCATATGTGATTTTGCTCCCCCCACAGGGGTCACGTCACTTTGCATTTCCACCGACCACAGGTGAGGGCGCTATTTTCCTGCAGGCTTGCCAGCTGAGCCAGCTGGTGTACTTTAGGGGTTTTGCCAACCTGATAGGCGAGCAACGATATCTCAGGGTTGTTTTAATTTGCGTTTTCGATGACTGCCTGAATCTACTGCGCCCACTTCCAATCCTAGGACCAAGGCTCCGGCTCTAGCGTCAAGTCCGGGGCCCATCCTGAAGGTGCTAAGCTGAGTATCCCTGCCGGGGTGGAGGTAGGGGGTGTACAGCCTTACCCCGCCCATGAACCTTGGTGTGAACAATGCAGGCAGACAATACTCAGATGAAATTCTGGCACTGCGGATGGGTGAAAGGGTGCTTTGGGTCTCTGGAGAAACCTCAGAGGCATGCCCTTCTCATTTCTGGAATAAAAAGCCCCCCTGCTGCCTTCAGCAGGCAAAAGCGATTTGTTAGCCTTTTGCTGTCATGATCAAGGACAAGCTGCAGGGCGTCTGCTGCGGGGCCGGCAGCTCCCTCAACCCTCAACATTGCTCCAAGGAGGAGGTGGAGAGGTTCCAGCCAGAGGATGCCTGTGCGGGCTACCTTTACTAATGGGGACCTCTGTCTCCTTGGTCAGCACCTGCGCTTCGCATGGCAGGCTCTCGGGCCACAGGAAGATATCTGGAAATTCAGGCAGTGGGAAGATCCAGCACTAGGCCTCTGGTCTTCCCTGACAACACCGGTCACCGGCTCCTGGCTGACACAGGGGCCTGGATCCCTTTCAAGATCTCAGGTGCTGGCCAGGCACAGTGGCTCACGCCTGTAATCCCAGCACTTTGGGAGGCCAAGGTGAGTGGATTACAAAGTCAGGAGTTCGAGACCAGAACAGCCAATATGGTGAAACCGCATCTCTACTAAATACAATATTAGCTGGGCGTGGTGGCGCATGCCTGTAGTCCCAGCTGCTGGGGAGGCTGAGGCAGGAGAATTGCCTGAACCTGGGAGGCAGAGGTTGCAGTGAGCTGAGATTGCACCACTGCACTCCAGACTGGGTGACAGAGTGTCACTCCATCTCAAAAAAAAAAAAAAAAAAAAAAAAAAAAAATCTCAGGTGCTGAGAACAGCGGCCCCAGTTCAGAGGGAACATGTGGGGAACCACTGTCCCATGCCCTGTCCCATGCCCAAGCCCGCCCACATCCACCCAAAGGCCACGTTTTAAAGGCTCAGAGAAACTTCAGGTGTCAACAGACAGGGGTTTGGTCTTTAAGGTACAGTGGTCAGGCGTGTGGATCGCGGGCTGGAACGGCCGGAGTGCTGACCCGGCTCCTCCACTTGCCAGCCGTGTGTCTGCTGCAAGTTCCTTCCAGCCCTGAGCCTCAGTGACCTCAACTGTAAAGTCGGCATGATAACAGGACCCATCTCACCGGTCTGCTGTGAGGATCAAATGGGACCACGTATGCAGACAGCCTGGCACACAGGCTCTCCAGGCAAACGTTAACTCCATGCAGGGGACAGCCTCATTTAGATCACAGCTGACAGGCCAGGGTAAGTCCCTCCTAACAGGTGCTTCACCTCTCACTTTCTCCAAGTGAGAAAGGTGCCCTGGATGGCACGCTATACCTGGGGCATGGTCATGTCTTTAGTTTGAACAAACTCAGGGTATGTTGAAAAGGCACTGCATCCCCTTTCTCTTCCTTAAATTCTTTTAAGATGAAATCCAGAGGGTATTGCTCCTTATGCCAACCACAACCAGCAAGGATGGCCGTGACTTATACCCAGGGCTGCCATGGACAGTCGCACAGCTTGTGTACTGCCCAAAAGTGCCTGATAGGTGAGTTAGGTGGAAGCTGAAATGCAGCCAGTATTGTGTTTGTCATATTGTGCAGCTTAGCGCAGGGCTCCGGCAACCTGGAGGAGGAGGCATCTCTCTGCTTCCGCAGCAAACCTGCCACAGGGCTATAACCCCCCAGAGATGGGGTTGCATGCAGATACCACTGCCTGATCACCAGGCTATGGGGTTGCATAGGACTGTGTTCAATGATAGAAGAGCACCTTTTCCTTATCTGTCTACACAGAGTGGGTACCTTTTTCCAATTTGCATAAAAACTCCATATAAGCTAGTGGGAGTTCTGTTAATACCTAAAAAACATGGATTTACAAAACACACAAGACTGGTCTATGCTTCATGGGCTAAGGTCTTTAATGCACAGAACTGTGCTACTGGGTCAAGCACGCACTTGAAATTTAAAAATCCGTTTTAGGAACAGAGACAGCAAAAAGCGAGAAACCCCACTAAGCATTCAGGGTTGGGAGCTAGGCCCCAGCTCCCAGCTATGCTGTGGCACACCACTTTCCCGGCAAGGCTGGGCCTCCAGCTCCTAACTACTCTCCCCTCCCTTCTTGGAGCAAGCACGTTTTCCTGGCATCTCTCAGGCCCCGCTGTTCTGCAGAGGAGGCTGCCCTGTCCCTCTGGGGAGCCCTGACCCCCAGGAGCACGGTGCTCCACTGGAAGACCCAGTGGCCATGGGGATGAGTAATGACGGTTGCCTGGTTACGCCGCCTTGTCAGGGCGTCACATGCTCTTGCAGGGGCTCACACTGAAGACACGCAGTCTAGGAGCCACCAGCCTCCTCCAGCCACCCCACCTCCCCCTCCTGCCTCCCTCATTTTTCCTCCTGAGGCCTCGATCTGAAAGCATTGTTCCTTTGGTGTCAACTGAGGATGTGCTCCACGATTTAACCACTTCCTTCTCTGCCTCGGCTTCCTGCCGTCTATCATGGCATCGGAATGGTTTCCGAGACACCCCCTGCCTCTCTGTCATGGTAAAGATCATGTCTTTTTCAGGTCCATAAAAAACAGAATGGGGCCTGTTGTGTCCTCGCAAATCACGATGCTGAACAGGCAGACGGTCTTGGACTATGCAGATGAGCCTGGAGCAGAGTCGAGGATGTGTTTCTGGGTCAAGGAGTCGGGGTGCAGATGGACAGATGTTCCTATTCCTGTCCAGGGGGGCAGGTGGGCCCCAAGGCTGCCTCATGGTCACCTGCGCGTAGCACGAACGTCCAGCCTGCACACTTTTGCCTATGCCATCCCCTGACCTGGGATGCCTGCCTGACACACCTGCCTGCCTACTCAGATCCTGAGCACTGGGCAAGGCTACAGATCCTGTCTGTCTCGGGAAATCCCTGTTGACTCCCACTCTCCCAACACAACTTTTAATAGAGCCCTCTTCTCTTGCAAAACTCTCCCAGTTTAAACAACAAATGATACGGCCACTCTAAGCTTAGTAAAATATTTACAGTAAACAGCTGGTCTTTAATAAATAGGTACTTATGGCCAGGCACAGTGGCTCATGCCTGTAATCCCAGCACTTTGGGAGGTGGAGGTGGGCAGATCACCTGAGGTCAGGAGTTTGAGACCAGCCAGACCAATATGGTGAAACCCCATCTCTACTAAAAATACAAAAATTAGCCAGGTGTGGTGGCTTGCAACTGTAGTCCTAGCTACTCAGGAGGCTGAGACAGGAGAATTGCTTGAATCCAGGAGGTGGAGGTTGCAGTGCGCCGAGACTGCGCCACTATACTCCAGCCTGGGCAACAGAGCGAGACTCTGTCTCAAAAGTAAATAAATTTAAAAAATAAAAAATAAATAGGTACTTACCGTTCTAAACTCTATGAATCAGCTCATTTAATCTTCACAACCAAGGGGTAGGTACTATTATAATCCCGTAATACCAGTGGGGACACACAAGTTCAGCAACTTGCCCAAGTTCAAGAGGAGGCAGGATTTGAACTCAGGAACATCAATTCCAATGTCTATCACATCATTACTGCCTCCCCACAAGTCCTCAGGGCCCCTTCCCCTGAGCTTACCCACCCAAGCCCATGGAGGCCTCCCCATCCTTGGAAGCCTTTGCCCCCAAGGATGGGCTTTGCATGTGGTGGTCTCTGAGCCACCTGCTTGAATTCCAGAAAAAGACCAGGTGCGTTGGCGGGGAGGGGGACCCATAGCTCCAGGACACAGCATGAGCTCAGGAATACCTCACGATCAATTGATTGCAGGGCCCAGCATGCTGGGCTCACTTTATATTTGTTCTTATTTATTTATTTTTTTTGAGAGGAAGTCTCCCTCTGCCACCCAGGCTGGAATGCAGTGGTGCGATCTCGGCTCACTGCAACCTCTGCCTCCTGGGTTCAAGCAATTCTTCTGCCTCAGCCTCCTGAGTAGCTGGGATTACAGGCGCCCACCACCATGCCCAGCAGATTTTTGCATTTTTAGTAGAGACGGGGTTTCACACGTTGGTCAGGCTGGTCTTGAACTCCTCACCTCGTGATCCGCTCGCCTTGGCCTCCCAAAGTGCTGGGATTACCTCAGGTGGATCACCTGAGATTAGGAGTTCGAGACCAGCCTGGCCGACATGGTGAACGCTGTCTGTACTAAAAATACAAAAATTAGCTGGGCATGGTGGCAGGCGCCTGTAATCCCAGCTGCTCAGGAGGCTGAGGCAGGAGAATCTCTTGAACCCGGGAGATGGAGATTGCAGTGAGCCGAGATTGCGCCATTGCACTCCAGCCTGGGTGACACAGCAAGACTCCGTCTCAAAAAATACCCCAAAACCTCCCTCCCACTGCCCTCTTCCTGTACCTCCTATCCCCAAATTATTCACTGTCTTCCCCGTTTACTCCTAACAGACTCTGAATAGCAGCAGAGGCGGCTATGTCTGGGCGTCAGACCCCCTTCTAGGAGCAGCTCAGAAAGACTGCCTCTGCCTGGCAAAGCCCCCCATCTTCCAGGAGAGCAAGACCACACCCACACACTCAGCCCCCATAGCACACAGAGGCTGAGATGCGCTCGGTGGCCAGTAGTGACCAACACGAAACTGCCCTCTGCAGCCCAGGGGTGGGGACCTGAATTTCCAGAAGAGTGGGAAGAAGAACCTCTATCAGATTAAGAGAAACGAACAAAGAAGAAGACTGCCTCAGGGGCTTCCCAGGTCGGTCTGCAAGATCCCCAAAAAGGTAAAATGTGGGGCCTACTGTTGACCACCTTCTCCTCTGAAGAAGGACACAACAGTCCCATCAACAAGACCACATGTCGACCCTCCTCCCCACCATCACATCCCTCAAGCTGCCGGATGCTTTTGACAATCCAGATGCTCCGTAGAACACAGCCAGCCAGACTCTGCTCTTCATCTGGTCCCAGTGGCTTAAGAGTGTTGCTCCCAAACCACATCCACTGTCTTTGGCAGCTCGAAAAGGCTGGGCTGAAGTTGCTCACCCATCTGAGCCATGAAGATCTTGAAGAAAAGCTCTGATTCAGGCCCTGCCAGCAAGCATGTGCCCAAGGAAAGAAAGAGGTCTTTAGCAAGAACCAGCCCCAGCTGGGAATGGGAGGACGTGAGGAAGGCCACGGGGAGGGAGCGTTCGCCTGGACCAGAAACTCTGCCCTCAATATATGGACCCCATAGCAGGGCTTGGTGGCACATGCCTGTAATCCCAGCTACTCGGGAGGCGGAGGCAGGAGAATCGCTTGAACCAGGGAGATGGAGGTGCAGTGAGCCGAGATCGTGCCATTGCACTCCAGCCTGGGCAACAAGAGCGAAACTCCACCTCAAAAAAAAAAAAAAAAAAAAAAAAAAAGACGTGCACCCCACAGCAGGTGCAAGGCTTAAGAGACAACGGCCAACAGTCAGCCCTGCCCAGGCAAGCGAGTGAGAGGCTGGGAGCTCCCACCAGAAAACTGCTTGGCTTCGTGGGCAGACCTGGCCAGAGCCACCTGGTGGACCTCTCTCCTGGGCGCCACCCAGGGCTGTCCCAGCCCATTCTGCACCTGAAGGAAGTGAGTCTCCCGCAATCTGCAGTCACCCGAACTACAGGGAAGAAAAAAGTGTGCCTTTCCTCTCTCTCCACTGATGCCACCCATTGCCAACCTCGGCAGGCACATGAATTCTCCAGCTGACTCAGAGGCAGCAGAGCGCGACACTCACTGCAGAGGTGCATTCCACAGGTGGATCTGGTGGCCACATAATAGGGAGACACAGGTCAGTGCCCAGGACAGGGCTGACAGGCCACACGACCAGAAAGGCAGGGTCGGGGCACGTTGACCTTCCGGAATCTGGGATGGAACCATGGGTACATACCTGAGGGTGTGAGTGCTCCCTCAGCTCCTCACCCACTCCCTGAGCACCTACCCAGTGCCATCCTGAGGTCCTGGCCAGCAAATTGTCCCTACTACGTCCCTCTTTTCCCAGCCTTGCTTACTCACCCAGCTGCGGGGACAGGAGCAATCCTGTGGCTGAAGGACAGAGACAGACACCGTCAGGTCCTGACCCTCAGGGCCTCCAGCCCAAAGGGGGAAAGCACAGCCCCTCCCAGGGGAATCACCGCCCCGAGGACTCCATGGCCTTTTCAGTCCTATGCCTTCAGCAGAGCCCAGTTTTTTGTTTGTTTGTTTGTTTGTTTTTAATTTGAGATGGAGTCTCACACTGTCGCCCAGGCTGGAGTGTAGTGGCACGATCTTGGCTCACTGCAACCTCTGCCTCCCGGGTTCACGTGATCCTCCTGCCTCAGCCTCCTGAGTAGCTGGGATTACAGGCGCCCACCACCACACCTGGCTAATTTTTTTGTATTTTTAGTAGAGACAGGGTTTCACCACGTTGGCCAGACTGGTCTCGAACTCCTTGACCTTGTGATCTGCTCGCCTCGGCCTCCCAAAGTGCTGAGATTACAGGCGTGAGCCACCGCGCCCTGCCTAGAGCCCAGTTTTTGAGCGCCCTGCCGTGTGTTCTTCAGCCCAGTGCTGGGCACCCAGGGGGAGAGTCCATGTCCCAGGACGGCCAATGCCCATCTGGTTGGGCCTCGTCGCAGGTCAGCCAAGAAGCCAAACCAACCAAGAAGCCCCTCCCGGCCTCCTCTGGGGCTGGGCAGCGTGGGCTCATCCGGCTCACGCATTTCTGCTGGAACCCATGGGTTCACGCTAAGACCACTTTCTTCCCTCGGGCAATGTGCTCTGCCGGAAGGGCCTGAGTCTGAACCATGTTCTGGGTCGTCATGGTCCAGGGCCTGTGAGTGAGCAGTTCCTCCGGAATTCAGGGGCTGCCAAGGTCTGTGCTGCCGGGTGAGCACTCAGGCCTAAGTCCTGCGGTCCTTCTTGTGGCCGGGGCAAGAGTGACTGGCCTCCACAGTAGGCCTGGCCTGATGACGTGCTGTTCTGAGTAGTCCCAGCTACTCAGGAGGCTGAGATGGGAGAATCATCTGAGTCCAGGAAGTTGAGGCTGCAGTGAGCCGAGATTATGCCACTGCACTCCAGCCTGGGTGATAGGAATGAGACCTTGTCTCAAATAAATGAATGAATATAAAATAAAAAACTGTTAGCCACGTCCAAAACCAACAGCAACAGGCTCGCAGTGTGCGGCTGTGCAGTGTGCGGGCTCACCGCGCAGGTCTGAGAGCTGAGTGTACTTTCTTTGCTTTTTTTTTTTTTTTTTTTTTTGAGACGGAGTCTCGCTCAGTCGCCCAGGCTGGAGTGCAGTGGCATGATCTCGGTTCACTGCAAGCTCCGCCTCCCGGGTTCGCGCCTTTCTCCTGCCTCAGCCTCCCAAGTAGCTGGGACTACAGGCGCCCGCCACTACGCCCAGTTAATTTTTTTGTATTTTTAGTAGAGACGGGGTTTCACCGTGTTAGCCAGGATGGTCTTGATCTCCTGACCTCATGATCCGCCCATCTCGGCCTCCCGCAGTACTGGGATTACAGGCGTGAGCCACTGTGCCCGGCCACCTTCTTTGCTTTAATTTCCACCTCCCAGTAGGTCAGGTCTCTGGGCCTCAATCTTTTCATGTGCAAAATGGGAAAAACAACTCACAGGGCTGCTGGGAGGAAATCTGTGGAATTTATATTCCATGCATGCCTGGACTATACCAATATTCCATAAATATATAAAAACTTTATTAATTATATATACCTTAAATCTAAAGATTATTTTTAAAAATATTATATTCATGGAGACATTGAATTTTAACCTTGGTCTTTTCCCAGCCATAGCACCAGGCCCTAAGCTGAAATTAGAACGTTCCTCTCTAAGCTGGTCTGAATTTTTAGCTGGGTGCCAAGAAAAATGCCTCTCCTTCTGCTCCAACATCAGGCTCCAGGCATGAAGGCCTGTCCAGCCTGCCTGGCTATCAGGAGCTTATGTCTCAGCCTCTAGCTGGGCCAGGTGGTCAGACCTATTTAAAAAGTTGGGCGGGAGCTCAAGCCACAGCACATCCAGCTTTGGACCTTGCTGGTCTCTGCCTGTTCCTGGAATGCGAGCCCAGGAGCCCTGGGTATTGGAGCTCTGCAGACTCTCTGCTCTTTCCCTCACCCAGGAGCTGGCTGGCACAGTCTGCCTGTCTTCGAGGACTCTGCCCATCTGGGGCCGGGTCCCCTCTGTGACCTGCTGAGGCCAGCACACAGGGAAAGAAGGCAAAGCCAGAGGCCACCCCACTGATGTGACTTACAGGGTTCTAAAATGCTCCTTGCCCTACAATGCTCTATCCGCAGGACTCCAAATCCACCTTACTTCCTTCTAAAAACAGCTTTATTGGTTTTAAATAAAATACAATGAACTGTACATATTTAACATGTGCCATTTGACATTCTCTGATATATGTACACACCTGCAAAACTATCACCACAATCAAGACAGTGAAAATACCCATCACCCAGTTTCTGCCTACCCTCTGCAATAAGCCCACGTTCCTACAGGAGCTTTCTGTCCCTGTAGATTAGCATGCATTTTCTAGTCTCCTTAAATGGAATCATATCCTATATACATTTTTCCCCTGGACTCTGTCACTCAGTAGAATTGAGATCTCTCCATGTTGTTATATGTACCCAGTTTGTTGCTTTATTACTGAGTAGGATTCCATTGTACAATATTACCAGTTTGTTTATTTTTTTATCTGTTGATGAGCCTTTGGGCCGATTCCAGTTTTTGGCTATTAAAAATAAGCTGCTAAAACCACGTATGTACAAGTCTTTGTATGGATGTGTATTTCCTAGGTGAGTAAACACTCAGGAGTGGAGCAGCTGGGTCTGATCTTACCCTACTTTAAAATCTTCATTTCCATATAGTACCTACAATCCCCTAAAACAGCATACATTTACTTTTTGCTATATTGTTTGTTTGCCTTTTCCCTTCCCTCCATGGCAGATGGTATTTTTGCAAAGCTGGACACAAATGCATCTCCCATGCCACATGCCTTTTATAGTGTGGGGTCTGGCTGGCCTGTCACCAACAGAATGTGGCAGAAGTGATGCTAAGTGACTCCTAGGACTAGGTCATAAGAAGCCTGGCAGCTTGCACTTGGTTTCCTGGAGCCCTCTCTGTGGGAGCCCTTAGCATCCATGTACAAAGTCTGACTACTATGCTGAAGGGGCTGCAAATGGGCATGTGGTTGCCGGACCCAGCTTAGCCCAGCCATCCTGCCATGGCACCAGATATGTGAGTGAAGCCATCTTGGGTCGTCCAGAGGAATAGCATGGAAGTACCCCTACTGACACCACAGAGAACCTAAGAATCGCCTAGCTGAGCCCTGCCAAATCCCTGATTCACAAGATCATGAGATGTAAGAAAAACGGTGGTTGCTTTATGCCACTAAGATTTACAGGCAGTGTGTTACACAGCAGTAGTAACCGGTGCACCCTTCTAGAATGTAATCTCCACAAGAAATGGATCTTTGTCAATTCTGCTGTGGGATATGATGAGGTTTCTCTTCAAATAATCTGATCAATCTTTTATTCTTTAATTCATTGTACCACCCCCCTTTTCTTCTCCTTTTTTCCTCCTTGCCTTTGTTAAATGCCCAGGCATGCCACAGTACCAAGCGTTATCAGTACCAGCTCACATTCCTTTCCTTATTTGGAAAGAGGACTAACTTTCTAGCTCATTACAGACACCCCTTCCCCTTCCTCTCCACTTTCTTTTACATGCCCACCCTATCTAAAAAAAAATCAAATGTTCAGTCAACTGGGATTAGTTTAGATTGTATGACCCCGGCCAGTGGGGAAAGGGTACAGGGGCAGGACTTGCATCAGGAATAAAGGCTCTCGTGCCCCTTTGTTCAGGTGTGCTCTCATGGCAACTGGCCAAGGAGGTACCCCTCTGCGCAGAAGTACAATTGCTTTGCTAAGAATCCTTTGTTTGAGTGTTCAGTTTCCTTAGGATTTTGAGCGTTATTCCTAACATGCTCACAGATAAACCCCAAGTGCCCAGAATAATGTCTGGCAAACAGTAGGACTTCAACAAGTATCTGCTGAATGAATGAGTGGGATTCTAGTAATATTTTAGTAACATTAAAACGATGTCTATTGATGGAAAACTAGCACCGGTGCAGCATTGATGGATCTGTGTCAGACACAGAGCTTCAAATCCAAATGCTGAGACTCGCATGCTGTACGATCTTGGAGCCTCAGTTTCCCCAACTGTAAAGGCAGGGTGACCCCATCTATGTCATGGGGTTGTTCTGGGGATAATGTGAAGAGAAGGCATATGGCATGCTCAGGATAGGGCCGGCTCTCGGAGGTGCTCGATACGTTTTGCTAAATCTGAGTGAAACTGCAGTCCCTGTTCCCCACACCCCCTCTCCTGTGTTGCATTCAATACCCCAAAGCCCTGCTACCTCCTTTGCTGACTGACCACGAGCAGGGGCTACTCTACAAAAAGAGCTCACGGCCAGGCACAGCGGCTCCCGCCTGTAATCCCAGCACTTTGGGAGGCCACAGTGGGCGAATCACTTGAGGTCAGGAGTTCGAGACCAGCCTGGCCAACATGGTGAAACCCCGTCTCTACTAAAAATACAAAAATTAGCCGGGCGTGGTGGCAGGTGCCTGTAATCCCAGCTACTCAGGAGGCTGAGGTAGGAGAATCGCCGGAACTCGGGAGGCAGGGTTGCAGTGAGCTGAGATTGTGCCATTGCACTCTAGCCTAGGCGACAAGAGTGAGACTCCAACTCAAAAAAAAAAAAAAAAGTTCCCAGTCTGAGGTCAGCAGCGCATTCCCCTGGGAGCCAAGCAGGGGTGAGGTGAATCAGGGTCAAGGCCTGTGTCAGACTTGATCCTGTGTCCACAGCCGCCTTGGACCTGTGCTCAACTGAGCCAAGCTCAGGCACCGCAGAGCAAGAGTGCCCTGCACTGCCTCTGAGGCCAACTCTGAAGATGACCCTCCCCTGCTCACACCAAAGGTCTTCTCCTGGGATGGAGGCCAGCGTGGCTTTCGTTTTCTTGCCACACTTTCAAGGTCATGTCCTGACCCTGTCATGGCCAGGTAGGCATGAAGACCTGCACAGTGATGGAGGCCATGCTCCAAGCAAAATTTAATGGGGTCTTGGGCAAGGTCTTCTGAAAGGCATTTGGAGAGCCTGGCTTGACGCACACCGAGTCCTGTCCTCATTCTGCAGAATCCATCTCTGACCTTTCCTGGGAAGGGGCCAGGGAGGGGTGGATTAATTAAAAGCTGAGGATCAGCGTGTGCAGCCTCTGCCCCTACCGTAAAGACAGCCTCTGCTGCAGCCGAGACCACTGGCATTTCCGGGGGCTGGAGCATGCTCAATGCCCTGCAGGGGAAGGAGGACGAGACTGGGAGGAGGTGGGAAGAAAAACTTCTGTCTGGTGTGGCCAAGAGAGCAACCTTGCAGCCTTTCTTCCCGGGGACCATTTTCAGAGCGAAGACGGAGAATGCATTAAAACTCCTGGTGCCGAATGGTGTGAACCCGGGAGGCGGAGCTTGCAGTGAGCAGAGATCGCGCCACTGCATTCCAGCCTGGGCAACAGAGCGAGAGTCCGTCTCAAAAAAAAAAAAAAAAAAGAAAAAGAAAAAAAAAAAAACAACTCCTGGTGCCTCCAGGGAAGGGGGCCTCTGAAAGACACCCACTTCCAGATCCTCTCCTCTTTCTCCTCTCTTCCCTATTTCACTCTTTTCCTCTTTTCTGCTGTGATCACCCCTGAGAACCTCAGAATCAAAGAAGTACCTGCCAAATATCTATGAAGAAAATCAGTTTGGAAAACAGACTCATTAGGGATCAAGCTTTGGCTCCAAAACCTACTAGCTAGAAGGCCGTAGAAGATTTTCTTTTTCTTTTCTTTTTTTGTTTGAGACAGTCTCGCTCTGTCGCCCAGGCTGGCGTGCCGCGGCGCAATCTCAGCCCACCGCAACCTCTGCCTCCCGGATTCAAGCAATTCTCCTGCCTCAGCCTCCTGAGTAGCTGGGATTACAGGCACGCGCCACCATGCCTGGCTAATTTTCGTATTTTTAGTAAGGACAGTGTTTCACCATGTTGGTCAGGCTGGTCTCAAACTCCTGACCTCATGATTCGCCCGCCTTGGCCTCTCAAAGTGATGGTATTACAAAAGCATGAGCCATTGCATCCGGCCAGAAGAATTTCTTAACCTCTCTCATCCCCATTTTATAGATGGGGAAACTGAGGCTAACACTACCCATCGAACATGGGTTGTTGGGAGGACTGATGACTCACGCAGGCAAAGGAATGAAGAGAGTGCCTGGCAAATTCCAAGTGCTAAATACATGCTAGCCGAAATGATTATCACTCCAAAGTGATGCAGTGTGTGTTCACACCTCAGTCTTCCCAACTACAAAATGGGCTTAATCTCCCCTCCCCAGAACACAGAAGAGTTGAGCTCTGGTAAATGTTTCCAAAACAAGTATCAGATGGGCGTGGGTGAGTGCTAGAGGGTGTCTGTGCATTTGCAAACAGACCAGCCTTTCCGTTGTTCTCAGGATAAATGGAAGACTTCCATAATTAGAACCTTAAGACATCACGGAATCTACTAAGAAGCTGATCCAAGTGTTGAAGCAGACGCCGGAAAGGGCACATGTTAGGGAGGCTGTGTGGGGGACAGGGACGCCTGGGGGAAGGCGCCGTCCTGGCTGCCTGTGCAACTCACAGAGGGTCAAGGACTCAGTGCTAAAAACCCCAGATGAGGACGAGAACATCAGTTCCTCGGGTGCAAAAAAAATTACTGCATAAAAAGCAAAGGGGACAAAGTTTGTTGCAAATGTGTAGACTGTCAGTCACCAGAACCCCAGACTTCAGGGCAGGTTCTGGAAACAATTCTATTTAAAAGGATCTCTGTGTTGGACTGTGAGTCACGGGGTTGCCAAGGAGCCTGGCCTTGCAGAGCCCCGCCCACGTGATACAGGGCTTGGTCAGGTGACTTGCTTTGGCCAATGAGATATCAGCAAGCACGACACAAGAGATGGTTTTAAGGCTCTTGTGCAAGGTAATTGAAGGATCTTAACGGGGAAACTGGGTATACAGCAACGCTCCGTACTATCTTAGAAACTTTTCTGTAAACCTCAAACTACTCTCAAATTAAATGATGATGATTATTAATTATTTTTAAAAAGTGCTTGTGGGCCAGGCACCATGGCTCATGCCTATAATCCCAGCACTTTGGGAGGCCGAGGCAGGTGAATCACTTGAAGTCAGGAGTTCAAGACCAGCCTGGCCAACACGGTGAAACCCCAGCTCTACTAAAAATGCAAAAATCAGCTGGGCGTGGTGGCGGGCGCCTGTAATCCCAGCTACTCAGGAGGCTGAGGCAGGAGAATCGCTTGAACCCAGGAGGTAGAGGTTGCAGTGAGCCAAGATCATGCCACTGCACTCCAGCCTGGGCGACAGAGTAAGACTCTGTCCCCCCACGAAAAATAATATAAAATAAAATAAAAAGTACTTGTGCATTAGGGCATGGGTTCTTTTTAGGAATCCAGCTGCCCTCTGAAGCAGCCAGGGTGAGGGTGCTGAAAGCAGGTCCAGTGGCAACTATAACAGAACAACAACAGAGCCTGGGCAATTCTTCCACCTGACCATCAATTATTATCAACTGGATCAAAATGTGGAGTCTAAGAAGCCTTTAAGGGGGATCTGTTAACAATATTTAAAAGCAGCCGGTAGTATGTAAGGAAGACATTCTGTCTGTAGAGTTAAACTTTGTGGAAGCTTCCAGTGAGTTCCGAGATTTACCAGCAAAGAGTCTTCTACGTCAGGGCTGTGGGACCGAGGGGCTGGCTCAGGGTGGGCCCCCTGCAGCAGCCCCGAGAGCCACCAGGCTAAAGAAACAGCAGTAGCTTCAAGCGTATGAATTTACTAAAGAGGAACATACACATTCAACCCCAGGTGATGAACTGCATAGAAGATGAACACGTCTTTGATGGAGGGAATGAGACTAAGAATGGAGTGCGGATGTGGGAAGGGACACAGGAAACATCAAGTAGCTTTTCAAACCCACACAGTGCTGTGGTGACAAGGATGTGTGTCTAAGAAAGCAAGTGGGCATGGCCGCCCCAGCACAGATGACACATCGTTCTATTCAACAGCCTCTCAGGCCACCTACTACCCCACTGTCTGCAGGCCTGGTGACATCTGCAAAGGCAGCCAGGGCATGGCTGCACCTGCTGGGAGCTTTAGTCTTCCAGCCCCACCGACCCCGCTGGACTTAAGACAGTCTCTGCAGCCTAGAACTCCTTGAAGCAGGAATGCCTATGGGATAGACTCTCATCTACAGGCCTGGTTGGCCACTTGGAAAAATAGGATTCAAGTAAGGTACACTGAGTGTGTCGTAGGTTTCAGGCATGTCCCTAGACTCTGAGCAGGGCCTGGAATGCTCTGAACCACAGGCATCGGCACAAGCTTTGGGGTAGGGAAGCTTTCAGGGAACATTTGGTGAATGAGCAAATTAAATAATAAAGTTGTGTTTCTTTCAGTGTAAGGCAGGTGACTCACTCTGTGGCAGGGAAAAGGCTCCCACAGGCCTTAGTCCTTCCAGTAAGGAGAGGAAACTCCGGATCCTTTCTTCTGCTCCATGCTCAGTCAGTGCTAGCTAACTCCACCCGCCCCGTGCTGGCTGCTGTGCCCTGCAGGCGTTTCTAAAGGAAACAGATGACCCTCACGTGTCCTAAGCCCTGAGAGAGGGCAGTGTTTAGGGCTGCCAAGTCCAGGGAAAGAGAGGGCCTGGTTCGTTTCCCATTCTTGTTGTAACAAAGTGACACAATGCAGTGGCTTCACACGGGGTCCCCAAGCCCCAGGCCATGGACTGGTACTGGTCCCTGGCCTCTTAGGAAGCAGGCTGCACAGCAGGAGGTGAGGGGCGAGCGAGCGAAGTTTCATCTGTATTTACAGCTGCTCCCCATCACTCACATTACCGCCGGAGCTCCACCTCCTGTCTGATCAGCAGCGATGGCATTAGACTCTCATAGGAGCACGAACCCTCTTGTGAACTGCGCATGTGAGGGATCCAGGTTGCGTGCTCCTTATTAGAATCTAATGCCTGATGATCTGTCACTGTCTCCCGTCACCCCTAGATGGGACCATCTAGTTGCAGGAAAACAAGCTCAGGTCTCCCACTGATTCTACATTAGGGTGAATTGTATAATTATTTCACTATATATTACAATGTAATAATAATAGAAATTTAGTGCACAAGAAATGTAGTGCATGTAATGCCCTGGAATCATCCCAAAACCATCCCCCAACCCCGGACACCTGGTCCGTGGAAAAACTGTCTTCCATGAAACCGGTCCCTGGTGCCTAAAAGGTTGGGGACTGCTGGCCTAACATAATACAAATTAATTTAATACAAATGAATGTTCTTATAGTAGTTCTGGAGGTCAAAGGTCTAAAATGGGTGTTACCGGGCTAAAACCCTGGTGTTGGCAGGACTGCCTTTCTTCTGGAGGCTCTGGGGAAAGCCTGTTTCCTTGTCTTTCCCAGCTTCTAGAGGTCGCCTGCACTCCTTGGCTTGCAGCCCCTTCCTGTGTCTTCAAAGCCAGCAACGGTGTGTCAAGGCCCCACATTGAATCCCTCTGGCCTCTGCTCCTCCGGTCACATCTCCTCTGACTCTCTCTTGTGCCTCCCCTTCTACTTTCAAGGGCCCTTGTGATCCACTGGGCCCACCGGAGACTCATCCCAGGGATATCCGATTGGCAAGCTTCGTTCCCCTTTGCCGTGTGACCTAACTCATTCACAAGTCCCAGGAATTAGGCTGGGGACATCTTTGGGAGAGGGGGACATCATTATTCTGCCAAAAACAGGCCCTGAGCCCATCGGACAGGGAAGCTGGTCCAGAAAGCTGCCTAGAGGATGCGGAGACTGAACCTGAAGCAGGCGGAAGAGTGACCATCTGGAGGCTGGGGGAGAGTAAAGTACAAATGCAGAGACCTTGAGGGGACAGAAGGGAGGTGATACCATAGGCACATCCAGGAGCCACACAGATGTAACCACACCACCATGTGCCAGAAGGACAGTGACCAGGCTGCAAAGGGAGGGAGAGGGAGGGAAACGAAAATGGGGACATCCTAAAACACCACACTTCACATAGTGACTCCTGCTGAAAAGCTCCAAGGTCCCTGAGCTTCTGGTGTGACCCTCGAGTTCACCGTGACCATCGCCCATCATCTGCCTGCATCAAAGCCTCAACATCAGGTGTCCCTTCCCACCTCCATGTGCAGACTAGTCTTCTAGCCTTTGTTCAAGCCATTTTCCGCCAGTAATACATATGCGGGGGCCGGGTGCAGTGGCTCATGCCTGTAATCCCAGCACTTTGGGAGGCTGAGTCGGGTGATCACCTGAGGTCAGGGGTTCAAGACCAGCCTGGCCAACATGGTGAAACCCAGTCCTATTAAAAATACAAAATTAGCTGGGTGTGGTGGCACATGCCTGTAGTCCCAGCTACTCGCAGGGCTGAGACAGGAGAA
This sequence comes from Homo sapiens, assembly GCF_000001405.40. Taxonomy (NCBI): domain Eukaryota; kingdom Metazoa; phylum Chordata; class Mammalia; order Primates; family Hominidae; genus Homo; species Homo sapiens. The sequence goes on along the minus strand of NC_000001.11, from coordinate 14,966,776 downwards.
TCGTCTGAACCCAGGAGACGGAGGTTGCAGTGAGCTGAGATGGCGCCACTGTACTCCAGTCTGGGTGAGACAGAGCAAGACTCTATCTCAAAAGAAAAAAAAACGTGGGTAAAATACCCATTTCAAAGTGCAAATTAGACCAGTGGATTTTAACGTAGCAGAGTACAAAGGATTAGGTTTCAGATGCGCACTGCAACAAACCTTCAAGAAACTACCACTGAATTTCAGCATGGTATCAAAGAACACCCACAATTATCTAACAAGGCAATTAATATAATCCTTCCTTCTCCAACTATTAATACAAAACTGCGTACGCCAGATTTTCAACCAAAACAACAATCACACTAGACAGACGGAGCAGAGATGAGAATTCAGCACTCTGCTATGAAGCCAGACACCAGTGAGTTTTACAAAAATGTTTAAAAAATAATGCTGCTCTTCTCACTCGAATCTGTTTGGGAAAATACAGCTACTTCTCATTAAAACATAACTATATTGGTGGGGCAAGGTGTCTCACGCCTGTAATCCCAGCACTTTGGGAGGCCGAGGCAGGCAGATTGCTTAAGGTCAAGAGTTCCAGACCAGCCTGGGCAACACGGTGAAATCCTGTCTCTGCTAAAAATACAAAAATTAGCTGGGCATGGTGGCGCGTGCCTGTAATCCCAGCTACTTGGGAGGCTGAGGCACGAGAATCACTTGAACCCAGGAGGCGGAGGTTGCAGTGAGCCGAGGTCACGCCCCTGCACTCAAGCCTGGGTGACACAGTGAAACTATCTCAAAAAAAAAAAAAAAAAGAAAAGGAAAGGAAAGAAAAAGATAACTGTACTTATGTTAACATATAATGCATTTATTATGATGATTTTAAAATAAATTACTAAAGATTTACATATTTTTTCTAGTTTTAATTTTGAAAACATTAATACTAATAGATCTAAACCATATGAGCAAAAGCCCTTTGGGGTCTTCAGTTTTGTAAAGATATAAAGTGGTCCTCAGGCCAAAGAGCTTAAGAAATGCTGTCTTATGAAAATAAACAGATTTACATACACAGATCTTTAAGACAGTGTTATATAATGGCAAACAAACAAACAAAAGACAGAGAGAGAAAAAAAGTGGAAACAACTTAAGTGTCTAATAATAGGGAAACGGCTAAATAAATTATGGTATCTCCATTTGGCAGAACATTATGTAGTCATTAAAAATTATGTTTTCAAAGAGTATTTATTGTTGTGGGAACACGCTCAAAACACCTGACATGCTGTTAAGAGATTTAAAAAGGAATGAAGCAAATTTTCACTATCATTGTTTCTGTGCTGCCTTGATTCGCGGAGAAATCATGAAATTGAGGAGGCCTGAGGAAATCAACAGACACCCCAAAGGGGTCCCCCAGGCTACACGCTTACCACATGTGCTGGGCAGGGCTCATGCAGTTTATACATAAGATGATACCATTGATGAGCTGGGCTTGGTGGCTCATGCTTGTAATCTCAGCACTTTGGAAAGCCGACCCGGGCAGACTGCTTGAGCCCAGGAGTTCCAGACCAGCCTGAGCAACATGGCAAGCCTCCGTCTCTACAAAAAAATACAAAAATTAGCCGGGCATGGTGGTGTGTGCCTGTAGTTCCAGCTTCTCTGGAGGCTCATTTGAGCCCGGGAGGCAGAGGTTGCAGTGAGCTGAGATTGCACCAGTGTACTCCAAGCCTGGATGACAGAGTGAGACTCTGTCTCAAAAAAAAAAAAGAAAAAAATATATATATATGTCTTAAACAATCATTCAGGCTTCTGCCTTTAAGCTCATGATGAGACCAAAATTCAAAACCAAATATTCCCACACTCATTTCCAAAGAAACAAAGGAATCTTCTAAGCCCCCGTTTTTCCCAAACAAGATTCTTTCCATTGCTTTTGTGTTGTAACCGCAGACTGATGTTTTGGGTGCCTGCTTGAGTTCCTGTTCCTCTCACATGCTAGAAATTTCGGGTCTCATTCAAACACAAAGACGGTGGGGCAGTTAGTTGGAGAGAGAATCTGCCAGGGGGCAAGTCTTTGGGGGCTCTGCTTTTTCCCACATTAGGGACACTGGATGTTAACAAGCGTCGCCCAACATCTGCTGCTTGCTCGGCTTGTGCGTTTATTCCCCCTCTCCTCATTATGGGCATATAAATCCCTTTCCATGCCCTGGACTCCTTCTGCCCGCATCTGTCTGCAATTTACTCACCATGTGCTGTGGCTGGTGAAGCATCTTATTTATGACTTTGTAGAATTCCAGGCAGGATGCTCGTGGTGGCTGAAGGTGCCAACTCACTGCCTTTCAGGAATGCCGCTACCTTGAGCTTGGATGGGCTCAAGGGGTGGTCTCAGGTCTGGGCCACCCCTCATGAGAATCAGACAAGCAACATCTCCAAGCAGATCTCAGTATTGGCACTAATGGTACTACACACCAGGCCATGCACTTTACACCTCAATCTTCACAACAATCCTATGAAGTAGCTACTGTTTATTAGTCCCAATTATAAGAAAAACAGGCATTGTTACTATTACCCTCAGCAAAGGAATCATGGGGCAGGGAGGTTAAAGAATGTATCCAAGCTCTAGAACCAGAAATACCATTTGACCCAGGAATCCCATTACTGGGCACATACCCAAAGGATTATAAATCATTCTACTATAGAGACACATGTACACGTATGTTTACTGCAGCACTATTTACAATAGCAAAGACTTGGAACCAACCCAAATGCCTATCAATGACAGACTGGATAAAGAAAATGTGGTACATATACAACATGGAATACTATGCAACCATAAAAAAGAATTAGTTCATGTCCTTTGCAGGGACATGGGTGAAGCTAGAAACCATCATTCTCAGCAAACTAACACAGGAACAGAAAACCAAACACCACACGTTCTCACTCATAAGTGGGAGTCAAACAATGAGAACATGTAGACGCAGGGAGGGGGAACATCACACACTGGGGCCTGTTGGGCAGTAGGGGGCAAGGGGAGGGACAGCATTAGGACAAATATCTAATTAAAACCTAGATGATGAGTTGACAGGTGCAGCAAACCACCATGGCACACATATACCTATGCAACAAACCTGCACGTTCTGCACATGTAACCCAGAACTTAGAGGAAAATAAAAAAGTAAACAACAACAACAACAAAAAAATGCATCCAAGCTCACATAGCCAATAAATGGTAGAGGTGGGATTCAAGCCCCCAGATCTGACTTGAGTCTGCTGTCACCGCCACTGAAGTAAGAATGGCTTCTGTCTCTGGCATCTGGGCCAACTTCCTTCCCTGCGACCATACCCAGAGGGAAGATGAGGCGTGTCTGTGCAGTGGGAAAAAGTCTCTGCTTCTGCTAATTAGCTCTGCCACCCTGGTCAAGTTATTTACTTTCCCTGAACCTCATTCAGGTGTCTCCACCTGAGAAATGGGGTTTCTAGCTCCTGGCAGGATTGAGGTGAATGGTAAGTCACGTACTTAGAAGAGTGTTGGCACCCAGTAGGTGCTCAATAAAGCTTCCTTTTCAAGAATACTGACAAGTCCTTGTTGCTTATATTAATACTCCTACAAAGGGGTGGATCTCTGCGTCCCTGGGCAAGGCCAAAGATCTTTGGTGGTGGATAAGAAATCTTACAGCACAGAGTTAGTAAAGATTGCCTGTACAGCTCTGTGCCTTGTGGGCTAAAGGGAGGAGGATGTACATTATGACAACAGCAGGAACTAACTATCACCTTTCCAGACATTACCTCGTTTCATTCTCACAACCTCCTGCAAAGCCACTGTTAATGTCCAATCACTCAGATCAGGAATGGAGAGGCTAGGTTGTACATCCTAGATTGTAGGTTTAAAGAGGCTAGGTTGTAGCCTCCAAGGAGCTGGGGATGGTAGTGTAAGTGAGCCTCTGCTTAACTCCCGCCGCCGCCATCCCTGTAGGCCCAGGAACCACTAAGGGAGGTTTTTCTCCTCCTTGCAGATCCAGAAGAGCACATAGGGGTGAGAATCCTGTACCTGGTCAAAGACGTGGAGGTTGGCGTCTCTGTCCCTGGGACACAGAATGGGAAAGGTGATTGAACAGCATCTGGCTGCTTCCTGAGCCAGTCCCTACTCTCCACTACATGATAAAGCTTGGCAAGACCAAACGACAACAGCTTGCACAGCCTGAGCCCAGCAGCACTTGCTTGTGGGAGATTCCCGAGACTTGGGTCTCCATCCTGAGAAGGAGAATGGATATTACAGGATCCTGGGAAGCTGGGCGTGGAGGATGGCTCACACAGATCTGCCTAGACTGCCGGGTGGCTGCATAGAGGAAAAGTACGCCTACTTGGCAAAATGACTTCCCAGGCATGCCATGTCAGCTGGGCCACAATGCACCCCAATGTCTATTACAGCTTCAAAAGACCACCCAAAATGCTGCCGCCGTGACCCCACCAGAAACAAGACCCCAGAAGAAGAGGGTCATCTACCTGCCTTGGAAAGCAACATGTACTGCTGAAAAGAACACTTGTCAAGAGTGCTGTGACACTCTGGATACGGGCTCACCCTCAGCTGAGGACTTCCCAGGCTTTCTGGGGGATAGTCAGCTGGGCACTGGACAGATAGCCTTCTTGGCCTGCTGCCCACATCACACCCCTTGTCAGGGAATTGGCTCTCACTGAGCCGATTAACTGTCCAGCAAAATCCATTCTCTCTTTTACCCTGTTAGAGTCCTAGCTGGGACAAGGCCACCTAGCTAGAAACTACATTTCCCAGAACCCTCTGCATCTAGGAATGGTCACATGACCAAGCTCTTGCAAAGGCAAATCTCTGGCCCTCCATTCTGGCTCTTTCCCTGGGGTCTCTCAGGGAAACACATACACCCAACCGGCCTCAAATGCTCACTGTGGGGTGGTAAAGGAAGAAACAGATTCTTTAAGCCTCTGTGTTTTGGGGTCTCTTTGTTACAGCAGCATGGTATTAACCTAATTAATAAACCTGCTTTAGCTTCAGAAACAACATTTTTAAAGAGGATTCATTGTTCTAGTGAATGGTAAGTGGAAAGAAGGTTGCAAAGCTTTATTGTCTTTTCTAGAAGAAGCAAAGACACTGAGGGGGCTTAAGAGAATCAATGCAGACCCCAAAGGCTGTGTTTTCCCCAGATGTTTCATGCCTGAGTTCTCCAAGCACTGTGGAGTCCACTGACAGGTTACATGATGGCTTCCAACCTTTCTCAAATAACCCGCTGAGACCCTTCTTCCAGCCCCATAGAATGTGGCAGTGCCTCCCGGGAGAGAGGGATGTGGGTCCCTCCAGGGAAACCAGGCTGAGCATGTGGACAGCGGTTTCCTCATCTCCTAAAGCAATTTCTGGCTGAAGACACACCAGCCACATGGTAGTTACGGGTCTGTGGTCCTTGTCTTCAAGAGACCCCCTGGACACTACACCATGTCATCTTCCAACTCCTTCCTCTGGGCCCAGGAGAGCCCATCATGGTGAGCAAGAGGGACGCATGGGACACAGACATGTCCTCCAGCAGAGAAATCAGCGTAGCCACACTATGCCCTGAGTGGAGGCACCGAAGGACCCCAAGGGTGCTGGGTAAGAGAGACTCGGCTGCTGGGTCAGCGTCCTGGTCCAGCCAAGATGCCCATCCACCATTCACACCCCAGAAGGAGACACCTCACATCCAGCCATATGGACAATGTGTGATGGTCACACTGGAGGAAGGAATGGCATCTGCACCCAGCCCACAAGATGCAGAATTCCACTCGAAGAAGGGACAGGGCAGCCACAGCTGGAGGTGGGTGCTGGGAGACCCCTGTGTCCATCTGCGTCACTTCCCCTGCATGGGGAGGACTCCAGATCCCTGGGGCCTGAGCTCCCAGCGAAGGAACTGCTGCTGACTCGTCACTCACCCTGCAAGGCTTCTTTGGCTCTGGCTAGCTCCTGCTCCTTCTGGGCCAGCTGGACCCTGAGCTCGGTGGCCGAGAGGACCTCAGAGGACTTGCCGCCCTGCGACTCCTCCAGGTCCTTCGCCAACATCTCCTTCATCTGCCGGAGAAGGTGAACTTCCTCCTGGAGCCGCGACACTTCTTCCCGCAGGAGCACTAGGGGAGAAGGGCACAGGGTTAGAGGACAGGAACGTCTCTGCCGCTCACTCGCATTTTCTGGGGATGGTTTGAGGTGGCTTTGGCTTTTTTGTTTGCTCTGCATTCAGGGCCTTTCCTACATGTGTGAAGGGAGGCCACTGCCTTATTCCAAAGAGCCTCAGCACCAATTCTAGGCCCCACCCACAGTCTGCAGAGCTCACCTAGTGAGACCCCTCCACCACGACTCCCGAGGACTCCACTGCCGCTGTCCTGCACTCAGAGTGTCCGCTCTGGTGGCCGACGGTCTTAGGAGTTAGCATCATAACCATGAGCCAACAGCATGCTGAGTTGAGTTTCATATGCATTATCTCATTTAAGCCACCAAAACCTTCGGATGCAGGGACCATCATAACCCCATTTTATAAATTAGGACATCGATGCCCAGAGAGATTAAGTAACTCCAGGTGGTCATAAAGTTAGTACATAGCAGAGCTGGGAATTGAACCAAGGCCTGGCTGACTCCACAGCCTGGACTCCCAGTCTCATGCTTGGGAAACAGCCATAGAAAGGCATATTCAACACATTTTGCAAAACACATACCCTCGAGGAGCTCAGCACTGTGTACAAACAGAACTTGTGCATTTGCACCTGACTGTCCTGCAGGAAAATAGGGTCTAATGAGCAGTGACAAGGTGACACCGTGGGCAGAGGTTTCTGCAGCACTTAAATCCAACCCTACATACAGTGAGGCCCCAGAAATGGGGCCAAGGAGAACACGGTGTCTCCTCAGGCTGTGGGGTGCCTCAGGAAGCGACCCAGAAGGTGCGCCATCCTCCCAAAGTGAGAGCCGTGTCAACCAAGGTATTGTCAGCTTCTCAGTCCTGCGGGCGGATAGACACACCCATGCCCAGGTCAGCTCACCTGGGCAATAGTGAAAACAGAACTGCTAAGGGGTGCTGGAGGCAGTGATCAGGCTGTGCACAGGCGCCAGGCTACGTGTACCTCTGCATAACTCTTAGGAGAGTGCATTAAGAGAAGGAGGAAACCTCACTTAGGAGACCGTGGAAGGACATACTGAAATATTCATTAAGCAGGTCCCCTTGAGAATAAACAGACAAAGGTACCACACTCACCAGCCGCATGCTGGTCACCGGGCCGCCCCCACCCTCCGCACACTGCCTTCCCCTTCCTTCATTTTACATCTCAGAGGGACCTGGGGAGGGGACAAGGGCAGCCCTGGCTGGGGCCAGGCCTCTGCCTACATCCTCTCCCTCTTCCCACCTGCAGCCACACTGGTCCCTCTCTCTACAATATGCCACACTCTTTCCAGCATAGGGCCTTTGTCTCTGCAGTGCCCTCCACCTGAACACCCTTTCCTGGTTCTTCCTGTGGCTGCCTCCTCATTGTGACACAAGCGTCTACTCCACATCACCTGCGTGGAAGGGTCTTCTCTCACCGCCCTGTGTGATGCTGTATTTATCTGTCTCTTTCCCAAACTCAATGTTGGCTCTAGGGGCGGGTGGGGGTGCAGGGCTGTCTGTGTCCATCACTGCTATGGCGGAAGCTCAGCACAAACTCTGCCCCGCCTCCCTGCACCCCGGCCTCCTTCCTCTTTGCTCTTTCTCCGCAGCACTCATCAGCGCCTGTCATGCCCTATGGATCTGTTTATCCACAGGCTGGCTGTAAGGCCCAGGAGGGCGGGAACTTGAGTCTGTTTTGTCCATGGCCGCATCCTCATGCCTAGAACAGCACCTGGCACCTGGCTGCCCTCGAGAATGAACAGACGAAGGCGCCGCACTCACCAGCCTTGCGCTGGCCACCTGGCCGTCCCACCCTCTGCACGGACTCCTCCCCTCCCCTCCCCACACTGCCTTCCCCTTCCCTCCATTCCAGATCACAGAGGGACCAGGGGAGGGGCCAAGGGCAGCCCTGGCTAGACCGGACACATGCAGGTAGAGCCAGGAGCGTCCCTGCTGGTAAAAGGGGATGTGTATTCCCTGGAGGTCTGGTGCACAGTCCTCGCCCCCGAGGGTCATGGAAGGGGCGTGGCTGGGGGCACAGCTTTGGAGTCACCAGGTCTCCGGCCAGGCATGTGGTGGCTGTCCCACCCTGCTGAGCCTCGGACACTGCATCTGTTAAACGGGTCTAACCCTCATTGGCTGTGAGGCTCCTCGGAGGCATTGGAAGTGCCCCTCCTCATAAAGGAAGTGCTCCATGTACACAGGAAGTGCTCCATGTATATAAGAAGTGCTCCATGTACCCAGGAAGTGCCTTGTGTACATAGGAAGTGCTCCATGTACACAGGAAGTGCTCCATGTATATAAGAAGTGCTCCATGTACCCAAGAAGTGCCCTGTATACATAGGAAGTGCTCCACATACACAGGAAATGCTCCATGTACCTATGCAAGATGTGCTCCGTGAATGCCATGTACACAGAGAAGGTCCAATATTGGTAATGCACTGCCCTTTCCTAGATGCCCTACCCTCGCCATCAGTGCCTGCTGGCAATCTCTAAGGCACTACAACCCTCTGGACTACTAGGGATCCACTGGCCTCGAGGCTGAGCGGGCAGAGCCAGGTCCAGGGGAGGGAGCAGGCAGAGGGGGAGCAGGGCTGAGCCCTGAGGATGGGGCGCCTCTCTCCCACCAGCGGCCTTGGGAAAAGGTGGTGGCAACTCCAGCCCCTGTTCCCTCATCCATCTCACATCACTTCCTGAGGCCACAATGGGCCCAGCCACCCCTGTAAGGAGAGGAGGCCTCCCAGGGCACCTCCCTGCCCTCCCAGCTCCTCCTAACCCGAGTCCTTCCTCCCCACAGAAGCCCGAGGGCGCCTCTGAGGTGCAAGGCACATCTCACTCGGTGCCGACAGCCTCCCCGCCCCACCTAGCATATTAGCTGCCTCTTTGGCCCTGTCTGAGGCCTCCTTCAGGATGCCAGCTTCTCTCAGTTCTGGAAGGCGCTAGACTCGCCACACCTCAGGGCCTCCGCAGAGCTGTGACCTGCCTGGGAGCTCGTCTCCCCTCTTCATGATTTCCTTCCCATCAGCCTGTCTCAGCCTCACTGTCACAGCCTCAAGAGACCTAAAACGGCTCCGCTCCTGTCCAGCGTCAACAGCACGGCAGGCAACCCGGACAAAACCCCGTAGTGACGTGGAGGCTCACTCGCTCCCCAGCGGCGTGCTTGGTGGACACAGGATCCGAGAGCGGGGCCCAATCGCATATCCTGCCTCGTCTCCTTCACTGTTGGGTCTTCAGCGCTGGAAACAGTGACTGCGCGACACATCACGGGCACTCGGTAACGTCTGTCGAATGGCTCCATCCACCCAACATGGAGAGGCCCCTGCCTCATACCATGCACGGCTCTAGGCACGGGGGCACTGGGGTGAATGCCCCAGACAGGCCCCACTCTCAGGCTAGTGCTCCTGGACCCCACGGTCAAAGGATCCCCAAATCTCATATGCCATGGAGGCAGCAAGTCTCTTAGCAAAACTCCTAAGTAGGAGGTTTGCTTTTGGGGCCATGCCCCTGCTCTCATTCCGGGTAAACATTTGGGGCCCACCTACATTCCAGGCCAGGAGAGAGAAGGAAAGACTCCTGGCCTCAAGAAGCCTCCAGCAAATAGACGCACACACGAAGAAACAGAACACGGAAGGGCCCACATCTGCTCAGAGCACTCGGACACCCTTGAGAAGTTGGCGGCATTCCAGATGGACCCTAGAGGATGCGACTGGGGAAGGAGGAAATGGTGTGAGCAAAGGCGGCTGCAAAGCTGGAGGGTCTTGAGTGACCAGGAAATGGGTGCCAGGTGAGGAAGAACAGGAGGAAGGCTGGAGAGGTCAGATTATAAAAGGCCTCAGCCCCAACCACCCCTCGGTGCTCCCACCTCAGCTCACTGTCTCTAGCAGTCGCCAAGGCTGGAATTTTCTCCTCTCGATCAATACTCTTCAATCTACCATCCTGCCAGGGCCCCTCTTCCCTGCTTGGCTGTCACTAAGAGTCTATTTCACAATAAGGTGTGAGTGACTGCTAACAGTATGTCCATTGTCACACAGGTAGAAGAGGCAGGTTTGTTTTTGTTTAATTTTTTTTTTTTTTTGAGATAGAGTTTCACTCCTGTTGCCCAGGCTGGAGTGCAATGGCACGATCTCAGCTCACTACAACCTCTGCCTCCCGGGTTCAAGCAATTCTCCTGCCTCAGCCTCCTGAGTAGCTGGGATTACAGGCTACAAACCCGCCACCACGCCTGGGTAATTTTTTGTATTTTTAGTAGAGATGGGGTTTCACCATGTTGGCTAGGCTGGTCTCGAACTCCTGACCTCAGATGATCCACCTGCCTCAGCCTCCCAAAGTGCTGGGATTACAGGTGGGAGCCACCGTGCTGGGTCTTTTTTTTTTTTTTTTTTCAGTGACTTCTGGGTCTCTTCCAACCACCCAAGGAAGCCACCAAGATTGTTTACTATTGTCCAGGAAGAAGGCAAAGGATTCCAAGAGACTTGGCTTCAAACCCAGGCCTGGCCGGGGCCTTGTCTTGACTTTGCATAAGCCTCGTGTCACTTCTCTGGGTCTCAGTTGTCATGTATGCTGCACAGATGCCACCCACTTAGGGTTGCCAGAGTAAGCAAAACAAAACAAAGTAATGCCAAACAAACACCCCTAGACGCACAGTTAGATTTGAATTTCAGATAAACAACAAATCATTTTCAGTATATGTCCCAACCTATATTAAAAATTGATTCAGCACGTATCTGAAATTTAAATTTAACTGGGCATCTTGTGTTTAATGCCAGCAGTGCTACTCTCATCTCACGGGGATTTTGACACCATGAAATGGGGCAACCAGGGGAGCAGGCTTTGCCTGAGCACTGCACAGGAGGGAGGCGGGGCAGGCACAGGAAGGGCATCTGCCAGGGTCTTCTCTGCACCCTGCACTCAGATGAGAGCAGAGAGTGAGATGGAGCTGGGTGCCATGTGCCTTTCTCTTTGACTAACAGTGGCAAAGGCAGATTTTTTCCTGCGTGCACCTTCCTAACAGGTGTACCTGATGCCTAAGCCCTGCCCCTCCAGTCAGGCTGTGAGTAAGTTGATGGGAGCCTCCAGGGCGGGTCACCAGGTGCGGCACCTGCAGGAGCCAAGTCTTAGGAGACCAGGCTGGAAAAACAACTCCATGGAAAGAGAGAGGCTTATCGGAGCTTGCTAACTGCATCTGCCCCAGCTGGGCATGGAGGCCCAGGTCTCGCATCCCCCAGACTCTTCCAGGAGTGGAGACAGCCCTGGTACTGCAATCTCAGCCTAAGCTCCAAGAGCACAGCCTCTCAATTCACCAGCTCAGGGGCCACCAGCAGGCACTTCTCCCTGGGCCTCGGTGGCCTCACCTGTAAAACGGGGGAGATGGGAATAAATAAGACATGCGTAAAGCGCTTACATGTGCCTGGCACACTGAGCACTGTGTCCACAACTCACCTTCCCCTCTGCACTGACGGGACCAACCACATTTCTGAAGAAACAATAAAGAAGCTGCCGTTGGAAGACTTGTGTTTCTTTCTCAGAGGAAAGATTACGTTGCTGTGTGACCTTGGGCCGGTCACTGTCTCTCTCTGGGCCTTCACAACATGGGTTCCCTTAGAGGGACCCACTCTTTATGAGTCTAGATGAATGCTACCGATTTTGTGTTTCTCCCCTCATGGGCAGGGTCTATAGCTGCACTGCTTAGTATGGTACCTGCTAGGCACAGGTGACTATCTTTTCTTTTTTGAGATGGAGTCTCGTGCTGTCGCCCAGGCTGGAGTACAGTGGCGCGATCTTGGCTCACTGCAAGCTCTGCCTCCTGGGTCCTGGGTTCCGGCCTCAGCCTCCCGAGTAGCTGGGACTACAGGCGCCTGCCACCACGCCCAGCTAATTTTTTCTATTTTTAGTAGAGATGGAGTTTCACCGTGTTAGCCAGGATGGTCTCAATCTCCTGACCTTATGATCTGCCCGCCTCAGTCTCCCAAAGTGCTGGGATTACAGGTGTGAGCCACTGGGCCTGGCCACAGGTGACTATCTTACGTATAAATTAATTAAAATGAAAAACTCAGTTTCTCTAGCCACATTTCACGTGCACCCACGTGGCTAGGAGCTAGGGTACCGGACAGTGCAGATCCAGACCGCTGCCATGACTGCACGAAGCTCTCCTGTTGGCACTGGGCTAGAGGGTGTGAGATGAAGATGGTATTTGTTAAGCATCTGGTACAGCTCAGGCTGATGACCCAATGACAGGAGAAAGCCATTTGCCAAAGGCAAGACAGCTACTGAGGAAGGAGTCATCCTTACTGGAGAAAACTTTCTTGGCCTTTGCCCAAGGACAAAAAACTCTCCTGGCCTTTGCCCAAAGACTGATTGGGTACCTTTCTGCTGACGCTGGGGAACCACAGTGCCCTCAGGCCTCTAAGTAGAGGGGCCCAAAACCCATAGACTTAGCAGAGTTCTCTTGGCCATGGTAGCAGGAAGTAAACATTGTCTGGGAAACGGTGGCCCTCCTGCCCCAGGGAGCCAACTGTTACCAATGGTGCTGCCCTCAGGGGGGATAATGATACCAGCTGGCAGGCCATGCAGCAGGTCCCCAGGGGCCTCCTCCCCAAGGGAAAGGGGGTGTGGTGTACCCACTCAGAGGAAAGGTCCATACCAGGTGGCAAAGGGAGCTGGGGCAGACCCTTGCCCTTCTGCAGCCCATCTCCTTTAGTTTGCAAAAGCAATGAGTCCCACTTTCTAAAAATGCTATTTTCAGCTTCCCTTGCAGCTAGGGTTGTCCATGTGACACACTTCTGGGCAGTGAGGTGCAGAAAAAAGTCCTTTAGGAGGAATGACTCTTACAAAAATAAGGCTTTACCTCTTTCTCCACCTTTCTCCACTTTCTCCACTTCTGGGAAGTGGACTCAATGGCTAGAGCTACAGCAGCCACCTTTTAACAGAAGGCGACCTCTCAGACTGCTAAGACTCTTGGTGAATCGTAGGTTTGTAAATCCAGCCTCCCCAAGCCAAAGGTCTAAGTAACAATAATATTATGATTATTATTTATTATAATAACAATTACATCTTTCTTAACACTTATTGAGCACATACTATATGTTCTAAGCTTTGCTGTATTTTACCTACTTAACTAGTTTAATTCTCACAGTAGCTCCATGAAGCAGATCCTATTTTATCATCCACAGTTTATAGATGGGGAAGTTGAATCACAGAGGAGTTAAATGGCTTGGCCAAGGTCACACAGGGTGAAGAGCAGAGCCAGGGTTTGGACACAGATGGTCTGGTTCCAGCACCTCCAGCCTCAACTCCCACACTACCACCTTCCAAAAGGAGAGGAGCAAGGTCTGTGGGTGACACAAGGGCTTCCTGAACCAGCAGGGCCCAGGTGGCAACCAGGCTTGGCTTGGTGGATGCCAGCAGAGGGGGGCATGCCCCTCAGCAGGGTATGAGTGAGTCAGCCACTCAGCGCATGGTGGTTCTGGCCCTCCACTGGGGACACTCCCCACACAGCCCCTGGAGAAGGGTGTGGCCATGGAGTCAGCCTGTCCATTCCATGAGGGCAGGGACTCTGTTCTGCTCACACCCAACACCCGACACCATGCTCTGTGCCGTGTTCTTGGGAGGCACGCAGTGCAGTTCTGAGGCGGGCATGCAGGTTTGGGGTCAGCCAGCTGGGGCTCAGTCTTGGCTCCCCCACTTCCCAGCTATTTGACCTGTGGACAAGCAACCTCTGATCTCTTATCTGAAAATGGAGCCAAGGCCAGTCTCTCAGGCCTGCGGTAAACATTAAACAAAGCAATCATCTCAGTGGAAACTCTCCGGAAGGTTCTACATGAGGGTCAAATGTAGCTCATCATGATCATTTCGGAAAAGGGCAAACCTCCTTGATCTTCCGGAGGAAAACCTTGGCCTCACTAAATGCAGAACCCTGACCTTCGGGCTTCCCCAGCCCAGGAAGGTGGATGAAACAGCAGAGATGAATGTGCTGAAGGCTGAGCCATCAAGTCTAGAGAACTAGGGAAGCAGAGAGCTTGGGGGGCTCTGAGTGGAGTCCAGGCTTGGAGGGACCGTCCCCAGCTGACCATCGGGGTGGACACCCTGATCAACAGCCTCACGCCCAAATATCAAAACTCACTGAACACAAACTGTACACTAAAGAGCTGAGCATTTCACTGTATGTGAATTATACCCCAAGAAAAAAAAATCTAAATATAGCAGTAGCATGTTTCAGATTTTCCATTAAAAACTCATTTTTATAGCCCTCCCTGCAAAATAAATCCAGATACACAACCAATCAACCCCCTATTCTCCAGCAGGCCCCCGTGAAAGGGGTATCCTGGTCTAAACCCCATCCATCTTGGTGGCTTTGTGGATAGCGAGGGGTCTGTGTGACCAGGAAACACTAGTGTGTTTGCTTGAGACACACACACACACACACACACACACACACACACACAGTGGGAAAGAAATCAGATGCCTAGAGAATGGTCCCACACCCACCACAGTCAAATGGAAGTCACTTCCAAGTGACAAGAGCTCTGTATTGACCTGCCACTGTCTCCATGAAGCCTTGCAGAGACCATGGCTGCTGCCACCCCTGAGCAGGTGGATGCCATGTGCTGGATGACAGCCCTCATCTCATGACCCCATGTAGGGTTGCGGTGGTCCCCGCCTGAGGCTCACAGACATTGGCAGGGCACGGGATCAAGCCCAGGTCTGCTGGGCTCTGCGGCCGCCCTGCCATGCACTGGTCCAGCAGCACCTAGGAGGTTGTGAGTGCTCCCTTGGCCACCACTCTTGCTATTATTGAGTTGGGCCCAAATCAGGTCCAAATGTGATCTTAGTACACTGGAATGATGCTTATCCTAAAAATAAGGAATCATATTGCCCTTGGAGGGTTAAAGCTTTAAGACAGAGACACAGATGGGTATGGTGGCTCATGCCTTAATCCCAGCACTTTGGGAAGCTGAGGCGGGTAGATCACCTGAGGTCAGGAGTTCGAGGTCAGCCTGGTCAACATGGTAAAACCCCATTTCTACCAAAAATACAAAAAATTAGTCAGGTGTGGTAGCGGCCACCTGTAATCCCAGCTACTTGGGAGGCTGAGGCAGGAAAATTGCTTGAACCTGGGAGGTGGAGGTTGCAGTGAACCGAGATTGTGCCATTGCATCCCAGCCTGGGTGACAGAGCGAGGCTATGTCTAAAATAAATGAATGAATGAATAAATAAATAAAATAAAAATTAAAAAAAAAGACAGAGACACAATGACTCTCATGGGCAAAGTCATATTAAGAGACAGGGACTCCCAGGACCCCAAGGCTAAGCAGTGACAGGATGAATGTTATTAACGTATTCAACAAAGCAGGTACCCAGCAGAGGAGGGGAGTTCTGAAAGGAAGAATCAGAGATGAGGAGGCCGGCAGAGCCCACTGCCCAGGGCAGAGGGGATGGGAGTCTTTGCCAGTGGACTAGGGCACCTCCTCGGTTCTGTACTTGTGTGGGCATAGCACGTGGCAGGAAAGAAATGCATCTTTGCTCTGATCTTGAATGTGCTTGTCGCCTTTGCCCAGGTGATAACAGTTATGCTTTCTGAGCCTTTCACATGTGTTGAGATTGACTGAAATCTTCATGTGCATGAATTCTCAATCCCCTTAAAAACCCTAGGGGATGTCCCCATTTTACAAAAGAAACTGAGCCACAGAGAGAACATGCAGTTAAACATAGGAAGTTTGCTGTTGCTTGTAACCACTGAGTTATTCCCTTTCTCCTGTGGGTACTGCTGCCAGACTCAAGACACCCTGCAGGTAGACAAAAGCCCTGTGCACTCTTCCTTTCTGGGCCTGCAGCTGGGCAGACAACCCTGAAACCCTCCCTGGAGAGTTACCCCCATTTCCATCTTTTCCCTGGACTGGGAGGCCTGAGGTCACAGAACCTCAGTGTCTTTGCTCAGCTGACCCAGCATCTGAGTGGGGTTGGGAGTCTTGGATTAGCTCAGCCCAGGGCCGCCGCAGCAGCCACACTGGCTCTCTACTGCAGACCCCTCCAAAGCCTCCTGAAAGCTCTGTATGTGACCACAGCTGCCACAGGGAAACTCAGCTCGCAGCGTCCTAAGCTTAATGATTTGCCTGTGGAGTGAGAAGTCTGCCAGTGTAGGCTGGAAAATGCCAGCCTCAAGCCCATGTTTCTGTTGGCCATCCTGAGCCTTCGGGGAGAGGTAAGCCTAGGCTTGGCGTCACTCCCTCTGTGGGGCTGACCCTCTCAGGCCCAGCCTGGCCTCCCCTCTCCTGCCTGGTCCCTGCATGGGGAGCTGGAAACAGCCCCATCTTCTTGAACCACCTCTGTCCCCATTTGCCAAACGGACCCTCCCATCCCTCCCTCAGTCCCCAGGGTTGCAGGCAGGCAAGAACAGGAGCCTGGCTTGGTGGAGATTTCCATGTCCTCTGGGCCTGTGTCATATGATCCTGACACTCGGTAGGGGGTGATGGGAAGCAGTACAGCAATCCCCAAATAGGAGAAGACTCTCAAATAACACCCACCCACTCCTCCACAGGGTTTCTTCCACGGCGCTCCCCAGCCCGGAGAGCCGCTTGGTAATTCTTACTACGGGTGGGTGTGGAGGGTGCAGGGACTCAGGTAATACAGCCTTTGTCCTTTTCTCATATTGCACAGTAACTGTTTTTTCCGTTAGGTGGTGTTGAAACCGTCTTCCGTGCAGAGGCTCTTCCGGTGAAGCCGCTGGCCTGTAAACACACCTTTAGCCAGACCCTCCTCGGTGCCCTGAGTGCCAAGCGGATCCTCTTCTACCATCTTGCTGCCCAGAGTTCCCATGGGGAGATGGGCCCACCCAGCTCCACACCCCAGAAAACCTGTACTCTCCTGCATGCCTTCACCCACCCCTCACCAAACACAGGCTGGGCAGCAACCATGTCGCTGTCCTGGAAGGGTGACAGTCACAGGCTCAGAAGCAGGGATGTCCTGGGGAAGTCAAGGAATCGCAGACCTCCAGCCCCACTTCACCTGAGGATTGGCACTGCAGGACGCAGCCCCCTGGGGTCTGCCGGAGGTTTGGGTAACACCTTCATGGCAGAGGCTACAAAAATCACTTGGCAGGTGCTTCTGGCACCAGGAGGAATGTGAATCTCGAAAAACACCATCTGGGTGGGGGTGGGAGAGGCAGGCACCTGCCTGCCACCAGAGTGGCTGGGTTCCCGACTGCTGGTGGCAGCAAGGACTGCTCAGTCCCAGAGCCCATGGCCAGGCCTCCTTGATGACTTATGAACAGTCTGCTCCTACCTACTTGGGAATTTGCTTGGGCAGGAGGGATGGGGAAGTGCTGGCCTCTGCTCAGGGCCTGGCCAGCTGCCTCCTCCAGCCCTCAGTGAGCACATTTTCTTTTTCTTTTTTTTGTTTTTAAGTTAGTATTTATTAACTGTTGTTTTAATAAAGGAATGTTTTTTTCCCTTTAATCCCAATTCAGTTGCTTAATGTAAAACCACAGACAAATTACTTATTATTATTATTATTATTATTATTATTATTATTTTTGAGTCGGAGTCTCACTCTGTTGCCCAGGCTGGAGTGCAGTGGCATGATCTTGGCTCACTGCAACCTCCGCCTCCTGGGTTCAAGTGCCCTGACTCAGCTTCCCGAGTAGCTGGGATTACAGGCATGTGCTACAACGCCCTTCTAATGTTTGTATTTTTTGTAGAGACAGCATTTTGCCATGTTGGCCAGGCTGGTCTCAAACTCATGACCTCAAGTGATCTGCTCGCCTCAGCCTCCCAAAGTGCTGGGATTACAGGCATGAGCCACCATGACTGGCCTAATGAGCACATTTTCCACTGAGGGATTAGAAGCAGCAAGTTGTTGCCAGTTCATCACAAGTCAGGTGGGCTGACTTGGGATGGGAGCTTACTGGGCCATCCTATTGGTACAAGGAAGACTCCTAGCACAGCCATCAAGCTGAGCCTCCATGCTACTGCTTTCTCTGAGAGGCCACCTCATCCAGCCTTTTCTTTCCAAATTTCTCTATTAGCCCCCGCTGGACTGGGCAGCAGACGTTTCTGTCTGGCTGACATCTATGACCCTTCTTTTCAACATGGCACCTCCATTTCCCTTTCAGGAGCCCCCACTGTCAACACCTGTGGTTCAGGGATGAAAATATGACCCAGTCTGGCTAATGAGATTACTGAATCACCCTGACCACTGTGACTGGTTCAGGAGAAGGCACATGACCCAAGTCAGTCCAATCAGAGGTAAATCTCTGCACCAGGATCCAGGTGCTCTCTTTACCAATGGGCTCAGGCTGTGAGGATGGAGCCTGGAGTTGCTGGCAGCTGTCTTGCCATTGGGAGGGGAGGAGCCAATGAGACCAGGACAGGATTCAGATAATATCCGAATAGTTGAGTCCTGGATCACACCACACCTGAAGCCAGATCCTATCCCTGAACTTTTCAGTTACATAAGCCAATTATTCCCTTTTTCATTTAAGCCAGTTTGAGTTGCATCTTTTTTATCCCTTGTACTTGAAAAAGAATCCTGATACACTGTTTTTGTCAGAGACAGTTTTCTGGGCACTTAGCTTCCCTACAAACTTGAAGGCTACCTTATTCTTTCTTCAAAAACTGGATGAGCAAAAATGGACAAGGGAACTTAGTTCTTCCAAGCAGTGAGCACTTATCACTCTTTAGACTTCAATTCTAGCTTCTCTTTGTTCCCAGTGACCAGTCCTTCTGGACTGAAACACTGGATGTCACAAACCTTTCAAGTTCTGCCTCAAAGCCATTTCCAGGCTTTTCCTGCCCATATCAGTCTTTCTCCTTTTCCCCCATCTGGAGGGGTCTTTGCACCAACCCACAGCCACTGGGGTTCACCTGAGGGTTCCAGCTCCCATTTGGGTGTTCACTATGTGCCTGGCACTGAGCCTCAGCCCATCAGATTCTCTCACCAACCCCATGGGAGAAGTGCTAGCATTCTCTCCATTTTGCAGAGGCAGTAATGGAGGCTTCAACAGGTTTGTTCAAGGTCACAGAGCTGGTCCAGGTGGCACAGCTGGATCCCAACCCCGGCTGGTCTGATTCCAAAGCTCATGTTCCTAACCACTGGATAGGCTCCCAGCCCTAAGTCTCATGCTGTGCCTGCTTCGCAAACTAAATGTCAGGACAAATAGTCTCACAGGTGGACACAGAGTTGAAATTGGGCACAGCGTTGAAACTGGGTCTTTGAGCTTCAGATGAAAAAAATGGCCAGGTCCCCCAGTCTTGGCTCTTGCAACAATCTCCTCCCCTCCCCAAGGCCAGGCTCCTGAAGGGAGGTACCCAGGGGAGGGACAGCAAGCCCCGGGTGGCACTGCCTGCTTCCCTCCACATCCTCACTGTGCAGGACTTTCCATCCATCCTCATCCATCCTCCCTCTTCCCCACCCTTGAGGAAAAAAAAATTACCAACACCCCAAGAGGAAAAAGAAGGAAGGCCGCGCATTAGTTACATCCACCACCTCATGACACCATCCACACAGGGAGCCCAAAGCTCACTGCAGATCGGGAGGAAGCAACTTGAGCACGGCCTTACAACGGCCGGGAGAGCCCAGCCCTGCTTTCTTTCCCACCCTGAGTGTGACTCAGCAGCATAACACCCAGTGTCTCAGTTTCCTTCTCCACCCATTCCCAGAACCCACGGAAAGATGGAAGCTGCTTGCCCCACACCTCACAGAGCAGGTTCTCCCGTGTCTAGCTCCGGGCGGGAGAGCTAACTTTCTGAGAAGACTAGGGGAAAGAACAGGCATTTCTATTTCCATATTATAGACAATCAAACCAAAGCCTAGAGGAAAGTCTGGAATCCACAACCTCAACCGCGCGGCCACTGGCTATACCATGAGCTGGAGAACAAACTGGAAACACACTACATGCTAAGCCAGTATCAGATTTCAACTCGGGTTAAATGCAGCAAAATGAGTAAGGCATGCTGACAGTCCCTGCAGATGTAAATAATTCTGCTAAGAGGAGAAGTAGGTGAACGGGGGCTCAGCTGAAGGCTCTCCTAGACGTCGCCATCACACAAGGGTGGTGAGCCTGCAGTTCACACATCTTCAGATCTCCATAGTGAACAGACGCGTGCTTTCTAAAGAATTTAAACCAGATTGAGACCATCCTGGCTAACACGGTGAAACCCTGTCTCTACTATAAATACAAAAAATTAGCCAAGCGTGGTGGCAGGCGCCTGTAGCCCCAGTGACTCGGGAGGCTGAGGCAGGAGAATGGCGTGAACCCGGGAGGCAGAGGTTGTAGTGAGCTGAGATTGTGCCACTGCACTCCAGCCTGGGCAACAGAGCGAGACTCCATCTCAAAAAAAAAAAAAGAGAGAATTAAAAAAAAAAAAGAGAGAGAGAATTTAAAAGAAGTCCAGACTGGGGTCTGAGCAAATGGCAAACCTGGGGACTCACTGTCTCCCATGCAGCTTCTGAAGGTACACACCTAGTGGGCGTTTCCGGCAATCACATCACCTCTACGTCCCTCCACTTCCTCACCTGTAAAATGGCCACAATGACAGTGAAGAGCAGTGGTTCTGGAACTGGATGGCCTGGTTCAAATCCTGGCTCTGTCCTTGGGTAGTTGTTTGACCCTGGCACGTCACTTCCCTGTCCTTGTGTGGAGAATGAAGATCACAATAGTATTCATCTCCCAGGGCTGCTGTGCCAATGCCTGAGGACAGATAAAAAGCCCCAGCAAGCGGCCTGGCACCCATGAGCCCTCCGTCAACACTGGCAGACAGCTGCTGATGCCATCACAGGGCATGCCTGACTCCATGGAGGCGACAGGAAAGGAGAGCAAGTCTTGGGCTCAGGCTGCCCAAGTCTTCCGGGCCGGAGCGGACACTTGCCCTTTGGTGGGAGGCTCTCGAGGCCGTGGAGCTTGAAAGTGCTGCGGGGCAGCTCACAAATCCATATAACTCACTCCCGATTACTCTCCAGCCTGCCTGAGCAGCTGCTCCAGGAAGAAATAAAATATGCTTTGCATACTTTAAATGTTTCACTTATGAAAACTGGCAGGGCTGCCTTTCTAAATTGTTTAGCAATAAAGTCACTAACGAGCAGTGTTTGAGGCTCTCCCCACCGGAGCTGGAGCCGGGCCGGGGAGCCAGCCGGGGTGGGGGGAGGGGGCAGGGAGGGAGGACAGACTGGCCGCCAGTGCGGAGACTGCTAGGGCTTCCAGAAGGCGCCATCTGGGATTTTTCAGAGGGGCACGGGGATCACATCCTGGTGTCCCGATGTGAAACTGGATCCTCCCTCTGGAAGCCAAGCCCCAAATGAGTGGGGGCAGAGGGGAGGGCCCTTCCGGCCTGGGACGTTTTCCCACACTCCAGGGCGCCCCGGTTTCCAGCCAATTGAGTTAATTGAAAAATTACCTTGGGCTGAGAAAGACCAGGACTGGGCCACGGGGGACTGCCTCACAGGAGACCCAACTCAGCCTCCAGCACTGGACTTCCACCATCTATAGCTGCGAGGCCTGCAGGGGTGCTCCTGATGCTGGGCACACATCCCCTGCAACCTCCCAGAGACCTCAGGGGTAGTTTCAGTCCTACTTGACAGATGGGGAAACTAAGGCAAAAGGGATAAGGAGCCTGCCCAAGAACAGAAAGCTAGGGAGCTGTGGGCCATGAGCCTCCGTGCAGCCTGGTGCTGTCCCCTGCGGTACTTTGTCCCAGGATGCTGTTCTGAATGTGTGGCAGGGCCACTGCGACCCCAAAACCCAACGAATGTAACTCGGAAGGAAGCCCAGAATGCAGATCAGCTGGCAGGCGGGCAAGAGGCCTCCTGCCCTGCCCAGAACAGGATGGTGCCGCCATCCGCAGAAGGCCTTGCTGCGGGCTGATATTGCTGATATTGACAAAGTGCTGAATAAAGCACTTTTCCCTCCTTCCAAGTGCTCACTTCTCTGTTTATCATCCCAGCTGCCTGGGAAGATTACAATGGTGGGTTTTATTGTCCTAAATAAAGGCCAGCCAACCCCAAGGCCCCGGGAACAGCACCATGACTCAGCTGGGTCACATAGGAGTCTGGGGTATGGGGAGGCCCAAGCCCAGTTCCCCACCTGCCCCTTGCCCCTGGCCCATCTCCCATGCACAGACACCAGGCAGTCCACACTGGAGACCGCCTCTCTGGGGCAGTTCATTCGTGTCCCCCTAGGACCCCTGCCTATTCGAAGGCGAGAGAGACCTGCAATTCCAGAATGGTCCATCCCATCTCCAGGGGCCGTGGCAGGCATGGCTTCTGAAACCAAGTAGGACACCAACGGGGGCCCCCACAGCTGTGTCTCCCCGGCATCAGGCCACAACCTTTCAGGACTAGAAATGAACACAGCTGATTAGAAAAACACCCTTACTTCACTTACAGAGTTTCAGCAGTTTAGTCTGTGAACCAAACATATAATTAAGGCACAGAAAAATGTGAGTTGCTTTTTTTTTTTTTTTTTTAGGAGGGGGAGCTGGGAGCGGGAAGAGGCAGACAAACTCAAGTCCCCGAGTTACCTTTATGTCTGAAGACAGAATTTCTTCCCCCACAAGAAAACTCGACCCTGACATAGAAGCTGCATATCCAGTGTGTGTTTTTTTGTTTTTGTTTTTTTTTGAGACAGAGTCTCTTTCTGTCACCCAGGCTGGAGTGCAGTAGTGAGATCTCAGCTCAGTACAACCTCCGCCTCCCGGGTTCAAGCGATTCTCCTGCCTCAGTCTCCCAAGTAGCTGGGATTACAGGCATGCGCCACCACGCCCGGCTAATTAGTTTGTATTTTTAGTAGAGACAGGGTTTCACCATGTTGGTCAGGCTGGTCTCAAACTCCTGACCTCAGGTGATCCGCCCGCCTCAGCCTCCCAAAGTGGTGGGATTACAGGCGTGAGCCACTGTGCCCGGCTCAACTTTTGGTTTTGACACTCACTGAGCACCTCGCCTGAGAGGCGATGCCGTCTAAGCAGCTAGAAACACATCTCCAAGCAAGGCATCCCAGCCACTTACTAACCAAGTGATCTTGAGCAGGTCACCTCACCTCTCCGTGACTCAGTTCTCTCATCTGTAAAATGGGAGTGATTGCTGTAGGGATTAATTGGGGGTCTATACCATAAAAGAACATTGCTGGGCACACGGCAAGTACTACATACATTTTGGTTATTATTTTCCCTCCTGCTCCTCCCTCAAGAACCACACTGCCTTCTCGTTGTGAGACCAGCCCTTGCCAGGAAGCATTGTCCTGGGTCCCCAGAGACTTCTGGAATCTCTGATGTAAATCCTCAGGTAGAACATTCTTTGCTGAGAGGTCTCCGGAGTAGGCTCTCCAGCAGCTGGCGGGGGGTGACTGCTGAGGAAGTGATCCTGCAATCCTAATCTGGAGGCTTGGGCACTATTCTGCTGCTGTCCCCTCTGGCTTTCTCTGGTTTCTGGACTGAAAAAGGTAGAGACGGAACTTTAATTCTTGCTCTGAGTGGCCTCTGACTTCCCACCAAATGTTTCCCCGTCTGTCTGGCTAGCTCTGCCCACAATTCACAAAGGTCAAACGCTGTTTCCACTCTGCATGCCGCCTCTAAGGAGAGCAGAGGAGAAAACTATTCGAAAAATGTAAATTAAAAAAAAAAAAAAACCCAAGGCTCTCCTCCCCAACACACACACACACACACACACACACACACACACACACACACACCACACACACACACACGCAGCTCACATCCAGTTCAACATAACACAAGACCACAACAAGCAGGAAGACAGAAGGGCGATGCCGAATTTTCACCAGTGGTGACCAGCTCCAGGCCTGCCTTTCTTAGAGGATTACAGACGGCCCTGCTAACCCAGACAAGGAAATCTCTTGTACAGAGAAGCATCCTTCCAGGTCCTCCTAGACACCCTTCTGGCCAGGTATTATAAGCTGCAGCATCTGGTGCAGCCCTGACCTGTGCTCTAAGCCCAAGAAGTGCCCATTGAGCTAAAGCTAGCCCAAGGCACAAGCCCAGGGGCAAAAGCGTCCTTCCATCAAGCCAAAGACCCCCTAGGACTACAGTCTCCTGGCCAGAGGTGCTTTCATGCCAAAACATGTTTTTCCTTAAAGCCACCCTCTACCCCTCATCTCCCAGGAGAAAATGATACTGACTAGAGAAGAGTAGGTTCTAGGTTCGGCTGCTGTAGGATCAAAGTGCGCAGCTTGAATAAAGAACAGAAGGTTGTGCAGAAACACTGCGTGTTAACGTTTGGAGCGGGTCGGAAGCGTTTCTTTCATCTACATGTTTTATTCTCTAAGTCAGCCTTCTCCTGCCCTACTCTCTTGAGCTGAACTTCTACTAGATCTTTCCTTTTTCCTCTCCGCACTCCACAAACCTCAAACCATATATATCCCTGGAACGTCTGGGGACGTTTCCTCTTTCCCGACACATCTGCAATAATGCCATGATCACTTGTGGCTGCTTGAGGAGGACAGGGGACAAATATGTGCACCCTGGGCGTACAGGGCTGGCAGGGGTGGGAGGTGTAAAGCAAAACAAGCCACATAAACACCGCAGCTTGTGATGCTTCAACACTGCCTCCACGCTTGGGTGAAGCTGCAGAAAATAAACCAATTGAAGAAATAAAAGTCCTAATCAGGAGCAGGTGTTTGCATTGTAACACGACTTGGGACACGAACAAGCCCTGTATAGTGGGCTCATTGCCACGTCTCTCTGGAATTGTAGGCTGACCACCAACCAAGCCATGAGGTCACCCCACCTCCAGCGGTAGACGGCCCATAGCTGCAGATATCCCAGAAATCCAACAAAAGACCAATGCCGGGTTCTAGTTATTCTCTCATCCTGATGCCTGGGACAATGAAGCCCAAACCCAGGAAGCCAGACAAGAGGACAGCAGCTCTCTGGTCCTTCTTTGGTGAACAGACAGCATGGATTTCAGCAAAGACCATGGGCAGAACCAAAGCGTTTTCAGCTTTCGGCATTCATGAAAATTAACTCAGGATAACTCCAGTGCCCAGGAAATCTTCCCTGCTCCTGATCTCTGGAGAAAGCTATACATCTTCGAAATTCGCATCTTCTCTGCATGTACACCTGCAGAAAGCTAATTCTGGGGAAGCAGGGTAAAAAAAACCGGAACCTCCCCACCCCACACCCCCATCCCACCCCCCAACCCAGGCTGCCCTGGCCTAGAAGATAGGCTGCTGATTCAGGTTACAAATTCCCAGGCAGAGAAATTCAACCTCCTTTTTCCAATGGTCGGCAGTTAATGTATTGTTCCATCTTTGCCCTCCTCTTTTTTGTAATCTCTCGGCTGAGTGCCCATGTTCTCAGGACCCTCTTGCCAAGAGGTGAGTATACTGTTTATTTGGCCTTGGACGCCACTCATGGACCCCAAAAGGAATATGTGAACTTGCCACTGCATGCCTTTGGGTCCCTTTTGACCTGATGGCACTGGGGTGGGGATGCAGGGCAGGCTACAGAAAAGGTGAATGAAGACGGGCGTGGTGGCTCACGCCTGTAATCCCAGACTTTGGGAGGCCGAGGCAGGTAGATCACCTGAAGTCAGGAGTTTGAGACCAGCCTGGCCAACATATAGTGAAACCCCATCTCCACTAAAAGATACAAAAATTTAGCTGGGTGTGGCGGCGCTCGCCTGTAGTCCCAGCTACTTGGGAAGCCGAGGCAGGAGAATCACTTGAACCCGGGAGGCAGGGGTTACAGTGAGCCGAGATTGCACCACTGCACTCCAGCCTGGTCGACAGGGCAAGGCTGCGTCTCTCAGAAAAAAAAAAAAAAAAAAAAAAAAAAAAAAAGAAAGGTAGAATGACATCTGTCTGGTCATTTCCACCTGCCTGGCCAGGCCCAGGCTACTGGGCTAGCCACATCCACCCTGATAGCACTCCGCAGTCATTTCCACCTGCCCCTCTTCCTGCCTGCTTCCAGAGGGGCTGCCTGATGGCTTTGAGTTCCTGCTATGTCCTCTTAAACAAACATCAAGAGAGCCAGGAACACACAGCTCAGCCCGGGGAACATTCTTCCTTAGGACGTGCAAGAGAAGGTACAGGCTCCAGCAGCTCTTCCTCCACCCTCACAAAGAGCTCCCAGTAGGGGACGAGAGCTCTAAGGTTGGTTAAGCTGGGAGGATCAAGGCAAGAAGCCCTGTGCTCCCAACCACCCAACCCATTCTACTCTGCCCTGGCTGGGAGGAAAAATGCCTGGAGAAACGAAGCTGGCCCCCGTGCCATGGTGGCTGTCTTCTTACAACAGAGGGGTCATCATGTCAAGGAAACAGACTCAGTGTGTAAGATCCTCAAGTGTAGGGCACAGGCCAATGGGTGGATGCTACTGTGAGATCAATTTTTGGCTCAATATAAAAGTGAGTGAATGCTTAAAACGAATCAAAAATTGTAGGGGTTGCCTGGAGAGGAAGTGAGTTTCCAATCCCTGAAGGTATTCAAACTCAAGGGGAACAACTGCACTGGACATTATGAGTCAATCTGTCTTCCTTGCCCTAAATTCCTCCCACCACAGCTACTTTCCCACAGGCCCTGGAAGGAAGCAGCTCTCTATACCAAGTACCCCGCCCACTCTTACAGAGGCAGCTGACTGAACCAAGATGGTCACCTGATCCATGGCCTGCCAAACCACTGGTTAGGCAGGGACCAATCAATGCCTGCCTCCCAGGCATTTAAGCGCTTCAGGGGTACAGAGGGAGGCAGACCCCTCCCTGGGTGGGATGATCAGGCTAGGTGAAGGCTCTGCCACTGCCTTTGGAACCTGGCACTCCTGAGGCTGAGCCTGAGGACTTCCCTAGGTCAACCCAGGCCCCCTGTGACTGGGGTTCATGTGATAGTCTCCCTTCTGCCTCCAGAGGAGGAGCTCAGGGTCTCTCTGTCCAGCCTGGCAGGGACCTCCTGTTATCACTGCTCAGCACAGTGCCTGGACCCTGAGCCTGTGCCGTGGACAACAAAGCTCAAAGCTCAGTCACTGTCACGGCTCTCAATATCCCAACAGGCAGAGGCGAGTGCCCGAGAATGCACACCCTCAAGTACACACACTCCACCCTATGCAAGAGGCACGTCCCAATGCAGAGGCACCTCCCACTGCCAATGCGGACCTCATGCTTAATAAACATCACTGGCCAGGCGAGAGGCTCACACCTGTAATCCCAGCACTTTGGTAGGCTGAGGTGGGAGGATCACTTGAGACCAGGAGTTCGAGACCAGCCTGGGCAACAAGTGAGACCCTGTCTCTACAAACAAAATGTTTTAAAAATTAGCCAGGCATGGTGGTGTGTGCCTGTAGTCCTAGCTACTCGGGAGGCTGAGGTGGGAGGATGACTTGAGCCCAGGAGTTTGAGGCTGAAGCGAGCAATGATCCTGCCATGGCACTCCAGCCTGGGAGGCAAGAGCAAGACCCTGTGTCTAAAATGAATAAACAGGCCAGGCACGGTGGCTCACACCTGTAATCCCAGCACTTTGGGAGGCCGAGGTGGGTTGATCACCTGAGGTCAGGTGTTCAAGACCAGCCTGGCCCCATGGTGAAACCCTGTCCCTACTAAAAGTATAAAAATTAGCCTGGTGTGGTGGTGGGTGCCTGTGATCCCAGCTACTCAGGAGGCTGAGGCAGGAGAATAGCTTGAACCCAGGAGGTGGTGGTTGCAGTGAACCAAGGTCATGCCATTGCTCTCCAGCCTGGGCAACTGAGTGAGACTCCATCTCAAAAAACAAAAACAAAATCAAACAAAAAATGAATAAATAAATAAACATCATTATCTGCAATCCATTGTATTGCACACAGTATCTAAGATGGTTTATTGATAAAGCAGCAGCTCTATTTGGCAAGTTCCTACTGTAGGATGGGTGCCATCATTCTCATTTTACAAGAGGTGGAAACTGAGGCTCAAAGAGATTAAGCAGCTTGCCCGAGAGTCTCCAGTGTGGTCTTCTCATAATGCATGAGATTCTGACCAACTGTCGCCAGATATCCCCTTCTAAGTGGGAGAGCAAAGCCCGGGCAGATGCTAACTGCAAAAATTTCTCCCCAGGAAGTCCAAATCCTGCCCCAGTGCTTGACGTCCTATTGAGTATTGGACTCTGGACTTGTCTGACTTGGCCATCTCTCTGGTGAGTCTTATATCACTCCAGCACCCTTTTTTTTTTTTTTTTTGAGATGGAGTTTCCCTCTTGTTGCCCAGGCTGGAGTGCAGTGGTGCGATCTTGGTTCACTGCAACCTCTGTCTCCCGGGTTCCAGTGATCCTCCTGCCTCAGCCTCCCAAGTAGCTAGGATTACAGGTGTCCACCACCACGCCTGGCTAATTTTTGTATTTTTGGTAGAGATGCGGTTTTGCCATTTTGGCCAGGCTGGTCTCGAACTCCTGACCTCAGGTGATCCGCCTGCCTTGGCCTCCCAAAGTGTTGGGATTACAGGCGTGAGCCACCGCATCCGGCCCATTTTGAACCAATACAAATGATCTTAATCTCCACAAAACCCCTACTAGATAGGGCTAGCACCCCAATTTACAGATGAAGATATTGAGGCTCAGAGGGGTTAAGGAACTTGCTCAGGGTCCCCACTGTTGGAACAATTTGCACCCAGGCAGTGGGGCTCTATGACCCTAAGCACTTGGTACATAGACTCCAACGTCCCCACACTCAGAGCCCTGTGTCTGTGTACCTGTCCTAGCTCAGTGAGGGGAGCCTGTTCTACACAAGGAAGGCTAAAACGCCCTAAATACCACCAAGCACAGAGTAAGGCAAAGGTGCCCTGTTGCTAAATTCCTACCTTCCTGGGCCATGCATGCCTGCTCTGCTGTGAGAAGGTAGCATCGGCCTGCCTGCTGGGTATGGATTCAAGTCACCTCTAAAGGAGAGCAATCAGCGCCTTTCAGGGAGATGGCCACGCTCCAGGCACAGGCTGGAAGATCAGACTCCCACTGGGAAGACTGAGAGGAGCCAGATGCCGTCTGGAGCACCCAAAACACCAGCTGCTGTTGCTGACCTCAGCGTGCTCAGCTCTATCAGGGATGTGCCAGGAAACTGGCGAAGGGGACGTGACAGCAAGTGCTTATGCAGCCCCTTGAGGGAGCAGGCACACTGGGGTGGGAAGGAGAAGGTGTTCAGTCAACCCCACCCAGGCCCCATACTCAGGAGGCTGATAGATCCAGGGGTCCTCCTACAAGCTGACCTGGGACTTGTGTGATCAAAGAAGGATGGCAGGGAGAGAGGCGGAGGGGACGTGATTATTACGGCCAGGAGACTGTGGACAGAACCTAAGAGGTGGCAACTGATTTGCTAGTCCTTGAAGATGGAGGGGGAAGGGAAAGGCAGGAAAGTACAAACAACTCGTAAAAGAGAAAACTGAGCTCCTCTGCAGGGAACTAGAAAGGGAGCTGGCCCCAAGTAGGTGCTCTAAGAAAACCTGCAAGTAATTAACTAGCAGGGTCTATGATGAAGGCTCTCCTCTGGTCCTATAACACCTAGCAAGGGGCATAGACACAGGCTTGCTGAGGAGCCATCTTCACCTTCTGCAGCGCCACTCTCTGCCACGCTGTCCTCTGGGTGACACTTGCAGATGGCACTGCAAGAATTATGCCCAGAGGGGCTGCACACTGCAAGAATTATGCCCAGAGGGGCTGCAATGAGCAAGAAAGGCTCACAGAAAGGTTGGGGGCCCAGGATGGGGAGGGATGTGGACTTAGTTCGGGGTGGGAAGATAACAGAGGCAAGAACTAGCAAGGTGAAGGGTAGGAATGAGCCAGGGTGGTTCATGGGACAGACAGGCCCTGAGCTCCTCTCCACTGGAGACAGAAGGGGGACTGTCACGTTTATGGAGCCTCACACAAAACCGAGAACAGAGCAGGTGCTGGATGCCCGCCATGTGGATGAACAAGGAGGCTTGTCGCATCTGGGGACAGGGTGAGGGAGGGTATCTTTCCTTTCTGGTTTCAGTCAGGAGTTTTAGGCAGAAAAAAACCCTCTTCCAGAATATAAGTGCCATGAAAGTAGGGTTCGTCCTGCTCAGCTGTCAGTTCCAGGCGCCCAGTGGGGGCCTGGTAAGTACTTATGGGATGAGGAAGGATCAAAGTGATCAGGGAATCTAAAAGGGGGCGGAGCAGGTAGGTGAGGCCTTAACTGCTGGGAGGGTGGAGGGATCCCTTTCTATATGGCAAAAGTAGCCGAGTATGGCTGGCACAGTGGAGCAGGGCACCCAGTGATCAACCAGCCCGGTTTGCCTGAGACCAAGGCATATCCCATGGTGCGGGATGTCCAGTGCTAGAACCAAGAAAGTCCTGAGAAAAACAGGACAATTTGGTCGCCCCAGGTACAGGTCTGTCTTCACCAGCATCCTACAGCTACCAACCGATGATACCAACTGCATCTGATGGTACCAACCGCATCTCTAATGTGCCTCAGAGTGAGTGAAGCACTTCCAAATCCACGGGCTCTCGTAAAGCAACCACAGATCCGTGAGCTAGGCCAGGCTGACACTATGATTTCATTTCACCAAACAGGGACACAGGTCCAGAGGGTGAGTGAACTGTACAAGGTCCCACAGCAGGTAATCTGCAAAGCCAGGGTTGATGTTCTGCCCGTCACCTCCCCTGCCTTTCCACACACTGGAGAGACATGACATGGAAAAGCAATGTCTGCTGAGCACAGCTGTGGGATGGGCGGATGTCGTCCAGGCGTCCCCAAGGGCAGGGGGGCTTGGAGGCTCCAGGGAAATGGGCCCATCTGGCCCTCTGCTCTTCTAAAATTCTGGCACTGGGGAGCAGGCGGCCACCACCTGGGATGTTGGGAGAGAAGATGGGGCGGGGGTGCTATAGGCTGCAGCTCCGCTTGCCCCACCAACATCACCATTAGGGCTGTCCCATGGGTAAGGCCAGGATCTCTGAAGGCCCTTGTGAAAGGCAGACAGACCATCTAGTGACACATCCAGTAGCCCCTAGGCATAGAAGGGCCAACCAGCCCTTGGCAGCTGGGCAGGGAACAGGCCAGGGTACAGGGAGAAGGGGAAGGGAGAGGGGAGAGGGAGGGAGAGAGGAAAAATAGAAGTGGAAAAAGCTTTCTAGAGCCACCTTGCTCAGTGGCTGCTTTCAGACTATAGTTACATCAGCATCGCCTTGCAGGGCTTGTTAACACCCAGACTGGGCCCACCCCCAGTTTCTGATTCTGTAGGTCCGGAGTGGACAGAGAATTTGCATTTCTAATATGTTCTCGGGCACTGCTGATGTTGCTGGTCCTGGCGGCACACCTTGAGAATCGATGGTCCAGCTCAAGCGGTTCTGGGGGATGGGGCTGGGGGTTGGGGGCAAAGGCACAAAGGACACAGTAGGGCCCCTGATGCTAGGAAGACAGGAGAATTTCTTGAACCCAGGAGGCAGAGGTTGCAGAGAGCCAAGATTGCGCCACCGCACTCCAGCCTTGTCAACAAGAGTGAAACTCTGTCTCAAAAAGAAAGAAAGAAAAAAGAAAGAACCACTGTACCCTGGTGGGAGGGAGAAGTCAGGCCAGACTGGCAGGGGAGGCATCCGTGACTGCTCCAGAACCCAAGGGGTAGCCTCTGTCCCTGCAGAGGGAAAACCAGGGATGCAGGTTTGCCCCTTGGTCAGCCGCTGGTGCACCCAGGAGGGCCTGGAAGGAGCACAGGAAGGCTGAGGGCTGGCACTGTGGAAATGCAAGTCCAGCAACTCCTCCCCAGCCAGGGAGGTTTACGGGAATGCCACAGAGGCCCCCGGCGCTAGAAGAAGGGCTACCCCAGATCAGCGATGACCCTCAGCCTGGGATGTTTGAAGCTGTTGGGCAGCAGGGAACGCTCATGGTGTGAAGGTGGCTGCAGGGCCACAGACCTGGCTGGCCCAACCTCCCCACCCTTCTCTGAAAGGAGAGATGGAGGGGGCGACTGGAGGCCAGGATGGGCAATTGAGTATTTAGATGGATACTGGCCAGCATCAGCCCCCAAATGACCACTCTGGTACCCTGATGGGGCACACCCAGTCCCTGCCTGATGCCTCCAGTGCTGGGGAACCCACTGCCTCCCAGGGCAGCCTGTCCCGTTGCTGAACAGAAAATCTGTCTCATACTGAAGGAAAGGTTGTCTCCCTACACTACAGCGTCTAAGCAGCAGGTGCCCTTCTGTTCAAAACCCCAGGGCAAGGAGTGGTCCTGGGGCTTAGCAGTCACAAATATGCTATGAAAAAGGAGGGCCGGGCGCAGTGGCTCACGCCTGTAATCCCAGCACTTTGGGAGGCAAAGGCAGGTGGATCACAAGGTCAGGAGTTCAAGACCAGTCTGGCCAAGATGGTGAAACCCCGTCTCTACTAAAAATACAAAAATTAGCCGGGCGTGGTGGCAGGCGCCTGTAATCCCAGCTACTCGGGAGGCTGAAGCAGAGAATTGTTTGAACCTGGGAGGCGGAGGTTGCAGTGAGCCAAGACGCACCACTGCACTCCAGCCTTGGTGACAGAGCGAGACTCCATCTCAAAGAAAAAAAAAAAAAGAAAAGAAAACTGACAAAAACCCCAATCATTTCTCTTTTTAAAAAGGTACATCCTGGCTGGGCGTGGTGGCTCACGCCTGTAATCCCAGCACTTTGGGAGGCCGAGGCGGGCGGATCACAAGGTCAGGAGATCGAGACCATCCTGGATAACACGGTGAAACCCCGTCTCTACTAAAAATACAAAAAAATAGCCAGGCGTAGTGGCGGGCGCCTGTAGTCCTAGCTAACCAGCTACTCGGGAGGCGGAGGCAGGAGAATGGCGTGAACCCGGGAGGCGGAGCTTGCAGTGAGCCGAGATCACATCACTGCACTCCAGCCTGGGTGACACAGCAAGACTCCGTCTCATAAAAAAAAAAAAAAGAAAAAAAAGCTACATCCCACACAAACAGACAAAAGTGATGCTGCTGGGTGTGGTGGCACATGCCTGTAGTCCTAGCTACTTGGGAGGCTGAGGCAGGAGGATGGCTTGAAACCAGGAGTTCAAGGCTGTAGTATGCAATGATCATGCCTGTGAACAGCCCTTGCACACCAGCCTGGGTAACACAGTGAAACCTTGTCTCTAAAATAAGAATTAAAATGTACATCACAATGCCAGAGACATATCAAGGTGCTGATTTTAATTATTGGAAAAAGATACCTGGATTTACATCTTCCCCAAACCTTCCCAGTGCACCTGTGAGGGAGCCCTGTTTAAAGGGCTAAGGGAAGTGTGAGACATGTTGGGGATAAAACACTTAAGACAAGGTACTTCCAGATGTGGTTCCAGGACCATCAGCGGTGGGGCAGGAATGGACTGTATGTTAAAACTGCAGAACCTGGCCGGGCATGGTGGGTCACACTTGTAATCCCAGCACTTTGGGAGGCCGAGGCAGGCGGCTCACCTGAGGTCAGGAGTTCGAGAGCAGCCTGGCTAACATGGTGAAACCCTGTCTCTACTAAAAATCCAAAAAATTAGCCAGGTGTGGTGGCACATGTGTGTAATCTCAGCTACTTGGGAGGCTGAGGCAGGAGAATCGCTTGAACCCAGGAGGCAGAGGTTGCGGTGAGCCAAGATTGTGCCATTGGACTCCAGCTTGGGCAACAAGGGCGAAACTCCATCTCATAAATAAAGAAATAAATAGTGCAGAACCCTGCAACTACGGTGTGATCCTACTTAGATGAGGTACCTGGAACAGGCCAACACATACAGACAGAAACTGGAATGGTGGTTGGCAGGGGCTGGGGAGAGGGATGGAGAGTTAGTGTTTAATGGGCCATGGTTTCTGTTTGGGGTGATGAAGAAATTTTGGAAATGGATTGTGGTGATGGCCCTTCAACACTGTAAATGCGCTTAATGCCACTAAATTGAATATCGAACAATGGTTAAAATGGTCAATTTTATGTTACATACATTTTACCATAATACAAAAAATTCAATTAAAAAAAAAAAGTGCAGGGTTCTGAACTCCACCCTGGAGTCAGTTTCTGGGGTGGGACTCTGCATTTGAGCCCACCGATGTCAGGGCTCAGCTCCTTGTGGGTGGAAAACACACATCTTGTCGGTGGAAAAACACACATCTCAGGCTTCCCAAGCTAAGACGGGCCTTGGAAACACTCATGAGCCTCATGCCCTGATTCAGGGCCAGCTCCAACATGGGAGCCTCTAGCCACATGGGGCCTTTTACAATTAAGTACAATTTAAAGCTCAGTTCTTCAGTCGTACTAGCTGCATTTAAGCCCAGGGGCTACCATGCAGGGGAGGGCCCCACGCAGGCTCTCCTCGAAACCTCCCAGGCCCCTTGGCTTCCCTCCCCAAAGGGTAGAGAGTAAATAGAAACTCCCCCACGTGGCTCTCCACTGTCTGGCTGACACAGGTAGAGATGCCAGAGGAAGCACAGACAAGCACCCAGCTGGATGTCTGACCACCTGAACGGCATCACGCCCGACAATGAAAGGGACCCGGGGCAGGGGACGGGGCGGGGAGGGTGGGGAGCCATAGTGGGGAGCATGGACGAACAGGCCCCACAGGCGGCCCAGAGGTGAATCACAGGACAAGAGTTTGGTCTCCTCTGTCTCCTTAGCACCCTGCCCAGCGCCTTGGCTCCTCTGCGGGGCTCAAGGAGCCAGGAATTCAGGGTGAACGGGAAACACGGGGTGCTGGTGGGCAGCCTGGAGCCGGGAGCAGGGTATCCAAACAGCTACCACCAAAGCCTCCATGTGTTCTCTCACTGCACGGCAGTCTTGTGAGTTCACAAGACTGAGAAAGGCACGTGCCTCTTTCTAGTAGATTCTGGGAACACGCGTGCCCGGACAGGGGTTGGCATAAAGAGGAAAAAAAGCGAGATTTAACTTAGATGTCCATCTACCTGACTGTGTACTTTGGGCCACTGGTGGGAGTGAAAAGGTGCTAGCGTGCCCTGATCGTGCCTGTGAATCGTCCCTGTGCTCCAGCCTGGGCAACACAGTGTAAACCAGAGTATGTGCCCTCCTGGGTTTCTTACTCTAAAAAAATTAACCCAATCCCAGGAAAGCAAAGGGCAGAGGTTCTCAATGTCTGATCTGTGGAATGCCAAAATTACGCAGGGTACTTGATACAAATCCAGATTCCTGGCGGGGGAGGAGGGGAGCCTGAGAATCTATACCTTAGCAAGCACCCCAGACCGCTGCAATCCCTGAAGTCTGAGACCCTCCTTGAATGGGTCAGAGAGGGCTGGGAAGATGGTAAAGGGTGAAAATTTCCAGTGCTGCCAAGACATTCCCATGACTTCTCTCTTTTTTTTTAAAGACAGAGTCTTGCTCTGTTGCCCAGGATGGAGTGCAGTGGCATGATCTTAGCTCACTATAACCTCTGCCTCTTCTCCTGGATTCAATCAATTTTCCTTCCTCAGCCTTCCGAGTAGCTGGGACTACAGGCATGCGCCACCATGCTGGGCTCATTTTTGTATTTTTTTTTTTTAGTAGAGATGGGGTTTCACCATGTTGCCCAGGCTGGTCCTGAACTCCTGACCTCAAGTGCTCCGCCTGCTTCGGCCACCCAAAGTGCTGGGACTACAGGTGTGAGCCATCGAGCCCAGCCTCCCATACCTTTTCTAAGGTTTCATATCTGGCCCTGGAAGCCTCCCTGTGTGACACCCTGGAGTATGGTCCCTTCCCAGCCTCGGGCCTCAGTTTCCTCACCTAGTAGAGGAAACGGGTTCACCCCATCCCTGCAGAGGTTTCCCTCTCAGGGCTCTGCATTCTAGATTTCCAAATGGTTGTGGCGGGGGAGTCTCCCGTCAGGAGCCAGCTTGCCTCTGGCTTCGGGCTGGGGTGAAGGGGCAGGGGCAGAGTCTCCTGTTGACAGAGATCGGGGGCCACTCTGGGCCCCCAGGGTTCCCCCCTCCCAACTGGCTCTGGCTGATTGGCAAGCCAGTGAGCCGAAGGTGCCAGGAAGAAAAGTCCTGTGACTCTCGGCAGCTCAGCCTCCGCTCTGTGGCCTGGTAGCCCGGGGAATCGTCAGCTGACAAGGAAACTGCAGGAGGAAGGGTCCCAGGAGGGCAGCATGGCAGCCTGGAACAGCTACTTTCCACAGCCGGTGTAACCTCTCCCAAGCTTCAGTGGTCTCACCCGTAAGATGGGGAGAATGGCAGCTGCCTGACAGGAAGAGGGGGATCAAAAGGAACACATGTAACAAGGTGCTTGGTTCCTGCTCGGCCCTCAGTCAATGATCCTTCCACACTAATGGGACCCGACTGAGCGAAAATCCACATTCTTCCCAGCCTGGGCACATAGAACTTCAAAGTCAGGAACATGCTGCTGAGGCTGTGCTGTGAGGGGAGGGAATAAAGCATCCGGGAAATAGCAGCTGTTGTTTTTACTTCTCTCCAATTCCCCAGGAGAGCTTTTCTGAAACTTCTGTACAATTAAAAGGTAGTGAACACAGTGAATGCCTGTGATAAAGTTACAGCCCAAACTAGCTGGGAGCCTGAGCCAGCCTCCGAATCCAAGAAGCAACAAAAGACGAGACCACGGGCACCGGCAGATTACCCACCTGGTGCCAGGTGGAGGGTGTTTCCCAAAACAGTCCCCAGTGTCCAGCACGTAGACTGAGGACGGGCCCCACCCAGAGCCCACCAGCTCCCCGCTGCTTAGGCCAGACTCAGTGTCAGCCAGTTCAGGGCTGGGACAGCGGCCAGCACTCACGTACCTGTCACACTCTTCTGGTTCCGAATTTCCTCCAAACTGGGTGCCACTGCAGCACATGACGGGCTAATGCCATCTGATGAGGGCTCTGGGGAATTGCCACAATTGATATCCTCTAACTGGCCTCTCTTGAAGGCATCCAAAAAGCAGACGAGAGAAAGCCTGGAGTCCCCACCTTCATAGAAGCCGCCACAAGGGAGACAGAGGTTGTCCTTGTGAACAGGAGGCAAGCCTGACCTTCCCTCTCCCTTGAAAGGCACTCATCTGGCACCCGCAACATAAGACGCACTCACGGAGAGTAAATCCATTAAAATAACTCCACGCCCGCACACCCCTTATAACCATGCCTGTCTCTCTGGAGTGTTTACAGCCCTTAGTGACTCACAGCAAACACGGGATCCCCAGGGCGATGGCTTCGGCCGGGTTTAATGACATGTTGGGTGTGCTTATCTGCTGGGACTAAAATCTGTCTACATGCAAATGTGCTGACGTTCCATTTTTGTCAGCTTGCTGTGTTACAGATGAGGGAGGCTAACCCCAGAGCCAGGGGTGCTATTTTCCTCTTGAGATGATTTAAAAAATGAACAAACTCTTCTTCCTCCAGAATGGCTGGAGGGTCCTGGCAAATTGTCCAGTTCACTCAACTGGAGTATTACAAAGAACATAAATGGTGCTTGGTGCCCATTATGGAGATTTCGTGATGACTCAGAAAGCCAAATAAGCAGCTAGCAGCCCTTTGGAGTCACCTGTTTGAGTAAATCCCAATATTTCAAACTTCAAAAATAAAAGAAAATGTATTATATATATTTTAAACACATATACATCAAGTCCTTTGGAGTCTAGAGGAATAGGAATTCCCCCTCCTTCCTTATGGCATGGGTAGCATCAGGCCCCACAGGGGGAAAGGATGCTAATCACACAGATTCCTGTCCAATTTCCAACAACTCTGAGGTGGGTAATACAATTTCCATTTTACAGAAGGGTAAACTGAGGCTTGGGACATTAAATAACTTGCTTAGGGGCATATAGCTAGTAAGGAGCAGAGCTGACAAATTCAAATCAGTGTGTGTTTGATTCCAAAACTGGTGCCCTGTACCCACTATGGCGTGCCACCAGCCTTGGCAGAAGGATAAAGTTCAGTCCATCACACTGGACCACAACACAGGGTGGAGGGCAGAGGGTGCCGGACCACAGGTTGAGACTCCTCAGGGAAATGGATCTCAGCAGTGGCTTTCACCCTGATTGTCCAGAAGAACCAAGCCCTCCATTGCCTCCATCCTGCCCTCGCCCTGCTAGCAGAAGTATGCTCACACGAAACCCACCAATGGGTCCTAGTGGGCAGCTTCGTAAAACCATTCTTAATTCCAAGCAGTGGAGATTGCATCTCATCCAGTCCCAGCACAAGTTCTTCTCAGAACGGCTCACAGAGAGCAGACCTCCCACTGAAATTGCTAACAGCAGGAAGATAAGCAAATGCTTGCGTTGCTTAAAACAAGGAATGTCAAGGAGAGGACAAACTTTTTTTTTAAGGATAAAAATTTAAAGGAAAAAGAGACCAGAAACAATGTGGGTCTACTTTCTTTTTTTTTGTTTTTTTTTTGAGACTGAGTCTCGCTCTGTCGCCCAGGCTGGAGTGCAGTGGCACGATCTCGGTTCACTGCAAGCTCCGCCTCCCAGGTTCATGACACTCTCCTGCCTCAGCCTCCCAAGTAGCTGGGACTACAGGCGCCCGCCAACACGCCCGGCTAATTTTTGTATTTTTAGTAGAGACGGGGTTTCACCGTGTTAGCCAGGATGGTCTCGATCTCCTGACCTCGTGATCCGCCCGCCTCGGCCTCCCAAAGTGCTGGGATTACAGGTGTGAGCCACTGCGCCCCGCCATAATGTGGGTCTACTTTCTTAAGAGCAACGTGAAGTCTTTCCATACTGCTGAGGTCTACGGTCTGGGATAAATTCCCGGTTGGGACATCCACTGGCTGTGTGGCTTTGGGCAGTTACTGAACTGTTCTAAGGACCAGTTTCCCCATCTGTGGATGGGATTAGCAACTGCACTTCCCCATTGGGTTGCTGGGAGGACCCATGAAGACAAGGCATCCTGTTTCGTTCACGACACAACTGGTCCCCAGAAGGGTACAGTGCTGGGAGCCGGTACACAAAGACAAAGACACACAAGCGCCCCAGTCCCCTCAACCGCGGGTTTCATGTAAAGGGGAGGGGCAAGAAGTGATAAGAACCCAAATGATCATCGTAATAAAATAATACAGAATTTTAAAAAGGTAGAGGATGTGAAGAGGCAGAATAAGGCCACGTGGCTTTCTGAGCTCGGGGTTAAGAGAAATGCCAAATGGAGCAAAAGGGTTAGAGTGCAGATGCTTCAGTTACAGACCTGTAGAGTGCCTCGTCTACAAAGATACTAATTTCCCACCACCTTTTAAAAATGGCTTAGTTCCTTTAGCTGATCGGCAACACCCTCTTGCCTTAGAAACTCAGCACCCACACACCTCACTTCATTCTAGAACGTGCTCCTCTGTCCACCCTACCTAAAAACTAAGCAGCACCTGCTCCCATCATTCTAACCCCTCCCCGGCTTTATTTTTCTGCATAGCACTTACACCATCTCTGGACATATCCTGTGCCTATTTGCCTACTGGAAATCTCCTCCCACAGACTATAAGCTCCATGGAAACCAGGGCTGCAGTCATCTCCTTTGCTGCCATATCCCTGGCAGCTACAACAGTGCCTGGCCCGGAGCAGATGCTCAAGAAATGTGACCGAATGAATGGACAATGAAAGATCAAAGAACCGGATTCCTGTTCCCAGTTTAAGAACCTCCAGTGAGCACCTGGTTCACTCTGAGGGGGCTCTGGAATGATCCGTCCTTCAGAAGGAGTTATTCCCTTGGTGCCAACAGGGAAAGTGAGTTGTGGAACATCTCAGAGTAAAACGCAATCGAGGCAGAAGCAGGTGCGGATTGTGCAAACATCCACTGTCTGCACCTCCTGCTCTAGTCCCTGGGTCACGCACCCTGGAGGTCAGAGCTGTCACCATCACAGGGCCATCACCTGCCGATCTCAGGACATTCTCCCTGAGCAATTCAAGGTGTTCGGGCCTCCATCCCACCAAGCCAGCATCCCCCTCTATCTTTTCCCTTCCCCACATCTCTGAAAGTGCCAATTCACAGACTCTCCCATCCAACAGGGCACCTCTTTCAGCTCCTTAAACTGAGCACCACATTTGACTTGGGATCAAGTGCTGAGATTCGAGGAAGAGCCACCGCACAGCCTGGCTGAAATGTTTATTTCAGCAACAAGTTCAGCTTGCAGCTTTGAGCCAGAGTTCCCATCGCCCTCCTAGAGGAAAGCCCCTTGTAACAGCCGATGGTTTCAGAACCATTTCCACGGCAGGCTGTCCTCAATGCCTAGCCATCATGGAAGTTCTCAGAAACTCGATTTGGTCTTTAAGAACCAGAGACCAGAAAGGGTGAAGGGCAGTAGGGTAGAGAAAACTCAAAACTTTCTGGTTTAGCTGCTGGTCTGATCTTGTTTCATGCCAGTGATGTCATCTGTAAACTGGGAAAAGAGTTTTCCAATGTGCTGTCTTTTAAAACGGACATACCATGAGGGCTGCAGGAATAACAACCACCCCTAGACCTAGGAAACAGGCATTCCTGGGCTATACCGTGTCATTAGGATATTATGATGAACACACAAATGGAGTCTATAGAGACACAAAGTAAACAGCCCTATCTCCACCTAGCCATCTCCTGTACATGTTTACATGAAAACAACTCCCACTGACACAACACTCAGCCTCAGATCACTTTAGTATTTTACAGACAAGACAAAAGTCATCTTGACATAGTTCATGAGGGTGGAGATGGAGCAGAGAGCGCCACAATCTAATGGGAAACTGAGTCAGTGGGAGCACTGACAGGTCATCTGGCAAGCATGTAATGCCAGAAGGAGCTGAGGACTAACATGCATTAAGCATTTATGGTGAATGAGGCAAGGTGTTTTACAGACACCATCTTTGGAATGACAGATCTTTAGTTGGTACTATTATTATTTCCACTGTACAGATGGGTAAATTGAGTCTCAAAAAGATGAAGCAACTTGACCAAACTCTCCCATCTGCTTCCTTTTCGCATCGATGCTGTTTTACCTCAACCCGTCTTGGACTCTGCCGTGTGTAACTGGGGAGAAGGTGGGAAAAGGAAAACTCCAACACAGGAGAGAGGACTACTCTGCCCTGACACCCAGAGGCGGCATTCCATCTCCTGGGGAGGCTACCATAGGCAAAAACAAGAATAGGGGGCCTTGTGGTTGGCTTTTTTCTTACAGGAAAGAAATGATTATTAGGAAAATAAGCCCGTGTGCTCCCCAGCTAGTGAGCTTGCTGCCTGGGAGAGGTATTATGGTGCTAAGACTTTGGATTTCCACGGACAAAACTGGGAATTCCAACACCATGATTTAGGACTCTGGGAACTTGGGCAAGTCGCTTAACCTCCGGGCTTTTCTGTCCTCATCTGCATGGAGATAACACAGCCTCACTCCCAGGGTTGTGATAAGATTTTAAGGATGTGTTGCATGTGAATTACTAGAACACAATAGGTGTTCGATGAATAAGGAATAATTATGTTGTGCCTCCCCCTCCCGTTTTTCCCGGAAAAAGTATTCAGAACTTGGACCTGGTGATGGCAGCCCCTTCTCAGAAAAGCCCTTCGTCTTCTAAGGTTTCTTCCTACTCCAGTCAAGATGACGCAGGGGTTCCTGTCTCCCATCCCCATGCCCTAACTTGGGGGGAAGGGGCAGGGGGAAGGGAGATAGCGCAGGCCTGAGTGGGATGGAACGGGCACACCCGCTGGGAACACTTTAACAGTAAAACGCTGTTCTCCACTTGGGGCGGATTCGCCAACCAAACGCAATTAGATCACTGCGTTTGTGTCTCCACCTCTGCAATTTCTCTTTCTGCATTACTCGGAGTTCAAGTGTATGAGAAACGCAGCAATCTCTCCGCTCCTAGCAAATGCGAGGCATCAATTTCGCCTCGGAGGGGCGGCGGTGAAGGGGGCTCCCCTCGGCACTCCGCGGGGGCCGCCACATGGCTCACAGGTGCGGTCCCAGGGGGCCGAACCAACTTCGCGCAGGGCTGGCCCCTTTCCCACGCTTCCCCCAGCAGACGCGGGGTCCAGCCCGGAGCTGGGTCTCCAGGCGCCGCGGGATCGCCTGGCTCCGGCAAGCGCGGTCCTGGCCCCCCGGTGCAGCCCCCGAGCCCCGGTCCCCACGCCGAGGAACTCACTCTGCGTCCCGCACGCCTCCCGCTGCACCCGCCCGGGGCTCGGGGCTCCGCGCGCTGCGAGAACTTTGCCACCAGCGGCTTCCCGATCCCGGCTCCGAGCGCCCTCGCGCGCCCGGCCCCGGCGGCTCCTGGGCCTGTGTCCGCGCCGCCCGCCCCGCCCCGCCCCGCGCGCACCTACCGGGCTGGCTGCAGTCGCCATCCGCTCGGACCCGGGGAACCCCGGCGCGGGGCCGATCGCCGGGCCCCGCCGCGTCCACGCACTGCTCGCAGGCTGCGGGTCCCGGGGGCCGCGCGGGCCCGGCCCCCGCCCCGCAGGAAGGCGCCGGCTCGCCCTGCGCCGCGAGCTGGCGGACGCGCTCCCACGAGCCCGAGTCGGCCGCCCGCATGCCGGGTGCCCGGGGGGACGCTACCAGCGGCTGCGCGAGGGGCTCCGACGGCGCGCGCCGGGCTCACAGACCCGGAGGTCGCCGCCGCATCGGGGCGCAGCCGAGCCCGCCCCCGCCTCCCGCCCGGCCGGCGGCGCGCGCCGGACCAGGGCTCTCAGTCCGGCCGGACGCCGGGCGGTCCGCGCCTGCTGCACGCGAGGAATTCGGCCGCGGAGCCTCTCACGTGGGAACGGCTCTCAGTCCCGCGGCTCCTCCTCCCGCTCCTTCCGGGCTGGCGACTGCCGAGGCTCGCCCCGCCCCCGCCCCGCCCCCGCCCCGCCGCGGCGCCCAGACTGGCCCCAGTGCCCGGGGAGCGCCGCCGCGTCGCCCCGTTGTGCGCCCGGCCCCCGCCACTCGGTGCATCCCCGACGCGGTCATTCCCGGGGACACGGAGGGTCAGAAAGACGGCCGATGTCACAGGGGTGGCTGTGACGGAACTCGAGCCCCGGTCTTTGAAAGCCCCTGGCCTCTGCCTGGCACCCCACTTTGCTGTGTCTCTCTCCTCTCCTGACACCCTGTGACAGCCTTGCCGAGAGCCGAGGTCCCCACAGCTGACCGGGAGAGGTCAGAAGGAGTGGGCGGGCAGGGGAGCAGCCCCGGGACCTTTCCTTCGCTCATCTTTGCGTGTGACCGGCCATCCTCTAAGTGAGGGGAATGCTGAGTGCACCCACCGTCTGGTGGGGGAGATCGCGAGGGGGCTGAGATCTGGTGGGAGGCCCTGTGACTTCACCTCACTTCCCCAGCCTCAGTTTCCCCATCTATGAGTTAGGCATTAGTAATTCCCCACTGTCCATTATCAGTGCTGCCCATGAACTCTCCAACTATGGCAGCCATTGGCAGGGGAGGCCAGAGCCTGGACCCTGGGAGTGGGTGGGGGAACAGTGACAAGGCCAGGCAAACCCTGTAGGAAGTGGCACCTTGGAGGGTCTGCACAACAGAACCCACCCGCTGGAGTGGGTGTTCAGGCTGGCAGTGCTCCTGTGAAGTAAGTGTGCAGCTCTGAGCCCCCTTTGATCTGGGGATTACGATGCTGTTTAGAAAGACTAATTATCTCCTTACAGCCCCAGGAGGCAGGTCCAGTTCCCCCCTGTTGTAGACACGCGGGAGCCGAGGCCACACAGCCAGGTGAGGAGTCAGTCACACACTCATGGAGCCCCCAGCCTCCCCTTGTAGGCAGCATGCTAGCAACCTTACCCTGCCCAGGCTTGGCTCTATAATCTGAGGCTCCCACTGGCCCAGGCCTGAGATGTGCAAATTTCTAGGTCACTGGCCTATGGCTGTCCAACAAGCTGTGAGAACCTAATTACTTTCCCTTAAGTCTACAAAACCTTTTAGGAGCAGTTTCCTGCCCATGGGTCAGAAGCCCTGGCTCTCAGCAACCACAGTGGCCTGGCCACCAACTATCATGGCCTTCCCAGCTTCCCCCCGCCCCCGCATCCTCACCTTCCCAATGATGGAAACTGGCCCAGCTGCGGAGGCTGCCTTAGAACCCCTGCCCTGTCTAGCTGGCACTTTTTTTTTTTTTTTTTTTTTTGAGACAGAGTCTCGCTTTGTCACCCAGCCTGGAGTGCGGTGGTGTGATCTTGGCTCACTGCAACTTCCGCCTCCCGGGTTCAAGCGATTCTCCTGCCTCAGCCTCCTGAGTAGCTGGGATTACAGGTGCCCGCCACCATGCCCGGCTAATTTTTGTATTTTTAGTAGAGACAGGGTTTCGCCATGTTGGTCAGGCTGGTCTCGAACTCCTGATCTGGTGATGCGCCAGCCTCGGCCTCCCAAAGTGCACTTTTAACTGCGCCAGAGGACGGCAGAGTGGCATGGGAAGTGCTGGGTGCTCCCAGCTGTGGAAGAAAAGTACCCACACCACTTTTCCAGGAGGAAGGAAACTGACACCACACCAAGTGACCAGAGATGCTGGGAATCCCCTAATTCCTCTCCTTTACTGAGATAACAGACAGAGCAGAACAAAAGAATGATCACTCTGAGCACCCGAGAGCGGAGAAGCTAGGAATGCCCTTGCCAGCCCCTGCATCCTGGAGAATCTGGTCCAGGACTGTCTGAGTTACCTTCAGGGACCTGCCTGGGAACATAAATGAGTGAGCTGGGTTGAGCAGGGGCTACTGTGGTTTATTTCATAAGGGCATTTATGTTATATTATTTTGACTTAAACACTCTTGGCAT
Organism: Homo sapiens; assembly: GCF_000001405.40. Lineage (NCBI taxonomy): Eukaryota > Metazoa > Chordata > Mammalia > Primates > Hominidae > Homo > Homo sapiens. The sequence continues at coordinate 14,922,147 of NC_000001.11, read as the reverse complement.
ATTAAACACTTAGGAAGACTTTTCACTTCCGCAAAGAAACATAGTCTTTCACGTATTTCTGGAAGTACATGAATTATACTTTTGATAGAGACATGTGCTTTCCTCTTAACTCCATAACAAGAAAAAAATAGCACCTGGCTGGGCATGGTGGCTCATGCCTGGAATCCCAGCACTTTGGGAGGCCGAAGAGGGTGGGTGACTTGACGTCAAGAGTTCAAGACCAGCCTGGCTAATATGGTGAAACCCCGTCTCTACTAAAAATACAAAAATTAGCCGGGAGTGGTGGCACACACCTGTAATCCCAGCTACTCAGGAGGCTGAGGCAGGAGAATCACTTGAACCTAGGAGGGGGAGGCTGCAGATAGCCGAGATTGTGCCAGCACACTCCAGGCTAGGCGACAGAGTGAGACCTGGTCTCAAAAAACAAACAAACAAGAACAACAACAAAAAAACCCCTATAAACAAAACCCAGCACAAGTATGAGTATGTAGCTCCTGTCACTTGGATTTGGTATCAGAGAGACATTAGGCTGGTGGGGACTGTGGCAAATGAGGCCACCGGCCCCTGTAGAGGAGGCTGTAGATTGTTGTCAGGCAGGAATGTAGTCTTAGTGTTGTCAGATGTTCTACTTTTTTTTGTTTGTTTAGAACTACTAGGAATATGGATTTTTACATGAAATCTAAATTTGAAACATTAGCAACTCTTTAAAACTTAAGAAGGAAAGGGAGGAAGAGGAGACGGAGGAAGAAGAAAGTAAACATATCTAAAAGTCTTTATGTAGCCCATTGGCCACCAGGGACCATTTCACCGCTACCGTCACTGGTCCCTCTGCAACCTCCTGAAGCGCACATACGTCCTAGTTACTTTTCAGTCATCCAAGCTGCTTCGTAAGGCCACAACCCTGGGGAATTCCCTCTGTAACTTTTACTCAGTGCAGTTTGGCCGTGGCTCTGTGTGAATGTGTGTGTGTGTGTGTGTGTGTGTGTGTGTGTGTTGCATGCTCAGGCCCAGGACTGCAGATGGCAGTGGGGTCCAGCTTCTCCAGTTTTCTGGAGGTTCCCAGGCTGCCCATGCCCCCCTTACTCAGCTGTAGCCCCTCACTCTCCCTGCTCTCAACTCTGCTAGCTGGCAAGTCTGTGGCCACGGTGGCAGTTAGGAACCTATCAGAAACCCATCTGTCTTGGGTGGGGAGGTACATTAAAAACACCTTGAGGTACATTTATGAGGATGCCCTGAGCCCAGGAGATGTTTCTGCTCAGTTCTCCACCAGGAGACCCTGGAGTCAAGGACTAACCTACCCATTTTCTGCCCTGAGTGGCTTGGGCAGGTCCCACACAAATGATAACTCTTGGGGGTTTAGAGGAGATCCCTTTGCAGAGCCAGCTTCTGGGCATGTGACCTGTGTGGTCACACTGGGCCCCGTGCTCAGAAGGGCCCCGAGCTTGGGTGAATGCTCCACTGTTGTTGCCTTGAAATTCTTAATTATTTTTGAACATTGGGACCTACCAATTATGTAGCCAGTTCTACTTCCAGGAGACCTTCCCAGACCCCCTGGGAGATGCTGGGAATTGAGGCTGGATACAACTTGGCTCACTCTGTCCTGCTCCAGGGCACACTGTGTCCAGCCTCCGTGGGGCAGCAGGAAGGGGGGATTTGGGGGTCCGGAAAGACAGCAGGAGGTGTCCTCATCCAGTCCTCCCGGCAACTCATTTTAAAGAGCAGAGGCATAGTGTGACTTCAGAGGGGAAAGGGGCAGTCCAGACAGGGGGTGGGGAGGCTGCTCTGGTTCTGGGCTCTGAGGCCAGACAGGGTCCCCATGACCCTGACCTCAGGCTGGACAGGGCGCCACCCAAAAAAAAAAAAAAAAAAAACAGAAAAGAGGCTGCAGACAGAAAAAAGTGCAGGTCCCATCCAGAGCATCCCCTCGTTCCCAGAGGAACATCCTTTAGATCACTGGAGAAGACTACAAGATAAATTTGGCTTAAGGAACAAAACCCAGAAACATGGTATTAAGAGACCCCATTATGTTTGGTGTCTGCTTAAAGTTGAATATTTGAGCCCACTGAACTCTTTCCCTTCCCCCACCCCCAATTTGGCTATGATTTTAAAATAGTCATGCATCACTTAATGACAAGGACAGGGACAGAGGCAGAATGACGTTCTGGGAAATGCATTGGTAGGCAATTTTGTCATTGTGCAATCATAAAGCGTACTTACCCAACCTACACGAGATAGCTACTACACACCTAGGCTATATGGTATAGTCTATTGCTCCTATGTACAACATGTCACTGTACTGAATACTGTAGATAATTGTAACACGATGGTAAGTTTTTATATATCTAAACATATCTCAACAGAAAAACTACAGTAAAAATACAGTATAATCTTACGGGACCATCATCAGATATGCGATCGATCCATCATTGACCCAAATGTTTTTATGTTTCTATTTGTAGAAGATGTTTTACTGAGATCTTCCAGCCAACATGTTACTATCTCCAAACACCTTTAGCTAAGACAAAGCAGTAAACTCTTGATTCCTGGAAGATGCAGAGTTTTGTAACACCCCATAGTTTTGTAACTCCTGGTGAAACTTTCCAGGGGGTATGAAGACCTCAGCCACAATGTCAGGATCCCTTGCTGTGTGTGACCATGAAAAAGTGCCTCGGGAGGGGCGCGGTGGCTCATGCCTGTAATCCCAGCACTTCGGGAGGCCAAGGCGGGTGGATCGCCTGAGGTCAGGCGTTCGAGACCAGCCTGGCCAACATGGTGAAACCCTGTCTCTCCTAAAAATACAAAAGTGAGCCAGGTGTGGTGGAACGCGCCTGTCATCCCAGCTACTCAGGAGGCTGAGGCAGGAGAATCATTTGAACCTGGGAGGCGGAGGTTGCAGTGAGCCGAGATCGTGCCACTGCACTCCAGCCTGGCCAACAGAGCGAGACTGTCTCAAAAACAAACAAACAAAAAAGTGCCTCCTGTCTCTGCATCTGAGTGTTCTGGAGGTTCGAAGGGCTGGCTTTGCGGGTGTGAGGAGGGTTTTTCTAGCTCTGCCCACTGCAGTTGACTTGCTCTTTTTTATCCTTTCTCATGGTAGTTGCGTGGGTATGTTTTGTGTGTGTGTCGCTGGTAGTGATGGGAAGTATATTACCTATTGCTGCATAACAAATCACCTCCAAACTCAGTGGTTTAAAACAATAGGGATTGATTATCTCATAGTTTCTATGGGTCAGGAATCCAGGTGTGGCTTAGCTGGGTCTTCCAGTTCAGGGTCTCTTAAAGGCTGCAATCAAGGTGTCAGGTGGAGCTGCTGCCAACTTGAGGCTCAACCTAGGGACAATCTACTTCCAAACCAAACTCACTTACAAGGCTAGTGGCAAGATGCAATTCCTCCCAGGATATATATATATATATATATATATATATATATATATATATATTTTTTTTTTTTTTTTTTTTTTTTTTTTTTTTTGAGATGGAGTCTTACTCTGTCGCCCAGGCTGGACTTCAGTGGCGCAATCTCAGCTCACTGCAACCTCTGCTGCCCGAGTTCAAGCAATTCTCCTGTCTCAGCCTCCAGAGTAGCTGGGACTACAGGCATGTGCTACCACGTCCGGCTAATTTTTGTATTTTTAGTAGAGATGGGGTTTCACCATATTGGTCTGGCTGGTCTCGAACTCCTGACCTCAGGTGATCCACCTGCCTCAGTCTCCCAAATTGCTGGGGTTACAGGGGTGAGCCACCATGCCAGCCCCATTCCTCCCAGGATATTGAACTGAGAACCTCAGTTCCTCATTGGCTGTGAGATCTCCTCACAGAATGGCAGCTTGCTTCCCACAGAGGCCTCCAAGAAAGAGAAGAGAAGGTGTGCAAGAAGAGATGGAAGCCACAGTCTCTTTGCAGCCTAATCTCAGACAGGACAGCCCATCTTGTTCTCCCTATTCTGTTCATTAGAAGTGCATCTAGATCTTGGCCAGACGCAGTGGCTCATGCCTTTAATCCCAGCACTTTGGGAGGCTGAGGCAGGCGGATCACAAGGTTAAGAGATTGAGACCATCCTGGCCAACATGGTGAAACCCCATCTCTACTAAAAATACAAAAATTAGCCGGGCGTGGTGGCTCATGCTTGTAATCCCAGCTACTCGGGAGGCTGAGGCAGTAGAATTGCTTGAACCCAGGAGGCAGAGGTTGCGGTGAGCTGAGATCGCGCCACTGCACTCCAGCCTGGGCGACAGAGCAAGACTCCATCTCAAAAAAGAAAGAAAGAAAGAAAGAAAGGAAGGAAGGAAGGAAGGAAGAAAGAAAGAAGTACATTTAGATCTCACCCCCAATCTAGGAGAGAAGACAAACTGAGGTGGATACCAGGAGGCAGGATCATTGGGGTCATCTTGGAAGCTGCCCACCCAGTGAGTTGGGGACACAGTCTCTAGAAGCAGAGAGGCCAGGATGCAAATCACTAGCGTGTGATTGAGACAGATGATTTCATCCCTGGAATCCTCAGGTTCTCCATCCGTAAAAATGGAAATGATCATGGTCACTACTTGTCGGGCTGTGGCAAGGGCCTTCAGGAGATGAGGCACACATAAAAAGCTCTGCATGGGGCCTGGCATAGGGTAAATCCTCAAAAACTGGGCTAGTGAAACATTCCCAGAGGAGGCCAGAGTGACCTGCCCACGGCTTCTGAGCGGGACACACTCCCTGCTATCTCTATGGAGACTGTCATCTCCGTCCACTCCTGGGGGCTCCAAAGTGACTTGGAAGCCCTTTGGCAGCCCCTGGGCCGCCTTTGTTGCTGAGGCCACCAGCAGGGATGGTGCTGATCTCCTCTTCTTCCCTCGGCCATCCCAGCAGGACTCTGGGACCCCAGGTGCATCGGGAAGGATTAGAGCTGGATTTTCCCCAAACCTATTTAGACCTTTGCCCTTGGTGGGGTGAGGATTTTACTCGGGGTCCACCCTGCCATCTGTCCTGGCGAGGCTAGAGACTTCTGTGGGCCTTTCATGGGCTCACTGATACCCTTTGATGGTTTTCCCAGGTCCCCAAATGACCTGGCAGAAATCCTGATCTCCTCCAGGGCCTTGCAAAGGGCTTCTCCTAGAGGCAGAGCTTAGCCCAGTCCTCGGGCAGAACAGGCCATTCAAGCCATTTCATGGAGTTCAAGGTGTCAGGTGGAGCTGCCTTCATGCCCTGCTTGTTGGACTGTCACGAGCCCCAAGTTAAATTTTTTTTTTTTTTGAGACAAGGTCTTGCTTGTCACCCAGCCTAGAATGCAGTGGTATGATGATGGCTCAATGCAGCCTCAAACTCCTGGGCTCAAGCAATCCTTCTGCCTCAGTCTCCCAAGTACCTAGGACCACAGGTGTGCCACCACCATGCCCAGCTAATTTTTAATTTTTTTTGTAGATATAGGGTCTCACTGTGTTGCCCAAGCTGCCGCAAACTCCTGGCGTTAAGTGGTCCTCCTACCTTAGCCTCCCAAAGCACTAGAATTACAGGTATGAGCCACCACAGTGGGCCCCAAGTTAGATTCTTAATTGTAACAAAATAATAAAGTCCTTCCTTATCCAGGGGCCACATCTCACCTTTTCTAAGTCCCTTTTTGAAGAGTTCAAGTAGGAAAGTTTCTGCAGAAAGTTAAAATGTTGCAGCTTATTGAGAATTAAAAGAATAGACTGGGTGTGGTGGCTCACGCCTGTAATCCCAGCAGTTTGGGAGGCCAAGGCAGGTGGATCACCTGAGGTCAGGATCACCCGAGGTCAAGATCAGCCTGGCCAACATGGTGAAACCCCATCTCTACTAAAAATACAAAAACGAGTTGGGCATGGTGGCACACACCTGTAATCCCAGCTGCTCGGGAGGCTGAGGCAGGAGAATCGCTTGAACCCGGGAGGTGGAGGCTGCAGTGCACCAAGATCATGCCACTGCATTTCAGCCTGGGTGACAAAGCGAGACTCTGTCAAAAAAAAAAAAAAAAAAAGAACAACAGTGAAAATACTACAAATAATAATAATAATGGCAAACATTTACATAGCACTTACTATGTGCCAGGCAGTGTTCTAAGAATTTAAATATTAATTTAATCCTCCCCACAACCCAGAGAGGTAAGTGTACTATTATTATCATCCCCACTTTACAGATGAGGAAACAGACACAGAGAGGTCAAGTCACTTACCCAAAGTCACACAGCCAGTAAGTGATGGAAGCAGGACTAAAGCCCACGTAGTCTGGCTGCAAGGTCCATACTCATAGCCATGATGCTGCCTTGGCAATAGGTGTCATTTACTGAGCACTGACATCAGTCCAGGGACTGTGCTTTCCGGCTCATTCAACCCGCCAAGCCACCCTATCCCCAGGTTCCAGATGAGAAAATGAAGGTTTAGGGAGACAAAAAGGACTCATCCAAGGTGATGTGGCTGGAAAAGGCAGCGTTGGGAGTCTGTCAGAATTGAGGGGTATCCTCTGCGAAACTGCCTCCCACATCAGGGGTTATGGAGAATGCATGCCTGTGGGCAGCGGGGAACAGTCACCTCTTCATTCTTCATAAAGAGGGGGGACTCAGAGGGAACCCTCAGCAGTGCTGCTGGGCAGGATGTGTCCTCTGCTGCCCCTGGTGGCTACTAGCGGAACTTCTTCTTCCCCAAGTGGGACCCTTGGCTCTGGGAATCGTGACACTATGTTCACCATTGCAATTTTCAGACTCTGTGTCTCCATTTCCTGCGTGTGATTTGAGAGACACAGAGGGCCAGGGGCCAGCAAGGGGCCCAAGAAAAGAATAACAGTTACTGTTTACTGAGCACTGCCACCTCTATGCCAGGCACTCTGCTGGAGACTCCTTACTTAAAAGTTACCATTTAATTAATCAATGCACAGATATATAATCATGATTGTTAAGAGCTATTAATAGTAGACAGAGCAGTTTACACATATTAGCTCATTTTCTTTTCTTTTTTTCTTTCTTTTGAGGCGGAGTTTCGCTCTTGTTGCCCAGGCTGGAGTGCAATGGCACGATCTTGGCTCACCGCAACCTCCGCCTCCCAGGTTCAAGCAATTCTCCTGCCTCAGCCTCCCGAGTAGCTGGGATTACAGGCATGCACCACCACGCCCGGCTAATTTTGTATTTTTAGTAGTGATGGGGTTTCTCCATGTTGAGGCTGGTCTCGAACTCCTGACCTCAGGTGATCCGCCCGCCTCAGCCTCCCAAAGTGCTGGGATTATAGGCGTGAGCCACCGCGCCTGGCCAATATTAGCTCATTTTCATCCCCAGAAGTACTATGTAAGTACCAGTACTATGTAAGTGCTATTGCTATTACTATCCTCATTTTATCAATGAGGGATCCAAGGTTCAGAGAGGTTAAGCAGGTTGCCCCACATCACACAGCTAGTATAAGGTGGAGCTAAGATTCAAACTTAGAAAGTTCTGGCTCCAGAACCTGTTCTCTTAACCATTATGCCATTATCAATGGGACTGGGATGGAGCCCCTGCCACCCATTCTCGAAGGCAACAAAATGATCCCAAAGAGCAGGCTAGGGAACTGCTTCCAGATTCTTGCTGGGTCAGCGGTGAGGTCCAAGGATGCCGGCCAGGCCTGTCCCTTTAAGGCTTAAAGTGCCCATCTCTCCTAGAGAAACTCATCTCCCTCAGTGGCTACAAGGAAGTTGGAACAATAGAGTAAGAGCCCCTGTGTAGTCGTGCCTGGGCCTTTCCTGGGAAGATCTCTGTGCTACCGGCAAATAGTAATTAGGCATCCCAACACCGATGGGGGTTTAGTTGTTCAAAGACAAAGCTGGCTTTTCTCCTGTTGGTGGGTGAGAAATGCAAAGCCCAGAGAGGCAGACACTTGCCCAGGGGGGTACAGCAAATCAAGGGCCAGGGGGACTAATCAGGTAAGCCCTAGGGCAGCGGTTCTCAAAGTGTGGCCCCTGATCAGCTGCAGCAGCATCTCTCCTGAGCATGGAGGAGAAATGCAAATTCTTGGCCCCACCCCAGACCTCCTGAATCAGAAACCCAGGAGGCGAGGCCCAACAGTCTGTTTCCACAGCCCTCCAGGTGACCCTGTTGCTGTGACAGCTGAGGGCCACTGCCCTGCCCAGAAGGGCTGCTAGGTCTTCATGCCCTCTGAGTGGGGAGGAAGGAGGCAGTGGAGCGTGGCAAGGTCGCGTTTTCAGTGGCTGTGGTGTCGGAATTATGTAACATCCCCTCCTCCATCCTGAAGGTCTTCTGCACCCAGAGTCCAAATGCAGAGGCCCTCCCTTGTCAGGAGGCCACCTGCCTGGGCTCCAGGAGGCCTGTCTGCACACGCCTGCGGCTGCTTTCCCCATAATTATGGGCTCTGCCCGCCTGTCTACCCGCCCACCAGAACTCAGGCACGTCAGCCCGAGCGACTCCTAGCTTCTCCAACTCAAGGCAGAGCACACAGGGCCCCCACCACCCCTGCACAGGCAGGTTAGGGGCTTTGGTGGCTACAAAGACGCCCAGCAAGGTTGGGAACGGGCCTTACCTTGCCCTCAGTGGCCCCAGCATGGGCCAAGCCCAGACAGTAAGGCAGAGAGTTCTGTACTCTGGACATCAGAAAGTCACCTTAGGCCCTGGTCTCTGGGTTCTCAGGGCAGAAATCTGTAATGGCCCCTAGTCCCAATGGGACTAATTAGAATTTGTTCTAAATTCTTCTTTTCCCAGGATTGTTATTTAAATATCTTTGGAACTGGTTTCGGGAGGCAGATTTGTTGAACAGATACGTAGGAAGGACTGGCATCTTCCCCCTGAAGTTTCTCATTAAAACAAACAAGCAAAAATGTGTTTGGATAAATGCGAAAGGCGCTGCCTTCTTTTTGTTTTTAAAGACTTGACCTTTGGGAGTGGAATGTTTCTCCCAGATCAGGGGCCCAGTGGAGGGGTACTCAGGGAGTCCTGGGGTAAAGTACAACCCCAAGAGCCGCTGGGTGAGCCTAATCCCAACTCCCCCTGAAACACAAGGCATGGGCAGGGGTTTAAACTTGCTCTGTGCCCACAGTGCCAGGCGCACCACAAGCACACACTCCTAAAGATTCTCAAGTCTAGCTCGGGGCCTCCCAGTTGCCCGTGCCAACCTTAACAAGCTCCTTCCATCACTCCAGCCCCTCCGCATCTTGCCAAGTGTCTCAGGTCTTAGGAAAGAACAATAGCTACCATTTACTGTGGGCCAGTCAGTATGACTGGCATTGGCTCGTTTCATCCCCCACCTGCCCTATGAGAGAAGGGCTTTGTTCTTATACCCATTTTAAAACGGAGTAAACCGAGGGTAAAAGAGAGAAGTAGGACTTGCATTCTGGTGGCCCTTGGAGCCGCATCTGGCCTGTGAATGTGGTTTCTTTTTTTAGTACTCCAGTAAAAAAATTTTTTTAAACCGGATGCCAACATTTTAACATTAGGATAACTTACACCAAAAGTTCAGATTTTTAGTTTCCACCTGGCCTTTTTGAAAAAATTAGGCTGGGCATGGTGGTTCACATCTATAATCCCAGCACTTTGGGAGGCCAAGGCAGGAGGATTGCTTGAGCCCCGGAGTTGGAGACCAGCCTGGGCAACATGGTGAAACCCTGTCTCTACAAAAAATATGAAAATTAGCTGGGCATGGTGGCGTGCACCTGTAATTTCAGCTACTCGGGAGGCTGAGGTGGGAGGGAGGTATTATCAAACCCCCATTCCATCCCACATGGTGACAGCGTATCCTCTCATCCCCCACTGTGGTAGGTCCCCTCCACTCCCTACTGTCTTACTTCTGGCTACCTTACCCAGGTATGTGACCTCCCTGGCTGCTCCAGGCACAATTAGTGAAAGGCAATGTCCTGGGTCTGTCCATCTTTCTGTCTGTTATCTCACCAGTCCCCACTACTGGGAGACCCCAATGTGGCAGATTAGAAGGAGCACTGGACGGGGAGTCAGGAGATGTGGATGCTTGTTCTGTTGGCTGGGTGGCCCTGGGAAGACCCTTTTCCTTTCCTTTTTTTTTTTTTTTTTTTTTTTGAGGTGGAGTCTCTCTCTGTTACCCAGGCTGGAGTGCAGTTGTGTGATCACTGCAACCTCTGCCTCCCAGGTTCAAGTGATTCTCCTGCCTCAGCCTCCCAAGTAGCTGGGATTACAGGTGCCCGTCACCACACCCAGCTATTTTTTGTATTTTTAGTAGAGATAACGTGCCATCATATTGGACAGGCTGGTCTCAAACTCCTGACCTCAGGTGATCTACCTGCCTCGGCCTCCCAAAGTGCTGGATTACAGGCGTGAGCCACCGTGCCTGGCCGAGGCTTTTCCCTTTCATGGCTTCAGTTTTCCCATGTATAAATTAGGGTCTTAGATAGAACAATCTTCCAGAGCCCATCTACTCCTATCATCTCCAGCAAGACTCCTCCCAGCTGCAGAGCCCACTGGGAAACTGTCCTAGGGATTCCAGACCAGTCAGGTACAGGCTTGCCCACTGAGCCATCCTGTGGCCCTGGGCACCTCCTAGCTAGGGAACCGTTCCAGAGCTGCACCATCAGTGCCAGCAGGGGCCAAGGGTGTGGGCTCTCCCAGTGACAGGGTGTGGGTTCCATACCTGAAGCAGCTTCCGGCGCCTAATGACCTCATTGCACAGAGGAGGAGTCCATCAGGGACCACCCAAACTTCCCACTCGGAAATGCAGGATGCCGGAGCTGGGAGGTGGAGCCAGCGTTTCCCTGCCCAGGTCAGTCTAAGGACAAGGATGCCCCCTGGGCACTGGGCAAGCTAGCTGGGGCCCTGGACTGCCAACAGGAAGTGCTCGCTCTTTCAAGTCCCAGGGACATAGAGAGCATGAATTCAATCTCACTTCTCTTTCATCATCCTACAAACATTCAACAGAGGGAGAAACTGAAGCCTAGAGAGGGAACGTGATTGCTTAGGCCCACAGCAAATCAGTACAGAGCTGGGCAAGGGTTCAGGCTTCCTGACCTCTGTCCTGGGGTGTTTCCTATATTCTCTCTCCCTCGGAATTTAGAACCTTTCATTTCTTGGCATTGGACCTCAGAAGGGACTTGAAGTGGCCAACATGGGCAGGGCCTGTCTGTCTGGTTCAGAGGCCTGGCATGGAGCTTGTTCACGGTGCCTCAGATTCAAACTGCTGCACTGTGCGGGCTCAGGAGTGGTGTGAGCTGCCCATGCCTCCGGGATGGAAGCTTGGTCTATAGGAAAGGTTGCAAAACTTGCAGCCAGTAGCCCACATTTGGCTCACAGACATATTTTGTTTTTCCCACAGTGTTTTTTTAAACAATTCACATTAGTTGCCGACATTTAAGAATCAGAAAATTTCACTTAAAAGATAGGATTTCTGACTTTTCTTGAAAGCCTTGGGATCCACCAAAAGGTGGACCACAATTTCTGCCTGGCCACGACTGGCAGGAGCTAGGTAAGCCCCCTCTTGCTCAGCATGCCGGCCATCTTCACTGTTTCTGGGATCTCTTGTATGTAGGTTTGGGGATTTTGAGCCCTCCTCTGCAGCGTCTCTGTGCTGGAGCCATAGTTCCTCCCTTCCTGGTTATCCTGGGCAAAACTCCAGATAGCAGTGGTTTGCAACCAGAGGGCAATTTTGCCCCCCACACCTAGGAAACATTTGGCATATCTGGAGACATTTTTTTGGTCACACTGGGGAGGTGGGGACTGCTCCTGGCATCTAGTGGGTGCACAGAATGACCTCCTACAGCAAAGAATTATCTGGTGTCAAGAGTCAGCAGTGTTGAGGGTGAGAAACCCTGGGCTGAATCAAGAGACACCAAGGGCCCCAGGCCAGGAACCGGATCCTGAGACGGAGGAGTTGGTAGGGCACCCACATGGGGGAAGGCCCAGCCCTGCACATCAAGTCCTTTTCTGTCATTGTGATGGATATGGAGCGCTCACTCGCACTCCTGGGAAAACAGATCTCATGACAGCCACTCATGGCTAAAGGTCAGGAATGAATGTTAGGAGGGAGAAGAGCAGCCAGTCAGGAGATCCACAGGCCACAGATATCCCAGAGCCTTCTGGAGAGCCAGGGGCTAATTGGTTGTAATTAGGGCAGGGCCAGGCATTCATTCATTCATTCATTCATTCATTCATTATTTATTTATTGAGACAAGGTCTTACTCTGTCGCCCAAGCAGGAAGTGCAACAGTGTCTCGGCTCACTATAACCTCCGCCTCCCAGGTGCAAGCGATTCTCTTGTCTCAGCCTCCCGAGTAGCTGGGACTACAAGCACACGCCACCGTGCCTGGCTAACTTTTGTACTTTTAGTAGAGATGGGGTTTCGCCATGTTGCCCACGCTGATCTCGAACTCCTGAACTCCTGAGCTCAGGTGATCCGCCTGCCTCAGCTTCCCAAAGTGATGGTTAAACAGGCATAAGCACCAAGCCTGGCCATCATGCATTTATGAAAGCACCAACTGCATACAAAGCACTGTGGTTGGAAGGATGGGAGAAAGTCAAGTTGTCCACAACATGGCCCTGGCCCGCCAGGTGCTCTGGAGGTGGCCAGTTGAAGAGCAGGGCACTCTGGGGTGCACTGCAGAGTCTCTGGGGCAAGAGTGTTATTTGGCCCTGGCTTTGAAAGATGCAATCTAGATCAGCAGAGATGGGCAGGTGGGCACTGTGGGCAGAGGAAACGGCCTAACTCTGGAGGCAGTAACAGACTCAGGCACACAGCCAAGATGAGATGTTACGAGTTAGGTGGGAGGAAATTGGTGGGAGGCAGAGGGGCCTGATGTCGGAGGCGGAGATTGCAGCACACTGTTAAGGGGTCTCCAAGACAAGCTAAGTGGAGAGAGAGGGCAGAGGCCATGGGGAATCCTTGCCAAGATAGTAGAGTATAGTTAACTGTGTGAGCCTGAAGAAGGCACTTAAATGCTCAGAGCCTCACTTTCCCCATCTGTTCAATGGGGATCAGTAAGAATAATAACTCTCATGTATAGCGCTTACCATGTGCCGCCAAACCCTATGGGATATATTTAATTATCACTGCAACTCTACGAAAGTATATACTATTACTGTTTTATGTCCTTTTTATGGAAGAGGAAACTTCGGGATATGGGTAGGAAAATCCCTTTTAATGTTCCCGAGGACACTGCTGTTGAGATGATGTGAGATGATGACGGTATCTGGACCAGGTGTTCTGGCTCCAGTCCACATGCTCTTTTTTTTTTTGAGATGGAGTCTCGCCCTGTCACCCAGGCTGGAATGCAGTGGTGTGATCTCAGCTCACTGCAACCTCAGCCTCCCAAGTAGCTGGGATTACAGGCGCCTGCCACCACACCTGGCTAATTTTTGCATATTTAGTAGAGATGGGGTTTCACCATGTTGACCAGGGTGGTCTTGAATTCCTGACCTCACGTGACCTACCTGCCTCGGCCTCTCAAAGTGCTGGGATTACAGGCGTGAGCCACCATGCCCGGACCCACATGTTCTTTTTGAGCCAGGGTCTGGTCTCTGTCACCCAGACTGGAGAGGAGTGGCATGAATAGGGTTCACTGCAGCCTCAACCTCCCAGCCTCAAGCAATCCTCCCACCTCAGCCTCCTGAGTAGCTGGGAGTCACATGCCTCCACACCCAGGTAATTTTTCTTCTTGTTTCTTTCTTTTTGTTTTTGAAACAGGGTTTCACTCTGTCGCTCAGACTGGAGTGCAGTGGCGTGATCTCAGCTCACCGCAACCTCTGCCTTCCAGGCTCAAGCGATTCTCCTGCCTCAGCCTCCCGAGGAGCTGGGATTACAGGCCCCTGCCACTACTGCCTGGTTAATGTTTGTATTTTTAGTAGAGATGAGGTTTCACCATGTTGGCCAGGCTCATCTTGAACTCCTGACCTCAAATGATCCACCTGCCTCAGCCTCCCAAAGTGCTGGGATTACAGGCATGAGCCACTGTGCCCAGCCAATTTTTCTTATTTTTATTTTTTGTACAGATAGGGGTCTTGCTATGTTGCCCAGGCTGGTCTTGAACTCCTGGCCTCAAGCGATCCTCCTGCCTCAGCCTCCCAAAGTGCTGGCATTACAGGTGTGAGCCACCGTGCCGCTGACCCTACATGCTTTTGATGGCTCTGCTCTTCATCCTCTCTAGAACCGCCTCTTGGCTTGTCCTCAAGAATACACAAAGGAAAGTAGGTGAAGTGCCCGGCATGATGCTGGCACAGAGTTAGTGCTCAGAAGCTATGACCTATCTCATGGAGCCCCAGTCTGGGTTGGCATAGCAAAGTCCAACTCATGGCCCTAATGAAACAGGGAGCCAGGGATTTTCCCTCGTGGGCTCATGGGCTCTGGGGAGAGAAGGGTTGGAGGAGGGGTGCCCTTCCACTGGGATGAGAGCTGAGCGGGGATCCACCTCCCACTTGCCTTTCCTGAGACCCCAATTGCCATCCCCCATCATGCTCCTTCAACAGCTCCATGACTTTCCTTACTCTGTCCACCCCCCTGCCAGGAATATTCTCCTTTCCATCTTCATGAAACCCTTCTTTCTTTTCCTTCTAACCCAGCTCAGAGGAGACTTCTTTCCGGAAGCAGCTCAGGACATGCCCGGGCAGAGTCATCATGCCCTCGTCTTTGTACCCTGAGCTTTTTGCAAACTCAATTGGCCCTCTTAGGCATCCAAGGGTCTTCGGGCACTATTTCAGAAGGCGTCTCAAGCTCTACTGAACACAATCATCTCCTGGAGATCTTGTTAAAATGCAGATTCTGATGCCTGAGGTCTGGGGTGGGGTCTGAGATTCTGCACTTTTTGTTTTTTTTTTTTTTTTGAGACAGGGTCTCACTCTGTTGCTCAGGCTGGAGTGCAGTGGTGCAATCGCAGCTCACTGCAACCTCCATCTCCTGGGTTCAAGCAATCTTCCCACCGCAGCCTCCTGAGTAGCTGGGACTACAAGCGTGCACCACCATGCCCTGCTAATTGTTTTTGTATTTTTTTTGGTAGAGATGGGGTTTCACCATGTTGCACAGGCTGGTCTCGAACTCCTGACCTCAAGTGATCCACCAGCCTCGGCCTCCCAAAGTGCTGGGATTACAGGTATGAGCCACTGCATCTAGCTTCTAATAATCGTACAAATAAGTTTATTAGAAGTGCACTTGCACTTCTAATAAACTCCGAGGAGTTGCTGATGCTGCTGGTCTTGGTCCACTCTTGAGTACCCGCCACCATGCCCTGAGTAGCGAGGTCAGAGGACACATCCTGGGGGTCATTCTTCCCCCAGGGACAAAACACTGCTCCAGTGCAAAAGCTTCTTTGTACTCATCTCAGCATTTGTAAATCTCAGCCCTAGGGAACAAGGCGGGGAGCGGGTGTGGACCCAACAGAATTCATCAGAGGGCCCGCCAAATTGAATAATTTGACCCACATCTTCTGTGTAGCCTGGGGGTGGTTTTTTTCCCCCACCTCCCCTCAATGATAAGTATCTAGGATGGCCAGCTTGATCTCTAGAAAAATATGGGACCATAGATAAGGTGGTGAAACAATGTTATTTTTTAATCCTGAAACTAACTTGCTTATTTCAACAGATCATTTGTGCTTTTCTAAAAAATTCCCTTTATATGTTTTGTGATATTGAAAAAATATCAACGTGCCCCTTTTACACATTTTCTTTTTATGGGGCAGAAAGTAAAATAAACTTTACAGTGAACTCGCTCCGCATGAGGCTGCGTCCCCAAGTCACAGCCACACCTCAGCTCGATTCCCAGGCTAACTTCCTCTCATGACCCAGCAAGCTCCTGTTCCATGCCCGCCACCAAGTCAAGGAATGAGAATGAGTTTTAACATTCATTTAAGCAACTCCACGTGATTTTTGGAAAGGTCACCCTGTTCAGGCAAGAGAGGGCGAGAAAGAAAACACCTAGCATACTTTGAGGGCAACCATGTGGACTGTGAAATTGTCTGCTGTTCACATCCAAGTTCCTCTGGGGAGTTCACAGGCTGGATCCATGTGCTGTATTATTATTATTATTATTATTATTATTATTATTATTATTATAATATATTTTTTGAGATGGAGTCTCGATCTGTGGCCAGGTTGGAGTGCAGTGGCATGATCTTGGCTCACTGCAAGCCCCGCCTACCGGGTTCAAGTGATTTTCCTGCCTCAGCTTCCCGAGTAGCTGGGATTACAGGCATGTGCCACCATACCCAGCTAATTTTTGTATTTTTAGTAGAGACGGGGTCTCACCGTGTTGGCCAGGATGGCCTCGATCTCCTGACCTCGTGATCCGCCCTCCTTGGCCTCCCAAAGTGCTGTGATTACAGGCATGAGCCACCGTGTCCGGCCTGTGCTGTATCATTATTATTATTATTATTATTATTATTATTTTTGAGACGGAGTCTCACAGTCTCGCCCAGGCTGGAGTGCAGTGGTGCCATCTCGGCTCACTGCAAGCTCCCCTCCCATGTTCACGCCATTCTCCTGCCTCAGCCTCCCGAGTAGCCGGGATTACAGGCACGTGCCACCATGCCCAGCTAATTTTTGTATTTTTGGTAGAGACGGGTTTTCACCATGTTGGCCAGGATGGTCTCGATCTCCTGACCTTGTGATCCGCCCTCCTCAGCCTCCCAAAGTGCTGGGATTATAGGCGTGAGCCACTGCACCCAGCCTGTGCTGTATTATTTTTACTGAACTATTTGCATGAAATATTTGGTTCATCCTCATTACTGTTTGGTTAGGAGACCTTGGGAGGATGTGCCAGATGCAGGCCTGGGGGACCTTTTTCCAGTGCAGGCCTTTGTGACTGCGTCCCATTTGCAGGTGGCAGCAAGACAAGCCAGCAGGAGTTTTTCTAGCCCAAGAGCATTTCCTGTCCAGGCGCAGTAGATCACGCCTGTTATTCCAGCACTTTGGCAGCAGAAGCAGGCAGATAGATCACTTGAGGCCAGGAGTTTGAGACCAGCCTGGCCATTATGGTGAAACCCCATTTCTACTCAAAATACAAAACATTAGCCAAGCATGTGGTGTGTGCCTGTAGTCCCAGCTACTCAGGAGGCTGAGACAGGAGAATTGCTTGAACCCAGAAGGCAGAGGTTGCAGGGAGCCAAGATCACGCCACTGCACTCCAGCCTGGGCGAAGGAGCGAGACTCTGTCTCAAAAAAACAAAAACAAGGCTGGGCATGGTGGCTCACGCCTGTAATCCCAGCACTTTGGGAGGCCGAGGTGGGCGGATCACGAGGTCAGGAGATTGAGACCATCCTGGCTAACACCGTGAAACCCCATCTCTACTAAAAATACAAAAAATTAGCCAGGTGTGGTGGCCAGCGCCTGTAGTTCCAGCTACTTGGGAGGCGGAGGCAGGAGAATGGTGTGAACCCGAGTGGCGGAGCTTGCAGTGAGTGGAGATCGCACCACTGCATCCCAGCCTGGGTGACACAGCGAGACTCCATCTCAAAAAAACAAAAACAAAAACAGAAACAAAAACACCAAAGTGCATTTCCTGCCCCACAGAGAAGAGCAGGCTTTGGGGCCAGTGGCACATGGAGGAAGATGCCGTTATTCCAGATGGGTGGGAAATGACTCAGTTTGTACCTGGTGGTGAGACCTGAGCACTGGCTTCTCTAGTCGGGAATCTGACATGTGGCGCACGGGCCTGTCTGTGCTGCTGCCTGGAGTGCGTGCAGACATCTGCAGTGGCACATACAGGGGGACGTCCCGCATCTTACAAGCTGACGTCCATGTGGCAGCTGGGGTGTCTCTTGTTTGGAACTGGGTAGCAAAGCTGTACCTGCAGCTAGAACTCAGCATTGCAACAAGCATTTATTAGGCATCTACCATGTGCCAGATTTTTATAGGCGTTGGTCTCCTCTAATTCACAATCCAAACCCTGCAAAGTGAGGCAATTCTTTTTTTTTTTTTTTTTCTTTTGAGACGGAGTCTCGCTCTTTCGCCCAGGCCGGACTGCAGTGGCGCTATCTCGGCTCACTGCAAACTCCGCCTCCCAAGTGAGGCAATTCTTAAACCCATTGCATGAATAAGGAAAATTGAGGCACGTGGGAAGGAAAGAATTTCCATAACAGGCCATACAACTAGGAAGTGGCTGAGCTGAGGTTGGAACGTGAGTCTGCTAACTCAAGACTGAGCCTCTAGGCCAACTAGCTAATCAGGTGACTAACCAACCCGTTGACCAGTGAACGTCCCCTGGTCTACACATTCACTGGCTGCCTGCTGGTGCCAGGCACTGGAAGCAAGGGGAGATTAAGACAGAATGCTGCCCTCGCTGTCTGGCCTTCCGCAGTCTGCTTCTCATCCTGGGGCTTTATTTGTCTCCTCTGCAAAATGGAACAATCATGCTGCTCCCTTATAGGGTTAAGTGAGCAAATACATGTAAAAGCACTTAGAACACCATCTGCCAGAGTTAGCATTCAATACATGTAACCTACTAAGGTTAGATTAATGGGATCGCGACTTTAAAAATTAAATTGTGGTCTCTATTATGTTTTAAAATTGATTTTAAAGCAAGGCCACTCTTTGCAAAGCCTGTACCCAGGGATGGTGGAGAGTGTGGTGAGCTTGTCTTTCATTACAGCAAATAGATTCTCACATCATCCCTATCTTTAGCCACAAGGAAACAACAAAGCAGACCCCGGCCTTACATTCTCGGCCTCCTCTGCCCATCTGGCAAATGTACTAAGGAGGAGGGGTCCAGCCCTCTCCCCGGATCCTCTGAGTGCCCAATGGCAAAGTGTGCCCCCTCTGGCTAAAGGAAGAGTACCCCAGGACAGAGGGAAGTGGCACAGATGGCCCGCTCTGCTGCCAGGGCCCCAGTGTGCCCACCTGAAAGGCTGGGACGAAAGTGAAATTGGCACTTGTGGCTGAGGCTTGACCGGCCCCAGGGACACTGCTCAAAGCGGGCCACTTCACAACCTCTTTCTTGAAACGTAGTTTGGGTCCTGTGTTTGGGTTTACAAGCATGGAGACGCTATCAGCAATTTTTTTCTTGCCTTCCCTATACTTGGCATCCTAAGTGGGTGATCAGAGAGACCACCACAGAAATAAGAGGCGGCCAGGTGTGGTGGCTCACACCTGTAATCCCAGCACTGTGGGAGGTGGAGGCGGGTGGATCACTTGAGGTCAGGAGTTTGAGACCAGCCTGGCCAACATGGTGAAACTCCATCTCTACTAAAAATACAAAAATTAGCTGGGCGTGGTGGCAGGTGCCTGTAATTCCAGCTACTTCAGGAGGCTGAGGCAGGAGAATTGCTTGAACCTGGGAGGTGGAGGTTGCAGTGACCCAAGATCATGACATGCACTCCAGCTTGGGTGACAAGAGCAAAACTCCATCTTAAAAAAAAAAAAAAAGGAAAGGAAGGAGGAACAAAAGATTATTTATACTATGTGTCTACAAGGACAATTGCCTCAATTTTCTAAATCCTCCCTCCCCTCAAAAAGCAGGACATTCACTGCTCAGAGGGCCTACCTGTCCACCTGTCCACACCTTTTATTCTGGGTGGGCAGCCCTGGCAGCTCCCACCCCTCTCACTGAGTTTGGTACCAGAACTTTTGCTGTATTCACATGGACTTAATGATGCCACTTTCCAAAATGTCTGTAAAGCTGGTAAAAGGAACTGTATTTTTCTGGCTCTAGCTGAATATTAGCCTCCCCTTGGAAACACCATGGAAGATTTAAAAAAATTGCAGTTCTGGCTGGGCGCGGTGGCTCACGCCTGTAATTCTAGCACTTTGGGAGGCCGAGGCAGGTGGATCACGAGGTCAGGAGATCAAGACCATCCTGGCTAACACGGTGAAACCCCGTCTCTACTAAAAAAATACAAAAAAATTAGCCGGGTGTGGTGGCGGGTGCCTATAGTCCCAGCTACTCAGGAAGCTGAGGCAGGAGAATGGCGTGAACCCGGGAGGCGGAGCTTGCTGTGAGCCGAGATCGAGCCACTGCACTCCAGCCTGGGTGACAGAGCGAGACTCCATCTTAAAAAAAAAAAAAAAATTGCAGTTCTCAGAACTTCGGATTTTCTAGTCTATAAATTTATGTCCATCAAAGCATGTCTTAAATCCTCATCTGCTCCCAGCACCCTTGCATAAGCAGCGTTTTCAAGTGCGTGCACGGAACTGTGTTAGCACGGGACTCCTGGGGGCCTCCCACCTCGCTAGGTGCCTGTGTCTTTAACGTGCCCGGTGGGTTGGCCATCTCTGTGTCTGCATACACATCTGCATAAGTTGCCTTTACCAGTTTTATTAGCAGAAATTGCCTGCCACTGCTGGAGGCCCTTGCAGCACTCAAGAGAGGTGGCTTCAGGACCACCTCCTGAGAGCTTCGTTGTATTTCATGTATATTTCCCCAAATATATCAGCATCTGACCCTTGGCTTCTGGGAGAAAGACAGAGGCGGAACCCTGGCCGCCCCAGAGAGAGGCAGCTGTGGGGGCAGAGATGTAACAACCCTTTGAACCTTGACCTTGGACGCCAGGCTGTCCGGGAGCTTCTCCCACAATGGCTGTTTTGGGGATGTGACCTGGATGGACCCATCTGCTAGCAAATCCTGTCTGTTTTACCTCCAAAAAGTATCTGGAATTCCAGGGCTTCTCACCACCTCAACTGCTGCCACCCTCGTCTGAGCTGCCATTATCTCTCCCCTGGACGATCACAGCAGCCTCCTGCTGGCCTCTCCACCCCCATCTGACTCCCTGCCCATTCTCCACCCAACAGCCAGACTTATCAGCACTCAGACCATGTGACTCCCCTGCCTGGGGTCCTCCACTGGCTTCCCATTGCTCGGTGGATAAAATCTGAACTCCTGGATGTGGCATAAACAGCATCATCTGTCCCCTGCCTCCCACCACCCCTACTCCATCCTTTCTTATTTTCGATTTCACTCACTCATCTCCACTGGGCTTCTTGTTATCCCGTAACTAAGCTAAGCTGCTTCCCACCTTGGGGACTTGTCACCTGCTGCACCTTCTACCTGGAGAGCTCTTTCCCCGTCCGACAGATGCCATTCAGGTCTACGTCAGGTGCCAGCTCTCCAGGGGACCTTCCCCAGCACCTTCTCTGAAGCCTTCCCCCAGTTGTCCCCGACCAGTTTTTGTCATAGCACTGATGCTTCCCTGAGATCATTTGTTAAATGCTCACGGATGTCTCTCCCTACCACACAGTAAGCTCCCTGAGGACAGGGGCCATCTCTGTCCTGTTACCGCTGTATGATGGCCATTGGGACAGTGCCTGGCACAGAGTAAATGCTCATTTATTTGTTGGACAAATAAGTGTGCGGACAGAGAGTTTATGCAACATACCCAAGTGGGCATCATATCCAACCCTGGAATCACAGGGATCTGGGTAAGGAGACTTCATTCCCTGGACCAGCCATGCCAGCATCCCTCTCCTCCTGGTGACCACAGTAGTAGCTGCACCCACTTGCTAGGTCCTTTCTGTGGGTGAGATCATAGCTCTTTTTTTTTTTTTTTGAGATGGAGTCTTGCTCTGTCGCCCAGGCTGGAGTGCAGTGGCGCGATCTCGGCTCACTGCAACCTCTGCCTCCTGGGTTCTTGCCATTCTCCTGCCTCAGCCTCCCGAGTAGTTGGGACTACAGGTGCCTGCCACCACACCTGGCTAATTTTTTCTATTTTTTAGTAGAGACAGAGTTTCACCGTGTTAACCAGAATGGTCTCGATCTCCTGACCTCATGATCCACCCGCCTCGGCCTCCCAAAGTGCTGGGATTACAGGTGTGAGCCACTGCGCCCGGCCAACCATAGCTCTTTACAGGCATACGATCCTTCTGATGACCCTATGGGGTCATTACCACTCTTGTGCCCATTTTACAGATGGTGAAATGGAGGCACTGACTGGCTTCAACTCTGCAAATTGGCAGAGGTGACTGCACAGCCAGGGCTCTCACCCCTCTCTTGGCAAGCATCTGAAAAACACAAGACATCTCCCAGGGCAGCTTGAAAGCAGGGCTCCAGGCAGGTGATGATGGCTCCCTAAGAAGTAGTTCTGAGCGGGAATCAGAACATTGGCCCTGGGGTCTTTGAGGCTGTTCGCTTCTCTCAGCAGCTACCCCATCTTCACAAACCCCATGTCATAGCCATCGGGGTGAGCAGACAGCATTGAGCCCTGGGATACACAGGTCACCAGGTTCTGCCTCCTGGGCCATTCCAGGCCCTCCTGATGAACTTGGCCTGAGTCCCAAGGATCTGCTTTGAAAGCAGCCACAGGGCCGGAACGGGAAGAAGAATGCGGGACGACAGACATTACTTGAGAAGATGGAGGGGGTGGGCAGGAAGCAGGATTATGCGCCAGCTTTCATTGGCAGAGGAGAGAGGGCGATAGGAACCTGCCACTCTGAATGCCCAGAGCAAAAACGCAGAGTTACGAAGGGAGACTGAAATGAGGACAGTGCTTAAGACGGTTGCTCACATCCCCCGAGGGAGCGGAGGTGGCAGTGGCATCTTGGGTGCCTTACAGGAACCCATAGGGAGGGAAGGAGAGAGGAGTGGTGGACAGAGGGAGGAGGGAGCTAGGGAGGTGGGACCTGGGGAGGGGAATGGACAGGAGAGGAAAGATTTAAATCCGGGCCTCATGATCTTGGCTAGAATACTGCACTTTTCTTTCAACTTTCTTGGGACATTGATGTCTACCATACGGATAGGAAGTCAGATATGCAGACAAAATGTCTAACAGAGGCTTGGCATTTCTAGGTGCTCAGTAACCATTCCTTCCCTTTCTCTTTGCCTCCTAAATTTCGCATCTGGAAAAAGGAGTTTGAACCTGGGACAGGTTCATGGCTCAGACCCAAGTTCACAGGTCTCAGGTCCCGGCAGCAGCTATCTTAAAACCCTGGGAAAAGGTTTTACCCTATATCAGGTCAGAGGCTGAAGAGAGGTGAGGACAGTCTACAAAAGGGTAATGAGGGCCCAGAGGGGACACGTCACTGGGTGTGGCCATGCCCCAAAGTCTCCAGGCACCCTCATCCTCAGTTGGCAACTTGCCTTTCTGGTCATGCCAGTGAACTTGACTTAGCGGAACATTCCATCTTCCTGACCTTGGTACAGGGTTGTTGGGTCCCTGAGCCCTTCATTCAACACATCTGCTCAGGGGCCCCTTCTTATGACTCACAGGTGGTAGACTTGAGTCTCCAAGAGGGAACATGTCAAGTCCTGAATGACATAGTGATCTAGTGCAGAGATGGGACTAGAACCTGCATCTCCTGATCTCCACAGCAGAGCTGAGTCCCAAATCCAAATACATTGTCATTCACAGGCTTTTTGTGCCAGTCCTGGGAGCAAGGGGCAATCTGGAAGAGGTAATCGGGGTGCTGGCATATTGGCACTTCAGGGACATTTTGATGGTTTATAGGGACAAGGTAGAGGGCCATTCATTCAACCAGTAGCTACAGAGTGTGCTAGGAGCTATGCACTGAGCTAGGTGCTGGGGCGATAAGTCCCGCCCTCTTAGAGTCTTGAAATTGGGACTGTTCTGTAAGCTGTGCCACAGCACAGACAGTCTATCATGCCACTTACTAGTAACACTGTCCCTCCAGCCCTGCACCCCTTACCCTACTCTGTGTGTGTGTCCCTGTGTATGTGTGTGTACAAGCGAGGGCTCCAGATGTTCCCTGTAAGCTGGAGGTGCTGATTTGGGCCTGAAATTGCTTGCTCCTTCCAAGGCCCCCTTTGCTTTCTCTTGTCCTGCCCTGACTTCCTGATGTCATCCAGTTTTCAGCTTCCTGACCCCAACCCCTATCTGCTGACCAGACGTAGACACCAGATGCTTTGATTTGACCTTCTGGAGCCAGGACTGTATCTCGCTCTTGCCACACAGCCACTCCTGAGAAAGGACCACATTTCTGCTCTTCTGAGGAGCAGAACCGTCTCAGTGTTCCAGAGTTTGACAGTTCTGTTTCATCTTCCCCTCTGTTGAACACTGCCCCTGCTCTCCTTTCTGTGGCACTTATTATGGTATGTCTTTTCTTCCAGAGATGAACATTCAGTGAAATGATGTAGCAAGAATGGCATAATGGAATGTGCGTGGGTGGAAGGAACCTTGGGGAAAGGAGCTGAGAAGTTGGTTCATCTGGATAATGGATTCTCGCTTATAACTGTGCTCACCTGTGGTCCTTTCTCACCCCCGGGTACCATTTATTGAGCCCAGTGTTAGGTGCTTATATCCATCATTTCACTTAGTTCTTTCAAAAACCCTATGAAGTGGAAGCAATTATTATCCTTGTACTGGATACCATGGGTGTTTCCTCCATAGCTGCGCATCCCTTCCTGAACTGTAGCTGCCATGGAGTTCACAGAGTCTGATCCCAGACAGCTCCTGAGTGAGCCCCGGTTAGTTTCAGCAAGCGGTTCTGAGTGAGGTCTGCTGGGGTCCTGAGAGCCTTTCAGGAGGTCTGTGAGTCCCAGCTTCTTCCAACCACACATCTGCAGAAGGCTGGATTTTCTTCATATGCTACAAACCAAGATAACATATCACAACGGCCAGATTGCAGAAGCAGGTCTGAGAATCCTGCCATTTTCTGTGAAGCCAGACTTTCAAGGGATTTGCAAAAGTGTAAAAGCATGCCACTCTTTTCACTATTTTTTTTTTGCTTTGGAAAGTATCATTATTATTCATAAAATATGTTATTTATAGTAACATGTATAACGGGCTTACTATTGTTATTTTAAAGATGAATAAATATTTAATCTTTTACATTTTAATTTCTAAAATGTTAAGTATTGATAAATATAATTCACATAAACCAAAGCTTATTGGGGTCCTCTCTAATTTTTACAAGAGTAAAGGGGTTCTGGGAACAAAAGTCTGAGAACTGCTGGTTTAAGCCAATCATGATAATCCCATAATCCTTGCCAGTGATTGGTTCAGGAGTTCAGACCTAGGCCAATCAGCATGTGTCATTCTCTTGGTGACAGCAATTGGTTGGGGCATGGGCATGTGACCCAATTTGCACCAATGGGTGGAGTGGTTTGCTCTGAGCTGCTGGAGAAGTTCTTCCTGGGACTCTGGCTTATGCAACTCCTTCCCTTTCTTTGATATCACTGTGAACAAGTATAATGTTCAGAACTTCAGCCTGAGGATGAAGCTGACACCCAGAAGAGGGCAGAGCCAAAAGAATCACCAAGAAAGGAGATAGAGCCGTGATTAGGTCAACCTACATCTGCAAGTACAGTTCCTTGACCTAATAAACACCTTTGTTTTTTTATGCCAGCTGGGCTTGGGTGTTTAGTACTTACAGATGAAAACATTTAAATTGCTACTCTCCCCATTTTACAGATGAAGAAACTGAGGCCCAGAGAGTTTAAGTGAGTGCTAGTAAGTGGAAGAGTCAGAATCTAAACCCAGGTCTCTTTGCACCCCAAATCTTCCTTTTTGCAACTGATTTTATAGCTTACAAGAATGTTACATTCTTGCTCTTCCCTCTCTAGAACCCAGATCACAACAGATCACAAGAAACTGTCATGGGGTAGGGCAGCAGGGAGTGGAGCATTCTCACTCAGGAGTGTCTTCCAAAGTTCCTCTCTTGGCCCTAGAAAAGATGGGCTTTCTGTCCCACTGCTGGGAGTTTTGAGGCTGCCCTGGATTTGCCTGATACAGCCGCAGCCTGCTCCCCACCAGCAGAGATCCATTCTCTACTGATGAGTCATAAGGACAGGGTACCAGTTAGAGCTATTAGTTGCAAGCAACAGAAACCAATTCCAGCCAATTTAACCAAAAAAGTCCCATTTGTCTGGCTAGCACACACACATCTCCTGAAGGGTGAAAGAGCAAAGCTTGAAAAGTGTGAAACCCGAACTGATATTACAAATCAAGCCACTGCTCCTGGCCTCCTTCATCGTCTTTTAAAAAGGCATCTTTTTTGGCTGGGCGCAGTGGCTCACGCCTGTAATCCCAGTGCTTTGGGAGGCCGAGGCAGGCGGATCACGAGGTCAAGAGATTGAGACCATCCTGGCCAACATGGTGAAACCCTGTCTCTACTAAAAATACAGAAATTAGTTGGGCGTGGTGGTGTGTGCCTGTAGTCCCAGCTACTCGGGAGGCTGAGGCAGGAGAATCGCTTGAACCCGGGAAGCAGAGGTTGCAGTGAGCAGAGATTGCACCATTCCACTCCAGCCTAGCAACAGAGCAAGAATCTGTGTCCAAAAAAAAAAAAAAAAAAAAAAAAAAAAAAAGGCGTCTTTTTCATTTGTACTTACTGACCTTTGTCCTGGAATATCTTTACTTCAGATTGTTGCCTGGCCAACTTTTTCTTGTCATCCAAGTCTCAGCTAAAGTGTCACCTCCTCTGAGAAGCCCTCCTGACTACTTAAATGAAAGCAGCCTCCCCTCTTCCTCACTTTGTTTGCTTTTATTCTCTGTCCTCGGGTACCCTGAACTGACCTAACTATACACCTTGGGGAGACCAGTGAGGAGTCCAGGGCAGAGAACATGGTGGCTTGAACCAGGGAGAGGACGGAGCTTTCTGCTGCCAGGGATCACGGCCTGCATGATTATCTTTTGCAGAACTTAGCACAGGGTCACTCTATGATGAAGGGGCTGAAAAGACTTGGGACACAAGGCCTGCAATGAACTTTCAGAGGCCCCTAGCCCAAATTCCACCCTCCCGGAAGATGAGTTCCTTGCTGGGTTACGCATCAGCTGATGACAAGGTCATGGCCTGGCTCTTCTTGGCTGTCCCCTTCACTCCCAGACCCCTGATGTGATCCCAGGGGAAGGCTGCTGAGGGATGGGCTGTGGAGGCTTGGGCTGCTGAGACATGGGTGGGATTGGGCCGCTGTTAATGAGAGGGCCTGCTGATCTGGCGGCTTTGCTAATTAGGCTGCGACAGCTCCAGACTCAGCCAAGGAAAGCACGTTGCTTATGCTAATCAAGGGCGGTCTGCGTTTCCTGGCTGGCAGAGTTGCCCAGATCCTGCAGTGTGTGCCCAGCATGCAAGCCACGGCAGGGGAGAGCCAGGGGAACCAGGGCTGGGAAAAGCCAAAGACAGCCCCCATGGCTGCAGCTGAGATTCTGGGGCTGGCCATTGCCCCACGTTGGGGGAAAAAGGCATAAATGATGGGAATGGCCACCAGCCAGGTAGTGGGAGGACAAAGGGCAAAGCCAGGGAGGGGCCAGTTATAGGCACTTCCTACTCAGTCACCACAAGGCTCGCTTTCCAAAACTCAGCCTTGAGTGCTGCTGGGCAGAGCAGGCTGCATCATAATATTCATGGCCCTAGACTTGGTGCCTTCTGTGCCAAATGGCTAAGTATGCCCTGGGGCAGAGAGAAGCCTCTGGGGCAGCTGAGTCATGAGGCTGGCTGGACCGGCAAACCTACCTCCCTGGAGCAGGGAGGAGAGAGCTGCACTCTTCAGCCCAAATTAAAGATGCAGAAGATTTTGAATTGATTTCCCCGTCCTTGGTGTGATAGCACAGAATCTCAGACCCTGGAGAAATCTGCAAGGAGATTCATTCATTCATTCATTCATCCATTCACTTACTCAGCACCTACTGTGTACCCAATTCCAGGCACTGGGAATGCAGAGATGAATGATGCCATTCTCGGGTTCAAGAAGCTTAGAGTCTAGCAAGGACTGCGAATCAGCAATTAAGTGACCCTAACTCAGACTGAGAGGCCGGGAAGGCTCCAGGAGGAGGTGATGCTTGAGATGAGCTGGAAAGATGTGCCACATCGACAGTTAACGCCTGCAGGGCAAGTGTCACGTGCCATGAGGCACTCTACACCCTTGACGTCCCTAACACATTCAGTCTTCCCAGGGACCCTAACACAGTGAGGACTGTTACCATTTCCCCATTTCTGTAAATGGGGAAACTGAGGCACAAAGTGATTCAGAAATTTTTCTGGGATTGCACAGCTGATTGGGAGTGAGTTATAAAGCGGGAGTTAGTGAGCCAGGTGCTGAAGGAGGAGAAGGAACAGCAAATGGCAAAGCAGGGATGGAGGATGCAGGAGGAGCCATCTGTCGGGTCAGGCAGGCGAGGCTGCGGCAGAAACTGTAGGCTGGAGCGGGGGAGATGGGGGTGAGCTAGGGAGGGGAGATGGTGGCAGAGCTGGGCAGGGGAGATGGGCGTGATGGCAGGCAGGAGGTTTGCAATTAGATTCACGTACTGTGATGCTTTGAGTGGCAGCACCCTGGGCTCTGGTGGGTCAGAGAAGTGGATTTGGGGGACAGTTAGCTTGAAATCAGCAGCCAGAGGTCCCTAAGTGCTGATTAATTATACTCTTCATCAACTAGCACCTCCCTTTGTAGCTGGGTCTGGAGCCGGGCTCCGGCTGCCACATCAATATTTCAGATGTGTCTTCTTTTCGGCTAAAAATGAACTTGTCATTTGCACAAGTTTTGAGACGTCCCAGTAAGCAAGTCTGTCTGCTCCTGAGCTGGGGCAAGACTTTTATGTTCAGAGGGTGCCTCCCTTGTGAAAGGGACTTTTCAAATGATCCTTGTACCTTAAACATAGGCTGAAGCGGGCACAGATTGATTCTGCCCACTCTGACCTCTGACCCTTTGTGGCTTTCTGGCCTCAGGGTCTGAGACCAAGGGTGATACAAAACTCCAGACACAATATGGTCAGAAGGAGATTTTCCAATTCTCTCCTTCCCCAGCCTGTAGGGAGAGCAGTAGCAGTAAAGGCGAGGGGGCCATCAGTCAAGGTTAGGGTGTGGAGGAAGGGAAGATGGGGGTCTCAGCGAGCGCTCTTCCTCTCACTCATCTTTCAGCATCAGCAAGGGCTTTGCTCCCTGGAGAAGCCCCCGTGACCTACTTCTCTGAGCAGGTCAAAGGGCCATCTGCCTCTCCTGTGGAGCTCCTCTCCCAGGGGCCATTTCTATTTTCTTTTTCTTTTTTTTTGAAACAAAGTCTCGCTCTGTTGCCCAGGCTGGAGTGCAATGGTGCGATCTCTGCTCACTGAAACCTCTGCCTCCTGGGCTCCAGAGATTCTTCTGCCTCAGCCTCCCAAGTGGCTGGGATTACAGGCACGAGCCACCACGCCCAGCTACATTTCGCATTTTTAGTAGAGACAGGGTTTCACCATGTTGGTCTGGTTGGTCTCGAACTCCTGACCTCATGATCCACCTGCCTCGGCCTCCCAAAGTGCTGGGATTACAGGCATGAGCCACCACACTGGCCTCTATTTTCCTTTTAAAAATGATTATTTGACTTCCTCCTGTAGATCATCAGCCTTATGACAGTAGGGACCAGTCTAATCAGTCTAATTCTGTTCACTCTATCCTAGCACCTAGAATTGTGCCTGCTACGTAGTAGGTGCTTGTAAATATTTGTGGAGGACTGCATGAATGAGGAATAATCTTAGGAGACTGGTCCTTCCTCTGTCCATTCCTTTTTTCCTTTCTTCTGGAAGCTTTTGTGTGTGTGTGTGTAGGTATTGGAGATACAAGATGAGTGGGCTGGTTTGCCTGGGCCCAGGCCACCGGAGCCTGCAGGAGGCCCCCACAGCCCCGTGGCACAAGTGTCCTGGGCTCACCTGCCCAAGTCTGAGGACATGAACACACACCCCTATGAACCCTGAGCCATGGGCAGGGGTGGTGGGCAGTGATGCAGACAGAGGTCATTCGAAAGCTTGCTCTGGAGACACCTTCTGGGGTGTCTCTGCAACCTTCTAGCACTTTCCCTTCCACTCTGTCCTTTGCAGACCTTGTAGAAAAACCTGTGGGGTGGGCTCCCATGGGCTGTCAGGGGAGGGAGAAGCTCCATGGTGGTGTCTGGGGGGAAACAAGCCTGAGATTACAGGCCTTCAGATGATCCAGGGATTGTAGGATACAGAGAGAAAGAGAGACAGCAGGGGGGAGGGGGAAAAAGGAGAGAGAGAGGGAAAAAGAGAGAGAGATGCCTCTGAAAGACAGATGCCTCTCTTCCCATAATGAAGGCACAGGAGGGCATCTTGGGACCTGGGTCATCAGAGATGGCTGGAGGCGAGCCCCGGGGCAGGGACTGAACTCTCTTCTGCCAGGAGTGTTTTCTTCCTGGAGTTCTGAGAGAATTTAGTGTTTGTGGCAGGTGCTGGGCTGGGCTCCCTAGAGACCTTGAGACTCCATTTGGGCCAGGAATGGGAGCACAGATGACGGCAGGGTCACCATCCCATCTGGGCTCTGCCTGCTGCCTTGAGGAGGCATTTACTTCAGGGGTCTGCACCACACCAGAGGCCAGAGGCAGGAGGTAGGGACGGGGGCATGTTGAACTTTCCTGACACCTTCCAGTAGCTTCTGGGTCATAGCAACAGGCAGGGCCAGATGTAAGACTCCCTGACACCAAGAAGCCTCACATAATCAGAGCCGACTAACGGAGGCTCATGGACACGTCTTACTGCCCCATCCCACCCCCAACCATGGAAATAACTTCAGAGATTTCTTTTTCATTTTAGAAGAAATAGCTATTCATTGCATAAAATTCAAACAAGTTGGAGAAAGTACAAAGAAAAAAAAAGTATAAATCACCTGTAAAATCCCACTACCCCCGTTAATACTTTTTTGGCTTTTCTTCTCTCCTAAAGAAACATAATGACATAGAATTTTCCAGAAATCAGCATGACACAGGCTAACTTGCTTTTAGAAAAAACAATTCAACGGTATTCCATGGACATTTTCCCATGTAAATAAATACAGTGTTAAAGCAGTGGTCTTTAACTGCTTTAGCCCAGCACACACATGGGAAGTGCTGGGAAGCTTGTTAAAATACAGATTCCTTACTACTCAGCCATAAAAAGGAAAGTTAATGGCATTCGCAGCAACCTGGATGGGATTGGAGACTATTATTCTAAGTGAAGTAACTCAGGAATGGAAACCCAAACATTGTATGTTCTCACTCATAAGTGGGAGCTAAGCTATGAGGACGCAAAGGCATAAGAATGATACAATGGACTCTGGGGACTCAGGGTAAAGGGTGGGAAGGGGGTGAGGGATAAAAGACTACAAATTGGGTTCAGCGTATACTGCTATGGTGATGGGTGCACCAAAATCTCACAAATCACCACTAAAGAACGTACTCATGTAACCAGACACCGCCCGTTCCCCAAAAACCTATGGAAACAATAAATTTTTAGAAATACAGATTCCTGCCAGGCGCGGTGGCTCACACCTGTAATCCCAGCACTTTGGGAGGCCGAGGCGGGTGGATCACGAGGTCAGGAGATCGAGACCATCCTGGCTAACACGGTGAAACTCCATCTCTACTAAAAATACAAAAAAGTTAGCCGGGCGTGGTGACGGGTGCCTGTAGTCCCAGCTACTCTGGAGGCTGAGGCAGGAGAATGGCGTGAACCCGGGAGGCAGAGCTTGCAGTGAGCTGAGATCCGGCTACTGCACTCCAGCCTGGGCGACAGAGCGAGACTGCTTCAAAAAAAAAAAAAAAAAAAAAAAGTCCAGATTCCTGGCTGGGCACAGTGGCTCATACCTGTAATCCCAGCACTTTGGGAGGCTAAGGTGGGAGGATTACTTGAGCGTAGGAGTTTGAGACCTGCCTGGGCAACACGGCAAGACCCCAGCTCTAGATTAAAAAAAAATACAGATCTTTGGGTCCCATTCTGAGATTCATCAGTGGATCCGCCGTGGGGCCCGGAAGTCTGTATACTGAGAAAGCCCACAAGAGGACTCTGATTCACGCCCGTCATTCAGAATCCTGATCTATGGCCTGCCTTTAAAAATAACCTTCTCTATCTTTTTAAAAGGCGGGCAGAAAGGAAAAAAAAAAGATTTAAATTTGCTATCAGGAATTTTAAAAATGTTCAGCTTTTAGGGGATGTCACAGGTTTGACAGATTCAGTTTCTTTGTCCTATACTTTTTGCAGCGGGACGATGTCCCACTGGTGGGGACTGGTGCCCGGGAGATTCTGGGTCTGCGTGCCATTCTCGGGCAGTGGAGAGATTTCCCATCAGGAAAATGGGCTTTGCACACAGCTGAGAAACCTCTCCCCAGGGGCAATCCAGAAAGAGCTTTTTGTTCAATCTTCCATTAAAGAGAAATTTCAATTGCCTTGACCAGCCAGAGCATTCCAGCTGACCAGGCTTGACTTGCTTACCCAAAACCCAAACTCGCAGAGCAGGGAAGGGAAAGGCGACTGTTCAGCAAGTTCTGGGAAGCCCCCTCAGGGTCCCTGTGGTAAGCTTCCCGAATCATCTCCAACTGCATTCTGACCTGGGTCTAGGCTTCTCCCTAACTCTTCCTGTGTTCTGCAGGTTGACGACATAAAAAGCCCATTGTAACTCTTCAAGAGGCTGATGTTTGGCTCGAGCGTACGAGGTACTTCTTTTCACTGATGATACTACCCGACACAGTCTGCTAGTTGCCATATTTTGTCATGTAAGACAGGCTTTTTCTGCAAAGGGCCAGGAAGTAAATATTTTCAATGGTCTCTGTCCCAACTGCTCATAAATACATGGGCAAGGCTGTGATCCAGTAACATTTTATTTATGGACACTGCAGTTTGAATTTTGTATAAATTTCACATCGTGAAACATTCTTCTGATTTTTTTCAACCATTTAAAAGTGTACAAACATTCTTGGTTGGTGGGCTGGATTTGGCCTGTGGGCTGTAGTTTGCCAAGAGAAAGCTGGACAGGAATTAAGGAAGGAAGGGTAGGCAGGGGCAGACTTTTCCAGAATTAGAGCTGTACCCCAAGGGGGAATTCTGTCCTAGGAGACAGTGAGTGCTAAGTACACTCTGGACAAGCACCAGACACAGAAGCTGCCTCAGTTTGTGCTCCCCCTGCAAAGCAGAGCCTGAGACAAGGATTTGGGTACAAGGAGTTTCACTCAATATTATATTTCCAAGATGCACCCATGCTTTATATGGCTATAGTGCATCCATTTTACTGCTTTATACTTTCCATTAGGTGACTATATTAGTATATATTTATAATTCCTAGGTCTTTTTGTTCTCTTATTTGTTAATAATTATAAACTCCAAGCCCATTGTGGTAGATTGCTATTTCTCAGAGATATTTTCTGCTCCTTCCTGGGGGACAATAATACTTTTCTCCCATCAATGGCAGATGTGGGCTTGTGACATTTTCTGGTCAATGAAATGAGAACAGAATTGGTGTGTGTAACCTTTGAGCAGAAGCTTTTGCAAGCTTGTCTAACCCATGGCCCGCAGGCTGCATGCGGCCCGGAATGGCTCTGAATGCAGCCCAACACAAATTCGTAAACTTTCTTAAAACACTATGAGATGTTTTTGCGATTTTTAAAAACTCATTAGCTATCATTATTGTTAGTATATTTTATGTGTGGCCAAAGACAATTCTTCTTCCAATGTGGCCTAGGGGAGCCAAAAGATTGGACACCTCTGTATAGAGTCTGTGCGTGATTTGACTTATTTTCTCTTTACTCCAGCAATGTCCTAGATATAGGCTTCTGATCAGCCTGGGTCCTGGCGGGGAGATGACACCGAGCAGAGCCACCATTGAGCTGCACTGGATAATGTAGTATGAGTGAGAAATAAATCCTTGCTGTTGAAAGCTATTGAGATGTTGGGGTCATTTGTCACGGCGGCATAAGTGATCCTATCCTAACTGATACATCACTCTCTCTCTATCACAACACGGATTTCCAGGGTAGGGCTCAGAGGGGGTGGTCATTTTCCTGGAAGACTGAATTAATTAATTCACGCAAAAAGCTATATTTGCGTGAATTAATTAATAGTCACGCAAAAAGCTATATTTGAGGGGTAAAATCTGGTCGAAGTGGCCCCCTTCCAGTGTGTGTATTGAAAGGGATTCATTCTTTAGCAGCTGGAAAGAGCTTTGAAGATAAATGCACGTAGAGGGCTGATTGGAGCCTCCTACCTGACCTCGTGGGTCCCTCGCTTCCTCTCTCTTTCCTGAAGCCCTTTGAAGAGACTCCAGTGCACAAGACGACCCTGGAAGGAGTGGGGACACCCCAGCCTTGGGCCAGCTGACATACTGGAAGAAAAAGCAGGTGAGGGGAGAATGTCCATATGCTGGGAGACTGATGAGAGAGGAAGGAGGCCGGGCTGGGCAGAGGCCTCTGTGCCTGGGAGCCTCTGAAAGCACCGCTCCGGCGAGGCACGCTCACTGTGGACTTCACAATAGAGCTGCCCGGGCTGGAGGATGACAGGAATGTCCCGATTGCTTGATTTCCCTTTCTCATTAAAGCAGTGGCAATGAGGAAGGACAAATGGTGCTGCATGGCGCTTCCCTGTTCTCCATTATCACCGAGAGAGGCTGTCAGCAAGAGGCTCATTTGGTGCCATTTTCATTCCTTGTCACTTTTCCTTCTCTTTCTTTTATTTATTCACAGTGCTAGTGAGGTTCCCTTAACGATCCCCATCCACACAGCAAACACACCACAATGAAACATAACGAGAGAGAGAGGGGGGCATGAGAAATTAATCCATCCTAATGATAAAGATCATTATGGAGACAGAGAAAGAAGGAAGGGAAACAACACATTTCATTCTAATTAGGCCCGAAAGCTCATTACCGAGAGCAAGGAAAAAAGTGATCAAGTAGCTGCGTCCTGAAAAATCCCTTCTCCGGTTCCCTGGGAGCACGACCGCAAAAAAAAAAAAAAAACTACCACGACGGGTTGATGGTTCCCAAACTGGGGCTCCTCGTGGTAGTCTTGGGGGTGGAAAATTGCAGGGAAGGTTGCATGTTTTTTCCTAGACACTAAAAAAATGTTTAACTGAAATAATTATTTTACTCCTGATAACCCTGCGTAGGCAGACAAACTAGAAATGTCAAGTTTGTTTGGGGCTGGAATTCCATCAGCTCAGTGGTACCCCTAGCTTGCTGACACCAATCAGAGGCCTAATGGGTTGTCAGTAACATCATAAGCATTTCTGGGATCTCAGCGGCAGCCCATGCCACATCTGGGAACATGGCACTCATGCCGAAAGGAGCCTCAAGTTCTTCACGGCAATGCTACTGCACAGCTAGCCATGTCTTTGCTTCATTGCACAGGGAGAAAAGAATAAATAATTATTTAATCAGTTTAGGAAAAAAAATCTTTTGAAACATGAGGTTCACAGGGGGTAAAATAATAAAACAGGTCTTTGGCAGTTAAGGGGAAGCAGGAAGGAAATGGGAAAACAGAGGAGGAAAGGGGCATTAGCATTTATTGATCGTCTGCCAATACCAAGCACTATGCTAAGTGCAACAAATAAATGAATAAGTAAATAATCCCATTTAATCCTCACAACCACACTCGTGGGGGTAGGTGGGGGGATGGATCACTTATTTATTCATTTCACAAGTATTTATGAGAACCTACTAGGAACCAGGCATGGTTTTGAAGTGCTGGAAACACAGCAACAAACAAAAGAAACTGCCTGTCCTATGGAGCTCTTAACGACTAAATAAACACTCAGACACATACACACGTGTGTGTAAGTGTACATATACAGGTATACATGTAAAGACATATGCATGTTTATTTTTATTTTTTTGAGATGGAGTTTTGCTCTTGTTGCCCAGGCTGGAGTATAACGGCACGATCTTGGCTCATGGCAACCTCTGCCTCCTGGGTTCAAGCGATTCTCCCGCCTCAGCCTCCGGAGTAGCTGGGATTACATGCATGCGCCACCACTCCTGGCTAATTTTGTATTTTTAGTAGAGACAGGGTTTCTCCATGTTGGTCAGAGTGGTCTCAAACTCCTGACCTCAGGTGATCCGCCTGCCTCAGCTTCCCAAAGTGCTGGGATTACAGGCGTGAGCCACCACGCCTGGCCATATGCGTGTTTATATGTCTCTGTCTCTCTCTCTCTGTCTCTCTCTGTGTGTGTGTGTGTGTGTGTGTGTGTATGTGTGTGTGTATAGAGACAAGGCCTCATGCGTTCATCCAGGCTGGAGTACAGTGGCACAATCACAGCTCACTGTAACCTTGAACTCCTGGGCTCAAGTGATCCTCCCACATCAGCCTTCTGAGTAGCTAGGGCTACGGGTGCATGTCACCATGCCCAGCTGATTTTTTAATCTTTTTGTAGTGATGTGGTATGGCTGTGTTGCCCAGGCCGGTCCCGAACTCCTGGCCTCAAGTGGTCTTCCCACCTCATCCTCCCAAAGCGCTGGGATTACAGGCATGAACCACTGTGTCTGGCCTACACAGGTGTATTTTTTTCAGTGATTCTTAACTGGGAGCAATTTTGTACCCCATAAGGCATTTGGGAATATCTGGAGACTTTATGGCTTGCCACATTTGCAGGTGTTGTGGGGTGGGGCGGGGGGTGTTACTGGCATCTAATGGATAGAGGTAAGGAATGTTGCTAAACATCCTACAGGGCACAGGACAGTACCCATGACAAAGAATGACCTGGCTATGTACATCATGGATCTGAAGTTGAGAAACCTGTAGTCATATATTCATCTGTATCGATAGATTTATTTCAGGTAGTGACGAGTGTTACAAAGAATGGCTAAGGGAGGCTGGGCTTTGCAAGAGGATTGTAGAGCACCTACTAGGACAAGATGCTGAGCAGTGAAGGAAAGAGACATGATACCTACAACGGGGATGGGACAAGTCAGAAAGTACATGGGTCTTACCTGGGACTTGCTTACACGGTACTGCTTAATTGATTCTATGAAGGAAAATAAGGCCAGGCACGGTGGCTCACTCCTGTAATAATAGCACTTTGGGAGGCTGAGGTGGGAGGATCGCTTGAACCTAGGAGTTCAAGACCAGCCTGGGCAACATAGTGAGACCCCATTTCTACAAAAACAAACAAACAAAATAAAAAAAGGAAATAAAGGGTGCAGTGTCAGAGTCTACAGGCAGACCTGACATATGTTGGAGGAATCAGAGATATTTTCCTGGGGAAGTGGGGACACTTAGGGGAACCCCAAATGATAGGAGGAGTTCAATAGGTGGAGAGAAGGGGGAAGGATGTTCTCAGCAGGCTTGGCAGCTGCAATGTTCAGCAGGCAGAAGGAGCTGGGAGATTTGGGGAGCAGGCAAGGACGTAGGAGTGGCTAGGGGGAGCTGGGCCACGAAAGAAGGATGGGGGCGAGCCACCTTCCCCAGGCTGGACTCCTGGTTAATACAAGCAAGAAAGTGGTGATTATATCCCCATTTCCAGGTTAATGAAGGAGAACCTGGAGGTAATGTTATTTTTGTTGATTCTTGATTTCTTGTTAAAGTGTTTTTCGGAGAAGACTTCTCTAACTGCTTGATACCGACGGATAATAGCTCCCTCCCAGGCATTTTCCCGTGAACAATAGTGTCCTCCTTTCCCTGGTGGACTCCCTCGGTGAGCACAGCATTACGATACGTGTTCCGTGATGCTCGATCTCTGCCAGGGTCTAAGGTCCCCTCTGCTCCCCGCCTGTTGGCAGGCCTCTTCCTCCGCCATCGCTGTCGCTGAGAAATGTATTTCTTCTTTGATGGCTCTGAGATAACAACACTTCCTGCTCAGTTATGAAAAACTGTGTGGGGGAAGGCGAGAGGATGGGCCAGCCTCTGGCTATTCACAGTGTGATCCCCAGACCAGCAGCATGGGTCTTACCTGGGACTTGCTAGCAAGGCAGAATCCCAGATCCCACGTCAGAGCTACTGAATCAGAATTGATTTGCATTAAAATTAACAAGCTCCTCATGTGATTTCCATGCACATGAAGTTTGAGAAGCTCTGCTCTAAACGACCTTCGAAAATGCACCCAGCCCTGGACTTCTAAGACTCTAGCAATGAACGTCCTTAATATGGAGAACTTAAGAGTACATATATTCACACCAAAGCCACACAACCTATGCTTCTGTTATATGCATAGTCTTAAACACTGATTTTATTCTTTAATTCAGTGGCACGGTAGAAAATGATGTTTTTGGTGTCAATGTCCTTTGAACTTCTTTTTTCTTGAGATGGAGTCTCGCTCTGTTGCCA
This sequence comes from Homo sapiens, assembly GCF_000001405.40. Taxonomy (NCBI): domain Eukaryota; kingdom Metazoa; phylum Chordata; class Mammalia; order Primates; family Hominidae; genus Homo; species Homo sapiens. Next base: position 14,884,365 of record NC_000001.11, on the reverse strand, counting down.
GGCTGGAGTGCAGTGGTGTGATCTGGGTTCACTGCAACCTCTGCCTCCCGGGTTCAAGCGATTCTCCTGCCTCAGCCTCCCGAGTAGCTGGGACTACAGGTGCCCGCCACCACACCCAGCTAATTTTTGTATTTTTAGTAGAGACGGGGTTCCACCATGTTGGCCAGGATGGTCTCGATCACCCGGCCTCGTGACCCACCCGCCTCGGCCTCCCAAAGTGCTGGGATTACAGGTGTGAGCCCCCGCGCCCGGCCTGAACTTCTTATTTATAGGCTGTGAGACCCTAGATGAGTGATGTAGTTTCTCTCAGCCTCAGTTTCTTCATCTGTGAAATGGGGAAAATATTGTCTCCCTTACTGGGATTTTGTGGGCACCTAAGAAGACACATACAGATATAAGGACCCCATTCCTGTACCCTATTCTTTCTTGCCTGCCTCTCTCTTCTGTAAAACAGACTGAGGCTGGGAGACCTAAAGGATACAATAGAGCTTCCTATCCCAAACCGTAAGGGGTGTTTGATGATTTAAAGAAAACAAGAGATTCCCAAGTAGGTAACATTCAAATAAGTGGCATGCAAGTTTCAGATTATAGTTCAGGGTTAAGGCAAAGGTAGGCCCCCTGTCTGATTCTTGCCTGGAAGGTCTTGCCTGTGTCCATGTGATGGGGATGGGCTGGCTTTGATAGGGAGGGAGAGCCCTTGAATCTCTTGAAATTAGATCCAATATTGTGTGCAGGTACATTATTCTAATAAGTTCTGCTTGATTTGATTGGGTAGGCGGGAGGTGAGGGATGATGGAGGATGGGAGGAGCGTGTGAAGATAATGCTCCCTTTGGCTGTGACCCAGGGTCTCACCTTTGAAAAAGGTGGGACAGAGGCCACCACTTCCATCCAGTCCTAAGAAAGCCTGCACCCTGCAACAGAAGAGCTCAAGAACCGCTTTTCTTTCTTTCTTTCTTTCTTTCTTTCTTTCTTTCTTTCTTTCTTTCTTTCTTTCTTTCTTTCTTTCTTTTCTTTCTTTCTTTCTCTCTCTCTCTCTCTCTCTCTCTTTCTTTCTTTCTTTCTTTCTTTTGAGATGGAGTTTCGCTTTTCTTGCCCAGGCTGGAGGGCAATGGAGTGATCTTGGCTCACCGCAACCTCCGCCTCCTGGGTTCAAGTGATTCTCCTGCCTCAGCCTCCTGAGTAACTGGGATTACAGGCATGTGCCATCACGCCCAGCTAATTTTGTATTTTTAGTAGAGATGGGGTTTCTCCATGTTGGTCAGGCTGGTCTCGAACTCCCGACCTCAGGTGATCCACCCACCTCAGCCTCCCAAAGTGCTGGGATTACAGGTATGAGCCACCGTGCCCGGCCAAGAACCACTTTTTGAGTTACCCATGAGTGGTTAAGGAGCAGCTCTGGAGAGAGATGTCTGAATTTGACTTCTAGCTCCCTATTTATTCCTCAAATGAACTTTGACAAATCTCTTCACCTTTCCACACCTTGGTGTCCTCATCTGTCTAAGGAGGATGATGTCAGTCCCTACTTTACAGGGGTTATTATGAGACTTAAATGAAATAATCCATGGAAAGGTCTTAGAACAGCATCTGGAAGTTTCTAGATGCTCCATAAATGCCAATGAACTTTTAAAACTGTGCTATAATTGCTTTTAGTTTTGCAAGCATTCCGTCTAGCCCTCCACGTGCAGGGAGAAGAAGGGAGGAGCTGTAAGTGATGCTTTAACCTTCCCTTGGTTCCTCAGAGCCAGCACTTCCCTTAGCACTGATTCTTTCACTCCAGCATCTGAAGATCTGGACTGATGGGAAATACCAGGTCTATAACAGAAGCCCTCCTTTATCAAAACCAACCATATGCCTGACCTCGAGCAGGGTGATTTCCACGCATCATTTCACAGCCCCCAAATGGACCAGTCCCCCTACTACAGACAAGGAAACCGAGGCCAAGAGAGATTAAACAACTTGCCCCAGGTGAGAAGCTAACACATGGAAGAGTCTTTAGGGCTGAAGCTTCAATGTTACTGCCGCTGAGTCATTTAAAATAGTCCTGGCTAAAGCATATCTAGCAAAACTTCAGCTTCTTCTAGGAGGGAAAAAAGTTTGTTTGGAATCTCTGAAGTTTAGCTGAGTGCATGCTGAGCTCACGCTCTAACAACCCTGAATTTGCATGAGATAACAACACTTCCTGTTCAGTTATGAAAAACTGTAGGGCAAGGCGAGAGGATGAGCCAGTCTCTGGCTACTCACAGTGTGATCCCCAGACCAGCAGCATGGGTCTTACCTGGGACTCGCTAGCAAGGCAGAATCCCAGGTCCCACGCCAGAGCTACTGAATCAGAATTCAGTAGCCCTAAGGACTCAACAGGTATTTACAGAGTACCAGCTTCAGAGGCAGCTTAGAGTGGACCTGAGAGACACACAGGAGGAGTAGAGAACAGGCCTTTCCCCGGAGGAGCTTACAGTGAGTTCAGAAGAGAAGAGAAAGCTGCCACCACCATAGCCAGCAGCACCTACATTTGTGAATCCAAATCTCATTTAAACAACCATACACAGAAAATAGTAATCTTATCCCCAGTATAAGGATGCAGAAACAAGTTCAGAGGGAGCAAATCGATTCAAAATGGTTCATATGAGGTCTTCTGGCTGGGAAGTGGTCGAGCAGAAACTTGATTCCAGGTGATTTGACACCAGAACCTGTACCTGAACCCACCATGTGGTGCCCTGAAATAATCTCAGACATGAGACTGTAAGTTCCTAGAGGCAGGGACCAGCTCTGCTTGGCTCACCACTGTATTCCCAGGGCTGAGGACAGTGCCTAGCACATAATCAGTATTCTATAAACACTTGCGGATGAAGAGATACATGAACAAATGGAAGATTCGGCAAGATGGCAGACAGTTCCAATGGTACGGGTCACAGAAAGTTTATTTCCTGCCCTCTAGTCCTTCTTGTGCCTTAGTAGCCTCAAATGATTTCCACTTCTCTTCCTCACCCCACCAGGCTGGCATTTCACATGCCAATGGCATTTGTTACTGCCTGTTTCTGCACCTACCAGTTTTGACAAGGGTTGGGAAGTGGTTTGCTGGGACATTATCTGACCTGTCACCCTGCTGGATTTTCTGGTCCAACTGGAAACACCCTGCTTATCATGCGAGAATTTACTTTCAGGGGTGTTCAGCCTAACCTGACTGAGCACAATCTGTGGAGCACTGGCCATGAGTAACTCCAGGAACACAGCTTTGCTGGATATTGGGAAAGAGCAATTTGGCTGTGAGCTCAGTTACCGCATGCTCCAAGAATGGATCCTGTGCCCACAGCACTTCACAGAGGCCTCAGGAGCACAAGGCATGCTGGACTGTCATTCGTTTTCTTACCTCATTGTTTTCCCCATGTTAACTGGAGGCTATTCACCGGCAAAGAGTTATCTTGCTGCTGCTCAACCCTCAGCACGAGCCTAGCAACTGGTATAAATCATATTCCACTGGGACAGGCATGTGTCTACTCTGACCAGTATAGGACAGCAGATGTGATGCCATGTGACTTCCAAGGTCAGGTCATCAAAGGCCTGCAGTTTCTGGTTGGTTCCCTTGGAAAGCTCTCTCCTGGAATGCACAAATCTATGCTCTAAGAAGTCCAGGTCACAGGGAGAAGCCACAAGCAGGCAGTCCAGTTGGCAGTCCCAGCTGAGCCCAGCCTTTGGGTCAACAGCCCACTTATTTAGACGAGTGAAGTCATCATCTTGGAAGAGGAACTTCCAGCCCAGCAGGAGCCTCTGGGTCCGGTGCCCAGCTATTTGAGTCACCCCCAACCATTTGATTCCTCCCAGATGAGGCCCTGAACATCATGGAACAGAAACAAGCTATCCCAGCCTTGTCTAATTCCCTGACCCACAAAACCCATGAGCATGTTCAAATTAGTGTTTTATACTCAGTTTGGGGTAGTTTATTAAGCCACTGCGGTACCTAGAGTAACTCTGGAATCAGACTGCTGAGGTGCAAATCCTAGCTCCACTAATTACTACATACTTTTCCTCGGGCAATCCCCTGGGGTCCTGCAGACTGCAGCTTTATCATCTACAAACTGGGTATCCACAGACTGTCTCAGAGGGTTATTGCAGGCACCGTGTGGGATAATGTACCTAAAGCATTTAGTCCAGAGTCTGGCATGGTTGCTAGTATAGTTGCCATTATCATCAGCTCAGAATTTGATGGGGCAGCTCCCTTTTCACACATAACTCTCCTCCCTCCAGTCCCTGCATCCTTCATGCATACGACAGAACCTCATCCTAAAGCCAAATCAGACCTTCATCTCCTGTGCCGATGATGTGGTCTACAGTGAGCATGTGTCTGAGAAGCCCAGAAGTTCAGCTCCACTGTTATTTGCCTTGAGATTCTTGACTTGAATTCAATCTTTGTGAGCCTTCTTTTCCTTGTTCATAACAAGGAGTTGGTCATAGCCCCCTTATGACGTTGTTGTGAGGATTAATGAGATAATGCACAAAATGTACTTAACATGGTAGCTCATATTTGGGGACCATTCGATGGTGGTCACTACCTCCATGATGACAAGATTGAACCCGACTGTGTCTTAGGCATGTCCATGCTGTGGGGGACGGTCTACATTCTCGCATAGTCACACAATTCAAATTGTATTCGAAGCCTTCATTCTGGAGCCCAGTTGGTCTCCACTAGGGGTAATTCCCTGGGCCCAAATCTGTGGTGTAGATTTTTCAGAATGAAGCTTTAAGTCAATCTGAGCCAACGAGTCTATTCGTAGGCCATTTCTGATCCTGAAATCAGAGCCAAACAGCATCTGATACTGCTGGATTGTGATATTGACAGATCACCCAGGGCCGTTTTGCTTTGGCTGGCTGGCAAAGTGATGCTAATAATGTTGATAACATCTTAGAACTATTTACTCCTGTACGTAGCACTGAGCAGTTTACAAAGCACTGGCTATAATAATCTCATTTGACTTCTCAATCATCATATATGTAATCATTAATAACAAAACTAGAATATCTATTACATATTGAGTATTTGTTAGGAATATGCTGTGTGCTTCACTTATATTAATTTATTTAATGCTAGAAACCACCTCACGAGATGGTGAATTCCCATTACTCTATTTACTCCATTAGTTGTTACACAGATGAGGAACCGAGGCTCCAGGAACCAGGTGACCAGCACAAGGTCAGCACTCAGGGACCGACGCAGCTGGTATTTGAACAGAGACCTTCCTGACTCCAGAGCTCAAATGCCCAATGCAATCCCAAGGCTCTGGCAGGGACTCTTCCTGCTCTTGGCAGATACGAGCAGGGATTTAAAGGGAGAGGAAAAAGCTTTTCATTTTCTTAGCAAAGTTGATCCGCAAGAAGATTACCTTTCAAGAAAACCAGGACAAGTTCCCTTAGAAACATGAAGCCAGGGCTGAGAGGCCACTTGGGGAAGATGAGGCCAGCTTAGGCCTCAGGAACTAGATCGATATCAACCACAAATTCATTTTATACGTTCATGAATATTCAATGGACTTTCCTATTCCCAGTGGGATGTGGGAAGGAAACGTGTTCCCAGAGCAACTGGGAAAACATGGTGGCCAACAGGAAACTGGCAAGGGAGAGGGCCTAGAGCCAGACAAGAGGCCGCAAAAGGTGGACCTGAGATGGGCATCTGCAGGGCTCTGCCTCCCTCCAGCTGAGGGCCGAATGTCCTTTCTCCTCCTTGTCCCAAGCCTGTTCTTAGAACTTGGTGGGTTTTCACCACAAAATTTAGAGTTGGGGAAAACTCTGCTTTGGGGAGGCCAATAGCTATCCATCTTCTGGGCTAAGCCATTCATTTGACAGATGGGGAAACTGAGGCCCAGAAGAGGGGATGCCCAGCACAGTTAATCAGAGGAATTCCTTTGGTGGTTCTCAAGTGGGGATGGGTAGGGGGGATTTTGGTACCCAGTTGAGACATATGGCAATGTCTGGAGACATTTTTGGTTGTCACACTGGGAGTATCTAGTGTGTAGAGGGCAGGGAAGTTGCTCAACATCCTACAATGCACAGGACAGCCACCCCCCCAAAGAACTGTTAATGTTTAACTCCAAATGCCAACAAGGTTGAAGTTGAGAAGCCCTGTTCTGGTCCTATGCATCAGTGATAGGTTGTGGGGTGATAAGTGGCCTTCAGGCATTAAGCAGCTGGAGTCAGAATCCACCAGCAATTATCATTCAATTTTAGAGGGTAGAAAGTTAAGACTGAGAGAGAGGAAGTGATGTGCCCTCTGTCACACAGCCAATATGTCGGAGAGCTGGAATTTTAACCATGTCTGCAGGTTCTTGGTCTGACTTTAAATGCAAGCCTTCTCGTCTTTCCACTTTGCCACTTTGTACAAGAAATCCAATCCACAATCATTGAGTCATCATTTGCTGGATGTCTGTCTCTCCCAATGTGCCGTAGGGTCCATCGAGACACTGGGAGCCAGCCTGGTATATAAAAGACATGAAATTTATTTGTGGAATTAATGAAAGTATTTGTAAGATATTCATGATAATTGTGAATATCAGATAACAACAGCCTTTACTGATCATTTATTCCATAACTATCAAGCACTGTACCGTTCTAAGCAGATTGCACATATTCACTCATTTTGCCCCCAACAGGCTCACGCAGTAGGCACTATTATTACACACATGTTATGGATGAGAAGACTGAAGCACAGAGAGGAGAAAGAACCTTGTCCTAGGTGACCAAACTAATAAGGGAGGAGCCAGGACTTGAACCCAAGCTGTCACAGGCTTTCGGAGTCTTTGCCGTGACCAAGGACTTGTGGTGACCCTGTGTTGTGTGTCTATTTCACACTCCACCTTTGGAGAACCTCCCCTTCCCCAACTCCTGGGTTGGGTTGGGCAGAGCTGACCCCATATGCCTATCTTTCAGCTCAGGGATTGGCCCATGATGCATGTCTATCATGCACCCTATCCCCATGGCCATTGTGATTGGATCAGAAATATGCATGTAACCAAAGGTGAACCAATCAGACTTTTTCTGGAACTTCTAGAAAATATGTTTTCTCTTGGCGATCCTTAGCAATAAGGATGATGTTTGAGGTCATCTTCCCCAGCCATATGGAGGATGGTGTCTTCAGTAGAAGACAATGGGGCCAATACACAAAGGGAGTAACGGGAGACAGAGCCACGAGATTGGTGGTGAGAAGAGAGTCCAAGAGAGTCCGAGAGAGTGCGGGGAACACCCCTTGAGCTCCTGGAGCCAGTCATGCCTGAAGGATCCACACTGGCATTTTCAAGTCCCTGGAACCAGCCATGACTGGAAGATCAACCCTGGTATTTTGAATCACCAGAACCAGTAGCTTTTGCATCTCTACATGTATGTATATATTTGGCTTAAGACAGTTTGGGTTGAATTTCTGTCACCTGAAACTCAAAAATGTCTGACTAATACAAGTTGGTTTCAACTTGCCCAAAGGCTTTCTTACTTTCTTTAGTTCATGTCAAAGTAGATGACTTTGCAGTATTCTAAGTGGTAAGACAAGACTTCCCCAAATCTAGACATGCCTATCTACAAAAAGGTCTGGAGGGAGAATAATAACAGCTAACATTTATTAGCTCTGTGTGACAGGCATCACTTTAAGTGTTTTACGTAGATTACTCATGGATCCTCAAAAGCATACCAATTTTTGGTACTATCATTAGCATCATTATCCTATTTTAGAGATGGGCAGACTAATGTAAACAGAGAAGGTGGGAAGCATACTCAAGGTCACAGAGCTGGTAAGGGGCAGAGTGAGACTTGAATCCAGGCAGTCCAGCTCCAGACCCCACTCCCTCCACTTAACTACTACACAACGCTGTGTCTGCTTCCCCTGCAAAGACCTGCACAGGAGTGATGGTCCTAAACCCAGGTTCCTACCTGCAATTTCAAGGTGTGTCCTCCCAAGCATCTGTTCTTTGCTCTGTTGCCAAAGGCATGTTTAATCACCTGCCTAGAGTTCCTTTCCTGGCTTGCATAATAATGAGCCCACAGCAGCTACTATCGCTAATGTCATTCTGGCTGCTGGCTGCATTTGCGCATGTAATAAACGCAGCTACCACAAGATTGGAAATTGGACAGGTGACAACAGAGGCTGTGATTGTGCAGATCAGATTGAGGACAGGGAACTGATAACACTGACAATTCCATAAAGCCATCACCTCATCTATTGTTTCTCACCTCCGCGGCAAGCCTCTGAGGTGCCCTAATGAGGTAAGATCCTAACATCTGTTAAGATCACAGTCCCACTTGGCTTGTCTGGGCTTTCTTCTTCCTCCTTGCCTCAGTCAAACAACTGCTTTTAATCTCTCCATTCAGAGGAGCGGCTCACTCTCACTTCACTGTCATCACACAGAGCTTGAAGCAGGGGGTGTCAACTGTGAAAGTTTGCAGGGCAACACATCTTCCCGAGCATCTCTGTTGATGTGGCAGTCATGCCTGGGCTGAAATCTACCCCCTTCCAGGAAAGCAGGAAATTCCCGAGGTCACACTTCAGATTGATCTCAGAAAACCTCTTTCTTGATAGTGAAGGCAACAGGCAGTGGTGTACTGGCAAGTGTTTAACAATCAACTGTGGAGGGTTGGGCGAAGGAGCCCTGATTTGTAGTCATTGCCAGTTTCCATGGTGTACGTACTCTCATCATCAATTTTAAGCCACCAGTATGAGGCTTATAACATTCCTGAAAATGTAACTATTGGCTCTCAGGAGCCTGGAGCAGACCCCAGCACATCCTGCGTAGGAAGCCTGGTCTGTGCCTCATGCCTCCTAAGAATCCAGTGATTTTCACTATTAGGAGAAGGAAGAAATGGCTTCATTGAAAATAGTTTTTTTTTCTTTTTTCTTTTTTTTTTTTTTTAATAAATTAAGGACAATGCAAGGCAGGGAAGACAAGAGTTCAGCTTCCATGCTCACCCAATAAATGATAACAACAACCAAATAAACCCATAAAAAGATAAATAACATTTACATAAAATGTCTTACAATTTTTTTTTTTTTTTTTTTTTTTTGAGACAGAGTTTCACTCTTGTTGCCCAGGATGGAGTGCAATGGCATGATCTCGGCCCACTGCAACCTCTGCCTCCCGGGTTCAAGTGATTCTCCTGCCTCAGCCTCCTGAGTAGCCGGGATTACAGGCATGCACCATCATGCCGGGATAATTTTGTATTTTTAGTAGAGACGGGGTTTCTCCATGTTGGTCAGGCTGGTCTTGAACTCCCAATCTCAGGTGATCTGCTTGCCTCAGCCTCCCAAAGTGCTGGGATTACAGGTGTGAGCCACCGCACCTGGCCACAAATTTACAGATATATCTGAGACCTTTCCTCATTTGGCTTTAACATGGAGGAATCTCCAGGGACCCCCACTTGCAGAGGTAGGTGGCTGCGCAAATCTGCTCTTCCAGAAAGGAAGGGAGATTTGGCAAAGCATCAGTTTGGCAAATGGAAATACAAAACCAAGTAAGTCTAGGATCCCAGAGTTAGTTTTTTTTCCTCTCATTTTCTTCCTTTCCTTTCCCTTCTCAAACCTTAAAAGGGGAAACATTCGACCAAGAGCATTATGGGTAATCCAGAGAAGGATAATCAAACCAGAAGATGTCAAGATTCTCATCTTATAGCAAACACAGGTCACACCAGGATTTCTGGGCTGGATCCAAAAAGTTGGGTGAATGGAGAAGGAGATTGGTTTTGACAGCTTTTGGTTCTGGCACACGGAGTGTCAGGCAACAGTTGCTTAATTGCTGTCACAGGTGACAAGATGGTGCAGTTACCTGCAGTAGTTAAGTTAGCTGCAGTAGTTAAGTTAGCCTTCCATCCATCTGTCCATCCATCCATCCATCCATCCATCCATCCATCCATCCATCCATCCATCCAGTCAGCCAGCTAGCTAGCGATTCATGCCACCATTCCTCTGAAACAACTCAAGGTCACCAATGACATTATTAAATCCAGTGGTCACCTTTCCAGCCCCTCTTACTTAATCTGTCAGCAGCATCTAACAGTTGAACACTCTCTTCCGGACACATGTCACTTCTCTACTGGTTTCTTCCTACCTCACCAGCTGTTCCTTTTCAGTAGCCTTTGTTGGATCCTCTTCCCCCTTCCGACCTCCAAATGTTGGAGGACTCCAGAGCTCAATCCTTGGATTCTCTATCTGTACTCACTTGTCTGGTATCGTGGCTTTAAATATCATCTGTATATGCTGATGATTCCCAAATGGATATGACCAGCCCTGTCCTCTCCCTTGAAATTTGGACAGTCAACTCTCAGATGATTAATAGACATCTCTAACCTAGCATACTCCAAACTGAGCTCCTGATTTCCTCCTGGCCCACCCCCTCTAAACTCGCTCCTGCCCCTGTCTTCTCTATTTCAAGAAATGACAAGTGCTTTCCTTCCAGTTACTCAAGGGTGCATCTCTGGAATCATTCTGGACTTCTCCTTTTTCTCCTACCCACCACATCCACCACGTCAGTTCTGCTGGCTCTACCTTTGAACTAGATACTGAATCTCGCCACTTTGCCCCACTTTGCACTGCTCTCTCCCTGGTCCCAGCCACCACAAACTCATGCCTAGATGATTGCAGTAGCTTCCTTATTTGTCTCCGGCACCTGCCTTTCCTCCCTAGAGTCTATTTTCAACACAACATAAATATATGTCAGATCCAATCCCTCCTCTTCTCAAAGCCCACCACTGGCTTCTCATTTCACTGAGAGGAAAGCAAAGTCTTCCAAAAGCCTGAAAGGCCCCTGGCTCCCTCTGACCTCCTCTCCTTTTACATTTCCTCTCCTCCCACACTCTGGTTTAGCCATGCTAGCCTTCTTCTGTTCTCTCTGCTTTTCCCTCAGATCTCTGCATAGCTCACTTCCTCCCTTCCCTCAAGGCTTTCTCAAATGCTGCTTTACCAAAGAGACCACCCTATGTGAAACAGCAGCCCCATTATTCTGCATCCCTCTTCCCCACTTTATTTTCCTTCATAGTGCTTACTGCTACTAGAAATTCTTTATGCTATTTGTTTTCTTCTTGAACATCTGACTCTCCCCTTTAGAATACAGTCTTTCTGAAAGCAGGAGCTTTGTCTGTGTTATTATTCTATCCCTAACTACTTGAATAATGCCTAGTGCATAGCAGGTGACAGAAGGAATGAATGGATGAATCCATCCACCCATCCATTCATCTATCTGTCCATCCATCCATCCTTCCATCCATCCATCCATCCACCCATCCATTCATCTATCTGTCCATCCATCCATCCTTCCATCCATCCATCCATCCACCCATCCATCCATCCACCCACCGATTCATCTATCTATCCACCCACCCATCCATCCATCCATCCATCCATGTATCCTTCTATATGTTCTTCTACTCATCTTTCCATCCATCCATCCATCCATCCATCCATCTATCCATCCATCCATCCATCCACCCAACCATCCATTTATCCATATATCCATTCACCCATCCATCCACCCATCTATTCATCTATGTATCCGTCTGTACATCCATCCATTTGTCCTTCCACCCATCCATCTGTACGTCCATCCATCCATCCACCTATCCATTCATCTGTCCACTTGTCCATCCATCCATCGAACCATCCATCCATGCAATAATTTCTTACTGGGATTCTGTATAGGTTCATGAGAGATCCATTATATTAATCCTTCAAATGTGAAGGGAGATGTCCAGAAATAAGACCATTTTAAGGATTTCAGGCCCCACTTAGATCAGTGGTTACAATAATTATGAGCATGAGCAAGACTTATTCACACAGTACCTGGCTTCATCATTGGAGCTTTCAATTAAGGGATGCAATGAATATTCCCTTATAGCACTTCACAGTTTACAAAGCAAACTGTAATGATCCAATTGAATAATCTAAAACTGCACTGTACAATATGGTTGCTGTTAGCCATATGTGGCTGTTTGAATTTAAATTCATTGAAATTAAATAAAATAAAAAATTCAGTTCCTTAGTCACACTAGCTATATGTTAATTGCTTAATATCCACATGTGGCCAGTGGCTACCATATTAAATAGAAAGTTCTAGGAAGTTCTATCAGACAGCACTGCTCCATAACCACCCTAAAGTAGTAGTTTATTATATCCCATTTTGCAGACAAGAAAACAAACCCAGAGAAGTCCCCCAGTCAGTATGAAGCAGAGGCTAGTCTTGAAATCTAGTCTTCTGACTCCAAGTCCATTATTCCTTCCAAAGAAGGGTAATTTAAGGGACTGGTGCCCACACGCTTGCACCCTAATTCAGCTTCTGATACAGGAGTGCAGGAATTTAGATGTTTATCTGCCAGCAATAGCCTCTTGCCTTGCTGTCTGCGCATATTCATGCCCCCTTCTTCTGGTAGCTCCCAGATGATTAACAGACATCTCCAGCCTAGCATGCTCCAGACTGAGCTCCTGATTTCCTCCTGGCCCACCCCCTCTAAACACCCCCATTCTCCCGGGTCACCTTTCTCTCCCCTACTCTGAGTCCATGACACTGAGACTCACGTGGGGCTGACCCCACTCTGATTCCAAGGGTCAGCATGTGAGCCTGTGACTCAGATCTGGTCAATCAGGATACTATGCCTTCAGGCCTTGGTGAATGAATGCAGTCAAAGAATTAACACCACACAGCATCAAGACACAGAGATGCAGGTGCACACACACACACACACACACACACACACACACTGCTGCTCATGTAGATGTCTCAGGCTCACTGCAGGTGATATTTTTAGTTCAGGCTGTGGGAGTTGGGGGTCAGATGCACAGAAAGCATCTTCCTTACGCCTCCCCTGTTGCAGATGCACTGATAATAATGGTGTGGCACGCCCTATGGAGATAATAATTTGTGTTTGTAAAATCCCAGACCAGAGCGACTTGTACACTTTTCCCCAGTTTCCCATTCCTATTCGAAGAGGAAGCCCATCCTCCAGCTCCCTTGCTGCAGGGCAATTTGTATGCAAAAGGAAACCAGAGCTTTACCAGGAAGCAAACCTCCCTCTTGACTCTTGTTCCTCAAGCAGAAGGTTCATGGAAGGAATTGGGGAAGAGGCTGTGGAACATTCTAGAAGAGAGCTGATTGGGCAATTCCCCAAACCTAGGAAGGAGAGGTCTGCAGGACAACTGTGCCTGGACTGTTCCAGCATCGTGAGGAGGTGCAGGACTAAAGAGGGCACATAGGTGCCGTGTGGTGGTGGAGGGTCTGGACCTTGAACACTGGAGCTTCTGACTTCACTGAAGACACACCTGGGCTCAGGCAACAGCACTGTCCACCTCTTGGAGATCAGGTGGGCCTGGACAAAGAACAGGTGAGCTGAGACCATGGAGGATGGAAGCCTCCAGGCCCCTTCCTCATTCTCCAGATATCAGACAAGCCTTCTGGGTTATTGTGTGACCCCAGGCAGGTGTGGAGGCGGCCATTCATATGATGAGTCTTAATTTCTTATCATTCTGGTAGGGTTGGGCCTGGTGAGATTTCTTGCACACTTGGTTGTGGAGTAAGATTCATATATGTAATAATGAGAACAGTGTGGCCACAGTGACACATAGTGCCACACAACCTTCACAACAAATGCCCCCGATTGAGAGCTGACCATGGGCCATTAATTGTGCCAGATGTGAAGCTCCTCATCTCATGAAGCATCACAGCAGCTCATGAGGGAGTCACGGTCGTGAACCCCATTTAACAGATGAGGAAAACCGGGCCTGGGGGCTCACACCTGTAATCCCAGCACTTTGGGAAGCCAAGGTGGGCAGATCACTTGAGGTCAGGAGTTTGAGAGTAGCCTGGCCAACATGGAGAAACCGCGTCTCTACTAAAAATACAAAAATTAGCCAGTGTGGTAGTGCATGCCTGTAATCCCAGCTACTTGGAGGCTGAGGTGGGAGAATCACTCGTACCCAGGAGGTGGAGGTTGCAATGAGCCAAGATTGTGCCATTGCACTCCAGCCTGGGCGACAGAGCAAAACTCTGTCTCAATACAAACACACAAAAAACAAAAAACAGTTGAGGAAACAGGGCCAGAGAAGTTAAGCCATTTGTTCAAAGTCACACAGCAAGTGAGGAGCAGAGCTGGGACTCACCCTTCACCCTGTCTTAACTCCAAAGCCTGTGGTCTTTTGGTTTTGAGTAGAAGGGTCTGATTTTTCCCAGTATCCAGGCCCTAGACTCCATGTTCAAGGAATCTCCCCAGCAGTCGTCTGAAGGTCAAAGCCAAGGTCAAGGCCAGGCCCAGTGCTCCTGGACAGATACTGGGATTTTCCACAGAGATGAGACCCTGAGTTTTTCATCTCATTGGGGAAAAATCTGGACATTCTACCTTCCATGTGATTTTTCTTACCTCTCTGTCATTTTTCCCCGGATACCTTGGGATTAATGGCAAAGTAATGCCGGGGTGGGTGTTGGGTGGCTTCAGGAAGGAAGGGGCTGAGGGCAGGAGACCGGTACAACCCAGCAGCCACCACATGGAACAAGGCTTTTAATAACACTGGATTTTTCCAGCAGGTCTGTGCGCTAATTAAACCTGCTCCTCGCAGCCACTGCAAAATGAAGGGAGTCTCACCTGAAAGCTTGTAATTTGCCAACACGAAGGAGAACAGAAGCAAGTACTCAAACATTACCCACAACCACTGCTTTGGAATATTGATTAGCAAGAGACGAGGCACATGCCAGCTTTCAACCCCTCGAACCCAATCAGAATCAATATTTCTCTCCTCAGAGTGCAGAGGAGAAGACCCTTTCAATTCCGATCCAGAAAGAGCCCAGGGGCTGTGACATCTGCCAGCCCTACTGTCCTGTTCTGCTTCACTGAAAATGCTAGCATAGGTGAAGATATAAAAATTACAGAACTCATCAAAAGATATTATAAAGCCCCAGCCACACATCCTAATGACTCACAAAATGACTAGTCTCCAGCATGCAGCCTGTAATTAGAGCCTCGCTGTGCAGAATATACAGTCACAGCCCCTGCGTTGAGGCTCCATAAAGAGTCCAGAGTCTGACCCCTGAATTGTGCTCACACAGGGAAGGCAATGAAAGGTCGCGAGCTCACCCTGAGAAGTGAGAAAAAATCCTCAGAACCTGGAAGAGCTTGAGACTGTGCAAAAGGGAAGTGGAGATTTAAAGGAGCAAACTGGAAGGGTCAAGACAGGCAGGAAGGGGATGGTGGAAGCTGGAATACTAAACTTCGATCCCAACCTGCGGCTAGAATAGGATCCAGCTGTCATGGCTTTGGCAAGTCTGCGGTTCTCACTAGGACACATCCCAAGGTGCTAGCAGGAACTAGAGAAGGGGAATCTGGCATCCTGACTAGCATTTTGTGGGTACCCACAATACCACCGGGGCCCCCAAGCTGGAGTGGGGGACACAGATCAACAAGGGAAAAATCACCGAGTAGAACAGATGCACCCCCCCGCCAACCCCGATTCAGTTCTCTTATCTTGGCCCCATTTCGGATTATTTATTATTATTTTTACTTAGCTATTAAGTTTTTTAGAGTTGGGGTCTCATTCTGTTGTGCAGGCTGGAGTGCAGTGGCATGATCATAGCTCACTGCAGCCTTGAGTTCCTGGGCTCAAGAGATCCCCCCACCCCAGCCTCCCTAGTAGCTGGGACTACAGGCACACGCCACCATGCCTGGCTCCTCTTGGCCCCATTTCTGGAAGGACATGCAGAGATGAAGACAGCTGCAGAGGAGCCTACTAGATTCCCCTCCCCAAACTCAAAGTCTGCCCAGATGTTCTGGGTCTACAAGACTCCAGTTCACCCAGTGGAAAAGTGGTAATGGTTAGACATTCACTTCAAGAAGGGCCCACGGGGAAGTGGTTAAGATTTCAGCCTCTGGAGTCACTAATCTTGGTTTCAAATCCCAGGTCTTGTAACGTGTGGCCCTAGATGAGTTGCTCCAACTCTGAGCCTCAGTTTCCCCATCTATAAAATGGCTCCCATCCCAGGAAAGTGTTAGAAAGCCCACAGCCTGGTACCCTCTAATTGCCCAATAGATGCAATAGCAATTAGTAGTAAAGACAGCCATTGGGTCTAAGAACAGTTCCCCTCCAGTGGCCTCAGACGCAGCCCTGGCTGTGCGTATGTGATGCCATGTGTTTGCAATGCCTGCGTATGCGATGCCTGCGTATGTGATGCGTGCTATTTGATGCCTGCCTATGCGATGCCCGCCTATGCGATGGCTGCGTATGTGATGCCGTGCTATGTGATGCCCGTGTATGCAATGCCTGTGTATGTGATACCGTGCGTATGTGATGCCTGTGTATGCAATGCTGTGCGTATGTGATGCCATGCTATGCGATGCCATGCCTGTGTGATGCCCACGTTTGTGATGCCTGTGTATCCAATGCCTGCATATGCGATGCCTGCCTATGCAATGCTGTGCTTATGTGAGGCTGTGCCTGCCCACTGCTGTCCTCCCTGTAGCCAGGTCATGTCTGTCTCCTCTCCACCTATCCAAGTGCAGTCCACAGCCTTATATACATCACTGGCTCAGCCCAGGAAAGCTGAGGACATAGCCAGGGACAAGCCCCAGACGAGGGGCCATGCCAGCTGACCTGCCTGCTGCCCTTTGCCCCAATGCCTCCATGCCCAGGGTGGGGGGGGGGGTGTCTTCAAAGACACCGAGTAAAGCAGAGACAGAAGTCACAGTCCTAGCAAAAGCACCTGAATAGGATGACTGCTGTTGTCATTAATAACACAAACAGCAGCACCTGACATCAGTCTACGGACAACTACGTGCTCTGTCATTTCATCCTCTCGGCGTCCTTGCGAGATGGAAGCTAGTAGTTTTCCTACTTCACAGAGCTGGAAACAGGCACAGAGAAGTCAAAAAGCCTGTCTTACCTGGAGCCCAGCTGGAGGATGCACCATCCCTGAACCCAACGGTAACTCTATCATCAGCACCATGGCCAGAGTCAGGTCCCGGGGGAATACAATGGTCTTGGGCTTTCTATTTTGGTGCCTGGTCTAAGTCTAGTGCAGTTTTTGTCCTCTGCTTCTCTCTCAGCCCACTCACAGCCTCAGTGCAAAATAAATCTCCCCACTCTCCCCACTCTCGCAGATCTCACAAAACAACAGACCTTCAAGGCAAAAGAGGAGGGAGAGGGGAGCAAAGGACTCCGAGAGGCCTCCACGCTCCATTGATCACAGGGCCCTGAACGTGGCTGCTCCCCTGCACAGGGAGGGCCCTGGCTGGGCCTTGGCCAAGCATTGTAGCAGAGGAGGCCTGGAAAAAACGAGCCCGAACTTGGGATTCAAGAGAAGGGCATTGCAAGGTCAGCAGTCCATCAGGGAGGCAGGGGCGTGGCCAGCCTCACTTAGCATCCTGCTTCTTTTCTGTCTTCTCCAATCCAAATTTATGCCATGACAATAACAGCATTCTCCATTATTGTGTATCTCCACTGATCTCAAGAGGTGTCCATAGACCAGGGTCTCCCCACAGCTCAGGCCAGCACAGATTCCATGCCTGGGGCCTCAGATTAGGTGTCCGGATGCTCATGGAGTGAGGCCCAAGGTCTTGGAAGGGCTGGAAGGACCTTTGGATTCATTTGGGTCTAGCAATTGTAGGATCAATGGTATTATCCTTCAACATTTTTTTTTTTTAAGAGACACAGTCTCAGTCTGTCACCCAGGCTGGAGTGCAGTGGCACAATCACAGCTCACTGCAGCCTCAACCTCCTGGGCTCAAGGGATCCTCCTACCTCAGCTTTCTGAGCAGCTGGGATTACAGGTACATGCCACCATGCCCAGTTCATTTTTTATTTTTGGCAGAGACGGGGGCAAAAGATGTTGCCCAGCTGGTCTTGAACTCCTGGATTCAAACACTCCTCCTGCCTTGGCCTCCCAAAGTGCTGGGATTACAGGTGTGAGCCACTGTGCCAGACCCTTCCACAAATTCTTGTATGTTAACTGCATGCCAGGCTCCAGGGACAGAAGGATGACAAGATGGGCATAGACCTTGACCAGGAGCTTATGGGACTGAGGAAGGGGCTCTCGCCAAAACTCAGGGAGATCGGGATGCTTGCTTTCTGTACAGGTCACCTGCTTTCGGTGAGGTAATTCATTGCATAGTCATCTATGTGCAAAGCGCTCTAAAGTAGGGGTTGGACAGGTGATGTGGGGATGGGACAGGAGAAGAGCTGAGTGGGGAGGGGAAGCTGAAAGAGAGTTCCAGGCAGAGGGAACAGCAGGTGCAAAGGGCATGGAATTGGGAGAGAGCTCGGCAAGTTTGAGAAGCTGAAAAAAACTTTCCCAGGGCTGCTATAACAAAGTGCCACAAAGCAGATGGCTCAGAACAACGGAAATGTATCATCTTGCAGTTCTAGGGGCTAGATGGCTGGGATCGAGGTGTCGGCAGGGCTGTGCTCCCTCTGAAGGCTTCAGGAGAGAATCTTTCCTGCCTCCTCCCAGCTTCTGGTGGTTTCTTGGCACTCCTTGGCTTGTGGCTGCCTCACTCCAATCTCTGCCTCTGTGGTCCCACGGCCTCCTCCCTGTGTATCCACGTGGCCTTCTTACCAGGACATCAGACCTTGGGATTAGGGCTCACCCTATTCCAGTAAATCTTAACTTGACTAGTTATAACCACAGAGATCTTGTTTTCAAATAAGGTCATGTTCTATCATTCCAGGTAGACATGAATTTGGGATGAGGGCACACATAATCCAACCCAGTACAGGCAGGATGGCTGGAGAGCAAGGGGGAGGGTGGTCGTAGAAGGGATTGCTATTCCTCAGAAAGAGATGAGACGTCTCTCTGGCTTTTGGTGGAGGGGGTCCCCTGGCAAGAAGAAGGGTGTTTTCTGGTTGCAGTCTCCAGGCTTCTGCCATGAGGGAAGGTCACCGCAGCAGCAGATGGCAGACATGGGGGAGGAGGGAGACCAGGAGAAGCCAGGGCGCAAAGATCTTGTCTTAAAATACACCAAATCAGGAAGATCTGTCATCTCTGCTAAGCAGATGTGTTGTAGATTCTATTAAAAGCACAAATGAACTTCAGAAGACAGGTCCTAATAAGCAATTCTAATTATCATCTTCATTAACTACTCCAGTCCCAGGGCGATCTATTTTCATACTGGGGAGGAGCCGCAGCTACATTTCTCTGGAAAAGTCTCTTCCTCTTGGTGCCTCCAGATGGGAAGTTTGTCTAGTGGTGAGAACGGTGTCCCTGACCTTGGGCAAGAGGCAGAGGTAGAAGGTCCCCATTCCACCCCTGCCTGAATCTTTGCATCCAGTGTTGAGTAGCTAGCTTCCTCTCACACATTCCAATCCATTTTGGACGGGGAAAGATCTCATTGAGGAGATGGTACCTGGGGTTTGCTATTTTATCCAACAAGCAATGTTTTGGTGGGTCTAGCATGGTGCTGGGTAACACTAATGGCAGTTTCACCTGGCAGGGGCTGCTGGTCTGAGCTTTTTTCATGCAGTAATTCGTTTGCATCTCACAACATCACAACCATCTTGTGGGCTGGGTGTTGTTATTATCCCATTTCATACATGAGAAGACCAAGGTCTGAGAGGGGAAGTGATAGCCAGAAAGTGGTGCCGCTGATACAGGCCCCCAGCAATCTGAATCCAGAGCCCGTCCTCTGAATGCAACAGCAGGTAGCCTGTCAGATGTTGCCAGATGCTGTTGGGGGATGGAGGGTGGTGCAAAAAAACCACGTTCACCAGCTGCCAGGCTTTTGCCACCATTTCAACTTCAAGGTTTAGGGCTGTGTCCGTCCCACCTTTATACCCACTTAGCAAAGCCCATCGTTTGTTTGTTTTTTCTTTTAGAGACTGAGTCTCCATCTATCGCCCCCACTGGAGTGCAGTGGCACAATCTCTGCTCACTGCAACCTCCACCTCCCGGGTTCAAGTGATTCTCCTGCCTCAGCCTCCCGAGTAGCTGGAATTACAGGCGCCCACCCCACGTCCAGCTAATTTTTGTAGTTTTAGTAGAGACGGGGTTTTACCATATTGGCCAGGCTGGTCTCGAACTCCTGACCATGTGATCCGCCCGCCTTGGCCTCCCAAAGTGCTGGGATTACAGGCGTGAGCCACCGCGCCCGGCCCCCATGTGAACCATTGTTGAAACAGTCCCTTGACATTGTAGTTCCAGCTTTTCTCACTTTTCAGTAGTAACCACACTTGAAGTTTAACATTCACCTTGTAAAGAAAGATTTGAGGTGACCCTTGCACTTGCTTTAAGCCTGGACCTTGCTGGTGGGGGTAGAATCCTCCATCTGCTAGGCTTCCTGGAATGGGAAGATTGGGCTCTCACTGAGTCGAGCTGATTTTTCTGTTTTGACCCATGCCTGGCTCATAACAGCCTCTGAATAATTACCTCCTAGCTGGATGAAGGAAAAGAATCATGAGTGAAGGAATGAATGCATGAATCTGTTACCTTTCAGCTGCACATCCCCCCAACTCAGGCTGTAGTTCTGCAGGACTACTGACTCCTCCCGAACACACTGCATGCACTCTGGATCTCTGTGCCTTGGCCTGCTCAGTCCCATCTGCCTGAAATGCCTCTGTGCCCCTACTCCGACTCATTCATCCTTCAAGGACCAGTTCAAGCTGATCCCCCGTGCACCTTCAGTTTCCCCTGAAATGAACTCCTCAGCTGAGTTCATTATTCCCTCTCCCATGTTCTCAGAGCACTCTACACATATACACCAAGAGCCATCACGGGATTTGGATGGTATTTTGATTCTTTACACATCTTTCTCTCTCTTTGACTGCTACAGCCCCTAAGGTTAGGAATTGAATCCAATTCCTCTCTGATCCCCCAAATCTAGTGTTCAATAGAAGTGTTTGAAAAGTAAACAGAAAATCCAAGCTTTGCATCCTGACTGAGTGGAAAATGAGGAGGGACCCCATTGGCTGGGCCCTCTCTCCACTTCTGCTCAAAGCTGTCTTTGAAACATTCCAGGTGAGGTTAGAGGTTTGTTCAATCACATTCATCCCCCAACACAGCAGAAACCTGGCATCCCCCGGAGGGACAGAGTGTCTGCTGCCCCGATGGGGTCTGCCTGTCACACCGAAGGATAAATCTCTCCCTCTTTGGACTCTTGGAGCACTCAGGGTGCCCAAGACACCCTCTGTACATTCCCGGGGGATGCCTTTGGCTGCTCATAGATCCCACATTGATGGCAAACGCGAGAACAGCAGTGCACACAGCCCTCCAGGTGTTTCATAACAGGGCTCTAGGCCACACCCAGTCCCCAGAGCAAGCTCACCACCTGACAGTGGAAAGAAAGAGAAAGGGATACAAAGACTCAGCTACAGAAGCGTCTCATCCTGTGAAATAATCCATAAATGGAACCACGGGAGCAACAGAATGGCCCTAAGACCGAATCTCAGCTCCACCTTTTCTCAGCTTTGCGGGTAACTTCTCTTGCCTCATCTGTACCATGGGTACAACATTGCGCTTGTCTCAGTGTTGTCATGAAGATGAAATGAGACACCATATGCAGGGGCAATGACACTAGTCATCGATAGCTAATAAGGCCCATGAATTGTGCCAGTGATAAATAACTGGTGAAATTGGTTCTGTGTCCTGGTTTGCAAAGCTGAGCACATCCCGAATATATATGAAGAACTTAGTGTCAATGTATTATGAGCACATAGCACGGGACAGCTCCTATGACTATCAGTGCTGGGTTTATACTGATTCGAAACTCCCAGGTGACCATTTGTTAAAATGGCTGCTCGCATCCTAGGTACAGTCTGGGAGGCTGATTGGAAAGACTAGTTTAAATCATCTTCACTCCCTGCTGATTTTCGCTGCTGTCAGTAGGCCTCCCCTGATGTGACTAATCTCTCTTCATTCCCAGGCTGGGGGTTTGAAAGTCACCACTGGCAAAAATCAATCCAAAGCAATTAAATCCCTACCAGGTGTGATTGGAACAGGAGCTCAATTGATTGGAGGTGCACTGGGATGGGAAACTCCTGTAGGTATTGGCCTTGTAGCACCCCGAGAAAGCCAGGTTCCTCTTCTCAGATTCAACGCCCCCATGCTGGGCACTCCGAAACCCCTCCTTGCAGCAGGCCTTCTGCCGACGGGCAACCAAAAGGCTGGTTCCTCATTTCCTCTCTGGGTCTGCTGGCACTTGGTTCACACATTTGTTATGGCCGTTGTCAAGTGGTGTTTTAATTATGATTTGAGATCTGTGCGAATCTCACTCTATTATTCGATCCTTGAGAGGAGGGGGACTGTTTCTTGTTCATATTTATACCTTTATCCTTCAGGTGTCCATCACACACCATAGGCGCTGTAGGCAGTCAGGATTTTCCATTACAAATGACTGACAACACAACCCAAATTGGTTTAAATAAAATTATGGGCTCACCTAACTGGAAAGTCCAAGGGCAGCTTCTACATGCAGCTAGAGCTTGGCTAAGGATCTGAAATGATGCCACCAATCCCGTTTCTCCCTTTCAGCATTACTTGGCTCCCCTCCCTCTGGTTGGTTCCCTGCTCAGATCGGCTCTCTCCGCCTGGTCGCAAAGTGGCTGCTAGCAGCTCCAGCCTCATATTCTCCCTTGTTCAAGTTCAATGGGTATGCATGCATCTCTTGGGCAGGGGTCTCAGTCAAAGTCTCATTGTGTCTCTAGCTCTGCTTGGGTCAAGTGCCTACCTTGCATCAATCAGTGTGGCCTGGGGACTGTAATGCTCAGGACCCCAGCCCCATGCCCACCTCTGGAGCGAACCTTAGCTGAACAAAATGAATTAAGGGTGGGGAGGGGTAATTCCCTGGAAGGAAGTCGTAGTAATGAATGGTGGTGGATAGAACACAGCAAGGGTCTACTTCAGCACTCAATGAATGAAGTAACAAACATTAGTGGAGAAACAGGATCCTTTAGTGCATTCCTTATGTCTCAATGATGACATCCCATTGTTGTTCCTACTTGTGCTATTTCTATTAGGTTGGTGCAAAAGCGTTTGCAGTTTTTGCCATTGCTTTATTTTTTTTGAGACAGGCTCTCACTCTGTCACCCAAGCTGGAGTGCAGTGGTGCAATCTTGGCTCGCTGCAACCTCTGCCTTCTGGGTTCAAGTGATCCTCCCGCCTCAGCCTCCCAAGTAGGGGGGACTACAGGCGTTGAGTCACCGTACCCAGCTAATTTTTGTACTTTTAGTAGAGACAGGGTTTCACTATGTTGGCCAGGCTGGTCTCAAATTCCTGACCTCAGGTGATCTGCCCACCTTGGCCTCTCAAAGTGCTGAGATTACAGGCATGAGCCACTGCACCCGGCTTTGCTATTACTTTCAATGGCAAAAACTGCAATTACTTGGCACCACCTAATACTATTCTAGGGGCACAAATTGTATCTTTGGTTTCTCTCTTTCCCTTCCTTCACATGCACCAGGGACAAGAGACAAGAGAACCAAGTGAAGGCGAAACGCTTAGCCACTCGAATCTGATAAGAAGTAATCGTTTTCATGACCAACCCCAGTGCCAAAAATGCAGACAGATTCTTCATTAACTAGGTTCAGCTTCTTCCAATAATTTATTTTAGGTCTGTTGAGAAAAGACTTTATATTTTCAGCTGATAAACTTTGCTTTGCTTAGATGTATTCTGAGAACACAATTAAACTCCACTCAGCATATGCGTGTGTTGAATACAAACATATAAGGTAGGTATATGTGTGCAGTGTGTATGTGCTGTGTCTAAAATGCTTGTACCCAAGCAGAAAATACCGATTTTCTTTCAAATGTCCCTGGAATATGTACAGAAGTTGACTACAGACTGGATCACAAAGAAAATCTCAACAAATTCCAGAAGAAAGTCTATAGGTCTCCCTCTCTGACCACAGTGCCAGAAAGAAGAGAAAATATTTTTAAAAGGCATATCCTGTCCGGGCGTGGTGGCTCATGCCTGTAATAATCCCAGCAGTTTTGGAGGCTGAGGTGGGTAGATAACTTGAGGCCAGGAGTTTGAGACCAGCCTGGCCGACATGGTGAAACCCCATCTCTACTAAAAATACAAAAGTTAGCTGGGCATGGTGGTGCACGCCTGTAATCCCAGCTACTCAGGAGGGTGAGGTGGAAGAATTGCTTGAACCTGGGAGGTGGAGGTTGCAGTGAACTGAGATCACGCCACTGCACTCTAGCCTGGGCAACAGAGTGAGACCCTGTTGAAAGAAAGAGAAAGAGAGAGAGAGAGAGATCTAGAGAGAGAGAGAAAGGAGGGAGGGAGGGAAGGAAGGAAGAAAGGAAGGAAGGAAGAAGGAAGGAAGGAAAAAGGCCTATTCCTGCTACTGTTGCAATGGTACCTGGAGAAGGAACAGAGGGTCTCTTGGCCTGGGGAGCAGGGGTCCTTCCTGCTCTTGTTCAAAGTGACTGGTGAGAGTGACATGATGTTCTTCATGTAACCTCAAGCAGCAGCAGCCCTGTCTGGGAGAAATTCTGTGCCAGGAAAAAGATGACTGGGGAGAGAAATCCAGGCGTGGCTTCATGGGAGAATGGTCCCACTGCCGCATCCTTATCCTTTCCCTTACTGAGATTTGAAGGCTGATAATCAGAGCGCTAAGGGGAAATAGTGGGAATAGGAGGAGAAGCAGTCGGAATGCTTTAGACATGCAGAAAAACCTAGAAGGACAAGTAATCCTGCCCTCCTTATTAGCTCAAGCAACTGATCACAGCTGTGATAGAGAAAAGACATTGACAGATAAGGGCTTTTGATATCAGGCAATCCTGATGGCCTTAAAATACCAGAAGGACATTCTAATTAGATTCAGAGTAGGTGAGTGATAATCAGATTTGGGATCAGATCAGGGTTAAATTAAGCAGTGAATGAAAGAAGTTAAAGATTAAGGAGATCTATACCTCCCCTCCACTTCTCAGGAAAGATTTGAGCCGGATTTTCAAAAATGTACACAATCATGTAGATAGTGGTTAAGAGCCTGGACCTCAGGATAAAAGAGAATTAGGTTTAAATCCCAGCTCTGCCACTTCCTGCTGCGTGACCGTGGGCCAGTCACCCACCTCTGATTTCTCATCTGTGAAATGGAGGGCAAAATACTTCTTGCACATGGCAGGCTTGTTGGAGGACAAAATAGACTAGGTACCTGAAACGTGCTTGCTACAGAACGTGCACTGAGCGGTTACTTAGAATTGCAGTTCTTTTTTTTTTTTTTTGAGACGGGGTCTCGCTCTGTCACCCAGGCTGGAGTGAGTGCAGTGGCGCAATCTCGGCTCACTGCAAACTCCACCTCCCAGGTTCACGCCATTCTCCTGCCTCAGCCTCCTGAGTAGCTGGGACTACAGGCGCCCGCCACCACGCCCGGCTAATTTTTTTGTATTTTCAGTAGAGACAGGGTTTCACTGCGTTAGCCAGGATGGTCTCGATCTCCTGACCTCGTGATCCACCCGCCTCGGCCTCCCAAAGTGCTGGGATTACAGGCGTGAGAATTGCAGTTCTTAATACATGGAAGATGAGAAATTTTATCTCATGGATCTTCACGAGATGTACATGATGAGAGACCGAGGACAACATCTATAATGATATCTCTACAGCATATTCACTGGCGAGTTACAGGGGCTGTTCAGTTAAGGTCTCTCAATGCAAGCCAGTGGAATAAGAGTGCAAATATAGGAGGAATTTGGGTATTTTTCGACCTGCCTCTAAATTTGTATCCTTTTAAGTATGTTGTCTTCAATTCTAGCAATGCCAATACTTAGTTGTTTTCACAGAGATCTATTCTTAAGGGAGAAGCAGAATTGAATTGAATACTTGTACATGAATGTTCCCAGCTGCATTATTCACGACAGCCAAAAGGTGGAAACGACCCAAACGTCTGTCAGCTAATGAATGGATAAACGAAATGTGGCATATTGGCCAGGTGCGGTGGCTCACGCCTGTAATCCCAACACTTTAGGAGGCCGAGGCCGGTGGATCACCTGAGGTCAGGAGTTCGAGACCAGCCAGGCCAACATGGTGAAACCCCGTCTCTACTAAAAATACAAAAATTAGGTGGACATGGTGGCAGGCGCCTGTAATTCCAGCTACTCGGGAGGCTGAGGCAGGAGAATCACTTGAACCTGGGAGGTGGAGGTTGCGGTGAGCCAAGATGGCACCACTGCACTCCAGCCTGGGCAACAGAGTGAGACTTTGTCTCAAAAAAAAAAAAAAAAGAAAAGAAAAAGAAAAAAGAAAAAAAGAAAGAAATGTGGCATATCCATATCATGCAATATTATTCCATCACAAAAAAGGAATGAAGTACTGATACACGCTGCAACATGGATAAAGCATTATGCTAAATTATAAAAGAAGTCAGACACAAAAGCCCAATATTGCATGACTCCATTTACGTGAAATTCACAGAATAGGCAAATCTATAGAGATGGAATGTGGATGAGTGGGTGCCTGCGGCTGGGAAGTCGGGGGAGGATAAGAAATGACTACTCATAGGTACAGAGTATCTTTTGGGGGTGATGAAAATGCTCTAAAATTGGTTAAGAAGTGAGTGTGAATTGTACTCTTTAAATGGGTGAATTGTATGGTATATGAACTATATCTCAAGAAACCTGTTACAAAAAGCAAAATAAAAAGGGGCCACTCTTCCCATGAGCCTTGCTTAAAGGAGGGTGGGCTAGACTCTGAATTAAAACATCTGGGGTAGTTTTACCCAGATGATGAGTAAAATAGCCTAAGGGGAAATAAAGCGACAAAACATTTCATTGGGAGAAAGTCACAGAAATTCTAATGAGCCAGCGGGCGCCCTCAACATTGCAAAATGAGTTGGGCCTCAGAGTATCCAAGGAGGCCCCTTTCAAATCACCCTTAGTGCCAGCTTTTATTTATTTATTTATTTGTGAGAGTGTGTCTCACTCTGTCACCTAGGCTGGAGTAGAGTGGCGCGATCTCGGCTCACTGCACCCTCAACCTCCTGGGCTCAAGCAGTCCAGCCTCAGGAGTAGCTGGGACCACAAATGTGTGCCACCATGCTTGGCTAATTTTTGTATTTTTAGCAGAGATGGGGTTTCACTATGTTGCTAAGGCTAGTCTCGAGCTTAGGCTGGTCTCGAACTCCTGAGCTCAAGTGATCCTCCCACCTCAGCCTCCCAAAGTGCTGGGATTACAGGTGGGAGCCACCACGCCTGGCCAGCACTGCGTGCTTGACATACACTAATTTGTTGTAGCCTCCTCATACCCTCTGAAAGAAGTATTGTTACCCCATTTTGCAAAAGGAGAAAACTGTGTTTCAGAGAAGCAAAACGCCTTGTGCGAGGTCACACAGCTAGTAACCTGACGCCGAGTCCAAAGGATTCCTGTGCTCTCCACCTTCACGCGTGGTTGGCTTCCTTCTCTCCCCTGACATCCAATCCCAAACCTCTCCTGGTGCATTTATGCCCATGTTCTCCTGTTCGAGTGCAAATTGTTATCCTCTGCAGAAACCCCTATGTGTGGATGAAGATAGTTTCCAAAGCATCTTTTAGCTTCCTCTGCTTAATTAAGCAACTCCAATTCACACACCTCCCAAGGAGAAGCATCAAAGGATGACAACAGAGGAAAAAAGTCTGAGTTCCGATTGAATTGCAAACTCTCTGCAACAGCCCGGCAACAAACATATGCTCATCTTTATCCTGGAAGAATGGACATAATGGCCATTGTCCTTGAGAATAATCCAAGATTTAGGAAACACATGAAAAGTAGAAGTTCCTCCTTCGCAGAAGGTCATTGCCTATTTATTCCCCAAAATGTAAAAACCCAAAGAATGTGTGGCTGCATCACACTTAGTGAATTGTTGAGCTACCAAAATAGAAATAAAATATGGAATGTTTTATACTAATGAACATAGTGTTCATATTAATGAGCATTTATGTGACCTTCCTGGGGAACAATTGAAAGGGAAAAAAGTGTTTAGAGCAGATGCGCTTATGTATATATTAATTCCCAGCCCTTTGTAATGTCTTTAGCTATGCCACCTATGGAAATATTGCCTCCTTCTTCAAAATTCCTTAGCATTGAATCTTCACTTGTCTTTAAAGAAACCTCTAGGGTTGGTACAGTTCAAGCTCACACTTAGGCATGAATGCATAGGTACCCATAAAAGCAGGGAATATGTATTCTTCACATTCACTTAATAATGCACGTGGGGAAAGTTATTTCTGGTCTTCCCTTCCCCTCTTTTCATCCCCTCCCCAATTTCTATGCCCATTATCCTCCCAAGAGCTGCAGCCTCCCTGACCACCCTCAGAGTCTGATTTTATAGCACAGACCCTTGCAATAACTACTACGTAACTTAAACCCAAACCCCCAAGGATGTAAATCACGTTATTACTCACCTGCCATATCCCAATGTCACATTCCAATTACTAATGTGCTCCTTGTCAGTAACATAAGTAGTAAATGTACCATCATTTTGGTGGCTTATTGAAAAATCAATCCCTCCACCGAACTGCTTTGACAGTAGCTCTGTAAGCAGCCGCTCCCTCTGTTTAAAGGGGAGAACAGGCTTCCTCCTCTCTTTCCCCTGGAAACTTCTATTCCAATTACATAGGCTGATGGCTTAGCGCGGTTGCAAGACTTTAGAGGTGGTTTCAAATTCCAACCCTGCTATTCCCCATGTGCACTTGAGCAAGCTCTGTCTGGCTTCGGTATTTCCACTTGTAAAATGGGATTTTCACTGGGTTATTCAAAGTGCCCAGCACATAGGAGCAGTTCAATATGAGCTAGTTCCCTTTCCTGCGCAGAACAGCTACCAGGTTTGTGTTCCTAATGCCAAGAGCAAGGAAGACCCTATAACATTTCACCCCACTCATGGACACTGGCCTGGCTGACCAGATGCCAAATGATCACATCAGTGACCCGACCCATCTCATTGCAAGACTACATTTGGTCACTTGTGCTCCATCCAACTGGGTGGCAAATGAGTCAGAGAATGAGGCGCATAGGCTTTTAAGGGTGGAGTCAGATGTGTGTTGGTGGGGTGGTGTTGGGCAGAGCTGGGGCTGTGGTGTTAACAAAAAAATGACAAAAGGCAGCAATTTAACTTTCATGCAGGGTGCAAATTCACTTAGAAACTCCTTATCAGCAGGACTGGGGAAGGATCATTCCACCCAGAACAAAATGCAATAGATAAAAATAACTTCAGTGTCTTAGGGAGACAGATATTAAGGCAAGGAACTATAGAGGGCAATGCACTGTAGTCTTAAAGTCCTAATCAGTTTAGCAGGTTGGAAACGGGCTGGTAACAGCCCTGGTAAATTCCCCAGCCATGCTTCCTAGACTCCCGTCGTCTCACAGCTAAATTAAAAACAACAGTCCCTCCTTCCACCCACCTCCTCTGCACTCCAGGTCTGCTTGTGTTTCTGGAATAATTGCACCTGTGTGTCCTTCCAGCCCGCCTCCACAGCCAGGTGAGCTCCAGCCCATAAAATCATCTAGTGTTGCTATTTCTGAAAGCCGATTTCTTGAGAATATTGGCTGGACCCTAACAAGCTCAGAAACATCAGAGCGGCTGGCAACTAATGCCTCTGCCATCCTGAATTCGGCCTCACACTTTATCAAAGAGATACTTCCCTTCCCTTTAGGAACTAGGGGAGATGCTATGGTTTGGATGTGGTTTGTCCCCATCCAAACTCATGTGGAAATTCGATCCCCAGTGCGGTGGCAGACAGGTACAGCCTAGTGGGAGATGTTTGGGTCATGGAGGTGCATTCCTCATTGAATGGTCTAATGCCTGCCATACTCATGGGAGTGAGCAGGGTCTCACTCTGGTGAGACTGGATTAGTTCTCATGGAAATGCATTAGCTCCCGCAAGAGTGGGTTGTCATAAAGCCAGGACACTCCTCAGGTTTTGTCTCTTCACGTGGGTCTGCATCCCCTTTGACCTTCTCCACCATGTGACACTGCAAGAAGTCCTCACCAGAAGCCAGGGTCATGTCCTTGAACTTCTCAGCCTGCAAA
Source organism: Homo sapiens (assembly GCF_000001405.40). Taxonomy (NCBI): domain Eukaryota; kingdom Metazoa; phylum Chordata; class Mammalia; order Primates; family Hominidae; genus Homo; species Homo sapiens. The sequence continues at coordinate 14,854,435 of NC_000001.11, read as the reverse complement.
ACCATGAGCTAAATAAACCTCTTTTCTGTATAAACTACCCAGTCTCAGGTATTCTGTTATAGCAACACAAAATGAACTAAAACAAGAGGTGATTGAAATACTGCAAAGGAAAGCCCTATGTGTAAGAGTCCTCCATAAAACACGAGGCACTCAGAGTCTGTCTTAGGCACTATGGTAGCTGGAAGCACTCACCAGTCAACATGCAAGCTCAACAAGCATTTGTTGGGTAAGTCCCTTTTCTTCTCTGTGCCTCAGTTTCTGCACCTGTAAGATGAGAAACCTCACTCACAAAGGGCCAGATGATCTAACCGGGGGGTAGGTCTAGGGTTGTCATGGAACTGAGACCCCTGGTCCTCTGATGGCCCTCCAGGTGGGCTTGTAAAGGGTCTTCCACATGCAGTTCTACATGAGGCCATGTACATTGTCCCTGCCTGAGACTCTGCAGCTTCTCTGGGATTCAAATCCAGGCCAACCTGACCCAGAAGTACATCTCTCTCCTCTCACTTCATGCTGACTTTCCTCTTCCTCTGATCTTCGTTTCTTGCCCAAGGGTGGTCCACAGGCCACCGTTCCCCATCAGCTGTGGTGTCTCGGCCCCCACGGGAGCTCTTGAAATAGATGGAGAACTTCTGTACTAGCACCAATATGGGCCAAGTGACCACAGGTCAGGACCCCAGACTTCCTTGAGCAGCCTGATTCTGGGTCAGTGGTGGGACTGGCTGGGAGAGGGGCCAAGAGACACAGCTGGAGCCTGGGGCTATCACTAAGTTGCAGTGGATCATGCACCAGATTAAGGGCACTGCTGCACTTTGTTCAGGCTATTTCATCCGTCTGGAATGTTCTTCTCCCACTGAGAGGCAGGACAGTGTGGGAGTAAGAGCCAGACTAAGGGGTTCAAATCCCCCTCCTACCACCTGCATCCACTCTGCAGCTTTGGCATGTAAGCTGTGCCTCAGATGCCCCATCTGAGAAATGGGGCTGAAGATCATTCCTATCTCATGCAGTGTGGTGAGGATTCCATGAGACAGAGGGTGTGCACCACGTAGAAAAACGCCTGGCACCCACGAGGTAACATTGGGCAGGTTCGTGCTTGCTCTTCAAGTCTCCTCTGTCCTCTCCCATTGGATGCCCTTCCTGTCCACTGCAGCCCCTCCTCTGTGCCCCTCTGCCCTGGGCACCTTCTCATCAAAGCAGTCGTCACACTGTGTTGTGATCGCTCCTCTAACCATCCCTGCAACCGCAGATCCCTGGGGGAGGGACCTAGTCTGCTTCATCTGGAATCCTCAGGGCCTAGGCATGATACCCAGCTCCTCCAGAAGAGTTTGTGAAAGGAATGAGGAATGTGCCTGGACTTTGGAGTGAGCCAGATGAAGTCACATCCCAGCTCCACCCATTCCCTAGATCTGTGGTTCTAGATGGTCCATTTTTCCTTTCAGAATCTCAGGTTCCTCACCTGGGAAACAAATGTTGCTCAAACTTCAAAGAGCATAGGAATCACCTGAGGATCTGGTTAAAGCACAGATTTGGATTCAGCAGGTCTGGGAGGGGTCTGAGAATGTGCATTTCCAACAAGCTCCTAGGGAGGCCCATGTTGCTGGTACAGGGACCACACTTTGAGTAGCCTGGCACGCAAGGACACACAATAAAAGCTAACACGTAATCTTATTACACGGGCAGAAGAAGTGATATTTCTGATTATAGAAGCTGCAATCCATACCCCAGAGCCTCTTGCCCCATTTCAAAGTCAGTTCTCCAAGGCTTGCACTTGTCATCTTCTGCCAGTGGCATGGGCCCTGGGCAAGTGTACCTGCGAGACCATCTGGCCCTTTGGAAGTCCGCCCAGAACTGCTAGTCCTGGCATGGGCAGAGGCTGAAAACGCTGACCAAGCCTAGACAGTGGGAAGAAGCAGGGAGGGGGCAGGGCCTGCAGGTGGGGAGGGGGCTGGGCCTTTTGATAAGGGAACATCACAGAGCTGCTGCCTCCCGGGAAGGATTTGGCTCCGGTTCCTCCTCATTCGCAGGCCTGGCACCGTCTGATCGCCGCATGGCTGACTCAGGCTGCTGGACTCCCCATTCAAGATCAGCTGGGCTGAAGCATGGAAAGCCTGCTGTGTCCACACCTGCTGGGCCTCAGCCCATCTCTCAGGGCCACCTGGATCCCACCTTCTACTCTGAGGCCCCAGGAAAGCCCAACTCTCAAATGCAAACACCTGGAGCTGTCCAGTGCCGGGTCCAGTTAGACAGCCCCAAGGTGGAGGGAGATGGTAGGGGAGGGGAGATAGGGACGCAGAGAAGGAGAAGGAGATCCAGGGAGACCCCCAAGATCCAGACTTTACGTTTGCCTCCCAGGTGAGGAACCTGAGATTTTGAAAGGAGAAACAAATTGCCTAGAACCACAGATCTAGGGAATGGGAGGAGCTGAGATATGACTTCATTTGGCTTGTTCCAAAGTCCAGGCGCATTTCTCATTCCTCTCACAAACTCTTCCGGAGGACCTGGGTCTCCATGTCTAGGCCCTGAGGATTCCGGGTGAGCTGGACTAGGTCCCTCCCCCAGTGACCTGCAGTTGCAGGGGTGGTTAGTGGAGCGATCGCTACACAGTGTGATGACTGCTATGAGAAGGCGTCCAATGTCAGGAAGAGCTGACATCCCTTAAGCATGTCTATGTATTGGGCGCTGTTCTGCCTGCTGCACAGGCACCCACTCCTTCAGGCGGGCCTTGCCATCCCACTTCATGGCTGAGAAGACTGAGGCCCAGAGAGGATAAGTCAACGCCCAGGTGGAAGTGGGAAGAGCCAGGTGCCCCAGCATGGTAACCCCGAAGGCCTCACTCCTAGCTTTGACCAGGATTCAAGGCCCTCAACAGGCCCCCTGAATGGACACCCCAAACGAGCCTCTGATGAGGGGTGCCTTTGTTCTTGCTTGCCCACATTTGCTGGCTCCATGGGCCCTCTGCACATGCAACAAGGGTTGGTCCTTGGGACAGGGTGTGGGGTGTTTGAGATTCTGCTCCAGGGGCTATCGCAGCGGTGGGGCAGCTGAAGGCTGGCAGTATGGGAGTGAGTGGGTGTCCCCACCACCGCAGAAGGGAGCCCCTAGCTGTGGGACACGAAGGGCATGCTGGCTTTACAGGTATTATCCCATCAGCCGGCGTCTTGGGCAGTGGTCCCCTGGGCAGGCCCAGGCTCAATGTGATAAGAAGGTAACACTGCAGGGACCCACCTAGATGGCTGCTCCATCCTGGTGCACTTAGAAGTGGACCATCTCCCTAATACAGCTGTGAGCCGTCTAGGAGGGGAGAGGTGGGCTGGGCACTGGAAGGGATTAACGCCAAGGACTGACACATCTGATGGTGGAAGGGCCAACCCGACAAAGGCATAGCTGGTCCAACTCAGGGAGTATCCCCAAATTCTGCTCTGATCCCAGCACTGTGCAGGGCCTGGAGGACAGAGTGGAGAAAGACTGCGTGCTGTCTCTCAGGTACTGTGAGCAGGCCCTCGGAACCACACCCCAAATGGAGAAATAGGTTTCCTTCTGAGAGCTGGGCTAGGAAACCAATATAAAACTTCCAGAGTCTGGGGCTTAGGGAGGTACACCTGCCTAGGGGAGGGATCTGGTGGTCAGGGTGGCAGGGCCACCTTCCTCAGGCAGGTGGCAGCCTCTCCCTTATCATCTTTGTGGGACTTTCTGGGTGAAACCTCTCCTGGAACAGAGCCACTCATTCAAACACGTTCTGCTGGCCTGGTCTGTGCCACACAGAATGCTGGGTGCTGGAGCTGCAAAAAAGATGTGGCCCCGTCCTCAAGTTTGCAACAGCGAAAGCAAACACACGTGTGATGGCCATGGCAGTGAGGTGGAAGGTGGTGAGGATGGTTGCTTGGGTTCAAACTCTTGCTGTACTTATTATCTGAGTAACCGTGGGCAAGTTGCTTAACCTCTCTAAGCCTTGGTTTTCTCGTCTGTAAAATGGCGATGATGTTAGCCGTATAAGCCTCCTTGGATTGGTGTGAGGATTTAACAAGATACAGTCTCTTTGCCTTAAACATGTCACAGATGACCAACCTCACATGTGGTTGGTCAGTAAGGGACTTGGGTTAGTAGAATGCCAAGGTCATGTTGGTTTATGAGTCATCTTCCCCAGCACATTCACATTTTGAAGTAATCAGAAGCATGCTTTCTCAACATTAGAAAAAGCATAAATAGGCTGGACGCAGTGGCTCATGCCTATAATCCCAGCACTTTGGGAGGCTGAGGCAGGCGGATCACGAGGTCAAGAGATCGAGACCATCCTGGCAAACATGGTGAAACCCTGTCTCTATTAAAAATACAAAAATTAGCTGGGTGTGGTGGCGTACACCTGTAGTCCCAGCTACTCAGGAGGCTGAGGCAGGAGAATCGCTTGAACTTGGGAGGCGGAGGTTGCAAGTGAGCCGAGATCACACCACTGTACTCCAGCCTGGGTAACAGAGCGATACTCTGTTTCAAAAAAAAAAAAAAGGGGGGGTAGAAAATCTACCCAAGTGCCTTTCTTTATTGCAAGCAGTAGTTGATTTAGTGGCTTCCAGAACTGCTGCTAAGCTATCTGGGGGAGCCGTGAGTAAGATGGAAAAACTCAAAATACTTCTGCTGCTATGGAAACAATGGATGAATGATAAAGGCAGCAGTCTGGATTCGATTTTTAATTTTGATGAAAATGGTCTCTATCAGAAGCGAATGCCCTCTGGGATCAACATCCTGAAAGAGAAAGCGCAAGCTCTTAAATGTGTCCTTTCTGGGAGCATAGAAATACCGACAGGAAGGCTAGGTACCAATTCAGCTGCGCCAGTATTCTTCTAGGGAGTTTTATTGTTTTTTAATATTCTCTGGTTACAAAACTCCCAAAGTTTTGGAATGATCTTCCCCAACCCTATTCCCATAAGCCCTGCTATTCTAGGTGCATGACTTTATAGAATGTAGGGTTTCTGTGAACACACACATGACAAGAGACTCGAAACCTTTGTGTTAATGTGCTCAGTGCAGAGCCCGGAACGTAGTAAACACTCAAAAATGTTAGTGGCAAATATTATTGCTATTATTGTTGATGAGGATGACGATGATTAGAATTAATAACAGATGGTGGTCAGAAACACTCAAATGAGGGCTGTAATGTTCAGCTGGAACCTCAGTGTGGCAGTGACCCTGCGACTCTGGTTACCACTTCTTGGAATCAGTCAGCACTTCATGACACCCAGTGTGCACCAGACACTGTGCAACACCCTGGCAACTTAAGCGGAATGAACGCAGGCCCTTGCAGGAGGCAGATATTACTCAAAACATCCTACTTTCCCCTGGGAGTGGCCGAACAAGGGGAGCTCAGCCACCCTAGCCTCAGTTCGCTGGTCTGTAAAATGAGGGCAGGGGCTGGATGATCCCGGGGCCCCCAACCTCAATTCCCAGTGACTGCTCCTGCCCTGGTCCCTGCTTCCTGGAGCCGCAGCATCCGGCCCCTCTAGCCAGCCCCCGCTCCATGCACTTGGGCCTCTCTCTTCCCTTCGAGCCTTCCCCAGCTTTTGTTTCCAAGGCGCTCCCAGGACACGCTACGCTACACAGATGTCTCCACCAACTCCGCCTTGGTGCAGCCCGAGGAAGAGGATGCAAATGTCCCCGCTTCATGGCCCTTGATGAAGTGCCAGCCTGGCGAGATGATGTATAGCATGGGGGATGGATGGCGACGTTTTAATCACTCACGGGGAGAGCGGGCAGCTGCCTAATGGAACTGTCGGTCTTACTGACAGTTGACATCTGTAGCTTCAGACTTTAAGAGTGGATGTTCATGCTCCCCACTTGGATGCCTCCCGCTGAACTCCAAAACAAAGGCTCCTTGCACCCCACACGCTCGTGCTTACAGAGGGAGCTGTTGCTTTCCTCGACAAGGAGTTGTCTTTGGTTAGCAATGATAATTGGCTTCATTTTTTCTGACTTCCTCCCCACTTGCCAGCTTGTGTTCACCCCATCCTTGAAATACCTCTGCGGTAGGCACGGTGGTGGGCACACTGCACCCATTTTACAGATGAGGAAACTGAGGCTCAGAGAGATAGAACTCAGGCTGAGACCAGATCAGAGGCAGAGCTAGAACTGAGTCTCCTTAACTCTGGCAGCTTCCCCTTCCTGGGTCATCCCAAGTTCTGAACTTGGTGACATCATCTTGGGGAGAAGGAGAAGGTCAGAGAAAAGCAGCAAAGCAGAGGAAAGAAAAGAGAGAGGAGAGCTTAGAAGGCAGAGGAGAGGCTCAGAGACGTGTGGGAAGGAAGAAGCTGCAAGAGGGAGCAAGGAACACATCCAAGGTGGGGAGCCGCTCCCTTGCCTGGTCCTCAAATTTGCATGTTTTTCATGCGTATGTGACATTCATTTATTCATTGAACTAATATTTATTGAGCACCTTCTATGTTCCAGGTTTTTGTTTTTGTTTTTGTTTTTGAGACAGAATCTCACTCTGTCGCCCAGGATGGAGTGCAGTGGCCTGATCATAGTTCACTGCAGCCTCGAACTCCTGGGCTCGAGTGATCCTCTCACCTCAGCCTCCCAAGAAACTAGGACTGTAGGTGGCCATCACGCCTGGCTAATTTTTTAAAATATTTTGTAGAGACGAGGTCTCAAAATTTTGCCCAGGCTGATCTCCAACTCCTGGCCTCAACTGATCCTCCCACCTCGGCTTCCCAAAGTGGTGGGATAACAGGCGTGAGCCACTGTGCCCCTGCCCCAGGTGCTGTCCTAGGCACTGGGAATGCTGCACTGAATGGAACAGATAATGTCCCTGGCATCATGGAACAGATTTGGGTGGGGGAGGCTGATGGGTAAAGACATACAGAAGTAGTGTGCTCCCAAATTCTCTTCTTACCTGAGCACTACACAGACGCAGATGTACATAGCTCACTGCGGACCCAAGGCAAGGATTGGACTATGGAGGTGGGAGTCAAAACAGCAGGCACCTCCCAGGCCTGCAATCCCTTTTCTGCTACAAGCCTACATCAATTTCAATAATAAAATGAAGATGGCTGCTTTGAGACTCTGGGCAGAGCAAGGGAAACACAGCCAGTGTCTGTTCTTCACAGGCCTCGGCTGCAGTCAGTGGAGGTTGGCCACTGTCGCCCCTGAGCTTGTGGCCACCCTACTTTGATTGATAACGACAACTTCGGAAGCCCTTGGCGGGCCCAGGCAGATGGCACTGTGATGTCTATGAGATCAGTGTGCGGCATAAATCCGACAGCTCAAATTCTGGAATTGTATAAGCTTTTAAAAAGATTGCCGGCATATCTTTTATTTTTATTGTGCTAGAAACACAAACGAAAACAGCAATGATTTGTCCTTCAATAAACAAAAGCAGTAAAAGAATAGGGGAGAAAAAAATCACTACCCACTTTACATTCCCTGAGCCTACTTCTCGCTGTGACTTAGAGCAGGTTGTAAAAAACCCATTTAGAGGGGGCTGCATGTTCCTGCTGCCCCTCGCTCCCTGCCAGGGGCTGTGGTGTCAGCCAGACCCGGGTTCACGTGTGGGTCTGCTGCTTGCTGGCTGTGTGGCCTCAAATCAGTCCCTTAACCTCTCTGAACCACAGTCACCTTCCTATATAAGAAGACTATAGTTAATAAAGGTGGAAATGCTTAAGTTACTGCCTGGCAGGTAGAAGGCACTCAGGAAATTCAACAGTTATGATCACTGTGGTAAGTGTTATTGTCAGCTGCAAAATGAGGATGATAACTCCCCCCTGATTCTCAAGGTCATGGTGATATTCAAGGGAGATGACAGATAGAAAAGAGCTTTGTAAACTGTAGTGCACTGTGTACATGGCAGGCCTGATTATTAAGTCAACTAAAATAAATATGTGTTCTTGTGTCAGCCTTGGCCAATAATACCTAGATTCCATATCTAGGTTTTTTTGTTTTTGTTTTTGTTTTTTAATATCTCACGGTCTGTTGAAAGCAACCAGTGACATGATTTGTGCTGGTTCTGCCTCTGTGTAGAGCCATTCCCCCTGCCTCCTCTCTGTTATGGTTCCCTTCCTTTTTTTGTTCTCTCTTGTGGCCTAGGAACACTTGGGTTATACCTAGATCGCTTGATCTCAAACTCTAGTCCTTGGAATCATGCTAAGACAAAAAGCTCCATAGTCAAATACATTTGGGAAATGCTAGATTCAACAGGCTTCTTTATTGCAGGGCTTCTTAGCAATTTTGCTAAGCCAACTTGCATCTTGAGTCTCCAAAAACTGTAGAATGCAGCAGCTCCAAGACATGCCGCTATAGAACTTTCCTCCCCTATGTTGGCCATAGTACCTGGTGACTTCCAAGTATAGGGAGTGTAATTAATCAAAGGCCCAGCTGCTGTCTTGGCACAGAGTCCATGCTTCCCCTGGGCTCTTCCCAGCAAACGATGGAGCATGACATAAATCTGAAGTCAGCCCACTCCTGGGAGACACGGGATTTTTCTGTTGACTAACTTGGCTTGAGGACTCCTGGACAGCTTTGTCAAACCTTCTTTAGGTTGCACGCAGTCTAGGATGCCTTCACCCAACATTCTTTCACTCTCCATCTCTCTGGGGCCGACTTGCCTCGAGGTCTGACCACTCTCCAGCTGTCTCCAGCTCCCTCCCCATTTTCCCTCACAGATATTTTCCATAATAAAGTCCTTAAATGTTTAATTCCATTTTAGCGTTTCCTCCATAGAGGACCTAGACCAACACATACCTCTTGAAGAGCACCTATTACCACCATAAGGAACACAGGGTATCATGGGGGCAATCTGGGAAACTACAATCCAGCTCATCAAGGGCATGCAAAACTGAAGGAAGGAATTGTTTACTCCATCCATCCATCCATCCATCCATCCATCCATCCATCCACCCACCCATCTATGCATCCATCCACCTACTTACCCATTCATCCATCCACTTATCCATCCATCCCCCACTTACTCATCCATCCATCCACCACTCAGTCATCCATCCACCTATTTACTCATCCGTCCATCCACCCACCCATCTATCCACCCATCCATCTATCCATCCAACCATCCATCCATCCATCCATCCATCCATCCACTCATCCATCCCTTCACCTATCCATCCATCCGTCCATCCACCTACCTACCTAATCATCCATCTATCCATCCACCCCCACTCACTCATCCATCCATCCACCCAACCATCCACCCACTCACCCATCCATCCATCCATCCATCCACCCACCCATCCACTCACTCACCCATCCATCCATCCATCCATCCATCCACCCACCCATCCACTCACTATCCATCCATTCATCATCCACTCATCCACCCACTCACCCATCCATCCAGCTGTTCCATCCAGCCATCTGTCTATCCATCAACCCACCTATTCATTCATTTATCTGTCTGTCCACTCATCCAACTACTCACCCATCCATCTATCCACTACTCATTTATTCATTCATCCATCCATCCATCTACCCATCCATCCATCCATTAACCACTCATTTATACAGCCATCCACCCATCTCCCCACCCACCAAAACACCAACTCATCTATCCACCTATGCACCCATTCACCACCTACTCACCCATCCAAGCACATACCCATCCATCTACCCACCCACCCAACCCACAAACCAACCAGACACTATGGTGGGATGCTGGACAACCCACTGAGTTTCCTGACTGTGAAGCTGCCACCTTCTCAGGCTGCCCTACCAACCTGGTGGAAGCCAAGAAGAGACTGAAAGTAGCATCATTTCCTCCTTATAGGAAAGGGGCTCTATCATCTGAGCTGATTCCCATTCAGATGGGACAAAAATATATCCTACAAAAGCTCACACTTTCTTCATTGCGAACAATCTCATTTACATCTTGGCTTGGTGCCCAAAGGGATGCCTGCAAGACATACTTCTAGCGCATGTTCAGCCAGGCTGACAGCCCAGGAAGGATGTTATTTTGTAAAGTGGAGCTGAGAAAATATGAAGGGTGTTTCCAAAAGTTGCTGTTCATAATGAGGAGGGTAAGGAAGGTGAGGAAGTAATAATTGCCAGGCACCTGCTCAATTCCAAGCTCTTAACTTGTAGCACCTAATTTTACCTCCACATCAACCTTTAGAGGAGAAGGTCTAGTTATTATCTCCATTTTATGGTGAGGAGACTGAGGCTTAGAGAGGCAAATCATTTTACTTAAAAGGTGGAAAATAGAAGTGAGAGTACAGGCTAGGGCAGGAGCTTTCCTAAGGCTGGGCTCATCTACATGCCCAAGACAAGTTCTGGGGCTGGAGTGGGGTGCTGTGGGTAGAAGCAGGCTCAGTCTGGACTAGATGTCAAAGGGTGGCTAATGAGAGCTCAAAGCATACATTTGGAAAAGGAAGTTGGGTCCCTCTGGAAGTCTTCTGTTCTCTACATATGGAAGGCTGAGGATGAGGGAGAGGCGTAAAACTCCAAATATACTTTTTAAACTTATTAAAACCACGCTGTCCTCTGCAGGAAGAAATCGTTCCAAGCATTGGCAATGTTGCAAGATTCAGTGTGTCTTTGTCCAGTCGAGTGAGTTGCTTTGGTGAGGAAGACACTGAGGCTGAGATTTGTGCAAGAGACCCAGCAACACCTGGAAGCTGACTGTGGGTTCGACAAACTCAAGATTAGCAGAAAAGACAACCATGGGAGTGTCTGTGAAGAGACGAGGACTAGAAGGGAATGTGGAGAATAAACAGCTGTCAGGGTAGTGGGATGAGGGTGGGGCGAATATTCCATTTAAAATATCTTAAGAGTATAAAATGAAAACATTTAAAGCCAGTGATAGGGAGGCGAATTTGCTGGAATCTTTCCCACCTCTGGGTCTTTGCCCATGCAAGTTTCTGTGCCCCAAAGGCTCTTCCACCCCAGCCTTGTCTGCCAGCATCTCAGAATCAGGGCACGGCAGAAAGGTCATCTCCTCTAATGAGCCTCATGTCACAGCAACCATGAGATCCTAGGCTCTCAGATTAGGGGCCTCCTGTGCCCTTCTCTCTGCCTAGAAAACTACTCCTCTTGGCTTCTTCCCATGGCAGACTCCCTCCCTGCCATCCTTTAGGGTTCAGCTTAAATGTTACCTCCTCTACCTCCTCAGAGAGGTCTTCTCCTACCACCCATCCAGATGGGTCCCTTATTATTCTTTTTCTCAAACCTTTATTTGTTTCTTTTCTGGATTCTCTCTCCCTTTGACCCCACACACTGCCTTGAGTCTAGTATGATGACTAAGCACACAGTAGGAATCGACTTGAATAGGACAGCAGCTCTGGGATAATCTTAGTATACTTCCTGGCTCTACAGTGAATGTGGTTTTAATAAATACCAGCACTGGCCAGCCACTGAAACTAGGAAATGTGATGCAACTGTATTGGGAAGACTGGGGAGGGAGGGGGCCAAAGAGAGCTCAAGTTTCATCCACCATCACAGAACATCAAGAGATAATGTCTATAAGAGATGTTTCTTGGGTAAGCCGAGAAACAGCAATATACCAATCACATCACATTATGGAGACAAGGAGCAACAAAAACCCCAGTTAAAACTGTGGGAAGTCCTTGACTCCAGGGAGCTGGAATTGAAGGAGGAGAAGGGTGGCCATGGGACCATCATTTTCCATTATAAGCCTTTTACTACTCTTTGATTTTGAAATTATGTGCATGTATTACTTTAATAAAAGTAAAAATTAAAAAATAAGAACAAGCACAAAGAAAAAGAAAATCCCCTTGCAAATTGTACTGCTCCTCTAATCCTTCCTTGTAACATGTCCTAAAATGATACTGCAGCATGAAGGCAAACATTGTACATGGAAATGAGTAATGGCAATGTAATGTAAACAGATGTCAATTCCATTCAGTGCAATGACTTTTAAATATAAACACTCTGGTGGGAATATTTCACTCGATGATGTAGGACAACGAGGGCTTCACAGGGCTGATAGCTAACGCAACAGGAGAGAATGCCCCTGCCCAGGGCCTCCCTGCAGTGCCATGGACTGACATTGGCTCCAGGCAAGACCCTCAGTCTTCTCATCGTGCTACCTTGGTTTTCTCCTGGGTAGCAAGGCCTGCTTGATCCTGCGTGTCTATTACTGTTCTAGAAATAAGAGACACTACCACAGATATGGATCCACCAGAGGGAAAAGAGAAAACAGACCAGGCCATTCATTCATGCATTCAACAAAAAATGAATGACCACCTATTATGTGCCAGGCATGGTTTAAAGTGCTGGGTATAAAAGAGTGAACAAAACATGAAAATCCCCATTTTCTCTTGGATGGTTACATTCTAGTGGGGGTTGGGCTGAGGTAGAGAATAACAAAGACAAATCAGCAAAAGATAGCATAAGTGAGAAAGAGAGCAGGGAGGGGGACAAGAAGTGCTGTGGTTGGAAGCTGCAGTTAGGGAAGGACTCACTGATAAGGGCACATCCCAGCAAAGCCCTGAAGGAGGTTAGAGAGTTAGGCCTGCAATGTGTGTGGGGAAAAGGAACAGCCAGCACAAAAGCCTGAAGGCAGGAGCACAGCTAGCCTGGATGAGTATCAGTCAGGATGCTGGAGTGGCTAGAACAGGATGAACAGAGATGAGTAGAAAAGATGAAATGAGATAGATAATCAGGCAGGTCCGATCCATTGCCTGGTGCATTCATTCATTCCCAGGGAGGCCTTGATGTCAGTGGTACAAAAAAATGGCTCTCAAGGAAAAAAAGAGAAGAAAGGAAAATACAAAGTCCTGCTTTGCAGCATCTGCTGGTTTCTGTGTTGTGATCCTCCCACTGCTGCTGATGTTAAGCCAATGTGACGTCACTGGGTGCAGAGCTGGGAAGGGAGGGGTGTATCTAGCCCTAGCATCCAGTACCCTACTGCCAGTGCATGGCCATCTGCTCTTTAATGCTCCAGGGATTTAAAAAAGTCCCTGCCCCTATACCCAGGAAATGTAAATCTTTGGCCAGGGAGTGTCCTCTCCCTACTTGGCACACAGCATGCTTATGGCTCCATTTCTTTTTTTTTTTTTTTTTTTTTTTTTTTTTTTTTTTTGAGACGGAGTCTTGCTCTGTCGCCCAGGCTGGAGTGCAGTGGGGCGATCTCGGCTCACTGCAAGCTCCGCCTCCCGGGTTCACACCATTCTCCTGCCTCAGCCTCTCCGAGTAGCTGGGACCATAGGCACCCACCACCACGCCTGGCTAACTTTTTGCATTTTTAGTAGAGACGGGGTTTCAACGTGTTCTCGATCTCCTGACCTCATGATCCACCCGCCTTGGCCTCCCAAAGTGCTGGGATTACAAGCGTGAGCCACCACACCCGGCCGCTTATGGCTCCATTTCTAACAGAATTGCCTGCAAAAGTACATATGGTGCCACAAATGTGCCAAATGTATTGCACCTGAAGCCTTTACACTTGTTGTTGATGCTTAGAATGTTCTTCCCCAGATGTGTGCATGCTTACACTATCAGAATTAAATTATTTCCCTATCTACCTATCATCTTTCCACTTATCTCTCTCTCTTTCTTCATCATCAACTATCTATATGAAAGTGATTATGGCCTTTGGTATCTGGCATCCTGGCATTGCTATATTCACTTCACATTCCTAATAGTATCTGGCACATGGTAGGCATGCATTCAATAGATATGAATAAATTACCCTTCTGTTTACAGTATGAACACTTACATATATGACCCCCTGCATAGATTTGAAGGGTCTCCACCAAGGACTATTGAGGTGCATCGTGGACAAGAGATGAGTTTGCAAGAGGCAGCATCCAGGCTAAATGACCACGCTCTTTCTGCCTGGATGAGTGTTGGACTTCTGAGGGCAGCTTATCGCCAAATGGCAGCCCTTACTTAGCACAGTTCAGAAGATCACGCCCAAAGCGCCTCTATCACCTGCCACGAAGGCTAGAGTGATTTCAGCAGGCAGTGTGCAGCATAATCTTCTCTGAGCATCAGGAGAGCCTTCACCCTTGGGTTCATGTTTGAGAGATATTTAATGTGCTTGCGAAATGTCTCTCCTTTCTTGCACCTGTATTCCCACAGACATAGATTCTGGAGAGGTGGACAGGGGCACCCAAATGCTCAAAAAGGGAGGAGCAGCTCGTGATTAGGGAGAAAAGGTTGAAATGAGATGATTTGCCAGTTATTCTGTGTGTGATTAGATCCCCCACCCCAGACTTTCCAGCGCCCAGCAATCTAATCATTTCAATGGCTATTATTTAAATAAAAGCAATAATCGACCTCTGCAGAGGAGCGTACTTGAATCGGCAATCACCGTGCAAGACCTCTCCTGGACTCTATTAAGAATGAAAAGGGATTCGTGGTCTGAAGCAGCCCATGAGAACAACACAATGTGAAGGAAGTCAGTTTTCTGCAGTGCCAGGTGGTAGGGAGGGTCAGAAAAAATAGCGGGGTGGGGGTGGGTTGGCACCTATCTTGGCATCTGGCTGGAGCTCCTAGAGGGACAGGCAAGGTACTGGAGAGGACAGAAGGCAGGACAGAGACCATTTGGCTCTTCCTCCCCCAGAATTATTGCAACCCAGAGAAAAGAAGAAACTCAGCCAGGCTGGTTTCCCTTTATTGCCTGCTCTGCAAACTTAGAGGCACCTCCAGAGCCTTGAGGTGCCTCTAAGACATACAAGCCCCAATGTCTTTCATTTCATCAATGGAGCATCTACGCTGTGCTGGCCATCAAGGACGTCAGGGTGAGGATTAGTCAGAGAAAAATAGTCCCCGTTCTTAAAGATACAATCTAGCTGAGGAAGAAGAAAGAGCAACAACAATAACAAACACACAAACAGGTAGATTAAAACACAACCTGATAGATGAGATTATGAGCTCTGCACCAAATGCCGTCAGAATAGAGAGACAGGGAAGGATATCTTGGTTGGATCTTGAAGGATGAATAGGGGTTTTTCTGGTAACGATAACAATCATACCAATAGCTCATGTTCATTTAGGGCTTGCTTTGGTCACATTTTTCTGGGTGCGCTTCATTTATTATGCTACTTAAAAATGATCCCTAGCATTTATTGAATGTTTATGCCAGGTACTGTTCTAGGTGTTTGACTTGTATTACCCTAACTTAATCCTCACAGTGACTCAGTGAACTTCCTCACACCCAGCTCATGGAAATTGAGGCCAGGGAAGGTAGGGGGACTTGTCTAGAGTCTCTCACCTAGCAAAGGAATGGGGCTAGGATTTGAACCCAGACAGAACACTCCGGAGACTGCAGTCTTAATCACTATCCTACACAGCCTTCTCATGGGAACATTTCTTCCAAGCATCTGAGGGATAATACCAAGGAAACACTAAGTGTTAGTGCTCC
The DNA here is from genome assembly GCF_000001405.40 of Homo sapiens. NCBI lineage: Eukaryota > Metazoa > Chordata > Mammalia > Primates > Hominidae > Homo > Homo sapiens. The sequence continues at coordinate 14,839,122 of NC_000001.11, read as the reverse complement.
GAAGTGGCAGGACAGGCAGGGCAGGTTTAGGAAGCACCTCTGCAGCCTGAAAGTCTTCCCTCCATGCACTGTGCTAAAGCCTGGAATTCTTATGATGCCCCTGGCAGGAGTTGATTATGGGGGCATGGGCTGCTTGCCCTTCTCTCTTTTCTTCAAAGCCAGGTGGATAAAGTGCAAACCTGGAGTAGGTTTAAGAATCAGGGCCAGGTGCGGTGGCTCACACCTGCAATTCCAGCATCTGGGGAGGCCAAAGTGGGCGGATCATTTGAGGTCAGGAGTTCAAGATCAGCCGGGCCAATAGAGTGAAACCTTGTCTCTACTACAAATACAAAAATTAGCCAGGTGTGGTGGCAAGCGCCTGTAATTCCAGGTACTCAGGAGGCTGAGACATGAGAATCACTTGAACCTGGGAGGCAGAGGTTTGCAGTGAGCTGAGATCCCACCAATGCACTCCAGGCTGGGTGACAGAATGAGACTCTGTCTCCCCTTCCCCTCACAAACAAAAAGAACCAGGAAGCTAACCTTACAACCAAAGAATGGGATCAAGAGGGGAGCCGAGGCACACCTTGGAACCTAATTGAGCATGGTTTTGTGAAGCTGAACAGAAGGAGATAAAGTTAGCAAGAGGGAAGATTCTGGGTAACTGACCAGGTGGGGGGCTCTTTCTTCCCAGCTGAGGTTTGGACTTTCCAGTTCATCTCATGCCCCACAATCCAGCAATTTCACTCCTAGCCATAAATCCAAGAGCAATTCCAGAAGTCATGGATAAGTACATTCAGACGTGCTGCTATGATCTTAAATTTCATATGTTGAAACTTATCAATGTGATAGTATACAGCGGTAGGGCCTTCAGGAAGTGATTAGGTCATGAGGGCTCCTCCCTTGTGAATGGGATTAAGGTCTTTAGAAAAGAGACTTCACACAGCCACAGCTCTTTTGCCCTTCCATCCCTTCCTCCACGTGAGGGTGCAGCATTGGTCCCCTCCGGAGGGTACAGCCCCAAGGCGCCATCTTGGAAGAAGGCAGCAGCTCTCACCAGACAACAGAACCTTCCAGTGCCTTGATCTTGGACTTCCCAGCCTCCAGAACTGTCAGAAATAAGTTCCTGTTCTTCTTTATAAATCATCCAGTCTCAGTCCATTTAGCACAAAGGGACTAAGACAGCAGCATTGTTTATGATTACCCTCCACCACCCCAAATATAGCTCCATGGTCCATCAGAGGTAGAATGGTTAAATAAACCGTTTTATATTCACACAAAAGAATATGAGCCAGGTGCCATGGCTCACGCCTGTAATCCCAGCACTTTGAGAGGCTGAGGTAGAGGGATTGCTCGAATCCAGGAGTTCAAGACCAGCCAGGGCAACAGGCTTGTCTCTAAAAATAATAATAATAATAATAATAATTATCCAGGGGTGGTGGCACATGCCTATCTGCCAGCTACTCAGGAGGCTGAGGTGGGAGGATCTCTTGAGCCTAGGAGGTTGAGGCTGCAGTGAGCTATGATTGCGCTATTGCACTCCAGCCTGGGTGACAGAGCAAGACCCTGTCTCAAAAAAAAAAAAAAAAAAAATTATACAGCTATGGGAATGAATGAACTACACTGACATAAAACAACAGGTATGGGCCAGGCACAGTGGCTCACGCCTAAAATCCCAGCACTTTGGGAGGTTGAGGCAGGCAGATCACCTGAGGTCGGGAGTTCGAGACCAGCCTGACCCACATGGAGAAACCCCGTCTCTACTCAAAATACAAAATTAGCAGGGCATGGTGGCGCCTGCCTGTAATCCCAGCTACTCGGGGAGGCTGAGGCAGGAGAATCACTTGAACCTGGGAAGCGGAGGTTGCGGTGAGCCAAGACCGCACTATTGCACTCCAGCCTGGGCAACAACAGCGAAACTCAGTCTCAAAAACAGCAGCAACAACAACAGCAGGGATGTATTTTAGCACCATAATGATAAATGAAGAAAGCAAGAAGCAAGAGCCTACCTATGAGATCTTTCTAAAAATTTTTTAAAAAATTAAATAATTATCTAGAGATTTATAAACACACAGCAAAACTTTAAAAAAACAAGCAAAGAAATGAGAAAGACAACATTCAGGACAGAACTGCTGTGTAATTAGATCAAAGCAGCTTTTAGAAAGACAGAATTCAGGAAGGCGGTTACCTGGGGGCGGAGGAGTGGACGGGAAGCACCTGCAGGTGGCCTCAGCAGGGCTCATTAGTTTCAAGTACTTTGGGGAGATGATGGGTCTAAGAGTGCCATTTAAAAGTATTATATTTTAAAACTTTCAAATTCATTGATGGAGGTCTTTAAAATATATTAAATAGAATATAATGAAAAATTTTAAAGAGAGGCAAGGCGTGGGGGAATCCATGCTGAGACACCCCCTCTCCATTTCCCTCCCCACATCGTGCAGGACTTGGCTTGGGTGGAGGTGGCTGGGGAGCAGGAGGTGGGAGTTGGGGAGCCTGAGGTTTCACCTGACCTGACTTCTCAGGCCTCGGGGATGCTCAAGAGAGGAAGAGACCAAAGTGGGTCTGGAAAGAGGAGGCGTGGGCCCAGATGAGCTTCCGTCAAGTTGAATGAAGCTTCAGAGTTGGGATGAGGAGTTGGAGGGTCAGAACCTGGAACCTCTGTCACTCTTTAGCGGTGGAACATCTGGTGGCTCCCACTTGCCACTCGCAACAAAACCCTCAGAAGCCAAAGGGGCAGCTGCTTGGGGCAGTGAGGGAGGAGGCTGGAGCTCGTCCCACCCACTCCCCAGTCTGTCAGGTAAGAGACACAGAGGTGCGGCTTTGAGTTCAGGCTTAAAATCTGGGGCTTGGGACCTGGGGACCTGGACCAGAAACTTCCTGTCCTCTGGCTTATGTCCCTCCTGGCTTCTCTCCACCCTCTCTCTGTCCTGCCCAGGGGACCTGGAGTCTTTAGCGAGCACCAGAGGGGAGGTGGGCATGCAGGCTTCAGCTTCTGTCCCCTCTTCTCTCAGGAGCCAGTTGCCTGCAGGAAGCACACTTTCTGTAAAACTTACAGGTCAGGTCTCCTGCTAGCGGGGCGGAGGGGCTCAGGGGCCTGCTGTCATCCAACTGGCCCACAAGGGTCTGTTTGCCTAATGAGATCCCCATTCTTCTATCTCCAACCCAGCTGTTACCAGCAATAGAGGTAACATTTTGGCCTGCATCTGCTGACTTTTGTTTTCAGTCTCACTGGGTTATGAGTCAGCAGGGAAAATTGGAGTGTTACACATTGGTGCCCCTCAAACCTCAATGTCAAGGAGGAAGGGGACTCCTGGGAGCTGTCAGGGGGCGGGGGTGGGAGGTGTTTCCCGGATAGGAGCCAGGGAAAGAGTCCAGGCCAAGGGCTACGGGTGGTGGAGGCAGGAGATGGTGTTACAGGGACAAAAGGGGCCCTGGAAGCACAGCTCCCATTTCCCTTCCAGTGACAAGTGGCTCTTGGAACGCACTATTAACATAGAGGTCTGGGTTCAAATCCCAGCTCTGCCTCTTCTATTACGGTGCAATTTGGGGCCAGTTATTTAACTTCCGCGCTTCAGTTTCCTCCCGTGACAATGAGACTATCCATAACTTTACTGGGGCTGTTGTGCAGAGTGAGTAACATAATGCACCTCATGGTTGATCCCGTGTTCCAATCAGGCTCCAGGAGAGACACTCAGATTGCGGCCCCCACCCCCTTCTCGTCAGGTTTTCTCTGGCTCTGCCTACGGGGTACAAGAAACACTCTCTGGAGCTGTAGCCCATCTCTCATTCTGTCCCTCTTTTTGAATTTGCTCTGCGGTAACCCTGAAACTTTACAGCCAATTTTAATTTTTCTTCAATTTAGAGCTTGTCACAGATGCCATCATCCTTCCTCACTGCCCTTTAAGGCAACATATGTCTTTGGTGACCACAGGGCAAAGCAGATACAAAGACAGGTAGAAAATTCTATGATCACAGTTGATAGGAATTACAATACCTCTCGGGGAGGGATCAAGAAACTCTGATCCCGCTGGCGGGATGGGCATTTCTAATGAATTAATGCCATGCACTCAATCTGCTTATGACAAACTGTTTCAAAGCCTGCTTGCCAAAATAAGCCTGCTTTAACTGAACACAGAAACACATAAAACCATTAGGGAACCTACTCTTTTTTTAGCGGGTGGTCTAGCTAAAGAAGTCTTCTGCAGCAGAAAAGTCATTTAAAATGGGAGAGTGCCCCAAACCAGCACTTTAAATCTACTGAATCCAGACTCAGTGTTATAACAATAGCCACTATTTCATCATTATATAATACTAATACTAATACTAATACTAATAATTCCCCTAGGCTCCAAGCTCCATCAGGGTAGGAATTTTTGACTGTTTTTCTTTTTTCTTTCCACTCTTATATTTCCAGTGCCTGGTGCAAGTTACTCGATACAAATTTGTCGAGCACATAATGCTAATTTTAAAATGATGTTGTTTCAGCTGGGCGCAGTGGCTCACGCCTGTAATCCCAGCACTTTGGGAGGCTGAGGCAGGTGGATCACAAGGTCAGGAGATCGAGACCATCCTGGCTAACACGGTGAAACCCCGTCTCTACTAAATATACAGAAAATCAGCTGGGCGTGGTGGTGGGCACCTGTAGTCCCAGCTACTTGGGAGGCTGAGGCAGGAGAATGGTGTGAACCCCAGAGGCGGAGCTTGCAGTGAGCCGAGATCATGCCACTGCACTCCAGCCTGGGTGACAGAGCGAGACTCTATCTCAAAAAAAAAAAAAAAAAAAAAAAGGAAGTGACTTGGTGACTTGGGGCCAGGCATAGTGGCTCACACCTGTAATCCCAGAACTTTGGGAGGCCGAGGTAGGTGGATCGCCTGAGGTCAGGAGTTCAAGACCAGCCTGGCCAACATGGTGAAACCCCATCTCTACTAAAAATACAAAAATTAGCCAGGCGTGGTGGCAGATGACTGCAACCCTAGCTACTCAGGAGGCTGAGGTAGCAGAATTGCTTGAACCCAGGAGGCAGAGGTTGCGGTGAGCTGAGATCACACCACTACACTCCAGCCTGGGTGACAGAGTGAGACTCCATCTCAAAACAACAACAACAAAAAATATATATGTATGTATGTGTGTGTATGTGTGTGTGTGTGTGTGTGTGTGTGTGTGTGTGTGTGTGAATGACTTGGGAGGACAGCAGAGTCCTTTTGTGTGGTAACAAAAGAACTGTGGTTGATGACATTCTCGGCTCTTAGACACCAACATTCTGGCAAACCCGAATTTCAGGTTGTATGAACTGAACGAGGCGGCCACCACCTGCTGGTGAAGCATGGATGTCATCAGAGCCTTGGAGCGGCAACACCTGGCTCCAGGGTCTATTAGCAAGGGTTCCGGGACGAGGAACAAGAGAGCTCTCATCTTCAGGCTCCTGGTCACCACTCATGCTTTCCCCCGGGCACCTGTACATCAACAAGACTTCATGAAATCCTCACTGCACAGGAGATGGAAAAAGGGGCTGCCTCACAATCACCCAGAAAAGACAGAACCCATATGCTTATGATGAGGGCCTGGGGGGGGTAGAGGACGGATACCCTACTTTCCCTGCCCCTTGGCGGGATATCTGAGGGGTGTGCTCCACACTGAGACACCCAGCAGGATTGAACCCTTGTGGTGACTGCTCAACAATGTACCCTATATTGACTTCTTTCCTTCCCCTCCCCTTTCCTTCCCTGTCTCACTCCCATTCTGCTGCCCACACACACACCAGTGCTCCCAGGGATGCCCTCCTGCATAAAGGTCAAGTACTCACACATTTGTTTCAGGGTCTGTTTCTAGGAGATCCCAGCCCAAGACAGTGGGGGGGCATGGACACTCATTGTTCTTTCTGTCCAGCATGGATACCTGCTGTCTGCTAGAAACCCACTGCCACTGTCACGCCATGGTCCAACTCGGTGAGTGGTTCACTCCCTCTGCCTCAACCCACTCCAAGGATGGGCACTCGACTGAGGCATCTCACTGGCTACACAGTCTAGACCAGGGGTTGGCAAGCTTCTTCTATAAAGATGAGTAAATAGAATATTAATTTTATCTTTTATTTATGATTAAGTAAATTATTCATTATCAATTTTTAAAATAAAATTTTAGATGAATAAATATCTTTTCAGCTGTGCAAGCCATATAGTCCACCTTGACTATTCAACTCTGCCACTGTAGCACAAAAGCGGCCTTCGACAAGCCCTAAAGGAATGAGCACGCTTGGGTTCCAATAAGTCTTTATGGACACTGAAACGTGAATTTCATGTAACTTTCACAGGTCATGATATATTGCTCTTCCTTTGTTTTTTTTCAACCATTTAAATGTGTGAATAGCATTCTTAGGTTGTGGGCCAGGCAGAATCAAGTGGCGGGATTGGTCTAGACCATACTTGTCCAACCCAGGGCACGTGGGCTGTGCATTAGCCCAGGATGGCTTTGAATGCAGCCCGATACGAATTTGTAAACTTTTTTAGGGCATTGTGATTTTCTTTCTTTCTCTTTTTAGCTCATCAGCTATCGTCAGTGTTAGTGTATCTTATGTGTGGCCCAAGACAATTCTTCTTCCAGTGTGGCCCAGGGAAGCCAAAAGATTTTGGACACCCTTAGCCTAGACCCTAGATCCAAGATCAAAACTGATCCAATCAAAGATAGTGAACATTACTCCCAGGATGTCTACTGAAAAGTCTGGGAAAGAGTCATCCTCTCTCTGTCGAAGCTGCTGAGCAGTAAGGATGTGTTTTGCAAATTCCAGGGGCTAAGATGGGAGAGGCCCTGCTTAAGAATGAAGTCCCCTCCACCACAGCACAGCAGATCCCAGAGATAGAGAGACGTGGGGGGTGTGGGGTGTGGCAGATTCAGCCATGCCTGTAGCTTAGTAAATTCTCTTGTGAGTGTGTGTGTCTTTTTTTTTTTTTTTGAGATGGAGTTTCGCTCTTGTTGCCCAGGCTGGAGCGCAATGGTGCGATCTCTGCTCACTGCAACCTCTGCCTCCTGGGTTCAAGTGATTCTCCTGCCTCAGCCTCTCAAGTAGCTGGGATTACAGGTGCCTGCCACCATGCCTGGCTAATTTTTTTGTACTTTTATAGAGATGGGGTTTCACCACGTTGGCCAGGCTGGTCTCGAACTCCTGATCTCAGGTGATTCACCTCCCTCGGCCTCCCAAAGTGCTGCGAGTACAGGTGTGAGCCACTAAGCCCAGCCAATTCCCTTGTTTTTGCTCATGCTCATTTGAGTTGGGTTTCTGTCACTCGCAACCCAGAGTCCTGAATAATACAGTGAGGATTTCAGAGGAGGCGTCCAGGCAAGATAAGCTGGAGGAGGCAATGAAGGACAAGCAGGGCCCACCCGAGCCTCAGCACAGTCGCTTGTCATTTCCCTGTCTCGGTTTCCCATTCAGTGGGCAAAATGCTCTCTTAGCTCAGAGTCCAGATAGGGATGTATTCATATTTTTGTAAAACCTCGGCGGTAGGCTCAATATTTCTTGTCAGATTGAGAGCACTAATAAGCAGTGCTGTGTATTAGATGGAATAAATCAATGCCTTCATGGTGGTGTGCTGGCCAGGCCGCTGAGAAACTGCTGAACGGAAAGCAACACACAGCACCCACATCTTCATTTTATGTGACAGAGGGAAACTTCGACATTTTTCTTTATCAAAGGCAGAACTGACCAATGCTGTTGGCTGGGCTCTGCCAGGTCAGGGAAGGGAAGAGTACAGGAAGGGAGGCGTCCCACTTTCTTGGGAGCAGCAGAAGCAGCAGCAGCAGCAGCAGCAGAGGAACTGGGATTGCCAGGAATTCTCCAGAACAGTTAGAAGCAGTTCCATCCTGGGTGGAGGACAACCGAGGGTTTTCTCTGTGATCCATCAGGGATGAGCCTCTGGATCCAGCTGTACCTGAAGCCAAATGGGCATAAGCAAAAACAAGGGAATGGGCATGAGCAAAAACAAGAGAATTGGGCAGGCGTGGTGGCTCACGCCTGTAATCCCAGCACTTTGGGAGGCCAAGGCAGGTGGCTCACCTGAGGTCAGGAGTTCGAGACCAGCCTGGCCAACATGGTGAAACCCTGTCTCTACTAAAAGTGGGAGAGAGCGCCTGGGTCATCAGATGGGATGCACAGCATGAAGAGGTAGAGAAGGGCTGGAGCTGGGGGAACAGGCACATCCTGACATTGATGGGTGAGGTAAGAATGAGGCTGCAGGGACTGCCTGGTGCTCAGTCCACCTGAACATGACAGCATCCACATTTCTCCCTTGATATGGTTTGGCTATGTCCCCACCCAACTCTCATGTTGAACTGTAATCCCCAGTGTTGTGGGAGGGTCCTGGTGGAAGGTGATTAGATCATGGTGGTGGTTTCTAATGGTTTGGCACCATCCCCCTGGTGCTGTCTTGAGATAGAGTTCTCATGAAATCTGGTTGTTTAAAAGTGTGTAGCACTCCCCCTTCACTCTCTTTCTCTCTCTCCTGCTCTGCCATGGGAAGACTGGCTTCCCATTCGCCTTCCTCATGATTGTAAGTTTCCTGAGGCCTCCCAGCCGTGCCTCTTGTACAGCCTGCAGAACTGTGGGTCAATTAAACCTCCTTTCTCCATACATTGCCCAGTCTCAGGTAGTTCTTTACAACAGTGTGAGAATGGACTAATACGCCCCTTCTCTCTTGGCTCACTCTGCAGGCTCCTGAGGGCTGGGCACCTGACTCAGGCCTGACAATTAAAGCACAGCATCCCTTGTTCTCTGTGATACATTCAGGGATGAACACGTCACCCAAGTTGGGCCAAGGAGAGTTCTCCTAGGACCTTTGCTGGGACTGTCATTTTTCCCTCTGGCCCAAGGTTTATAGAACATAAGTCTGGAGCTTCTCATGGCCACCTGCTACGGCTCAGGGAAAGCCTGTCTGTGAGTGAAGCCAACACAAAGGAAGAAAGAGTCTAGAAAAAGAGAGACAGATTCATGATGACACGACTTGAGCCCCTGGATCCAGCTGTGCCTGAAGCCAGCTACCTTTGGCCTTTTTAATAATATGTAGCTATAACTACTCCCCCAACACCTGTTATTATTAAACCATTTTCCCCACCCTTAACTGTGATTACTATAGCCACAAAGAAGAAAGAACTGATTACTATAGCCACAAAGAAGGCTCATGTGTTGACCACTTGCTAGTGGGGGCTAGTGGCTAGTGCTGCTTTTACCTGCTTCCCACTAGCAAAGCCTAGGGCCTGGGACTGCCCCTGAACAGGGCTGGGGCAGACATGACCTTTGGACGAAGTCTAAACTCAGGTTGGCTCATATGGTCCTTCACTATCCAGTGTCTGCCTGTCTTTCCAGGCTTACCTTCTATGCTCTGGCCACACTAGCCTCCTCTGATCTCTGAAAATTTGTCACGCTTCTTTGACAATCAAGACCTTCACACACATCATTCTGTCTGCCTGTAACAGTCGTCTCTCCTCCAGTCTGCCCCTCTCACAAATCCACCTCCCTACCCCAATAAACACATGCACACAGGACAAGGGACAAGCTGGCAAACTGTTACTCTTTTCTTTTTTTCAGAGACAGAGTCTTGCTCTGTCACCCAGGCTGGAGTACAGCGGCACAATCATAGCTCACTGCAGCCTTGAACCCCTGAGCTCAAGAGATCCTCCTGCCTCAGCCTCCCGAGTAGCTGGGATTATAGGCATGTGCCATCACAACCAGCTGTTACTCATTTCTTCTCTTGGCTTAGCTGTCACTTTCCCGAGAAAGTTCCTGTGTTGTCCTCCATCTCTGTTACATGTTCCTAAATAATTCTGCACTTCTTTTCTTATCCTAGCACAATTTCTCATATCCACTAGATACTGATTAAATATGTGTTGAGGGAATCAATGAACAAGGAACCATAAAGTCATCCATAGCTCTGTTATTCATGCCTATCATGGCTCAAAGGGACTTGGGGCATGGTCTTCTCGTGAGTCAGTCACGACACTATTAGCTGTCTACTCAATTTCCAGGCTCTCCTTTCCTGCTAACAGAGCCCCTGCTTGTTCAGAGTAACAGTATACTCAGCCCCAGGTGAAGGATCATGAACTAATGGCTTAAGCCACCCAGGATATCCTGTTCCTCGCTTTCTCAGCCTCTCTTGTAGCAAGGGTGGCCATGTGACCCTGTTCTGGCCAGTGAGACTTAAGTAGAAGTCTCTCGGGAGATCTCCTGATTAAAGCAGTACAAATGTTGCTCTCGCTATCTCTTCTGCCTTCTTCCTGCCTGAAATGGGAATGTGGAGCTTGGAGCATCTGCAGCCATCTTGTGACCATGAAGTAACAAACCACCAACCTCTGGATGCCAACTTGGAAAGATGGAAAGAGACTGGGTTCCTGATGATGCTTTTGGACTGTTGTACCCGTCCAGTGCTACCAACCACAGCATTTTTTTATTTAGTGGGGGAAAAAAACATAGTTTAAGCAACTTTTAGTCAAGGTTTCTGTAACCTTCAGCTAAAAGCATTTATAATGGATGTAGTTTCTTCCTTTCTTGGGGGGACTATGGACTGCTACCGCAACTTAAAATTGCCAACGTGGCTGCCCCAGGGTTCAGGAATCTCTCCTCTTGGTTCTGGGACTCCGTTGAGCAGAGAATCAATCCCAGAGCTCATGCACCCTCCTCTTAGGCCAGGAAGGATCTAATTATCCAGTGATTGTAGCGATTATTTCATCCAATTGATCGATAATAGCTGTAATTTTTAAACACGGTTTTCCATTAATAATTTGCAACATATTTATTGTTTATACTCAAATAAAATAGGACGAAAATAAAACAATTGAGATGCAATCTCCAGAGTCCTGAATATTTACACAGTGCAGTGATACATGTTTTAGCCGAGATATTTTATGTTGTTTTCTCCTTTTTAAAAGAGAAGATGTTTATTAATATAAATGATCACAATGATCACAATTCAGAAAGTTCCCTGAACTGTGACTATGTTGCCAGGGATGGCATAGAGCATTTGTCGATTGATTGTGTATGCCAAGGGATGGCATAGAGAATTCGGTGATTGATTGTGTATGTCTGCCACAGGCAGGGGAGGGCTGAGTTATGCCCTGTGTGCTAGTATTTGTCATCTCTGGCTTAAGCATTGGACCTCTGTTTCCAGCAATGTTATTTAACTTTAGTCGTCTTCCCAAGATGACAGGAAGGGCCACAGCCAACTTTTATGCAAATGGAGAAGGAATAAAAGAAACCCCAGTCTATTTCTAGGGTTTCCTATGACAACATGTGAAACCCCAAGTTAGGGGCTCCTGTTCCACCTTAGCCAGGGGATCCTTGAGTGGAGAGTTTCTCAATCCCATAGACATGCCCACTCATTACTGGTTCCCAAACTTTGAAGGTAAGACAGCTGCTTTATTAAAAAATTGAAGCTTGCTGGCAGAAAGGCCCTTGTGAACATTCTCCAAAGGGCCAGTGGCGGCTGCTTACCAGCCTCTGGGGCCTGCTTCGAGGGCTCCTCTCTGGGACCCACTCCCTCTTTCCCAACAACCCTCCTCTTGAACCCAGCTCAGCCCTAAGCAATTTTACTGTCTGTCAGCCTAGTGTGCAGGGGGAGGCAAATAAAATCCCTGCCCCTAATGGAAAAGCAAACGTCGCATGTTCTCACTCATAAGTGGAGGCTAAGCTACGAGGACGCAAAGGCCTAAGAATGATATGATGGACTTTGGGGACTCAGGGCAAAGGGTGGGAAGCAGGTGAGGGATAAAAGGCTACACGTTGGGTTCAGTGTACACTGCTCGGGTGATGGGTGCACCAAAATCTCACAAATCACCACTAAAGAACGTACTCATGCAACCAAATGCCACCTGTACCCCAAACACTTACGGAAAGTTTAAAAAACCAAAACACAAAAAAACAAAATCCCTGCCCCCAGAATGCTCAGAGTCAGCCTTGAGTTTTTTCAAGTCAATCACTACTGGGTTGGGTCCCTGCATGACAGAAAGTTACCTTAGCCAATGGATGCCTCAGGACTGGGCCCATCCCTCTCTTTTCCCAGGTGAGGGGAAAGAGGAAAGGCATCCAACATCCACAGAACTGCCTGATGTGCGCAGCCTCCCGCACATCATCTGATTCCGCCCTCACGGCAGCTCCAATAGGTGGGGATTGATTCCAAGAGCACAAACACAGACACTGGGACTCGGAGAGCTTGGCTAACCCCACATCACACAGCCGCCGAGCCAGGATCTGAACCCCATTTGGTCTGACCCCAAGTCTTCATTCTTTTCGCTGCACCAACTTGTTGTCCATGAAAATCTGAGTGGGTGAGAAGAGCAAAGGCGGCCTGAATTCTTTTAAGCCCAGATTCCCAGCCAGGCTTACCAATGGGAAACAGGAAATTCCAGGTTCATCCTTCAGCAGGTGCATGTTGGGCATGTGGGGATACCAGGTTCTGTAAAAACCGAGATGAAAAAAAATCCAGCCGCTACTGGAGAGGAACTTAACAGTCTCAGTGGGGGCATGCATGTGAAACCGACAGAACCACTGACATGGGAGGGAAACGGCCAGCGCGGGACCGAGGCTGAGAAGGCACAGAGGAGGGAGGCGACACCCATGGGGAACGGGCCATCAGCCGCCCCCAGGAGCAGCAAGGCCGCTCTGTAGAATTTTCCAGAAATTGCAACCTGGCTCTCAGGAGGTCTCAGAGTGTTGAGGAGGGTGGCTCAGGCTTGAGTGCAATTGCAGAAGCAGGCAATGACTCATCCTGTGTTTATCAGAAACTCTACAACACAAAAATCCACTAAAATAAATCCATATGGCCAACGCCAGAGCGCCTGACAATGAGACAGATTCTTGCCTTTTACGAACATCCGCAGACAATTAGCACACCCTCCTGGTCACATGCTGGGAAATTTTCCCTTCTTTCCCTTTATTCCTGCTTTTGCAATCTGGGAGGAACAACAAAAGGAGTCTCTCTGTGCCTCTGTCCCTCAGATGGGGGTGCACGGGCTTCCACCAGCAAAACATTTCCATGTGGCTCTCGATGGGCAGGGGACTCAGCGGCCAGCATGGACCTGCTTTTCTAAAACTTGGGTCTGAGTCCAGGTCCAGCCCCTTCTTTGCTATGTGGACTTTGAGGAGCAATTGAATCTCTGTGTCTTGTTACCATTCAGCCAGCTGTCCACCAATTCAGAGCGTGTTCACTGAGCACCTGCTACGTGCTGGCCTTGGGTTAAGTGCTGGAGATATCAATGTGCCCTCCTGGAGCGTGTGGACCAGAGAGACAGAATTAAACCACTAACAACAAATAAGAGTGAGGGCTGTGGTCTCAGAGGCCTTGCAGTGGACACATGGACAGAAAGTCCAGTCCTGGGGAGTCAATGACACGCAAGGTAAGGTATGAAGAACACACAGGTGGGGCTTGATCAGGCGACAATGGGATGAATGCAGCTTGGGGATTAAGTGCACAGGCTTTAGAGGTGGAAGGCCTGGGTTCCAATCCCAACGTGGTCCCTTACTAGATATGTGTCCTTGGGCAAGTGACTTAGTCTCTTTGTGCCTCAGTTTGCTTGCCTGGAAAATGGGGATGATGATAAAAGTAGCTGGCTCATTGGAGTTTTGTGAGGATGATGTGAATTATACACGAAAAGCCCTCATGCCTGGAGGCACAGACAGCTCTTTTACATACAACATCGTTATGGTTTTTTCAGGCCCGCGGCAAGCAGGAATGCATACTTGTTTAAATAAAGTCTAGAGAGAGTGTGGGATGACTGAAAAAGAGCGAGAAAGATAAAACAGCAAAAAGAAGCGGTGATGGAGATGGCATTTTCTAGGACAGATGAGAAAAGCTGGCCTGGAGAGACAGCTTCCAGGTGGAGCCACAGAAGTGGAGTCAAGAAAGGAGTCATAGGATCTCTGAGCATCATAAAACACATCCCAAAAGCTGTTCTGTTCTCTCTGTGCCTTCGCGGCCTCAGGGATGGTCCAGGCCTTTGAATGGACATGACTTAAAAGGCAGTCCTTGCTAGCTTTTGCGAGACTCTGAAATTCCCTGTTTAGGCCTGGGGCAGTGGGAAAAGTCAGAGAAGGCTGTGGGTGAACCCCCGGCTTCAGCAAGGGGGATGCGCTGTGAGCACACCTCGCTGTGGAACAGCATTTGGGGCTCACAGCAGAGAGGGGGCCGTGCAAACAGCCAAATGGTCAGCACCTACCTCAGTGCCTCTGCAGAAGAGTCTTCCCCCAAGAGGCCACTAAATGTAGAGCCTAGAAGGGACACTTCAAACCAAAATATCTCATGGTTCATAGAGCCAAGCCAAGGAATTCTCTGCCACCAAGTGTCAGGAAGTCAACACAGAGAACCAGATAGAAGAAGGCTGCAAATACCGTAGAATACTACCCCCATAGGAGAGGAGGCAACACTGAGGCTCAAGGGGGTGACTGTCATGAAGATGATGATGATGATGACGATGATGATCACAGTAACATAAATAGCATTCTGCCACCATTTCTGGAATGGCGCCCATGTTCTGGGGACTGCATTAGATATCTTTTTTTACTTAACCCTCAGATAAATCTCTGAGCAGCAAGGACAGTCAAGATGCAAGCGTCGCTCCTTGGACTCTGAAACCTGTGTCATTTCCTCCCTGCTTTGCAGTGCTGCCCACACAACAGCTGTTGGGTGCCGGGTAGGTCTACTGAATTCTCCATTCCTTTAACTTCAGGCTAACACATCATAATTGGTTATCATTTCTTAAATATACCTCCCAGGAGCAGTAGTCAATGCACTTTTATTGACAGTGTCTGCAGAGCAAGTTCATGGAAGTTCTAACCCAAGGGTCTCCTGCCCTGCTGGTTCACTCTTCCTCTGCCTATCCCTTTCTAGCTCTCTTTCTTTCGTGCTGTCCCTGGGCTCTTCTCATCTTCCTAGGAAGAGCAGCATCAGGATCTAACCAGGCCTCCCATCACGCTGCACCCCTGCCTGAATTGAGTCTGAAAGTCTGCTTCCACTTCCTCCCTGGGATTTTTAACCTTTTTTTTTTTTTTTTTTGAGATGGAGTCTTGCTCTGTTGCCCAGGGTGGAGTGCAATGGTGCAATCTCGGCTCACTGCAACCTCCGCCTCCTGGGTTCAAGAGATTTTCCTGCCTCAGCCTCCTGAGTAGCTGGGATTACAGGCATGCGCCAGCATGCCCGGCTAATTTTTGTGTTTTTAGTAGAGACGGGGTTTCACCATGTTGGCCAGGCTGGTCTTGAACTCCTGACCTCAGGTGATCCGTCTGCCTTGGCCTCCTAAAGTGCTGGGATCACAGGCGCAAGCCACCACGCCGGGCCCACTCATTCCCTGGCCTCATTTTGCCCATGCTTAGGTCTTGTCTTCCTAGGTTTCCTGGAGCACCAAGAACTAGGCCCTGCTCCCAGCCTCCAATCTGAGCGGACCTCCCCTTCTGGGCTTCCACACACTATACGATCTGTCCCTCCCACTCCCAAGCTTTCTTAAGTATCCCTTCTTTCTTTTTGTCTCCCTATGTGGCACAGCTGGCATTTTGGTGGGATAATTCTTCATTGTATAGGACTGTCCCCTGCGTTTCAGGACATTCAACATCCTGGCCACTACCTTCTGAATACCAATAGCTGCCCCCAGGCTGGTGACAACCAAAGCGACCCCCCAAATTTCCAAATACCTCCTACTTGGGAGTGGGGGTGGGGATACCAGCCTTGGTTGCCAACCTCTGTATCTACTCTCTTCAATCTCCATATTCTCCAAGGCTGTGCAGGAGATACCACACTGGGGTATCTCCTGGGCTTCCCAACAACTTCCTTCCTCTGGAAACGGCCCCCTTCCCTCCCAGAGATGCCCCTAAGCCGCGTGTTTGTCCTGCATGACTTCACGGGGACGTCTCGGTTCATGCCCAGTTTTCTCCTGACTGAAGCTGTTCGTTGTGGATTCTCTCTCCTAGGAATTAGGAATCCGGATTCAGAGCCTGCCCATGTGTGGCCGAGGCGACGGGCCTTCCCAGGTGTGGTGCCACATGCCCAGAAGGCTGCTCTACAGAGGGAGGAGAACGGGGCTGGTTGCAGGGGGAAGCCGAGTTGTCTCCCCAGCAAACACTCCCAGGCACCCCTTCCTGCTTTCGAAGAGAACCTCCATTTTCTTTGGGAAGCCCCCCTTCCCCATAGGATGGTGGCGATCCCCTTTACCTCGCCAGTGATCCACTCGGCACCTGACTCAGCTGTGGCCAAAGCGGCACGGGCCAGGGCTAGAGGAGCTTCTGGAGGGCTCCTAAGAAAGAGACGCCTGGGAAAAGCAGCCCTCTCTAGGATTAGATGCAGCCCTGTCTTCATGTGTGGGCCACCGTGATGCCAGGAAAGGAGCACTCGCCACAGAGCCAGCGATGGAGGTGAGTGGGAAGGAAAGACGGGATAGACCAGATGCCGGAACACGACGGAGCCTCCAGAGAAGGCCACTGGGGCATCCTACGTCAGGACCCGCTGTGATGTGGGAAAACATACTTTTCTCATTGTGTGGGCAAGGTGAGTCAGAGTTTTCTGTTTTGTGCACAGACATTTGAACTACTGCACAGGGACGGAAGGACACGCAGCCCAGGAGGGAGGGGCTGAGAGAGGGGCGGCTCCCCAGCCTCCAATTCCCTCCCCAGACCTGAACGCCCAGCTTCTCTTTGCATTGTGTGAAATTCCAGTGTCTTCCCAAGAAATCCTCCTTCACCATGTAAGCAACCCTGAGGCAGATTCTATTGCTTGAAACCCAAAGACCCAAAGAATCTTGGTGAAGACAAGGATGTTTTCTCCCTCCTGCTTTTGTCTCCCTGATTTCATATCCTCGCAGTGCTTCCATGCACACATGACCTGAATCAGTATCTCTAGTCCAGCCTCTTTCCCTGCCCTGTTCTCCCAGGTGCCTCCTGGAATTCTCGGCCTGGCACCTCACCTCCCAGGGTCACAGGTGACGTGCCCCCTCAAGTTACCTGGCTGGGACGAAAGCTTTGTTTTCCTGGGCTTGGCCATCAAGACCAGGAATGGAAAGAGGCAAGAAGGGTCGCTGTTGTGGAGGTGGGGAACCAGGAAACTCCAGGAGAAAAATCATTAATCCAAAAAAACAAACAAACAAACAGAGGCTTTCTTTAGTAGCAGCATGTTGTTTGAACAACCAAATCTACAGACAGGGAGACGGTCAGTATTTCACGATGCAAGAGGCAGTGTGGTCTGGTAAGAAAACCACCACGTGTCTGGAGCTGAGAGCTCTACTGAGGGCAGACGGGACTCTGCTCCTTGGAGGGAGTTGCTTCCCTCCATGGGCCTCAATATTTCCATCTGTTACACAGGGAGATTCAGCTGGTGACAGTAGTACCAGCTTTCCAGGGTTGACTGGGGGGCTTAAACAATAGAAATTTACTTTCTCACAATTCTGGAGGCTGGAAGTCTGAGATCTAGGTGTTAGCAGGGGTCGTTTCTCCTGAGGCCTCTCTCCGTGGCTTGTAGACGGCTGTCTTCTCCCTGAGACCCCCTCTGGTTGTCCCTCTGGGTGTATCTGTGTCCGAATCCCCTCCTCTTACAAGGACACCAGTTGTATTGGGTTAGGGCCCACCCTAGTTACCTCATTTTACTGTAATTACCTCTTTTTTTTTTTTTTCAGAGGTGGAGTCTCAGTCACCCTGGCTGGAGTGCAGTGGAGCTATCTCCACTCACTGCAACCTCCACCTCCTGGGTTCAAGCGATTCTCCTGCCTCAGCCTCCCAAGTAGCTGGGATTACAGGTGCCTGCCACAACACCTGGCTAATTTGTTTTGTATTTTTAGTAGAGACAGGGTTTCACCATGTTGGCTAGGCTGGTCTCAAACTCCTGACCTCAAGTGATCTGCCTGCCTTTGCTTCCCAAAGTACTGGGATTACAGGCGGTAATTACCTCTTGAAAGACACTTCCTCCATATTCAGTCACATTCTGAGGTCTGGGAGGGTTAGGGCTTCATTATATGAATTTTAAGAGGATACAACTAAGCCCATAACAGTGACTTCTAAGGATTCTTTCAAGCTCACTTCTTCCCCATCCATTTTTCTTCCAGCCTCTACTATTTTGATCTCTGGGACTTCTATTTTTCAGGCATCCAGACTCAGAATCAGAATGTTGCCTCCTTTTCAATTCCTCACACGCTCCCGTTTCTCCCGACAATCCATCACAGAACAGACCACGGTCCTGCTGCGTCCAGCCCTTGCCATCCCCGGTGCCGTCATGTCGTCTGAGCCCTTATTCACCTTTTGCTCACCCTGCCCCTCGGCTCTTCTCTCCTGGCCATCTTGGGCGTATCCCTTCCCTGCATCAGACTGCCATGGCCCCCTTCACTCCCCACTGTGCCCCACTGCTCTTCCTCTGGAATCTTCTACTCCATTCAAACCAAACCATGACTATTCCCAGTACCTAATCTGCACCTTCTACCTTTACCTTCTGCTCAAGACAGGAATACCTCCCTTGCTGGGGCCTTCATCTTCCTTTTGAAGTTCTGTCCTCCCAGATCAAGTTCAAAGACCACAGAGCACACGTGGCCAGGCATTGCCAACTCACTGTGGGCGAGAGTGGAAAACCCCACGTGACATTCCATGCAGTTTGTTCTGCACGCTCCAGCTTCGTTCAGGCAGCTGTGCAGCCCAGCACGTGGGTTTGCAGCTGTGAGAATAAACCCAACTGTGGCACCAAACGGGGGCAGTGGGACACATCCCATTTGCCATGGCTGCTTCCAGGCTGGCAGATGGAGATGGGCTCTCATGATACCCAGATGATGTGGCACTTGAAATTGGCAGATGGCTCCGGGAACAGAGGCAATGACTTGGCTAAGTAACCCTCAAAAGCCCTGAAGCCTCTGCGGGGAAACAGTTAGGGAGAGTAGGCTGAATAGATGATCCAGCATTGCTCTAATGGTGATCTTTGACCAGCAGCACCAGCCCCTCTGTGTGAACGTCACAGAATGTGAGTTCATGGGCCCTGCCACTCCTACTGAATCTGCATATTTGGGAAGGGCCCCAGGAAACTGTTTTCATAAATTCACAAATTCTCCAGGTGATTCCTGAGCACATTAAAGTTGGAGAACCACTAGATTAGATAGAGGTGAGGGTGGACTATATATATATAAATAGATTTTTTTTCGGGCCAGGCACAGTGGCTTATGCCTACATCGTAGCACTTTGGGAGGCTGAGACGGGTGGATCAACTGAAGTCAGGAGTTCAAGACCAGCCTGGCCAACATGGTGAAACCCTGTCTCTACTAAAAATATTTAAAAATTAGCCAGGTGTGGTGGTGGGCACCTGTAATCCCAGCTACTCGGGAGGTTGAGGGAGGAGAATTGCTTGAACCCAGGAGACGGAGGTTGCAATGAGCCGATACCGTACCACTGCACTCCAGCCTGGGTGACAGAGTGAGACTCCTTCTCAAAAAAAAAAAAAAAAAAAGATTTTTTTTCAAAGGAATTGGCTCACATGATGGTGGGGACTCGCAAGTCTGAAGTGTGTAGGGCAGGCTGGAAATGCAGGCAGGATTTGGAGCCGCAGTCTCGGCTGTGAAATCTGTAGGGCACTTTGGCAGACTGGAAACTCAGGTAGGATTTCCACGTTACAGTCTTGAGGCAGGATTTCTTCGTTTTTTGGGAAAACCAGTTTTTATTCGTAAGGCTGCCCACTGGTTGGAGGAGGCCCACCCATAAGAACAACGGTCCTCACCTTGACTTAAAGCCAGATGATTTGGGACATTAATTCCATCAACAAAATACCTTCCCAGCAACATCTGAACTCGTGTTTGATGGAACAACTGGGCCCCACAGCCCAGCCAAGCTGACACGTAAATTAACTATCATAGAGAGTTAGCTCCAGCTCTTCTTGAAGCTCGAGGATTTGGCTTTTTCTGGGATCCTGTCAGGCCCCCTGACAAGGGACTCTTAATGATTTAAGGTAAATTGAACGAGTCCTTCTATACCGGTACCAAGTTAGCCCATCATTAGTTGCTTGCAAGGTTTTTGTTTTAAGCCAGAGGTTCATTTCTTGAGGGCAGAAAACATGTCGACTTTCTTGGACCTTCTTGGTACTGAGTATCTTCAATTTTTTTTTGAGACAGAGTTTCGCTGTTGTTGCCCAGGCTGGAGTGCAATGGCACGATCTCGGCTCACTGCGGCGTTTGCCTCCCAGATTCAAGCGATTGTCCTGCCTCAGCCTCCCAGGCAGCTGGGATTACAGGTGCCTGCCACTATGCCTGGCTAATTTTTGTATTGTTAGTAGAGACGGTCTTTCACCATGTTGGCTAGGCTGGTCTTGAACTGCTGACCTCAAGTGATCCACCTGCCTCGGCCTCCCAAAGTGCTGGGGTTACAAGTGTGAGCCACCATGCCTGGCCTCTTCAGTTCGACTCTCAACATCCTCCCTCACCCCTTCTCAAAGTTCTGGGAGGCTGACCTGCAAGGAATGCATCCGAGGTCTGCTCCTTCCCTGCAATGAGTTTTGGCCTCCATTTGGGTTTGGCCAATGGGAGACACCAGGAGGAGTCTAGAGGGTGCAGCCTGCCTTTGCATTTCCAAAAACCCGTGCTGTTGCTGGGGTTGGCCTCATGCCTCAAACTCAAAGCTGCAGCTCCTGCTGGGCTGTCCCCACATCCATGCAGGCATGCTCTCCAAATTCTGTTGACTGCTTCGTGACCCTTGTCCCTGAAGAAGTAGAGGTGGTATCGCCTCCCTGCTGTGGCACCCACCTGGGTAACGCGCTATTACACTGGATTTCCTTAAATTCACACTGAACACTTGTCAACAGGTCTCCCATTGAACTCTTCTCAGATCACCCAGTTTTAGTGGGCCATCTGTTTTCAGCCAGGACCTTGATGGATATACACTCGCAATACACATGGGACTGGTTACCTAGTGGTGAATGATAGAACAAGACAGAAAATCTTCCAGTGGACGAAGGGGCAACAAAGTACCCAGCATTTTCAGCTCTAGGGTCAAGTTTTGACTTGCAAACATGTCGCTCAAACAGTTTGCCCAGCAGCAATTAAGGTGAGGCTGTGGGGCGGGGGAATAAGAGGGGAAGAGAAGGATGATGTTAGGTATGCCAGGAGTTAAGTTTCCAAAGCAGGGATGGCCAGCATGGCCCACTTTGCAATTTTCTGCCAAAATATTTTAAATGAAACAGCTGTGTATGAGCAAAACCGCTGAGAATTGTTCCAGCTCTGAGCATGAATCTGAATCACTCATCTTTGGTATTTGACAGGCTGTGTAATTGCTCTAAACCCTATTATCTTCCCTAGTAGTTGTTGAAGTGTCATTAGGATACCTCAAATGAAAGGCTAAATTCTCCTATATACACAGTTTTAATAATTACAGACTTTTTTTTTTTTTCCTATTTAGAAATGCAAAGCTCTGCTCAAAAAGGGAGGTGCCAGGATTGTAGGATGGGTCAGAGACTTCGGAAGCTAGACTGGGAGGCTGTTATATGTACTTTTAATTTTCTCTTGACCAATTAACCTCACGTGACTTCTAAATTTTCTACCATATGCAGAGAGAAGACAGCAAGGCATACAAATGATCTGCAAACATTATTGAGCACCTACTATGTGCCAACTATTGTTTTAGGCTCTGGGGACATAAGAATGAATAACCCTGAGAAGGTGGCCATAGTAATGTTTGTGCCATATCACGCTATCTTGTGGTTTATTTTATGTTTCTGCTATGCTAGATAGGGAGGGGAGCGGGAAGACAGAGCTATGTCTTGATTATCTTGGTATCTGCAGTATGTAGTCCAGCTCAACAGGCATTTGTTGAATGACTGAATGACTATTTACAGAGGGCACACTATGGGCCAGGAACCTGTCTGGGGTCTTAGATATGGCCATGAACAAGATGGATGCAGCCCTTGCCTTCTTGGAGCTCATATTTGGCAGGGGGTCGCCAAGATATATGCTGCACAGTACATGATGAGCACAAGGAGTGTTTCCTAGAGAAAGTACTGGATGTTTTGCCTCAACAGTCCACATCAGTGTGCAGGTAATTAGCATTACTCGGGGCACTGAAGGAAGGGTTGTCACAATGACAACAAAGCAGTACCCATTGAGAGGCAGGAGGGCGTGGTCTGAACTCCAGCTTGGCCAATGGCCACTGTTGGAACTTGGGTGAGTTATCTCTCTAAACCTCAGTTTCCCTTCTAGAAAATAGAAATGATACTACTTAACTCTCAAGTTACTGGCCATAGGCAGAATTCTTTTGATCTCTGTCCCCTGGTGTTACACCCTGTAGAATCTCCTAGCTTTGAGTGTGGCTAGGACCATCTATCTGTCTATCAATCATCTATCCATCCATTCATCCATCTATCCATCCAGCCATCTCTATCTATTTAGATAAATATATGTATGTATTTATTCATTCTATAATCTATCTATATTTATCTATCTAGATATGTATGTGTCTATCAATTTATCATTATCTATTTATATCTATCATCTATCTCTACATGTAAATATATCTAGATCTATCTGTATCTATATCTATTAATATGTCTGTCTGTCTATCTATTTACCTTTCTATCATCTATGACTCCCTCTTGCTTGTATACCCTAGCAAGATTCTCCTTGCTGGTGCCATGAAGTCCGCGGCCATGTTGAGGAAGCCCTGAGGGCAAAGAACCATGGGAAGCTTCTAGAATCTGAGGGTGGCCTCTGGGTGACAGTCAACAAAATGCCAGGGACCTGCTCAGATAGCCACAAGGAAATGAATTCTGACCACAACCTGAGGGAGCATAGCAGTGGGTTGTTCCCCAGTAGAGCCTCCAGATGAGAACACAGCCTAGCCAATGTCACAAGGATTGCAGCCTTGTGAGACTCGGAGCAGAGGACCCATTTAAGCATTCCTGGACTCCTGGACCTAAACTGAGAAATAATAAATGTATATTGCTGGAGGCCACCAAGTGTGTAGTGATTCATTACATTGCAATGGATATCTAGTAGATTGCTACTATGTGCCTGACACATAGTAGGTTCTGAAAGTAGAGGTGAAGGAAAGCAGAAGAAGACTTAAGCCATCCTACCCTCCTCTTGTCCTCTCCTCAAACCCCAACAGAAGCTGGCATTCCAAGAGGCTCCGGGCCTTCTACAATGTCAGCCTTGCTAAGGTGCCTGGCTTGGAATGAGAAATGTCACCAAGGGCACTTCCCAGAAGGGCAGGTGCTCCAGGTTGTGTGTACTCGGGGTTCATTTGCCTCGAGGCTGGAAGTTGCTACCTTGGAGACAGAGAAGTGATGGGATCTCCTTTATCTGCCCAGAACCCAGGAAGATGATGCCAAAAATGACTGGCTGTTTGCTGCCTTATCACTGCCTGATGTGGATATGGAGCTGGGCAGAGCTGCTCAGCCTCTGCAAGGCAATTCAGTGGCCCTGGGTGGCACAGCATGGGCTCTGCCATCTGCTTGGAAGCCCTCTGTAAGTTCCCAGGTTTGTGGGCACCTGGGAAAGGGAGACTGGTTTGTTTCCAGACTCATTTGATTGAATTCCAGCACCATTTGTAAAATGGCTCTAATTTCTCTGACATTCAGACAATGATTCTGTTGCTTCCTCCCCACATGCAATGATATCCTGCCCAGATCTGTCATAATCAACACTGAACTTTCTGGGCTTCCAGTTTTCTGCCACAATAGGCACAACAGGACGGATTTCAGAGGGTTGTTGGAAGATTATCATTAACGTTATTATCAAGAACATTGTTCACAGGTGACGCTGCACTGGAAGCTGGGCCAAGTGCTTAAGTCTAGTGTTTATTTAACCTTCTCAGCACTCTTAGGGGGGTCAGAGGACTGCCAACGACACCGGATGAATGCCTCAGGGAGCGCCCAGCACCCAGAAGGGGCAAATTTCCTGACTTCCCTTCCACTGACCTCACAGAGAAGGATAGGAGCTCCATTACCCACGACTGCAGCATTTCCCTCTATCCTGTGATCCCTTTCCCAGTGACCCACATAGACCCTGATTTTGTGGTCTTGTTGCTGCACAGGGAAGTATCTAAGCAGGTCACACCCTTGTCAGTCCCTGGCCCCTTGGTAAATGCGTGAGAGAGGAAGCTGAAAGCCCAGGCCCTGATCAGAGCCCCACTCAGGCCCTGCTGTGAGTGGAAGTCCACTCATTGCCTTCCACTGGGTGCCCACTGTGCACTGGACAGCAACCCAAGGCTTTACATCCTCTGTCTTGTTTAATTCTCAACATGACCCCTGAACGAGGTATTATTAATCATCTCCAGCATTCCACGTATCCATGCTGCATGCTAAACCATTCTAGAACATATAGAAATACATTCCAAAATGTCCACTAAGGAAACTTTCCTTGAATTTGAAGCTGACAACTTCCCACGGTCACAAATGCCCCTAATGCCTTCCATTACTCCTTGCTGGGCTGGAGCCCTGCTTGGGATCATTTCAGGAGTAACAAGCACCAGGAGCCCAAGGAAGCCTCGGTGTACCCCATGGGTACATGGTGCCTGCTCTGGAACAGGGCCAGGTAGGAGCCCTTGCTGGGTTTTCAAAGGATTCTCATCTTTGACTGCAAGGCCAGTCTCCTGTTTGTCTGTGCTCAGAGCACGGGGCAGAGACTGGCAGCAGGGACCAATAGAAGATGCAGCCTTTGGCCAGGCGCAGTGGCTCACGCCTGCAATCCCAGCACTTTGGGAGGCTGAGGTGGGTGGATCACGAGCTCAGGGGTTTGAGACCAGCCTGGCCAACATGGTGAAACCCCGTCTCTACTACAAATACAAAAATTAGCTGTGCTTGGTGGCGTGGGAGATACTCGGGAGGCTGAGGCAGGAGAATCACTTGAACCCGGGGGGCAGAGGTTTCAGGGAGCTGATATGGTGCCACTGCACTCCAGCCTGGAGGACAGAGTGAGAGTCCATCTCAAAAAAGTAATAATAATAATAAAAAAGATCCAGTCTTTGACCATGTGTCATATTCACACTCAGTTGTGACCAAGGGAAGTTGTTGGCTTCACATCCAAGGAAACTTCCCTTAGTGGACATCAAGGTAGAGGGTCTAATGATTTTCACCTGAAATCAGATGTGCTCCACAATGGCTGACGATGCTGGCATCACCCATTGACAGAGGCAAGGTGAGGTCTAATACCCTCTAAGTTATGGTGATACCCTGGCCCCCAGTTCCTGGGGGATGAGTAAGCTCATCCCAGCGGGACAGAACAATTAGTACTTAGCAGATCACGTGCTGCCTACTTGTATGGGTCACTAGGTGCCCACTGTGCACTGGACAGCAACCCAAATGCTCTACATCCTCTGTCTTGTTTAATTCTCAACACGACCCCTGAATGAGGTATTATTTTCATCTCCAGCATTCCATGTATCCATGGCTGCATGACAAGCCATTCTAGAACATATGGAAATACATTCCAAAATGTCCACTAGAGGAAGTTTCCTTGAATTTGATGCTGACAACTTCCCATGGTCACAAAAGAGTGTGAATATGACCTAGGGTGGAAGGCTATATCTTCTATTAGTCTTAAAATAACAATAGTCATTTATTTTGCTCACAACTCTGCCATTCAGGCAGCGGTGGGTGAGGACAGTTTGACTCTGCTCCACATGGCATTAACCGAGGGGTCGCAAATGGGAACCAGAAGATCCGCTTCCAGGATGACTCACTCACATGGCTGGCAAATTGATGCTGGCTTCAGCTGGAAGCTCAGCTAGGGCTGTCAGCCTCAAACCTTGGTTCCTCTCCATGGAGACCTCTCCATGGGCAGCTTGGGTTGCCTCACAACATGGCAGCTGCGTTCCAAGAAGTTCAGGTGGAAACCGCAAGGCTTCATATGTGACCTAGCTTCAGAAGTCCCCATATGCACTTCTGTTGCATTGTATTACTCAATCAAGTCATTAATCCAGATTCAAGAGAAGGCAGATTAGATTCTACATCTCAAGTAGAAAAGAGTAGCAAAGAATATGTGGTTATCTTTAATCCACCATACCCATGAATGGTGGATTGATGAAGAGACTGAGGTTTCAAGACATTTAGCACTTTTTCAGAGGGAGCAGCTGGAAAGAAACAGAGATCCAAATCTGAACCCAACTCTGAATAAGCTCCAAGTACAAGCTCTTTCTACCCGACTAAGTAGTACTTCAAACCAGTAAGCTAATGCAAATGGTTGGTTGGGTTAGCTAATAGGGCATGTCTTCAGAAACAGGCCCAGAAAGACCATTAAAATTAAGACTGAATTTCTTAAGGCTATGAGTTTCTTCAAGGATTCTACTTCTTTTCTGCCAGCCACGCTTGGTCAGAGTTTTCACAGGCTAAAACTTCATCAGAAGACAAATCAAGCTTAAGTCTGGGCATGGTGGCTCACACTTCCAATCCCAATGCGTTGGGAAGCTGAGGCAGGAGGATCCCTTGAGGCCAGGATTTGAGACCAGTCTGGGCAACATAGTGAGACCTCATCTCTACAAAAAATTTAAAAAATTAGCTGGGCATGGTGGCATGCACCTGTAGTCCTAACTATGCAGGAGGCTGAAGTGGGAATATTGCTTGGGCCTAAGAGTTTGAGGCTGCAGTGAGCTATGATCACACCACTGCATTCCAGCCTGGATGATAGAGCAAGACTCTATTTCAAAACACAACAAAAAATTCCCACCAGGCTTGAAAAATGAATGTGATCCGGGACAGAAAGATAATTGCTGAATTTGTCCACATCTTCCTTCTCTGTGTCAGGCATGCTTGTTCCACCACCCCTCCACTGAAGACGAGTTGAAGACACGTGGGTGCCCTGTGCATAGGGATGCTGAGTACAGTTGCTCAAGATGTGCACTGTACAAGGAGACCAGCTAAGGAGTGAAGGGGTTGAAATGTAGTCTGAGCTCCTCTCTGTGAGCCCCGTGTCATGGTGTGGGACTGAGTCCACCTGGAGGCAGGGTGTCATCAAATTTGCTCAAGGTAGTCACAGAGGGCTGGCCTGCCAGAAGAGACTAATCCTGGGACACCCTTCAAAGCAATGCTACCTCAATATTCTGAGGAGGTGCTGAACATTTCAAGGGAAAGGTGGGGAAAGATGTGACAGCTCTCGGTGTCCCTTCTAACATCTTAAGCAGTTCTGCTCTGGCTCCAAACTTACATCCTCTTTCCAGAAAAACAAAAGTTCTTCAGTTATCGGGATCACCATCTGCAGAGGGCAGTTCAGGACCATCCTTGGGGTACTTAGATGGATTTTGAAGACCTTGCCCTTCTCAGGTTCAAGTTTTCATTCTTCCATTTACTCACTGCGTGACCTTGGGCCAAGTCTGTAACATCTCAGGGTTTGTCATTTCCCCCGTGCAACAGGGATCATCATAATATGCATTTCATTAAATCTAGGACACCATCATTTATAACATGCACTATCATTTGATGTATCACTAAGAAAACAAAGCTGCCAATTCAACTACCATGCCTTTAATATGAAGATGCATTCTTGTTTCAGAGACAAAAAATGAGAACAACGTGTGCTTTAGAATTGATAGAATTTAGTAAAATAGCTTGCTTCCCTACATTAAAAGAAGGTTGTAAGAGAGTAAATGAAACAATGTGCAAAAAAATCTTTGCGAACTGTAAAGCACTGAAAATATTAATGATTCTTAGCCAAAGAAACTTTCAAATGGCTTCATTTAAAATACTGATCTACTATTCGATGTTGCACAAGGCATTTAATTGTTTTAACGTATTCACTAAGTAGTTCCAAGAGCTGTATTTACAGCGTTTGTCTGAATTGTTTTCTACTTTTATAACATTCCCACCCTCTTATGATTTATTCGTGTAGCATCAACTTGTGAGTTTGAATGAGATTCAAGATTTGGGGCTTGATTTATAGTTGGAGTTGACTAACATTTGGGAACAATGAACTGTGTTATATAAACACATAAATACCACAAGAGAAAGCTGACGTGCTAATTACTGTGAGGGGACAGGGTGGGGAAGAAAAAGCACCACAAAAATCCTGTTTCATCTCAGAGTTTTCTGACAATTGTGCTGTCGGTTGGGGGAGGGCGAGGAATTCCTCTGGACCACATTTCTCATGTTGCTTTGAGGGGGGAAATGGTTGAAAGATTTGGATTGTGGTTTCCCTTTGCAAAGAAAAAGAAACATTTTGGAGGCCACCAAAGAGCAGTTGGTCCATAAATCTCCAAATCTGAAAAGACGGAAGTTGTCTAGGGCCTTGGATGTCCTATGCCCTCAGAAGGACAAGCTGGCCATGGTGCTCCAGGCAGTGCCAAGGCCCCAGCACTGACTTCCTGGCCCATTTGGGCTGGCAGGCTACGGCTGGACCTGGCCTGTCCCCACCCTGGGAGGCTGGTTTTCTCATGACTCGGCTTTCTTGCAGGATGCCCCCAGTCAGAGGTCTGGAGGCCGCTCCTCTAGGCCACCCTCATGTCCTTGGGAAAGCAGCCTGGTGTCCCCAACAAGCCACACCCTGGAATCCGGCAGGCCTGAGTTCACATCCTGCCTCTATCATTTGCTAGCAGTTTGGTACTAGACTTTTCTGTGCCTTAGCTTCCTTATTTTCAAGACTGAATGAGCTAATGTGGGGTGGGAGGGGGTCATGTCCATCAGAGTGTCTAGAGCGGAGTGGACACTCATTAAAGTATTCCTTTTGGGAATCTCTGGTGGAACTTTGAGATTCATTCATTCTGCTGACATTTGCTAAACCTCACACTGTGCCAAACAATGGCTGGGGGCTGAGGATGCCACAACGAGGAAGGCAGATCTGGTCCAGGCCCCTGAGCAGAAAATCAGCCAACAGACAATCAAATAAACAAAATAAGAGAAATCCAGTGGATGATAAGAGTTCTGAAGAAAAGCAAGCAAGGTACGGGGTTGGAGAGAGATGAGGTGATGGGGGTGCGGTGCTCCCTTAGGAAAGGTGTTCAGGGAAGGTCCTGCCCTCTAAGGTACCTCGGCCTCCCAGTCCATGATTCTTGAACCCAAAAGTTCTCAACTGGGGCTGATTAATAATCATGAATATTGATCAATAATGATTAGTGATTATCATTGATAATTAATGTCTAGGGACATTATTATTACTGGGTAAGGAAGTGGTGGCTAGTGGGGTCTAGTAGGGTACAGGCCAGGAATCCTGCTAAACATCTATAATGCACCTGCAATGCACAAGACAGCCTCCGAAAACAAAGAGTATCCAGCCCCAAATGTCAACAGTTCTGAGGCTGAGAAATCCTGATCTAGCCCGTTACCTTGTATTATGTTTTTCATGATCCTTGGCAGAGTTGATGGTGGTGGAAATGCCCCTGGTGGAAGGGACCTGGCTTATAGACCCACCAGCACTGTGGCCTGTGATGGGGTGACATCAGACTGCAAGCCTCCCAGCCACTGCCATCTCCCGGGTCTACAGGCATGCAGCAATGCCTACCACCCACACGGCGAGCACTGTACATGCTGGCTTCATACCCTAGCCCTCCAAGGCTGGGGTTACTCCAGTAAAGCTTATTCTGCCTACCAGAAATTTTTAAAAAATCAAACCAAATAGGATTCTGGCTCTAGCCAGCTCTGGAGACAATTGTATTCGGAAATACTTTCAGAATAGGGCACTTGGAATTCAATAACACACTGTCAGAGTCCAATCAGTGCACTCCCCTGCACCCTTGCAAGTTTCTACATTCACATCCAGTTAAAGGAAAAAATCAAAAGCAGGAAGTGATGTTGGTACCAACCGGCACATAGGTGTGAGCAGGAAGTGACACCTGGCAGCCTGACGGTGAGGGAGGAAGAGCAAAGTCACAGAGGGAGAGAAGAATTCAGAAAGCACAGCTGTCTAGGCATTTGGCTCCTGACAAATGGTTGCCTGCCCCTCACCTCACCAGCCTCTCCAGACACCTCTGCATCACACAGCACTGATGACCGCTTCCCGGCCCAACACCCACTTGGCTTATTCTGTGCCACCAGGCTCTGATTTTGTTTGGGAGGTAATGTGCTCAGCCCCAAGACTGGCCAAACTTGGCCCTCAGCGTCCCATTCCTCCTTGCCAGTGGTTTTTCTAGGAATAGACCTGGGGCCCTGTTCTGGTCAGTAAAATGTAAGGGTGAATTAGCTTAGGAATTTCTGAGAAAGATTCTCCTCTGTGATGAAGCAGAGAGTCACATGACTAGAAACTCTTTTTGTTGTTGTTGTTTTACCACCACCCCTTCCTTCCTGCTTTGGAAATGGGTTTATGATGTGATGCTTGGAGCTGTGGCAGCCGTTTTGTGACCATGAGGGAAGGCTTCTCCAGTGTGCTAGGATTCAGGGGAGGAAATACAGAATGAATGTCAGTCCTTGATGACACTGCTGAGCCCTAAACCAACTCTGAGAACTTAAGACTTTCTGTTCTGTAAGAAATGAGATTTATTTATTGTTTAAGACTCTGTTGGGTATTCTGTTATCTGTGGCCCAAAGTATCTCAAATAATATATTATAATTTCTTTTTGTAATAATACATCTCAGATGGACATCCCCCAGAGTCTAAGACTTTGAGACATGTCATCTCTGAAAGAGGCAAAGCATCCATTATTTAGAAACCTTGGCCGGGTGCAGTGGCTCACACCTGTGATCCCAGCACTTTAGGAGGCTGAGGTGGGTGGATCACTTGAGGTCAGGAGTTTGAGACCAGCCCAGCCAACATGGTGAAACCCCGTCTCTACTAAAAAAAAAAAAAATTAGCCGACCGTGGTGGCACTTGCCTGTAATACCATCTATTCAGGGGGCTGAGGTAGGAGAATTGCTTGAACCCGGGAGGCAGAGGTTGCGGTGAACTGAGATCGAACCACTGCACTCCAGCCTGGGGTGACAGAGTGAGA
Source organism: Homo sapiens (assembly GCF_000001405.40). Taxonomy (NCBI): domain Eukaryota; kingdom Metazoa; phylum Chordata; class Mammalia; order Primates; family Hominidae; genus Homo; species Homo sapiens. The sequence goes on along the minus strand of NC_000001.11, from coordinate 14,808,322 downwards.
CGCCATCTCAAAAAAAAAAAAAAAAAAAAAAAGAAACCTCTTTAATCTGGAACAATGTCTCCTGCCCCTGAGAGTTGCACAAAGGAAACTTTTACTCTGTTTATTGCACCCAGAGTCACATGGTCTAGAACATACACCGCCTTTGCTTTCACACAGCAATTTCATGCTCACAATCTCTATTCACAGGCTCACAGTATCTCAGTGTTGGAAACTGGCACTTGGAGCCAACTCTATCCATAATCTCCTCATTCACTGCCACCCCAGGTGGGACTGGTTTATTTGCCTGGCAGGTATAGGCTAAAGAACTGAGCACAATGGAGCCAGTCCTTCCTTGCTCCTTTGTCTTGGGAGTGAGCTGCCTACAGAAGGCATATGATCTGCTCTGCTCCTCCACAGACTTTTGTAGTTGAGGGGCAGGCTCTATCTCTAGGGGAGTGGAGGCTGCTCCAAGCCAGGGTTGCCTGTGTCTGGGTGGGGAAATAGGTCTAATTTGGGGGCTGATTTGCCCACAGATACACACTACCTTCCCCAATATTAGGATTTTTTTTTTAATTGAGGCAGGGTCTTACTCTGTCACCCAGGCTGCAGTGTGGTTGCGTGATGATGGCTCACTGCAGCCTCAACCTCCTGAGATGAGATGATCCTACTATCTCAGCCTCCTGAGTAGCTGGGACCACAGGTGCACACCACCATGCCCGACTAATTCTTTTTTAACTTGTAGAGACAGAGTCTCACTCTGTTGCCCAGGCCAGTCTCAAATTCCTGGGCTCAAGTGATCCTCCCGCTTTGGCCTCCCAAAGGGCTGGGATTACGGGTGTGAGCCACCATGCATGGACCTCAAGATTAGTTTTATCAGTAATAAATATATTTTGGCCTAGCATCATGTTGACCAGAGTCAGTTAAGAGAACAGACTCTTCTGGCTACTTCAAGCAAGAAGGTATTTATTACAGGATACTAAGTGGCTTATGGAATTGTAGGAAGAGCTGAAAAACCAGAGATTTTCAGAATGACTCGCAAAGCCACACTGCTGAACTGGGCCCCCAAGGTGGCTGCTGCCTCTTCCAGGAATCAGACCCAGGCAGCCCCAGAACCTAATGTCCTCTGCCACAGTCAGGAAGCTGTGCCCTCCTGCTGGTTGTCCTGAAACCAGGTTGTGCCTGCCCAGATCTGCACCAGCAAAATAGATGTGCTGGGCCCACTTCTCAAGCCCCATAGGGCATAGGGACACTGCTGAAACGGCCACAGAGAAACCAAGTGCCTCAGCAACATGCTGGCCAGCAGAAGTGGCCTCTGCCTCCTGCCAACCATCTCAATCTCTGTTGGCCAAACCTGGATCCATGCAGATCCCTAGCTGCAAGGGAGTCCTGACACAAAGCTCCAGCTTTCTGGTCTCTGCAAGATAGGTGGGCATGTGAGAACAAGAGTGGGATTGTTGATGAGTTTATATATTCCACATGCTCCTGCAGAGTGGGTACAAATGTTACCCAGACTATCTGGATTCAAACTCGGTTCTGCCACATCTCAGTCCAGTGGCTCCAAACCTTGGAGCAGAGGGTGCCAATAAGCCCCTCTCAAGCTACTCCCTGACAGTAGCTCAAGATTAGACAGGGATGGTAGTGGTTAGGTTGGGAGTGTGTTAGATTCTGCACAGATCAATGAATAATTAAATGTACCCAAATTCCTTAATAATAGCACAGTCAAGAAGCCTGGTGTGTTTCTGAATGGGGGCAGACAACATGAAGAAAATGGAAGACAGTGCCTGTCTGCATATTCCCTTGGACTCCCAGGATCTCTCCTGCCAATCAACCCCTCATTGGTGTTCTCTGAGAGCCATCCGGCTGAGAAAGCCCAAATGAGAAGGTGTCTGCAGGGGATGATTGGCTTCAAGCATAATTCAGCATCTTGCCAGGAAGCTGGTCTGCCAAATGATAAAATAAGAAATATAATTGAATGTCAAAAAAATGAACACGGCAGGCCATGGACTGACATGCCAAGCTGCTAGCCAAAACCCCCTCCCAGGGAGTGTCAATCATGTCTAGGTGCCCCTGTGGGGTGATGGAACCATTAACGAGCTGGCATCAGATGCTGAGACAAAGGGAACAGAGGTGTCTGAGTACCTGGGGGAGATTGGCCACACCCTTGAGGAGCTTCAGGCTTTTCCCTAAAGGCCAGAGGAACCCTGGGGAGTTCCTCCAGTGGTCCCAGGGCCCTGGTGGAAAAGCCATCAAAGGCCATGCCCTCACATTTATGTTATAGTCTGGCCTCCAGGAACACTGAAACAAGAGATGCTTTGCCTGTTCCTCCTAAGAGGAAGAATTCTAAAAGCAACCTTTACCATCCACTGAGCCCTTACTGCACATTAAGGCTAGTTGTTCTTTAATTGTATTATCTTGCAAGTGGCAAACACTGCAATCGCCTCCCAGCATGTACACCCCCTTCAAGTGCAGTTATGGAATATTCTCTCCACCTCCTTTCCCCCCAGATCCAGCTCCCACCTATCTAGCCAGATTTTAATTTATTATTATTATTATTATTATTATTATTATTATTATTATTATTTTGAGATGGGGTGTTGCTCTGTCTCCCAGGCTGGAGTGCATTGGCGCGATCTCTGCTCACTGCAACCTCCACCTCCCAGGTTCAAGTGATTCTCCTCCTTTCTCAGCCTCCCGAGTAGCTGGGATTACAGTCATGAGCCACCATGCTGGGCTAATTTTTGTATTTTTAGTAGAGACGGGTTTTACCATGTTGGTCAGGCTGGTCTCGAACTCCTGACCTCAGGTTATCTGCCCGCCTTGGCCTCCCAAAGTGCTGGGAATATAGGTGTGAGACACCGCACCCGGCCTAGTAACCCAGATATTCCATTTTTCCAGCTTCCTTTGTAGCTAAGTGCAGCCACGTTCTGGCCAATGGAAAACGACTGGTGGAGCTGGGTAAACTTACAGATCACATCATTTAAAGAAACTGCCTCTACCTCCCCTCTCCCCTGCTGTGGGCTGCAAAGGGAATGGAGAGTCAGCTTCGGCCCTGAAGCAACACCCCAGCGTGAGGCACAGCAACAAAGCAGAAGGAATCTGGGTCTCTGGACAACCTCATGGGGCAGAGCTACCCTGGACCACCTCCTCTGGACTCTCACAGAAGAGAAAAACACCCTTGTAGCTTGTTTACTGCCTTCCAGGACTTCTGTTCCAGCACCTTCACCTATACCCCGACTAGTACGCTCTTCAACCTTTGCAGTCACTTTGCACAACAGGTACGGTTTTCTCCCCATGTTACAGAGGAGGACTCTGAGGTCCAGGGAGTTTGAGCAAGTGGCTTGCCCCACATCAAACATGAAAAGGAAATAATTAAAATAATTAAATGTCAACAAAATGAACATGGCAGACCACGGGCATGCCAAGCTGGTCACCAAGACCTCCACCCATGTGGTGCCAATTACGCCTAGCTGTCCCTCTGGGGAGTTCCTCCAGGGGTCCCCAGAGGGAGCCGTGGAGCTGAGGCACCATTCCTAGCCTGGCTATGACCACAGCTCGTCTTGATCTGCCACTCAGAACTTAGCATCCTGCCAGAGTCTCTGTGGTGTTGACTCCTTACCTGTATCTGTGCATTTTCAGAAGTTGAACCAAAGAGCCTGATGTGTCTCTCCTAAAAAGACTGGACGTGGGGAGGCCTCTTTTTCCATTGCAAAGCTGAGGATTGGGTACATCGGGGGTCAGGGCTTGGTAAACAGGGGTGATGTGTTGACATCTGCTATTTTGCCTCCATCTCCCTATTCCGGTAGTAGCACCCGGGTTTTGTGGGAGATCTCCCCTGTACTCTCAACTCATATGGTTGAGGCTGGCTGACCCCACTGGGCCCGAGTTAGCCCAACAGACCCTCTGTTCCTGGCATGGGAGTTTTGAGTGGGGAGACACAAGGACTTACAAGCCAGAGGCTTGTAAGCCCCACCCAGCCCATCCATGGGGTCCCTGCTTCCTGGCATCCTGGCTGCCCAAGACCTGAGCCTTCCAAGCCTTGCTCATCAGCTTTCCTTTGGACTGGGGAGCTCTGCCAGATCCTCTGAATTAATTTCCCACTTTGCTTACGTTTGTTTCCAGGGCTGGCCTCTCTTCCTTGCAATAAAGACCCCTGCCCAACAGAATTGCCAGGAGCCAAGTGTGGAGGGGGACAGCACAGACCATGTCCAAAGATGACACCAGGGGTCCAACAGAACCATTTGTGAGCCCTGGAGCTAGACCTGGGGGCAAAGCTTGCTAGGCCAGGAGCTGGCAGGCATTGGAATGGGACACAAGATCAGGCAAGAGGCTGAGAAGAGGGAAAAGGACAGGGACTGGGTGAGGACTAGGGGACAGTGTTTATCTTTCTGGGTGCTGGGGTGTGAGCGGGCTCTGATGAAATGCACCATGTTCACTGGAGGACAGGATCTGCCTTGGGGCTCCTTAAGTCCTAGCACATGGAAGAGGAAGGCATGGATTGGAAGGAAGGCCACCAAGGCTCCTGCCTGCTGACCACATCCAGTGGCTCCAGAGCGCCAATGTGGAGTGCCAGCCCTCCGTGGAGAAGGGGAGGGTGAAGGAAAGCCTTGGCATCGCCTCTCCAGGCCGTGAGAGCAGGGCTCGGGAGGTGCCGTCGTAAAGCACTGGAGTGACTCCCCAGAGGAAGAGGGATTTTGGGGGCCCACTTGTGGCTCTGCCTAATTTCTGTTGGAGAGACGGAGCTGGGGCATCATTCATGGAGGACAGCCAGAGCCACGGGCACTCAGGGCGGGGCTGAGCACTCGCTCCAGGTGGGAGGCAACATTGGCATGGGGCCCTCTCCCGCCCAGCTAGACATTCCTGCCATCAGGGTCAGAAGGAGGATGGCAGCTTCAGCATCTCACTCCCTGGTCCTTTTCCAGGGACCTCGATGCCTGAACTTTCATCAGGGCCAACTCATGCACCAGGGACAGGAGGGACAGTCGGGTCTGGCACTGATCACTCACCAATCGTGGAGACAGCAGTGAAGAAACAGGTCAGCTACATCCGGGGCTGAATCCCCCTCCGCTAATCCCCACCTGGGTACCTGAGGATGACTTGCTTCACTTCTCTAAGCCTCAGTTTCCTCCTCTGTAAAATGGGGACACCAATACTTTCCTCAGCAGACACTGCGCAGATGAAGGGAGGCTTTAGCACAGCGTTTGTCTTATAAGGAGCCCTCAGTAAACGGTAGCCATGATGTAGTATTAGGCACAATAACATGTATCTCTCACTTCTCTTTTAAATCACATTTGCATACATAATGTAACTCTGTCTTCATGAACACACTGGGAGGAGGGTGGGTCAGAAAGCAATATTTCCATGTTTGCGATGAAGGAATCAGGCTCGGAGAGGTAGGTGGCTTTCCTCAGCCCCTCTGTGGGTTGGGGACAGGGCCAGCATTCAAGCCAATGCTGCTCACTCCTCGTTCCCTTCTCGTTCCACTGAGTGCCCTCCCAAGACAACAGTGATAAGAATAACAGGCTCCATCACCGAGTGCTCATGATGTGACAGGCTCCTTGTCCTGTTAATCATCACATTTAACCCTTAAAAGAGGCCAGCTGGCCCAACAGGGTCCGTGTCTACGAAGAAGTCTCCAGTGTAAACTCATGGTGTTGGAACAGTGTCTGTGAACAGCGGTGCCGGGAAGCAACCCCCTGATCGTGGAAGCACAGGAGCAGGTTTCCCAGCCCCGAGACGGCTGCGCTCTGGGACCAGACACTTCTCTGTTATGGGGGCTGTTCCGTGCATATAGTAGGACAGTGAGCAGCATTCCAGGTCTCCACTGACCAGATCTCACTAGTAACCCCCCCATACCAGTTGTGCCAACCAGACACATCTCCAGGTATTGCCCAGTGTCCCCTGGGTGGCAAAATTGTCCCAATTTTTTTTTTTTTTTTTTTGAGACAAGAGTTTTGCTCTGTCACCCAGGCTAGAGTACAGTGGCACAATCTCAGCTCACTGCGACCTCCGCTTCCCGGGTTCAAGCAGTTCTCTTGCCTCATCCTCCCTAATAGCTGGGACTACAGGCACAAACCACCACACCTGGCTAATTTTTGTATTTTGAGTAGAGACGGTTTTGTCATGTTGGCCATGGTGGTCTCAAACTCCTGGCCTCAAGTGATCCACCAGCCTTGGCCTCCCAAAGTGCTGGGATTACAGGTGTGAGCCACCATGCCCGGCCATTGTCCCAATTTTGAAAACTACCACATGGAGAGAGTCGACGAAAGCTTTCTGGACGAGATCATTCTAAAAAGCAGGGCATGACAGAGGAAGGGCTCAGAGGACAGCTCTCTTCAGCGCAGAGAAAAAGTTTAGGAGAGAGGCCAGGCACGGTGGCCGACGCGTGTAATCCCAGCACTTTGGAAGGCCAAGGCGGGCGGATTACGAGGTCAGGAGATAGACACCATACTGGCTAACATGGTGAAACCCCGTCTGTACTAAAAATACAAAAAAATTAGCTGGGCGTGATGGCGGGTGCCTGTAGTCCCAGCTACTCAGGAAGCTGAGGAAGGAGAATGGCATGAACCCGGGAGGCAGAGCTTGCAGTGAGCCGAGATCAAGCCACTGCACTCCAGCCTGGGCAACAAAGCGAGACTCCACTCAAAAAAAAAACAAAAAAACAAAAAAAACAAAAAAAACTTTAGGAGAGACCTTGCAGCCCAAGTACATAAACTCATCAGCAGTCTGTGTCGGAGCAGGCCAGGCCGTCATAGCCCTCCTGAGGAAGCCCAGGGCATGGTAAACGGCCACTATCTGGGGAGGCCTCTGCTCCTTCCCGGGGAGGTGTAGGTTTTATGGAGGATGGCCATCCTAAATCACCCTCTCAGTCCTAGGAGAGCCCCAAGAGCCTGCGGAGAAGGGACCCAGCCACTCTCTGGACTGCGGAATGTGTCGTCACCTGCCTGACCCCTCACACCTGGCTTCACCTGTGCGTGCCACCCCTCGTCACGAAACCGACAGTGAGCGCCAGTCAGCCAGTCATAACGGCACAGACTTTCTCCTGGTTTTGACTCCCTGGACTCAGGAGAGACGCACATTTCCCCGAGGAGCTTGCTGAGCGGTGACGGAGAGAGAAAGCCACGATGATGCTGAAACACCCTGAGACGGCTCCGACTGGCTCGAGAGGGCAGCTGCCGGAAAGCCCCCCACTCACTGCCTGCCTCTGCTTTGCCGCGACGATTAGAACGGCTCCTCTTATCACCACCCTCTGCGCCCCGTGACTCTTTTTCTCCCACGTATTTCTTTTTTTTTTTTTTGAGATAAAGTTCATCGATCATAAAATTCACCCTTTTAAAGTGTACAATTCAGTGTTTTTTAGCATATTCATGAGGTTGTGCAACTATCACCGTAACCTAATTCCAGAACATTTTTATCAGCCCCAAAAGAAACCCCTACCCACGAGCAGTCACTCCCCACTTCCCCTCCCACAGTCCCCGGCAACTACGAAGCTACTTTCTGTCTTCCTAATGTACAGACTTCCCTAATCTGGACATTTCCTATGAATGGAATCATACAACGTGTAGTCTTTTGTGACTGGCTTCACATAGCATCACATTTTCAAGGGACATGCATGTTGTAGCATGTGCTTCATTCTCTTTTTTGAGACAGGGCCTCACTCTGTTGTGCAGGCTGGAGTGTGGTGTTGCAATCATGGCTCGCTGCAGCCTCCATCTCCCAGGCTCAAGCGATCCTCCCACCTTAGCCTCCAGAGTAGCTGGGACCACAGGCATGTGCCACCACACCAAGCTAATTTTTTAATGTTTTGTAGTAGAGATGGGGTCTCACTATGTTGCCTAGGCTAGTCTTGAACTCCTAGGCTCAAGTGATCCTTTTGCCTCGGCCTCCCAAAGTGCTGGGATTACAGGCACGAGCCACCGTGTCTGGCAATTACTTCATTCTCTTATGGCTTAAAAATATTTGATTGCATGGATTGACCACATCTTGTTTATTCATTCACCTTTTGTTGGACATTTGGGTTATTTGCACCTTTCAGCTCTCATGAATAATGCTGCTGTGAACGCTCATAGGAGTGTTTGTGTGGACACACGTTTTCAGTTCTCGTGGATGTATACCTAGGAATGGAGTTGCTGAGTCATATGTGGTTCTTGGTTTTGGGATCACAAAAACCTGGAGATCTGCCATGCTGGGTCAGCCTTGGGGTACTTTTGGGTTAGGATTCTGCCTCCCGTAAATCTCTGCTGTCTCCTCATCTGGCTCATCATGGACCTGCCATCCCATTCCCAATACATCCAAGCCTTGAGTCCCCACGACACTCATACTTCCCTAGATATGCAGATAGTCTGACAACATCTCCAAAATTCAGGAGAAGAAACATGTCAGATACTTATAACTTTGATATGGCCTTCGGGGACATCTATTATCTAATACCGTTTCATTAGAAAAACATGAAGATATAAAAATGAACTCAAGGAGAGGAATTCTGATGGGGGTCTCCAAGGCTTCCTATAAAATATCGTGTAAGATTTCAGAAATGAAACTAAATTGTACATTAAATTTTTTTATTTCGTTGAAGCCTACTTTTCCAAAAAAAAAGTTCTTAAGGGGTTTCTGGGTAAAAGTAAAATCCGCTTGTTAATTATATCCTGAGCCCACCATCGCACGAGGAATTTTGTTTTCTTGACATCGACCAGATCTGATTAAGTGAATGGTCAAGGAGGTAATAACATCCCCTCTTTGAAGAGCTGGCTCTGGCCAGGCCCGTTTCTGATCATTTTAACAACTCGACTGGTTCCTCTAAAAAATTAAATGAAAGTTAGCCTCGAACCTGGAGGTACTTTTCCATTCATTTACTGTCGGTCCACGTCAATATTCTAAAGAGGTTTCAAGTGTTCCTCCTTTTTGAATAATTTATCATAGCTAATGAAAGCTTTAAAGATTGGCTAACGTGAAAGCGGAACAGGCATTCCCACAGGTGTCCCAAATGAAGCCTTTCTGGATGAAGAGATGAAAATACCCATTTCAGCTTCTGCAGCCCTGAAGCAATTCAGTTGATGGAGTTTACCTCAACTTAAGAAGGATTCATTGCGCATCCATTCTGAACACATCCTGTACAAATGAGATGTAAAGTAGTATTAAGAGGGGGCCTTAAACAGGGTAGGATAGGTTATACCGCAGTAACAAACAATGCCACAAATGTCAGCAGTTTAAAATAACGAACACATGTCTTACTGGGTCTCTGTTCATCTCACCCTCAGAGAGAAAGTAGTCCAGGCACAGTGGCTCATCATGCCTGTAATCCCAGCACTTTGGGAGGCTGAGGCAGGCAGATCACTTGAGCTCAGGAGTTTGAGACCAGCCTGGGCAACCTGGCAAAACCCCATTTCTATGAAAAAACAAACAAACAAACAAACAAATAATTGGCTGGGCGTGGTGGCACTTGCCTGTAGTCCCAGCTACTTGGGAGGCTGAGGTGGGAGGATGGCTTGAGCCCGGGAGGCAGAGGCTGCAGTGAGCCGAGATCATGCCTCTGCACTCCAGCCTGGGTGACAGAGCCAGACCCTGTCTCAAATAAAATAAAAAAGAAAAAGAAAAGAAAAGAAAAAAGAAAGTGGGCCGGGCGTGGTGGCTCACGCCTGTAATCCCAGCACTCTGGGAGGCTGAGGCGGGAGGATCATGAGGTCGGGAGATCGAGACCATTTTGGCTAACATGGTGAAACCCCATCTCTATTAAAAATACAAAAAATTAGCCGGGTGTGGTGGCGGGCGCCTGTAGTCCCAGCTAATCTGGAGGCTGAGGCAGGAGAATGGCGTGAACCTGGGAAGTGGAAAGTGGAGCTTGCAGTGAGCCGAGATAGGGCCACTGCACTCTAGACTGGGTGACAGAGCAAGACTCTGTCTCAAAAAAAAAAAAAAAAAAAAAAAAAAAAAGGAAAGAAACAGAAAAAAGAAAGCAAAGATCACCTCCGAGGGCTATTGATTTCTTTGTGGAGAAGAGATGTTTACTGACTGACATTTTCAAGTTGCTTGGATGCTGCCCTACTTAATTATGTTCTACTTTGTAAGTGTGGGCTCCAGGAGAGAGTGAGCCCTCCACTAAGAGGGCAAGCAACGTAAAGATAGCACCGTGGTTTTACTCCTTTCCCGTTTGCATTGATGCTCCAGTGCCAGGCTCAGCATGGAGCAGGTGACCCAAAACTGTGTAAGCGGCAGCAACAGGGAGCCCAGAGGTGTCATGCGTGAGTTTGAAACTTGCCTCTGGCACTCACAAGCTGCATGACTCAGACAGTTTTCTTAACCTCTCTGTGCCTCAGTTTCCTCATCTGTAAAGTGGGGGAGATAGGAGTCCCTTCTTCCCAGTGTACAAAGAGCAACTGAATCAGTGCCTGTCAAGCACCAAGAAGGGTTCCTTGGCACATCGTGGGCATCGTGTTTTTGATGAATAAATGAGAGCTGGCATCTTTTAAGTGTTGAGTTAGGAGTTGCACTAAGCACTCCACAAGGACTATTTCATTGAATCCTCACGGCTACTCAATGAAAGAGACATGCTGTGATGACCATTTTGCAGATGAGGAAACTGAGGCTTGGAGAGGTAATTTGCCTGGGGCCCCGTAACTAGTCCAAGGTGGAGCTAAAATTTGAACCTGGATCTTCCTGACTCCAGGGCCGACACTCTGTCTTGAAGCTATAGAACCTCTATTTGCAGAATAGAATAAAAAAGCTTAGTGAGATCAGTGATAAAAATGAATGAGATTGCCCTCATTTTTCTTGATTCGATGTATTGTTAACTCTGCATTCCGCCTTTTAACTCTTTAACTCTTCACTTGGCCTTTTAACATTCTTGGTTCCAACACACTTTCTAATCCCCTCACATCGATCCCTCTTCATAGACTCTCATCTCCTGGAACGGCTTCCAGGTTCCCACTGCTAGAGTCTCCAGTTAGCGCTTCTTGGACAAAACATAGTTAAATTAAAAACAGCACCATAGGCCAGGGATGGTGGCTCATGCCTGTAATCCCAGCACTTTGGGAGGCAGAGGCAGGCGGATCACCTGAGGTCAGGAGTTCAAGACCAGCCTGGCCAACATGGTGAAACCCCGTCTCTACTAAAAATACAAAAATTAGCCAGGGGTGGTGGTGCACGCCTGTAAGCCCAGCTACTTGGGAGGCTGAGGCAGGAGAATCACTTGAACCCAGGAGGCGGAGGCTGCAGTGAGCCGAGATCATGCCACTGCACTCCAACCTGGGCAACGAGAGCAAAACTCCATCTGAAAAACAAAAACCAAAAAACAAAAAAACCCAGCACCACCTTTCTGCCCTTTCTACCTCCATGTGTGTTACCTAAGTGGCCACCAAATGATACATCAACATAGCTTAACCCACTGCTTCCAAGTCCATCAGGCCGTCTTCACCATTTTCCTTACATGGGGTACCTGGGAGCTGCCCTCACCACTGAGTGGACTCAGGTCTTCCTTCTCTTTGTCACAGTCATGCTGTGGAGAAACGGGCAGGTTGTGCCATCTGTTCGAGACTCTTTCTCCTTTCAGTCAAGTTTGTGTCTTTCTTAAACTCACCCCTTCCTTTCCCACTCCTTCAGGTGATGGGGGCGAGGACTCTCGTGTTATGCCAAAGGCAGTACTTTGAGGAAACACCCAATGGAGAGTCTTCCCTGGTGCCATGCTTACAAATGAAGAGACAGTGATCTTCCAAAATACGGCGATACATAGAGCTGAGCCGAACCATGCACGTCTATACCCTTTTTGTAACAGAAACGCATCCTGGAGCTCTCCAGCGATTCCAGACTGTCTGAAGAATTGTCAGTTTCCCTAGTCTGTAGCGCACACCTACCATGTGCCAGGCTTTGTTCTAGAGACTGGGAATCAGAGCTGGGCAGGACAAGGTCTGTGGAGCCATGGAGCTCATGTGAAGGCGGGGTGGTGGAGATGTGGTTGTCACAGGCTGGTCTGAATGCAGGATGGGGACATGACACGTGGCTTCACTAAGACATGGGCCTTGAGTTTGGAGAACGGAGGTGGCCTGAGCTTTGGCTGGGAAAGCCCGGGTGTGGGTGGGGAGAGGGTGCCTGAGAGGACCATGCCCAGCCCTGGATTGAGGCATGTGCTGCTTATTTGCAGGAGTGAGACCCAGGCTTATCTGTGGGATTACACATCTCTGAGGGAGAGAAGAACCAGGACCAGAACGGAGGCCAGAAAGTGGCTTACCTAGCATGTCCGACTGGAGGGGCCAAGTCCAAGAAGGAAGAGAGGCGAAGTGGGGCCTACCTCAGGCAGAGGATAGATTCCTCCCATGAGGAGTTCACCACTAGTGGAGGCGGTGGGGAGGATAGGCCATAAAGAAACACACAGCAAATGTACAGTATAGAAGGCAGAAAGAAACACACAGCAGGCCCCGGGGAGGAAGAATGGGTGCCGGTGAGGGTTTCCTGTGTTAGACAAGGCTTTCTGAAAGGTGACCTTTGTGCAGAGTCCTGAGTGATGGGGAAATGAGGGAAACAGCATCCCAGCCAAGGCAACAGCATGTGCAAAGGCCCTGAGGGAGGCAATGTGTGTCATGCCACAAGAAAAGCAAGGAGGTCAGAGGGGCTGGTGTGGAATGAGGCCAGAGGGGCTGGTGTGGAATGAGCACCAGCTCATGCAGGGACAGATGAGAATGGAGAGGAGGTGAGAGCCAGATCCCACAGGGCAGTAGGTGGGAGCGAGGTTGGGCAGATTTAGGTTACTTTTGCAGGTTCTGATGGATGGGAAAGAGCATGCATTTGGAGGACGCCATGAAGCCTGAATTTGAAAATAAACGACTGCAAGGAGGGGAGCAAATCTGTGAATCCATCAAAGATAAAAAGCCTCTTAAATCCATCTCCACAGTACATAGTACCTACCTACAAGTACCATGCTACCATCCATATCGACAAGTACCTACTATGTGCCTGACACAGAAGAGATTACATCTAGGCGTATGCTCATTTCCAGACCTCCCTAAGACCCCGTGTTGTGCTCTCTGTGGAGTCCATCTGCACACCCCTTACAGGGTTAACACAAGCTTTCACGGACTGCTTCTCATTTCACCCATTGTATTAGTCAGGGTCCTAAAGGGACAGAAGTAATAGGATAGATGAATACATGAAGGGGAACTTATTAGGAGAACGGACTTACGTGATCACAAGACAAAGTCCCCACAAAAGGCCATCAGCAAGCTGAAGAGGGAGGAGCAAGAAAGCCAGTCCAAGTCCCAAAACCTCAAAAGGAGGAGGCTGACAGTGCAGCCTTCAGTCTCCAGCCAAAGGCCCGAGAGCCTCTGGCAAACCACTAGTGTAAGTTCAAGAGTCCAAAAGCTGAAGAACTTGGAGTCTGATGTTTGAGGACAGGAAGCATCCAGCACGGGAGAAAGATGGAGGCTGGAAGACTCAGCCAGTCTAGTCCTTCCATGTTCCTCTGCCTGCTTTTATCCTAGCCGTGCTGGCAGCTGATTAGATGGTGCCCACACAGATTGAGGGTGGGTCTGCCTTGCCCAGTCCACTGACTCAAATGTTAATCTCCTTTGGCAACAGCCTCACAGACACACCCAGAAACAATACTTTGCATCCTTCAATCAAATCAAGTTGACACTCAGTATTAACCATTACACCCATACAGCCTGTGAAGTACTTACTGATACCCAGTGGTGTGCATGAGCTGACTTCACTGGCTCCTGAGAGCCGACTCCCATGACTCTGCCATCAGGGACATCAAGTAAGTAGCTTAAGTATTTACATCAAGGAAATTGGCAAACACCACACACCAGCCTCCCCGCTGCCTCCTACCCTGGCCCCGCAGTGAGAACTGGTTGTTCAACACTTACCAGCACACCACTGGCTACACCCATTTAGTAGGGGAGGCAACTGAGGTTCAGGAAGATAAAGGCCCACAGCCTTGGAATGGCAGTGCTCCAAATCCAGAGATCTGTTGCCTGTTGACAGTTTGTGGATGATGGCCAATGGTTCTGGTAGTAGACACTCTACCAGGGATGGTTGCTGAGGTTTCATTCTGGATGCCACAGGAATTTTTAGGGATTTCCACATCTCTTTTGCGTCCTAACTCTGTCGGGTTTAGATGAGAGTCAGCAATCCCCACTGCGCTTTCCATGAAATGAGTGCCCTCTTGCTGACCCTTTACAGCTACACTTACAAGAGGGCACCCTAGAAGAACCGGTGGAGAGTGGGCCCAGGATGCCACCTCCAAACCAGGTTGCATCCTGAGGAGCACAGGAGAGGAGAGCTGAGGCTCAAGGTGAGATTTTAGCAAACGCTGCTTATGTAACTGCTCGTGAACAAAAGGTCAGGACCTGTGGTGTTACTTTTGATTACCCTGAAATAACCAATCTGGTTTTTAATTTCCTCAGGTGGAGGCTGCGGGCTGTGTGGTTTCATGGGGCCCCTAACAGGCGAGGGCACGGCCTGGGGAGGGTGGTCTTGTTTGCCAGAGGAGGAGCCACCCGGAAGGCACACAAGTGTGATTTATATCTCAGGTCTCACTGGCTTCCAAATACAAACTAGGCCCTGTTCTGATCTGTCTCAAGTCACAGAGCGTAAGGAAAGCTCTGAGCAGGAAGAATGAAAGACTGGCTTCCAAATACAAACTAGGCCCTGTTCTGATCTGTCTCAAGTCACAGAGCGTAAGGAAAGCTCTGAGCAGGAAGAATGAAAGCAAACATTTATGGAGCACATACTGTGTGCCACCCACCATTCTAGGCACAGACACACTCACTTAATCCTCACAATAACCCTATAACCAGGTACTCTTGTTATGCCCATTCCCATTTTATAGCTAGGTAAACAGATACAGGGAGAGAGGTGAATGAATTGGTTTGGGGCCATATAGCTAATAGCTAGTAGAGTTGGGGTTTGAACCCAGCTGGTCTGCCTCCAGATTCTCAGCCCCTAACTTCTAAGCTGCATGGAGTAGGCGCTGCAGAAGTCAGCCACGAAGCACAAGGACGTGCCGTGCATGTGGAAAAACATCTTAAAGGAGCCTGGGAAAATGCAGTGGGTCCTTGGGGCTCCTCTCTCAATCCTCTCTTTCCTTGGTCTAGCAAAGCCAGGCTACCCCCGGAGATGCCATCGCCTGGTGCTGATTTGCTCTGCCATCATTTCCTGCCCAGGCCACTGCAGTTGCCTCCTAACTGGTCTCTGCCTCCATCCTTGCCTCCTCCATGCCACCGAAGTCGGGGGTCCATTCCTATCCTGCTGAAAGCCATCAGTGGCCTCCACCGCCTTAACATGCCACACACACACCTGCCTGGGCTGACCCTCATCTCCTCCGGCTGCTTTCCCAAATGCAGTCCCGCCAACTGTGTCCTGAATGTTTTTTTTTTTTTTTTTGAGACAGAGTCTCACTCTGTTGCCAGGCTGGAGTGCAATGGCACGATCTTGGCTCACCGCAACCTCCACCTCCTGGGTTCAAGCTATTCTCCTGCCTCGGCCTCCCAAGTAGCTGGGACTATAGGCACATGCCACCACGCCCAGCTAATTTTTGCATTTTTAGTAGAGACAGGGTTTCACCATGTCGGCCAGGATAGTCTCGATCTCCTGACCTCGTGATCTGCCTACCTCGGCCTCCCAAAGTGCTGGGATTACAGGCATGAGCCATTGCGCCCAGCCATGTCCTGGACCTTAAATGCACGCTGCTTTCCTCCTCTGTGCCTTTGCGTTTGTCTCTGTGCCTTGTGCTGTTCCCTCTGCTTGGCACACCCTCTCCCATTTCCTGCACCGATTGTTTCCTCATGATGCTAGTCAAGATTCCTCTCCTTTTGGAAGCCACTAAACCTCCAGGTTGAGGTAAGGGACCCTCTGGGCTTCTAATGTACCTGGGAGATGGCTGTAGACTTCTTCCAACCTTGTACTGCCACTGGGATTACAAGCATAAGCCACCACGTTTGGTAAGTACTTCATTCTTGTATGGCTGAAAAATAATCCACTGCATGGATTGACCACACCTTGTTTAGCCATACATCTGTTGTTGGACATTTGGGTTTTTTGCACCTTCCAGCTCTCAAGCTGATATTCTTATCTGCCTCCCTGCACACAGGTGACTGGGGGCAGGGATGCTAGCTTGTACATTTTGTCTCCTTAACACCCAGCACAGCATCTGGCAAACAGTAGATGCTCAGTAAATAACCACCAACTGAATGAATGAATAAATGGCCACCTTTCGGATGGTCTACTTTTCTACCAGGTGGCAATTCTGATTCAAGTCTTCCATCTGACATCAGCAGGCAGCCCTGTGCTTGGGGTGGGTGGGGTAAGGAAGGGTATAGATGAGAAGCAGGGGGAACATGAAAAGCATTTGGAAAGCACAGTCACAGTGGTGCCAACTGAAGTCCCCGCAGCATTGACCGAGGTCACCCCGGCTAATGTGGCTGCTCCTCCAGAAAGCCAAGTCCCATCCCCACTGCTGGCAGATCACACAGAAACAACAGTCATCCCGCAGCCGCTGCCATGGGATCAAACGCGCTGCTGAAAGCAAAGCTGTGTGTGCGCAGGGATCAAAGGCTGGTGGCTCGTGCCTGCTGCCCTAGCACCTCAGGCAAGCGTGCCAGGGAGGCCGGGAGCTGCTCTCTGCAACAGGATGTTCCGGAAGCTCGCCCAGCTCCATCATCATCTCCAGTTTCTGCATTCCCCTGGGGACTAAGCTCACTCTCGCCGTCCTCAGTGGACTCTTGGGCATCTTCTCTGCAGTGTCATTGGGTACTTTGTGGGCAAGTGGAGGGAGGTGACAGGGAGGCCAGAGGCATGTCCAGGGACCAGAGGCACATTCCTCCACCAGGACCAGAGACTGGGGGCTTGCAAGTCACGCAGAATCTAACAAGCGCAGCGTGTTGCTTCCTTGGCCCAGCAGAGCTGAGCAGGTGTTTGGAATGATGGCACAAGCAAGCCAGTGGGCGAGTTTGGAAAGAGTTGTGTCAGGATGAGGCTCCAGTGACATTTCAGGACAGAAGAAGGGGCAAGTGGAGAGGTTTCTCGTGTGCAGGTGTTGGCGACTCAGCCCTCCTCCAAAGCCACTTATCTGGGCCCCCAAGCTGGCGGGAAGATGCCCTGGCTGCAAACTCTGCCTCCCGGGTGATGAAATCTTAATAAAATGCATCAGGAAAAAGGCTGTCCCAGCAGATTAAGGGTGAAGGGACAGAGTTCAAAGAGGAACAGGAGTTGATGATTTAGAGGCATCTCAAGGCTGTTTCGAGGGCAGGGTTGTCTGTTAAGCACAATGTAAGCAAGCAAGGAAGTGGAGGTAGGGTGGGATGAGACTTGGAGGCAGAGAGATGGCAGCAAATGGAATCCAGCCTGCCCTCCCTTGGAAGCCAGCGGGGGCCGGTGCGGTGGCTCACACCTATAATCCCAGCACTTTCAGAGGCCAAGGCTGGAGGATCGCTTGAGCTCAGGAGTTCGAGATCAGCCTGGGCAGCATGGTGAAACCCCATCTCTATTAAAAATACAAAAGTTAGTTGGCATAGTGGTGCACGCATATCATTCCAGCTACTCGGGAGGCTGAGGTGAGAGAATCGCTTGAGCCTGGGAGGAAGAATTTGCAGTGAGCCAAGATTGCACCACTGCACTCTGCCTCAGCAACAGAACAAAAAAAGAAGTCACCGGATTCCTCCAATTCTAGGAGACCTGGTGGGAAAGGCCAAATCCCTGGCTGGCGGGACTTGGATTGGACAACTTTGTGAAAATTGCTTGAATGACTTCCCAACAAAAGAACTGCCACATACTTAAAGCTAACAAAAAGCCCCTTTGCTTTTTAGGGTGCTGTAAACATTCTGTAATTAGATAGTGGTGATGGTGGCACAACTCTGTTAATATACTAAAAATCGCTGAATTGTACACTTAAAATGGTGAATTTTATGGTATGTGGATTATTATATCTTATGGTATGTGAATTATTACATTTTCCAGTAAATGAATTATTATATTGCAAAATAAGAAAAGTGGAAAAAGCCCCTTTATTCCATGTATATCCCATCCTGGGTCAAGAAATTCAGGAATGCTGCCAGGCATGGTGGCTCACGCCTGCAATCCCAGCACTTTGGGAGGCCGAGGTGAGCGCATCACTTAAGGTCGGGAGTTCAAGACTAGCCTGACCGACATGGAGAAACCCCGTCTTTACTAAAAAAAAAAGAAAAAAACAAAATTAGCTGGACATGTGGCACATGTTTGTAATCCCAGCTACTTGGGAGGCTGAGGCAGGAGAATTGCTTGAACCTGGGAGGCGGAGGTTGCGGTGAGTCAAGATTGCGCCATTGCACTCCAGCCTGGGCAACAAGAGTGAAACTCTGTCTCAAAAAAAAAGAAAAAAGAAAAAAAAAGAAATTCAAGGAATGCCAAGATATGGTGACTCAGTTATAGGAGACCATATTCCACAAAGAAAGAAAAGAATCCTTTGACAAATGGTGGTTAGGAGATGTCATCTACTCCGTGCCTGGAGCAATTTGTAGCCAGAGCATAAGCTTTAATTCAGCAAACATATTAACTGTGTGCCAGATACTGTCTAGGCTCTAGGGATTTTTTTTTTTTTTTTTTTTTTTTTTTTTTTTTTTTTGGTAATGAGGAGCTTAGAGTCCTTGCCTTCAGAGTAAGAATGGGGACTCAGATAAGAGGACAGATGACTTGAGGACAGGACAGAACACACCATAGGCAGGAGGGAGGTGCTAAAGTTTTGTTTTAAGGAGGCCCAAAGGGGGACCAGGTCCCATCTGATCACAGGAAACAGGAAAGGAGACATGGAGAATGTAGAATCAGAGATGAACCTGGAAGGGTCCCGACTGGTGGGTGTCCCGATAGATGGAAATGCTTCCCAAGGCTGGTTCAGGTGAGAGGCACCAGAGGAGCAAAGGTTCAGCCACTGGAACATACACAGGTGTTTCCATTTGCCTGGACAGTGGGGCATGTGGGGAAGCAGAGGGAAGCAGGTCTGGAAAAGTGAGGAGGGTCTTGCACATCAGCTGACCGGAATGGATGGATTTGGTCTGTGGAAACAGACTTTATTGGACAGTGACTTAATCACATGTGTTCTTCCCTGACTCTGGGATGGCTCTAGTTTTAAGCAGTAAGGCAGACAAGGTTTGCCTTGGGAAGCCCTCCCTACAATCCCGTCTACCAGATTCCTGGCGTCCTCCTGTCCCCAAAGCCCTCAGCCTGAGTAGGCCCCCTCCTGGGAGATGCTCAGTGAATATCAAATGAGGGAATGAACGAATGCTCCCGACATGTAAGACCCTCATCCGCATATCAAAACTAACCCGTCCAGTGTCCCATCCCTTCAGGACTCTGCTAGAAAAGAGCCAGATTATCTACTCACTTGTTCTCATGAAGGCATTATGGGAAGTTAAAGGTAACCTTCCCAGGTAAAGGTAACTGCGTTTGTAAATTGATGATCTGGAGGAGATCTTAACCCATGGGATTCTGATGGTGGTGTCTCAGGGTGTCCCAGACATCAGAGGTGGCTGTCCACATGCCTCAGATCACACCACTTCCCTTCTTAGGTGACCTCCTACGTGTACAAGTGACCTCCCACGTGTACAAGTGGTGACCTCCCACATGTACAAGTATCTTAAAGGTGATGAAACTGCAGAAGAAAAGCCATCTCCAGCTTGGAAGATGAGTGTCGGTAGCAGCAGAGTCACCACGGTCAGGCCTCTGGGTCGTAAGCTTTGACGGAGGCCCTTTGGTGCCTGGTGCTTTAGGGTCTACTGGGTCTCAATGCATCTTTTATTCATGCAGACAGGTGCCTGTAGCTCATGGCTCATCACTCTAAAAGCCTGAGGTAGGAGAAAGAAAACCTTATAAGCCTTTGTGCTGCATCGATCTTCTTGGACAGAGACTATTCTTGAAGGCTGCCTCCCCATGAATTCAATTTACCCACCCCGGCTTCCCCGAAGCACCTCTTAGTATTTGTGGTTAATCACAATTCATTTGAGCTAAAGATTTATCTTCCCTGCCTTACTCCTATTGGAGTCCCAACCATCTTTTTCCATCTGCCACAGATTTGTCTTTTGGCCGTGCTCCTGGAGGGAGAAATTTGATGAGCGAATGAGCTTGCAGGCTGGAGGCCCGAGAGCCAGTACTCGCCTATCCCTGGCTGATGCGTTTGGGGCTGGGGGTAGGATGGTAGCACTGAGACAGGGCTGGCTTCTGGCATGCAACCCAGGCAGGTGCACAGAGCCCCATGCTTAGAAGTGCCCTGTGTGTGCTTTAATGCTCTGCTGTTGCTGTCTTGAAATTCATAATTTTTGAACAAGGGGTCCCATGTTTTCCTTTTGTGCTGGGTCCCCACAACTATGCAGCCATTCCTGTACAGAGCCATTCCTGTGCAGCGGCTCTCACCGCTGATTGGCTTGGTTTTCTTCTGGGGCCACTGACATGGTCCTAAGTCTGACTGATCTTTCGAAAATGGTGAATCATTGATAACAAAGTTGTTACTGAACTGGTTCCCCAGGTTTTCTCCCCACGGCCTCCACCCCCGTTCAGGCCTCACCATCACCTCCCTGGGCTATTGCGGATTCCTAGACAGCTGTCCCTCCTTCCAGAGCGATGCAGGTCCACAGGGCTGTTGTGCACAACTGCAGGGGGCGCCAGTCATCCAGAACTCACAGTGAAAGGCCCCCTGGAGCACCAGACACATTGTACTCTCTGTGAGTGATGCCCCTGGAGTCGTACAAGGCAGAGGCTCGACAAAGTAGCTGCCAACATTAATTGTAATGGCCAACATTAATTGAGCTCATACCAATATTCCAGGTAATTCACTATGCACTTGACATGCATTTGTTCAAACATTTAATCCTTACCAGAATCCCAGAAGCAGGTAGTAGTACCATGGTCATTTTATGGACAGAAAAGATGATGCTTAAAGAGATCAACCCAAGTACACTAGCTGAGAGCAGGGATTCCAGAGTCAAGACCCCTGGTTCAAATGCTAGCTTGGTCACTGATCAGATCTTGACTTTGAGCCAGTTATCCAACCTCACTATGCCTTGGTTTTCTACTGTAACATGGGAGTAACGAGAAAAACGCCTACTTCTTAGTGTCGTACCTCTCAGGATTAAAAGAGCTAATACAGGTAAATTACTTCCACTCTTCAGCACATGTGAAATGCAATGCATACGTGAACGCATGTATTGGCCATAATTAATACATCCAAGGTCACATAGGTAGTAAATGACCAAAATCAGACTTGAACTCAGAATCAAAGCTCCAAGTTAACCACTGGCCCATTCTGTCCTCCAGGAAGAAAACCAAGAAATCCCAAGTTGAAAGGCATCAGCAAAGTGTGCCTAATTCAGTCTAAGTCTAAAGATGTTTGGTGTCAAGAGTTGGAAACTAATAAGCAGAAAACATGATTCAAAATGTTGACTCTTATCCCTAAATGTATGCTGTTCGTTGGCTCAGAAATGGGTCATTTCACCACATTTCTTCTAATGGCCCTTCACTGTTTACTAGAAGATTCACCCTGGCATATTTCCACATAGTAACAATATTGTTACAATATGAGATGTCAGCACCACATCCTTCTATTAAATGTCTTGCAGGAGCTGAGGGGAGAGTGCTAGGGTTATCTGAGAATTACAGGGTGTGCAAATTGTTCAGGCATTGCTGTATACAAAGGTATTTTTTTTCTTTATCCTGATTCAGTGAGTCGGGAAAGAGAGCAAGTGAGTGCATTTTAAAGATAGGCATCAGGTTATTCAGATGCAGAGCCGTGGCCTTTCTAGGTAAATGGCAGATGAAAATGAAATGCGCTTATAGTGGCTCCTTATTTGAGCTTGATTTTCTTGCAATCCATTCAAGGTGCCAAATCACCATGCCCGGTTAGGCCCAGTGTGAGGTTTCAGCTCTATGTGCTCACAAAGGACGTACGATTGAGGAAGTGTGGGTTCCAAATTACCTCCACTCTCGGGGAAGAGCGGATGGCTCCAATGCCATATGCAAAAATCATGCTGCTGCTCCCCAAACTGCAGTTGACCTTGAAGCCAATGACAGCATTGCCTGGCTTAAAATATTAACTAGAGAGTTACCAGGGAGAGCAGGCGCCTGAGCTATAATTGTTAATTAGTAGCCAGTACTGCAGTGCCCAAGATACAAATGACAAGAAAGTAACATCAGATTTAGACTGTTTTTAGATGGAGTTGGAGAGTCATGCTATGTAAGAGTTTATCTGACTAAATAAGTGCTTTAATAAGATGAAATATAATTACAATGATAAGAATTCCCTTTTACTGAGCACCTACTGTAGACGCCAGGCATTTTGCTAAGCACACACCCATAAGGAGGTCACTGGATTCTAACAACGATTCTGCAAGATCATTATTAACATTCCCATTTTACAAGGGAGGAAACAAGTTCAGAGATGTTGATTAACTTGTCTCACAGACACTAAGTGGCAGGGCTGAGGTTTCAACCCAGAGACAGTTGGTTTGGAAGCGTATGCCTTCCACCTCCTCACGTGCCATGTGCTGTTATTAATATTTTTCAGGAGGAAGCACAGCTCTGCAGTGAGAAACATTGCCTCTACTTCTTGAGTAACAAGGAAATAACAACAATGATCAGGGCAAAGAGGTGGAAGTATATTATTTAATCTTCACAACAATTCTCTAAGAAAGATATTATTCTCATCTCCATCTTAGAGATGAGGAGACTGAGGCTTAGACGGGGTAAATAACTTGTCCTGGGCCATAATGATAGAGAGGTAACTGTAAAGTCTGCAAAGGGCAGGTGGGGAAAAGATGAGAAGGTGTTGGTGAGGGTCGGAGCAGGAAGGTCACTGGGGAGAGGGAGTAACATGAAGCTCCCGCGGAGGAGGTGTAGCAATTTTCTACAGCGCCAGAGGAACGGGCCTCCCCTGAGGTATCCATTCTGTCCACAGGGTAAGATTTGGCGCCATATTTGTTCTCCATGACACCACTCTTAGGCCATAGCTGATTGGACCCCAAGAGAACATCTGACCCAAACCATCCAATAAGATTATTTCTCTCAAAAGCCTGAACTGAGAGACACTGAGCCAGTCAATGACAAAGTTCCCAAGGGAAGGTTGGGAAAGTTCTTCCATGGGGGTCCACAGGGCTGCCTTGCTTGCTTCCCAGTTTTCCCAAGGCTTGGCTGTCAACTTTTTTTGGAATCCATGAGACACGCTTATATTCCTCCAATAAATCCCCTTTTCTACTTAACTTGGCTGACATTGGTCCCTGTTACTTGCAGCCAAATGAATCTTAGGGTCCACGCCACTCCTTAAACACCTTCTAGAAGCTTGACGTTATGCACCCCCGTGCTTACATCTTAATCTCTCAAAGTACCCCCGAGGCATTATCTCATTTTACAGCTTAAAAAAAAAAAAAAAAAAGTAAGCAGTCTAGCCGAGATCAAAATCAAGATGTATTTGACTTCTGGAACTATGTATTTCCGATTCGGGGCTGCTGAGAAGAGGCTATTCTCAGACATGGTGATATCACTCCAGCCCAGTGCCCACATGTATTTCCGCCTGTCCCAGAATCACCCTTTGTTAATTTGCAGCTTTCTCTGGTCTGGAGTAGTCACTTGAATGACTTTTTTTTGAGACAAAGTCTTGCTCTGTTGCCCAGGCCGGAGTGCAGTGGCATGGTGTTGGCTCATTGCAGCCTCGACCTCCCGGGCTCAAGTGATCCTCCCACCTCAGCCTCCCAAGTACCAGAGACTAGAGGCATGTGCCACCACGCTTGGCTAATTTTTGTATTTTTTGTAGAGACGGGGTTTTACCATGTTGACCAGGCTGGTCTCAAACTCCTCACCTCAAGTGATCTGCCCGCCTCAGCCTCCCAAAGTGCTGGGATTACAGGTGTGAGCTGCCATGCCCGGCCCTTGAGTGACTTTGGGTGCTGCTTATGGTGCCACACCTTAATGCAGGGAGAGAGGAGGAGGGTCTGCAGAGAGCCCATACCTCCCCAGACTCCCTCTCTGATGGTCAGTTTTCAATGTCAACTTGGCTAGGTTATAGTCTCCAGTTATTCAACCAAGCACTCATCTAGGCGTTGCCAGGAAGGTATTTTGTAGATGTGATTAAAACCCATAATCGGTTGGCTTCAGGAAAAGGAGTCTGTCCTAGATAATCAGGGTGGGTCTGGTTCAACCAGTTGAAAGGATGTGGGAGCAGAGCTGAGGCTTCCTTGATAAAGAAGAAACTCCACCCGAGGCAGCAGCTTCACCCCTGCCTGACCAAGAATTCCAGCCTGCCCTGTGCGTTCCAGACCTGCCTCACCAACCCCACCATCGCCTAAGCCAATGCCTTCCAACAAATCTCTTAATATGTATCTCCTAGTGGGTCTGCTTCTCTGGTTGAACTCTGACTGGTACAACCCTTCTTAGGGGTCACTGCTGTCCACAGATGAGGACCCCAACTTTTGGCACAGTCTCTCCTCGCCTCTCCAGTTTGGTCCTCATAACCTCTATTCATCGCAGTCTCTCTGGCTCCAGACTCAGCCTCAAGTCCTCCACCCCCATTACTTCCATCACAACCCCTGCCAGGCCAGGTCTCTTGTGCGCCCATGCCCTTCTGTCTTCCAGGAGCCCCTCTGCCGTGCCTGCCTACCAGAAAACACCTACTCCTCAGCCAGGACCCCGCTCAAGGCCACCGCCTGAGTGAAGCCTTCCATGACTTCTTCAGGCAGGCACGGTGCTCTTCCCTCCATACCCAGATGGCTAAGATCGACAGCAGTGGGATCATTTCTTAGCACTTTCTTGGCTTGGCTGTTCTCACCTGAGGACAGAGAGCATATCTTTTCACCTCTTATCTCTAGGGTCTAGCCCAGGACGTGGCACATAGATAAATTTTTGTTCAATAAATGCCTGAATGCAAGCATCCATGCCTAGGGTCCTGGTTTTGCAGAAGAGAAGTCCTGGAGCAGAACTTGGCTTCTCGGGGTCACCGTGAAGGACAGTTGGTTTTTATCAGTTCTCTGCATGTGGGCTCTTCCTCTTGCAGTGGCTCAGTCTGCAAAAGGAGCCCCTGCTGGTGAGATTTTCTGGCCTCCCTGCCTGGCTTTGGGCTCTATTATTAGGATGAATTCCTGCATGACCTTTAAGATTAAAACTAAATGTTCTGATCTCTCCCCAGACAGGTATTAGGTGCTGGAAATGGCATTTTGCAGGGACCATGTTGAGTAGCAAACTCCAAATATCAGCCTCATCACATTCTGACATGTTACAGCCAATCTAAGCTGAGGCTGCACTGAGCACTTCAGGGCTGAGCACCCCCTAAAGGCAGCAATTTTCTCTTTTTTTCATGCTAGCTCCTCCAGTGGGCATCTCTCCTGAGTCTCTCGAGAAGCTACTCTTCAGGGAAATGAGACCTACGTCCTTGGTATTGCCTCTATCTGCTGGGGTTACCACAGAGAAGAGGGTTATCAGCAAACAAAGGTCAGCAGGACTGTCAGGAAAAATTAGCCCTCTACAGATGCCGCCAGGCCTGCTGCTATAATCTGTAATGAAAACATTTGCAGCGAGGTTGGGGGGATGCCTCTACCCTGGGATTCCTCCAGCGACTCAGGAAAACCACAAATGGCCTTAATCAGGAAACATACTAAGAGTTCCTAGATTGGGACTCCTTTGATTAAAGGGAAAACCTAATTAGATAATTGTTTCCATAGAAACTTAGGTATATTTATTATTGCTTTTATAGGCCTCTTCAATTACTAAAATGAAGGAACACACTTTAAGCATGGTCCAAGTTTGCATAGGAGGTGCATTTCTTTTTCTTTTCTTTTTTTTTTTTTTTTTTTTTTTTGCTCTTTGAGGTGGAGTCTTGCCCTGTTGCCCAGACTGGAGTGTAATGACGCGGCCTTGGCTCACTGCAAACTCTGCCTCCTGGGTTCAAGCGATTCTCCTGCCTCAGCCTTCCCAGTAGCTGGGATTACAGGTGCGTGCTACCATGCCGGGCTAATTTTTGTATTTTTAGTAGAGACGGTGTTTCACCATCTTGGCCAGGCTAGTCTCAAACTCCTGACCTCAGGTGATTTCACCCGCCTCGGCCTCTCAAAGTGCTAGGATTACAGGCGGGAACCACCGCACCCAGCCGGGAGGTGCATTTCAATGAGGAGCTAAGAATCATACATTTGCAGCTGCTCACTTATCGATCAATATATTTGCCTAAAGAGGGTGGAAGTCCCATCTTCGGCATTAGAAATAACTGCTGGTTCCTACTAGTCATAATTTTGATGCTAATAATAGCAAACACATATATGGCATTCTTTATATGTGCCAGACACTATTGTAAACCTTTACAAAAGATCTGACAGACAGGTTCCATTCTTATGCCCACTTTACAGATGAGGACACTGAGGCTCAGGGAGGTGATAGAACTTGTCCAAAGACACAGAACTCAAAGTGGTGGAGTCATAATTGAAATAAACAGAACATGGATCGTGGAATTCAGTCCGTATATGAACCACCAATTATTGACAATTTTTTATGATTGGGGGCTGAATTCACATTAATTTAAAAATAACAATAGCTTCCGTTTATTGAGCATGCTTATGTGCCAGAGATTGTGCTGTTTTTCATGCCCAGGCTGGTCTTGAACTCCTAGGCTCCCATCTAGGCCTCCCAAAGTGCTGGGCTGGGATTACAGGCGTGAGCCACTGCCCCCGGCCTCTTGATGGGTTTTAAAGGTACAAACTACTACAGGAGGTGCTGACTAGCCTCTAAGTCAGTAACATTGCAACCTTGAATTTGAGAACTGAGAAGGTCCCCTCCTATCTGGACCCCTCAGTTTTCAACATCTTCATTTGCTCTTATAAATTAGGCCAAATTCCAGATGTTCAGTTTGCATTTGTAAAGGCTGCTCGAGCACGCATGTTTAGAGTTGTAAATATCCCCTTCTGAAGCTGACCCTGGGCTTAGAAAACACAGTAATTCATTTTAAAATCTGGCACCTGAAAGGACATTTTTAAATGGGGATATGATTTCTTAGCACTTGAAACTGAGGTTTATGCCTTTTTTGTTTTTTGTTTTTTTTCTTCAGACAGAGTCTTTCTCTGTTGCCCAGGTTGGAGCGCAGTGGCGCGATCTCGGCTCACTGCAAGCTCCGCCTCCTGGGTTCACGCCATTCTCCTGCCTCAGCCTCCCGAGTAGCTGGGACTACAGGTGCCTGCCACCATGCCCGGCTAATTTTTTGTATTTTTAGTAGAGACGGGGTTTCACCGTGTTAGCCAGGATGGTCTCGATCTCCTGACCTCGTGATCCACCTGCCTCGGCCTCCCAAAGTGCTGGGATTACAGGTGTGATCCTCCGCGCCCGGCCAAGTTTCTTGCCTTTTAATGTTATTTACTCTCGGTGCCTTCAGTGTCCCCCACTCCACTCGGCACCCTCTGGGCTCCTGTAACTCCAGCTGCAAGTGCAGAAGGGATTTTGCTGTTTCCGAACACCGAATCCTCTGCTTCTTCTCTCCTCCATTTCTAAGTCAAGATAAAAAATATTTTGAACTTTTATCAGTTTATACCTCAGTCAATAGCGGAGCTCAGGACTCAATTCACTCTAGACTGGTGATCATCAGTCATTGTCCCTACAATATCAGAAGGAAAATCATACACGATCATCACCTGTTAGTGTCCATGGTATTCCAGGTGCCATGCTGAGCACTTCGTATTTTTTATTTCATTCTGTTTCATCTGTAGCCTCTAGAATAGTACTTTGTCTTAATTGTGAAATGCCTAGGCCCCATGAAAGAACTAAGAGGTTTATTTATAGCATCTTGCTTAATTTTCACACCAACCCTATGGGGCAGATTCTAATTACTATCTCCATTTGACAGAAGAGAAACCGGAGGCTCCCACATGTTATGCAACTTGCCAAGGCCATCCAGGCAGTGAGTGGGAGGACATGGCTCATCCATTCACTCAACAGATAGTTTTTGGGCTAATGCAATAGTAAATGAACCCACAAACTAGCTCCTCCACACATTCCAGAGTGGAGGAGACACTCAACCTCCAAATGCCTGCTAGAGAGATGCGCTAGGAATGAGATAAAGCAAGAGAGAGGGGAGGCTGGGAAGAGACAGGGAGGGCATCTCTGAAGACGTGACATCTCAGCCAAGACCCAAAGGACAAGCCAGAGGGGCTGCACAGAGAGCAAAGATCGGGCCAAGGCTTTGAGGCAGAGGCAACAGCAAACTCAAAAGCCCTAAAGAAGAAACACGTTTAGCTCAAAATTGGTTCTGATGCCCTAAAAGCTTTCCATATTCTAAAGCTCTCCCTTGGGACTCAGACAATACCTGGGATCATATCAAGACATACCTCATGCGTTTGTTGGGAGGAATTAATGAGACAAAGCTTGTCAAGCACTTAGCAGTGAGCCTGACACCAGTGAAATGTTACCTGTTATTGCAAAATCATCATTAACCCCAGGTACACTGCAATTAGCATCAGCAATGCACGAGAGAATGTATACCCATCACTAGCCTTGAAATATTTCTTAAACGGGAGTCAACTTTTTGTGTCTTGTTTACGTGTCACTTCACTTTGGGAGAGGTCACTGGTAAATCAGCTGCCAAGAAAAGAAAGTTGAACAAATTCTCTACTGAATAATGGGGTTGTTTAGAATACACTGAGCCTTAATCCCAGGAAAAAAATAACAAAGCCAAACCCTTCCCAGGAACTGTTCATAGAAGAGAGCCTGTCAGCAGGAAATTAACAAAGTGCACAGCAGATAATCAATAGTAACCAGCCCAGGAAATAAAGAAGAAAGCAATTGCCCTGTAGACCTACATCTCATTTGTTTAGTATTTCTGCGAGGTCAGGGGCCGATGTCAATCCATCATGGTTCTTAAATTCAGAAGTAAATATATTCATGAGCAGCAAGGGGCAAGCTGTTTGTCATGCAAGAGGCCTGCACGTGCAAAGGCCGGGGAAGGTATGAGAGTGCCCCAGGAAGCTTCTGGCCGTACCCTCCAATGCCAAGAGCTGGGAGCCTGCAGGCTCCAGAAAAGCCCCAGAGGGAAGCCGGGGGGCCCACACTGCCTCCTAGTGGCAGGATGTGTAGGAGTCATAAATTCTGTGGTCTCTAGTTTGCCAAACTAATCTGGGAATTGGATCTGGTGGGTTGTTTGTCCAAAGATGACTGCAAGGATGTTTCCCATTCTCCATGGCACATGGTCTTTCGCCATGTGGCCTATGGAGAGGTGGAGGGATTTCCTGACCTTGGATTTGGGTGGGCCCTGTCTCGCGGAACACAGAGAAAGTGACACTGGGTAAATTTGAGGCTGAGCCTTAAAAGGTCTGCAGCTTCACCTGTGTCATGGAAACACTCACTCTTCAGATTCACGAAAAAGGAGCCCAAGCTAGTCACATGACCAGAGCCAGGTGCAGAGAGAAAGAGAGAGGCCTCAGGCTCCCAGTGTTCCCACCCAGGTGCCAGACCCACAAGTGAAGCTGCCTTGGACATCTCAGCCCAGCTGCTGTCCAAATGCAGTCTCATGAAAGTTCCTGCCGGCTGCATGTGAGCAGAAAAACCCAGCCCAGCTTTACCAGAATTCTTGACTTACAGAATTCTGAGCAAATAAAAATGGTTGTTTTTTTAAGCTGCTAAATTTTGGGGTTGTTACCAAGCAGAGTCCACGGGTGGTATAAAAATACTGGGGGTTGTTACGTGGCAAAAGAGAACTGAAACACTGGATAACCAGTACCTGTGATGTGTGTGCACCTTGGGTTTTTCTGAGGATCTTGTGGAGATGAGGAATTGTGAGCAAAAGGGGAGGTGGCATTAGTACTGAGAAATAAAAATAAAATCCTAAGCTTCCCAATGGACTGAACGGATCTCCACTTGGCCAAGGGAACCCAGAGAAATGTAACAAGCTGAGTTCCCTGCCCTGACGGGACGGGAGGCATTGCCTCATGATGTCCCCTTCCTCTCTAACTGCCATTGGATGTGGGTTTTTTTTTTTTTTTTTTTTCTTAAGGGTTAAACAGAAAGCAGGCTTTTTGGAAGAGTGGCCAGGCTCCCCTTCCTTTTGCGGTTTTGACACAACAACCAGCCAGCATTCTTTCCTGGTAAGAGACCACCAACTATAAATGTTTCTGGCTGGTTTATGGAGGCTGCAGGCAGGATGCCTTTGTGTCCTCTGTGTCACTTTTGATGGAGACAGCCTAATTTTAATGCATTTAAATGTTAAGACTCAGAGACTCCATCTTGAATAGAGATTGGGTAAAATAAGGCTGAGACCTACTGGGCTGCATTCCCAGGAGGTTAAGGCACTCTTTTTCACAGGATGAGACAGGAGGTTGGCACAGGATACAGGCCATAAAGACCTTGCTGATAAAACAGTTTGTAGTAAAGAAGCTGGCCAAAACCCACCAAAACCAAGATGGTGGCGAGAGTGACCTTTGATCGTCCTCATGGCTCATTATATGCTAATTATAATGAATTAGCATGCTAAAAGACACTCCCACCAGCACCGTGACAGTTTACAAATGCCACGGCAATGCAGGAAGTTACCCTATATGGTCTAAAAAGGGGAGGAACCCTCAGTTCTGAGAATTGCTCACCCCATTCCTGGAAAACTCACAAGTAATCTATCCCTTATTTAGCATATAATCAAAAAGTAACAATATGTATCCTCGGTCAAGCAGCTCAAGCCATTTATTCAGACCCGAGTGACAATGAGGAGGCAGAGTGACGAGGAAGTCTGGATGAAGAGAGTTCCAAGAAGGAAGAGCAATTGCAAAGTACTTGAACATGCTTGGCTAGTTCAGGGGACAGAAAGAAGGTCCTAAGGAGGAGAGATGGAAGCAGATGCTGGGTGAAGTTGGAGAGGTGAGGAGGGCCGGGCCCTGTGGGGGTCGCATGGGGCATAGAATTGGGATTGGCATTGATCCTGGCAGCATGAGGAGGCCCTCGGAGGGAGAAGTTGTACTTCATGGTGCTTATACGCAAGGGCACTGGGGTCAGCTAGACCTCTTATTAGTACTCTCATTAGCTACGTATCATGAGGCGTCTCTCAGAGCTTCAATTTCTTCATCAGATTAAAGGAATAAAGAAATGCCTACTTCAGGGCTGGGCGTGGTGGCTCATGCCTGTAATCCCAGCACTTTGGGAGGCTGAGGCAGGCAGATCACGAGGTCAGGAGCTCGAGACCATCCTGGCTAACACGGTGAAACCCCGTCTCTACTAAAAATACAAAAAAAAAAAAAAATTAGCTGGGTGTGGTGGCGGGCGCCTGTAGTCCCAGCTACTCAGGAAGCTGGCGTGAACCCGGGAGGCAGCACTTGCAGTGAGCCGAGATTGCGCTGCTGCACTCCAGCCTGGGTGACAGAGCGAGACTCCGTCTCAAAACAAAACAAAACACAAAACAAAACAAAACAAAGAAGAAATACCGACTTCAAAGACGTCTCTTTTTTTTTTTTTTTTTTTTTTGAGACAGGGTATTGCTCAGTTGCTCAGGCTAGAGGGCAGTGGCCCTCATAGCTCACTGCAGCCTCATTGTCCCGGACTCAAATGATCCTCCTGCCTCAGCCACTGAAGCAGCTAGGACTGCAGGTATGCGCCACTATGCTTGGCTAATTAAAAACAAAACAAAGCAGATTGTGGAGATAAGGTCTTTCTGTGTTGCCCAAATTGGTCTCCAACTCCCGAGCTCAAGCAATTCTCCCACCTAGGCCTCTCAAAGTGCTGGGATTACAGGTGTGTCACTGCGCCCGGCCCAAAAAGTTACCATGTAGATTAAATGAGATATCCGTGATGTCCTTAGCAGAGTGCCTGACACATGGTAGAGACACAATAAATGGCTGCGGTTAGACATCTCGGACAGCACCTTAAAGTTCAACAGTATAAGAAGAAGAGGTATTTGAAGGAGACCTTGTGTCCAGCCTGGATGAAGAGCGCTTAGTTGGGTGCAGTGGATGCAGTGAGGGCAGATCCCAAGGACAGGGGTCTGGGTCATGTGCCTTTGGTGGGCATAGCACTCTGTGCCACCTACAGGGAAGCATGAGGTATGCCCACCTGCGTTACTATTCCTTGGCCCCACTTCCTAAATCCCACAACGGAGTCCAGGTGCAGTGGCTCACGCCTGTAATCCCAGCACTTTGGGAGGCCGAAGCGGGCAGATCACCTGAGGTCAGGAGTTCAAGACTAGCCTGGCCAACACGGTGAAACCCTGTCTCTACTAAAAATACAAAAATTAGCCAGGCGTGGTAGCCTGTAATCCCAGCTACTTGGGAGGCTGAGGCAGGAGAATCGCTTGAATCTAGGAGGCAGAAGTTGCAGTGAGCTGAGATCGCGCCATTGCACTCCAGCCTGGGCGTCAGAGCAAGACTCTGTCTCAGAAAAATAAAATAAAATAAAAAATAAACCCCACAGTGGAAGTCCAGGAGAGGGTCGCAGTGATCACGCAGGACCACACTCACTATGGTGGTTCCATGTGGAAGAGACCTGGGTGTCGACCGCTGTAGGAAAGGGCCTGTGACGCCTTCAAGTGTAAAGACTGGACCCGGTGGCCCGGACCCTCCCTTTAGGAGGACGTGCTCTGTGGTCTCAGGACACTTGAGCTTTTGCAGCCTCTCTGGCTGACATGTATCTTATGAACACAATGAATTCCCACCTGCCCCTTTCTCCTGCTTCAAGATAGATGCTATGAGCCTAAGGCTAAATCGGTAGCTTCTCAAGAGGAAATGTGATGAGCAGCATGGCGCACGTTGAGGAAGTGTGGCGAGCAGCATGGCGCATGTTTTACGTCCTCATATTCCCCTCGGAGCCACCTTCCTCTCAGCTTCTGTCTGCCCACTGAGCTTGTGTCAGGAGCCCAGGTTCTCATGATCTACCTTCTCCTGTGTCCACATCACAAGGCGTGGACGCCAAGGCTGACCTGGATCATCTCTGAGGGCCCCATGCTCACCAGCTGGGTAGTCATGGACATGTTAATTAACCTCCTCAGTGTCTTCATCAAACCTGACGAAGGAACAGCATTTATTTCCTCCAGGGGAAGCATGACGCTGGAACAACAGAATGCTCATAAAACCCTTAGCACAGTGACTGCCTAGAATGAGCTGCTATTAAAGCCACTTCTGTGCTACTGTGTTGGAAACAAAGACACACATTACTAAAGACTCTGATGTCGGAGGCCACAGAACATGGAGGAGAAAACCAACCCTTTGGCCCTCACTCTCTGCATCTGTAAAATGGGATCATACCTGGTTGCCAATGTCCCAGGCTGCTGAGGGTCAAACGAGGTGATTTATGCACCAAGCACTGTCTATTGTAAACACCCGTGAGCCTCTTAGGTGCAGAGTGTGGGTGGGCCCTGGTATGGTGGGATACAGCTGCTCTCTCCAGGATCTGCCTTTCCCAGGCCTGGGAGCTCCATGAGGGCAGGACCGTGTCTGCTTTTGATCAATCAAGTGCTGGATATTCCATGGGCTCTCAATCGATACCGTAAGGTGAACGAAGGAGAAGGGACAATGGCAGGGGATGTCAGGGAACTTTCCACAGGTAGATGATGTACCACGGACTTGGAGGCAGCAGGTCCTGACTTACAGGATCAGAGATAAGATAAAAAAATCTGCTCAAGGGCTGGGCATGGTGACTTACACCTGCAGTCCCAGCACTTTGGGAGGCCACGGTGGGAGGATCACTTGAGGTCAGGAGTTCAAGACCAGCCTGGGCAGCATAGTGAGAACTGATCTCTTCTAAAAAATTTTAAAATGTTAACAAAAAATTAGCCAGGTGTGGTGATGCATGCCTGTAGTCCCAACTACTTGGGAGGCTGAGATGGGAGGATGGCCTGAGCCCAGGAGGTCAAGGTTACAGTGAGCTATGATTGCACCACTGCACTCCAGCCTGGGTGACACAGCGAGATCTTGTCTCAAAAAAAAAAAAAAAAAAAATCTGTTCAAGAACCAAGAAAAGGTAGGCATTGTGAGGGTGAGTGTGGGTGTGAGAAGGGGAAAGGGAGGAGATAAGCGGAGAACCATTTGTTTGCTGAGTTTCTGTATGTTCAGGGCACTGGGAAAGGGGCTTTCGAATCCCCCTAATGAGCCTGTGGGGTTGGCATTATGATCCCATTTTACAGAGAAAAGAAGTGAGGCCCACAGAGGCGACCCTGCCAAGTCCACAAATCCGGGACCACAGAGCTGGAGTTCTACTTTCTATCAGACTCTAAGACCAGTTTCACCCCCAGACTGCCTCTTGGGGACACAGGGGTGAGAGAGAAGAGAAAGAGAAGTCGAGGCTTAGGGAAGAGGTAAGAGCTATCGGTGCTGGAAAAGAAAGCATGTGGGGTCTTTTGCTAGCGTTGGGTCTCCTGGATCCTTGGATGACTTAATGCAGAGTTGAAAATGGCGGCAGCTCAGGTGAACAGCCCACAAGGGCGCCTTGGTTGGCAGCAGCCATGGGCTGGAGGGCTTTGGCGGTGAGAACCACTTTTTTCTAATTAGTGTTGACAGGTCTTCCCTGCCTGTTTCCTTCAAGCTTCCCTCAGTGCCATCAGTCCTGGAAAGATGGTGTTTTCTTTGGAGGGGAGGGGAGGAGAGCAGGCCTGGCCTGGGCTGGGACCTGCCGCAGCTCCCAGGAAGGCTGAGTTCATTAGAGATGGCAGCCCCGGAAGCCCAGGCCACAGAGGCCTCATTAGCAGCACTGCCAGGCTAAGTGACGCCAATGGGTAACCGGCTGCATAGAGGCACTGGCTATGGTGGTTGCAGTGTTTTAGAAGAGGAAGAAGGAGAACCGGGTGGCGGGTGCCTGACCTCATTTCCAACTCCCTATGGCTCTGGAAAGTCAACATCATCTTTTCCACCATCTCAGATGAGGAAGCTGAGATTCGGGGAAGCCAGGCCCTTTTGCCTCCCAGTGACCACTCTGGAAGGGCCTTCCTCCCTCGGGGGTGTTTACGTTTCACACCTTAGTGCAGAGTTGATTTGAGGCAGAGTTGAAAATGCTACAAGAAGGGAGACCCCGTGGAGTGGAGGGCGTTGTTGAAAGCCATTTGAAGCAATGGCATCGTGGGCAGGTGAGGTGGGAGGTGGATTGGGTGGGGGGTGGTCTTCTCATACGCCAGGCCACCACTGTGTGCCACAGTCCCACTGTAGCTCACCCCATGACTAGCGGGATCTCAGTATCAGATCTCTTCCGGAAGTGTTGGGGCCGTCTTTGTCCTGAAGATAATTGTGAAAGGCTCCAAAAGGAGCAGGCACCTCTAATCTTGCCAAGCTTCTTCCACATGCAGGAGAGGGCAACCTTTTCTCTCCACCAGATGCTACCTTTGTGGGGGACTAGGGTCACCCACCTGACCCTCAAATGCCCATTTCCTGAGACCCCCATGAAGAGGCCGCCTGTGGACATTCATACCATTCTCTTGGCTGGTGGGGAACCATGGAAGAGAGATGACTCAACTGCGCAGAAGCTGCCTGGGCCCCTCACACCCCAGGCACGGGAAACCCAAGCACACAGAAGGCCAATGTGGTGTGCCCCAGTGGAAAATTCTGGGGGAAAATTCTCAGCTTTCTCTTTCTTGGTAGAGAAAGGTCTGTGTTGAGGAATGTGACCTTCAGAGCTAGGCCTTGGTGCTCTTAAGATCAATCCATGGTTAGAAATAGCGGACCCTCGGGGAAGGGGTCTCCAGCCCACTCTAGATATTCGTGGAAATGCAGCAAAGGCTTTTCAGGGCTTCAAATATTGTCTGAATCGGGAGCCACCTGTGTCTCTGTGAGAAGATCAGGTGACCTGGCAGGTCAAGGGTGCTGTGATCCTCTGTCATTGCTCAGTCAACAAACATTCATCACAAGCTCACTTCTTCACTTAGATCCAAGAGGGGTCTCTTTTTTTTTTTTTTCTCAATCTATTAAACGTATTAGGTGATTGGGGCAGGGGTGGTGGTGCAGGATCTCACTCTGTCACCCAGGCTAGAATGTCATGGTGCAGTCATAGCTCACTGCAGCCTCAAACTCTTGGGCTCAAGGGATTCTCCCACCTCAGCCTCCTGAGGAGCTGGGACCACAGGTGCATGCCACCACTCCTGGCTAATTGTTAAATTTTTTATAGAGACAGGGGTCTTACTATGTTGCCCAGGCTGGTCTCAAACTCCTGGGCTCAAGCGATCCTCCTGCCTCGGCCTCCCAAAGTGCCAGGATTACAGGCGTGAGCCACCGCACCCAGGCCCATCCTAGACTCTTGTTCCCCAACCAGAAGGGACACCCTCATTGAGAAAAATGCCAAATGCAAGATGAGAAGGGAAACATTCAAAGACTCAGAGAAAGCCTGAGATAGACCCATTAGGACCCGATCAAGGTCTTCCATCCTCCACCAGATTAAATTTTTTTGTCATCTTAGAAAGAGCACCAATTTCTTCTTTCTCTACCTCCTTAAGTCTCCTGCAGCCCAGAGATGCTGCCTGCTGTCTTGGAATCTTTGTCTTCAAAATCAGAACAATTTCATATCCTTGATCTCATCTCTCCTTGGAACATTCTTTACAGGAGTTTGGGGCAGTATTTCTACCCCTTTATTAGGCATTTATTTTTATTATTTATTTATTTTTGAGACAGTCTCCCTCTGTCACCCAGGCTGGAGTGCAATGGCACGGTCTTGGCTCACTGCAACCTCCGCCTCCCGGGTTCAAGCAATTCTCCTGCCTCAGCCACACGAGTAGCTAGGATTAGAGGCACCTGCCACCAGGCCTGGCTAATTTTTGTATTTTTAGTAGAGACGGGGTTTCACCATGTTGGTCAGGCTGGTCTCAAACTCATGACCTCAGGTGATTTGCCCGCCTTGGCCTCCCAAAGTGCTGGGATTACAGGTGTAAGCCACCTCGCCCAGGCCTATCCTAGACTCTTGTTCCCCAACCAAAAGGGACACCCTCATTGAGAAAAATGCCAAGTGCAAGATGAGAAGGGAAATATTCAAAGACTCAGAGAAAGTCTGATTTAGACTCATTAGGACCCGATCAAGGTTTTCCATCCTCCACCACATTAAATATTTTTGTCATCTTAGAAATATTAGCCATTCCTTCTTTCTCTACCTCCTTGAGTATCCTGCAACCCAGAGATGCTGCCTACTGTCTTGGCATCTTTGTTTTCAAAACCAGAACAATTTTATATCCTTGATCTCATCTCTCCTTGGAACATGCTTTTACAGGAGTTCGGGGCAGTACTTCTACCCCTTTATTAGGCATTTAAAAAAATTCTTTCTTCCTCGGGGCCCTCCTTCTCTGTGATAGCATATTGTTCATATGGCAATGATCACAGCGAATCATTCTGGGTGGGATTCCTGCTCACCCCGCACCCTCCTCCCACACTGGGGATGGCGGGAAGGGTAAGATCACATGGATGGGTGTCCCGAATTTGGGCAGATCCAGTCATCGTGAGCTCAACTGAACATGGGAACACCTGTGGGATGAGGAGCTGGGACATGTGGTCTCGATGTCTCCCTGTTCCCCTTACCCTCCTTTCTCAGTAAATTGACATTTTCCAGCCTCAAAGTTAATTCCTGCTTCTGTTTGGGGGAGGGGAAGAGAACTGTTTCCATTTAGTAATCTCTGAACAATTGAAAATGCATGTTTCTCTCTTAACATCAGAGGCCTGTTTCTTTTTAAGGCCTAACGTGTTTGAAAATTCAATTTCCTAACTTTGACCACTTTTTGTATGATGGCTATTAAGAATGACAAATGGGACTTTGGAGATATTTTGCTAGTTTCTTTGTTAAACTCCAGGCTAAATTTGTTTCTCCAGCCCCCAATCCCATTCCCACTCTTCCTCCCAGGGCTGCCGTGGTGTATGGCCCTGGGGAAGATATTCACACATAGTCTAACTGATGGCTCAAAGAATTGTACAGCCACAGAACCACCCGTGTTCCTTATCTTAGCAAATAGTATCACCTCCTTACAGTTTCTCGAAACAGCCATCCCCCTTGCCCTCATCCCTCATAGTCAATCAACAACCCAGTTACACTGATTCTACCTGTTGAGTATTTCATATATCCCTGGCATTATCCGTTCTCTATCACAGCATCCTGGTCCAAGCTACCATCCTCCTTCTTGCCTGGCTACATACATTAGCTTCAAAATGAGATTCCCCATTGACTGTTGACCATCCTATCAGTTCTCCACACTGTAGCTAGAGAGATCTTTTAGGATGCAAATCATCAGGCACCATGCCTGTTTAAAACCTTCTATGGCTTTCTCTTTTCCTTAGGCTGAAGTCCAAACTTTCACCATGGCCAACTGCAGAGTGATCCGGACCCCAACCATGTCTCTAGCTTGACCCATCCACTCTTTCCCATGATTTCTTGGCTCCAGCCACCCTGGACTATTCTCTGAGGTCCTGGTTCACTCTACCTCAGGACCTTTGCACATCCTGCTCCCACTGTTCACTTGGCTTTATCCCTGCTCAACCTCCAGGGTTCAGTTTACCCATCACCTGCTCAGAGGGGCCATCCCTGATCTCTGAGCTGAGTTACACTCCTACACTTAGGATCCTATAGCCCGGTCCCAAACCCAGAATACTCAGTTACTTCGTCAACATCTACCTATCCCGTCATATTGTAAGCAACCAACAGGTCTGTAATTTATCACTGGAATCTCATTGGCAGCACACAGAGGATGGTCAATCCATGTTTGCTGACTAAATGAACGAATGAAGGACCAGTGTTAATTTCCCGCAATCACTTAGACACTAATCAAGAGCCCTCTGTTGGTAAGACCTGGAAGGGCAGGCCGGGCACGGTGGCTCACGCCTGTAATCCCAGGACTTTGGGAGGCTGAGGCAGGTGGATCACCTGAGGTCATAAGTTTGAAACTAGTCTGGCCAACATGGTGAAACCCTGTCTCTACTAAAAATACAAAATTAGCCGGGCGTGGTGGTGGGCGCCTGTAATCCCAGATACTCAGGAGAATGAGGCACGAGAATCGCTTGAACCCGGGAGGCAGAGGTTGCAGTGAGCCAAGATAGCGCCGTCGCACTCCAGCCTGGGCAACGAGAGCACGACTCCGTCTCAAGAAAAGAAAAAAGACCTGCAAGGGTGAAAAATCTGACCAAGGTATAGTTCCCTACACTCAGGGGACTTTCCAAAAGCCAATAACGTGGTTCTGCAATTCAGATGGGGGTGACATTGATGATCCTAACCCAAGCAAAAGTCCATGGAAACTAGCACGCCAAGCTTATCAGAGTGAAGGACTGATGACAGGGTCAGACTCAAAGGTGCTCTGCTTCCTGCTGCTGGCCTTGATGGGCTTGGCTCCAACCACTGTGAATGGACAGCAAAGGGAGCTCTAAAGGGTTGAGCCTTCAAATGGGCTCTTTGCCTGGTAATTAATTCACTCATTAACTCAGAAGCTTTTACGGAAAGTCAACTAGCTGTGAAGAATTCTGCAATGCTCTAGGGAAGAGGTAGCTGCACACTGGTCAAATTCAACCCAATGTGATGGTACTTTTTAAAATTTTGAATGAATTTCTGATGATTGAAAAATTGGGACATTTCACATGGCGCGAATCTCCGGCTTCCCTTGAAAAGCAAACCATTTGGCCACACAGGACTGTGACTGACTGGAACTGGTGGAAACTGATTACTTTGGATGAGGCAAGTTCTCTCCTTTGAGTCATTACTCATAATCAGCCTCACTGGCCTACACTACCTGCCAGGTTTCCATGGGCATTGGAGTTGGTATTCTGTGAGCTCTAGGATTATTGACAGTTCAGTAAGAAACTGCTGTTATTCTTGAGGATCTAATAGCAAATGCTCAAACTGTGCCCTCACTCCAGGGGGTCACAAGAAAAATAGGGAGGGCTGGGAGACCTTGGAGAGTGGAAGTGGAGACCACTTGAAATCTTACGTCTGTTTGAATCTCATTTGTCTTGCATTTTACTGCAGGGATTCAGTCTTAGGCAACACATCCTAAGGCAGCATTGATTTAACCACGAGTTCTTGATACTTAAACTCTCCAAGCCTCCGTTTCCACACGCATCAAATGAAGCTGATTCTACCTTCCCCGACAACATCACAGAGTTGTTACAAAACTATATTGATCTTGGCACATGAGATGCCTGGCTCACAAGAAGTGCTCCACAAATACTAGTCTTATTAGTATTTTCACAAATTCATTTATAACAAATAACTATAGTCTCAAAATAGTCATATAAATAGAGTCCTCTTTCCCAGATCTTTTTTTCTATCTTTATTGTTTTATTGTGATTATAGTAGGAATCCATGCTTCTTACAAAAATGCTCAGATGAAGAAATTCATACCGTAGTGAGAGTTGATCTTGGACTTTCTAATTGTTGCTTTCTGGTCATTAAGAAATATGTAAATCTCGACGGCGACATACGCGTGCATTAAGACCAAATCAAAGCTAAAGCTCGTAGGTGCTCCTTCTGTGCCTGAACCTGGCCCTTAGTTTGAATAAAAGGCTTGGAAAGGAAGATTGAACTTTGCAGGCACCTCGGTAATATTCTCTGGAATGAAAATGACACTTATTTTCCCCTCTGCAGTCCTGTATTCCACATTCTGGCAGCTCAAGGTCCTCTTTTCAGGTGGTCACCCTCAGACATCAACTGTTAAGGCCTTTTCAATGTCAGCCAAGTGGTGCCTGCTCCTGTCATCCAGTCTCCACTGAGCCCTCCCATGGCTGCAGGCCGCAGGGACCAAACTAAGAAAGGTCTGTGGATAGGACACTCATCCACAGCAGATTCATCTATAGAGGTCTTTCCTATGGTGTCTGGCTGCTCGAAGAAACTCTTCCAAGCTGGCTTCCCAGGAGGAACAGGCTTCCAAGTCCAGCTCTTTGACCTAGGGATGGTATTTTGGCTTTGCACTGAGTCAAAATACTTTATTGAGTTCTTCCAATGGGGAAAGCACCCAGTCTTCAGACTTTGCCTATCAGCTAAATAAAATCCCCTGGGAAAAAAAGGCTTGGTGCATTCTTGCCCCGTGGGATTCAAAGTTATCTCTTTTTGGCTTCTCTGGTTCTCTTGGTATTGGCCTTAAAGATAAAGCTGTCATGACCTGTTGTTCTGCAGCTGTGGATTTGCAGAGGAGCCCCTCCCACTCCCAGCCTTCAGCTCAGGTGAAAAACAGAACAGGCTCCAATAAATGGTGGGAATTTTCAACTGTGGGCAGATAAGAAGGCTGCTATTGTCAGGCAAATCACTCTGAAGTTCTCCTTAATCCTAACCTTCCCCACAGTAACTAGCCCAGTAGAAATGCTTACGGGATGTTTAACCCTTAACCAACCTCAATCATCACGGTCTGTAAAATCCAAAGGAAAACACAGAAAGCGTACCCATTCGCTGCTGATCAGGATCCATAATTCCTTCTCAGCTAAGATTCAGCACCAGGGCAGAGATCTTCAGAGAAGCCTTCTCTGACATCCATCTCGTCCCACTCCCCACCATTGATTTGGTCCCTCCAGCCCTTATTTTCCCCTAGACCACATATATTTCTCTGTTGTAGCTCCAATAGCTTGAACGATAGCTAAAGGGCACTGAATGTTTACTGTATGTGAACGCATGGGAGAGACACTTGAGGATACCATCTCATAGAGTCCTCCCAGTGATTCTAAGAGGAACCAGTGGTATCTCCAGTTTATGATGAAGAGACTGAAGTTCAGAGTGGTTAGTGGCAACAGTGCGCTACACTGCCTCCCATCGTGGGATAAATGTTGGCACTTGCCGATGCCACTGGACTGTGAGCTCCAACAGGGGGAGGACTGGCCCTCAGCATCTTTGTCTTCCCACACACCGCCCAGTGCATACTAGATGCTCAGTTAACATGCGGAACCAAGCCACCTCCCCAAGGCCCCTCTCTGTGATCCAGAGCACCAGGCAATAGGTTTTGATTATATGCTCTGTAATATACTAGGATTACCATATTTTTCTTTCTTTTCTCTTCCTGCAGTGTGCCAGCCGGCATCTCTTCCCTGGCTTCCAGGCACCGAGCTCTGTTTTTTGCAAACACTGGTGGCTCTGCCCGAGGCCTTTTCCCAGCCTCTGGGGCAGCTCAGTGAGTGCTTGGGGCATGTGGGATGCCAAATGGTCTTACCATTATGGTGCAACTGGGGGCAACTTCCAGCTGCCAGCATCCATGTCCACTCAGGCAGCCCAGGAGCTGTGACTAGGGAGTTGGCAGGTGAAGACCCCAGCTCCTTTGACCCTCAACTGGAAAACCTCCAGACATACCCGTGTCCTGTAGTTTCTGGAGCTCCCACAGGACTGGCTCCAGTTGCCCACGGTGGCAGCTCGCTCTCATATATCCCCCTACTGTCTGTTTTCCTCTCCTGTCTCACTATCCTATTCACCTACTGGAGTTTCATGGGCGTCACCTCCTCAAAA
Source organism: Homo sapiens (assembly GCF_000001405.40). Lineage (NCBI taxonomy): Eukaryota > Metazoa > Chordata > Mammalia > Primates > Hominidae > Homo > Homo sapiens. The sequence goes on along the minus strand of NC_000001.11, from coordinate 14,766,040 downwards.
CATGCATGTGCCCTTGAGTCATCATCTCAAGGTTGGCTTTTGTGGGCACCAGACTGAGACAACACAGACACACCCTTCGACAGATGCCAATGGCTGGCAGTGCTGGCGCTGATTTGCTTCAGCACAGACGGGCTTCTGGTGTGAGTGTCATCAGCGGGTCACCCAGATTGCCTGCTGCCTGAGCACAATGGACTGCCAGCTCAGCTGCCTCCTTTCGGCAGCCACTCCTGTGTTCCACCAAGACCACAGTTCTCCTGGGTTGTTCCTGTCAAAAATTATGAGTGCAGCCCATTCCTCTAACAGGTGACTTTGGCTTGAGGACTCCCCATCAGCCTGGCTGAGGCACTCTCTGAGCTGCGCTGAGATCTGGGGCTCTTTCTACCAACACTCCTTCCTTCCCCTTCTCCATTCGCAGGCACCAGCCCCACATCCCTGTCTGAAGGCTCTCCCTGTCTCTCCTATGTCCTTTGCAGGCATTTCTCCCAATACATCTGCACACCAAATTCCACCTTAGCTGCTTCTCAAATGGTCCACACTAACACAATTCAATTGAAACCCCACCTCTGAGGGGCAAGTTCTAGATCTGGGGGACAAGGACCATACCCCAGACTGGGCTATACCTTCCCCAGAGTAAGACAACACAAGAGGCCCTGGCTGCCGGGCCAGCTGATGGCCCTAACAACAACTCTTTCTTACTTCTCTGAAGGTTCTCAGGGCCAATGAGAACTGCTTCTATTTCATCTACAGCAGTGGTTTGCAACTGAGGGTGACCTTGTCTCCAAGGAGGTACTTGGCAATGTCTGGAGACATTTTTGGTTGTCATACTATGGGGAGAATGATACTGGCATCTGGTGGGTAGAGGCCAGGGATGCTGTTGAGCACCCTACCATGCACAGGACAGCCCCCCACAACCAAGAATGATCCAGTCCCAAACACCAACAGTGCTGCGGCTGATGAGCCCGGCATCGTGGAGAGAGAAGCACTAGTCTTGGAGCCTGGAGGAGGAGATCAAACTTGTACTTAAAGAACAGATGAAATAATTTAGAAAACTGGGTTCCAAGCCTGGTTCTGCTACTCACCATAGCCCTAGGCAGTATGTGGCTTCTCTGAATCTCATTTCCTTACCTATAAAATAAGAACGATAACATCCAGTATGCAGCACTCTTGTGGGGATTGAAGATCATAACCCAGAGAAAGCACCCACAGTTTTACTGGCATAGGATAGGCACTCATGAAACTAGAATCCTTCCCTCTGGCCTCTGCCTGTTTCTATACCCAGCCTGGTGCCAGAGCAAGTCCAGATCTGGTCTCTCAGGGTGACTGTCCTCAAGGATGGTGACACCTTTCTTAGAGCCTTCCTGTCCTGCACTCCTTCAATTCCCTCCCTCCAACTCTTCATTTCTTCATCCATTTGTTCTACTAAGGTTTACTGAGTGCCTGGTATGAGCTCCAGGCATTTAAGATACATGGGTCAACAAAACAGGCAACCGTATCTACCTGTGAGAAAAGACTTGTTAAAAAGCTTACGTTCTATGGGGGGGCAGAGGGGCGGCGGATAACAAAGAATATGATGAATAAATCAGTAAATCGTATATCATGTTAGAAGGTTGGGAAAAAAAGGAACAGGGAAGGAATGCCCACATTGTGGGGGGGGTGTGGGGGAGGGGGTCGGGAGTGGTTTGTAATTTTAAATAGGGTGATCGTGATCAGGAGAAGGCTTATTGGGAAGGGGACAGTTGAGCCAAGACCTGAAGAAGTAAGGATTCAGCTGTGGGGGCCTCTGAAGGGAGGTTGCCCGAAGCAGAAAGTACAGCCCATGCAAAGGCCTGAGGTCCCAGCCCTCAGTGCCCCGGGAATGTGGATTCTACCCTCCTGCCGGTCTTTCCCAGGAGGCCCACCTACCAAATTGTAAATGAGAACCATCACCTGGGGACTGTGATGTATTTGACTCGCAAGAAGGTAAACAAGTACATTAATTTAAAATGAGTAGCAAGCTGGGTGTGGTGGCTCAAGCCTGTAATCTCAGCACTTTGGGAGGCCGAGATGGGTGGATCACTTGAGGTCAGGAGTTGGACACCATCCTGGCCAACATGTTGAAACCCTGTTTCTACTAACATACAAAAATTAGCTGGGTGTGGTGGCACGTGCCTGTAACCCCAGCTACTTGGGAGGCTGAGGCAGGAGAATCACTTGAACCTGGGAGGCGGAAGTTGCAGAGAGCCAAGATCGTGCCATTGCACTGCAGCCTGGGCAACAGAGCAAGACTCCATCTCAAATAAAAAATAACATAAAATAAAACAAGTATCAATACCTACATCCCATCTCCCCCTTAGGCAAAGGATCATAATTGGAGGATATCCATTCCTACTCCAAAGGAAAAGGCCAGTTGTCCATTTATATTTGTTCATTAGCCTGATTCCTGCCTTGAGTAATTACAGAGGATTAAAGCATCATTCCGAGCTCACTGCAATTGAAATCAGGCCCCAGAAGAACAATGCCTTTGCGTGAAACTCCAAGGGGAGGCAGGGGTGGCAACGCAAGGCTCTAATTCTGTTCTCTCCTATGGTGTAGCTGGGTACAAATGTTATTGGGGGTATTGATTTAGGTGCTCGCTTTATCCTCAGGGGCCCTGGCCGGTCAAGAACACAGGTGAGTGGGATCCTGGAGGACATTCTAACCCAGCCAAAGTGGGATGCTTGCAACCAAAACCATACACACAGTGAAAGAGGAATTCCTTGCAAGCATCTGTTCTCTGGGCTTGCCTGAGACGGAAACAGCTCCTCAACTAGTTGCTGTATGGTACGACTGCTGTCATTCACATGAATCCTGCCTTCAGCATGCAGAATGGTCCCTCTCCCATTCCTAATGGCAGCTCTTGCCTGCTGTTGGCCTACTGGCATGACTACTTTATTGGCCACACCATACCTCTCACTTTGCCTATCAGAGCTACTCAACAGCCATCCTAAGACCAAGATTCGGTGTCAAAACAGGATGAGGAGAAAGTCCTTTGAAAGCTCACAGACTGCCAAGTTATGAATGTCTTTATTTGAATGAAGCATTACAGAAATGTCACCGGATGAGTGTTTAAAAGTTCACAAAAGACTTGTTACAAATAAGTTAAATAAAGGCACCTTCTATCTCAATAACCCATAGAAGTAGGTATTATTATTATTATTATTGTTGCCATCAGCACTGAACAAAGTGCAAGTTCCCAGTGCTGAGGCCACAGCCTGCCTCCGTCTGGCCCATGGCCCCTGTGGGGTGGAGAAGCCATCTGAACTTAGTTGCTTCTCTTCTTCTTTCTTTTTTTTTTTTTGAGACAGAGTCTTGCTCTGTCACCCAGGCTAGAGTGCAGTGGCGCGATCTCAGCTCACTGCCAGCTCCGCCTCCCGGGTTCACGCCATTCTCCTGCCTCAGCCTCCCGAGTAGCTGGGACTACAGGCGCCTGCCACCGCGACTGGCTAATTTTTTGTATTTTTAGTAGAGACGGGGTTTCACCATGTTAGCCAGGATGGTCTCGATTTCCTGACCTCATGATCCTCCCACCTCGGCCTCCCAAAGTGCTGGGATTACTGGCGTGAGCCACCGCACCCGGCCTCTTCTTCTTTCTTGATGCCACCATGCCAGGAAGGTCCCACCACCTGCTACCTGAAGCCCTAGAACAAGCTCCAACTTGGGCTGCTGGCTACCACCTTCCTCCTTCATGGCTACTACCAAACATCATCCCTGGGGTCAAATTCTCAACACTCCCTGGCCAGGATACGGCTCACATTCCTTGGCATAGCATTCAAGGCCCTTCCCCATCGAATGGCGGCCATGTCTCTGACCACCTCTCAAAGTCCCTTGGCCCTCTGGCAATGTCTGCTGTTCAAGAATCACTGCCCTCAAGTATGACATAATAAAAGGAGCGGTTACCAAAGCACTTCTGGAACCACCGTCATCCTGAGGACACAGAGCTTGCTTTGCCAAGCAGGTCACAGGTGTCCTTATGAAAAGCATCAGATGCTTTGGAGCCAAGGAACCCAGGGAAGAAGAGGTTTGCCTTGCTGCAGGATCACGTCACACACAGGATGCATCTGTTAGAGCCAGAGTTGGCATATTACGATTTCTGCTTCCTTTTTGAAGCTGAGTAGAAAAAAAAAAAAAAAAAGACTCTGCCACCCAGATGTTAAGTAACTCCTAAATCCCTCTTTAATTAACTGGGTAATCTCAGTGCCACGTTCAGACAGCACCTTCCTCTTGGTGTTTTTAGCCTTGAAAATGGAGGTCTGCAGTCTTAGGCTTGGAACTGAGAAAAGAAAAGTGAGGGTTGCTCAGGCAAATCCCCCTGTGAGATGTTCCGTTTAACTGCATAATTGACAGGGAAGGAGAAGAAAGGAAGATTATTTAGGGTTTTGTAGGTTTGCTTTACAACCAAGATAATCACTTGAAATTCTAATGTTTTCCGTGGTTCAAAAACTCTTCTTACAGAAGACAGTGGTTGGGGGCAGTAGGGCGGGAGGATCCCCAGAGACCATTTAATCAACAAACACTCATTGTGCACCTGCTAGGTGCTGGGCCCTGTGCTACGGGCTGAGGATGCTGCTGATCAATGCTGAATCAGTGTTGAAGCTTGTTTTCCAAAAGGGTGGGCAGAACCCAAACAGGTGACTAGGGGAATAAATTAATGACTGAGGTGATAGAGAACAGAGGGGCTTGGGGGAGGAGACATAGTAGATCTGCAGGCTCTTGAATGCCTCTTTGAAGAGGCAGGATTTGGCATTTGAACTGACACTTGAGTGATGAGCAGGAGCCAGCAAGGCAGGGGGCTCCAGGAAGAGATTCCTGGACCCAGACAGAGGGAACGGTAGGCACAGACCTAGCCTGCTGCAGGAAAATGCTGGGATTCTCCAGCCAGTGCGGCAGGAGCAAATGACTGGGGAGAGGAGTGGGTCAGAATGAGACTGGTGGCTGGTGAGGGAGGCAGGGTCCTCCCCATTCAGTTGTTTTGTAGACCAGTGTTCACCGAATTACTGTCTGTGGGCCAAATCTGGCCCGCTGCCTGTCTTTATGAATAAAGTTTTATTGGAAAACAGCCACGTCCATTTGTTTTCATATTGTCTATGGCTGCCTCAGTGCTAGAAGGGCAGAGGTCTTCAACTGCTACAAAGACTGTAAGGTCCACAAAGTGTAATGTATTTACTATCTGGCCCTCTATAGAAAAAAGTTTGCTAAGCCCCATTGTTAGGAAGTTTGGGTTTTATTTTATTTGTAGAGACGAGGTCTTGCTATGTTGTCCAGGCTGGGCTCAAACTCCTAGGCTCAAGCAATCCTCCCACTTTGGCCTCCCAAAATGCTGGGATTACAGGCATAAGCTACCACACCTGGCCTGAATTTTATATCTATGTGCAATCAAGTAGCCACCAGAGGGTCTTACATATTGGATTGATATGTTTTAAAAGACTACTCTGGCTGCTGTGTGGAGAAAAATTTGGAAGGGGCAGGAGGGGACGAAGGAGAGAGAGAGGAGGCTGCTGGATTGCCCTGAGTCCTCTCACCACATTGCAGCCCAATCATGTTCAAACTGGGCCAGCGAGTGCCGAGTTGCTGCTATGTGTTTGTCACTGTGCAAAGTACCTCCTTAGACCTTATTTTATCATCACAACCTTAAAAGAGATAACGCACTTCAACCATTTAATTCCACGCCTGGCACATTGAAGTGCTGAATAAAAGTTAATGAAACAATTTGTAAAAACATTGGCAAGGAGCACCAGTCTACTATCTTGGGGGCGTTTCTCAGAAGCAGAGCCTGAGACGAGGATTTGGGCCCAAGTGATGTATTAAAGAAGTCTTCCAGTAATGGGGGTGGGAAGAGGGTTGGGGAAGGAAGGGAAGCCAGGCGAGCATTGGTTGGTTTCAGGCAAAGTTGTGCCTGGGGGAACCTCAGCCTGAACCAACTTGGAGTGTAAGTTACACCCACCTGGAATGTAAGTTACACCTCGGGGTGTGTCCTGAGGTGAGGCAAGGGAGCGCTGCTTTCAAACTCACAGGTGGGTCAGTCACGGGAGGAGGGGCTGCCCTGAGGGGACATTAATTCCCAGGTACTTAAGTTCTCGGAGGCCGGGAGGCAAAGGGAGAGTCCTGGAAGAGGAGCCACAATGCAGGATGCTGAAATCAGAAGCACACCAAGGCAGGCAAGCGTGGTGCACAAGAAAAGGCTTGAAGGGATCTAAGAGGATCTGGACGGTATTGTCTGCTACACATACTCATTGTTCAGATAAGGAAACTGAGGCTCATGGACACCGACCTGTTCTCCAATGGCAGTTGGGATCCCAATCCCCGTCTGACTCCAGATCGCATCCTCTGCTCTTTCCTAGCAAACCCCTCCTTCCTCCTGCCAGTGGTCATGAAATATTAAAGCCGTCTGATGCTTCCTATGGCATGAAATAATCCTGCAGGTACGCTGGCCACACTCTCTTGCAGACTGTCTTTTAGTGCCTATAATTGCTTAATCAAAAACAAATGAGGGTTATAAAAATTGGGAATGTTCAATGTCCTCTGAATAGTCAAGGAAGGTTATCAAAATACCAAAATTTGCACAAATATAGCTGCTTTTATAGAGCCTCTCTAACAGCAGACTGTAAAACAGTGCTCTCCAACAGGGGGTGGGAGATAAAGAATTTCTTCTTCCAACAGTAATAAATCAAACAACCTTCCGTGGACAGTGGAAATTGATTTTTCTCACTCTTCACATAGCCACGGCACTACCAAAGCCACGGTGCGATGCTCTCACGGTGACAAGCTTCAACTTGGCCACATCAATTATCAGAACAAGAAATGTCAGGCTTTGGCACAGCCAGGCTGAGATAGGAACGCGAGCTCCTGCCGTGGCTGCCCTGTGTGTGCCCCTCCCCCACGGATTTTTATTTAAAGTCTAACAAGACTCAACTAGGCCAAAGCCCAAAGTTAATCTCCAAGAGAATCCTCCCTCCCTTCTTAAAATCCCCTTCATTGTCCAGGGTAGCCTAGGTTAGCTTAGGACTAATTCCTGGTCCAGGTGAACTGGTGGAATAAAGTCTGCCTCTCTCTTCCTCTCTCTCTCCTCTTTCTCCAGCTCTCTTACTTTCATGCTTTCTCTTTCATTTTTTTTTTTCTGGATTCAAATGACCCAGCTCAAGAAAGATTTTCAGACCCAGAAGAGTAACCCATGCAAAGCCAGATCTTTTCATCATCTGAAAGGCAAAACAGGCCCTCAGCATCCCCATCTCCCCAGAGGTTCTAATCGCTCTCACTGCTTCCCAACCCATCCCAAGAATGGAGGCACAAGCATTGGGAGAGCAGAGAGGTCAAAAAGCACATTCAACACCCCAAGCTCATCCAAGCTGCTGCCTGCTTCACATCAGCTAGTATCGCATTGGCCAAGGCAAGTCACAAAGCTAAAGTCAAGAGAGGGCATTGTGGTGGCTCATGCCTGTAATCCCAGCATTTTGGGGGGCCAAGGTGGGAGGATTGCTTAAGCCCAGGAGTTAAAGACCTGCCTGGGCAACATAGTGAAACTCTCATCTCTTAAAAAAAAAAATTAAAAAATTAGCTGGTCCTGATGCCACATGCCTGTAATCCCAGCTACTACAGAGGCTGAGGTAGAAGCATCACTTGAGCTCAGAAGGTTGAGACCAGCCTGGGCAACACGGCAAGACCCCAACTCTAAAAATAAATAAATAAATAAATATTAGTTGGGTGTGGTGCTGTGTGCCTGTAGTCTCAGCTGTTCAGGAGGCTGAGGTGGGAGGATCGCTTGAGCCCAGGAGGTTGAGGCTGCAGTGAGGTATAATGGCACCATTACACTCTAGCCTGGGTGACAAAGCAAGAGCCTGTCAAGGAAGGAAGGAATGGAGGGAGGGAGGGAGGAAGGGAGGAAGGAGGGAAGGAAAGAGAGAAAAAACAAAACAAAACAAAGAAACAAACAAACAAACAAACAAACAAAGTCAAGAGGCAGTGAAGTCCATTCCATCTACCTGTGTTGTGGCTGTGGCAACAGCATGGATGCAAAATGCCATTCCAGGGTGTGTGGACTTGGAATTCAGCCTGCCACACATCCCAGTCAATGCAATGGGGTCACTGTTAACCAAAACGTATTCCTCCCTCTCTCTTTCCTCCCTCCCTTCTCTTCCTTCAGTCTTCTTAAACAGAAAGCAAATAGTGGCGACAGGTTCTATAAACAATTAGACTGGACAATCAGGAAAATGAATTCTTAATCCATACGCAAGATGTAGAAGGTGCTCCCATGAGAAGGCATCAGAAGAGATCCTTGAGCCCATGGGAGAGATCTTGATTCCCCACCACATGACATCACAGTGCCAGGGGACTACTGCGACAAACTATTGATTTTAGCCAAATAGTTTTCCTAAAAAGCAGCAGTTTTGATTCCTGGACTCTCCTCCATATCATAAAAGTACCAACAGTGTCTAATGTACTTCACTACACACTCTCCATAAATTGTATCTGTTTTTCCCTATAAAACTCTAGGAGGTGGTTGCTACTGTTGCCATTTTACTGATGAGGAAACTAAAGCTCAGAAGGGTTGACTAAATCGCCCAAGGTCACAGAGCTAGTATGTGGAAGAGCTGGGACTTGAACCAACCCAGTCCTTAGATTGTAATTCCTTTGTTCTTTCCAGTACATTCCAATCTTTCCTTCCGGTTTCAGTAGCCAGCTGCCTTTCTTCAGCCATTGCTCAGAAATGAGATACTAAAGAGAAAGCAGGAGCAGGCAGGTGTTGAGAACTATGGGCTGAGCTGATGCATAATTCTTTGTCCCACATAGTGCCAGAGTACACTTTGTGAACACTGAAAAAAACCATATATTGTAACTATTAATTTCCTGTGGACACTTGGGAGCAGAAGAACAAGGCTAGGTGATGTTTAAGTTGTAAGTCATCCAGAGCAGAGTCACTGGCCTTGAAATCCTTTCTCTGCAAACTTCTGAGCTTGGATGCTGAAGTTTCACAACCCTGTGGCAGACAAATGAGGTGTGACAATGTGCAACAATTTCTCCCTCTTGCCGCAGAAGATCTGAAACCCGAATGCACAAATTAAAAGGTAAAGGGACACTTAATCAAAAATGTCCACAAAATGACGAGCCTCTCCGTTACCTTCTGCTGGCAGAAATACAAAAGGTTTTGTTCTGTTGCTTTTTTTTCTCCTCTTTCCAGCACTGAAATGTGGCCAAGCCAGTTAAGACAAAGAGATTAATTGTTCTTCTTTCAACAAACTCTTTAGTAAGAAGACATTCAAAACCTACAAGTTCCCTTCTTTATATTCACAATGCCTGGTATATTCACAATGCCCAGACCTGGGGAGTTGAAGAGATGAAGTTAGGCTGCTCTGGTTTCATTTCAGAACCTAGTGGTGTCCGAGGCTGCCTTATAAACAGTGCTACATCCAATGAAACAGGCTCTATTTCCACGGTGCACCCACTACTGAATTTTACTGCAGGATATTTCAATGAGAAATCAATTGATAAGGAAGGCACTTATGGGGCAAGATCCTGGTTTGACACTTTGTCAGTGGCACCAGTAATGGCCACTTCCACCTCCTGCTCATCCGCAGAGATGTGCTGGAGTGACAATCACATTTGCAGGGACACCCGGTATCAGACAAATGCCATTTTTGCAGGGGGGCTGACAGAAGACTAGAGCTGGCTTTCCAGACCTCTTGCCGGGGCGTGCTTGTCTCAGAGTAAGGAATCCATTAGATGGAAGGAAATCGAGAGCAAGTCAAAGATGGAGGATGAACAGACAGGCTTAATTGATGAGGAAGAGCCTCCAGTGGGCTCTGCTGAGAGCAGGATGTCCGCTCAGATGCTGAAGACCATGGCTCTGGTGTCAGAAATACCTGGGCCAGCTGGTTTCTATCACTGAGCCACACCATGAGCTTTGTCAGGGCTTGTGATGGGCTTGTTATGAGGAACAAAGCCATGGCAACTAGCAGAAGGCAGGAAGTACCGTGTCTGCAGAGGCTGACTTCCCTCCATGCCTCTTCTCCTCCCCTGCAGTGGACAGGGCCTCTCAAGTTTGTGCAGAGTCCTTGGTACCATTCTAGACACAGGTCAGCTCTGTGGCCAACTTCCTTTGCAGCCTGTGGGGCGTCTGGGAGACTTCAAGGCATCTGCTTCCAGTCAAGAGGTGGCTTTGTGTGCCTGCTAATTCTCCAGGTTTCTCCTAAGTGGGTGAATTCCCCGGAATGTTCACTCCACTTGGCCAGTGCTTTTCTTCCCGGCTCTTAATTGGAGGCTAAATGCCATCTGAGTGATCATTAAAGCACCATTCCAAGAGGGACCCCGTGGAGCCCTGGGCACAGAGGGTGTCCAGGCCAGGAAGGGGCTGCCCTCCACACTGAACCCCTGCAAAGTGGCAAATGAGCAGGAAACAGTCAGCGATTATGCAAATCCAGAGCCTGCATCTCATTTTCTTCTCTGCCACTTGTGGGAATCAGCGCTGAGACCTTCCTTGTAATGAATGTTAGTTGCTTCTGGAGATCGTAACTTCCCAGGAGCGCTGTTCTCCTCCTTCCTTTAAAAAAAATCTACAACCACACGACATATAGGTTGACTTTTAAGATTTATATATTTTTTACAGTAAAGCTTTCATAGACATTTCCCCACCAGAGTTAGGACTGTACCTCATATAAAAATCCTCTGGGGTGGAGTGGGGTCAGGGGCAGCAAAGGGCAGGGAGACAGGTGAAAGGGAATTTAGGGACAAGCATGGCAATAGTACCTTGCAAGGCCTGTTTTTTGTTCATTTGTTTTTGAGACAGGGTCTTACTCTGTTGCCTGGGCTGGAGTGCAGTTGCACAGTCTTGGCTCACTGCAACCTCCGTCTCCTGGGCTCAAGCAATTTTCCCACCTCAGCCTCCTGAGTAGCTGGAACTGTGGGCACACGCCACCACACCTGGCTATTTTTTTTTTTTTTTTTGCATTTTTAGTAGAGATGGGGTTTCTCCATGTTGCCCAGGGTGGTCTCAAACTCCTGGGCTCAAGCGATCCTCCCGCCTTGGCCGCTCACAGTGCTGGGATTATAGATGTGAGCCACTGGGCCCGGTCATGCGAGACTTGTTTCACTTAATTTTTTCAATCCGGAAAATCCATGTCTTTGTTCTCATTTTGTAAGTGGGGGAAAGGCAGAGGTTCAGCAAGGTTAAGTCACCTGAATAAGGTCACACAGCTGGCAGGTGGTGGAGCTAGGATTCCAGTGAGCATCTACCAGGCTCCAAAGCCCATTCCCTTCCCTCTCAGCACACTTTTCTCTCCCTCTCCTTGCATGAGAACACATTTTCCCATGTTAGGAAGCATGAACCTCAGCCACAAACATCATCCAACAACGTGACTATAAAAAAATCTGGATTAATGAATTTGAATTTTTTTAAATTTTAGACCGAATCTCCCTCTTTCACCCAGGCTGGAGTGTGGTGGCGTGATCTTGGCTCACTGCAACCTCTACTTCTCAAGTTCAAGCGATCCTCTTGCCTCAGCCTCCCAAGTAGCTGGGGTTACAGGCGCCCACCACCATGCCTGGCTAATTTTTGTCTTTTTAGTAGAGACAGGATTTCTTCATGTTGGCCAGGCTGGTCTTGAACTCCTGACCTCAGGGGATCCACCTGCCTCAGCCTCCCAAAGTGCTGGGATTACAGGTGTGAGCCACCACATCCGGCCCATGGATTTGAGTTCTGTAGACCTATTCAATGCACAAAGTTTAAAGGCTGTGTTTTATATCTGATTATGTGCAACAAAATCCCTCCACTGGCCTCCCCACTGTATCCCACATAAATCATTGTCTTTCTCCCAAAGCACCCTGGGCAGAAAGCCCAGGGTGGGCCCTGCAGCTGTCCACCCCAACCCACCCAACTCTTAGCACTCAGATCAGGGGGTCTCTGCCAAGAACTCTTCCCCGTGGCTGGAGCCCACATGGATCTCCCTCTCTGAAATGTACACAGCCTACGTCGATTGGTCACAGGCTGGTTAGGGAAAGAACCTCCAAGTCCTAGCCAAGTGTCCCATAGAGGAAGCTCTGGTCACCCACATTTGCGGCACCCTCTTCCCCTTCACTCACTCCTGTCTCAGGAGAAGGAGGAGGAGGACACAGCAAGAAGACGCTATCTTGGAAGCAGAGAACAGCCTCACCAGACACTGAATCTGCTGGAGTCTTCATCTTGGACTTCGCAGCCTCCAGAGCTGCAGAAGGAAACAGGCCTGCTTGCCCACTGGGCATATGCATTCTAGTGTGTTCCCTCCCTAGAGGTGAGTGCAGGGAAAGATGTAGCCTCTATGGGTGGAGGGCTAGGGGCCTGCAGTCCTTCAGCTCTGCCTGCCCCTGGGGTGAAGAATTGGCCCCAAACTAAGTTTGTTTCCATTCAGTTCAATTGGTAATGATTGTGATCTCCATTTTTCTCCTGTGTTTTATTTTATTTTATTTTTTTTTAATTTTAAGTAAAAAAAATAATTAGAGGTGGGGTCTCACTATGTTGCCCATGCTGGTCTCAAACTCCTGGGCTCAAGCAATATGCAAGCCTCAGCCTCCCAAAGTGTTGGGATTATAGGTGTGAGCCCAATGCACCCAGCCTCTCTCATGTTTTAAATTCTCAGTTGAAACCAAACTGGGAATGGAAAGAAGCATCCTCCCCAGATAAAACCCCACCAGTGTCACCTTGTGGCATTTGTCACTGTCTCATTTGTAAACCTAGTTTCTCCTCATAAACAGGAGGTGCTCACTAAAGAACTTATTTATATAACCAAATACCGCCTGCTTCCTAAAAACCTATTGAAAGAAAAATAAATTTAAAAATAATAATAAATTTGAAAAATAAACAGGAGGTGCTCAATGCATGCTTGTTGCATGAAGGCATGCTTCCTGGAGCTCCCTCAGTGCCCTCCAATGATGGATCCTCTCAGTAAACAGTCGGCAATTGACCTCAACCACGATTTGCTGACCCCTGAGCTGTGACCACTGTATAAATTAAAAGCACTGATGTCACCAATGCACTCTTCAGTATTTGGCAACATCTTCTACAAAGTGCATTGAGATAAAATGATCCTTTGTGGTCCATCCTCAATGCCAAGCTCTCTGGTTACCTCTGAGTGGTCCAAATGCACAGCTGGGCTGCACTGAAACTGATCAGAGTGTGTCTCCAATGGTAGCTGGTGTTTGTTTTGTTAGATTTGAACAGACAGTGGTGTGGTGGTGGAAAAAGGATGGGCTTTGTGATTAATAAAACTAAGCGCTGGTTTTGGCTCTTGCTATGGTCTGAATGTGTCCCCCCTCCCCACCAAATTCCTATGTTGAAACTTAATTGCCAATGTGATAGTATTAAGAGTAGGCCTTTAGGAAGTGATTCAGTCATGAGGGGTCTGCCCTCATGAATGGGATTGGTACCCTTATGAAAGGGCTCCAGGGAACTGACTAGGCTCTTTTTGTCCTTCCACCATGTGAGGACATAGCAAGAAGGCGCTATCTTGGAAGTAGAGAGCAGCCTCACCAGACGTTGAATCTGCTGGTGTCTTGATCTTGGACTTCCCAGCCTCCAGAGCTATGAGAGATAAATTTCCATGTTTTCTAAATTGCCCAGTCTCAGGTATTTTGTTTTGTAGCACAAATGGATGAAGACAGCTCTGCCCTTCACTTAGACAAGTCAGTTCCCTCTTGGGGCCTGTTTCCTTATGCGCAGAAGGAGAGAACGGCATTAGATGGATCAGGGAAGGCATATCAGCATCATCTCACAGACTCGTCTGCTATGGTTTGAATACTTGTCCCTTCTGAACCTCATGTTAAAGTTGGATCCCTAATATTAGAGGTGGGCCTAATGGAAGATGTTTGGGTCATAGGGGCAGATTCTTCATGAATAGATTAATTCTCACTCTGTTAGTTCCCACAAAAGCTGGTTGTTAAAACGAGCCTGACACCTCACCTCTCTCTCTTGCTTCCTTTCTCACCATGTGATCTTTGCACACACCAGCTCCCTTTCACCTTCTGCCATGAGTGGAAGCAGCCCGAGGCCCTCACCAGAAGCAAGCGCTGGCACCATGCTTCTTGTACATTACGCAGAAGGGTGAGCCAAATAAAACTTTTTTTCTTCTTAAATTACCTAGCCTCACATATTCCTTTATAGCAATACAAAACAGACTGAGACACCATCCCAAAGGCTCAGCAGTGGCTGCCTGTGATGGCATATCTATAGGGAAGGATCCTATGCCAGTCTAGGACTGTTGGGAAAAGGTGCTGTGATCACTAGTGATGCCTGTTTTGGAAACATGAAGGAGAAACGGTGCTCCCTGTGACAAGCATTTGCCATTCCATAGCCAGAGGAGCTCAGCAACCCCTGGACTCAGGGTTGAACACCAGTTGTAGCCCAGCAGTTAAGAGCAAAGACCTTAGTGCCAGGATGCCTGATTCAAGTCCAAGCCCTGGAGGTATGACCTTGGGCAAGTCTCTTACCAAGGTCCTACCCAAGGTCTTACTGTGTCTTAGTATTCTCTGCAATAAAACAGGGACAGTCATAGTGCCTACCTTGTCAGGGTGTTATGAGGCTTTAACGAGGTAAGCTATGAGAAGTTCTGTGGATAATGCCTAGCGCTGAGTAAGTGCTACAGATATGTTAGCTACAAGTTAGATGGTGATGAAAGAAGGGTAGAATTCAATGACAAGGAAGGTAACTGTCTTGCCTCTAACAACGTGAATGAAAAAGCAGGTTACAGAACAGCATGCAAGTACACATTCAATTCACATGTACGTATTAAGTACACATGTATACATAACATCCACATGTAATTAAAGGCCTGGAAAGATCTAGGGGAAGCTCACCAAAGTGTTAATGGCGATCATCCTTAGGTGGTGGAATTTAGGGTGAACATAAAATGAGCATGTATGATTTATGATTTCCCCTAGGCAATAAAGCTTTTTAAAAAAATCAAAACAGACAAGAACATACTCAAAGCTTCACATCTCCTCTCCAAAGGAAGGAGGCCCAGAGTCTAGGTCATGTTATAAATGACGTCGCCACGTAACAAGGGAACCATTCTCCATCTCCCACTCTGAGCCCTACAGTGATCAGCCCTTGCTCACTTGTAGGTGGGAGCACAAATGGAACATCAGGGGTTACACTGGATCTGGCCATTGACACTCACCCAGCAGAATCTGTTGCGTATTTCTGGTGATAGCCTCATGATGGGAGAACCCTCCCAAACTGATCCCTGAAATCATGTGTTTTCTAAAGCATAGACACTCCTGCCTACCGCCTGACTAGCAGCACAGGGCTCAAATGTGAGCCATCTTCAGGAGATTAGAGTTTAGAGGTTTGCTTCCATGCAAGAGTAATTAACAAGTCTAGGAATTAATCAGTTCTTTCAGGTCCTCAGGCTATGTAGAGAAAATGGAAGACAAATGGGTTTTAAAGGTCTTTTTTTTTTTTTTAGAAAAGAAACTTGTCATGTACAAAAATCAAAGAAGAAATTATTTCTGAAACAGAAAGCTAATGAGCATCCCAGATTATGAATTTGAAAGAAAAAAGATGGCAAGTTATGAGCACTCCTAGGCATATTTTCCTGCTGACTGAAGCCTCAGTGTTCGTACCTGGAATAGGGAGCACGTAAAACTTCGTTTCCGTTAAGTCAGGTAAAAAATTGGCTTGCAGGATGGGGTGACCTATTCAGCCCACAGTGCTGTGGAAATTCAGGAGCCGTGGCTGCTCTCCTTTATTGATATCCTGAATTCTTGGGAATGAGGCAGAGGAGTCCATGTCTGTGGCCGCACCCATGAATACTGTCTCAAAATTGTCTGATGCATTTTCAAGGCTCTCATTTTTTTTAAAAAAACTTTCATTATGAAATAATATGTTCACATGAAGTTGCCAAAATAGCCCAGAGAGGTACCCTGTGCCCGTTACCCAGCTTCTCACAATGGCCGCATCTTACATTACCACAGTATCAAAACCAAGAAAGTGACATTGGTGGAGTATCTCAGATGTCACTGGTTTTTGCATGCACCCCCCACCTTTTTTTTGGTCATGGGTATGTCTTTGTTCTATGTCATTTTACCCCATGTATAGATTTGTGTAACCACCAACCAAAAACAAGATACAGAACTATGACCTCATTTGGGTCCTTACAATGGCCCATGAGGAAGGTAGGCATGAAGAAGGAGGCATTATTACTCTCACTGCTTGACAAATGAGGAAACTGAGGCCCAGAGAGGTGATACGACTCCCAAGACCCCTTAGGATGGGCCAAGGAGAATGGCTCCCAGGAGAGGCAGGAAATGGAGAGGACTGGGCAAGTCTGTTAGCTTTCAATCTGAATGGGAGGCCTGGTGCCTGTGTGAGGACGCACAGGTCCTGAGCACCATGACAGAAGGGCCCCTGTGCAGAAAAACCAACCTACTGGGAATACTCCTCTGCCCTGTAGCCTGCCTTCCTCCTGTAACCACAGGCCGAGCCAGAGGAGCAAGCTGCATCATGGTTCTCTTTTGATGTGTCTGTTGCTTCCCCATGCAACTAATTCCTTGATTCTCATTTGCCTCCTTGTGTGGAACTGAAGCCCTCTCCTGAAGGAGGTTTAAGAGTGGCTTAAGAATGCTTTTTGCTCCATTGAGGGTGTTCTCAGCACCTGGCCTAGTAAAAACATTCGGTGGCTATAACTGATGCAGAATTTTAAAAAGAAATCTTAGCCTATTTGCCTGTGTTTATGGTAGTATGGGAGAAAGGCTTGTAACAGAATTGAGATTTCCACCTGGAACATCAAATTAGTTTCAACTCCCTAGTCAATTGCAGTTGATTGCTAGTTGCTGCCCATAGCACTGTGTTGAGAAGGAGTCTGAGGCTGAAACAGGTCTCAGTGGATGTGAGTTCTGGGATCAATTAGTAATGTCTGCTGCGGGAAGCAATAGCATGTGGACCACGTTTATTTATCACCCTTGATAGGGTCTTTAATAGCAGGAAACAGAAGCCCAGAGACTAGAGTGACTTGCCTGTGGCAGAACAGCAAATTAGAGTCAGAGCAGAGACTAGAACATGTACCTTTTGATTACTTTGTGGTCTTTTTCTTACAGAGTTTAGGAGACCATTCTGATGTTTGCAAAACTTTCTTCTCAAATTCGTGGCTCACTTAACTGAATTGGGATATAACCACAGCCCTTTGAAGTAAGGGGTCAGGTCAGTACTTTCCTATCCAGGGGCACTGGAAGTTGGCATCAGCACTCTTGGTAGTGACAACATGACTGATGCTTATTGAACAATTGCTATGTCCTAGATCTACACCAAGAGCTTCACATACATTGCCTCATTTAGTCTTCAGCACAGGGCTTTTGTAACATCAACTATTATTAGCTCCATTTCTTAGAAGAGATTGAGACCAAGAGACACCAACCTCAACAAAACTCATGTAGGTGAAAAGCTTTGAGACATTTGCTGTTTGCCAGTGACTGTTACAAATGACTTACACGCATTGCCTCATTGAACCTTCTCAACAACTCTACAAGGAGGCTCAATCATTATCCCCATTTCACGGATGAGACGACGGAGGCACAAAGAGATAATAGAAAAAAGAAGTGTACAACTCCCTTCCTCCCAGCAGAAGAAGGTCAGCTTGCCCCAAATCACAAAACTAGTGAGTGGCTTAACCCAGGTCATGAACTCCCAGCCATGCGATGATGCCCACTCTATATCCCCAGAGGAAACGCCAATGAATGAGCTAAGTTCCTTGCATTCCTGTGAGCTAAAGACAGCCAGTAAAGATGAGAGAAGTGGGCTTTTTGCTGATGTGTCCTTGAAGGCTCATGAAGATTCATTTTTATTAAAAGATGTTTTTTCTGGGAGAAAATCTAGCAGAATCTGCAGAAATCTGCTTTTCTGATAGAATTCTGGTAGAATTTGATAAGCTGCCATCCAACTCACAGGAAAGAGATAGCCAAGGATGGGCCAGTTTTCCAAGCCAGAGCTTGATGTCCAGAAAGCTTAGCTCCTCAAAGGTGATCCCTGGGTCATCTCAACACCACTCTATTCACAAGGGGAAAAGACTAAAAGTTGAAATGTTTGGAAATCAGGGAAATGATCAAGCTGGAAACCTAGAGAACAATTCTCAAAACAGAAATGTTGTCACTGGAGCAAATATAAGCCGAATACCACTTCATGTCCATTAGGGTGGCAACCGGTGTTGGCGGGGATGTAGTGACATCAGAACCCTTATGCATTGCTGGTGAGAATGTGCAATGGTGCAGCCGCTGTGGAAAACACTGTGAAAATTTCTCAAAAAGTTAAATATAGAATTATCATGTGACCCAGCAGTTCCACTCCTGAGTATATAACCAAAAGAATTGAAAACAGGGACTCAAACTGATACTTGTATTTAATGTTCATAACAGCATTATTCACAACAGCCAAAAGGTGGAAACTACGCAAATGCTTATTGATGGATGAATGGATTTTAAAATGTGATACGGGCCAGGTGCAGTGGCTTGCGCCTATAATCCCTGCACTTTGGGAGGCCCAGATGGGTGGATCACTTGAGGTCAGAAGTTCAAGACCAGCCTGCTGGCCAACATGGTGAAACCCCGTCTCTATTGAAAATAGAAAAACTAGGCAGGCATGGTGGTGCATGCCTGTAGTCCCAGTTATTTGGGAGGCTGAGGAAGGAGGATCATTTGAGCCTGGGAGGTGGAAGTTGTAGTGAGCTGAAAGCGTGTCACTGCACTCCAGCCTGGGCAATGGGAGATAAACCCTGTCTCAAAAATAAATAAATAAATAAATAAAATAAAAATAAAAATGTGATATCTATCTATCTATGTATCCATCTAACTATCTACATACACATACACACCACAATGGAATATTATTCAGTCTTCAAAAGGAAAGAAAGGTAACTCTGAACATGCTACCGCACTGATGAATCTTGAGGACAATATGTTACGTGAAAGAAGTCAGATACAAGATACTATATGATTCTGCTTATACGGGGTACTTAGAATAGGCAAGCTCATAGAGCCAGAAGGTAGAATAGAAACTACCAGAGGCTGGGGGGACAAGGGATGGGGAGTTACTGTTTAATGGATACAGTTTTCATTTGGGAAGATGAGAAGTAGATAGTGGTAATGGTTGTACAATACTCTATTGAAAGCTACTGGACTGTAGACTTAAAAATGATTAAAAGGGTAAATTGTATGTTATATGTATTTTGCCACCAACATATAAAATAACTGAAAAGGAAATCATTTACAGCAGTGACATCTCTAGACGACTACTTTGACCTTGTTCTGGTACAGAGACTCATGGCACCCCACTTTCCACTGACTAAAACCCACACCCCATATTTTGACACTCAAGGACCTGCAAGAGCTGCTTTCCTCACCATCTCCCTCTCCACCCTCCCTCCCTGACCCCAGCTCCCCAACTCCAGCTTCTCCCTGGAATGCCTCCCCTCTGCTTGTCAATGGCCTCTGGATACTTCCAGTGCCACTTCCTCTGAGAAGCCTTCCCGGATCATCTGGCCTGCAGGAAAGTCTAAGTTTGCCCTGAACTCCTATGAGACTTGGTGCTAGCCATGTTGTCTGTTTCTCGGTGTTTGAAGTAATTGTCTGCCAGTGACCTCTCCCTCAAGAAACCTGCAGCAGAGACTGAGTCCTCCGCACTTTTAATCCTTCCAAAATACTTGCTCTTGTTATTGAGTGGTGGAGAAGAGGCCACTCAGTAACATGTTAAATAAGTAAATACATGGCTCTGTGGTCTTCGCCACTCCAGAAACTCCACCTGCATTTTTGAGGAAAGATGACGAACTTGGTAGGGGAATCAAGAGAACACCATCTATCCTTAGTGACTGTAAAGCTGGAGTGTCACTAATGGGTCACAAAGTGACTGCATTCACAGAACACATGCCCATCACGAAAGCTGTGGGTGATTTTGAACTGGGATAACTTAATTTAAGGTGGACATAAATGGCATTTAAAAACCCAACCAGTTAAAGTTCATGATAAATCATATTGCACAATGAATGTGATTTTTCTTTCAAAGCCAGCTTCTGTTATATTTTATTTCTGCTGAGTCATAAATTCCATGAGAGCAAGAGACCACCAATTTACCCCGGGGATGCCAAGTGCCCAGCAGAACGGTTCGCCCAGAACAGTCTTTTGAAAGCCCACTCGTGACAAATGAAAACTGTCCCCAACAGAAAATATAGCAGTGCCAAATCAAGACGATAGTAACATCAGCCAAATATTTATCCTGAGGGTTAAAGGAAACAGTGTCTAAGACTGCATTTGTCTAAACGAAGCTCCGGATGGATCAGTCGTTGATCTTATTAGCGGTAATAATTCTAGTGATGATTAAGATCTCTTCCCCACTCTTCCACCATATTTAACCACTGTTTTCCCCCAACCAACCTAACAACATTAGAGAAATGAACCCATGCCAAGTGTATAGCCCCGAGAAGCAGTGGGTCCCCAATGCTGAGCACTCTGCCATACCAAGCACTCACTCAATGGCGAGATTTAAAAAGCCTCCTTTCAGTTTTATTATGACTATTAGTAACTGTTAATTAGAGTGTTGTAGGAGCAGCAATCACTTCCCCCCATTCTCACGGTGCTAATTACTCTTGGCTTTGCAACCAGCAGAGAAAAAAGGCCCACGATTGTGCCAGGGGATTCTTTATTTACCTTCTTGTACTATCATTCCTATCTATTTTGAGCTGCGTACCATTTAAAAACAGTTGCAGAGAAGCCCTTTTGTTAAAGAAAGCATGTGATTTTCCTTTTTTTTTTTTTTTTCCTTTTTTTCTTTTAATGATAAACGCCCCATTCACATTGCCAGGCTGCAGATCGGTCTTGGCGCTGTATACTCCCAGGTCCAGGGCACTGGGATGGTGCTGGGTGCTGGCCTGCAGGGCACTGTCCAGATCAGGATCTGTCTGGATTTTTGGCCAGACCTTTTGGTTAGGTCATAAGGCGATTCAATGGTCCTAGCAAGACTTCCTTTCATCTATATCATCTCCTGCCACTTGAACTTCAAGGTCTATCTGTAGTAAGTTACCACTGCCCATGGGTAGCTCCAGGCTCAGGCGGTTCTGGGTCAGCTGCAGGATCACTGCTGCAAGGAGCCAGGGCAGTGATGACCTTGGGGACAGGTAGTGACTTGGAGGGGTCACAGGTGCCTCCGGGTGCTGGTGATATTCCTCTTTTGCTTGATGTCAGTGCTGCTTGCTTGAGTTTGGTCCCTGTGAAAATCCTTCTAGTTATTTACTTATGAACTATGGACTTTGCTGGATGCATGTTACACTTTTTTAAAGAATTGTTTTTATTTTTAAAGAGACTGGGTTACCCAGGCTGGAATACAGTGTCATAATCACAGCTCACTGCAGCCTCGAACTCCTGGGCTCAAGTGATCTTCCTGCCTCAGCCTCCCGAGTAGCTGGGACTACAGGCACATGCCACCATACCTGGCTAATTTTTTATTTTTATTTTGTGTAGAGTACCAGGATCTTGCTATGTTGCCCAGGCTGGTTTTGAACTCCTAGCCTCAAGTGACTGTCCTACCTCAGCCTCCCAAATTGCTGGGATTACAGGCGTGAGCCATCACACCTGGCCTGTTACACTTAAATAATTAAAAAACAAAAAAACAAAAACAAAACAAAAAAAACTACCACCATCAGGGATTAGCCATGTGATTCTGGACAGGCCACCTAACCTCACTGGACCTTGATTCCCTTCTCTGTAAAATGGGGCCAATAGTTCCTACCTTACAGAGTTGCAGTCAAGACTAAATAAGATAATACTGAGTAAGATACTCAGCCAGTGCATGGAAAACACATAAAGCATCTCTGTAGCCATTATTAATGCTGCTAGTGTTATTAATAATGTGTGCAAATGGCCAGGTTAATGATGCCCACACATAAGGAACCATTCAGGGCACTGGTGATGGCCATGATAAAGCCAGCCTTGACCGTCTCCCCTCAACAAGCAATGTTCTGTCATTGGAGTGGCTCCTAGTTTCTCTTGATAGCCTGTACAGTAGCCAAGAGTGGTTTTTGTCCGTCCAGCTTGCATTTTCCTCTTTTCCAGGTACCAGAGTCTTGGTTTTGCTTCAGGAAACCTCATTCTTGGTGTCTGCAGTTGAGGTAAGATTGATCCCCTCTGTTCCATGGATGGGCCCCTGTCTCCACTGGGATAATCAGCATTTTCCAATCTCTTGGCCATAAGCGACCTGAGATCAACTCCAGGACTCTTGTTGGAGCTGTCAGGAAAGCGGCTCCCTCCCACCACTGCCAACGCTAAATAAAGTGGTTCAAGACAGCAGGGAGTAGTGGAGGGTGAGGAGGACCCCACCAGACAATCTGCTGGGAACCAAAGCAACTTGGGGGACAACAGATCTGAGACCCGAGGAGAGGGAGAGATTCTGGCCACTGCTGGGTCTCCCAAATGCCAGCGATGACCTATATGACTCATCATGTCTGGGAACCAATGAAGGGTTCATTTTGTTTCTTTTTGCTTAAGCCAATTTAGAAAGCACTGGGGCTTCTATCAAAGAAGTCCTCAGTCTCACTGTTGCAGTGACCAATTAATGAATAATTAATATCTGCATTGTATGTACTTTTTTTTTTTTTTGAGACAGAGTCTCGCTCAGTCCCCCAGGCTAGAGTGCAGTGGCGCGATCTCAGCTCACTGTAACCTCCGCCTCCCAGGTTCAAGTGATTCTCCTGCCTCAGCCTCCAGAGTAGCTGGGATTACAGGCACGTGTCACCACGCCCGGCTAATATTTGTATTTTTAGTTGAGACAGTTTCACCATGTTGGCCAGGCTGGTCTCGAACTCCTGACCTCAAGTGATCCTCCCACCTCAGCCTCCCAAAGTGCTGGGATTACAGGCATGAGCCACCACACCTGAACCTACTATGGACCTCTCTGATCCTGACCCCCATGGAACTCTCCCTACTCCTGGCCTCTTCATGCCTGCGACGCACCACTCTGGCCCACACACAGTGCAGCTCAGCTCTTCCTCCCATATTTCAAATCCACCAAAGCAAAGATCTCAAAGGCGGCACATCTTATGGGTCTATTCACTGGTGAGTGCAGGAGCATCTGTTTGACCAGACTCACTACCAGGTGCCAAGTGCAGTTACAGAGAGGAGGAAGTCTCCGTCTCTGAGCCGTGGGTGCTTGTACAATCCAGGCAGGCAAGACACACACTGAACCCTGGTGACTCCAGGGTCACTTCTACATCCCTGGCTCCTGCCACCATGGCTGTCCACAGGACAGGCTCAGCAAATGGGTTTTGAACTGTGCTCAACAGCTAAGACAGAAAGTGACAAAGCAATTCAAAAGCAAGAGTGTTTGCATCTTGCCAGATGGGGTGATTCAAAGAAACATCATTGGAGCTGACACTTCTTGGGAGTTTTGGTAGGCAGGGATATCACAACAAGCGAGAAAAAGCACAGGGAGAGAAACCTCCAGGCTTATTGTCCCAAGACTGCAGCACAGAGAGGCGAGATTGGTTATTGCTGGCGGATGAACTGACTCATTGGTTTTTTTTTCATTCGCTCATTCCTTCATTCATTCAAGCACGTACGCAAGAATGCACTTAGTTAATCCAACAAGTATTTATTCAGTGCCTGAGTCATCTCTGGCATATGGTAGTTGCTCAATGAATGAATAAGCTTCTATTTTGTGCCTGCTGTGCTCTTAAGTGGGAGGGACACATTCATGAATAACACAGACCTAGGCAGAGTCCTTGCCATCACAAAGCCTGCAATCTAGCAGCTTCTTCACAAATATTTATTCAGTGCCTACTATGAGCCAGGCCCTCTTCTAGATGCTGGGAACAGGCAGTGAACAGGACGGACAAGGTCACTGCTTTCCTGGAGCTGACATTATAGCAGTTGGAGAGGACCCCACTCACAGTTCCTCCTTTCGTTTGTTCTGTTCATCCAAAGTTGGAGGGAAGTGCTGTCCACACTGGGACAATTCCAAAGGGGGAGGAATCTTTGCTTGGGGATGGTTCTATTTTTCTGTATAGCCATTTCATAGTATCAAGAAGGTGAATGTGGCTTCCCACAAGGAAAATCCTAAACAAAACAAAAAACAACCCAAAAAAAAACAACCACAAGAGAGAAGCAACATTGAATTGGTTAACAGAAAGGGAATATTTGGATTCTGGCTCAAACATCAAGGTTGAGATGCATTTCAGGGCCCCTCATCAGTTTCTCATAAAACATGCCACCAGAATGGAATTTTATCAGAGTTTGCTATTGTTTAATATGCCTTGAAAGAGTTTTTGTCTTCAAGGGGCCATTCTGGAAAGCTGACACTTGAGTGGGGAGTGAGAACCTCTTGGCTATGAAGCTCAGCAGGTCTTGAAACCCCGGGGGGAAGTGCCCCTTCTCCCTCCCTCTCCTTTTCAGTTCAGCAAGTAGCTCAGCCTCATGTAAGAGAAAAATAAAAAGATACTAGTTCAATCAAAGTAAAACTGTCACACGCTATCCTGACCTTTTCAATATGTAAATAGTTGTGCTCTCAAATTTCAGGACCTGATGGGAGATTCTGACAGACATTCCCTTCCAGGAGGCCCAAGAGAAGAGGCTGGAACTGTTAGAACTCTAAAAGCCAACAAACCCAAGAAAAAAACTGTAGGTCTCTGGGTCTCCACATGCCCATGGGATTTGCCTGAGCTGAGGCAACCATAGCCACCTGTGCCACCAGCTGCCCCCTCCTCTAGCATCCTCATGCCCGACATTGAGCAACTGTGTGCTTCAGGCATGGTGCTGGGTGCTGGGGAGGCAAAGATGGTCAAGATAGAGTTCCTCTTCTGGATTATGTCACAGGGGAGAAAGACAAGTCCATTTATTCATGCACGCATTTAAAAGTGAAGCACCAATCATATTCAGGCCTCGGATGCAGAGCAAATAAACGACCCGCTCCAGCAACTTGGGACAAGTGCTTGGTCAGCACACAGGACCTCCATGGTAGCACAAGGGAGAGAGTGAGGGCATGATCCTGCCCCAGCTGCCTGGAGGCTGCACCCCCAGAGAAGCATGTTCAAAGCACAGAGCTCCTTCCCACTCCCCTCCAGGTCTGTGAACAGAGGGCAGGACCTGCCACCCCCACAGGCACCATGGAGGGAAAGTGTCTGTCATTCCCCAGGAAACGATAAAACTGAATTTCCAAATGCCCTGTTATTCCTACAGTTAGTAATTGGAATCCCCAAAGCCCAGCAAAGGTGGAATCTTTCCTGTTTGGGGGCTGGCAAGAAGGAGGGCTAAAGGAATTCCAGGCAAAGGAAGGAGAATGAACAAAGAGCAAGAAATCAAGAGACCCTCTTGATCCCAGGAATGGCCCAAGGTGCAGCTCAGAATCACAGCAGTAGAAACCTGAGATGGGAGTGCGGGCGGCCAGAGCGGGAGAGGTCTGTGGGGCTCAAACCACGCCAAGGAGACAGGAGCTATAGAGGGATTTAAAGAAGGAGAACCATACAATGTAATTCATTTTTTTGGGGGGGCGGAGGCAGAGGATAGGATGGAATTGGGGTGGGCGAGACTTTTAGCAAGGCAGCAGTTGGCAGCTGTCATAATCCAGAGAAGAGAAGTGGGCACATATAATAGTGAAGAGGAGACAAGGACCAAAGGTGCTAAAGGAAAAAGCATCATAGTTTGTGCATGGGACTGGATGTCAGGATGACATTTGACTGGAAGTCAAATTCCACTCCCTCCACCAAGTTTTCTCTGCATCGGTTTAGAGGCGTCCTGCCCAGAAACACAGCCTGTGCATCTGGGATTGCAGCTCCCCGCACAGCACGGTGTCTCTGGAGCTCTTACGTGTCATACCACGGTTGGTTCCCTGAGCTCCAGGGATGTCTAAGCCACAGCTGCCTGTGGAGGGACCAATTTGCCTCCTAGGGGCTGCAGGGTATTTGCCACAGCCCCAGCACACACTCGGCTTGGGTCTGATCCACAAAAACCCCGCTTTGCAAGGCAGATGGTCCCTTGTTGACTGCAGATGTATCCAGGTGCCTCCTAGAAAGGAAAGGACTCCTTCTTTCCCCCGTTCTCAACTGCTCAGCAAATGCCCCAATAAACCAGAGCCAAAAGGATTCAGGGTGACATTTCCCACTGAAGAATTGCTCTGAATCACGAAAATAATTCTCCTTTCTGCTTGTAGAAATCCCAGAGCAGATACAAACCCTCCTGAAGGGTGCAGATGAATTCCTCGCAGGCTCTCTGTTTGCACGTGGGCAGACAGATCAACATTTTTTTATTCTAAGTGAGGAAATTCGAAGCTTTCCACTTTTTTTGAATCCGTCATTCCTTTGGCTGGGCTGACTTGACCCGTTACCACAGTTAGTTCTCCAGTTTGAACTTCAAACAATACAAAAAAAAAAGGGGAAGTTGGTGGTGTGAAGACTTCTCGTCATGTGAAACGTCTTGAAAGCGTCCTCAAGTGAGAAAATGACATCCCTCCCTTCATCAGCCTAGCCTGAGAATGGTTCCTTAGAATTTCCCCACCCGGCCAAGGGGAGGAAACACTTGAGCTTATGAAGGAGTTTTGGGCATCAAAGGGCTTTTAGGAGGTGCGAAGTTATCACACGAACAGGAGGATTTTCCCCCACAGGAATGGAAATCCACCACAGGACACTGCCCGTCTCTTGCTTGTACTTCCGATGCCAGCACCTAATAAAGCTGGGGTATGGGGTAGCAGCCAGAGGCCATCCACTCCAATAGCTTCTCACTTCACACAGTCCCGGATTTAAAATTTGGCTTGACAATGGAAACCATTTGTGACTTAAATCTGCATATCTGGCACAGCATCGATTAAAAAGAACATGGCTTTTAACGCTAGATGGGCTTAGTGTTTTGTTTGTTTTGTTTTGAGACAAAGTCTCACTCTGTTGCCCATGCTGGAGTGCCGTGGTGCAATCATAGCTCACTGCAACCTCAACTCTTGGGCTCAAGTGATCCCCCTACCTCAGCCTCCTGAGGACTCCTGGGACCACAGGTGTATACCACCATGCCCAACTAATTTTTATTTTTATTTTTAATAGAGATGAGGTTTCACTAGGTTGCCCAGGTTGGTCTTGAATCCATGGCCCCAAGCAATCCTCCTGCCTTGGCCTCCCACCGTGCTGGGATTACAGACATGAGCCATTGCACTTGACCAGACGGGTCTAGTTTTCAACTCAGACTCTGCCCTCTACTTGCTGTGTGGCCTTCAGCAAGTTGCTTAACCTCTCTGAGGTTCAGTTTCCTGTCCTGTAAAATGTGAATCGTCATCCTCACTTCACGGGGATTTTTTTAACGAAAAAAATCCAGTACATAAACCTCTTTGATGGAAGAATGAGCCTTCATACGTGAAGGACCTTGTACACAGTTCCCGGGGCCTCAGTAACGCTCTAAACATTACCTGCCTGGACTTACCTCTCTTCTCCTGAAGCTCATTAGAAGTGCATAAAGTCTGAGCTCAATCAACTCCGGTGGTCAGAAAGCCAGGAGAAGCCTCTTTGCCTCCCTGAATGAACAGCCACAGGTTTATGATTTATTTGCTGATTAATTGGATGCTTGGAGACAATTCCATTTCAATTACCTTATTGGCATGACGAGATATACAAGGGCTGCCAATGTCAATACATTAAGACTGAGTGTGCTGGAGCAGCAGCCAGGGTTCAGGGCACTGCTGTGTCATCTGCGCCACGGTGCACAAAGGCAGCTTCAAAAGCATTTCAGCATGATCGCTTCCCTCTCTCCGCTCCTGGGGAGAGAAGGATCCTGCACACCACAGGCAAATCATGCTGAAATTGAGGTGGTGCCTTTGGGACTCCCATCCCATCACAGTCTTGGGATTCTCTAGCTGAGATCTACTAGAGCCTGTGGAAGCAAGAATGGTCATTTATCACATGGAGCTGGGTGCATGGTGTGGGGCCCAAGGGAGAAAGGGTAGCCCCTGCCACTCGAGTACCAGAAACCAGAAATTGTGCTGGACTGAAGGGCAGTAGGTAGAATTCTAAACCCCCAAGATTTCCTCTCCTGGTGTACCCACTTTGAGTGCATGCAGAACCTGTGAATGTGATGGGATTTCGCTTCTATTCTTACATTACCACTGTTGACTTTGAGCTCTTTATTTAAAAAAAGCATCCAGGTGGGCCTGACCTAATCAGGTGAGTCCTTAAAAGAGCCGGGGCCCTGCCTAGGAGATTGGCAGCCCAAGAGCTGATGGAGAGGCCCATGTGTCAAGGAACTGCAGGCAGCCTCCAGGAACTTAGAGCAGCACCTGGCAAACAGCCATCAAGAGAACAGTGGCCTCAGTCTTACAGCTGCAAAGAACAGATTTCCATCAATAACCACATGAGCTCGAAAGAGGACCTGGAGTTACAGAAGAAATGCAGCTCAGCCAGCACCTGATTTCTGCCCCGTGAGTCCCTGAGCAGAGAGCCCAGTTCAGCCATGGCCAGACTTCTGAACTCCAGAAGCTGCGAGGTAATACGTGTCTGTCCTCATAAGCTGCCCAGTGTGCAGTAACTGGTTACACAGCAGTTGATAACAGATGCACAAAGTGACTGCATCACTGTTCTCCCAACCCCTCTCCCCTTAGAGCCTTGTGGTTTCTGTGCCTGCTTCTCCCTGTATATCTGCTTTTCTGCTCTTTTCCTGGAAGCTGGATCTCTTTACTTCTCTGTGCATACCGTGGAGGATCCCTGAATGGATCCACCCATTCGAAAACCATCTGCTGAGTGGCAAATTCTACACTCAGGCTTGTTCTCAGGTCTTCTCTGACCACAGGTCCCATCTGATCACTCCTGCACCATCCGCCTCCTTGCATGTTGGAGCACCCTGAGGCTTCAGGGTCTCCGTGCGTGCCTTCCCCAGAGATCCACACTGCTCTCGTTGATCTCCTTCACATCTCTGCTCAAATGTTACCTCCTCAGTGAGGCTGGCCCTGATCTCCCAACTTAAAGTTGTCACATTTGCTCCCAGCAGCCTCCCTCCCTGCAATATTCCCTCTTGCCACCTTCCTGCCTACTCTTCAAGGTGTGCAATGCACTTACGTCCTTATTGATCTCGATCGCCGATCTCTTTCATAAGAAAGTCGGCTCTCTCAGGTCAAGGATTTTGGTCTGTTTTGTTCTCTATATCCTCAGCCCTTAGAACAGCACCTGGCATACAGCTGGTGCTCAAGAGAGACTTGTTGAATGAATGAATGAATGAATGAAGTGGGAGCTATGGCAATGTCTCTTCAGATTCTGTAGCCAGAATCTATTCTGGATAATGCACTTCAGATGATTTGAGTGAATATACTATTCCTTCACCCTTGCACATCCTGGGCTGAACAATGATTTCTTCTTTATTTTTATAGAACTGTCTTAGCCAGTGTTTCTTAAAGTGTGGTCAGGGGACCAACTGCAGCAAAACCATCTGGGGACCCTGTTAAAAATGTACACCCTTGGCCGAGAGTGGTGGCTCACGCCTGTAATCCCAGCACTTTGGGAGGCTGAGGCAGGTGGATCACCTGAGGTGAGGAGTTCGAGATCAGCCTGACCAACACGATGAAACCTTGTCTCTACTAAAAAAAAAAAAAAAAAAAAAAAAATTAGCTGGGTGTGGTGGCACATGCCTGTAATCCTAGCTACTTGGGAGGCTGAGGCAGGAGAATAGCTTGAACCTGGGAGGCAGAGGTTGCAGTGAGCCGAGATCACGCCATTGAATTCTAGCCTGGGCAACAAGAGCAAAACTCCGTCTCAAAAAAAAAAAATATACACACACACACACACACACACACACACACACACACACACACACACCCTTGAGTCCCACATGAGCCCCAACAGGCCAGGGGCCCAGGAACCTATATTTTTAAAAAGTACCCCCTTCCCATTTTTAGCCACATGGAAGTTTGAGAATACAGATGTACAGGAAACACACTCCTTTTCTTCTCTCTGGAGGCTGTGGGGAACTTCTGTTTTTCACCTGGCCTCATCCACCGGAGGTAATAAAACTAACAATGGCTGACTGCAGGTGGACCGACGGCCTGTCTTATCTCTAGGGTGCATTTCCACCAGATGTCCCATAACACTTATTTGTTGGAGGTAACTCATCTTCCTGCGGGGGCTCCACATTCCCCCCAAAGCTTTTATTCTTCTATGGCCACAGGTGGAGATTGTCACCAACCTCAAGCTCAAGCCTGAAACTTACAAATCACAAAGGCTCTGGGGATTAAGTGGCTATTTAGCAGCAAGTTCCTTTTACAACTTACCAAACCCAGGGCCAGGGACGGCGCTTCTTGGACTATCGTGGACATTTCTCCTTTGCCGTGCAAGAGTGGCTATTACCCGGCATGCCGCTTTGGAAATCTGGAACAGGTCGGGAGAGTAATGGAAACTGGCCGGTAAGTAGCTTGTGTGTCTCCTGCTGCTTCTCACGGCAGCCTCGCTGATGTTTGGGTATATGGATCTCAGCGTGGGGGGCTGCCATGTGAAAACGGCCGTTAGGTGTGTGGGGTTTAGCACATTCTCTCTGAGCCTGGCTACCAGCGAGGCTTTGACACTCAGGCTTTGTGTATGGGGGTGGTTTCGGGGTCCAGCCTAAACACCCAAGGTGGCTGGAAACCAGGGCAGGGCTGCCTGGAAGAAGAAGGAGATCCTATACCTCTTTTGTGTTCCCTTCAAGAATAAACGTGTCTTTGAAAACAACAGCACGGGCCGGGCGCGGTGGCTCACGCCTGTAATCCCAGCACTTTGGGAGGCCGAGGCGGGCGGATCACGAGGTCAGGAGATCGAGACCATCCTGGCTAACACGGTGAAACCCCGTCTCTACTAAAAATACAAAAAAATTAGCCGGGCATGGTGGCGGGTGCCTGTAGTCCCAGCTGCTCCTGAGGCTGAGGCAGGAGAATGGAGTGAACCCGGGAGGCGGAGCTCGCAGTGAGCCGAGATAGCGCCACTACAGTCCGGCCTGGGCGAAAGAGCGAGACTCCGTCTCAAAACAAAACAAAAAAAACCAGCATGACCATTTAGCATCCTGTGCTCCCCAAAACCAAGACGCACATCCTCGTACAAGGCACACCTACTGCCTCCTGAATGTTTCTTGCCCCAGGAATTTTACAACCTACACAGAGATTGGAAAGCCCAACGGGACTATGGGGAGGCATGGTAAAAGGAGGCGGAACTAAAAGTGCTCCTCAAACCTCAGACAGTGAGATGCTTGGGACACGCAGTCTGGTCTGTTCCATGAAGGAGACTGGTGTGCCCTGGAAGCCTCACATTACACACAAGAAAAGTTATCACGGTGGGCTTGCATGAACCAGGCAAGGCCTGTGTACTTTACATGTCATGTACATGCCATGTCACATATAACACGATGAGATCAGCCTTTGCTAGTCAAAGTGTGGACTCTGGACCAGCAGCATCCGCATCACAGGGGACCATGTTAGAGAAACACAGACTCAACCGGGTGTGGTGGCTTAGGCCTGTAATCCCAGCACTTTGGGAGGCCAAGGCGGGTGTATCACCTGAGGTCGGGAGTTCAAGACCAGCCTGACCAACATGGAGAAACCCCGTCTCTACTAAAAATAATAATTAAAAAAAAATTAGTCGAGCGTGGTGGTGCATGCCTGCAATCCCAGCTACTTAGGAAGCTGAGGCAGGAGAATCACTTGAACCCGGGAAGCGGAGGTTGCAGTCAACCGATGGTGCCATTGCACTCCTGGGCAACAAGAGCAAAACTCTGTCTCAAAAAAAAAAAAAAAAAAGAAAAGAAAAAAGAAAAACACAGACTCTCTGGCCCCACCCCAGACCTGCTGAGTCCTAATCTGCAGTCTATCCAGATCCCGGAGTGCTTCAGGCGCACTGTACAGTTTGAGAAACACTGAGTTAGGTGCTACTTTATCCTCATTCCACGGGTGAGGAGAAAGTAGCTGGGGCAGGCTCGAGGGCTTAGTAAGCACTGGAACTCAGATACTTCCAAGACCAAAGTTCCTTGGACTGTGATTCCCACTGCTCACCCGGCAGGAGGGAACCCCTGAGTTGAACCTGTTAGGCGTAGATATCCAGATGAAGGGCATCCTGGGCAGAGGGAAGGGCCGAAGCCAGGGCAGGAGCTGTGCGCAGCCCTATGGTGTGCCGGGAACCGACAGCAGTCTGGACTGGCTGGGGCGTGGGCTGCAGATTGGGCAAGGAGGGAGATCCCATCTGGAGAGGCTGATCGGGGGGCCAAACCCCAGAGAATAAAAGTGGAGTTTCCTCTTCAAAAATGTAGCTCCCAAACAGCTCGCAGGTGGTTCAGATGCGAGAAACCTGTGCCTTAGCAAGGTTAAGGCACTAAGGTTAAGGTTACTAAGCAGAGCTTTGATGACTCAGACACATCCAGGAAGCTGCTATGACCCCCGAGTCCCCACGCTGAACATCAAAGGGGCCCTGGGAGAACCGGGGGCCTCCAACACTTGAACTGCTCCTTGTATGGAAACTTCCAGAACTCCCCCACTCCCCGAAAGAGAGGTCATCCGGACACCTCCCAGGAAGCATCTCTGCCCGACTCTGAAGGCTCCAGGAGGTCCCACCCTACGGCACGAGGCTGCACTGCCACGGTCATTAATTCAACTATTGCTGAAGTGTTGCAGCGGCGGTGGCTGCTGGAAAATTTGCAAATCAATATTGCACGGCGGGTGGGGCAACGGGAAAGAACTTCTCTGTTCCCATTTCATCAACTTCAAACTCTGGGTTGTGTATTTGAAATAAATGCCATTTCCTCTTCACCAGCTAAGTTTCTCTGGGACTTGTCCTGACTTGCTTTCATGGTAACTCCAAGCACAGGCTGCCGGGAACATGCGAGAATTCTGCAATCACTCAGACTGCTTAATTACCAAGCCTGGGGCAGTGGGCGGAAAGTCCCTCTGTCAGAAAGTCTGGGGCTGAAATCAGAGCTGATCCGCTTTGCAGCCACAGATCCCCGAGAAACACTCAGCGCACTTGTCTTCTAAGAAAGTGGTTGCTCATGTCTGAACCACCCAGGGAGCTGTTTGGAGCTACATTTTTGAATTTCTTCCCAAATCTCATGCAGCAAACTCTTCTGCTTGCTCCGTGAACATAGGGGAAGGAGGGAAGATGTGCTTCCATTTCCCTGTTCATTCAGAAAATACCTATCGGTTAAAGGAGTTTGAAACGAACACTGAGTCACTGAGTGTGCCACAGGGCAGGTGTCCTGATATTTTCTCAGTTTATGGCACTCTTAGAGTCTCAGTAATTTTTCTCATGGCACCGTAGGGCCAAAAGAAATCCCTAACCACTTCGTTTACTAAATAGGTAGGGCCAAACAACTTACTAAGTATTTATGTTCTAACATTGTAATAGCCAGTTGAAAAAATAATACATATATGTTGAAAGAAAAAAAATAAGTTTCATTTTGTTCTTTTCCTTTTGTTTTGAGACAGAGTCTTGCTCTGTCACCCAGGCTGGAGTGTAGTGGTGCAATCTTGGCTCGCTGCAACCTCTGCCTGCTGGGCTCAAGGCATCCTCTGACCTCAGCCTCCCTAGAAGCTGGAACTACAGGCATGTGTCACCATACCCAGCTAATTTATATATTTTTTATAGAGAGGGGGTTTCACCATATTGGCCCGGCTGGTCTTGAACTCCTGAGCTCAAGCAATACACCTGCCTCGGCCTCCCAAAGTGCTGGGATTACAGGCATGAGCCATTGCACCCGGCCTTCATTTTGTTCTTAAATAATCACAAGTACTTACAAATGGAACTTGTGTGCCTACTGGGGACTGCACCAATCCTCCAACCTTGAACTAGGACTGGACTCCAACACCTTTATTTCCCATTCTGCACTGGTCTTGGTGGTACTTGCTTTTTAATCATAGCAACGGCCAATACCCAGTTTCACAAACAAATGCTGTCATCAAAGGGAATGTAGCGGAATGGAATGTTGAAACTGTGACTACCTTGAGCCAGTAGTTCACCCAGGGTCCGACAGGTGTCGCTGTGTTTTCCTTGAAACTTCAGACTATCCCACAGCACTGCACTATCCCACAGCTGACTTCCCACAGCTGACCTCACTGCAGCACCCCAGGGCGGCTTAGCCGCACCATTTGGGAACTGTGGCCAGCAAGTCTGTCGCTTCTTGAGCACAGACCCTGTGCTTTGTGTAACTGACGTATGTGATCTCACGGAACGCTCCCAACCCCCCTCATTTGGTTAGTACTACTGTTGTCATCCTCCTTCTACAGACCAGGACATGAATACTCAGCAACATTAAGGCACTTGTTTAAGGTGCCGAACAGACCTGAGACTCACTCAGGCACTGTGCAGCAGAGGGCATCTTCTCCATCCTCCCAGCACAGTCCAAGGACCTAGGTTCCAGCCCAGGCTCTGCTACCCACTAGCTGTGTGTCCTCTTTCGAGCTTCTCAGCTTCTCTGGTCTCTGAGCCACATCTACCATATGTGGCCTGCAAAGATTATGGTAGCTTCAGGCAGCTGTTTTGCATAGTGACAAGAGATAATAGATGGAGAAGGCTCAGTGCCGACCCAGAAGCAAAACCTTCTGTGGGAAGGGAAAGGGAGGATGGGAGAAAAAGAGAGGAGGGGAACCAAAAAAGTTCCAAGGGTGGGCCCTGGAGCAAGGCTTCTAGAACCGGGGATAAGTCACAGGGCCTTGGGGCTGGGCACCCTTAGCCCACTGCCCAGCCAAGCTGGCTTGGGCATCTTGACTGTTGGCCTGGGGCTGACAATGACGATGATGATGTTTTTTCCTTAAATAACTGAGTTCAAAACAGATGGGAAAATGGGTGCTGCACGATTAAGGCTTTTAGTCATAATTGCTAAAAATAATAATAAAAACCCAGCAGCCTCTTTAATTACTCGGCAGTGCTTCTTTTCTTTTCATTAGACACTTCCATTTGCTCATGATGGTATTGTAAAATGTTTATCAATGCTAATGATGCAGTTCTCCAGAGCCCCATTTTGTTTTAAGGGCTGTAAGTGAAATTGTTAAGAAATAAATTTCCTATGTAACAATACATCACAAAGGAAAGCAAACAGAACAATAGCCAGGGCCTTCTCCCCGGCTAATAGGGATGTCACTTGCTGGGGCCTTGGAATCCATGAGGCCTGAGCATCTGGGTTCTTTGCTGTGCCCAAGAGTGGGCATCTGGGAGTCCCTGGCACAAGAGGGAGGGCCACCATCTTGGAGAATGAGGAGAATGAAGATGAGATTAGAGCCACCTGGGTCTTGGTCCCAGCTCTGCCACTTACTGGCAAATCAGGAAGGAATGTTCCTGAGGGTCTGAGAAAGCATCATTCTCTCTGGGCCTTAATTCTCAGGGACAGATTGGGGCACTTGCATGGGAAAATGTAGGCACCTCACCTTGCTTGCTCCAAGGATAAAGTATTGCAGAACCTGATAATGAGAGGTAGCGTGACAGGGTGCTCAAGAATGGGTACCCTGGCTTCAGACTCCCTGTGCTTGCATCCTAGTTCTGCCCTTTTCTGGCTGGGTGACAGAAGGCAGATTACATGAGACTCTGCCTGTGTTTCCCTATCAGTAAAATGGCAATCACAGGAGTACATGTACTAGGGTTACTATGAGGACTTAAGGAATTAAAACATGTCAAGGACATGTGGTAAGAAGGCAGCCCATCAATGAATAAGCGTGAACTATCATGATAAAAAAGATACTTTAGGCCGGGCACGGTGGCTCACGCCTGTAATCCCAGCACTTTGGGAAGCCGAGGCGGGCGGATTACAAGGTCAGGAGTTCGAGACCAGCCTGACCAACATGGTGAAACCCTGTCTCCACTAAACATACAAAAATTAGCTGGGCATGGTGGCACGTGCCTGTGATCCCAGCTACTCAGGAGGCTGAGGCGGGAGAATCGCTTGAACCCGGGAGGCAGAGGTTTCAGTAAGCCGAGATCGCGCCACTGCACTCCAGCCTGGGCAACAGAGCTAGACTCTGTCACATTTAAAAAAAAGGATACTTTATGAGAGGGACCAGCAAACTCTTTCTGTAAAGGGCTGGATGATAAAAATTTGGGGCTTTGCAGGCCACATGCAGCCTCTGTCATCGCAGCACAAAAGCAGTGATAGACAATACAGGAACGAATGGGCGTGCCTGTGTTCCAATAAAGCTTTATAGTCACCCACATTTGAATTTCCTATAATTATCATGTTATGAAATAGGTAGATATGCCTCTTTTGATTTTTTCCAACCATTAAAAAATGTAAACAAACAAACAAAAAAACCATCATAGGCCACACGGAAACAGGCTGGGTAGTTTGTGCCCCCTGCTGCAGGGCCTTAGTGTTGTTATTCGGTTAGTGAGGTCTCTGGCCTGAAACAAGCTCCTTTTTCTCTCATTCTCCATTTCGA
Organism: Homo sapiens; assembly: GCF_000001405.40. NCBI lineage: Eukaryota > Metazoa > Chordata > Mammalia > Primates > Hominidae > Homo > Homo sapiens. The sequence goes on along the minus strand of NC_000001.11, from coordinate 14,729,691 downwards.
GCCAGTGACTGCTACAAAGGAAAATACCTGAGGACAGAGAACCCTCAGCTTGGCCTGATTCTAAAAGTGAACGCTTCCCCAGTGGAATCTCGAGACACTGTTTGTGACCAACCTGAAGGTCTACATTCACACACCTTCCCATTCTGGAATTCCCTGCTCTTCCCTTGCATTCCCTGACAGCGAAGGGCATTACTCTATGGACCACAGACTTAATACGACATCTCACAAAACCCATTAGGGTCGCCTATAAAAGCATCGAATGGAACCAATTAGTGTGGGAGGGAAGAAAGCCCGGCTATTCTGGGTGAGAAGATAGCGAGGGGCTCTGCAGAGCTGACTGCTCCCAGGTGCACGTCTTGGATAAATCTCTGCTTCCCTATGGATGCTCAGTTGGAGCCCAAGGAACACAACCAGATAGCAAGGGTCACTAAGTCTCTTTGGGTCACTGTGAAGCCGAAGACAGCCTGGCCTTTTCCCCATTTCTTTGCTGTCCCTCCTCGTTTTCACAGGCCCTAGACGTGGGCAGGGGCCGAAGGTATCCAGTGACACAGCCCCTTCCCCATCCTGATCCATGTGCTGCGGAGCACATTCGAGGCAGGAGACGGGCAGGAAAGCCTCAAGGATAGGGTCAAGGGTCACGCCAGGGCCACTCTCCATCTGTCACCCAGGAGGCTCTCAAGAAACGGCAGCTTCCCAATCGTCACCTAAGGATATCTGAATAAGTAACCTCTGGAAGGTTCTAAAACGGCCTGCTGTTATCCTAAAAGGAAACTTTATGGAGTGTTTAAACGGAGGCCAAACTCACATGCTCGCTCATCTAATCCTTGCCAAGAACTTTATGAGGCAAGGATTACTACTACCCCCATTTTACAGATGAGGACACTGTGGTCTGGAGGCCTTCACAAATTTGTTCCAGGGAGTGACGTTTGTGAGATGCCAGAGGCAGGATCGGGTGCACTTAAGTGTAAGGCGAGGCTGCTGTCCTCATGGGTGTATCCTAGGCCTCTGCAAAAGCAATGCTCCTGCCAGGAAAAAGCCTCCAATACGGGAAGCCAAGTGTCTTGTAATGTGATGGTTATAGGAACCGGCTGCATTTGAACCCTCTGAGGACAAGCTGCTAAAATTCAGGTCCCTGGGCCCCATCCTAGGTGACCTGAGTCAGCATCTCTGGGGCTACTACAGACTTAGTTCATCATTCATTCATCCAATTAACTAATTCAGGGTTCCCCAACCCATGGCCTCTTAGGAACTGGGCAGCAGGAGGTGAGCGGCAGGTGAGTGAGCAAGTGAAGCTTCATCTTATTTGCAACCACTCCCCATCACTCATGTTACCGCCGAAGCTCTGCCTGTTGTCAGATCAGCAGTGGCATTAGATTCTTTTTTTTTTTTTTTTTTTTTTTTTATATATACGGTGTTTCACTCTTGCTGCCCAGGCTAGAGTGCAGTGGCACAATCTCGGCTCACTGCAACCTCCGCCTCCCAAGTTCAAGCGATTCTCCTGCCTCAGCCTCCCGAGTAGCTGGGATTACAGGTGCACGCAACCATACCCGGCTAATTTTTGTATTTTTAGTAGAGACGAGGTTTCACCGTGTTGGCCAGGCTGGTCTCGAACTCCTGACCTCAGATGATCCGCCCGTCTCGGCCTCCCAAAGTGCTGGGATTACAGGCGTGAGGCACCGCGCCCGGCCAGCATTAGATTCTCATAGGAGCGCAAACCCTATTGCGAACTGCGCATATGAGGGATCTAAATTGCTGATTCCTTAGGAGAATCCAGTGCCTGATGATCTGTTGCTATCTCCCATCACCACTCGATGAGACTGTCTAGTTGCAGGAAAACAAGCTCAGGGCTCCCACGAATTCTACACAATGGTGAGTTGTACCATTATTTCATTACATATTACGATGCAATGATAGAAATAAAATACACAGCCGAAGCGGTGGCTCACGCCTGTAATCCCAACACTTAGGGAGGCCGTGGTGGGCGGATTACCTCAGGTCGGGAGTTCGAGACCAGCCTGACCAACATGGAGAAACCCTGTCTCTACTAAAAATACAAAATTAGCCAGGCGTGGTGGTGCATGCTACTTGGGAGGCTGAGGCAGGAGAATCGCTTGAACCCAGGAAGCAGAGGTTGCAGTGTGCCGAGATCGTGCCATTGCACTGCAGCCTGGACAACAAGAGCAAAACTCTTTCTCAAAAAAAAAAAAAAAAAAAAAAAAAAAAAAAAAAAAAAAAAAAAAAGAAAGTGCACAATAAATGTGATGGACTTGAATCACCCCAAAACCATCCTCCACTTGGCCTCTGTCCATGGAAAAATTGTCTTCAATGAAACCCATCCCTGGTGCCAAGAAGGTTGGGGACCGCTGAACTAATTCATCAGGAGGGGCCGGGGACACTGGCAAGCATCCTGATTCAGGAAGCCCTGGGTTCACGTCCAAGGCCTGTTTTGTTCTCCTCCGCATCTGCATCTCCCTGCCCAGTGCTGGGTTATCCAACAGATGTACTGAACATGAGCAAGAGAGAAAAACACTTTTTCGGGGAAAATTCAATATTCTTTCTCTCTCCATATATATATATTTAAAAACCTCAAAAGAGACATCATAGGAAAAAATGTAATTTCTTTGACATCCTCATTCAGGTGTTATGGTTTCCACTGAGCACTTGTCAAAGTGCAAGCAGTAGCTCAAGGCACAGCTTCTGGAGCCAGGTGCCTGTGTCTGAGTGTTGGCATCACCACAGAGGGATGGCCTTGGACAGGTAGCTTCACCTCTTTGTACCTAACAGGGCTGTCTTCAAGATTCAGTGAGTTAATACAGGTTCTCAAAGCTGAGCGTGCATGAGAGGCACCTGGAGGGCGTGTTGCAATACAGATTCCCAGAGTTTCTGATTCAGCAGGTCTGGGGCGGGGCCTGAGAATCTGCATGTCTCTCAAGTTCCCCGGGGATGCAGATGTTGCCGGTCTGGGGAGCCTGCTTTGAGAACTACAAGTACAGGTAGATAGTTAAGCCAGTGTCTGACCTTCTAGGAATTGCAATTCATTGCTACCTAAGTATTCATCGCTTTTGTTGTTGTTCTATGTAGGGGACACCATAATCTTTGCAGGGCTTGCAGCTTTGAAAGGTCTTTGTACAACCCAACCCAGCCCACAGACACTCGAGGAAGGATGACTTTGGACAGGCTCTGCAAAGAAAATCAAGACTGAGGGAAGCATGGATGACCCACCTGGATCCCTGGGGGAGAGCACACACCCGGAAGCCGCTCCACACCTGCTGAGATGCTGGGAACGCGTCTCCCAGGGGACGCTTCCTTCTGGTGGGGAACAGGGACAATTAGTCGCCCCTGGTGACCAGAGCCTCTATCAGCTTGCACAGGTCCCCTGTGTGCTCTGATTCTCCTGGTTGTTTTGCGGGGTGTACATCTGCTTCTCCCAAGCACCAGCTGTCTGTGCCCACCTGGGAGCTGCTTCCTTGGCAAGAGCCTGGATACCTCCACACAAGGGCTTGTCATAGGCCCTTTTGGAATCCCTGTTGGTGGCCTTTCCTGCAGAACCAAAGCATCTGAAGCCTCATTCACAGAGCCAGTGCCAGATGAGGTGAGGCTGGCATCAGGACTCCTCCCCAACCTCTGACTGGCTTGAATGTGTAAACTGTCACCAACACAGACATTCACAGTTTGGGAGCAGAACTGAAGCCAAGAGATAACAGTGTTTAGTGCAACCTAGATGCAACCCATGACGCTATTCAGTGGCTTTGAGCCCATCCGCTTCCCTCCCCTAATTAGCAGGGCCTCCCTTCTGCTACTCAAAGGGTGGTCCAGGGACTGGCAACATCAGCATCACAGGAAACCTGCTAGACTTGCAGAGGCTCAGCCACCCCAGACCTATTGAACCAGGATCTGCATTTCACAAGATCCCCAGGTGGCTTTGACAGCACTTTAAGAGCTGAGCTAAGGGAGGCTCAGGTTGACTGTATTGGGGAAAGCAACCAGGAAAAATTGGGACTCTGGGGTTCTGAGTTTGAGTCCCGACTCAACCTCACTGGGCAATGAACGTGGGCAACACCCTCCTGCACTCTTAGCCTCTGTTTCCTCACCTGTAAAAGGGGAACAGTGATAACATGGCTGTTATAAGGCTTACATTTATTCCTGAATGGATATTTTAGTGTCTGCTATATGCTGGGAACCATGAGAGGGACAGGAGATATAAAAGGAGAAAGAAAGAAAAAAAAAAAAAGACAGCTCCACCCTCATGAAACTTATGGTTAGTCAGTGGAATAATGAATAATGAATAAAGAATTACACAAATAAATGTCAGATGACAACAGTGGTAAATGTCACAAAGGAGAGGTAGAGAATGCCACCAGGAGCCTAAGGAGGGGGTCCCAGGTAGGCTGCCCTGATGAAGTGATGTCTGCATTGACGCAATGAAGAGTAGATGAAGGTGAGTGAGGAGGGAGAAGAATATTCCAGACTGGTGATAACATTTGAAATGAGAATACTTGGCACACAGGAGGCACCCAGTGAGTGAGAGGGAATATGTATTAGTTAGTTATAGCTATGTAACAAATCAGCCCCAATGGCCCCTGAGTTAAAATTCAGTGTATGGTGATCTTCTTTCCTCTGGTAAATTACAAGAGGAATGAAGGTCGAAGTCCTGTTTACACCGATTTTTCACAACCATCTCTTATGTGCCTGGTACTTCTGAGTGCCTTTTTCTGTCTCCTCAAGTTTCCTGGTCATTTTCTTCCCATTGACTCATACTTGGGATGCTGGGAGGTGCACGCAGTAGCACTGACTTCTTTCCGACTTGACAGGGGAAGTGAAAATTGATGAACCAGAGTGAGGAAGGGCAGAAGGGAGTTTGTGAAGTAATTGAAAAACCAGACAGACCATGGAAGAATTATAAATAGAGGCTCAATTCCACCGCAGCCCATCAAAGCCAACGGGGCAACCCGCAGAAGGGATGGGGAACACACTCCAAAAGACCCAGGTTGGAAACAAATGAGTTTTAATGGAACATTTCAGTTCTGGAGAAAAATGGGAACACCAAGTAGGAATAACAGCTCAGGCAATAAATTGGTGGCAGTGTCATCCAGGCACAAAACGGAGAAGGAACCAGGAGAGCAATTGGTTTAATTTTTTAGATTAATTGTGAGCAGTCAATAATGTGACTCATTCGAGGACCCAGAGGCATGTAAGCTATGCTGAGTAATCTACTTAGGTTGGTAATTATTGTTTGTATTCATGGAATTAAGGCCACAAAAAAGGTGGTTTAGAGAAAGCCCCACAGTGCAAGGGGACTCTAATCCCAGCTCTCCCGCAGACGCATCTGTGCCCTGGAGTGAGGCATCGATATTGTGGTTACTGTGCAGAGAATAAGAAGAAAAAATCTTTCCATCATTCCTGACTTTGTGGCAGATTCACTGCCAGTTTCAAAGAATTCACTTTTTTTTTCCCTATCCTGTTTTTATTCCCTTTAATTCAAAAAATTGGTTGGGGGATTTTAAAAAGCGCATGAAAGAATAAGAAAATAATTGTGCACCTGCTCGCCACCCGGAATTAATCACTGGTAGCATCTTGCCCTGTGTGCTTTCTTTGTTTGTGGCTTTTAAGAAAAATCACGTTGTTGTTGTAAAAATGAAACGTACTCCTTTTAAATAAATCAACGAATGCAGAAAATTACGAAGCTGAAAGTACAGAGCTGGTCCCCAATTCTGCCATATTCGGTGGACGTCATTGCAGGCATCTGTCCACGCTCATGTGTGGACAGAAACTTCATGAGGGCAGGGGTTTTGTCTCTTTTCATCACCTCTGGGTTCCCAGTGCCCACAACAGTGTCTGGGAAATAGGAGGTGCCCAGTAAAGTATCTATTGAAAAACTGGCTGAATAAACCCTCTGGATCAGTCAAAGCCGTATCCCAGGAAAACTAGCTTTTGGGATCAGGAGCCACACTCCGACGTGGTTTTGAGTCACTGCACTCCCACTTCCACCCCACTGATGTTTACCCACAGGAGCACTCGGGTGGAAAAGGAGACGAATGCAGGAGAGAGAGGGAGCAAATGGATGCTGAGCCCGGCAGATGGACAGCCAACTGTGAAGGGCCTTTTGTCCCAGGCAGTAGAGTTCCAATGTTCCAGTACCTCTTCCTCATTCCCCATCGTGGCCATAGAGGCATGTGATCATCTTTGTACTGCTCCCTCGTGTTAAACTCATGAGTCTCGATGAGGCCACAGGCCGTGATGAGCAAGCTCAGGCCACCCCAGGTCCCACTCATTGCTGCCCCGGGACCTGAGGACTTTGATATCTTGGCACTCCTGCTTTGCCTGCTTGGTCCACTGTCACAGTTGGGGGGCTCTGATGGCTTCAGTTAAGGTAGGGCTCAGATTAGGCTGTAAGAAGACCTTTCTGGGGACAGTGTGGGGGCAGACAGCAGGTAGAAGGTCTGGGAGTCAGGATTAGGATCTCTTTGCAATAGGTCAACATTGGAAGATGCACCCCTTGACTATGGTGCAGCCGCAGGGTCAGGAGGAGGAAATGGAGATTTTATTTTTATGTATTTATTTATTTTGAGACAGAGTCTCACTCTGTCACCCAGACCAGAGTGCAGTGGTACGATCACAGCTCAGGGCAGCCTCGACTTCCCGGGCTCAAGTGATCCTACTGCCTCAGCCTCCCAAGCAGCTGGAAACACAGGTGCACACCACCACGTCCAGCTAAGTTTTTAAAAAAATTTTTTGTAGAGATGAGGTCTCACTGTGTTGCCCAGGCTGGTCTCAAACTCTTCAAATGACCCTCCCACCTCAGTCTCCCAAAGGGTTGGGATTACAGGCATGAGTCATGGCACCCAGCTAAATGGAGGTGTTTAAATGATGCCTGGGATTTGCTTCAAACTCACGTAGGAACAGGGGCTGGGGAAGGGAATCTAGGTGTGGATAGGGCAAGACTGGCCAAGGGTTGATGGTTATTGAGACCATAGGCCACGAGGGCATTCATTTTACTGGGCTGCTGACTTCCCTGCATGTTTGAAATTCTCCACAATCAAAAGTAAAAGAGACAGAGAGATACCAAGTAATAGACAAAGTAAAGTAAATTTTATTTTACAAAGGTATGCTCATTGGGAAAAGAACATCACCAATCCAGAGTGCAATGTTTTGAAAGGAATACTTTTTCATATTTATTGAAAACAAAACACGGTTATAACGAATGTATATTTCTTCTCATCCAACAAACAAACCTTGACCCTGAATGATGTTCTTCTTCTGGGTTTTAAATTGAATTTTTTATGTTAATTAGATAGAATATTATAATAACTTAATGACCTGAGAATGCTGTAATGTTTAAGATTTGTGAAGCACCTAATTTCTTTTAATAACAATATCACATTTGCCCTGTGATGGATATATAATTTTATTCTACAAAATGGATCATCACATACTAAAACGCACATGGAAATTTGCTTAAATGTAACTGTTTCCTGGTCATCTCTCCATGTCCATGTGGATCAATCCTCACCATTTTTTATTTTTTATTCTTTTTTTTTTTTGAGACAGAGTCTCACTCTGACGCTTAGGCTGAGTGCAGTGGTGCAGTCTCAGCTCACTGCAACCTCCGCCTCCTGGGTTCAAGCAATTCTACCTCAGCCTCCCAAGTAGCTGAGATTACAGGCATGCACCACCATGCCTGGCTAATTTTTATATTTTTAGTAGAGAAGGGGGTTTCACCATGTTGGCCAGGCTGGTCTCGATCTTCTGACCTCAAGTTATTCACTTGCCTCAGCCTCCCAAAGTGCTGGGATCACAGGTGTGAGCCACCGCACCCGGTCTATTCCTTACCATTTTTAACAACCTCACAGTATCCCAGAGTATATGTATTTCTACTTATTTATCCAGTTCAAAGAGCTGAGGGGTTGATTGACAATTAGGATTTCAATTTGCCTTACAATAAACAATGCTGCACTAGGTGGTCTTATATAGAAATCTCTGCAGAACCTGCTTAGTTTTGAAAACCCAGAAATGTGTTGGAAATCTGAAAAGACATCACCAAGATACCTTTCAAATGGATAGTACTGACTTGTACCCCTGCTCTCAGCATTGAAATGTCATCCTTGAGGTAAATACTCAACACAACCAGACCTCGAACACGAACAAGGCTGCCTTCAAGGTTCTTGTCTGGCCAGTTTCACAGTTGCACAGGTCTATTCGTCTGTTCTCATGCTACTAATAAGGACATACCTGAAACTCAGTAATTTATAAAGGAAAGAGATTTAATTGACTCACAGTCCAGCATGGCTGGGGAGGCCTCAGGAAACTTATAATGATGGCAGAAGGGGAAGCAAACATGTCCTTCTTCACATGGCAGCAGCAAGAAGAAGTGCAGACTGAAGGTAGGGAAAAGCCTCTGATAAAACCACCAGATCTCGTGAGAACTCACTCACAAGCACGAGAATAGCATGGAGGTAACCACCCCCATGATTCAATTACCTCCCATTGGGTCCCTCCCATGACATGTGGGGATTATGGGAACCACAATTCAAGACGAGATTTAGGTGGGGACACTGCCAAGCCACATCAACAGGGCTTCATGGTTCTCTGTTAGAGGCAGCATCAATACCACCGCTCAGGCCTCCTGTGGCCCAGAGCACCCTAAATAGATAGTGCTCTTTGCAAGAAGAAATGCCTGACTCTGTATACAGGGTACAAACAAGGGCAGGGGCCAAGCCAGAACTGGTCATCAGGTCACCTGATGGCAAACAGGCTGGAGGGTCTCCACCCACACTCACTGGGGAGGCAGCAGAAAAAAATGCCTTGGAAAGTGGCAAGGAAGGTCAGGCGCGGTAGTAGTCCCAGGTACTCGGGAGGCTGAGGCGGGAGAATCACTTGAACCTGGTAGGCAGACGTTGCAGTGAGCCAAGATCCTGCCACTGCACTCCAGCCTGGGCGACAGAGTGAGACTCCATCTCAAAAAAGAAAAAGTGACGAGGAAGCAGCAAATGAAAACAGGAAAGCCTGCCGATGTGAGCGAAGGGCAGTCTGTAAGAATGATAAGAGGAGCAAAGATGGGAAATGGAAAAGAAGATTGCACAGAAAGTTAAGCAAAGAAAAATATTGCAAGAATATGAGGCAGGAAAGGTCAGCGACAGAAGATGGTTTGTCAGAGCGAGCTAGCAGAAGTAATTTACTGACTGCACAGGTAGATGCCCTAAATTAAATTTATTCCTGGCCTCCATGAGGCAGGTTTCAGAAGGAGACAAGAACCTTTTGGGGCAAGAACGAAAAACACAGAAAGGAATCAGACTCACGGTGGCATTTGACAACCAAGAAAGACGCATTAGGGACTTGGAGGTATTTGGGATCTTGCTGGGAACCCCAAGGATAGCTCAGACTGAAATAAGGGGGCTGCCCAGTCTTGCCCCATGACTATGTTCTCAACAGCAAGGAAGGGGAATGGGATCTTTCTTTCTCCAAGTTAAAGCTGCACCAAGTAGGCGCTAAGGGTGGCATTCACAAGAAGTGCCATCCCCCAGTGGGTCCTCTTGTCATGTTGACAAGTGGCACAAGCTCCGGAATCCCAGGCCTGGGCTCTGCTCTCCCATTCATTTGCTGGCTGGCTTGAGACGTGTCCCTTAAATCCCCTGAGCATTAGCTGTGTCATCTACACAGGGTGGAGAAGGTGGCTTGTTAGCTTGCTGCCCTCCTGTCCCTGCCTCTCCCTCTTGTCCACTCCACTCCATTTCCTCTAATTCCCCTGTTGTTTTCCAAACATGCTGTAGGGCCTTTGCACTGGCCATTCCCTCTGCCTAGAATGCCCTTCCCAGCACCTGCATGTTTCTCTCCCTTTTTTCTCATTATGTTTTCTTAAACAGAGTCTCACTCTTTTGCCTAGGCTGGAGTGCAATGGCGTGATCTTGGCTCACCGCAACCTCCACCTCCTGGGTTCAAGTGATTCTCCTGCCTCAGCCTCCCAAGTAGCTGGGATTACAGGTGTGTGCCACCACACCCAGCTAATTTTTGTATTTTTAGTAGAGACAAAGTTTCACCATGTTGGCCAGGTTAGTCTCAAACTCCTGACCTCAGGTGATCCGCCCGCCTTGGCCTCCCAAAGTGCTCGGATTACAAGTGTGAGCCACCACGCCTGGCTTCTTTCTCATTTTTGCTCAAATATCACCTCTCAAAGAGTCTCACCCTAACCACTGTCCTTAAAATTACACTCCCTCCCATCTTCTTTTCCTCCTGTTTCTCCATAGCACTGGTAGCCTTCTAACAGACCACTGGACACAGTCCACTTTTGCATTCTATGGCCTAAATTCTTTGTCTAGAATCTAAGCCCCATGAGGGCAAGGGCTTTTGCCTGCTCTATTTCCTGCCATGTCCCCAACATCAAACATAGGTGCCTGACACATGCTATGCACTCAGCGTAAATGTGTTGACTATGGTCATGAACCTATAACTGAATAATCATAATCAAAATTGGTTATTATTTTATTAATTTGACCAAGATTTATTCATTGCCTACTACCTTGTATGCTGGGCATCATCCCTGCCTTGCAGAAGCTGAGTCTGTGGAAAGACCAGCAAGCAGAGAGTACATGTGCAAAGTTGAGTGTGGGTTGGTCCTATGGCGACTGTGGGTAGATTATGATGGGAGCCACACCAGGTTCCCGCTGTTCTTGGAAACCAAGCCTGCACCCTTAGAGACTCAGACAATCCCAGCCCTCAACTCAGACTGTGAAGTTGAAAAATGTTGACCTCAAACCCCCTACCTTCTCTTTTTATGTCATGTCAACCAACCAACCCATCCTAACAGGCGCAACTGGGGCGGAGTGGGGTGGTTCTTGCTTTCATGATGTCCCCTAAGGATCCAGCCCTCCACGTAGCCCTAAGATAAAAGCAGAAAGGAAAGGGTGCGGATTCAGTAGTTTAGGAGTTAAATTAAACCCCAGTTCTGTCTCCTCCTTCACTGCTTCTGGTTTGTGGGGATCCAGAAGGCCAGTGACATTCGCCATGTGAGGTCCTTGGCACTGCCCGCGTGTGCTAAACACCTACAGCTTGAAGACCAAGTGGCAGGAGAGACAAATATTTAACAGTCAGCTTAGCGGCTGCACCAAAAGCAAACTAAATGTTAGGGACACATAAAAAGGAGAATCACACATAATTCAGAGAAAATTATTCTCGCAAGAGCCTAAATTTGTGAAAATTGTCAGCAATTCTCTTCCTTTTATTACAAAAAGGATATTGTGATATGCGGAAACCCTCCAAAATGGAAAAGTCCCCGCAAGGACGTCCACATGCCAGGTTGGGGGAAATCTGGTCTGTACTCTCTGAAAAGCAGGTGATTAAGGGGCCATACAAAATGCTGAGTGGAGTCCCGAGGGCACACCGCCTACCACGGTTTGAATTCACATCAAGCGGGAGGACAAATGTGGTGGCAACATAAACCAGGGAGATGGGCACTTAACGGAAATGAGCGACATTTTCTTTACAGAGCAACAGAATCAACCATTTGAAGTGGTGGTGCAAACAGCTGGAAGAGAGAGCATGAAGCACATCGAAAATGCGACTGGACAGGAATCAGACTCCCTGGGGGTAATTTGCTTCTTTGTGCTTGCCCTGCCGCTGGTGACCAGCAGCCAATGCCGGCGGTCTTTGGCGGTGCTACCCCAGTCACCACAGGTGATAGAGGCCAGGCTCAATGGGGGAAGCGTCCCTCTTGATGGCCTCTGACCAGGTTCTGTTCTCCTTGTATTCTGAACCAAAGAGAGCAGGCTGGGAACAGCAGGCAAGATGGTAGCCATCAAACTTGGATTTCGGGTGCAGCAGGGGTGGGGGTCGGTGTGCAGTGGAAGCGCATCCACATTGCATCAAGGCCCGACCTTTTTTTGGCCAAGCCCAGCTGTGAGGTCCAGGACAAACTGCCCTCTTGGGCCTCAGTTTCCCCTTCCATGTCAGCCCCACAGGGGTGTCAGCCCCAGGGGCCTCTTGGGCCTCAGGTTCCACTTTCATGTCAGCCCCAAATTCATGTCCACTCTGAACCTCGGAACCTTATTTGGCTTAAGGGTCCTTGCAGATATAATTAAGGTAAAGGTCAAGATGAGATCATGCTGGATTAGAATGGGCCAGAAATCCAATGGGCGTGTTCTTCTATGAGACAGGAAAAAGGACACAGAGACACACAGGGAGGGGGCCACAGAAGATAGGGGCAGAGATCGGATGCTGCCACAGCCAAGGAATGCCGGGGCCACCGCAAGCTGGGAAAAGGAAGGAAGGAGCCTCCTCTAGAGGTTTTGGAGGAAGCATCGCCCTCCTAATACCTTGATTTTGGACTTCTGGCCTCCAGACCCTCTTTCCAGCTAGAATACAGAATCCATGAGGGTAGAGATGTGTCTTTCTCGTTCATCAACACATTCCCAGCACCTGGTATGGGAAAGCTCATGCCAGGGTACATGGTTGTTGAATGGACACATGAGATGAACACACGAATCCCTGTGCCTACAGAGTCCACATCCAGTGAGTAGGGGGGAGTGGGAGGTTATGAGACAATAATGCTGTAGGCTGCAAGCATGCACATCCAAGGACGACACAGATAAATCAGAGATGCCTAGGGGAGAGAGCGCTCACATCTGGCCAGGTGTCCAAGGATGTTACCTCTCCCTCCATGGGCAAGGGAGCCTCCCAGCTGGGCCTTGAAGGGCAGGGCTGGAGGAGAAGGCATTCCAGAGGGCGGGACTGCTGTGAGTCAAGTCTCAGAGGCCAGAAAGCATAAGATGCTCCAAGGGAACTGCCAGGGAACATTCCCCCGGCAGTGGCACCCTCTTCTTTGACAAACACTGACATAGAAACTTTGACTGGTAAATGGATTTAACAAAACCAAGTGGGTCAGTAACTGTGGTGGCTAGAGCCATGTCTGGGATTGCAGAGGATTCACAGAGCACAGTTTGCAGAGCAGGGCCCTAGAGGGGAGGATGTAGGTTAACTAGGGACAGCAGGGAACACAGGAAAGGACGGCTCAGGCACATGGTGAAATGCCAGCCTTTCAGGTGCTCCGCCTGAGGGCTGAGCAGTGGGCTTTGATGACAAGAGCTACCTGCTCAGAGAGTTGCCGCCAGAGAATTCATCTAGCAGCTGAATCCAGGATGGATTAGAGCACAAGGCTGCCGACAGGGAGGTTACTGCAATGGTCCAAGGGAAGGATTATGAGGGCCTGATTTCTGGGCGGCAGTGGGAACGGAATGAAACAGACAGATGTGAAAAAAGATTGGAAAGGGGAAGAAAATCTGCTCAACTGACTGCATGCCCTCAAGTGAGGGAGAGGAAAGAGCTGAAGATGACTTGAAAAATTTCTACTTAGGCAGCAGGGATTTTGGAGAGAACGCTGCATTGCCTGAACGATAAATGTCTAGAGAAATCCACTTCCATTAATTTAAATGTGAAATAATCATGACCTACACACTTATTTTGCAAACAGAGACTCCTGGGTGGGAAGCTGAGAAGCCCTTCCAATGCACACACACTGACACACACACACACGTGTACATACATACACATGCACATATATACACATTTTTCTCTGCACTTAAGTAGTGGATATTGGCATTTGGAAGGCAGTGCCCCACTTGAATGAACCTGAGAGTTTGCTCTTAAAACACTTCTGATGAAGAAATCCAAGCCTTTCAATATTTCAAGGGAAATGTCACTTCCTTTTATTTGCTGACCACAGTTGATTAAAGACCTTCAGTTGCACCGCTTTCACCCCCATCCTTAGAAACACTCCAGCGTCCATTTTAAGTGTAGAGATGGCTTCAATGTTTAGAAACAAGAGCCCGGAACCTTGTCAACCACCGCGGCCTGCGTCTCTGTGATGGAGATTTGGAGCTTTCTAAATTAGAGATAGTTTCACTCTTCGGAGAGGCCTTTTAAATACCGACTTAACCCAAAGGGAAAAGAAAATGAAGCTGCGATACTTTTAGTTCAATCAGAAAAATGGTTCTGACTGCACATTTGCTGCAGAGACTTTCAGGGTAAAGGAAAAATATCAACCTGTATTAGGCCCTAAGAGGTGATATGGTCCTCGGAGAAAAATGTGCTCTCAGGATAGGAAACATCCATTACTGGCTCATCTGCCAGCCCCCGAACATCAAGCTACACACGCAGCCTGTTTTCGGAGCGCTGAGGTTTTGGAGGAGTCCCTTCTGAGGATGATGTGTGCGCTGCCGGCTTCCAACAGCTCTGCTGCGAATGGAGGAAACAGCTTCGCTGCCAGGCTGTGCCATTCTTTGGTGCCAAGTGTCACCTCATTTTGTAAACTTGGCCAACCTCCCTCGTGAAGGTAAAGCACTATAGGCAAGGACCCAGCCCCTCCCATCAGGCTGGGATGGGGCCCCTTGAGACAAGCATATGGTGAAGTTCAAGAGCAACCTGCCCTAAGCCTTTGGCCTTTTCCAGCCACTATTCTGGGGCTGCACTGTTAGGGCCCTGCAAGGTGGCAGATCACACACTAGCCAGGGCGTCTCAGCCAAGGTGGGAGGATCCCTTGAGTCCAGGAATTTGAGACCAGCCTGGGCAACAGAGTGAGACCCTGTCTCTTACAAAAAATAAACAAGTTAGCCGGGTATGGTGGCAAGTGCCTGTGGTCCCAGCACTCTGGGAGGCCGAGGTGGGAGGATTGCTAAGCTGAGGAGTTTGAGACCAGCCTGGGCAACATAGTGAAACCTCGTCTCTACTAAAAGAAAAAAAAAATTAGTTGGGCATGATGGTGTGTGCCTATAGTTCCAGCTACTTGGGAGGCTGAGGCAGGAGGATCACTTGAGTCTGGGAAGTCAAGGCTGCGGTGAACTGTGATTGTGCCACTGCACTCCAGCCTGAACGACAGAGCAAGAACCTGTCTCAAAAAAAAAAAAAAACAAAAAAAAAAGAAAAAGAAAAAAGAAAAATACTGTCTTTTCATCCCCAAAGTGTGAAAACCAAGACCTATCCACATCTCTCTCTTCCTCACAGGAAGAGCACAGAGCAGGTATGCTGCCTGTGCCTGGGATCAGCAGCTGTTCTTATGTCCAGCAGCTTCCTTAAGGACCATGACAGCCTTCAGGAGCAGCTCACAAGAGGACAGGATTGCTTGAAGTGGGGAAGAGCAACGCATTAGCAGAGCAGGTGTCTGCTCTCTCCACAAACATTCCCAACCCAGGGCCCCCACGTGGACTTCCGCCTTAATTATGCTGCACACTTGCCTAGAGGTTCCAGGGTAGACCAGGAGGCCATGCAAACATACTGGCTGCTTAGGGATTTTTTTTTTCTTTGCTTTGGGTTTCTTTAATAATGCCTCTCCAACACAGCCAGTGAGAAATTCCGTGCAGAGCCAATTATCCAGCTAATTGAGAACAAGGATACTCTAATACTCTTCACCTGCTCCGAAGAGGGTATCATCAGATGCCTCTTGAGAAGGGATTTGTCCATCAAGGATCCAGGCAGAGGGGAGTGTCAGCCACTACCTGGGAGGTGGACCAGGTGGCAGGAACAAAATGGAACCAGTATGATGGTAACCAGACTGCAGGGACCTGCACCCAAACCACAGGCAGTCTCCATCAGTCAGCCCAGAGAGCAAGACCCAGTTATGTGGCTAAGAAAGGAAAAAATTAGTAAAAATGGATCTAATGAAACTTCACAGGGTGGGTGTCAGGATTTATCAAATTAATGCATGGGTTCTCAACCTTGGCAATATTATTTTTCTTTCTTTCTTTTGTTTCTTGAGACAGGATCTCGCTCTGTTGCCCGGGCTGGAGTGCAGTGGTGTGGTCATGGCTCACTGCAATCTCCATCTCCTGGGCTCAAGCGATCCTCCCCGCTCGGCCCCTCAAACAGCTGGGACCACAGCTGTGCATCACCACACCTAATTATTCTTTCTTTTTTTTTTTTTTTTTTTTTTTTTGTAGAGATGAGGTCTCGTTTTGTTGTGTAGGCTAGTCTCGTACTCCTTGGCTCCATGACCCTCCTATCTCGGCCTCCCAAAATACTAGGATTACAGGCATAAGCCACTGTACTCGGCTAGCCTTGGCAATACTGACACTTGGGGCCAGGTAAGTCTTTGCTGTGAGGGCCGTCCTCTGTACTGAAGAGTGTTTAGCAGCAACCGTGGCCTCTACCCACCCTATGCCAGAAGCATCTTCCCCATTCAGTTGTGATAACCAAAAATATCTCCAGATGTCTCCTGGGGGACAAAATCACCCCCCACTGGGAGCCATTGAGTTAAAGTAAACTAACCAGGCACAGTGCCAGCTCCGTAAATGACAGTGATCAGCACTGAAATGATTGTGCTGTTAAAGATCTGAGATCATCAGGTGCCTGTGTCTACCAGGAGCATTGCAAAAGGCCCCCAGTTCTTCACACCTGGACGTGGCCACATGACTTGCTTTGGCCAATGAGATGCTAGCACCCATGGAACAAGCAGAGGCTTGAAAAAGCGCTTGTGCAATTAAGCTTGTCCTCTCTTGCACCTCAGGATCACCATGAAAACAAGCCTGTGCTAGCGTAATGAAGGAGGAGAGACACACAGAGCAGAGCCTGGTGGCCCCAGTCACCCCAGCAGGTAGCCAGATGACCCACAGGTATTGAGCAGGCTCAGTCCAGATTAGAGTGGCCCCCTGACCACCCAGACATAGGAGCATTGTGTACTCACTGTCTATGCCACTGAGGGCTTGTGGTTGTTTGTTACACAGCAGTGCGGCATTAAAAAACAACTGATACATGAGCATCTATAGGGAATGTGTCATCTTGGAGCATACTTCGCACCACGAGGGCTGGGAAAACACAGATGCTCTTTATTGTGGTGTGTGAGAAAGCACAGGGAAAAGGTGGGGGGTGAGAAGACAGTATTAATTCTATAGCTGCTGTGGTTGGTTTTTACCTATGGCTTGCACTAGGGGAATGTTCCAGCCTGCCCAGGTCTGAGCGGTTTCTGCCCCCAACTTTTGACTTTCATTGTTTCTTTCCCTGTGGAGGCTCAGCTTTGGTTTTTCGGGTAATAATAGATGATTTAGCAACTGTCAGGGACTGGGGCCAAGGAGAGCCTAGAGTGACCTTTCATGAAATGAAGTGTGCAGCTTCCAGAGCATGGGCTTCTGGCAGATCGGAGGGGTCTCAAATGATTGCAAAATGCTCTATTTCCCAGGGCCTGGTTTTCTCTCTAGTCAGATAGGGTTAGCACTCCTGCTTTTCAGAAAGCATCGAAAACTTCTGTGATGAGAATGGTGTAATTTCGGCATTGTTGGCATCAACCTGAACCCACACAGCATCTCAGTGGCCTGGGGTTTGAGCCAAAACACAGACAAGGACTGTTGGAACCTGAGGATCAGCTTCCTGCTATCTCCCTCTCCCTGGCTACCACTGCCAGCACCCTGGACCAGGCCATCTGCATCTCAGGCACAGATGAATCTCACAGCCTCCTGTCTCCCTGCTCCTTCTGCCCTTCTAATCTCTTCTCTGTATGGTGTCCAGGGTGATCTTTTAAATGCAACATGCAAATTAGAGACTGCCTCCCTGCTACCTGCTTCAACCCTTTGGTGGCTTCTATTAGCTTTTAGGTTAAACCCCAAATCCAGCACCTGGCCCCTAAAACCCTTTCTCCCCTTATCCCCTACTCTTCTTCCCCTTGCTCGTGAAGCTCCAGGTTTCTGGCTTCTTTGCCTTTTCAATTGCCTGCACCATGCTCCTTCTGTACTCAGAATGCAGCTCCCCATGGCCGGAACCTCTCCTGTATTAGTTATCTACTGCGTGTAACAAGCTGTCCCGGTCCTAATGGCTTGAGGCAACACTGAGTGTCTCACAGTTTCTGTGCACCAGGATCTGGTCGCAGACTTTTGGGCCCTCTGAGTCCTTTGTCCCGGGGTCTCTCACAGGCTGCAAGGTGTCAGCTGTGGCTGCCGTCACAGCACGGCTCCATGCGGAAGAGGATCTGCTTCCAAGCTCACTGACCTGAAGGCTGGCAGAACTCACTTCCTTGCAGACTGTTGACCACCCCAGTTCCTTACTGTGTGGGCCTCTTAGTGGCTCACAACATGGCACACTGCTTCATCGACGGGAGCAAGTGAGAGATGGGGAGAGAGTGCACTAGCAAGACAGCAATCACTGTCCTTCATAACCTAATCTTGGAAGTGACATCACAGGTCCCACCCCACCCAAAGGAAGGGACTACACAAGGATGTGAACACCAGCGGAAGGGCGTGGGGAACCATGCTAGAACCTGCGTGTCGTGCCTTTCTTCTCCCAGAGAAATCAACTGTCATCCCCAAACGAAATGTGACCATCCCCAAACCAAATGTGGCCCTCAATTACACACCTATTCCCTCAATTTTTTTTTTTTTTTTGGAAACAGAGTCTTTCTATATTGCCCAGGTTGGTCTCGAACTCCTGGACTCAAGTGATCCTGCTGCCTCAGCCTCCCAAGTGGCTGGGACTACAGGTGCATGCTGCCATGCCTGGCTCATTCCTTCAATAATACTTCTTTTCGAAAATAGAGACAAGGTCTGGCTTTGTCCCCCAGGCTGGAGGGCAGTGGTGCCATCATGGCTCACTGCAGCCTCCAACTCCTGGGCTCAAGTGAGCCTCCTGCATCAGTCTCCCAAGTAGCTGGGTCTACAAGCACACACCACCATGCCCAGCTATTTTTGTTTTTTAATTTTTTTGTGGAGATAGTGGTATCTTGCCATGTTGCCCAGGCTGGTCTTGAACTCCTGGCCTCAAGTGATCCTCCCACCTTGGCCTCCCTAAGTGCTGGGATTACAGATGTGAGCTACTGTACCCAGCCCCCCTCAATAATTATTTATTAAGGTTCTACTATATGCCAGGCACTGTTCCCAGTCCTGGGAATAGAGCAGAACATACAATAGACCAAGACCTCGCTGTCCCAGAACTTTCATTCCACTGGAGGAAGACAGACATCAACAAATACACAAAAGGTCAAATGCTGATCACTGCTGTGGGACAAATGAAGCAGGGAAAGGGAGACAGCGAGGGCTGGGGCAATGGAAAAAGGACTCTCCCCTTCAGAACCCTGCAGGAAGTGAGGATCAATCCATGCTGGTACCGGGGGGTGGGGAGAGAGCCCTGAAAGATGGAACAGCTAGTGCAAAGGCCCTGAGGTGGGACCCAGGGTGGAGTGTGCAGGAATAGTATATAGGAGCTGGTATGGCTAAGCTCTAACGCAGTGGTGAGAGGGATGTTGAGGAGGGAGAGGTGAGGCTGGTGAGAAGCTGGAGGGCCTTTAGGGCCCCACGTGCCACGGTAGGACATCGGCCTTTTCTCTGAGAGGGAGCCTCTGGGAGGTTTTGAGCAGTACAGTGATGTCATCTGATTTACAGTTTAAAAGATCCCTCTGGCTGGCCAGAGGAGAAGCAGGAAGACCAGCACGGGGCAGCTTTGAGAATCCAGGAGAGGGTTGATGGTGGCTGGAAGAAGGGAAGTAGCAATGGAGTTGGGGGAAATGGGTAAATTCTGAAGATGCTCTCAGAGACCAGCCTTTCTGTTTGGCGCTTACTGCAGTTGTAAATCAGGCATTCATCCTGCAATGTTCATTGTTTATTATCTGTTTCTCCTCTTGAATATGAATTCCACCAGGGCAGAGGCAGTGTCCAGCACGTTCTCTTTGAAGCCTGGGGTGTGGCATACATCAGTGGACGGGAATTATGTGACGGCGTATGACACGTGATCTCAGACACAGCAGGGATACTGTGAAGACCAGAAACTTCCCTTGAATGATGCTCTCATTCCACCTCTTATTCTCTGTTTACTTTGGGTAAGTATCTTAACCTCTCTGGGCCTTGTTTTCCTCATCTGTGAATTGCAGAGCAGAAAACCTGATCTCAGTTAGTAGGAAATGTTCATAAGAAAAGGCACCTGGTGACACTCACACAGGTGAGCTCACTTTCCTGCTGACCTCAGGTGTCATTTGTCTCCCCTTAGATGGGGAGGACAGGAACAACATGAGTTCATACCATCCCTCAACTACGCCCACTCTTCATACTGTATCCTGGAGCAGTGGCCTCTCACAGGAGAGTTGGTGTGAAGATGACCAACTTGCTGAAGGAAGACCAGCCCTGGTTTTCTCTGCTGAGCCAACCGAAAAGCTTTCCTAGGTGGACCGTCTGCTTGGCACAGAGTTTACTTCCTGCAGAAGCACTTGGTCCTTCTTAGAGGGCACTTTAGTCTTTCTGGAAGGTTCTTCTGGGCCACTGGCAGGCTGAGAACCATCTCTTCAGAGCTGCCTCATTGGAATTTTCAGTCTTAAGTTTTTCTTGACCGAGACTCAGGAGTTCAACATTTGTGGAGGCTTCACTAACTCACAAAAGCTGTTTTGCTGAATTCTTCCTTCTAAATGCCTTTGGATAGGGAAGACACGTAACTGGAAAGACAAACATTTTGCACTTTATTAATTGGGTTTTTCATTCTAGAATTCAAGCCAAGAGTTTGGGCTCCGGAGTGAGACTCACAGGGGTTTGGATCTCAGCTCTCTATTTGCTGGTGTGTGCCTTTGGGGAAATAACAAAGGCTTCGTGCCTCCGATTCATCTGTGCCGTTAGGGTGGTGGTGAGGATGCAGTGAGCAGACGCAGGTGTGTCACCTAGCACCATGCCTGGTGGGTACTAAGCATGAAAACCGTGGTATCTGCCCTCATTGTCTTTGTCATCACCATCATCATCCAACAGGTACCATGCACCTCCTAGGAGCCAAGCCAGGGACTCTGAGGAAAGGAGGAAATAAAACACAGTCCTGGTCATTGAGACCACTCATGGACTTGCTTATTTTAAAGCTCAAAAAGTATCTCTAAACTCAAGGACCTGATGAGGGCAAACAAAACGATAAACCAAAATCAGGTGACAGTCTGCATATAACCCAACACTGCAGGGCCAAAATAAAATCTTTAATAAACAATCCTTGCTGGCTGCTACCAGCTGAATACTCAAGCAAAAAGAGATGCCAAAGGGTGAGAATTAGCTGCTCTTGATTGCATTGTGCTACTCAGGGATCTGAAGCCGGGGCTGTTCATGCCACCATGTGTAAGCAGAGCTGTGGGCCTCTGTATGCCACTGACTGAGGCTTAAAAAGTACCTTTGTGTAGCTCTGTCCAAAGACTGTGTGAAAACTCTCTGATGTCAACCTCATGCAATTCTTAATACTTGGCACAGTTAGGAAGAAAAGAAAAGTCCATGGGAACCACTTAGGAAAACAAAATCCTAATATTGCCCCCGTATCTAGAAAAAAGTTTTTTTTGTGCTTTGGTGAAATTAACAGGTGCTGAAGAGACTGGGATTTAAATCGGCTCCTTGGCGAGGATTAGCATCTGAGATTGTGAAATAGAATCAGCAGTGCAAAATATCACTTGTTCCTGTTAATCACCTCTGAGTTCTCCTTACTGGAACTTCAGAGTGAAAAGTCCTGATTCCAACCACACCTCTGGCATCCATGCAAACTTGGGCTCTCCAGGGGAGCAATGGATTTCCTCATCCATGGAAAGGCACAGCCAGGTCCATCAGGGTAAAAAAGGCTTCAAACGGAGTGAATCAAGACTTTATGGGTGCATCACTAAAGTATCCACCTCTGGGAAGAGGAAAATCCAAAAGCCGAGCCAGTGAGGAGAAGGCCGGTGTCACCCTGGCTAGATCTAGAAACTGCTCAAACTCACAGACCTGGGATTTCAAAATGAACACTTTCTTACCGTTCTGGTTTAATCTCATTAATGCTTGGCCGGGTGATTCATGCTGCAAACTCCGTGAAGGAAGGATCTGTGTTTTATTCTTTTCTGCACTTCCAGAGCCAGTGCAGTGCTTGGCATGTAGCATTGGTAAACGCTGGATAAATTATATTTAATTAAAGAAGAGTGCCGAGAAATGAAACCTAAGGATGTAAAACCTTTATGGACTTAAAACAACTACTCCAAGTGTTGTTTGATGACTTCGGCGTAAATGAGTCAGAAACATATGGTCTAGGTTTCCTGATGACTGACACGACAAACAAACAAATATGCAGAGCAGTGGGTCTTGGAGCAAAATCTTCAAGCAACCAAAATGGCAGCCAAGGACTTCAAAACGCTAAAGAAATCCCCGGGCTCCTCTGTAGCATTACAGGGTGAGCTGGAGAGTACGTTGGGAAATGAAAGGAAATAAAGATTTTAAAGGAAGAGCCACACCACCAGCAAATGACTCTGGAGAATTCCAGAAAGAGACCTTTTAAGACAAGAAAGTTGATGGCCGGAGAGAAACTCCCAGCTTGGTGCAGCTCTCGGGACAGGACAGTGGTTTCCCACACTTGAGAAGATACTACATCTCTGGTTATTGTGACAGAAAGGCCACTCTCTGGCCCTTCACTAGGTGCCGTGGTTGGAGTGGATCTGTTATTGCCTTTATCCTCTCACGCATTTATTACCTCCAAATGCAGCATCCTCACCTGGTTCAGAGAAGCCAGCATGTCCCCTCCCACCTTTGGTGATCCATGCCCTGTGCTGACACAATGCCACCCAGCAGACCTCACCGTCATAGTTTGCACCCTCAGTTGTACTGAAAATCCATTTTACACATTGATCCTAACCTGGTGACACCCAGGCAAAGGTTTTCGAATGCCAACACACACAGGTTGAAACCATTAGGGAAGGAGAACTAGACTTTAGAATACACCAAGCCATCTGTGGCCTCTGAAGTTTCCGGGAGACAAGAGCATGGTAACAAAGAGAGGCTGAGAGTGAAGATTTCATCTAAATACGGATATGATGACTCTACAGACGATTCAGCCCAAATTACACACCATCCTCCAGTTCCTGGTGGGGTGGCGGGGAGGTGGGTGAAAGTAGGCAATTTAGTATACATCTCTACAAGAGAAACAGCTCAAAGGGTTTCCTTTGTCAGTCAGGCAGCAGGAAACAGATGGCACATTCAAATGAGGATAAAGTGCTTACTAAAAGGTGTGGAGAAACTGTTATGTGCTGAGTGTGTCTCCTTTCCCCCCAGATTCATATGTTCAAGTCCCAACCCTCAGTACCTCCAACTGTAACCATATTTTGAAGTAACGTCTTTTAAAAAATAATTTAATTTCATTTTAAAAGTTGACACACAATAATTGTGCATATTTAAGGGGTACATAGTGATGTTTTGATACATATAATGTATAGTGATCAGATCAGAGTAATTAGCATATCCATCATCTCAAATCTTTATTTTTTTTTTGTGTTGGGAACATTCAATGTCTTCTTTCTAGCTATTTGACACTGTATAATATATTATTGTAAACTATAGTCATCCTACAGTGGTGCAGAACAGCGGTCCCCAACGTTTTTGGCACCAGGAACTGGTTTCATGGAAGACAGGTTTTCCCCAGATTGGCGGGGTGGGGGGATGGTTTGGGGATGATTCAAGTACATTATATTTATTGTGCACTTTATTATTATTATATTGTAATATATAATGAAATAATTATACAAGTCACCATAATATAGAATCAATGGGAGCCCTGAGCTTGTTTTCTTACAACTAGATGGTCCCATCTGAGGGTGATGGGAATCAGTGACAGATCATCGGGCATTAGATTCTCAATTCTCCTAAGGAGCTCACAACCTAGATCCCTTGCATGCACAGTTCACAAGAGGGTTCACATTCCTATGCAAATCGAATGCTGCTGATGATCCTGAGCTCCAGGAGGCGGAGCTCAGGTGGTAATGTGAGCCATGGGGAGTGGCTGTAAATACAGATGAAGTTTCATTCACTTGCCCACCTGCCACTCACCTCCTGCTGTGTGGCCAGGGTTCTTAACAGGCCATGGACTGGTACCAGTCTGTGGCCCCGGGAGTTGGAGAACCCTGGTATAGAACGCTAGAAGGTATTCCTTTTCTATTTAGCTGTAACTTTGTAGTCTTTAACAAATGCCTCCCCATGCCTCCTTCCCTACTCCCCTTCTCTGCCTCTAGCATCCTCTGTTTCACTTTTTTAGATAAACTTTTTTAGCTTCCACACATGAGTGAGAACATGTGGTGTTTAACTCTCAGTTCCTGGCTTGTTTCACTTAACATAATGTCCTCCAGTTCCACCCATGTAGCCTCTAATGGCAGGATTTCATTCTTTTTATGGCTGAATAGTATTCCATTATGTATATACACCACATTTTCCTTGTTCATTCATCTGCTGTTGAACACCTAGGTTGATTCCATATCTTGGTTATTGGGAATAGTACTGCAATAAACATGGGGGTGCAGGTGTCTCTTTGATATACTGATTTCCTTTCCTTTGGATCAATGTCCAGTAGTAGGATTGCTGGATCATACGGTGGTTCTAGTTGTAGTTTTTGGAGGAACCTCCATACTGTTCTCCATAGTAGTTATACTAGTTTACATTCATACCAACAGTGTATAACAGTTCTCTCTTGGACATAAGGCCTTTAAAGAGGTAATTAAGTTAAAATGAGGCTGTGAGGGTGGGGCTGTAATCCAATCTGACTGATGTCCTAATAAGTAGAGGAAGAGACACCTGGGATGAGTGTGCACATATGCATACCATGGGAAGAGGCAGCAAGAGGGAGGCCATCTGCCAGCTAAGGAGAGAGGCATACAGAGAAACCAACCCTTCTGGCACCTTGATCTTGGACCTTCAGCCTCCGGAACTGGGAGAAAATGAATTTCTGTGGTTTGCCACCTGGTCTGTGGTGTTTTGTTATGGCAAATGACTAATATAGAAACCATGTGGCTAGATAGTGCACTAACTGGGGGCTATAAACACTGTCCACCTATGCACCTAGAAGGAAAACCAAGGAAAGGGTTATACAGAGAAGGCTGCCTTGCAGAAAGCTCTGGTGGAGAGACATAGCCAGCAGTCCCTGACCACAACACAGGGAAGGAGCCAGGGCAATGGGTAACTTGACCTCACTCTCCTCTTCCTCCTGCCCTCCTGCCATGTCTCTGCACTGGCTGAACCCCGATGTCATTTGTACAGGTTCCCTCCTGTGGCAGGGAGCAGAACACAAGGGTAGAAAGAGGATCTGGGAGGAGTAAATGGAAAAGACGTCCAGATGCAGGACGTGGAGACTTCATCCCTGAAGCCCGTGATGTCATGTCCACACGGCCTGTCCTAGAGAGTATGAAGCCTTAGATCTGTCACTCAGAGTGGCCTGACAGGTCATCCCTGAGAGCCAAGGTCCACACCAGCTTCCTACAAGGTGTGAGTCAAGTCACTCCTCTGTGCCCCCTGGGCACACATTTTGGTTATACAGAAAAATAACTCAATTTTTCTAACGCACACAGTGGATCCTGTGATAATGCTGGGTTTTGGTGACACCAATGGCATTCCAAATTGGCCTGGCTCATTTTGTCCCTTCCAGAGATGTTATATTTGACCTCATGGTATGATGGAAGGTCTAGAAGTTTGTCCATGGGGACTGTGTACTGCAGAGCCCCTGCATAACAGGATCCTTATGGTTGGGTAACAAAATCCCCTTGAATGGGAGACACTTCTTCCCTATTCTTGATATTTCCTTTCACAGAGAGGACCGTCTGTTGGTACAGTCTTCTAGGTGTCTCTCCTTACTATTTCCACTCCATCCCAGGGGAGGTAGAGGGACTTACTTGAAGGATAAGTTTGGAACAAGAGATTCATAGCCTACTACTTTCTTCTGCTGCCTTCTTGCTCCTCCAAGAGCTGACGCTGGGTGGGTGAGTCTGTCTAATCCTGGACTTGGTAGGAGAAAAGCCCAGTTGACTCTCATATGTAAGCCACATTCTCCTGGCCCTTTTGCTTCCTTTTCTCTGAAGGACTGGTCAATCTATTCTTTTTTATTTTTCATTTTTTTAGAGACAAAGTCTCACAGGCTGGAGTTGCCCCAGGCTGAAGCGCAGCGACGCCATCACAACTCACTGCAGCCTTGACCTCCTGGGCTCAACAACTCCTCTGGTTTGGCCTCCTGAGTAGCTGGGACTACAGGTGTGTGCCACCATGCCTGGCTAATTTTTATTGTGCTTTTGTAGAGACAGAGTCTCACTATGTGGTCCAGGCTGGTCTCCAACTCCTGGCCCCAAGTGATCTTCCTGCCTACGCCTCCCAAAGCACTGGTGTATTAGTCCATTCTCATGCTGCTAATAAAGACATACCTGAGACTGGGTAATTTATAAAAGAAAAAGATTTAATTGACTCACAGTTCAGCATGGCTGGGAGGCCTCAGGAAACTGACAATCATGGCAGAAGGGGAAGCAAACATGTCCTTCTTCACATGGCAGCAGGGAGAAGAAGAATGACTGCCCACTGAAGGGGGAAGCTTCTTATAAAACCATCAGATCTTGTGAGAGCTAACTCAGTATTATGAGAATAGGATGGAGGAAACTGCTCCCATGATTCAATTATCTCTACCTGGTCCCTCCCATGACCCATGGGGATTATGGGAACTACAATTCAAGATGAGATTTGGGTGGGGACACTACCAAACCATATCAGCTGGGAGTACAGGTGTGAGCCACCTCGCCCAGCCTGGTCAACCTACTCTTGACCAATCTCCTCCATGATGTGTGCAGTGTAAGGAACCTGTAGTTTTCAGGGAGTACTCTCAAAGACCCAATATATACCTGAATTCAAATCCTTGCCCTACTATTTACATACCACCTGACCTTAGGAAAATTTTTACCCTCTCAAAGCCTCAGTTTCCTTATCTGTAACATGAGAATAAACAATAGTCTTTAACTGTCAGATTATTTTTACAAAATCCTATGTGCTTAGCACAGCCAGTTTCTAGAACATCGTAAGCCAAAAATTACCCCCAAAATTTCTTTAATGGAGGGGGATAGTGGGTTAGGACAGATCTCAGGTATTAATTCCTGTTTTTCTACTTTTCAGGGGAAGAAAGAAAAAACAGTAAGAAATGACGGTGATACTAAAAGGTGGGCACAGACCAAAGGCACACGTTAAACACTTTCACAGAGCATGGCGAAAGGGCCACGTTACATTTCAATTACAATGGTTTGCCGCCAGGTGACTCTCAAAAAGAATACCAGACAGAAGACTGAAGACTGTGAGTTGAGTTCGGTGTATCACCAACTCTAATCTATCGATACACGATACTCTGTGTATTGTGTATCACCCACGATACATACCACGTTCCCAATTCCTGCCTTGAGAAAAAACAAAACAGGGATTGTGAGTGGGGTTTCATGGAGAGTCAGTGAAGCTCTGAGATCCTGAGCAAAGTTTTTGGGTTTTCATCTTGTTTGGTGGTGGAGGGGATCTTGGCACTTGGTTGATAACCTTTTTGCGAATTGCTAAAGCCATAAAACCTCTTTGAGGACATGGTGAAAGCCACAAACCCTCTTCACAGAGAAATCCACACACACACACACACACACACACACACACACACACACAGTTTTGCAAAAATATCAGCATTTTCCAGAAACCCTAGAGCCCATCCAAGTTTTCTAAGTTCAGAACTCCTGCACGGAGGTTTGCTTCTTCAACCTCCTGAGCTGCCCAGGCCATGGGGCCTTTTCAAAACAGCAAACTTAAGACCCAAAGAGAAATGAGATGTAAACAAAGAACATAGCCCCTCTGCCCCACTCATTGCCTCTTGTCCTCTGGCTTGTACTCTGAGCACTGGTGATGAGTAACCAGAAAGCAGACCCATGTACTCATATGAGAAAGGACCAGAGGCGAAGATGTGCTTTAGCACGTCAACAAGTAGGGAAAGGGGCCTCCGCTCCAGTAATGAGAGGGGACACACACAGGGTATGCTGACAATCAGGGAGGCAGAGATACTGAGACCAGAGGCTAGGTGGGGTGTGCACAGATACATGTAGGTGAGGTGGAGGGGAAGTGCGTAAGGAAATGCAGCCAGTGTGAGACGGTCAGGGAAGGGCAGGTGCCACCTTCTTCCTGTGGCTTTGTTTGTTTGTTTTGAGACAGGGTCTCACTCTGTCACCCTGGCTGGAATGCAGTGGCGCAATCACAGCTCACTACAGCCTCGACCTCCTGGGCTCAAGCAATCCTCCCACCTCAGCCTCCCAAGTAGCTGGGACTACAGGTGCTCATCACTGTACCTGGCTAATTTCTAAAAAACTGTATTGGTAGAGATGGGATTTTACCATGTTGCTCAGGCTGGTCTCAAACTCCTAGGATCAAGTGATCTACCTGCCTTGGCCTCCAAAGTGCTGCGATTATAGGCATGAGCCATGGCACCCAGCTCTGTGCCTCTCTTGTTTGAGTGTGGACTCCTGGTGGAGAGTGTGTGCAGGGTACTGCTCTTGTTTTTAAAAATTATACTAGGCTGGGCACAGTGGCTCATGCCTGTAATCCCAACACTTTGGGAGGTCAAGGCAGGACGACAGCTTGAGTCCAGGAGTTCACGACCAGCCTGGGAAACATAGTGAGAACTAATCTCTACTAAGAATAATAACAATTTTAAAAATTAGCCAGGCATGGTGGCACATGCCTGCAGTCCTAGCTACTCAGGAGGCTGAGGTGGGAGGATCACTTAAGCCCAGGAGGTTGGGCTTAAGTGCAGTGAGCTGTGAGCATGCCATTGCACTGCAGCCTGGGTGACAGAGCGACTTCCTGTCTCAGAAAAAAAATTATACTAATGTCATATGTTTTACATTATACACTCATCACTAATGAGCATGGTGGGGGCCACATCTTTTGAAATGTCCAATACAGAACTAAGCAGGCTTAATTGAAATCTTCTCCGGCTTCTTCATTTAGCAAGGCTTCCCTTTGAAGCCCACTCACATTGCTCCTCTGAATTGTGTTGAAGTTTCCCATTGAGAGCAGAGCCAGGAGACAAGAACCATCCAAGAATGTATCTGGATCCATTTTATCCAACTCCTAGAGGGGCTTATTCCATGCTAAGAGGTGGCTATTGCTCTCACTTCTTTCTCACTGGATCCTTTCTGGCTCCGTGACCAGGACTGTTAAAATAGAGACTGCACAGCTGCAAGGAAGCCACCCTGGCCAGAGTCTTTTCTGTGTCCTGGACGCCTCTGGCAAGCCACACCATTGCCTTTTTAGACACGAGAGAGGCATACATGCTCAACTTCCATGCCACTGACATTTTCAAGCAGAAGGTGGGTGTGTGGACACATTTGTCACTACAATATTTGTTTTCTCCCTGTGGAAACAGTTGATTTTCTTAAGTAGTAAACCAATGACTCACTCCATCAGAGACTGGGAGAATAACAAATAAACTGGAGCAGTGAGCACAGCCTCTGACTATTTTTTTTTTTTTTAAGACAGAGTCTTGTTCTGTAGCCCAGGCTGGAGTGCAGTGGCGTGATCTCGGCTCACTGCAACCTCCACCTCCCGGGTTCAAGCGATTCTCCTCCTCAGTCTCCTGAGTAGCTGGGATTACAGGCGCACACCACCATGGCCAACTAATTTTTGTATTTTTAGTAGAGACAGGGTTTCATCATGTTGACCAGGCTGGTCTCAAACTCCTGACCTCGTGATCAGTTACAGCACATTTTCAAGAATGACGTGGGCAAGTCCTCCTCCTTCCCATGATATTGCTGGCAGTGCCATCCTAGTACACAGGCATTGCCATTTCGGGTTTTCAAAGACTTTCTTGACCATAAGTCCTTCCTATGGCTCATAACGCCCTATGTGATCTGGCCTTCTTTCAGCATAACCCTTTCTGCCCCTTGCTTGTGATGGAGGCTGTCATGTTCTCCTCTCTGTTCCTTGAACGCACCATACTTATTCCTGCCTCACAGCCTTTGCACGTGCAATTTCCTCTGCCTGGACTGCGCACTCTCTAGAGCTTTGTCTGGCCCACTCTAGTGAGTGTCGGGCCAACTCATTATGCCAGCTCATGAGAGCTGACTGTGCACATCTCTTCCCATGATATCAGCATGACATCACAGAGACAGTTTGAAATTAGCCATGGTGAGCATTTACACCATGGACACTGGCAAACTCCGCAAATCAGACCTGATTCTTTTGTTTGTTTGAAGAGATGGCTGTCAAACATTTACTAGCACACCGCTGGCTGGTTCGTTCTTGTCATGCATGGTTCGGCTCAAATGGCACTTCTTTGAAGAAGCCTTTCTACTACCCAATGTAAACAAGCTTCATGCTCCTCATCGCTCTCTTTCTCTCTTGCAGTGCCTGTTTTTATTACTGTTGTAACTTCTACAGCCTATAACTCTGCTATTTCTTTGATGCTAAGTCTTCGGATGGTATGTCCCTGTCCCACTGTAGCCTCTGAGAGAGCAGCCACCAGTCAGCTTCCACTCACCATCGTATTCCCAGCGCCTAGCCTAAGGCCGGGCATAATGCTCAATGCATATTTGTTGAAATGAACACAGAGTATCACTAAGCTCTTTCTTTTGAGCCTCTGGTTAAATGGAAAGGGAAAAACCTATCTCCATGGGAAAACAGAACCTTCCAGGCATGGAGTCCAAGAGCATTCCAGGTCCTCCCTGGGTCCCACCTGGGTGCCACCTGAGATCCACAAAATCATCCCTGACTTTTCAGTTTATCAACGAGGACAGCTCTCCCAGGAGCCAGCTAAATTGTTGTCTCCTCATTGTCCTTGGAGGATCTCATGATCCTGGACCTTCAGTCTGGGACTTCCCTGGGGGTTTGTGTTTCACTTCTGCTCTGGTTGAAGGTATCCAGGAGTTCTTTACTGGGGCTTTCCTATGTGCTACAGCCAGACGCTGGAAGAGCAGAGGTGGATAAGGCTTCCCTTCTGCAACTCTTGCCATTTCACCTGGGAAGCCTTTATGTCCTTGTCCCTGGTCAGTCCAAATCAATGAAGATAGCTCTCCCAGGAGCCAGCTAAACTTGTCCACTTTCTCTTTTTCCAAGGAGAACTAGTGGTTAGACCAGCGGAGCTTGTTTGCGATTTCCTGCCAGACTTGGGGTTTGCCAACTTCAGGTGTTTGGACATTCTTTGCATTTTAATTCAGCAAACTTTTCCCACCCATGCTTTTAATCCATTCAGGGTTCTGGGAGCAGGGATATGAAACGGGCTGGTGCTGGCGCTGAGGAGGCGGTGTTTTAGCAGCAGAGGTAGACGTTACACAAAGGATTCTGCCAGGAGACAGCTCATGCTAAGTGCTTTCACCAATGAGGGTCTCCTAGCTACAAAAGAATAGCTCCAAAGGGGAAACACTGGGCGGCTCTGTGGCAAGATGGCATTTGAGCTGGGCCCTGGGAGATGAGTTTGCTGAAGGCCCACATGGGAGGGGCAGTGGAATTATTTCCATATGCACGGGACAGCCTCGAAGCAGCAAGCCACCTGACCCCAACGGCAAATCAGCAGAATCTGCGTGGCTCACGGCCGAGGGCCAGATGGGACGGTGGAGGTCTTAGCAGATGTCTGGGTGCACAGATGGCATCAAGCGGCAGATGCCCCCATCCCACCCCACCTGGGTCTCCACCCCTGGGCACTTTATTCCCCTCCCCACCCCCACCTGAACTGGCTGGTGGCGGCTCACTTCCACCATTCTGGCTAAATGGGGACCTGAAGCTGAAATCAAAGCTGCATGTGCCAGAGGAGAACCTTTAACATGTGGACCAAAAAAGTCACTAATTTTGCAGATGGAAATTCACACCCGTTCCCTAGGAATGAAGAGCCACAGCATAGGAGACTCTGAACAGTCCTTGGGTAGAATACTGGAGAACTAAGGACATAGGCAAACCTCAGGAACCTGGCCAAGGCTTGGCCAATCTTGCCTTATACTCCCGAGAAGGGAGACTCAGTTTTTCCGGCTACTCTACCTCAGTGATCCCCATTTCTCCTACTTCCAAGGGCTCTATGCTCTGGGAAGCAGCCTCTCTGCTGGATCCTTTGGCAAGAGCTACATTAGAATGAGATGTGTGAGGAGCTCGAGATGGAATTAAAGGCATGTGATAGCCAGGGGACCAGGCCAGAGGCCACAGTCATAGGGCAGTGGGGCTAGGCCCCTGAGACCACAGTTTTAACATAGGAAAACGTGAAGTTCAAAGCTTAAGAGCAGGTCTTCCCTTTATCAAAAAAGAGCTTTGTCTCTAGGCCCCTTTAAACCAATACTCTTTCAGTGGACTGAAGTGTTTATGGCTCACTAAATTAAAGGGGTGGGAGGCAGGAATAGGAAGAGAGATGGGGGCATGGTGAGCTGCTGCCCACTGACGACGCAGCCCCGTTGATCACAGAGCCATGAGAGAGGAGAATGTAAATCAATGAGAAATGGGATTCCATAATAAAGCTTTCAATGTGAGGCACTTACTCTCCAGAAGAACAGAGATGATTAAAAATAAACAAAGTTGTGCATGCTTACGGACAGGAGGTCATTGTTTCCTCAACATAGCTGTGGCCAGTATGTGCTTTGACCCTTCCATCCTTTTCTTTTTCTTTTCTTTATTTTTATTTTTTATTTTTTTTGGAGACAGGTTCTTGCTGTGTTGCCCAGGCTGGAGTGCAGTGGTGTGATCATGGCTCACTGTAGCCTTGACCCCCGGGGCTTAAACAATCCGCCTGCCTCAGCCTCTGGAGTAGCTGGGACCACAAGGCATGCACCACCCTGCCTGGTCAATTATTTCTTTTCTTTTCTTTTCTTTTTTTTTTTTTTTTTGTTGGTTTGTTTGTACAGATAAGATCTTGCTTTGTTGCCCAGGTTGGTCTAAAACTCCTGGGCTCAAGCAATCCTCCCGCTTTCAGCCTCCCAAAGTGCTGGGGTTACAGCCGTGTGCCACTGTGTCTGGCCCTTTTCTTTTTCATAGGAGAAGGGTTGTTGACTCCCAGGAAACGTCACCTGGAACCAAGAATGTGAACTCAAGGACCCCCGCCTGTTGGCAGCTGCATTTACTTGACTCCTGTTCACTGTTTCTTAGCCTTGTCCTTTCTCTCCTGCCAGTTCTAGGGGACACTGCTTCTCCTGGTTGACCTCATCAATGCCCAACCAGTGGTTCTCAAGGTGTGGTCCCTGGAGCAACAGGATCAGCCTCGCTGGGAGCTTGTTAGAGATGCAAGCTCTCAGTCCCACCCCAGACCTGCTGAATCAGAAACTCTGGGAGTGGGACCCAGACATTTGGGTTTTATCAAACCCTCTAGATGACTCTGAAGCATGCTTAAGTTGGAGAACCAGTGGCCTATGGGGATGCTCTTGCTGTAAATGGCAGAATTGTTCCCAAGAGGATGCAATAGGCAGGAAACATGCAATGTTGCCAAACCCCTCACCTGCCTGACTCCTTTCCTGGCTTCTTCCTGCCCATCTCCATGGGCAAAGATCCTCCATGACCTGGTTCCACCAGCCCACTCCCTGTTTAACCCTTTACACTCAGCAGCATTAACCACTTAACGATACAGTTTCCCACCTCCTCACTGGGGTTAAACTGTCCCCTCTGCCCAGAACGTCTGCATCCTTCCCCTGGATGCCCTCAGGCTGGTGTTCCCACTAATTGCCTATGCCAATCTGTTAGCACACCGTGTAATAATTCCCTGTTTGTGACTATGAGCTCCCTGGAGGTAAATGCTGCGTGGTTCACTTGTTCCCAGAGTTCACTAGCACAAGACTTGGCACAGAGGGTTGCTCACCAATACTTTCAGGATGAATAAAGGGCTGAGATACTGACACTAGGGGGAAGGAGATGAGTGGATGGTCCTCTGGGGGTCTCAGGTTCACATGGCAGGAGCAAGCACAGCATGGATAGCAATTTAAAAATACTCTGCATACAAAATTAATATAGTAGCTAAAGGAAAACTGAATTATATATAACATGTTGTGTATCAACACGTCTCCTGGAAGGCTTTTTACTGTATTCACCAAAACAGGCAAGATTTATAAACAGATTTTCAGGATCACACCTTCTGTATAAATCAAGACATATGTATGCTGGCTGTAGTGGGAGGTATAGCACCCCTAAAAGCTATGGCCAGTGAGGGAGAGTGGTATAGAAGACAGGGTGGAGAGGCCGGGCACGGTGGCTCATGCCTGTAATCCCAGCACTTTGGGAGGCCAAGATGGGTGGATCATGAGGTCAGGAGTTCAAGACCAGCCTGGCTAACATGATGAAACCCCATCTCTACTAAAAATACAAAAATTAGCTAGGCATGGTGGTGCACACCTGTAATCCCAGCTACTCGAGAGGCTGAGGCAAGACAATCGCTTGAACCTGGGAGGCAGAGGTTGCAATGAGCCGAGATTGCGCCACTGCACTCCAGCCTGGGTGACAGTGCAAGACTCCATCAAAAAAAAAAAAAAAGATGGAATGTAGTCTGGGGAAAGAGGTGGCATTCCAAAGTCACCTGAGACCCTTCTTCCCTGCATTCTATTCTTCTCCTATAATTTCTTTCACTTCTGGGCAGAGGGCAGCCTGTGGGCAAGTGTTCTTTTTGCTGACAGTCCAAGAGTGTTGGGTTCAACCAACTGCTAACTCCTGAGACAATTTTAAGGCAGGGCAATAAGGAGAACCTTACAGATCTATAAGGCCAGCTGGAGCTATCCCCAGGGCCATGTTGTAGCAGACCCAAATCTTCAAATCTTCCAGTGTCTGTGTGGAGGTATCGATTGATTGCTCACTTATTTGGTTGTTCAATGAAGGGCAAAGCAATATGATAGCATCATTGCAGTAGAAAGTTCTAGAAAGATGTTCAAGGTATACACCTTGCCTGAAAGCCTCCCTGTCTAAGCTGAGAGAAGACAGAGATCCAATTAAGCTTCATCTTGGCAGACTTTGAAGTGAGCAGTCAACCCTTAGGGACAAGAGAGTAGGGACTGACCTCCAATTCCCAGCTTAAATGTGCCATCATTGGAGATGCCTTCCATGACCTCCGATATAAGGCAAATTTCCCCTGTAATATGTTCCCCTAACACCCTGTGCTTGCCCTTGTATAATATAGATTACACAGAAATTAGTTAATAACAAACCCAACAATTACCGAATGCCTCTTAAGTGTGTCATTTGCAGTGATGCATTGAGTCCTTTCAACAGCTCTGTAAGAAGGGCACCATTATTAGCCCCATTTTACAGAGGAGAAAACTGAGGCTCATGGAGGTGAAATGACTTTTCCCTAAGTCGCCCAGCCTATAAGTAGCAGAGTCAGGCTTCAAAGCCCAGATGATCTATTTCCAGATCCTGTACTCTGACACCAACTTTCCTCTGGCCAATGCCCCTTCCTCCTAGATGGTCATTTGATAAGAGCAGAAGATTCATCTTCTATGTTCATCCTTGTGTCTGTGGCACCTTGCATATTATACTTGGGAAGTGCTCATTAATGTTTGATGAATGAATAAATGAATGAATGAATGTTTCAGTTGAGGAGATCAACACAGACAGCTGAAGGCATGGAGATAGTCACATTTAGAATCCTGGATTCTTCAGCATGCCTGACTACCTTACCCTCCAACTTAAAAAAGTATTTTCTAGATGCAGTTTTCCTTCTTCCTTTTCTCGACATTCCAACTAAAGGGCACCAGGCCCATTGACCCTTCCTTGGCCAGTGACAGATGGGTGAGCTGAGGCAGCTGGGAGCTGCCTGAGTTGATCTCAGAGCTGATGAGGTGGAGGGGTCAGCTGAGAAGGCTGAAGCCGACTGTCGACCGAAAGGCACAGAGCTGGGCAGTGTTTTGCAGCTTCAGCACAGCAGAGGTCCTGCTTTTGGAGGGAGTCCGATAAACAACGGCCCCACAGCTTAACAGGATTGAAATATGATGCTATTCAAAGGGAATGTCAAAAGGATTAATAACCCATCTCCTTCTAGCTTGGTGCTAAAACCACACCACTGCCTCGAGTTAAAATCATGCTTAGACTGCATGCTACATTTTAAACCTTCTCCAGTAACAGACCATCATGGTCGCAGTGTGGGGCAGGCTCTCAGGACCCCTCTGTATGTTGTTACAATTCTCCAGTTCAGCCTTTTTAATGGGGGCTGAGCTGAGCGCCTGGAGAGCAAGCACAACTTAACATGCTGAACCTTGAAATACATATCTGGTCCCTTCCCTGAAACATACTTCCAGACTCGCCTCCAAACACCCAAGAAAAACGGGTGCCTCTGAAACTAAAGCAACAGTTACAGACCCTGTTGAATGACAGGTGACAAGTCTGGTGTAAGCTGAATCACGCACAACACACACTCATCCCACAGACGGTTTATGGAAGAAGAGGGAAGGTCAAGGGTAAGGTGATGGGCAAGATCTAAGTTTCTATACCAGCAGTGGTTAGACCGCCGTTTCAGGCAGTCCCACCCCATGACTCTGCTATGCTTTCCAGATTCAGGGTAAAACAACGTAAGACGAGTCCAGCATGAGCTGATTTAAGAATTTCCCTCTCTCAGCTTAGGATCCTCCTCTTCCAGGTGATGGCTCTCAACACGCAGGCTAGACCCAGAGACGCAATACCAACATTTAGAATGACAGCACTGTGGTTCCTTCCTCCTGGTGGGAAGATACAATTAATTCTGCTACCCCTCCCTTAGCATCCTGTTGCCGGGAGAAACAACTGCCTCCCTATCTCAGAAGGGGTTCTATTAAGAACGGCAAATGCGAAGGAGGTGATAAGGAGGCGGACAGTCCTTTTGTCCTATCCAAGTTGTCCGAAAGCCAAAACAACCTTGAGGACCACTGTCCCTGAAGAAGGCGAGACATAATCAGCCCTACTTAACAAATCAACATGGAGCTTTTGGACACCAAAGTCAAAGTCAAGGGTAGTTGCTTAGGGTCGAAGCAGGGACATATTTCCATTCCCTTTAAAAACGACCCCTGAGAAGACCAGAACTGGTCAAATTGCTATGAGGACCTGAATAAGAAACTGGTGTCTCTGCCTGTCCTTCGATTTCTTTGTTTTGAAACAGTCTTGCTCTGTCACCCAGGCTGAGGTGCAGTGGTGCAATCTCAGCTTACTGCAACCTCCACCTCCCAGATTCAAGCGATTCTCATGCCTCAGCCTCCCAAGTAGCCGGGTTTACAGGCATGTGCCACTACGCCTGGCTAATTTTTGTACTTTTAGTAGAAACAGGGTTTCTCCATGTTGGTCAGGCTGGTCTCCCAACTCCTGGCCTCAAGTGATCCACCCACCTTGGCCTCCCAAAGCATTGGGATTACAGGCGTGAGGCACTGCACCCAGCCTCTGCTCCTTCTTCTTGCAGTGCTCAAGGGACCACGGCCAACCCTTGCATGAGGCCAACCAAGATCAAGACTAGTGTGGTGAAGTGTGCAATCTTGTAAACCTTGAATGTAAATCTTAAATAACACCACGAGACCCATACGGAGTGCCACTAGTGATGCTGGAAGTGCTCCAAAGAAGCAAGGGAAAAGTCATGATATTACAAGAAAAAGTTGAATTGCTTGGTAATAGAGAGCCATCAGAGGTTTGCAGGTCGGTCAAAGAAAAACTGACGTATGGAAAAGAAGCAAAATAACAAGAAGAAAAGATCGAAAAAATGAGAGCCGAAGATGGTGAAAATTATGCCATTAAAAAGCAGGCAGAGATCCTACAAGAATCCCAGATGATGATCCCAGATTGCCAGCGCAGGTTGGAAGCTGCATATTTGGATCTTCAACAGATGTTAGAAAGTGAAAAAGACTTGGAAGACACTGAGGAATATAAAGAAGCACATTTAGTACTAGATTCGGTGAAGCTAGAAGCCTGAAACTTTTCTTGTACAGGGTGATGTTTGCATTAAATCCTGGGGCCCATTTTACAATTCATTATTTTATTTTTTTTTTTTACCACTACTGTGTGTTCAGGTAGTATAAGAATGTGATTGTTTTTATCCAGTTGCATATTTATTTCTTTGTCTAATTTAATACATAAAATAAATGAATTCATCGTAAAAAAAAAAAAAAAGGAAGAAATTGGCAGATAAGATAAGCTGTGATGAGCTCTGCTACCTGCTCAGGTGGCCTGGATCAGGTGCTTGCTGGATGGAGAGCAGGTGAGCTCTCCCTAAAGATAGGAAACAATGATGTTTAAAGATGAAGACAGGCCAGGCGAGGTTGTTTGGATTACGTCTGTAATCACGGCACTCTGGGAGGCTGAGGCGGGCAGATCACTTGAGGTCGGGAGTTTGAGACCAGCCTGGCCAACA
Source organism: Homo sapiens (assembly GCF_000001405.40). Lineage (NCBI taxonomy): Eukaryota > Metazoa > Chordata > Mammalia > Primates > Hominidae > Homo > Homo sapiens. The sequence goes on along the minus strand of NC_000001.11, from coordinate 14,691,687 downwards.
TGGCAAAACCCCGTATCTACTAAAAATATAAAAAGTAGCTGGGCGTGGTGGTGTGCACCTGTGATCCCAGCTACTCGGGAGGCTGAGGCAGGAGAATCACTTGAACCCAGGAGGCGGAATTTTCAGTGAACCGAGATTGTGCCACTGCACTCCGGGCTGGGCAACAGAATGAGACTCTGTCTCAAAAACAAACAAACAAAAAAAGATGAAGACAACAAAATCCCATAAACCTAGAGTTCATCTCTGTTAATACTGTTATTCTTTCATGCATGCACTGAAAGATGTCTGGAAAAATGAACATATGTATATATACATGTATAAATATATTTGTAGAGTTTGTGTGCATGTGTGTACATGTGTGGAATCATAGTGTACATACTGCTTGTATCTTACTGGGTTCACTTTCAATACATTGCAAGTGTAGTTAAGAAATCGACCACATAATACCAGGACACCTAAATATAAGATGCAAAGTCAGGAGATTTTTTTTTCCCCACCTGAAACTTAAAAGTACCGAGCCATCCATCAATAGTCAAAAATCCCCAAAGCTTTAAAAAATTTAACATTCAGTTAAATATCTAAGTCAGCGCTTGTTTAGTCAGCAGAGTAATCCCTAGTCATGACTGAAAAAGTATACATTTGCCTTTAATTGCCACATAATTATCTCTATACACCTGAGATAAAAATGTAAATTCAACATTAGGTATGAAAACATGCATTTGTTTTCCAAGTGGTCTTATCCAGCAAATGAATCTGCAAAATTAGGAAGAATAAGAATGGATCAGGAGTGAGGAACAATAAAACCAGGTATCTCAACATCTGTGAAAATCACAGCACATACCCTGGGTGAGGAGGGGCGGGGAGTGTAATTACACAAAACTAAGATAAACCACAGTGAGGTCTCCAGAGTCAGTCTTCTTGAATGAATTATGGATATTAGAGGTCTATCTAAGGCAAAGTTATTAAGGAGGTTTTATGGCTGGCATACAATAGTGGTCTGAATAAAAGCATCTTGTCCTGCTAAGAGCTTTGGATTTGTTTTAGAAGCAGCATTCCTTCTTGGTGAATGGCTCTGCCCCAAAGCAGAATGTGATCTTCCTCTTTGACTTAATAGAACTGGAAATGGGGGGAAGAGCATGAAAAAAAAACCCTTCCCTCTGCTGTCACCCCAAGTCAGTCATGTGAACCACCGATTGTTTTGGTGACAAGGAGGAGGACTGTCATTATGTGCCATTTCAGACTGGCCGCAGAGAACGCCCAGCTCGGTCTGCAGCGTGAATACATAAATGTGGTGAATCCTCTCTCTCCCTGACATCTACTTCAGCTTAGTGGCCTCCCTAAATCTGGGGCTCCCATGTAAAAACATCAGATGGGCCATCTCAGGTTCACTGTTATGTGGGATTGCACCAAGTACATGTTTTTATAGGGCCTTGTATATTACCAGCGCTTGAGAAATAAAAGACAAGGAAAAAAGCCAGCAGGACCGCAGATGCATGATTCATGATGAGCACTGCCGCGGCGGAGTGTGGCGAGTCTGCCGGATGAGATGTGCAGCCCGTCTTCATTTGTTCATGGAGGGCAGCCATTTACCTGATTGTAGGAGGTGACGGTGTTGACGCAGCAGGTTGCTTTGGCCATAAAGGGAGATTTCTGCAGCCTTAGAGCAGGGCTTAGGAACCCCAACCAGCTTATCCCGTGACTGATTCCCACAGAGAAGATGGAAACCCTGCAGGCACTCAGATGCCCCTTTCACTCTGTTAATTGGGAATAACCCTGGGAAATGATGTTCTTTTGCTCAGTGACACAGGTGCCTAGCTTTGCATGTAACATCTGTTTGGTCCTTGATGGTCTCCACGGGTCTCCTGCCATCTGAGGGTCTCACCACGCCCTCTGCCCCGGGACAAGATGAACACATCCCTGCCAGGGTCTAAGCAGCCCCTGAGGGGTGGGCTTCTCTAGCTTCGCAGCCCCTTGCCATCTGGGCAGGAGTTTCCATGACGCTTCTGGCAGCTAGCAGGGTAGTGCACCTGTTTCTTTTTTTCTCTTGGTCACTCTGGCTTTTCACTGGGAAAGTCACTCCTGATTCTTCCATCAGTGTCAACGGAATCCTGCCTAGGAGTAATCCAAACAGACCAATTCTCTTACACTTCATCTTGCAACCATCTAGTAAAACTCTCCAGCTGCCATAAACACAGGTGTTCCAAAGGTAAAGGTTTGCTGGGCTAGAGGGTATTTCCACCCCCATCAACATCCTCCGGCAGCTTTGTCCAGCATATGGAAGAGGCCTCTTCTACAATCAGGAGCGAATGGGAGAAAGACCCTCACGCCCTTTGTTAGTCATCACTTGGGTGGGAGTCACTGCCAGACAGAGGCAGGCCCTGAGTAGCTCTCTGTAAGTTTCATGAGATACTACAAACCAGACCCAGCATGGTTTTACCAATCAACTCTGTTTTGTTTTGTTTTGTTTTGTTTTGTTTTGTTTTGTTTTGTTTTGAGACAGAGTCTGACTCTGTCGCCCAGGCTGGAGTGCAGTGGCACGATCTCGGCTCACTGCAAACTCAGCCTCTCAGGTTCAAGGGATTCTCGTGCCTGAGCCTTTCCAGTAGCTGGGATTTCAGGCACGCACCACCATGTCTGGCTAATTTTTTGGATTTTTAGTAGAGATGGGGTTTTGTCATGTTGTCCAGGCTGGTCTCCAACTCCTGAGCTCAGGCAATCCGCCCACCTTGGCTTCCCAAAGTGCTAGGATTACAGGCGTGAGCCACCGCGCCCAGCCTTACCAATCAACTCTTACTGGCATTTTTAAAAAAGAAAAACTACATATGATTTTGTCCAAATTTGTCCTCTCAGCTGTGAAAGGGACTATGCATATTATTTGCCTTTTTCTCTGCATACAGAATAACAAGACAATACATCCGTGAATTAAAAGACAGCAGACACCTGACCATTCAGTGTCCTTGGCAAGGTTCTAGTACGTGTGCACTGAGAACTGTGGGCAATCATGTTGAGCTTTCTTCTTTTGCTAAGACTTCTCCCTTGAGAAGAAACAGAATTAAAGAATCCACAGAACAGCCCCTCCCTTGCTGCTGCTTTTGTACTTTTTACTTCATCGTGTTTTATACTTGCCCATGCCATATTCTAATTACCCACTTCCTGATAGATTTCTAACACAAGATGCTTGAGGGCAGAGGTCTCATTTTATCCTCCTTGATGTCTACCCCAGGGCAGATGCTGCCGGGCACGTGATGAGTGTGCATGCCTTCATTTTACAGTTTCAGACCCAGCACCTGCTGCCTGGCACAGGGAATACGGTGGTGAGCACAATCGATGCAGCCTCTGGAAGAACTTGAGAGGCCATCTAGCTCAACACTGTCTTTTAGTAAATGAGAAACAGGCCCAGCGAGGGAAAGTGCCCACAGTCACAGCTGGAACCAAACCCAATCTCAGGATCTTCCCTTCCATGGCCAGCTAGCTAGAACGCAACTTGGGAAATGGCAGCCTGTCTGTAACCCAGCTCTGTTGTGCCCAGAGGCTGGGTATGAAGACAGTAAAAGCAGAGGGGAGTGACATGGTGGCAGCAGAAAATTCCAGGAGTAGAGACGTCTAGGGCACGGGTGGGGGTAGAGCCAAACTATGACTGGCGTGTTCCTATATCAGAAGTGCATGCTGGGAACTTGTGACATCTTGTAGTCCATGTTGCAGGATGCCAAGCCCCTGACCACCCTGTGCCGTGGGCACTGGGCACCACTGAGCCACAGCACAAGTTGCTGGTGTGGGTCCAGTGCACGGACTTTGGTCTCCATGTTGAAAATGAAAAAGAATAATTCTTGCCTCCTGGGTTTGCATAATTAAAACTGCAGAACAGAATTTGCCTATCAACGTGAGCCCCATGAAAGTGCACAGAAAACTCTTAAGATATGATTCATTATTGCCCCGATAAATCATCCGAGTCCCCTGCTTCCCACTTGCAGCTACATTTCATGCTGTAAAGTGCAGGTACAGCTAGTGACGACTCACAGAGTCACATCCCAGTTCCTTGGCAAGATCCACTGACTGGCATTTGTTTACAGACTTATCCTCCCCCCTTGTGTCTTACACGCTGGCCTGGAAAGTTCTTCTAATGCACCTCTGGACTCTTTGCTGGGGCCTGGGCTGCCCAGAGCACACACGCTTTTCCCCCTCTCCACTTGCCTCATCCAGCCTCATCTTCCCCATCTCAGTTCCCTTGTGACCACCTATGCATATCCTTCTTTACTACACCTCCCTTGGAGCCGCAGAAGCTGTCCCCTCTCTGGGCTCCTCCAGTTCTCTGAGTTCACCTCTCTCATTGCACTGACCAATGCTTGTTGACGTCATCTCTCTGTTCCAGCAAAGGGGTGCATCTTAGTTCTGTGCCCACAGTGCCTAGCCCAGGGCCAGTCACAGCAGGTGCTTAATACATGGTGAGTAAACATGGTCCATGACTTCCTCGACCCAGCCTTATGGGGGCTGCCATTTTAATACAGAAGTAATTATCATACCAGCCAACCAGCCACCTCAGTGAAAATAAGGGAGGGTACCTTGAATGCTGGTAACCATAGTATAAGTTGGTCAATTTTTCATTCAGAGGGGAGCAAGTGCAGCACACCAGCCACCCCCACATTAGTGTCCTGACAGGTCTCCAGGCAGCTGTTATGGATCTAGCCCTCCTAGGGAAAGGTTTGTTTCCCAGCCGCCTCTGCAGGGAGCACCATGAAAACAGAAGAAGAAACCCAGCCAGCCCAGGGCGTTAATAGCTTGGTTAATAAGCTCTGTATCAGTGAAGGCTTTTCCCTCTTTCTGAACAATAGAATTCCAGAGGGAGCCTAGGCCCAGGGACTCAGGGCTGAAATGGAAGCCTTGGGCCATGCAGCCCCACCGCAAATGTTCTGTGTGGATGTTTGATTCCTGTGGCTGTCGTAGTCCCAGAGGTACAGAGGTCTCTGAGAAGCCAGGGCCAGTGCCAGGCCCTTCTCCTCTGGGCTTCCCGCTACACCCGATATTAGGCAAAGCTGAGGGAGGGTGCCTAGAGTTTCTGCTAGGTCGCTTTTGCCAGAAGGTGAAGGGTCAGGCTGATTTTGCTATGATTTTCAGGTGTTCCCACAGTCCATTAAGAAGCAATGATGTTCATTGTAAAAATAAGTTAAGAAAAGTAGAATAAAGACATAATTTCTCTTTTTCCATGAAGGAATTCTCTCAAGTTGGAGAGGCGAGGGGACCACATATATCTGCCTTGAATCCCTCCCAGCAATGTGGGATGGTATCAGCTCTAGAAATTCCAGTACGATCTTCAAGAGTGGCAGACTGGGCTGGGCGTGGTGGCTCACGCCTGTAATCCCAGCACTTTGGGAGGTCGAGGCAGGTGGATCATGAGGTCAAGAGACAGAGACCATCCTGGCCAACATGGTGAAAACCCATCTCTACCAAAAATACAAAAATTAGCTGGGTGTGGTACACGTCTGTAGTCCAGCTACTCGGGAGGCTGAGGCAGGAGAATCACTTGAACCCAGGAGGTGGAGGTTGCAGTGAGCTGAGATCACGCCACTGCACTCCAGCCTGGCAACAGAGAGAGACTCTGTCTCAAAAAAACAAAACAAACAAAAGAGTGGCAGACTGAGGCTGATGGAGGTTGTGTAGGACAAAAAGAGGAAGACATTCAAATTCAAGTTCTGCCATCTACTCACTGCAGGACCTGGGGGAGTTTACTCCATCTCTTTGGGCCTCAGTTTCTTCACCAATGATCAGTAAAATGGGAATAATACCCATCCCACGGAGTTATGGGAATTGAATACACACGTGCGCACACACACAGAAGCCATAGCTGTAATTTATCATCTATGAGTTCCAGCTGGGGATTCTCTAAAGTGAGTGAGAAACAACTACTCTTTCTAGAGTTCTGTGGTTCCTTATCCTCTGCCACCATCTTTTATAGTTGTCTTGACCGTATCTAACTAAACAGCATTTCTCCCAAAGCAATTGACTCCTAACAAGTTTTCACCTTAGTTTCATTAAATAACAGTACAACTGGCATACACAGGCTTGAAACTAACCACAAGTGACTCTGAGCAGGCGAACGATTTGACTGCAAGAGCAGAGATGCTCAGGCAGGTGCTGAGCCGAATGCCGCCAAGAGCATTTGGAGGCCCTGGTCCTCTGTAGAAGACACTGCCAATCCTCTGCCCATGTCCCCTGGCCCTCAGTACATGGGTGCACATTGGCCTGACTTCTAGCTACCACTGCCCGCATTTCTTCATCTGAGGCCTTCCCCTCCTGCTGGAGCTCAGCCTGCCACCTGTACATCAGACCAGTGGCACAGAATTGTGGGAAGTTCCCATACCAACGACTGATGGGAATTGGTGTATAAATACCCCAGCTCCCTCACCCCTAAGGTTGTGTAGCTCTGAAGCATGCTCTATACCAGCTCCCAGAGTTTCTCCGGCAGGATTAAGCTCCATTCTCCCAGTGGGAGCTGGCATGGAAACTCACCCTTGAGTGGCTGCCTTCCCTTTCATATCTCACTTTCCTGAGGCCCTACTGGTGTTCTGGCATCTTTCAGATAAACTATTTGTTCTTGAATCCTTGTCTCAGAATTTGCTTCTGGTGGAACCCAAACTAAGAGAGCCTCAGATACGAGTTTTACTCTCGGGATGGAGCACATAGGACAATATGGCACTTCAGTTACATGAATGTCACCATGTACACAATCCCATCTGTGGTAGCCTGTATAATGGCCCCCAAAGATGTCCCCATCCTAAATCCCCAGAAATTACAAATATGTTACCTTGCATAGTATTTAAAAGGGACTCTGAAAATGGGATTCAGGATCTTTAGGTGGGGAAATGATCCTGGGTTATCCAGGTGGGCCTGATGTCATTGCAAGGGTCCTGATAAGATGAGTGCAGGAGAAGTCAGACTGGGAGGAAGGCCATGTGACAACAGAAACAGAGGCAAGCAGAGTCAGAGAGAGAAGATGCTACACTGTTGGCTTTGAAGATAGGAAGGGGCCACAAGCCAAGGAAAACAGGCAGCCTCTAGAAGCTAGAAAGAGCGAAGAAACATCTCTCCTGGAGCCTCTAGAAGGAACCAGCTCTGCCAACACTTTGCCTTTAGCCCCATAAGACTCAGTCCACACTTCTGGCCTCCAGAACCATAAAAGAATAAATTTGTGTTGTTTCAAGCCACCTGGCTTGTGGTGATGTGCCACAGCAGCCACAGGAAATGAACACACCAACCAACCCTTGCATCATGTAGTAGTGGGCAGGATTTATCCCCATTTTGCAGATGGGAAAAACGGCATTCAGGGTGAAATAGCTTGCTCCTGAGGTCAAAGAACCCATGAGTGGTGGAGCTGGGATCAAACTTGGTCTGTGCAACCCTAATACCAATCAAGTATCCTCTGCCCACAGCCCCAACGCTGATTCCACGAGGTAAACCTGCAAAGCCACTGCCCTGAGATTGGTATTCCTGGAGTCTACAATGTCCATGAAAAGGCTCAACAAAAAAGCAAGCACATCAAGCCTTGTGAAGATGATAAGAGACACTTATAGGAGCTTGATACGGGGCCAGGGCTTAGCTTGGTACCTGAGTAATAAAACTCTGCGTAGACAGCCCAAGCCCAAGACAGCCTCCCTAATTCTATTCTAGAATAAAGTGGGATAGACAAGGTACTGGAGTACAACTCTTGTTGTATTTCAGAAGAAATACAAATACTCCAGTGCATAAGAAAAATGGAATTGCTGCTGAAATATCATTCAAGAATCAGTGTGTATTGCACTGAACTCCTACTATGTGCTAGGTAGGGGCTAGATGCCGAGGATCCAAAAAATAATAACTAAGAAGAAATAATGGCTGTCTCAGCAATGCTGAGGATACAGGGTGGAGAGGAAGCACGCACTGCACAGCACTAATGAGGATACTACAGGATGTGCACTATGCTTCTAAGTTTGGGAACCTTTCCTGAGGATCTCCTTGGTACCAGATAGGGGGGCTGGGAGCTGGGGAGAAGATGAGACAGTCCCTGCTTTAACAGAGCTGATACTCTAATGAGGTTAATAAATGGGTCGTGAATAAGTGACACGCAATGTGCATCCATTTATCATTTATTCATTGACTGCATTCAGTGTGTCAACACCATGTCACAGGGGCTGGAGTGGAGAAAACGTAGGGGAAGCAGTGGAGGCTGGAAGGAGAGAGTGGTCATTGGAGGGTCCAAGAATGCCTAATAGCATCTTGAGTTGAGGTTGAAAGGCTCAGTAGGAGCCCCCGGAGGAGAATGGGTGGAATATCTTTGCACTTCATCTCTGCAGTCACGTCCCATTAATATAATTCGTGTGTTTGACCTACGCATCTTCTTTGAGACAGGCTGTAACTCTCAAATTCGAGCAACTGAGTTTTAATTACGACCTTTATTGTTTCCTTGCACTTCTGGAGCGACTCAGCACCCAGGCAATTAACTCCGCCTGTTTTTATCAGGGTCGTTCCTACCACTGAGACTCTTGGCAGCTTCCAGTTCCTGGGAAGGCACTGAGGGTCAGAGTCTAAATGGCTTTCAGCTCACATTTCCCATCCCATCACGCTGTCAGCAGGCGCCTCCTCTCATATCTGATAGGGAACTCGCACTATGTCAGATATGACAAATAAGGCTTTAAAACAGCCAAGGGAAATATAAACAAAGAGATCTACTTTTCAGACTCTGGTAGGAACTGAAGCTCTTGAAAAAGAAAAGGAGAGAGGATTTTTAACAGACTTCCTGGGAAACCAGTTCAAATGGGAGAGAAGAGCTGCCAGTGGCAGCTGCTGATCCTGTATGTGTCCATCTCTTACAATAAAAAGATGGTAGCATCTACCTTGTGTGGACTTGTTTGCATTTAAAGACCTCCTGGGTCTAGAGTGTCATGAGCATTAACAGGTAAATATGTGAGGAAGGGAAGAATTTATAGTTTAGGGCAAGGTAATTCCACGTTCCTTTAAAAACTCTGTTTTCTTTTAGAATACATTTTTTTTTCCATTAAAAATATAACAACAAAATGTGGTCTCTATATACAATGGGATATTACTCTGCCTTAAAAAAGAAGGGAATTCTGGCCAGGCATGGTGCCTCATGCCTGTAATCCTAGCACTTTGGGAGGCTGAGGCAGGAGCATCACTGGAGCCCAGGAGTTTGAGACCAGTATGGGCAACAGGGAGATCCTGTCTCTACAATGAATTTTTAAAAATTAGCCAGGCATGGTGGTATATGCCTGTGGTCCCAGCTACTCAGGAGGCTGAGGCTGGAGGATTGCTTGAGCCCAGGAGGTCGAGGCTGCAATGTGTCATGATTATGCCACTGCACTCCACCCTGAGCAACCGAGCAAGACCCTGTCTTAAAAAAAAAAAAAAGGAAATTCTGACCCATGTCTTAACCTTGAAGGTATTATAAGTGAAGCCAGACAGTCACAAAAGAACAATACTGTATGATTCACCTGCTACGAGTTACCCAGAGCAGTGAAATCCATAGAGAAAGGGAGTAGAATGGTGGATGCCAGGGCCTGGAAGGAAGGGGGAATGGAGAGTTAGTGTTTAATGGGGATAGCTGCTCTTTGAGAAGATGAAAAACGTTCTGGAGATGGATAGTGATGATGGTTGCGCAACAATGTGGATGTAACTTAATGCTGCTGAACAATACATTTAAAAATAGTTAAAATGGGCCGGGCGCGGTGGCTCACGCCTGTAATCCCAGCACTTTGAGAGGCTGGGCGGATCACGAGGTCAGGAGATCGAGACCATCCTGGCTAACATGGTGAAATCCTGTCTCTACTAAAAATACAAAAAATTAGCTGGGTGTGGTGGCGGGCGCCTGTAGTCCCAGCTACTCGTGGATGCTGAGGCAGGAGAATGGCAGGAGAACGCCTCCCGGGAGGCGGGAGGCGGAGCTTGCAGTGAGCCAAGATTGCGCCACTGCACTCCAGCCTGGGCGACAGAGCGAGACTCCGTCTCAAAAAAAAAAAAAAAAAAAAAAAAAAAAAAAAAAAAATATATATATATATATATATATATATATATATATATATATATATACACATATACATATATATATAGTTAAAATGGCAAATTTTATGTTATGTCTATTTTACCACCATTAAAAAAAATGTAGCAACTGCAAATGCCACTTTCAAGCTGAAAATGGAGTTTTGGAGCTCAAAAGAATTACAGTCATGAGTTGGTCTGTCCAGAGTTTCTGAAATGTCAGTGTTGGGCTGGCTGCAATGAGTCACCCACGGGCAACCTCACCATTCCAGTCCTAGATATTTACCCAGGAGAAATGAAAACATATGTCCACAAAAAGACTTGAACACAAATGTCCATAGTAGCTTTACTCCGAGTAGCCCAAACTGGAAACAATCCAAGTGTCCATCAATAGGAGAATGAATAGATAAACTGTGGCATAGCCACATGATATAGTGTAGGTATTTGTCCCCACCCAAACCTCATGTTGCGATGTAACCCCCAGTGTTGGAAGTGGGGCCTGGTGGGAGGTGTTTGGATCATGGGGGCGGATCCCTCAGGAATGACTTGGGCAGCCCCCTTGATGATGAGGGAGCTCCCCTTCTGAGTTCACAGGAGATCTAGTGGCTTGAAATGTGTGCCACCTCCTGCTAATTCTCTCTCTTGCTCTTCCTTTTGCCTGTAACGTGCCTGTTCCCTCTACATCTTCTGCCATGACTGTAAGCTACCTGAGGCCCTCCTCAGAAGCCAAGCACGCCAGCACCATGCTTCTTGTAGAGCCTGCAGAACCAGGAGCCAATGAAGGCTCTTTTCTTTCTAAATTACCGAGTCTCACGTATTTCCTTACAGCAATGCAACAACAGCCTAAAACACACCATACCATGTAATACTCCTCAGCTACAAAATGAATGAACTACTGAAACACACAACAACTTAGATGAATCTCAAACTAACACAGGAACAGAAAACCAAACACCACATGTTCTCACTCATAAATGGGAGTTAAACAATGAGAACACACGGACATAGGGAGGGGAACATCACACACCGGGGCCTGTTGGGAGTTGGGAGGCAAGGGGAGGGACAGCATTAGGACAAATACCTATTCTGTGGGGCTTAAAACCTAGGTGACGGGTTGATGGGTGCAGCAAACCACCATGGCACATATATACCTGTGTAGCAAACCTGCACATTCTGCACACGTATCCCAGAACTTAAATAATAAAAAAAAATATTTTGCTGAGTGAAAGCAGCCCAACATAAAAGTACACATACTCTAGGATCCACGTAGATAAAGTTCTAGATCAGGCAAAACTAATCTATACTGATAGAACTCAGAGCCATAGCTGCAGGAGTAGGGGGAGGGCTACGTAGGAACGGACTGGGAAGGAGCACAAAGGCGTTTTCCAGGATGAGGGAAAGATTCCGTGTCTTGGTAGGGGTGTGAATTACCATCAGTGTATGCACTTGTCAAAACTCATCAAACCGTACATTTAAGATCTGTGCATTTCACTGTATGTGAATCATACCGTAATTTTTTTAAAAAGATAATTTTAAAAAGAGTCACTCAGGGAATTTAATTAAAAATATCACCTCCCAGAGAGATTCTGGTTTAGTAGGTCTGGAGTGGGGGCCCAGCATCTGCCGGCTTTAAACATTCCACAGGCGAGTTGCATGGTCAGCTGTGCCCCAGCCACCTTCTCCCTCTTGTCCTGTTGGTCTCAAAGCCTTTCCTTCCTCACTGCATCCTTCACCCTTGACACAAGTGGTGCCTCCTTGAGCCTTAGCCACAAATCACTCCTCACTTATTATGCTCAACAAGACAAGACCGAGACAGGAATGAGATTCTGAGGCGCCCCAGTGGTGGAGCATGACTGTCTGGGTTCAAAACCTGATGCCTATCCGACTAGCCAAGTGACCTTGGGCATGTTTCTTACCTCTCTAAGCCTCAGTTTCCCTATCTGAACAATGGGGATGCTGCTGTCACTAGTACCTACCTCACAGGGCAAATGTGAGGATTTAAAAGGTCAATACAAACACGTAAGGCACCTGATTGGTCATGTTTTTTATTTTCTAGAGTTTACAATGCTTGGACATCTTGGTGCCTTTCAGACCTGGGGAGGGAGTGTTAGTTCCTAGAGACAGCAAACAACCTGCCTGTGAACGCACCTTTGCTATGCAAATCAACCAATCCGGAACCCACAGCCCCTACCACTGCCTTTATCAAACTGTCACATACCAAACCAATATTCCCCCTACCCCATATCACCCCAGGGCCAGGCATTCAACAAAAAGGGACCACCCCTGCACCCCAGAGCTCAACTAAGTTATTCAAACAATCCAATCCTAAACTTACTTGGTGTACTTACTCTGCCTTGCCTATTCCTTCCAAAAAAAAAAAGACCCAACAAAAGCTCTGGCCCAGGCTTTCCCCTTGCCTCCTTCAGCCTGCTAACCGACCCTGGTACTTCCTCATGCGGCCCTACATGGCCTGGCCTGCCCGCTTCTCTTGAGAACTGTAAGTAACAAACTATATTTTCAACGGTAATTGTCTCTTGATTTATGGACTTCACCATACCCGAATAAAGGCAAAATTCCAGGTACATTTTATACAAGCGTGACGAGTGTCTGGCACATAGTAGGCTTGCAAAAGGTAAAGTCTGTGCATTAACAGAAACATTTGCTGCTTTTTCACAGCATTTACCACAATCTGTAATTATACGTTTTTGGGATTATGTAATTAATCTCTGGTTCCCTCACTAACCTGTAAGCTCCAAAAAGGTGAGGCTGATGCCCTTTTTCGGTCCTATTATATCCCCATCTATATATCCCCTATTACATACGGGATATATTACATAAGGGCTATATTATATCCACCATTATATCCCCATCCCCTTGCTGAGAGCCAGGCAAAGAGTAGGGCCATAGCAAAGGCTTGCTGAGTAAAGGTGGACTCACTGGTTTTGCAGTTTAACACCATCTGTAGTAAATAATGAAACCTGAGCCTGAGAGGGGAAGGGGCTCGCCCTGCATCAAACAGCCCATGGGAGCTGGAGCTAAGGTGCTATATTAGTCAGGGTTCTCTAGAGGGATAGAGCTAATAGGCATATGTATATACAAAAGGGACTTTATTAAGGAGAATTGACTCACACGATCACAGGGTAAAGTCCCACGATAGGCCGCCTGCAAGCTGAGGAGCAAGGAAGCCAGCAGTGGCTCGGTCCAAGTCCCAAAACCTCAAAAGTAGGGAAGTCAACAGTGCAGCCTGCAGTCTGTGGCCAAAGGCCCGAGAGCCCCTCGCAAACCACTGGTGTTAAGTCCAAGAGTCCAAAAACCTAAGAACTTGGAGTCTGATGTTCGAGGGTAGGAAGCCTCCAGTACGGGAGAAAGATGAAGGCCGGAAGACTCAGCAAGTCAGCTTCTTCCACCTTCTTCTGCCTGCTTTTTCTAGTCGCGCTGGCAGCTGATTGGCTAGTGCCCACCCACCCTGTGGGTGGGTCTTCCTGAGGGCAGGTCTTCCTCTCCCAGTCCACTGACTCAAATGTTAATCTCTTCCGGCAACACCCAGAAACAATACTTTGCATCTTCAGTCCAATCCAGTCGACACTTAATTTAACCATCAGAGGTGCCAGAGCCCCTTGCCTCTCAGTCCCTTCTGCCACACCAGACAGTCACTCCCAATTCTGGGGTCAGACTTCGTAGGGCATGAGGAGCAGCTCAGGGCCCCCAAACAGCCCATTTCTGCACAAGCTATCTGTGTTTTCTCCGTAAAGCACACATACCAGCTGCATGGACACCTGGGAGGTTCTGGGACCTCCCCTGAGGGGCTGCTGTACTCTGCATACCCCATTGACAGTTACAGAGTTTTCTGTCTCCACTCAGCAGCTTTTTGATATACTGGTGCAGACCCTGGCTATTCTGGACTTAGCAGGCCACATCCTCGGTCTCTCTTCACAGATGGGAGCAGGCTCAAGGGAATCCCATCAATAAATAATTCCCAAGGCCTGGAAGTGTCCTCCTCTCCACATGATGTGATTGCAAAGCTGATTTTCAACCCTTCCCAGAGGAACCCTGGGATGGTCTTCCTAAGCCTCTGGGTAGGTGCCTGTCATCGCCAAGGTCTGAAAATGGGCCCCTGGGGTGTCTTAGAGTCTGTCATCACCTCTCAGAATTCTTGGAGTCCACTCTTACCCCACAGGCCAAAGAGACCACTGGCTAGTCTCATGGGTGAGTCACTCATGAGCCAGTCAATTTCTACAGCTTGGAAGGTTCACTTACACTGACCAGGCAGATATTTCTGCCTTTCCAATGGGAGTCTTGGGTATCACCAGTGAAGTCCTAAGAACCATTTTAAGTTAAACAATGGCTAGGTCTCCAAAAAATAAGTTATATCATTATCCCTCAGAAGCCCTTGAAGTGAGATAGCAGCATGGGATAATGGGAAGGGTCTAGGCTTTGCGGTCCAGGCAGCCCCTTAATAGCCCTGTAACCTGTAACCTTGATCATGGGCCTTCACTTCTCTAATCCTCGGTCTTCTTTACAAAACAAAGATGACACAAAGAGAGGTATGCACTGCTCTTGTCATACTGCTGGGCACACAGTTGGCACTAAATAAATGCTAGAATATGAAGAGGATGCTGTTGATGATGGTAACACTCCAATGCTATGGATCCTATAGCTTACTCAGTCCTTTCCTATATGTGTGTTAATTTTATTATTGTGATATAATACTTATACCCTAAAATTCACCCTTTTAAAGTATACAATTCAGTGGTTTTTAGTATACTCACAAAGTTCTGCAACCATCACTACTCCATAATTCCAGAACATTTTCATCAGCCCCAAAAGAAACTCTATCCCTATTAGCAGTCACTCCCCATTCTCCCCTCCCCATAGCTCCTGGCACCCACCAATCTGCTTTCCAACTCTATGGATTTGCCTGTTCTGGACATTTCATATAAATGGGATCATACAATATATGGCCTTTTGTGTCTGGCTTTTTCCCTTTAGCATGATGTTTTCAAGGTTCATCCATGCTGTGGCATGAATCACTGCTTCATTCCTTTTCACTGCCGGATAATACTCCGTTGTATGGATATACCACATTCTGTTTACCCACTCATCAACTCATGGACATTTGGGTTGTCTCCACTTTTTAGCTCCCATTCATTATTTTATTCAGTCTTTACAACCTTCCCTGCAGGAGGACAGAGCAAGCATCATCTTTTCTATCACAGAGACGGGAACTGAGGCTCAGGGACGTGAAGTGGCCTCCCTAGGTAAGGCTGCTTAGCTGGCTAGACACAGGCTAGGGAATCAAAGTCGATCCTCCTAACCTCAAGCTCAATGTCTCTGGGTTAGACAAGAAGGACCTGACATTTTGCATATAGAGGGAATCCAACAGAATATGACAGATCATTTCAGCTTGGCCTTGCAGGCAGGGGAAGGAGTGTAATTAAAGATCATCTTCTTGGTAATCCCAGTAGGGAGTCAACAGCTAATTCAAAGTGGATCAATGCCAGCATCCGAGGAGGGAAAACAGCTCTTTCAAACCGGAAAAAAAACCAGGAACAACCAAATCTCATCCCTGGGTCTTTTCCTGAGGATTCTCAAGTTGCAGGTGCTGGTCACTCTCCCCCTTCATTCCCAACACGTCCGGTCAGCATCTCCTTCACCTCCCCTATATTTTGGCCCCTTTTTCAGATGTCCTGTGCTTAGACTTGGAGGGGGCCAACCATACTCGGGGTGTAGAGCAGGGCCAAAGGGAAAGTCACTGCCACTCAGAGCAACAGAAAATGAAAATAATCCACAAGGCAAGAGGGGACTCTCTATTCTATCAAACACAGGGCCAGAAGGTTCTCTGAGAACAACCTTGGCTATTCCCCCAAAGTCCCCATTTCTCAAGCAATGAACAAACAATTATTGAGCACGTACTTTTACTTAACATCCACTCCCCAGAATATTTACTGTGTATCTACAGGGTATCAGGCATGGAATGATTAGAAGAAGACCGAGTTCAGCTCTGAAATGTAAGTTCTAATGATGGAGATGGGTAATAGGCATGCCAAAAAAGAGAAAACAGGACATAATAAAGAAATGAGATGGTAGATTGGAGTGGGGAGAGGCAGGTGGGGGATATCAGCCTCCTGCCCTCCTTGACTGGATGCCACACACTTGTCCAGGCACTGAGGACACAGGCATGAAAGACCCAGGAGAATCTTCCAAGTAGAAGGACAAACATTGCAAAAAATAGCAGTGAAAATAAGAGGGAAATATTTTCAAAGAGAACACCCCCAAGTGCCCTGGAGCTCATTTCCTACCAGATGTCTGAGGGTTGCCCTGCGGGCCCTCTCCTGATGCTGAGTATCCCAGACGCACTCTGAGAACTTGACTTCCAGTTCAACAGTCAGTTCAACCCAATCCTACTTCAAGTTCAACGTCAGACAACCCCATCCTGCTGCCCTCTTGGTGTGAAGGCAGTGGGGCCTGGTGGCAGCCTGTGGCTCTTGCTCCAGGCAGCCAGGACATCCTTGGTAGGAGGAATAAACCAGCTGCCCCAATGTGCCACACCAAACAGTGTAGTCACATCTAAATAACTAACACCACGAGACTGACCTCAATGCCAGCACAGGGCACCTCGGAGTGAGGGAATGTGGGAGCCTTGAAGATAAAATTATCCTGACCAACCTGGGCAACACAGTAAGATTTTGTTCCTACAAAAATAAAATAAAAATAGCTGGGTGTGGTGGTGCGTGTCTGTAGTCCCAGGTGCTCAGGAGGCTGAGGTGGGAAGATGGCTTTAACCCAGGAGTTCGCAGCTGCAGTGAGCTATGATTGCACCACTACACTCCAGCCTGGGCAACAGAATGACCCAGTCTTAAAAAAAAAGAAAAGAAAAGAAAAGAAAACAAGATAAAATTGCATTGGGCACATCTGGAGATAAAATGATTTCCAGTTAATTTTCCTTTTAAACTGAATCTCTGTCTACTTTCAGCTACAGGACCCAGTTACACTGCCAAAGAAACATCAATAGCAGCATCCCAGAGTGAACAAGGACAAGTGGTCAAGACATTTGGCCTTTGTCCTCCGCTTAAGCTTAGAAGTGCCTAACTCGTCCTGGTGAGTGGCAAGGTCTAGGGTTGCATGAATAAAATCTACCTGGGGAAGGTAGCATGTATCCCTGAAGAAGGTGGAGAGTATTACAGGGGAGGTGTGTAAGCCACTAAGCACTCATCTGGCATGTAGAAAGTGCCCCTTCCTTCCAGGAGCCCAGGGTGACCTTTGCTTTCAGCAACGAGTCCACTAAACTGATCAAATCCTCAACAGAGCTGGTTCATGGTTCTTTTGGTGACCACAGCTGCATTTAAGAGCAAATGCATCTCACAACTTTGCAGGAAAGATCTTCTTGGCATAAAACAGGGCTCACTTTCAGTTCTGCTGTTGACTTTCAATGCCACCTAATTTAGATACAAAAAAAGAGATCTGCTGGAGAAGCCAGAAGATCAGAGTCAGAAATAAAGGACTAGAAATATGAATAAGAAAATTCTAGGCTCAGCTCTGCTAGTGGCCATCTGTTCACCTTTGAGCAAGTTTCTGTACTTCTCTTCTGAGTCTCCATTTCCCCATGCATAAGATGAGGAGTTTGGATTAGATCTACGGGTTCTTGAATTTCAACGTGCTTACAAATAACCTGAGAAGCTTTTGTAAAAACTCACATCCCTGGGCATCACTGCAGAGTGATTCAGGAATTTTGCTTCTAACCAAAGTCCAGTGGTGAATCTGACAAAGGAGGACTGAGGACTTTGAGAATCCCTGGACTTGATGACACACAGGACCTTCTCTGAGATTCTGAACATTAAGGTGTTAAGACTCCTTAGCCTGGGAAGAGAAAGCACACGGAGGGAAGGGGAAGGGGTTGACCGGCGCCAAGAATTCAGCAAAGATTTTGTTTGATAAATATGTTAAACTACGTCAATTCCTGGTAAGTTTCTGTCAAAGTCACTCAGGCATCTGCAGCTCCCTGTTTCCACAGCCTGCATCCTTGAGGCAGCACAATGGATCCAACAGCAGCTGATGGATCCAACAACACGTCTTCCTTCTCCAGCTGCTCCTACTGTGAAATGCAGGGGCTGGCCCTGATGATCTCGAAGGACGCTTCCTCCCTGACGTTCTGAATTTCAGGCATTCTTCAAACTGCCTTCACATCATGCATGCCCTTCTTCAGGCAGTCACTTGTTCCCATTTCAAAACAATCAAATTATCACAAGCCCACGGCTGTTGCTTCCAAGAAGGAAACAAAGGCTCAGTGCAATGGGCCACTTTGAAACCACCACCTGGGTGTCCAAGAAGCTTTGCTGTGGGTTGTAGGCATGGTTATGTGTCCATCCAGGGCCAGCCCTGGTCAGTTCCTCGCAGAATCCACCTTCAGTCAAGGACTGGAAGAGGGGGGCTGGTAAAATCTCAGTGCAGTTGAGCCTGTGATGGGACACAGGGACAGTGGCAATCCTTTGAAGGGCCTCCGTCTCTTGCTGCCCTGTAACCTCCAGCTGTGATATAATGTACCAAGGTAAGGCCTTCCTAGGCTAATGGGCATCTGTCATTCTTTTGGGCCACGCTGATCTTTGAACACCATTTTTGTTTCAGGAGTTCCCCAATGTTATAAGCCTACATCTTTCCAAATTAAAAGCCAGAAACGTTCTCGGCCTCTTTTGCACGTGGCCTGGGATCCAACGATCAGGCTGTGCCTAAGCCAGACTCTGAGGTAGAAGCTTGTGGCTCAGAGAAGAGGGCATCAGACAGATCTCGGAGAAGGCTATGGTAGCCCTATCCTGTGCCCAGAGACAGCAGTGACAGCAGCTTAGAGGTGGCTGTTGGTGTATGGTGTCAGGGCCACACTTTTTGGTGCCTGTGCTCAGCAATGGCAGTGCTGCTGTCTCCGCAAAGCAATCCTGCAATGGGGTCTGGGCATTGTTCCTGCTGTGTAGCTGCTCCGAACCTGGTTCTCTGACCTTCTGGATTCTGTGAGCCCCCTGACAGCCTTTGATAAATTCTGTGTCTGCTGAAACTTGTCAGAGAGCAATTCTTCCACCCACACCTAAGTGCCTGGATACCAACAGGTAATACACTGGACACAGCCAGAGAGGAGAGAGCTGATTCTTTGGGCGGGATCTAAAACGACTGAGCTTTCAATGATCCTCGGCCTTGGGAGCTCTTCGAGAAAGAGCCAGACTGTTATGGAATTGACCTGTCGAAAGGGAGGGTTCGGGCCACATCATGTTCAAAGACTCTTCCTTCTCCAGATGCAACAACAACCTGTCCACATTAAAACCCAGCTGTGAATGCCGGGCAGAGGACACTGCAGAAAAGACTTGACTTTCTTTTCTTTTTAACCTACCACTCGATTTGGAGGAAATGAACCACAATAAGTGAACCATGAAGTGTAGCACGGAGTGGGCTTTTGTTTCCCAACCAGCTGGGGGAATGCAAATGAGCTCAGAGGTGCTCCTTTCATTATGGTGTTGGCCTCTTCTACATTACGCACATTAGACAAATTCTGCCAGCTTGGGCTTCATAAATAGCCCTGTAGGGATGACACATCTCCCAAAAGAAAAAAAAAATAAGGACAAAATTCTGAGGCAAGGATGTTCATTTCTAGGCTGTGCAGAAGCTCTAAAGTAATGAAAGGCCAACAATAATTAGAACGTGTTTTTGTAATATTCTCTTTTCTAAAGAGAGTAGCACAAAGGTGCCTCAGAGGCTTGCGCTAATGGGAAAATGGAATGTTCTAAAAAGAGGCCCTTTGAATCCACACTCCTCCGCTCACTCTAGCAAATGCAGACACATAAATTAAGGGTCTGATTTTCCAATTTTCAAAAAATACGGGGCAAGAACTTTCTGGATGGAAATGAGGTTAAAAAAGAAAAGCAGTGAATTGAAAAGAGATATAAACATTTGTTTTCATTTTTACTTTTCTTTATCATATACAGAGATTCCTTTGCTGGCATCATAAAATTAGGATGTTTCAAACAGTCCTTTAAAAAAAAAAGGATGGGCCCTTTGCCCACGGGGGGAAATTCTACTGCCCTTCTCTCAATGTCTGAAAAGCAATAAATAAGTGGTGGGCCTATCTCATAGCCTTGACGAAGAACAGATCAAGGGTTTGTGCCTAGGGAGCTGGTGCAAAGCAGGTCTTTAATATGTTTTGTGAATGGGGGAGTGAAAGAATGATGACACAAATAATTTTGCCATCTCCCCCAGTACGTGACCCAGCACCAGCCTCCTTTCTGTTTCTCCAAAGACTCTGCCATTCACTCATTCATTTACTATTTACTGAGCACCTACTATGTGCCAGGCACTGTTCTTGGTACTGCAGATACCTAAATGAACCAACCAGATGTTCTAACCCTTCTGAAGTTTGCATTCTAGCAGGGGAAATGCTGTAAGTAAGACATGTAAGTTAAATATATATTAGATAGCAGCATGCGCTGTGGAGAAGGGAGACCCTAGATAAACCAAATATTGGACAACAGCCCTCATTTAAGTACCCCCTCCTCCAGGAAGCCTTCACTGACCACCCTGGCTCAACATCTGTGATTAGGCAACTTCTCAATGCCTTTTTCTACCACAGGACCTCTCAACCTCAGCACTATTCCAATTCTGGGATTGAATCTTTTGTTTTTCCTGTGCACTGTGGGATGTTTGACATCATCTATGGCCTCCACCCACCGGATGCCAGTAGAATTTTCCCCACCCTCCAGCCGTGATTACTAAAAATGTTTTCAGACATTGTCAAATGTTCCTCAGAAGGTAAGTCACCCCTTGTCGAGAAACACTGGACTATCCCTTGCTGTTCAAAGTGTGGCACCTGGACCAGCTGCACAGGGGTCACCTGAGAACTAACCAGAAATGCAGAATCTCAGGCCTTGAGCCCAGACCTACTGAATCAGCATCTGTGTTTTAACAAGAGATTCAAATCCACATGCACTGGCCTATACCACTTATTGGACTCTTAAGGGCAATGATTCTCAAATTCTTGGTATGAATCGGGCTCATTTGGAAGGCCTGTTCAAAGTAGGGATGCCCAGGCCCCTCCCCAGATCTACTGAATCAGAATCAGAGGGGATGAGTTCATGGTATCCGGGGCTTTCACCTGCTCCCCAGGTAACTCTGATGCATACTATCATTTGAGAATCCTTGAGTTCTCAAAGTGTAGCCCCTGGAGCAGTGGCAGCAGCATCACCTAGGTACGTGTTAGGAACGTAAATCAGCAGGCCCCACCTCAGACCTACTGAAGCAGAAGGTAGCAGAAGCTCTAGGGTGGGACCCAGCAACCTGTTTTCAACGAGGCTTCCAGGTGCCTCTGAGGCTCGCTCAGGCTTGAATACCCCTGCCTTTGACTAGGAGGACACAAACACAAATGCCTTCAGGAGGTGGGCTTGCACCTCTGGGGCTGGTAAAGATGAACTATCTTGTGGGGAGAGAAACTTATAGTATACTAAAGAGTCTAAGTTTTTGCCTAAAAGCAGGATGGAAGAAGGGAAGGAAAAAGGGAAGGGAATGAAAAAGGGGAGGGGAGGGCTGGGGAGGGAAGGGAAGGGAGAAGACTCTCGGGCCAAATAAAGTATCTACATAGACCAGATCAGCTAGGGGCCACCAGTTTGCCATTGTACAGGGGATGCCATCTTATATGGCTGTTCTCTTTTAAAGATGACTCCTCAAGTCAATGGTAATCTTGAGGGCAGATTTGTACTTCTTGGTAGCCTCTGATAGATTGGCGGTACCCAGGAAAAGTTGGTCAGTTGTTCATTAATTCTCATTGCACTGAACTATTTTAAAATACACATACAAAGGATGGTTTCAGCTGGGAGAGGTTTTAATATTGGAGACGAGGTTCACAGGGCCTCGGTTTTATTATTTGTTTTTTGTTTGTTTGTTTCTTAGAGACAGGCTCTCATTTTGTCACCAAGGCTGGAATGCAATGACACGATCTTGGCTCACTGCAGCCTCAAACTCTTGGGCTCAAGCGATCCTCCCATCCCAGCCTCCTGAGTAGCTGGGACTATAGGTGCACACCACTGTACCTGGCTAATTTTTAAACATTTTTGTGTAGAGATGGGGTCTTGATATGTTGCCCAGGCTGTTCTCAAACTCCTGGCCTCAAACAATCCTCCCCGCTCAGCTTCACAAAGTGCTGGGATTAGAGGTGTGAGCCACCGCGCCCAGCTCTTGGTTCTACTATTTGGAAATCAAAAGGGTTGAATTAGAGCAGGGTTTTTCAACCTTGGCACTGTGGACATTTGGGGTCAGATAGTTCCTTGTTGTGGGGAGACTGTCTTGTTCATTGTGGGATGTTTGGCAGCCTCCCCTGACCTTTACCTACTGGCTCCTAATAGCAACCCAGAGCACTCAGCCAGCTCACAGGAAAGCTCCAGAGCCCAGACGGCCCCTTTTCAGCAGACTGGAGATGCTAACAAAATCCATCCTCTCACAGAAGAGAGCCAGGGCTTCCCAAGTTGGGGTGGAGGTGGATGGTGGCTGCACCCCAGGCCAACTCCTAGCCTTGAATAAAGGTCCCACTCTGTGTCTTCAGTTTCCCATCATTTCCAAGCAATAGAAGAAACACCTTGATAACAATGGGTTAAAAGATGTTTACGAATAGCATAAACCTTTGAAAATCCCCCTTTGTCCAAGGCCATGATAAATGTTCTCTGTCTGAAAGGGTCTCCGGGGTCTCTGCATGGTTTCTATTCTATGTACTGCTCTGGGAGAAGAGAATTCCAAACGCAAACTCCTTTTCAATATATAACATATTGCAGTTACAAATTGATGTCAAGCTGCGTGAGCTGCAGCCGGCTTCATGCCATTAGCATGCACCTATTCTATTATTTTTTCAAAAATAGGAGCTCTCAGATGCATGTCGCAGAAGGGGAGATGACGTTTACAGTCTGAATTCCTGCGACAAACTATCACCTTACGGAGGCCTGGGGAGCAGCTGCTGACAGATTTTTAAAGCAGCATCAACATCCTAGCAGGGAGGGGAGGAGGCAACACCTCCTGCTTCACAGAGAAGAAGAGAGAGGAAGTGGGGAGGGACAGGTGGGGAAGGAGGAGGGGAAACAGGAAGAAGGGATTCGGCCCTTTCCCCAGGTGGGCTCTGGGAGAGGGGCAAAATCGACCCTTTTTCAAGTCCACTGGCTACTCCCGAGAAAGAACTCAGCACTTGGGTGAGGAGACCTTCTGAGGTCTCTTTGTGCCTTTAGACCTCAGCTTCCTCATCTGAGATACGGGCCCAAATTCCTTTTCCTGCCACTTCACATAGGACTGGAAAGCTGGGACAAAGGACAGCCATGAACCGCTGATGGACTCACCCAGGGACGTTCAGTTCAATAAACTTCTGAAGCAGAATAGGTTCCCACAGAGCAGGCCAGAGTGAAAGGGGCCTGCATGAAAAGTTTTGATTCAAGGGCCTTCTATTTGCAAGAAAGGAAATTACATATGAAGTTCCCAGGTTTCTCGGAGACTTTCATTTCCCTCTCATTTTCCTTCTCGTTAATAGTGGAAGAATTTATTTAGAGGTGTAGAAGAGTCCCTTTGGGGCCATACAATCATAGCATTTGAAAGCAACCTCAGAATTGGTGTTTTTTTCCCTGGTAATCTTCCTATCTGAGCAACAGTCACATCAGTGTTTATTCCTGCGCCTGGAGCTTAAAGGATTTTCATTTTCAAAAGGAAGATGAAGAAGATGGATTTAAGGTGTTAAGTGTAGAGAATCTGGGTTTTGTTCCGGTTTGGCTTCAAGGAGCGATTTGATCACTCCGAGTTGTATAGAATGGTATCTAATCTGAAAATGAAATTATTTTCATTCTTTTTTTTTTTTTTTGAGAACTCATCTACATAAAAGAGGGTAAGCTGGATTGCAGCCAGCAGTTATCCGGGTCAACTTCAGTACACTGTGTTTTGAAAATTTCCAGTGGGAATCCTTCCACACAGGAGGTATCATTGTTCCCACTGGGATGCCCCTTCCCAAATTCTCTGTTTGTTCCAGAATAATTACAACCTGAAGAGAAATCTGCCTGGGGTTAAAGTCAGATGTTTTGTTCAGATAAAACACAGGCAGCCCGACTGGCAAAGCACAACTTATTCAGTGTTCCTGTGTCGTGGATTAATTCATACCCTCAAATGCATAATCAGATGAACGTGGTTCAGAGAACAGCACAGTCCTCTAGTGTTCTTGCTAAAATAACAATTTTTCTCAACTTCTGTGTGCTCAAGAGGTTGGAGCAAACTGATGCTTGGCTGAAAGGGAACCCAGTGCAAATTCACCTTCGAGTCCCCTCATCAAGGTGACGTGAACCCTTCTGGAGGTCCGCGCCTTCAAGGAGAGCTGAAAACCATGTGCTCTGAGGATGCTGATGGACTCTGTTCTATTTCCATGGACAGCCAGGGCTCCGTATGCTTCACTTTCCTCATCTGTCCTGTGAGTATCCCAGCTGGCAGATGGAGTAAACAGCCAGAGTGTGTTCAATGGTGTCCACAAAAAATTCACATCCATCTGGAATCTCAGAATGGAAAACTTATTTGGAAAAGCATCTTCGCAGATGGGATTAGTTAAGAATCTTGAGATGACGTCTTCCTGGATTTAGGGTGGGCCTTAAATTCAACGGTTGGTTCTCTTATAAGAAGAGGACAGGTTGGGAGGCCGAAGTGGGCGGATCACGACGTCAAGAGATCGAGAGCATCCTGGCCAACACAGTGAAACCCCATCTCTACTAAAACTACAAAAATTAGCTGGGTGTGGTGGCGCACGCCTGTAGTCCCAGCTACTCGGGAGGCTGAGGCAGGAGTCACTTGAACCCAGGAGGCTGAGGTTGCAGTGAGTCAAGACCATGCCACTGCACTCCAGCTTGGCGACAGAGTGAGACTCTGTCTCAAAAACTAAAAAAAGAAGAGGAGAGGACTCAGAGGCACGGAGAAGGCCCCGTGAAAGGGAGAAAGGGACTGGAGTGACGTTGCTACAAGCCAAGGAGTGTCTGGAGCCACCAGAAGCCGAAAGAGGCAAGGAAGTATCCTCCCCCAGAGGCTTCAGAGGGCGTGTATCCTTGTGGACACCTGGATCTTGTACTTCCAGCTTTCTCAACAGACACAGTAACGTTCTGCTGCCTTAAGTGATTCAATTTGTAGGAATTTGTTCTGGCAGCCACAGGAAATGAATATTTTAATTACATGCAACTCCCCAAATTCTGAATCTCTTGGTTTCCCTCCTTGAAAACCTTTCCCTTCTTTTTAATCCAATTAATAACTTCTTTATTATAGACAAGCAAATGCAAGTCCTATTCCTGTAAACACAGACATTACAAAGAACAGGGAAAGGGGGCGAGGAGAAGAAAACAAAACCCTCTACAAATCCTGCTGATACCGACTCACCCAACAAGACCATAATGCTTTGTCCCATATTCAATCACTTCTATAATAACCACACACGAGATCTTCTCTGGTAGATACACAGATCCTCGCTGAGACGGCAGGGAAAGGGGGCCAGAAGTTGGGGTAGGAGGCTCTATTCTTTCGGCAGACCCTCTCCGTCATTATAGATATTGCTGGGCTGTTAATAAAAAATATATGCTTCTCTGTAAAGCTTTTTTTTTTTAAATTCCAAGGATGAGATGGCTGAGGTCTCAGCTCAACTCATCTCCGAAGACATTGTTATCCATCTCCTGACCTTTCTGTATGTTATTTTTTTTTTTTTTTTTTTTTGAGCAAAGCTTCTCCTTCTTGTAGCCTCCAAACTGCCAAAGGAAAATGACACCCTTGGACACTGGTGGTGCACTTCAGCCTTTAGTGGGGAGGGGCTGACTTTGTCCCGAACTAGGCAGCCGTGTGCTTTAACAGAACAACTAGGCTATGGAGAGCTGTGATGATAATGGTGAAGATTCAGGCTTGACAGTGGGCCAAGTCCAGTGTCTAATGGTCTCCGGGCTTTCTCTAACTGAATCGTTAGGAGGTAAGGATGGTTAGCCCCTCCACTTTTCATATCAGGGAAACGGATACACTGAGAGGTTCTGGCCCTGATTCCAGGCCTGGAGTTGGCCTACAGAACCTGTGCCCTCAACCACGCCACTATTCTGCCTCCCCACACCCACCCCAGCCCCTAACACGCACCTGAAGGTTGACTCTGGTGACGTCAGGCTTCTTGACAGCAAATATAAATGTATAGCCCTTAAATAATTGATTTTGACGGGGACTGAAACCATTGCATGACTTACTCATCAATCATTCTATCAGCAGAGTCGATAAATGTCATTCCTTTGATGCCAAACTAGTCCATGGGATGAAAAGGTTGCACAGCAAACAGTGATGACACATTTTCAGTGCAACAGCAGTAATAAAAAAAAAAAGAGGCAGCCACTGGACATATTTAAAGATTGCTAGAAGAGGACAGAGAGGTCTGCTCAGTGCCCATGGATCTCCTGTTTGTTTGAATACCCCATTGTCCGCAGGATCTGGCTGGATGCTGGTGGTGTGACACAAGATGAGGTTGGTCACAGGTATCTAAGTGGAAAGGACCATCTTTGTTGGGGCAGCGGAATAAAGAGGGGTACATGGACAACCCCAAATGTAAAAATATCGAACCAGTCCCATGCCTGGGCAGAAGGATCATTTGTGCTGTTGGTTCTCAAACACTGGGTTGGTTGCATTAGAACCAGCAGAGGAGCCAAATAAAAATATGGATCCAGCCGGGTGCGGTGGCTCATGCCTGTAATCCCAGCACTTTGGGAGGCTGAGGCAGGCAGATCACGAGGTCAGGAGATCAAGGCCATCCTGGCTAACATGGTGAAACCTCATCTCTACTAAAAATACAAAACAAATTAGCCAGGCGTGGTGGTGGGTACCTGTAGTCCCAGCTACTCGGGAGGCTGAGGCAGGAGAATACCGTGAACCTGGGAGGCGGAGCTTGCAGTGAGCCGAGATCACACCAATGCACTCCAGCCTGGGTGACAGAGCGAGACTCTGTCTCAGAAAAAAAAAAAAAAAAGAGAAAAAGAAAAGGATCCCTGGGCCCCACTGCCAGTGGAAATCTGGAGTAGGGTTGGAATATTGTACTTGTCACAGTGACCAATTTTTAACGAGCTTACTAGAAGATTCTGATGCATAATCAGGTAGGAATCACTAAATTGTTTTTTTCACTAAAGCAAAAGATTGGTCAAACCAATATCAACATGGTTGCCCCTGGCAACCGCCATTCTACTTCCTTTTGAGGCAGAGTCTCACTCTGTCACCCAGGATGGAGTGCAGTGGCACAATCTTGGCTCACTGCAACCTCTGCCCCCCAGGTTTAAGCAATTCTCATGCCTCAGCCTCCCGAGTAGCTGGGACTACAGGTGTCCACCACCATGCCCAGCTAATTTTTGTAGTTTTAGTAGAGACAGGGTTTTGCCATGTTGGGCAGGCTGATCTTGAACTCCTGACCTCAGGTGATCTGCCCACCTCGGCCTCCCAAGGTGCTTGGATGACAGGCGTGAGCCACTACGCCCGGCCAGTCAGCTCTACTTTCTGTTTTTATAAATCTGACTACTCTAACTACCTCATATAGGTGGAATCATATAATATTTGTCTTTTTGGGATGCTTATTTCACTTAGCATACTATCCCTAAGGTCGACCCATCTGGTAGCATGTGTCAACATTTTCTTCCTTTTCAAGGCTGAATAATATTCCACTGTGTGGACAGAACACATTTTGCTGATCCACTCGTTTGTTGACGGACACTTGGGTTGTTTCCAGCTTTTTTTGGCTTTTGAAAATAACACTAGTATGAAGTTGGTGTACAAATATCTTTTCAAGACCCTGCTTTCCATTCTTTTGGGTACATAACTAGAAGCAGAATTGCTGGATCATAAGGTAATTTTATTTTCAAAATGTTTGAGGAATCATCATCCTGTCATTGGTAACAACTGCATCATTTTCCTTTCCCACCAACGGTGCACAAAGATTCCAGTGTTTCCTCATCAGCACTTGTGATTTCTCTGTTTGTTTTTTTGTTGTTTGTTTTTTGTTTTGTTTTGTTTTTTACAGCAGCCATCCTAATTGGTATAACTCATTGGCTTTTAATATGAGGATATGAAATACGTTGGTGTCCTTTTAACTTGACAGGGAATGTCAAACTCTGCTCCAAAATATGTACTAGAAAGACACCTCTGAACACTGACTCTGCAGAGGATGGGTTAAAGAGAGAAGGGATAGCTGGCAATCGAGAAAGGAAAAAAGTGCTTCTGTATTAGGTAGGTCTGGGCTTGGCTCCTGACTCTCCCTCTCTTGCCTGTGTGGCCCCGGCGAACCAAGTTCCCTTCCTGTCTTCAGTTTCATCATGTGCAAATAGGAGTAAGAATGCCTCCCATGTACTACTTAAAAGATATACACACATTGCTGGGTGTGCCTGTAATCCCGGCACTTTGGGAGGCAAAGGCAGGAGGATTGCTTGAGTCCTGGAGTTTGAGATCAGCCTGGACAACATGGTGAGATTCTGTCTGTATGGAAAAAAAGAATTTTAAAACTGGCCAGGCATGGTGATGCACGCCTGCTGTTCCAGCTGCTCAGGAGGCTGAGGTAGGAAGATCGCTTGAGCCCAGGAGGTCAAGGCTACAGTGAGCTATGATTGTGCTACTGAACTCCACCCTGGGCAACACAGTGAGATCCCCCCTCTCTAAAATATATATATATATATATGTGTGCATATATATATATATTTACATATATAATATATACATATATATGTGTATATATATATTTACATATATAATATATACATATATATATAAGTATTGGCAATAATGGATGAAAAGCACTCAGGTTAGTACTTGGCACATGGCAGGTGATCAGTAAATAGTGTCTTTCTTAGAAAAATGAGAAGTTTAGGAGAGAGAGGTGTTTCTTGTGAATTGCCTCCCTCCCTTCCCCAACACACACTCATACATATACACATGCACACATACACACACACAGGCAAACACTCATATACACACACACACACTCACACACACCCCATTAAAAGAAAGATATCAAGAAAGACCAGTATTGGTCAGAGGTAAAGATAATCACATCATATAAAACAGAAATGTACTTAGCTTTTAAGAACCAAAATACTCATGGTTTGGAGGGAGGAGCTGCTAGGAATGGTGCCTGGGACCTGATGTGTTAGCTGAACTTCGTCCTCCCACAGCCTAACATCGGCCTCCTGTTTAGTCCCGAAGACAAGGGATGGAGCCGACCCAAACATGCTCAGACTGGAAGTGAGAAGCTTCATGGGGTGTCTCTGCCCACTCTTGGGGCTTAGTATCAAGTAAACCACCCTGGCCTATGGTGTCAGCAACCCACTTCCCCGACACTGCGGATGGTCCCAGCAGCCTCCTTTGGACCTGTGCCCACACTGACACCTAGTAACAGGGCAATCGCTCAAAGGAAACAGCTGCTGTCCAGTCCTGCCGGCCGCTGGCTAAAGCCTGCCCCTGGGGGAGAGGAAATAATGAAGCTGATGGAGTTGACCACTCCCCTGGGAGCCTCCTCTTGCCTCCTTCCTGACCCAGGGCACACAGACACCTCAGATGAGGTAGGTGTGACTACAGACCCACTTTATGGATGAAGAGACTGAGGCTCATGGTATAAGGAACATTTCTCAGAATCTAAAAAGTGTTTCTCAAGATCACACGGCTAACAGATGATGATGCTATGATTCTACCCCAGGCCTATCCGACTTCAGCAACCATGCTTTTATTTTTGAAACAGAGTCTCGTTCTGTTGCCCAGGCTGGAGTGCAGTGGCGTGATCTCGGCTCACTGTAACCTCCGCCTCCCAGATTCAAGTGATCCTCACGCCTCAGCCACCCAAGCAGCTAGGATTACAGGTATGTGCCACCATGCTCAGCTAATTTTTACATTTTCAGTAGAGACGGGGGTTTTGCCATGTTGGCCAGGCTGGTCTCAAACCCCTGACCTCAGGTGATCCCCTCCCTCCCCTCCCTCCCGCCCCCCCGTCCCCCAATCCCAAAGTGCTGGGATTACAGGTGTGAGCTAGAGCCTGGCCAGAAACTATGCTCTTAACCAGGATCAGCAAACTACGGCCCACCACCTGTTCTTGTAAATAAAGTTTTATTGGAACATAGCCAAATCCATTCATTTACATATTGTCTACAGCTGCTTTCCTGTTACAACAGCAGAGTTGAATAGTGCAACAGAGACCATATGTTGCTCAAAGCCTAAAATAGTTACTATCTGGCCCATTGTGGAGAAAGTTTGCCAAGCTCTGCTCTTAACCCAGAATAATGTTCAACTGGCCACAGGTCCATGGGGCCTCAAGAGACCATCCATGAGAAAATAAAGATGGCTCAACCAGGCAGAAAGGGCTACAGACCGCTCAGATGGAATTATCAGAGAGTAGGTCTGTCCTCATAGCCTTTATTCACTGCCTCTGACCTCTAGCAAGTAACATCACCCTTTCCTGTTGGCCCAAGAATTGCTCAGCTTCTCCAGCCTCAGTTCTCCTATCTACAAATGGGGAGAAGAGCACCATCTCCCTCACAGAATTTTTGTGACATTTCAATGAGATCTAGTAAGTAAAAGGCCTAATACAGGGCTCGGCACAGAGTCAAAGCTCAACGAACACTTACTTCCTTCTTTCCTCTGGCCTCTTAATCAGTGACGTTATTCTGCGACTTCAGATGTCTCCGGTGAAAGTACAGTGCTGTGGAGGATGCGGCTGTCACAGCCTGCTGGTGAACGGGCCCATTAGATAGAGGTGCAGAGTGGGCATTGCTTTCCAGATGGATAAAAAAGCAAAGGCTAAAATGTAACATAAATGAGGAGGATCTTATTTGCACAGCCACTTTCTGTTCGTCATTGGCCACGATTTCAGCAGCAATCACAGCCGCCTGGTTATTTCGCTGTGGAGTGGGAGTGGAGATTGCTAGTACATAAAAGTTTTCCAAGAGATCTGAGTCGTTTGCAGTTAGGTACCAAACCACACAATCCTGTAGATAGATCATAGCAGTGAAAGGCAAGGCTCAGCCATCGGCAGACCTGGGTTTGAATCCCAGCTCTGGTGCTGATCAGCCGTGTGGCTTCAGTGAAGCCAAAAAAAAAAAAAAAAAAAAAAAAGAGAGAGAGAGAGAAACTTGGAGAGATAAAGAATATTTTCAAGCAATATTTTAAGAACTCCGATGGGTGCAAAAGATCTGTGATGAAGGAAATTTCAAAATTGTCCATCAAGACAGCATCAGCATTGATGATTTCTGCACTGGTCTGAACATGGGTGTGTGTGCAGGTGTGTCTATGACAGTATCTGCCTTGCAGGATAGAAATGAGAAAATACATGTGAAAGTTTAGCACAGCTTATAGGGAGCCATCAATAAATGTTATTATTCGTCTTATTGTTTCAGGCCCCTAGTAGCTCCCAAGAGCAGGGGTCCATTGCCCGGTTATGGGGAGATCGAGGCATCTGTGTTCGGGCACGGGCAGTTGCAGGTGACTCAGTAGAGCTCCCGCTTGGGCATCTCGACTTCCCTTCCCCTCCCAGCCCCACTGAAGCAGGCCCTAATCGCATTATCAAGATTATCTCCCGGTAGTTGCAGAGCGGCTGCCCTGGGACTTGGGTTTAATTCCGTTTTAATAACAGGTTCTTAAACACATTTGAAAACAAAATTATGATGCCCTTTCATCCCTTCAGTTGGGAAAGAAAAAAACCTTTCTAGTGTACAGTAATGTACTGGGTTTTGTGTTACCTATTGTTTTGTTGTTTGGCTTTCTTTTTTTTTTTTTAAAGAATGTGTATTGTTTTGAAGATTGCTGGGGGCTGGCATTCAGGGTTTTTTCCATTTTGAAATGATTTCCCTGGCAACAAAGGAAACAGCCAGTCTCCCCAGATGCCAGGACCTGCCTGATATGAAAATTGCCTTGTTGTAGGGCCAATAGGGATCATGGTTTCTAAATGCAACAAACTCACTTTAAAATGATCTATCCAATTCAGGGATAGGCTTTAAATGCTGTCTTCATCTTGTATTTATGGAAAACATAAAATTTTACTTTCCCACACAGAACCAAGGTGGTAGTTGACTTTCTAGAAGTTTATGGTGCCATCGGTTTCCTCTGATTATAAAAAACACAACATAAAGTGCTGCCTACGGAGATAGCAAAGGAAAAGGAACTCTTTGGACTTAAAGGTGAGCAGAGAGGCTAGGTAAGTGATGATTTTTATTCCCTTATCTTCCCAATACTTCCCCCCATGTGACTCCCCCATAAAACCCCAGAGTGTCCTAGATTTCATTAAGGTTAAAAGGCCATCTCCTCGCCTGAGTGACCTATAGAACTATCTCTAATTCCACCATTTGTAATACATTCCTTTGGCTAGATTCTGTCCTTTCCTGGCAGTCTCTTTTATTTATTTATTTATTATTTTTATTTTATTTTATTTTAAGACAAGAGTCTTGATCTGTCACACAGGCTGGAGTGCAGTGGCAGGATCTTGGCTCACTACAACGGGGTTCAAGCAATTCTTGTGCTTCAGCCTCCCAAGTAGCTGGGATCACAGATGTGCACCGCCATGCCCAGGTAATTTTTGTATTTTCAGTAGAGATGGGGTTTCACCATGTTGGCCAGGCTGGTCTCGAACTGTGGCCTCATGTGATCCTCCCACCTCGGCCTCTTGAAGTGCTGAGATTACAGGCGTGAGCCATTCATTGCTCCCAGCCCTGGCAGCCTCTTTTAAAACATAAATAACGTGAAAGCAGGTGAAAGTGGAAGCTCTTGCCAGTCTCTTAAACATTCCTGTGTGAATTACAGTAAACTGCATCCTGCTGGGAGTGCCCTAAAGCAGCACGCAGTGGAGAAACCTGGTAGTGAAGACACTGGAGGCTTCACATGTAGGGGAGTCTAGGGTGGGGCGAGGGAATGTGGGGATGCAGAGAACTCACCAGTGGACACTAGCCTAAGTGAGTTCCCTTCCACTGCAGAGATTCTAAATCTGATTCAAGAGATGGCTTAGAGAGCCAAACTCCCTGTCCCAAAGTGGAAAATGTTGTCATATATATATATACATATATTTTCCAAGTCCACAGTTTTTATCAGATTCTCAAAAGACTTTGATGTAGAAAGGTTATAGGTACTGAGGCCAGCTGACATTTTTCGAGGACTTTCTAGGACCCAGGCTCTGTGCACAATACTTTGCACACATTGGTTCACATAACTGCCCCTTCCTACAGGGAAGGAATTTTACTCCCATTCACAGATAGAGGAACTGAGGCTCAGAGTTGGTGAAACAGTGAATAATAATGATGATACATAAAAATATCAGCTCACATTTATTTAGTGCTTACTATGTCCCAAACACAATTTCTGTATCATCTGTATCCCAGGTCCCTCCTAGTTATGATCTTCACTAGGCACTGAGAATTTGAAAAAACTCACCCAAGGTCACAGAGCTAAGATGTGGCAGGTCCCGCTCCAGCTCTGTCGGGGTTTTATAAATGCTGTGATTCCACTCCTAACAAGTGCTTTGGAAATTCCCCCTTCCAGATCCTCTCAAGGCTTCCCCAGCCCTACTGCACACAGGTCGCTACAAGACTCCAGGTGCAATTGCTTTGCCTAAGGACACTGACTTTTCCAGGGTCTGGGACACCAGCGCCAGGTGCCTGCACTGCCATGTGCCTATGGACTCCACGCCTTGGTCTCAAGATAGACCACTTCACGTGGCATGAGTGTCACCTGAGCAAGAATCCAGCTTTGTCTTGGGCTAACTAAAAAAACAAAACAAAATAAAACAAAAAACTAGGAGCAGGAGACTAACAAAAAACAAACAAACAAACACTAGGAGCAGGAGACAGGGAGAATTTCATTCATTCCACAATTTCTGCTGAGAGCCTACTGGGTTCCAGGCTGTGCTCTGGGGGGATGGGGAAGGTTCACCTGGAATCAAGAAGGACTTGTCCCTGTCTCAAGGAGCTTAACTCATGTCTGGTCCTGGGCCCAAGACACAGCCCAAGAGCCCCCAGTCTTCATGACAGGACTGCACAAATCCCACCCTTTAGGAATGCTCATGATAGGGAGATGCCTCCTAAACTTCAGGTCCTCAGTGCGGCAAAGGCGGCAACTCACACAGCCCAAGTGGGGTAGTACTTAAGTGTCCCCAAAGTGTGGTCCCTGGGCCACTAGCATCAGCATCACCTGGAAACTTGTGAGAAATGCAAATTCTTGGAGCTTACCCCTGATATATTGTAGCAGAAGCTCTAGGTCCACCAATCTGCATTTTAAGAAGCCTCTCCCAGCCAGGCATGGTGGCTCACGCCTATAATCCCAGCACTCTGGGAGGCCGAGGCAGGCAGATCACCTGAGGTCGGGAGTTCGAGACCAGCCTGACCAACATGGAGAAACCCCGTCTCTACTAAAAATACAAGATTAGCCAGGTGTGGTGGCACATGTCTGTAATCCCAGCTACTCGGGGAGCCTGAGGCAGGAGAATCACTTGAACCCAGGAGGCGGAGGTTGCAGTGAGCCGAGATTGCACCATTGCACTCCAGCCTGGGCAACAAGAGTGAAACTCTGTCTCAAAAAAAAAAAAAAAAAAAAAAGCCTCTCTCTTCACCCCACCCTAGGAGGTGCTCCCTAAAACCATGGGCTTTGAAGAAGACAGCCCTAGGTTGGTGGCCTGACTGTGTAGTGGCCAGAATCATTCTGCCAGCTAGAGGAATCTCCGCCAACTTCAGTTTCCTGGCCTGTAAAATGGTGATAATAGCACGATTTTGCATTGTTTGAAGGATGATATGCGATATGGTTTGAATTTGTGTCTCTGCCCGAATCTCCTGTTGAATTGTAATCTCCAGTGTTGGAAGACAGGCCTGGTGGGCAGGTGCTTGGATCATGGGGATGAATTTCCCCCTTGCTGTTCTCGTGATAGTGAGTGAGCTCTCACGAGATCTGGTGGTTTAAAAGCGCGTAGCGCCGTCCCCTTGGCTCTCTTCCTCCTTCTCCGGCCATGTAAGACTGTGCCTGCTTCCCCTTTGCCTTCTGCCATGACTGTAAGTTTCCTGAGGCTTCCCCAGCCGTGCTTACTGTAGGGCCTGCAGAACTGTGAGTCAATTAAACCTCTTTTCTTTAGAAATGACCCAGTCTCAGGTAGTTCTTGATAGCAATGCAAGAACGGACTAATACAATGTGAGACATGAGGATTGAGCATCTGGCACGTAAGTACTCAAAACTGGGTGGCAATTGTTGGTATCTTGAGACTTCTGAGCTCTGCCTGCCTGGGGTTTCCAGCCAGCATCCTCCTCTGAGCTAGGCTGACCCCACTGTCTGGGTTAGGTGGAACTAAGGCTTCTGGGACCGGAAACTGTCACTGCTGAAACCAGAAAAGTCCCAAGCAAATTGGGATAAGTGGGTCATCCGACTCTGAGAGAGCAGCTCCCTCCCTGATGGCAAATGCATCTGACAGCAATACCTTAAGCCTACCCCGAGAATGACCTTGTATGGCAGATGCGCCTGAACGTGTGTCCTGAGCTAGGGAATCTGGGAGTGGTCATCCCAGAGATTCATTCCTTGTCTCTGAGGAACATCTGAGCCCCCATCCTGTCCCATGGAACACAGGCTATACAGGGGATGGAGGTCCCAAGTGTGGGTTGAATGAAGGTTGCCAGGCAGAGGTTGTTAAGGGGAGGGTGCCAAGTGAAAACGCTGTATAAGCTGCACGCCTTCAGCAAGTTGTTGCGGCTCCCCTGCCCAGCACACCACTGCTGGGCTCTCTCCACTGTATGTAAGCCCCCAGTAAAACCCTGTGTCTCATTTGCTGGCTCTGGGTCCCTTCTTTGGCCGCTTGAACCTGGTGCCATCCCCACTGGAGTCGACAGGGGTTCGGCACACTTCCCACCCCTAGACCCGTAGCAGCATGTAAGCATACACAGCTGAATTATTCGGTAGATGCAAAAGTTCGAGAGGCTTTTCCTTTCTGGAAAACAGCTCTGTACCACAGCCACCAAAATGTCATGTCACAGTTTCCCCATCAGCAGAGAAGCAAATTGTTCTAATCTATATCTGTCGCAGCAGCTAAGCCTGCTTATAATGAAGCATTATCCAAGCACTTGCTGGAGAAGGCAATTCTGACGGCTGGTGATTTAAACCACCTCCGTTAAGCTCCAACAAACAGAAACCCATAAAGAGGGATTTCACTAATTCACTGTAATGACCCGGAGACCCACCTGAATGCACCACATTATCAAAGGGACAAGAAAGATAATTATGAAAAGAAGAAGCTGGTAGGGATATAAATTTATCGGACCAGCCTCATACTTGCAGAGCAAGTTACAATGTAACCCAATGCCATGGGACTTTGCTGTGGTCTGTTGGTGGACAGGTAGAGAATCCAGAAAGAGCAGAGGAGGTGGGTTCCTAAACACCCCCTAGCCTCCCATCCTCCTTTCTCTGCCTTGGGGAGAAAATGGATAGAGGAAGGGGGTTGGAGTCTTCACCAGAGGCCAGATGAGTGTTCACCAGAGGCCAGATGAGTGTT
This sequence comes from Homo sapiens, assembly GCF_000001405.40. Taxonomy (NCBI): domain Eukaryota; kingdom Metazoa; phylum Chordata; class Mammalia; order Primates; family Hominidae; genus Homo; species Homo sapiens. The sequence continues at coordinate 14,655,146 of NC_000001.11, read as the reverse complement.
CACAAAGTGCAGCCCCTAGGCCAGGAGCAGCAGCACCACGGAACACATAAATCCTCAGACCCCTGGCCCAGACCTTCTGAGTCAGTAACTCTGGGGCTGGGCCCAACAGCTTAACAGGCTCTCCAGGAGGTTCTCGGGCTCACTCAAGTTTGAGAACCACTTGCCTGGGTCAGTGGGCCCCCCAGCTACTCTTGTTCAACAAAATGAACAGCTGCTCCAGAATCCCCCAGTTGCTTTAATTACTGATTCCATCCAAGACCTGGGTGAGAGTGTCCTCCTTGTACCTGTGGACACATGGGCCAGGCTGGCATCCCTGGAGAGGAGGGGACTATTCCTCCAGCCCTTTTCCAACAGGTGGGCTGGAGGTGTGAGAAGCTGCCAGCATGTCCAGTCTTGCACAGTACTTCTGTAAACATTAACCAAAGAAGCAACCAGGCCCAAGACGAAATCCCAAAGGCCTCAAAAGCAGCCACAAAGTGATCTCTGTCCAGGGAGGAGGAGGTGGATGCCCATCCTGGGGTGAACATACCTGTTTTCCACTGCAGAGGAGGCTCACAGTGTGACCTGGAAATGTGGGAGGCTGGGGTGGGAAGGAGACAGGTAAATTTAGGTGAGTGAGTCTTAAAGCGGGGGCTATTTTGCATGAAACTCCTCTCCTCCTGGTTCCTCCCCAGGACTGATACAGCAGAGCATGAGAGGCAGCGGGGGGATTTAGGGACCTCTTTCTGGGTTCTCTACCTGCGGCTGACTGTCCACCAACAGACTACAGCAAACTCCTCATGGCATTGAGTTAACCTGTAACTTGCTGTTCAAGTACATTGCTGGCAATATCTGGAGATTTTTTTTTTTTTTTTTTTTTGAGACGAAGCCTCACTCTTGTTGCCCAGGCTGGAGTGCAATGGCACGATCCCGGCTCACTGCAACCTCCACCGCCTGGATTCAAGCGATTTTTCTGCCTCCGCCTCCTGAGTAGCTGGGATTGCAGGCACCTGCCACCGCACCCAGAGAATTTTTGTATTTTTGGTAGAGACAGGGGTTTCACCATGTTGGCCAGGCTGGTCTTGAACTCTTGAACTCAGGCGATACGCCCGCCTTGGCCTCCCAGAGTGTTAGGATGACAGGCGTGAGCCATCGTGCCTGGCCTGGAGATATTTTTGGTTGTTATAATTGTGGGGAGAGGAAAGGGAATGCCACTGGCATCTGGTAGGCGGAGGCCAGGGATACTGCTAAACATGCTACAGTGTGCAGGGCAGCCCCACGCAACAGAGAAGTATCTGGCCCCAGTGCCAATAGCACTGCAGTTGAGAAAGCCTGATTTAGGTAAAGTATTCATTTTAGAGAACCCTTAGGTGCTCTTCAGGGTTTATTGCCAGATTTTGACTTAACCTTTATTCACTCTTAACCAATATTTATTGAATGCCTACTGTCTCCCAGGCACCATGTTGGTATTACAAGCCTTGACTCATTTTATCCTGAGAACAGAGGTCAAAACCCCGAGGGATGTGGCCTACGGGTGTGTTTTGTTTGGCTTGAACAGTGTTTTTTGTTTTTCATCCTTTTAAACAAATCTGGGATGAGTTATACACATTTAAAACTCAGGAGATTTCCTACAAAGTCCGGGCTTCCAGCTTTTATGGAAAACTGAGACCGGTCTGGCCGCCCCGGGCCTACATTCTCAGATGGAGCCAGCTGACTGGGGCTGGGTGGCCACTGCCTCCTTCAGGGACCCCATTGTCTCCCACGGGCCCCAACACGCCCCAGGGAGCTGGATCAACTGCCACTTATTGCTACCCTTGCCACCATACCTGGCACCTGCAGGCATCTGAGCTTATTACCTCTGCCTCATTTAAGGTTCCAAATTTCAGGCCCCACAATGTGTCCCAAACCTACACCTGTGACCCTTTGTTCATCCAGCCTCTTTCCCTCACTTTCCAATTCCTACTGGACCTCTCCAGAGAAGAATTTTTTCACAGATCCATGAATGGACTTGTTTCTGAACCACCCTCCAAAGGAGAAATGACCACAAACACCTATGACCTCAACAGCAGCATCAGCACAATCTCCCTGTTTATCTGTCCACTTCCCCTGCAAGACGGTAAGTTTCATATGGTCAGGAACTCAGTTATTTATCCCGGAGTCAGCAGAATTTCTCCAGCTTGACATATTACATTTAGGCCAGCTTTCTTGGGCACTGCAGTATGAGTAGCAGCATCCTTGGACTCCACCTGCCAGATGCCAGTGGCACCCCCCTCTCTCCCAGCTGTGACAACCAAAAATGTCCCCAATTGCCATGGGGGCGGGGTAGCAAAATCTCCCCAACTTGAAAATCATTAAACTGGTGTGTATGGCCTGGCACATAAGCATGAAATGTTTTCTGGATGCGTGGATGGGTGGATGAATGGATGGATGGATTAACGGATGGGTGGATGAATGAATGGGTGCATGGATAGGTAGATGGATGGGTGGGTGGATGGATGGGTGGGTGGGTGGGTGGATGGGTGGATGGATGGGTGGGTGGATGGGTGGATGAGTGGGTGCATGAGTGGATGGGTGGGTGAGTAGATAGGTGGATGAGTGGGTGGGTGGATGGGTGAATAGGTGGATGGGGGAGAGTAGATAGGTACATGGGTGGGTGGATAGGTAGATAGGTGGATAGGTGGATGGGCGGGTGGGTGGGTGGATGGATAGGCAGATGGGTGGGTGGGTGGTCGAATGAACCAACACATAAATATATGATGCTGAGACAGAGAAACAGGAGGAGGAAGAAGGTAGAAAAAATTCCAAGCTGCAGTCAAGTGAAAAATAATGAAGAATGAAGATAATATGATGACTCTGAAATGGCAATTTTAAATGAAAGCAAATTGGGTAAAAATATCACACAACTTTTCAGGGATGCCTCCAGTTGTTTAAAGTGAAGAGCACTTGTCACAGATTTATAACAGGATCAAAATTACATGCCTGGGCTAAGTCCTTGCAAACATAAAGATGCAGTGTCCTGAACAGAATTTGTCTTCTGCTGCTTAGCTTGTTTTGTTTTTGATTTTTCATTCCTGAAGGTGGCCCTCACATATGGCCTGGTGATCTGCCCTGTACAGACCTCATTTCAGTACCAAAATGTCCTGTTCTGTAGGAATTAATTTAAAGCAAAAGAAGGTAAAATTTGAAAAACTACAAACTGCTCAATGATTTTCCCCTTACAGGGACTATTTCCATCCCAAAAGGATTGTGTGGGATCATGGGTATCATTCGAACTACCTGTCTATTATGTGAAGAAGTTAGAAGGCGAGTAGGAAGCTTCCAGATTGAGCCACATTGGCCATTTAATCACAGCAGACTAAGACGCATTAACCAGCCATAAAAACTTCATGAGCTACATTATGCTTTGTCTTTTCTTCTAATGCTAGAGCTCACACGGTTCATCTTAGACCCTGCAGTTATTCTCGTGGGGGGAAAAAAGCCCCAGTCAAAATTTTGGAAAATAAATCCAGTCAAATGTTGTTCTTTTCAACAATGCTTCCATAGAATGAAACCCTCAAGACTGAGTCAATGGTTTTGTACCAGGTGATTCCTGCTTGTAGAAACATTCGTAGTTCCAGGGTCCACTATGGGGCTAAACTCTGACCTCTAATGATTCACAAATAACCTCCCCAACCTGGTAGGAAAAGTTAAGAGGAGACAGGGTGACCTCTCACATATTATCCACTATTCCTCTGATCCCTGCTAAATACCAGGGAAGACAGATGTCAAAGTTAAAGAAAACCTCCCCAATCATTACAGGCAAACTGACAAGAAACTCACAGGTATAGAGATCCCCCACTCACCCCTCCATCCTCAGAATGGAGAAGGCTATATGACTTCCTGCCATCAAAATAAGTCTAAATATTTCTCCTAAACACTGGAGCTAGTGAAAATCACATTCCATTTTCAACAATGGCTTCTTTCTCTCAAAGGCTCACAGAGCCAAGCATGGCAAGTTGAAAATGAGATGAGGAATTACCAGGAAGTGTTTGTGCTCTAATTGCAATGCCTAATTTGGTCATTTAGAGAGCAAACGATTTTATCTTAATGATGCTCTTGGGTTGAATATGTGTTGAATGAGCTTGAGTGACTTTCTCCGAATTCTTGAGATTCATGGAGTTTTAGGAAAGTCACTGCGGAGGTAGGTTCTCCTCTCCCTCTACCACACTTTCTTGCTCTATATGCATGGGTAGCATTTGGGAAAGTCAGTATTCAATTTGTTTTCTCCTTGATTTCCTAAACCACTTGCTTCCAACCTGGGGAGCCATGGACCCCATCAGGCCCTTGGTGTTAATTACATGGTCCAGAAACCCAGAAAAGCACCAAGCACTACCCTACCTATAGGTAGTGTTTCTAAATGCAATAGAAACATGTGCATGGTTTTCAATGCATCAGGAACCTGCTGACTAATAAAATGCAGATTTATGTAAAGCAATATTGAATTATCATAGCCTCCATGTTAGTTGGATTTTTCTTAGTCAAAAGATACTGAAAGTAGATCTACATTCTCATATACAGTATCAGAAAACCCTTCTGTTGGCTCTTGGTCCCATTGTGTCTTTTTTGTTTATCTGTTTGTTTTTGAGACAGGGTTTCACTCTATCCCCCAGGCTGGAGTGTGGAGTGCAGTGGCACGAACATGGCTCACTGCAGGTTCAACTCCTGGGCCCAGGCCATCCTCCTGCCTCAGTCTCCTGAGTAGCTGGGACAACTGCCTGGCTAATTTTTTAATTTTTAGTAGAGGTGAGGTCTTGCTATATTGTCCAGGCTGGTCTTGAATTCCTGGGCTCAAGCAATCCTTCCAGCTTGGGTTGCCAAAGTGCTGGGATTACAGGTGTGAGTCATGGTGCCCAGCCGTAAGTCTTTAATATGTATTTGGTTTAATGTTTCTTGTAAATTTTTAATATGTATTTGACATAATTTTATATGACTGAGCATGGCCCACAAAACCTGCTGGCCTACTTCCTTCCACATACCCACACCCATAAATACAGTAACTTCTGTCAATTACTTGCTGTGTGACTATGGGAAAATTACTAAACTTCTCTGGGCTTTAGTTTCCTTATCAGCAAAAAAAAAAAAAAAAAAAAAAAAAAGATGGGTGGAGGGGGAAAGATACCAGCACCCACTGTCACAGGACAGTTAAGAAGACTAAATGAGGTAGAATTTAGGTGCCAAGCCCTGTACCTGGCTTTTCTATAAATGGTGTCTCCCTAACCTTTACTTTCTTCCCTCTAATGTCATTCCACCAACGCACACTACATTACAAAGTATAAATAAAAAATAATTAGGTACCAAATATTCTTGGATTAATGGGATCATGATAATTATTAAAATAAGATGATGTTGGAGTGAGGTTTCTGGTTTTTCTCTCCATCTCAGCTTATCACAGTTCACGCTGCATTTTTTCCCCTAACTCTGAGCTCTAAACCACACACTGGGAGGCATTCCTAATTGACAGGCTTTGTTGGTCGCCTTGACATTTGGTCTGTTTCAAAGCAGATACTGCTTAAAGCTGTGTGTCTGGAAATGTACCAGCAGGCAAACCCTCAGACCTTCTTTCGGCTGCATGTGTTTATATACATCCTTGGTCACTGTAATGAGTAAAATGTGAACGTGGCCTATGACAATGGATCAATCAGGCTTTGAGGTGTAACGTGAACCGTTAGCCATTTTCCCAAGACCAACGACTCTGGAGAACACTGCCTGGGTTAAAACTTCACCTCTACTGGTTACCTGCTGTGTGACGATCCACAAGTCACTTAACCTCTCTGTGCTTAATTCCCCATCAGTAAAATGCAAACAACAATAGTGCCTCCCTCAACCCTAAAATATAAGTCAACAAATAGTCCTGGCATAAAGCAAGTTCTCTATCAATGGTATGTGGATTCGGCCTTCTGGAAGGATGTGAATCAGAGCTCCTTAGCCATCAATCCTTGGGAAGAGAACAAATCTTTACTCAGCTAAAAAATTCAGGGCCTGGCCACCACCAGGGCATTAATGTGGTGCCTGCACCAGGGCAACCAACCAGTCTCTGGTCTTCCATGCTGAGATCCAGTGGCAAACAAATCAGGGCACACTTCATTGTTCCAAGTGGTTTGGGAAATCATCCTGTAAAATCCAAATATGTGGACAGAGCTGATGAGTTCATTCAAATTCCTTTGCTGCCAGCTTAAAAGAACTGGGTGCACCAAACTGCCTATATTTAATGTGAAGATGTAAATGCAGTTGTCTAACCTAGGGCAGAACGTCTCATGCCCCAAAGACTCCAGTGACCATAGCCATTTGCAGCTCACCCAGGGGAGGGGCTGGTTCCCAATGGGACATGACCCAAAACACACAAACTACATTAGTGAGCACTATTATTTTTCCACTTTTACAGCAGGGACTCCCAATCTCTAACTCCTTTAAGTATTCACGGAAGGAACCACCCCTTGAAGCAAAGGTTCTATCCTTGTGTCTAATGGTCAACTTGGAAGTTGCTCCTAAGTCAAGTGTCCAAGTTCCAATCCCTCCTTATTACAACTCCAAGGAGAAACGTCAAGCCCAGCCTCTCTGCAGCTCTAGTTTTCCTGCCAACAATCTCATCTAAGGGACAGAGAGGAGGGGACAAGTCTGTTTTTTCCTTTAGATCAGCTAAAATCAGATGTCCTACCATTGCATAAGTTAAAAAAAAACACTTGTGGTTATTGATCAAAGAATCGATGCTCACTAAATGTCACTATTGAACATTCTGTTTTCAAATGTTTCTCATTTAGTTTCCAAGTAAGATTTCCTTTAAAAAATGTGTTCCATTATAAATTAATAATAGCACATTCCCAGCATGAAACATACAAGAAAGTTGATGGGGATAAACAGTCTCTATTCCCATGCCCAGAGTTAATCACTGTCAATAGTTTGCTGTGTTCCCTTCTCCCTGTAATTTTGTGTGCAATTTCTTGGTTGCGATCTTTACATAAATGTGATCATTCTGTCCAGACAACCTTCCTACCCTGCTTTCTTTACTTGGGCTTTTTGGCTTAAGCATATTTTCTGTGCTTCTGTGATGAGAGTTAAACTGAAAAAGTTCCTAAGGAAAAGTTCCTTCTTAACTTAGTTCAACAGTGGAGAGAAGGGAATGACCCTGACCTTGGCTGGGATAGTTGGGCAACAGAGGAAACAGAAAGGTCAGCTGGGAAGGACCTTGGCAGATCAGGAAGAGACAGGAAACGAATGGAGAATGATCACACCACCCTTTCTGTTAAGATTCCCTCTCTAGGTCCAACCATCTCGTTCCTGCAGAGTTGACCTTTAGGGGGTTAAGGTGCGGGAGAAATCACAAATTGGTGAACCCCAGAATATACCTAGATTACAGATTTGTTCTTTTCAGTCTGAATTTATTGCAGCATTTACAAAGTAGAAGGGGTCAAATAAAGATTCCGGTTAAGAGTTGCATTGAAAACATAAAATTTGCCAATACCAGGCCCCGATTCCCACACGGTAACAATTATGTAGATGACAGAAGGCACTTCAGTCTCCAGAGTGGGCCCAGGCTCTCTACCTGACTGCAGCCTGTTCTATCATTTACTTACCAGCCCAGAGTCTGCAACCCTCTGTCCTAAAGTAACCCCTGATCTTCCCCTGATGTTAAGATGATCCAGGAAACTCCACTACTGGTCCTTCTGTAACAATTGACTGGTCCTTCTGTAACTCAGCCTCCTAAAACACCTTTGGAATAGGCAAAGCTCTTTAGAAATAAAGATATGAACTACTCCACAATCTTTATCCTGGGCTAGAAAGTGTGTGAAGCAGAAAATTTAGCAAGACAGCAAAGGTGGTCTAGCGTGATGGAAGGCGTGTGGGTTTTGATTTCTTTTCATTACTTTTACATAATTCTGCAATTGGCTGCGGGCTGTTTTGACCATTATATTTTCATGCAACGGAAAAACTGCGCCCCGGGGTATGATTATTAAAATATGTTACTCTTCCATATTTAAATAGTGGAATGGCTTTTCTGAGCTCTAAAATGAGCCAAGGGAAATACCCAGGGTTTAAGATGTAAGTAAAATGTCGGCCTATTGTTGGAACCAATAACTGCCTGGACTCGGTCTTCCTCTGCCAAGTCATGAGTATGGGGTAACATGGGTGTGGAGAGAGGATATGGAGAAGGTAAGGGCTTCCCCCATCCACGTGCTGGAGCAGAAGCTCCTTTGCACAGGCTCACATGCCCTGGGGAACCCTGTCCTCAGGCATCTCAGCTTACACCGTGCTAATTCTTTGGCAGTTGTCACAAAGAGGCAAGGGAGAGAGACAGAAAGCAAAGGGGTCTCTGAGAAAGGAAACAACTAATGGGAAATTATTTAGTTGTAAATAATTGAAACATACTCAGACTAGCCAGTGATTCTCAACCAGTGACGCCTTGTTCCTATGGACATGGAGCCATGTCTGGAGACATTTTTGTTTCTCATAACTGCAGGCTGGGGGACACTGCTGACATCTGGTGGGTAGAGGCCAGGGATGCTATAAGCCCCCTACAAGGCATAGGACAGCCCCACAATAGAGAATCATCCAGCTGCAAATGTCAGCAGTGCCAGGGTTTGAGAAACCCTGCCATAGCCCAACAAAGGGGATACCTTGGTAAATGAGGTACAGATGATTATCCAGTTACCCCCAGCTTCCCTCACTATCACCATGCTTCTTTTCTGCCATAGTAATCATTTATTTGTTTTGTTCTGTTTTTGAGACAGTCTTGTTCTGTTGCCCAGGCTAGAGGGCAGTGGCACAACCATGGCTCAACTGCAGCTTTGACCTCCTAGACTCAAGTGATCCTCCTGCCTCAGCCTCCCAAAGTATTGGGATTACAGGCATGAGCCACGATACCCAGCCTAGGAACAGAGCTTTTTATGGTAAAGCTGATGTTTTTTGAGATGTATAAATCCATGAATTTAACAATGTATAGATTCACGTAACCTGCACTCAGTCAGGATATGGCCGGGGTCTATCACCCAAAGCACTCCCTGGACTGTCCCTTTATAGCCAGAACCCCCACTCCCCACCCCAACCCCTACCCTCTAGTGATCTTTTCTTATCAACTGGAGTTTTGTCTTATTAAGAATGCCATATACATGGAACCACAGACTATGTGACCTTTTGGGACTGTTTCTTTCTCTCAGCATAATGCTTTTGAGATTCAGCCACATTGTTTCATGTATCAATAATCCACTCCTTTTGAACATACCTCAAAATAATAAGAGCCATCTATGACAAATCCACAGCCAACATCATACTGAGAGGGCAAAAGCTGGAAGCATTCCCCTTGAAAACTGGCACAAGACAAGGATGCCCTCTCTCACCACTCCTACTCAACGTAGTATTGGAAGTCCTAGCCAAAGCAATCGGGCAAGAGAAAGAAATAAAGGGCATCCAAATAGGAAGAGAGGAAGTCAAACTACCCCTGTTGGCAGACGACATGATTCTGTATCTAGAAAACACCATAGTCTTGGCCCAAAAGTTCCTTCAGTTGATAAACAACTTCAGCAAAGTTTCAGGATACAAAATCAATGTACAAAAATTACTAGCATTCATATACACCAACAATAGCCAAGGCAAGAGCCAAATCAGGAAGGCCAGGGAGGTGACAGATCTCTAGAATGAGAATTACAAAACACTGCTCAAAGAAATCAGAGAAGACACAACTAATGGAAAACTATCCCCTGTTTATGGATAGGAAGAGTTAATATCATTAAAATGTCCATACTGCCCAAAGCAATTTACAGATTCAATGCTGTTCCTATCAAACTACCACCAACATTCTTCATAGAACTAGAAAAAACTATTTTAGAATTCATATGGAACCAAAAAAGAACCCAAATAGCCAAGGCAACTTCAAGCAAAAAGAACAAAGCTGGAGGCATCATGTTACCTGACTTCAAACTATACTACAAGGCTACAGTAACCAAAACAGCATGGTACTGGTACAAAAACAGGTACACAGACCAATGGAACAGAATAGAGAGCCCAGAAATAAGGCTGCACACCCAAGACCACCCAATCTTCAACAAAACTAACAAAAGTAATGGGGAAAAGACTCCCGATTCAATAAATGGTGCTGGGGTAACTGGCATATGACTATATGCAGAAGATTGAAATTGGACCCCTTCCTTACACCATATACACAAATTAACTGAAGACAGATTAAAGACTTACATGTAAAATCCACAACTATAAAAATCCTGAAAGACAACTTAGGCAACACCATTCTAGACAAAAGAACAGGCAACGATTTCACGACAAAGACACCAAAAGCAATCACAACAAAAGCAAAAATTGACAAATGGGATTTAATTAAAGAGCTTCTGCACAGCAAAAGAAACTATCAACAGGGTAAACAGACAACCTATAGAATGGGAGAAAATATTTGCAAACCATGCATCTGATAAAGGTCTAATGTCCAGCATCTATAAGGAACTTAAACAAATTTACAAGAGAAGGCCCGGCACGGTGGCTCACACTTGTAATCCCAGCACTTTGGGAGGCCAAGGCAGGCGGATCACGAGCTCAGGAGATCAAGACCATCCTAGCTAACATGGTGAAACCCCGTCTCTACTAAAAATACAAAAAATTAGCTGGGTGTGGTGGCAGGCGCCTGTAGTCCCAGCTACTCGGGAGGCTGAGGCAGGAGCATGGCGTGAACCTGGTAGGCGGAGCTTGCAGTGAGCCGAGATCACACCACAGCACTCCAGCCTGGGTGACAGAGCGAGACTCAGTCTCAAAAAAAGAAGAAAAAAAAAAAAACAAATTTACAAGAGAAAAACAGACAATTCTATTAAAAAGTGGGCAGGCGGGCGTGGTGGCTCATGCCTGTAATCCCAGCATTTTGGGAGGCTGAGGCAGGTGGATCACCTCAGGTCAGGAGTTCAAGACCAGCCTGGCCAACATGGTGAAACCCCATCTCTAATAAAAATACAAAAAGTAGCTGGGCGTGGTGGTGGGCACCTGTAATCCCAGCTACTTGGGAGGCTGAGATGGGAGAATTGCTTGAACCCGAGAGGTGGAGGTTGCAGTGAGCGGAGATTGCGCCACTGCACTCCAGCCAGGGCAACAAAGAGCAAAACTCCATCTCAAAAAAAAAAAAAAAAAAAAAAAAAGTGGGCAAAGGACATGAATAGACATTTTTCAAAAGAAGACACACATGTGGCCAAGAAGAATATGAAAAAAAAGCTCAATATCACTGAGCATTAGAGAAATGCAAATTAAAATCTTAATGAGATACCATCTCATACTGGTCAGAATGGCTATTTATTAAAAAGTAAAAATATAACAGATGCTGATGAGGTTGCAGAGAAAAGGGAACTCTTATACACTGCTGTTGAGAGTGTAAAATTAGTTCAACCATTGTGGAAAGTGGTATGTCAATTCCTCAGAGAGCTAAAAGTAGAACTACTGTTCAACCCAGCAATCCTACTGGGTATATACCCAGAGGAATATAAATCATTCTACCATAAAGATACATGCACGCAAATGTTCACTGCAGAACTATTCACAATAGCAAAAGACATGGAATCAAACTAAATGCCCATCATTGACAGACTGGATAAAGAAAATGTGGTACATAAACATCATGGAATACTATGCAGCCATAAAAAACGAGATCATGTCTTTTGCAGGAACATAGATAGAGCTGGAGGCCATTATCCTTAGCAAACTAATGCAGGAACAGGAAACTGAATACCACATGTTCTCACTTATAAGTCAGGGCTAAATGATAAGAACACATAGACACAAAGAAGGGAAAAACAGACAATGGGGTCTACTTGAAGGTGGAGGGTGGGAGGAGGGAGAGGAGCAGAAAGGATAACTATTGGGTGGGCTTAATACCGAGGTGATGAAATAACCTGTAAGGCAACTCCCCCTCGTTGTGACACAAGTTTACCTATATACCAAACCTTCACATGTACCTCTGAACCTAAAATAAAAGTTAAAAAAAATCCATTCCTTTTTATTGTGGAGTCATGGTTCATCTGTTCATTTGCTGAAGAATGTTTGGGTTGTTTCCAGTTTGGGGTTATTATGCACAGAGCTGCTAAAAACATTCACAACATACAGGTTGTTGTGTGAACACAGGGGTTTATGTACCCGGGAATGCAGCTGCTGAGTCACATGGTGGATAGATGTTTCACTTTATAAGACAGTGCCAAATCTCTTCCAGAGTGGCTGCACCAATTTATGTTCCTATAAAAGATCCAGTAGCTCTGTATCCTCATCAGCACTTAGTATTGTCTGTCTTTTTCATTTAGGCCATTTTTTTTAAACCCTTATATTTTTGTTTTTAAACTGACAATAATCGTTCTTTTTCAGGGGATACAGTGGTATTTTTATACATATAATGTATCAGATCAGAATAATTAGCATATCAATCATCTCAAATATTTATCGTTTCTTTGTCTTGGGAACATTCAATATCTTCCTTCTAGCTATTTGAAACTGTATCATATATTATTGTAAACTATAGTTATCCTACAGTGGCATAGAACACTAGAACTTATTTCTCCTATTTACCTGTATCCTTTAACACATCTCTCCCTATCTATCCCTTTCCCCAACCCCTCCAGCCTCCAGTATCCTCTGTTCCACTTTTTACTTCTATGAGATCAGCTTTTTAAAGCTTCCACACATGAGTGAGCACATGCCGTGTTAACTTGATGGGTGTTGGTATCTCACTATGGTTATTTATTTATTTATTTATTTTTTGAGATGGAGTCTCACTCTGTCACCCAGGCTGGAGTGCAGTGGCGTGATCTCAGCTCACTGCAACCTCCGCCTCCCGGGTTCAAGCAATTCTCCTGCCTCAGCCTGCCAAGTAGGTGGGACTACAGGCACGCGCCACCACGCCTGGCTAATTTTTTTGTATTTTTAGTAGAGACGGGGTTTCACCGTGTTAGCCAGGATGGTCTCGATCTCCCGAGCTTGTCATCTGCCCGCCTTGGCCTCCCAAAGTGCTGGGATTACAGGCTTAAGCCACCATGCCTGGCCTCACTGTGGTTTTAATTTGCATTTCCCTCATAGCTAATGATGTTGGGCATCTTTTCGAGCTTCTTTGTCATCCATATATCCTCTTCTGCAAAGTATCCTCTTGAGTTCATGTCTTTTGCCAATTTTTAAAATGGACTTGTCTTCTTGATGTCTGAGTTTGAGAATTCTTTATATATTCTGGATACATATCCTATGTCACGTACGTGACTTGCAAATATTTCTCCCCAGTTTGTAGCTTGTTGCTTCATTCTCTTACCAGTGTTTCTTGCAGAGAAGAAGTTTTTAATTTTGATGAAGTCCAATTTAATAAATGTTGTTGGTCATGAGTTGTGCTTTTGGTGTCGTGTCCAAGTGTAATGGAACTTTCAAGTGGCTCATGGCCACACCTCGCCTTTCTCGTAACGAAGGGTGGTATGTGACCAAGTTTTCTGGTCAATAGACTGAACAGGGTGTTGTGTTCCAGAAATCCTCCTGAAATTTTGGTTGGTAGACTTTCCCTGGCTGCTTCTTCTAGTCTCTTCCATTTTGTTTTTGGGGGTGGGGTGGTGACAGCTGGAGCACCACCTTGAGGCACAGAGATGCAGGCCACACCGCAGGCATGGTCTGGTGGGGAGACGGAAGTCATCGTGTGCTTGAGGGCTTGTGGAGCCGAGCCTCATGCCAATCCTGCATGGCCTGCTACTGGCTTTTAGGGGAAGAATAAGAAACTTCCATTTTACTTAGACTACTGTTATTTTTTATTTTCCATCATCCTGGGCCAAATCTAGACCAACTGGATGCAGGGATATCTCATGAAACTCATCTAGGTGTCATGTAGACCATGGGAGCTAAACTGATCATCTGAGGCTTTTGCCTGGCCAGTCTACCTCCTTATTTTGATAACATCAAAATATTCCTCCTGATCCTGGTATTCCCACCTCCCTATATTGCTGGGATAAAATCATATGGTTTGAGAGAGGCTGACTCTACTTCTTAGCTCCATGACCCAGCCTGACCAATCAGATTTACAGTGGAATTGCTTCAATGTTCTGCAAATGAATGACCCAGGACTTCTGCTGGGACTGTTGGGAATGATGCCCTGTGGTTCATCTGGGGATACGCATTCATGGTTACCAGCAGTCATTTTGCCACTGAAGAAAGGGCCTGCCCAAGAATACAGCCAGCTCAAAGAAGAGCAGAGCCAAGAGGTGCACAGGGATGTGCTGGTGGAAGTGCAAGAGACTCTGATCAGGGACGTGGGAGGTCAGCAAGCCTTTCCAAACAGAGAGGCGCTGAATCTGAGACCTGAAGCAAGAAGAGGAGTTAAGCTGCTAAAGGGGTCAGAGGTGAGGGGATGGACAGTGAAGGCAAAGAGTTATCCAGGCAGAACAAATGGCATGTGCAAAGTCCCAGGGGCAGGCTGACTGCCAGGGAGGAGTAGCTAGAGCCCAGGTTGCACCTTCTAGTTTGGATTGTGCTTTGCAAGGAAAGGGTGGGATCCCTACCAAGTTGCAGCTCTCTGGGTTCTTGCTAAGGACCCTGCAGAGTGCTGGATGAGTACTTCTGGAAAGAACTAAGACAGGAAGTTACTAAGCATGGAGGGAGGTGACACTGGAAACCCAGGATAGAAACCAAGTATAGCCAATCTCTCCAATGCCTGTCCCCTGCTAATGGCTACAGTTAGGGACCTGAATACCCACTGCCCTGGGACCACAGGCTGCCCTGGACCCTGTGCAATCATGAAAAGACAGGAACATGTTAGAGGCCCTATATGGAGTGATGAAAATTCAACTTCTTGCCTCCTCCATGGCAACAGAATGGAGGCTTATTCCACCTGCAATGGAATCAATAGTATCAGAGCATATTCCAGCAGGTCCCAGACGGTTGAAACCTGGCACACACAAATTAGGCAGCTCATTAGGCCATGATTTTATTAAGCAGTATCTAATATAGTGAATAATTTTGAGCTTTATTATCTAAAATATAAAGGGGTATTTTTAAACTTAGTTGAGCAGCAGATGGGGTTTTTAAAAATATTGCTGTTTCAGGCCCAACAAACCCAGAGCATTTCTCGAACAACCTTTTGTGGATTTCCAGTTTCCAAGCTGTGCCCATGGTCCTCCCTCTCCACAACCACCTAGCGTTGCTGAGCCACCATCATGCCGCAGGGAGAAGTCCTCAACTGTGGCTGCACACCACCTTCTCTGACCTCTTAGGTACGGGAAAGTGGGGATTACAAATCCTGGGAGTCGGCGAGGTTCACAGCTGCTCGATGGAGACGAGGAGCCCTGCAGGCAGCAGCTGGTGGCCACAGCGGGTGTGCACCTCCCTTCCATGCCCTGGATGGCTAAAAAAATCAAAAGAGATGGGTCTGAGTGTTCAGTAGCCACGAGGATTGATCAACTGCAGTCCATCTACAAGTCTATCCTAGGTGTTGCCTATGGAATTAGGGGAGGAGAAACAGTAGAGATGGTAAAAAAAAAAATTGCTGAAGTTTACAAACAGCTTGTGAGAACAAAGGTCAGAGGACTGAGAAGGGGAGGAAGCCACTCGGCCTCTCCCGTGAACCTTCTAAGCCCGGCTCACCCTACAAATGGCCTCTACTCCATAGGGCATTTATACTGCCTCAAACAGGTCTATGGCCATGGTCCCCACTGTGCCCTATGGGGACAATTTCCAGACATTCAGCACCACAGGGGACATTTGACCACTCAAAGTGTTGATGTTCAACATTAATTTTTAATGTCTCAGAAAACCATTAAGCTGGTTTGTATTCTGCATCGCATTTTTACAGCTGGTCAATTCGTTTCCCGCTTGGAGAGGGCTGGGGACTCTCAGTGGGGATATTGACAGATTTCCCTGCCCTGTTCAAGGTTTAAATGGGAGGTCCAAATGGGAGGTCTCCCCTTCTCACTCTGGCTTCTGTCTGCTGGACTCTCTTGGGCCCAGAGCCCTGACCGAGTGCATCAGCCTCTGGGGTCCATGGATTTGGGGTGGTGTCTGTCCAGCCTTTCTGGCAGGTGGAGCCACACCAAGGGTGCACGGAAGAAAAGACATGAAAGATGCGTTTCAGGGACTGAGGCAACTTCAGGATGGCTGCAGCCCATTGTGTATGGTGGAAGGTAGCACTAGATGATGCCAGAGAGGTAAACTGAGGAAGGGTTGGAGGACAACAGGGAGCCACTGAAGGGTGTTGAGCTGAGAAGTAACAAGCACAGGTCACTGATTTAGAAGATGGGCTGCCGGCTGAGGATTAGCTGGGTGGAAATGGGTGGGATGGGGGACTGCAGAGTGTGGAAGGCAAGAAGCAAGGAGATCAGAGGGGAGGTGCTGCTGTCTGTCCAGGAGACAATTGATGGCGGCCTAGATTGGGAGAGTGGCGGTGAAGATGGAGAAGCGGAAGGAGGCAAGACCCGTTCTAGCGGCACACTCAATCCCATCCTTCAGAGAGGCCCATCTCCCTGCTGCCTGCACAAACATACACGGTCATTTCCCACTGCGGGCAGGGTCTTCCCCTTAGAGTTCTCAACAGGACAACCCTTTTTGTTTTTTTTTTTTTGTTTTTTTTTTGAGACGGAGTCTTGCTCTGTTGCCCAGGCTGGAGTGCCGTGGTGCAATCTCAGCTCGCTGCAACCTCCGCCTCCCAGGTTCAAGCCGTTCTCCTACCTCAGCCTCCCGAGTAGCTGGGATTACAGGCATGAGCCATCACACCCAGCTAATTTTTGTATTTTTAGTAGAGACGGGGTTTCACCATGCTGGCCAGACTGGTCTCAAGCTTCTGACCTCAGGTGATCCGCCCGCCTCGGCCTCCCAAAGTGCTGGGATTACAGGCAAGAGTCACCACGCCCCACCACCCCAGTTATTTTTTGCGCACGTGCACACACGTTGTGGGTTGAATGGTGTCCCCCCCAAATTCATGTCTACAGGGAACCTCAGAATGTGGACGTATTTGGAAACAGGGTCTTTGCAGAGGTGATTCGTTGAGACGAGGCCATCCTGGATGAGGGTGGGCCCTGGTCTAATGACTGGTGTCCCTGTGAGAAGAGGAGAGGACACACGGAGACGAAGACACATAGGGGAGAGCGCCAGGTAAAGACAGAGACAGGGACTAGAGTGATGAGAGTGTGAGCCAAGGACGCCAAGGAATGCTGGCAGCTGCCAGAGACGGGGAGAGAGGTGTGGGATAGTCTCTCCCCCAGACCTCCCAGAATGAGCCAACCCTGCTGGCACCTTGATTTTGGATTTCTGGCCTCCTGGACTGTGAGAGAATAAATCTGTGTTGTTTGAAGCCTCCCAGTTTGTAGCACTTTGTCACAGTAGCCCTCAGAAACTGATAAAATGATAAAATATGCACACACACATATATATGTACATCTATACATATTTTTTTTCTTTTTTTAGGTCCCCACAAGAGCACACACACATATATTTATGCAGGACAGTGGTTCTTAACCCTCACTCCCCATACAATCACCAAAGGAACTTTAAAAATAACACCCGCCCCCACACACACACTCCCACTTCATCCAGGAGTAATTAAACCAGAATCTTTGGTAGCTGGAACCAGACGACTCTACAGAGGGCCAGCCTTGAGAAGAGATTATCTGAGGAGGGTGGTGATCAAAAGGATAGGATCTTTAGTCAAGCCACCTTTGTCCCCACCCTTCTCCACTGTGTGCCCTTGGCAAGTCATGTGACCTTTCCGAGCCTCAGTTTTCCTCATCTGTGGAATGGGGATGATAATCCTACCTGCCCCCTCCCGGCCCCCAGAATTGCTGTGGCACTGAAATAAGTTAATGTAAGCAAAGAACTCAGCTCAGTGCCCGGCATCTAGAAGGCTCTCAGTAAAGTGAACACAAATATTATTGTATTCCTTTGAATACCATGATGTCAACAGTGTGCCTCTGCCCATCATTCCCATTTACATCACCCCTTACACTTTCTGATGAGCTGCTGCACGCGTTTTTCTGGCTCCATTTTCACTGCGCACCTCCCATTACACACCCAAGGTATGGAGGGAGAGAATATGCAACGGCCAACCACAGGAATGAGAAAGTCAGAAAAGGGGCCCTGGGCTCTCTGGGCAGCCTGCATAAACTGTCAGCTCAGATTCCTGGGTAACCATGTCCAGCCCTCCAGAGGTCTCCTTGGAAATTATAGCTTTTAAGGTTTCCTTTGGCTGTGACATGTCTGAACTTCAGGTCGAATTTCCCCTCCAACACATCAGCTTGCATTTGGAGCAGGAGGGTAAGATCACTTTGGTTATTTCCTCTTTTGATTCCCTTTGGTCTTATTTCTCCCCTCCTAAGGAGGATGGTATCTCACAAATTAGCTTCATTCAAAAATCAAATTACCATGCTGTTTAGATTCCCCTTGCTCATGATTAGCCGTAAAGCCAGGGCTGGGATCTGCTGAGGAAAGAACTCGCCTCCTTGCAACTTGGAGCGAGCGTCTCTCACTTCTTTTGTGGCCTCATGCATCAGGCTGCCTCAGTTTCCCTGTCAGGTGGAGGAAATGACGGTCCCTATTTCAAGAGACTGAGGGGTGAATCAAATGATGCCACACAGGTGAGATGTGTCCAGAGCAGTGCTGGGACCCAGTGAGTGTTCCGTGTCAGCCGCTGCTGTCACTGTCATAATTAACACAGTTTTAAGCGACATAGGAGAGGCAGAAATGCTCGATGAACACAAAGAGCCCTCTATCCAAAGGGCTCAAGCATGTCTGTCTATCTCACCTTCCTCTGAGCTGGGGGTCAGACAACACTCTCTCCATCTAGAGGTCACAGAATCCAAGTTATTCTCCACCAGCACCTAGAGAGGGGGACCACTGAGTTTGATTTCAAAGTTACAATTAGGAATTTCAGAGCAGAATGGTAATTTACATCTAGCCCCACCCCCTCACTTGACAGATGAGGAAACTGAAGCCAAGAGACGGAGGTGCCTTGCCCCAAATCACCCCATCTCATAAGCATTAAGGGTTGGAACCAAACCCAGTTGTTCTGGTGGCCAAGCCTGGGCTCTACTGACACCCTCTCTTCAACTCTTTTCCCAGTCCTCCCCGCTTTCAGTTGGAATTGTTTCATTGAGGTTGGTGTTGAAGTGTGGAGGAGGGGAGTAGAGTATATTTTTACTCCATCCTTTACTCAACAGCCGTGATTTTCCATATGCCCACAGACCTGGGTGTAAACAGAAACTGCCAATGGGGTAAAACCAGTCAATGTGTTTAGAACTGATGTGTCATGAGATAGCATGGAATTCAGGGTTTCTGAACCTTGGCACCACTGGCATGCTGGGTAGAGGGCTGGCATGTGCACTGTCTTAGGTGTTTATGGGCCTCCCTGGCCTCCACCCACTGGATATCAGCAGCACCAGATGTGGCCAAATGGCCCCAGTTGAGAACCACTGGTCTAGTTATTTCAGACCAGCTACAACACACAGATCGCTATACCTGAAGCACGCAGCTCTCTTAAGTGCAGGTGGTGTTGCATCTCCAATGATGCCCTGAGAGAACGTGGCAGAGGGAAAGAATTGCTCGGGGCAGCCTAAGAGACATCATCATTGGTAACAGCAGCAGCAGTAGCAGTCATCGTAATCGCGTTAGTACAGAGGTAGAACAGCAGAAGCCAGTCTGGACCTAGAGCCGCGAGGCACCCAACACTGACCCAGGCACTGGACAGGGACCTCCCTGCACCTCTCATAGGGTATGAGGGGACTATCCCGTGCACTGTCACACAGCAATGTCTGGAGACATTTTTGGGTGTCACATCCACGGGCAAGTGCCAGTGATACCCAGTGGGTGGAGACCAGGGATGTTCATAAGCCCCTATGCCAGTGCACAGGACAGTTCCCTACCCCAAATAGGACACTTAGAGCAGGTGAAGGACTAGCCCAACAACGCCCAGTGCTAGGGCACAGCAGCGTGGATGTCCGCATTTCAGAACTGTGCACCTCCCTAATCCATTCCACCACCTCATTGAATTAACAGCAACGCAAAGCTCACGTTCACTGAATACTTAGTCTGCACCAGTACAAACAACTTGGCATTCAACCTAACCCCCTGATGCCCTTCCTGCAACACCTGTGGGGTGGGTACCATTCCCTTCCCCCTCATCATTTTATGGACGGGGAAAATGACATTTGCTGTTTGGGAACTTGTCCAGGTGCATTCAGCCTTTAGAAGGCAAAGCTGAGCTCTACCCTGTGCAGTCACACTTTCAGCCCAATTCCTGAGCCATTTACCTCCGAGACATGTTTTACGTGCATATAATAACTAAGGGCAAATCCTAAAACCCACCCACCCCTGAGTGGATTCCTGCTGAGGAAGAGGTGTTCACTGATTGCAGAAGAAAAACGGACTGTGCATTCTGTGCATTCCTGCCCTGGGAAACTTCTCTGCTGGTCAGCACCTTTTGACCCTCAGGAGCCTCTCCAAAGCCTACCATGAGCTCTCAGAAGGCAACTCAAGTAACAAAGCCAGCCTGTCCAGGAGCCACATAAACAGGATGTTACTGAACGGGTAGGGGAAGCAGCTGAGCTGTCCAGACCCACAGAACGTGGCCGAGAACTCCCCACAGCTGACAAGAGCTGAGCTACTCCATGCTATTGTATTGTTATTCTCTTGAATGATCAGAAATGAGAAGCAATGATGGACCTTATTTGCAGTGCTGCAGGCTTCCAGATGCAGCTAGGTATGTGTAAATAACTGGATATTTACACAACCTCCTGCTAACGTATCATCCATTTTTAAAGACAGATTCTCCGTGTACGGTTATGAAATGAAAATTTTTTAAGACAAAAGAGAAAAATCCTCAGTGATCTTTCAGCTTTTATTGGCCAGGCTTGATAAAAAATGAAGTTGGGAGGTATTTGATACATACTCGTGGGGACAGGGTTCTTGGGGAAGGAATAGTTCAAGTGCCAATATGGTGTAAATGTGGTATTTTGTGCACTAGCTGAATTACGATAAACGGCATCCATTGCCTTATAGATACACACACATAACTCCTTGTGACAGTAATAGGAACTAGGCATGCAAAGAGAGGGAAAAGAATGGGTCCCTCTCTGCAAACCCTATATTTATATTTAACATGATCTCCAGCTCTCTGCAGTTGTTGGACCCTGCTATTGAGACCCTCAAACACAGGTAGGCACCAGGGCACCAGAACAACCCCATTTTGTCAGGTTCTATTGTAAGCAATTGTGGTATTTTTCATCTCTCTCCAAATTGTCAGCCTTTAAATAAATATATATATATAGAGAGAGAGAGAGAGAGTGCGCGCGCAAATGCTGTTTCTACCAGGTGTCGAGCCAGGCTCTCTCTTAACCAATATAATGGGTACTTATTTTCATAATCATGTCCCCAAGGCACTGTAGGAGCCTCAGTATCTTCTGAATCCTCAGAGAGAGGATGGATAATGTTCTGTGAGTCTGAGAGTCGAGGACTGTGTGTCATTCTAATGCTCAGCAGAGTGAATGGCTGTGTAAGTTTCCTATAGGCTGCTGCAACAAATCACCACAAACTTAGCGGCTTCGAGGAACACACATTTATTATCTGACAGTGCTGGAGGTCAGAAGCTGGAAAGTGGGTCTTGGGGGCTAAAATCAAGATGCAGACAGGGCTGTGTTTCTTCTAGAAGCTCTAGGGGAGAATCCAGTTCCTTGCCTTTCCCGGCTTCTAGAGGCACCCACACATTTCTTGGCTCAAGGCCCCTTCTAGCAATGGCATCTCTCTAACCTCTGCTGCTGCTGTCACACGGCCTTCTCTGATTCGGACCCTCTTGCCTTCCTCTTACAAGAACTCTTGTGATGACATTGGGTCCACATCTCAAGATCCTTAACAATCCCATCTGCCATACAAAGTTTTGGGGACTTGAGCCTACCAGTATCTAATAACCAGAAGATCTGACAATATTAAGTGCATTTTGGCCGGGTGCGGTGGCTCACACCTGTAATCCCAGCACTATGGGAGGCCGAGGCAGGTGGATCACTTGAGGTCAGGAGTTCGAGACCAGCCTGGCCAACACAGTGAAACCCTGTATCTACTTAAAATACAAAAATTGGCCAGGCACGATGGCAGGTGCCTGTAATACCAGCTAGTCAGGAGGCTGAGGCAGGGGAATCGCTTGAATCTGGGAGGCGGAAGTTGCAGTGAGCCGAGATGGCGCCACTGCACTTTAGCCTGGGTGACAGAGTGATACTCTGTCTCAAAAAAAAAATAAATAAAGTGCATTTTGTCCTTCCTCCCAAACAGGAGAGTGTCTACAGTGACTCTTCCAATCCTGTACTGGTGACAAATGTATTCAGGTCACGCCACGGTCCACACCTGGCTCAGTGTGGAAGAAGAGCATCAACAGAGGTGGCCAAGGTTAGGGCTGCAGAGGGTACCTGCGGGATGAAATCAAACAAGCGGATTTCTGCCAGGTTTACACTTGCGGTCTCAGTTTCCTTTGTTAGTCCTAGCTGAGAACAGTGCAAGTTCATTTGGAAGAAAGGAGATGATTACCTGTAGCCTTTGGGTGGGCAGGAAAATGAGTAGAATTCCAATGAGTGAATTAAAAAAAAAAAAAAAAAGCCCAAAAGAAAGGATTCTCCTGCTGGGCACTTGTTTAATGTTCTCAGAAAAGTTTAGAACTTCTACCATAAATCTTCAGTGCACTTACTCTTCTCAACACAGACTATTCTTCATTATTTATATGTCACTAATCTAACTTTTACCATAGAAGCGTTTTCTGATGTTGACATGTTGACAGCAGGGTAATTCTTTCCACAGCAGAAGGATTCTTCTCTATACAAAAGGATTCCCATTGAATTCCCTTAAAAACCAACCATGAAAGGGATGTTATGCTTCATACAAAGTTTGCTTTAAAATAAAAACAAGGACCTTTAATGCATTCAAAACATGTTTTGACTGATAAAATTATTGTAAGCATTCCCCTGAGGCTCCAAGCCCGTCCCCACCCCAGAAAGCCTTAGCTCCAGTAAGTGAGGTGTACCTGTACACGATAAGGGGAAAATGAGAATTACAGCAAAGCCCCCCAGAAACCTGGAATTGCAATGAAGGTGTTTCACATAAGCTGTTCCCTTTCCTGCTTTTTAAAAACTTAGCAGTTTGGCAATCATACTTTGGTTTGACAGGGAAGTGTGAAAATGTGTCATTTTGTCTTCTCCAAACTTCTAAATCCAATCAAAATAACATTTATTCAAAGCTGGGGGGTGCTTGCCAGAATTTGTTGTGTGATATTAAGAGAGCTGACCCCAGATGTCTCTCACTGCTTTTTCTTTCTTCTGGTATAAAAACAACACAGAGCTTCAGATACACAACCCCCAAAGGTACATTTCACCCGAGAGCTTCCTCGCCAACACGAGGGGAGCAGCTACCTGGGGATGTTCATCACTTCATTCCCTGGGAAAAATCCCAGCAGCTGAAGGATGAAGGCTCATGTGCTCCCGCCCTCTCTCCAGCATGCAGTGTGATGCGAGAAGCTGCAACGTGCATAATCTAGAGTCACATGTCTCTGCTGTACCGTGGCGGGGCCACCAGCTGGACACCTGAATGTGATCCTCCCAAGGTAGCAGCAGGCCCTGGGGTGAGAGGTAGCAGGATCGGGGCTGGAGGGCCTGGCCTGCGTCTCTACACCACCACTCACCAGCAGTGCCATCTCTTTCCACCTGTGCCACCTTTCTGAGGCTCAGTTTCTCCAGGTGTCATGAATCAGATAGGATTTTGGTTGTGATTGATGGTAATTCCCAGCCCTAGCCTCAGAAAAAGACCGTATGGGTGTATGTAACTAAAATGTCCAAGGATGGGGGCTTGATCCAGGCTCAAATTATTCTAGCCTTCACTGTTTCCTGGCTCATACTTGGTGCTCCCTACCTTGTGATGCCAAGATGGCCGTGGCAGCTCCGCCCTTTTAATCTCTTAGATCCCAGCGCAGAGGGGGTCACTTCCTAGTAGCTTTCCATAGCAGCTGTTGGATTCACTCTGATTGGATGCTGATGGACCTGTCTCTGAACTAGTAACTGTGAATACAGGATGAGGCAGCAGGGTAGGGGATGTTCCATGAACCTCTCAGCCTAAGAGTCAGGGAAAAATGGATCCCCAGAGCAAAACTGGAGGCTGCTGCTAGAAGATCAATACGCTTGGATGAAGGGGTAATCAACGTATACTAGTTATGAAATTATGTTTTAAACATATTGATTTTTACTTTTATTGTGCCCTTATTGACTTTATCCTATAGCAATCTTTGCAACAACCCTTCAAAATAAGGCATTATTACCCCCATTTTATTGATGAGAAAACAAAGCTTCAGAGAGGTTACGTGTCTTCCCCACAGTCACACAGCCCAAAAGCAGCAGACCTGAAGTTTGAATCCAGGCTTGTCTGATTTCAGAGTTCATGACTTCTCTGCTAGGCTACACTGTTGAACTGTGGTCCACTTGGGGTAGGGGAATCATTAGAGAGAATAATGCACATGCCTTACATTTATATACACACAGCATTTTATGGCTTACAAAGCATGGCCCCAGTCAGCATCTCATTTAACTCCCACAATGGCCCTTTGGTGGAGAGGTCATTACTATAATCTTTTAAAAAATATTATTTTAAAATTAATTAACATAGAGAT
The DNA here is from genome assembly GCF_000001405.40 of Homo sapiens. Taxonomy (NCBI): domain Eukaryota; kingdom Metazoa; phylum Chordata; class Mammalia; order Primates; family Hominidae; genus Homo; species Homo sapiens. Next base: position 14,630,515 of record NC_000001.11, on the reverse strand, counting down.
GAGGTCTCACTATATTGCCCAGGCTGGTCTTGAACACCTGGGCTCAAGTGATCCTCCCGTTTTGGCCTCCCAAATTCCTGGGATTACAGGCATGAGCCACCTCACCTGGCCATCTTCATAGTTGAGTATACAGACAACGGTTAAGGAATTTGCTGAAAGGCCCCAGCTTGAACAACAGCTCAAGAGTTAAATTCCCCCCACCATCCACACTTTCACAGAAGGGACAGGAAACAACTACTAGCAGTTGGCTTAAAGCTGGACCATGAAGAACTAGGGTGAATACGGCATCAGGACCGAGCTGGGGTATCCCTAGGGATGCTCATTTTAGCATGCCTGCATTTATTCATTTCCCCTTCTCTGATATTTGTTTGAAGAGCCATTATTCCCTCTATAGAGCCCACAGATTTTAGGAACAGTGTTACAGTGGGGGACTGGCCTGAGGGCCAATGATGTTTCTGTTCCCAATGCCATGTTCACTGACATTGCATTCGTAGCTGAAAATCAACCCTAGCAGAAATATGTATTTACACCATGGGAATTGGCAAATGCTGCATTTGGGGGCGGCGTGGCAGGGGGGCGGGTAGGTGGGGCTTTATTTGCTTCTCAGAGAGCCAAATGATCAACATCCACCAGCAGGCTGCCGGGTTTTCTCCAGCCCTAGCCCCAGGGTGTGCAGCTTCCTTAGGTTTTAGTTTAAGAGTAGAACCCAGCAGAACAACCCGGCCCTAGTGCCTCCCCAGCTCCACTCCCACCACACCCTTCTTCAGTGCCTGACTCAGAGGTGGGCATGCGACCCAACTGATCCCTCAGATCTAAGTCCAGTACTTTTTTCCCAAAGATTAGACAGAGTGAGCTCCTACCTAGTGGATGTGAACAAGGAAGCAACGAGCCCTGGAGCCGTGGCAGCCATCTTTGGACCAGAAGAGGAAGACTGCTATGGACAGAGGAAACCGGAGGGAGCAAAGAAGAGGCAGGGCGTGGCCACCTCACCCGAGTTGCTGCATGGGCCGTGCTGGGGTGCTCGCAGCCTGCGAGGTTTTCCATCATGAGCATCCCTGACCATTTCAACCAGTTTAACGTGGGTTTCTGTTCGTTGCAACAAATCACCTCCTAAGTGACTTAGTAGAAGAGCAAAGGGAACAGCCTACTGAGACAGGAGCTGCTGCTGGAATACAGCAACGAATATGGCAAACTGATGTTCACAAAAGGCTCTTGGAGAGAGAAAAACATGTTTCTTACAATGTCAGGCACTAACAAATAAACACACGCCAACCCCAACACCTTTCTTGGGGACTACTCGTTATCCATAAGACACTCCATCCTCCCCCTGCCACCGTATGAGAATTGATCTCTTTAAGAATTAATGTGAGGCCGGGTATGGTGGCTCACACCTGTAATCCAAGCACTTTGGGAGGCTAAGACAGGCGGATCGCCTGAGGTCAGGAGTTCAAGACCAGCCTGGCCAACATGGTGAAACCCCGTCTCCAGTAAAAACACAAAAATTAGCTGGGTGTGGTGGCAGGCACCTGTAGTCCCAGCTACTCGGGAGGCTGAGGCAGGTGAATTGCTTGAACCCGGGAGACAGAGGTTGCAGTGAGTGGAGATGGTGCCACTGCACTCCAGCCTGGACAACAGAGCAAGACTCCATCTATAAAAAAAAAAAAAAAAAAAAAGAATGTGAAAGATGTGACAGTGCTTCCGGTTTTGTTAAGTGTTAATGATGGAAGCAAGAGGTGTTGGTAGCAAGATTGCAGCTGACATGAATGTCTCCGTCCAGCTTTCTGGATTCCTCATCTCTGAAACAGGGACGGTGGGACCCACCCCTTGTAAGGTTACTGCAAAGATAAAATGAAATCATTCAGGTTTGTGAAAATAGATTCTGTATCTGGCCCGGCATTCTCCAGATGAATTCCATTTACATGTGCATCTGAACTATTAAACCACATAAAATGCCTTCGCTTTTACTTGGGACAATAAATGAAAACTCTTTTGACATTTGAAGCATTTCATGTCTCTGTGCTTCCAGAGAACAGTTCCATTTAACTTGAAAGGGGTTTTCAGTGTAATTCACATTTAATGTTATGAAAGCATTTCTCTCTCACATTGGGCTTTATCTAAATTTTTAAACAAGGCCTAATTTACAGGCCCCAAACGACTTGGCAAATTTCCTGCAATCTCATTGAAAAAGTCCTGGCTGCTTATATGCTGCGGGTGTGTTGAAAGACTGCTTTGTCTAGGGTGCCAACTAAAACTGAAATTACTCCGCCGACAAAAGGTCGTCCTTTCAAACAAACTCACAGGATCCATAGGCATGCATGCTACACAGAACTGCACCCGGATCCACTGCCCCAGGACCAGATCAGGTGTAATCTGTACCCGGTCTGTAGCAATGGAGACTGAGATGTCCCATTGCAAAGGCAGAAAATAACGCAGAGAACACACTGATTTTGTTTGCAAGTGGATGGATGGGTGCTGCCTATTTCTTGGGAAAGAGAGGGTGAGAAGGTCAGACAGACGAGAGAGAGAGAGAGAGAGAGTTCCATATCCATCTTGCCCACACTGTCATCAGCCGTCGGAAACATCTGTGATTCACACGTGACCCAAATGCCAAGTAGACGCCTGATGGGCAGAGAATAAACCTGTTACCCCTCAACCCCACACAAGAACAGCCTCCTCAACACAACTGGGTGCTCCTTGCACAATGCAAATCAGGCCTAGGTGTGGAGCTTCTCTAAACTTAGCTGGTTGTTTGGCGGTCGGGGGTTATGCTACCCAGAACATGAATACCCTGGCTCTCTGTTTGTCAGCTGCTGTGGATTCTAACGGGAAACTAGCTCGGCTGGGAGTCATTGAACATATATTTATTAGGTACCCTCAGAAGGCAGGCACTGTGCTAAGCCCTAGGAATACAATGGTGAGCAAACCAGACGCAGCCCCTGCCTTCACAGAGCTTACAGCGCAGCAGGAAGAAAGCAGATTAAATCAACAGTGATAGGAGGGGAGTGAGGAGCGAGCCTTTTAAGTCCTGAGTGAGATCGTATCAGGCCTGTGCAGACATGCCTCCTCGGGCCTCCCAGCTCGCCAGCTGCAAGGGCTCACTCCTCTGCACTCTCTGGCCCAGCCACCCCTCTGATCTCATCTCTTATTGACCTCCTGGGCGACTTGCTGGGCCCCAGCTACAGAGGCCTCCTTGCATCCCTCAAGCACACTAAGCAGGCTGCAGCCTCATGGGCCTCTGCACATGCTCTTTCTTCTGTTTGGATGCTGAGACGCTTGGCCCCCTGACATCCCATGGCTGGCTCCTTCACACCCTTCCCGCTCTGAGAAGGCTTCCCTGATGCCCCCATCAAAACAAGCCCCCCAGCCACTCTGATTTCCCTTAGCAGCCCCAGTGCACTACAGTTTTATTTGGTTACTGTGTCTTTCCCCCTACTGGTCTGTCTGTTCACTGCTTTATCCCAGGGCCTCCAACAGTGGCTGGAACATAGTAGGTGCTCAATAAATATTTACCAAGTAATAAATATTTACCGAGTGTCCTGGTAAGCGACTTCAGAGTGCTAAAGGGGCACACAGTAGGAGCACAGTCCCTGGCAGAGTCTGGAAGGCTTCCCAGAAGTGGCACTTAAGGATCAGTGGAATGTTTTTTTGCATGAAAAGCAGGGAACAGGGCCGCAAGCAGCATGAACAACCTTGAGAAGTCTGGAAAAGGCTTCGAGGATTTTGGTGTGGCTGGAGAGTAGGCTGCACGTGGCAACATCAAGAAATAAGACAAGGGAAAGAGGCAGAGTCAGGCACAGAGGTGCCTCAGGAGCCACGGTAAGGAGTTGAGGCTGGATCTGGAACCACAGAGAACCACCGAGGTGGTGTTCAGAAGCAGAATCACACAGAGAAACTTGCATTCCAGAAGGTTCACTCAGGCTGTGGCTTGGAGAAAGTGGACGAGAGGCTGGAAGATGCTGCTGTAGGGGCTCATGAGAGATGCTAAGACCCCCAGCCGGGATGGTAACCCCGGGCAAGGCACTTGACCTGGACCCATCTGGACCTCCACTTTCTCATCTGCGAAATAGGTACACCAAACAACACAATGGGCTGTTGTAAGAATCTGTGCACACAATGTTGTTTCTGCTGGAGTGCAAAGGGAAGTGTTCTACAAAAGCACGCTGTTAGGAGGAAGACTAGCTTTACCAGCTAATGGCTGAAGCTTTATATTTTCATCCATGCTTAGCACTTAGTGCATATGTCAGAATCTAAACTCATGAATTTCAATAACAGTGTCATTGATTGACAGCCAGAAGTCATTAATTCCGTATAATGTGTACAGGCAGCAGGAGAGAAAGAGGACAGAATAAAAGGCCTCTAATGACGCTTGCAAACTCTCAGCAGGGCTCAGTCCAGTTGGCTGGGGCCAGAATTCCGCAGCCCCACCAGGTATGAGAACGAAGGAAGGAATTCTCATGAGCTGTGCCAGCTCTTTCAACTAAAGTTCATGCTCAGGGGAGAAGAGCTTCTAGATATAAATCTGCACGACATATCAAATATCCCTCAGAATCCCGTAGGTCCCCTGAAAAGCGAGAAACAAGTAGACATCCAGGTATGAATATGGGTGCGGCCAGGGAGAAAAGACATTGCTAAAAAGGACTAGGTTTCTTTGCCAGCCCAAATGACTACCACTTCCCACAACCTCTCGTTTCCGGGGAAATTGCAAACAGCAAATTACACCGAGTGCATCTGTCCCTGAGAAGAAATCACATCGTCCAACGCACAAACCTCCCGCCCTCTTTCATGTCTGCTAATTGCCTGCTGAATCGAGAGACTTTTGAAAGGCAGGATGATAATTGAAGTTTCACATAATTACATTTTAAAGTAACGCTTTTAGCTTCCCCCAACCTCAGTCAAAACTCTATCTTGTCAAAATAGTCTTAAAGTTTTTTTCCCCCTTAAACAGAAATTGATGAAATATGACTGGAAATCTTTTAGCTGCTAATTATAAGTCAAGCCTCTTTGGGGCTTTTTTGGGATATCTCTTTGACTTCTCTAAGTGATTCCTTTGGTCCTCTGCTTTTAAACTGTTCATTTTCCACTTGCAGAGAAGAGTGAAATTTCTTCCCTAGTTTTAATTACAATTGAGGCTTTATCCTCGGATAGTAGGGAGCGAGGCTTTGCAGTGTGAGGGGGGCCACCCTGTTAATCAGGGCTAAATCTAGTATACTGTGGAGGCTCCTACCTTTCATTACATTACCTTGTTGGTTTAATTAATGGTATTACCCTCTGAACTGTGTACTGAAGCTTAAAAGAAACTCCACACATGCAGAAAACTCGCTCAAGGAAAAAGAGAAGAATGCCTAATAGAATATCGCTCATCACCCTGGGTACCGCTGCTAATGTCTTCCATGATGACTACGCGGTGTCGGGGGGGACCCTCCAGGGGACACAGGATGAGCTCACATAGTTCTCTTAGAAATAGTGGCGATGTCTGTATTTTGGTTTCTGGCACAGACCAGCAATTTATCTGGGATACTTAATTTTAAAAACCAGACATCACCTCATCAAAAACCAAATGTTGTCCCTGTTTGTTCAGGTGAAGTTTCTGGTAATGTCTAGTGAGATCAAGCAGGGTAGGTAGACAGAGAGCGATAAGGTCTTTTGCTGTTGGGTCACTAACCCAACTCAAATTATAATATTCTTGTGAAAGGCTGCACTTGACGTGTTAATTACCACAAAACTGTAAGCTCCAACATTTGAGTATAAACTCTTTGCAGATAGTGACCAGGTCGTGTTCAGCCATGACTTGGCACACTGAAAGGACTCAATAAATGTTTGTTGAACAAATGAATGAACTCTCTTCACCGAGTCCTTAGCTGTCTAAGGCACAGTGTGGGCCATGCATGGTGGCTGGAGATTTTGTCAAATCCTCTAAACTTTTTTTTTTATGATGATAAAGCAGTCAATTTGTCAAGTGAACATAACACACCTAAATATTTCTGCACATAATGACAGAACTTGAGAATACAGTAAACGAAAGCTGAGAACTGCAGGGAGAAATAGACAAATCCATAATAGTTAGTGGTTTTTTTTGTTGTTTTTTTTTTTTCTTGAGACGGAGTCTCGCTCTGTTGGCCAGGCTGGAGTGCAGTGGCGCGATCTTGGCTCACTGCAACCTCCGCCTCCCGGATTCAAGCGATTCTCCTGCCTCAGCCTCTAGAGTAGCTGGGACTACAGGCACATGCCACCAAGCCTGGCTAATTTTTTGTATTTTTAGTAGAGACAGGGTTTCACCCTGTTAGCCAGGACGGTCTCGATCTCCTGACTTTGTGATCCACCCACCTCAGCCTCCCAAAGTGCTGGGATTTCAGGCATGAGCCACTGTGCCCGGCCTGGTTTTAATATTCTCTAAATAACTGATAGGACAAGTAGGACTAAAATCAGTAAGGTCATGGTAGACTTGAATAACAGTATAGACCTACTTGACCTCATTAATATTTTTAGCACACACTATTCAAAATAACAGAATACACATTGTTTTCAAGGGCACGTGGAATGATTTACCAAGATATACCATATTCTAAGATATAAAACAAGTCTCAAAAATTATTAAAGGACTTAAGTTACACAAAATATATGTTTTGACCACAAGGGAATAAAATCAGAGATCAATAACAGACAGAATTATCTGTGAAAAAAATCACAAAATATTTAGAAAATAAATAACAAGAGTCCCTAATAAACTATCAGTCAATTAGATATCAAAAGAGAAAAAAAAAGATGAAAATGAACATACAAGGTATCAAAATCTGTGGGATGCAGCCAAAGCAATACTTCAGGAAATTTCATGGCACTAAACACCTATATTAGAAAAGAAGAGAGATGTTTTTAAATTATTATGTTTAAACTTTTATTTTAGATTCAGGGGTACATGTGCAGGCTTGTTATCTAGGTATATTGTGTGTCATGAGCATTTAGTATCTAGAGTATTTCATCAATCAGGTATTAAGTTCAATACCCGATAATCATCCTTTCTGCTCCTCTCCCTCCTCCGATCCTCCACCCTCAGGTAGGCCCCAGTGTCTGTCATTCCCTTCTTTGTGTCCAAGTGCACTCAATGTTTCGCTCCCACTTATAAGTGAGGACATGTGGCATTTGGTTTTCTATCCTGCATTAGTTCACTGAGCATAATGGCCTCCAGTTCCATCTATGTGGCTGCAAAGGATATGATCTTGTTCTTTTTTATGCCTGCATAGTATTCCATGGTGTGCATGTACTACATTTTCCTTATCCAGTCTACCATTGACATTTAAGTGGATTCCATATCTTTGCTATTGTGAATAGTGCTGCAATGATCATATGCATGCATGTGTCTTTATGGCAGAATGATTTATATTCCTTTGGGTATATACCAATATATCCAAATAATAATGGGATTGCTGGGTCAGGTGGTCATTCTGTTTTACGATTTTCTGTGAGAAATTGTCAAACCGCTTTTCACATAGCTGAACTAATTTATATTCCCACCAGCAGTGTATAAGCATTCTCTTTTCTCCACAACCTTGCCATCTGTTATTATTTTGACTTTTAAATTCAAAAAAAAAAAAATTAAGAACACTGATACCCAAAGAAGTTGAGCAAATTTTCTAAGGTCATACAGGTATTTAAGCATCAGAGTTAAGATCTGAACCAGACTTATTGGATTCCAAAGACAAAGTTTTTGACACCTCCTTAATAAAAGAATCAGAATGAAGGGATAAATGCATAATCTGAATTTCATTTCAGGTGAGGCTTAAAGGTGAAGCAGAGATTAGACACATTTTCATAATTTTTTTTTTTTTTTTGAGATGGAGTCTCGCTCTGTCACCCTGGCTGGAGTGCAGTGGTCGATCTCCGCTCCCTGCAAGCTCCGCCCCCCAGGTTCATGCCATTCTCCTGCCTCAGCCTCCTGAGTAGCTGGGAATACAGGCACCCGCCACCACGCCCGGCTAATTTTTTTGTATTTTTAGTAGAGACGGGGTTTCACCGTGTTCGCCAGGATGGTGTCGATCTCCTGACCTCGTGATCCGCCCGCCTCGGCCTCCCAAAGTGCTGGGATTACAGGCATGAGCCACCACGCCTGGCCTTAATATTTTCAAAAAACACAAGAAATCTCAAAGATACCTTATTTCACTAAACATAATATTATTTATCACTGTCTGTTGTATTTTTTCCAAACTCCCATGAAGGCCTAATATTAAGCAAACCCATACTTTCCAATTAGAATTGATCAATGCACTCTCCTCTTCCAGAATGGAGTCTCCATGGGCTGATTTCAGGGACTTTGGATCGGTCAACATTTACAATTTACTATATGTTCACTGTGTCTTAAAAGAAGTCAGAGCACATCTGACTTCAAGCAGCTCACAAGGTAAAGGAGGAAATGAATCTGTGTAATTTTCTTCTAAAATGGCCTCTTCAACTAGTGTTGGGAAGAGGAGATGCTGCCTCAGTAGCTGACTGTCTGCAATGTGCAAGTTAGAACAGCCTGGTCCCAGGGCTCTTATACTTTATGCCCTGTTCAAGCCGGAAGTACAGGCTTTGTAAGGTTTCTTAGGGTTTGCAACTTTCCCATTGTATTAGTCTGTTCTCACGTTGCTAATAAAGACATATCTGAGACTGAGTAATTTTTAAAGGAAAGAGGTTTAATGGACTCACAGTTCCACATGGTTGAGGGGGGGCCTCACAGTCATGGCAGAAGGCAAGGAGGCGCAAAGTCACATCTTACATGGCGGCAAACAACAGAGTTTGTGCAGGGGAATTCCCCTTTATAAAACCATCAGATCTTGTGAGACTTATTCACTACCACAGGGAAACCACCCCCATGATTCAATTATCTCCACCTGGCCCCACCCTTGACACATGGGGATTATTACAATTCAAGGTGAGATTTGGGTGGGGCACAGCCAAACCATATCACCCATGCTTGCTATTTTCTTGTCTTCTGTCTTGTTCCCCAAAGCAAAGTGACCTTGGGGAGTTAGTGTGGTCCTAAGAGGTAGCCTGGGGGCTCTGAGGAGACCTGTCTCTATGGTTCCTTATAGCCCAGAGTCTAGCAGAATAGAGATTCATTAAAAGGCACAGCAGAATTAGTAGAGTCAGAGCTTTTCTTAAACGAGCATGTGGATTAAACACACATACTTTCTGCATTCAGAAGTGACAGAGACCTACTTGTAAAATGCCACATCCATTTGTGAGAAAATAATACACTTGCAGCACAGTTGTCTGGAAAAGCCTGGCATGACTCTGGCTGCTGAGCAGTAAGCCCCACTCTTTCCACCCTCCAGCCATTGATTAGCCTCATTAGCAGATAACAAATGCCTTGGGTGGCCCTGCTCCAGTCCTGGTGGACCAGCACATGAAGGATTTGGCCTCCATTCCAGCAACTGTCTTTTCACTTGGCAGCTCCCCTGGGAAGTAGAAGCTCCAGGAAAATGTCCCCTCCTTGGAGCTGCCTATCTGCTCTGTGGCCAGCCAGCAAGTTCCTACATGGGGAGGCTGATGTGACAGCTCCAGTTTCCAGGACAAGCAGAGATGATGAGGACCATCTATCCCAACAAATGGGCACACTGAAGATGATGATGGGGACACTTTCATGGAAATTAGGTTGTACAAGAGGCTCCGCTGGGAGATTTCCAAGGCGTCACCTCTGAGGATCCTCACAACAACCCTAAAATGCAGATGCTTCTATTATTTCCATTTTAAAGATGCTAAAACTGGGGCTGAATGAGATGAGGCACTTCACTCAAGGTCACTCACAGCTATTATAGTAGTGGCAGGGCTCGGAGTTGAGCTCATGACTGTTACTTGAGAAGGCCTCTTGCCCACTGTGGTATTCCAGCTGGCTCTGCCACCCTACAAACTTCTTGGTATTTTCAGAAAGAAGCAGCAGAAAGAAGAGGAAAGTTTCCATGGTTACCCTGTCACAAATCTCCTCTGGACAACATGTGCCCCAAATCTATCCAACAGGGCTCCCTAATGACCTGGCCGAGCCCTGGAATCTTGGAAACCTATTCCAGCTTCTTGCCACCCAGAGAAGATGTGGCAAAGTGGAGGTTGCATCAATAATAACAACGGTGATAATTATAGGAATGATCACAAGCAGTTTCTCTGGGTGTTTCTGATGTGCTAGGCATTGCTGAGCCTTGTGTGAATGAACGCATTGAATACTCTCAACAACTTTCAGAAATGGGTGATCTTATCAGCTGCATTTAACACTTGAGGAAAGCTGCTCTTTAGTTTTAAATAGAATTGTCTCAAACAATTTCAAAATTATCTAATTTTTCTCTTGTGCTTACAATTTAGGGAGAAGCAGATGGTATACTTTTGTAGAGACTATACATACACGTGTAAAATACGCATATATACATAGATCCTACCATTGTACAGATGGGTAACTGTACTTACTATTGTACAGATGGGTAACTGTTAACCTAGCAGGGGCAAGGCTCATGTGCATTGACCTGGGGAGCTGAGAAGAGGCTAAAACTGAACTTAAAGTGATTCAATGCCACTATTCACAACATCCAAAAAGGCAGAAACAACTCACGTGCCCATCAATAAATGAATGGATATCATGTGGTATAGCCACACACTGGAATGTTATACGGTCGTAAAGAGGAATGAAGTGCTGATACACGCTACAACATGGATGAGTCTTAAAATCATCATGCTAAGTGAAAGAAGACAGTCACAAAAGGTCACATGTTGCATGATTCTATTTATATAAAATGTCCAGTATGAACAAATCCACAGATACAGAAAGCAGATTTGTGGTTGCCAGGAGCTGGAGGCAGGAAGAATGGGAAGTGACTGCTTAATGGGTACAGGGTTTCCGTGTGGGGTGGTTAAAAGGTTCTGGAACTAGATAGTGGCACGGGTTGCAAAACATCGTGAAAGTACTTTTAACGCCAGTGAATTGCACATTTTAAAATGATTTAAATGGCAAATTTTCCGTTATGTGTATTTCACTACAATAACAAAAGAATGATTCAATGCCTGGCACAGTGGCACACAACTGCAATCCCAGTGCTTTGGGGGCTGAGGTGGGAGGATTGCTTGAGGCCAGGAGTTCAGAGACCAACCTGGACACCATGGCGAGACCCTGTCTTTACAAAAAAATTTAAAAAATTAGCCAGGTGTGTTGGCACCCACCTGTAGATCTAGCTACTTAGGAGGCTGAGGTGGGAGGATTGTTTGAGCCCAGGAGTTTGAGGCTGCAGTGAGCTATGATTGCATCACTGCACTTGAGCCCAGGCAAGAGAGTAAAATTTTGTCTTAAAAAAAAAAAAACCAAGAATGATTAAATTCCTTTTTCATTGTGCATGGAGTAAAACTGGATTCCTTTTCTTAGTTTATCAGAACCTTCTAAATCTGTCTTCCACCCCTGCATTCTCAATCTCATTTACTCTCATCTCAATGCCCCATTAATTCTCCCATCCCACCCAGATCTTGAGCCAAACCGAAACACTGGCTGCTCCTCCAACAAGCCATGCTGTCGTCCTGCCGTGTCTGTATCCTGCAGCAAATTCTGCCCAAAGACCCACCTACACCTTCTTGACCCAAAGAAGACCTACTTGCCCTTCCAGACTTCCACTCAAGCGAAGGCTCCTTTGGAAACTGTCAGGGAACCCCTCACCTTTCCTTCAGCCTGGGCAAAGTGTCCCTTGTCAACACTTTTACATACCTTGCACATACTACTATCACTGTACTTGTCACAGTGTATTGTCATTATATGGTTTGGGACAAAAGAGTGACACATGCTGGTTAAAAATATAGGCTTTGGGGTCAGTGGGCCAGAGTTCAAATGTCAACTATACCCACAGTGTGGTCATATCATAGACACATGATTTAATCACTTTATGCCTCAGTTGCCTGACCTGTCAAAATTGGACTACTAATAAAACAATGTGAGGATTAAACACGAAAATACATATATAGCTTTTAGAAGGATGCCTTGTCCCTTCTAGGTACTCCATCATATTAGTGTCACTTATTATCTTCATCATTGCCATTGTCTTCTCCCTGCCCCAGGAGCTTCATGAACTCCATGAGCCCAGCATGGGGCCAGCCATGGGGCAGGTGCCCAAGAAATATGTACAGAATAAAATTATGATCCCTTTATTCCATTCTTCTCATCTTCCTGATGGGAAAATGGAGACTTGAATGGCAAAGTGATTAGTCCAAAGTCATGTCACCAGCTCGAGGCAGAAGACGGTCTAGAACTTTGGCCTTTTCATGTCAAATCCTCACTCTCATCACTAGAACACGCCGGGGCTGGGGCCATGCCCCAGTGTGTTTCCATGGACATGGGACACACCTTACAAACTAGATGAAGAGTGAAGCAAGCGCCGGACTCAGCTGCCATCTCGCAGCATTCAAGCCTTTCCTTGCTTAGCAATGAGAGCTTGAAATATCAGCAGCTGAGCTATAAATAACTGAGAAAAAAAAGAATCCAGAAATTAACTGAGGGTCTGTCAGCAAGTCAGCGGGGCTCCCTCTCCCAGGGAGGGTGATGCATGAGCTGTCGGAGATAAGACTCTGGTTGGGCATATTTAAGGTGAGCGCAGATAGCAGTGGGCACTTGGGAAGTCCCTTCTGCCACTGCCAAATGGGAAAGCCCATAGATCAAACCACAAAATAAATGAGGACATTAAGGCTTCATACACTTTGCGCTTTGGGATTTTTATTTGAAAAACCAAGACTCCAATTTTAACTAGCTCCTCCTCAAATGGTCGTGTTGTCACTCCCAAGAAAGGTCACTCTTCAGCACTACAGGTCTTCCATGGGACACTCTGGACAGCTTGAATACACAGTTCCACATTCATAGCTGATATTTATTGAATCCTTAGCATGTATGTCCCATGCACTTATCACCGGGATTCACGTATATTTACTCACTTTATTTTTATAAAAACCCCATAAGGTACGAGCTACAGGCAAACCTTGTTTTACTGCGCTTCGTAGATACCAAGGCTTTTTTGTTTTTGTTTTTGTTTTTTACAAATCAAAGGTTTGTGGTAACCCCTCTCATGCAGCAAGTCTATCAACGCCAATTTCCCAAAAGCATGTTCTGGCTTCGTGTCTCTGTATCACCATTTTTTAGCAATAAAGCATTTTTAAATGAAGGTATGTAGACTTTTCAGACAGAATGCTATTGTACACTTAATAGGCTACGATGTAGTGTAAACATAAGTTTCATACGCACTGGGAAACCAAAAAATTTGTGTGACTCACTTTATTTCGATATTTGCTTTATTGTGGTAGTCTGGAATGGAACCTGCAATATCTCTGAAATATGCCTGTATCATAGAACAGCCGCATAACATAGATAGCAAAACATCTGTTATGGGACCCAACAAGAAGGCATGCTAGGATGTGGTGGGGCTGCTGGTTTAACCCAGGTGTCTGAATCCAGTGAAAGGAACGGAGTCACACAACCAAGGTTGCTGTCTTGCAGGATCCTTGAGAGACTAAATAGAAACAACAATGGAAGTGGCTCATGACACTCACTGAATGACCAAAGGTATGGGCCATGCCATCCCCTGGACTTGTAAGGGACAGCATAGACAGCCCCTTAGGAGCTGGCTGGAGTTAATAGCGATTTGATGGACACCCACCACTGTATTACAAACGGTCAGGAGCAGAGTGAATGCAAATGAGGCCACGAGGGCAGAAACCCAGCCTTCCCAAGTGTATCCTGCCTGCATTGAAATGTCCTGGTTCTATCGCTGAGCTTCGTATTTCATGCAAAAGGCAACCCTGAGATCGCAGCTCCAAGAAACCCTAGGGAGAACAATCAGGATGACAAATGGAACCCTCTCCCTTGTATCTCAGAAATGCCAAGAGGTATAGGTGATGGGCTGAAATATCTAAACACAACAGGGGAATGAGCCTTCGCTGACGCTGATTTATGGGCAGAGGGGCCCAGCCCTCACCTTTATTTACATTGCTTGGAGCACAAACTCCAAGAAAATTATAGTGTTTTAATTTGGGCATCTGGCTTGTACTTTTTTTTTTTTTCTAAATCACCCTCTTCTATGCTCCCTAGAAAGTCAGACCAAGCCATAAACTCCATACCAGAGGACTCCTCTGTTTCCAGCTTGTCTGTTTCAGAATTTAAGTTATTTGAGGGCACAGAAAGGATGAGTTGATGGCACACAAAGGTTCTGCTGGGATCTGCGGCACAGATCTGTGTAGCAGCTGGGACACCGCATGAGGAAGCTTGGGGGTCAGGGTAACACAAATTGGACCAAGAGGCCAGAGGTCTTGTTCTAGCCCAGGTTCTGGTATAAAGTGCTGTATAGCCTCAGCAGACTCACTTGCGCTCTCCAGCCTCAGTTTCTCCAACTGCAAAGTAAAGACCAGATGAGGCTGTCTTCAGTGTCCCTTCCTGGATTGTATAGGCATTGCGTCATTCCATAACCCACATGGGCACTTCCCTCTGGTGCCACCTTCTCTCCACCCCAGCTTTCAAGTGTCTCTCCTGCGCATGTCTCTGGCAGAGTTGGGAGGCTGACATCACCTCTGCTCAAGCCAGGTGAGACCACACTCCCCAAGACGAACTGCCTGTCCTTTAAGAAATTTTTTAAGGTGGAACTGATGGATTGGGTGATATTATGAATAGTCAGAAGTTGTAGAAATTCAGAAATGGGAGGGACTTCAGAGAAGTCTTACCAAATGCCAAATGCCCTCATTTTGACTGAACCAGTGTCTCAGTTCCTACGCCACTTCCCGGGATGCCTCTTGCAAGTTGCGGAGGCTGGTGGCGAAGCCACAGCCTACACGTTGGCCATACGATTGGAACCACAAGCCTCACTTCCCTCATGGAAGTGAGAAGTCCCCTCTGCTCCTCTTTTTTTTTTTTTTTGAGATGGAGTCTCACTCTGACATGCAGACTGGAGTGCAGTGGCACGATCTTGGCTCACTGCAGCCTCTGCCTCCCGGGTTCAAGCAATTCTTGTGCTTCAGCCTCCCAAGTAGCTGGAATTACAGGTGTGCACCACCACACTGGGTAGTTTTGTATTTTTAGTAGAGACAGGGTTTTGCCATGTTGGCCAGGCTGGTCTCGAACTCCTGGCTTGAAATAATCTGCCCGCCTTGGCCTCCCAAAGTACTAGGATTACAGGTGTTGAGCGCCACCATGCCTGGCCCACTCTGCTCTTCTTTAGCCTCTTAGTTGCAGGCTCGAGGCTAGAACCCAGGTCTCTGGATCCCACAATGGGGCTTTCCTCTGCTGCTCTTCCCTCCTCTGGTTTCCAGCAGGTGGTCGGCACCTTACTTGTCCGGGTATCCTGGGCGCTCATCACAGTGCTCTGTCAATCATAGAGTGCTTCATGAATGTTAGCTGACAAAGAAACCAAAGAATAAACTCAATTTCCTTCCTCAGTGCCTGCAGGGATACTGGAGACTTGTGAACATTTGTTAACGACATTTACAGGGGAATTGGCAAGTGCCAAGTACTGTGCTCTGCACATCACACACATTCTACCTGAATCCTACAACAGCCGTGGGAGGTCAGGACCAGCATTATCCCTACGAGGAAACCAAGGCCTATTTTAGTAAAGCAACTTGCCCGCCTCACCGAGCTAGGAAGTGTTAAGAGACAGCATTTGCACTTGGCAATGGACTCCAGAGATCTCTGTCCTGTGCTATAGATGCTGAACTTCCCTGCATCAGCATCTTAGTTTGTTCAAACAAATCTTTCATACAAAAACCCGGGAGGCCCTTGTCCTAGAAATTACTGTCTCTCAATGTTTCTCTGGGTTGTATTCAAATGACAACATACCGTGGCTGCCAAACTTGTCATTTTCTTTAGTGGTCAATCTTGAAAGCAAAACACCATGAACGGAAAAGTCCTCCCAACCAGATCACATTTGGTTTTGCGCATGTATTTTTCTCCTGAACATCTAAACCCAGCGCGGGAGGTGCTTTGCCAGCAGGCCCAGCAGATGGTCACCCAGGCTGGGTCCAGCCTCATACTGACCATGTCCTGCTGCAGAGCTCTCATCCTTAGCAAAGTTTGGCCTCTGCCTCTCTCTAATGTTCACTCCCAAGTCCTGCAGAGCCCTCCAGCC
Source organism: Homo sapiens (assembly GCF_000001405.40). Lineage (NCBI taxonomy): Eukaryota > Metazoa > Chordata > Mammalia > Primates > Hominidae > Homo > Homo sapiens. The sequence continues at coordinate 14,614,418 of NC_000001.11, read as the reverse complement.
AAAGATGAACCAAACACGAAGGAAGAGAAATGAAAACCAGTTTCTGGACTCTTCCAGGTGATTTTAATTGCAGGGAATAAACCACTGTTAAAAGGAAGGCTTACTATAAAGAGAGTGGTTTATTATAAGACAGCTTAGGGTGTTTGCAGAGGAACAGGGAAATGGTTTTGTAAATGCCATCTTCTCTAATAAATCTGAATGCTGCTGGAGAGATTAGGCCATTATCCAGTGTTGGCATAAATGAGAAAATGATATGACGGATCACATGCTTGAGGGGTTTTAGGACATTGCTGGAGATGAGGCAGGGTGACACTAGTTAGTGATGGCAGTTGGCCAATTGCATCGTATTCCCGGAAATCTAGCATGGGGCCAGTTCTGTTATTCTGACCATAACTGGTGCTTTCTGGTATTCATACCAGGAAGTCACTCTGCAGAAATTTTGCAGAGTTTTCTGAAAGCCAGGGGCCCAAATTACAGGTTAATCAGTTGTGTCACAGGGAGGCAGAGTTGGGTTTGAAGAACAGAGGAATCCCTTAAAATCGGCAGAAGACTCAAAGTCCCAGGGCAGAGGCCATAGTTTTCCAAGGCACTTGTCAAGCACCTCACTGCACCTGACATTGTTCAGCACTGCACTGATCCGGGCCCAACCTGTGGGCCGCAGAGACTCTGGGTGGCCAGAGAAGGTGACGAGAAGTCCAAAATCCACACATCTCCAACCTGCTGCCTATGGGCACAATGAATTATTTTTCTTGCATGTATGTACCATTAGTTTTCAAATATATGCAATACCGAAGCTGTAACCATTTGACAAAGCTACTGAATTCATTGTAATCTTTTGCATTTATGTATTTTCTCCAACAGATAGCAAAAATATGACTACTAAAATGTAGGAGCCAAAATTTTCTTTCTCTCTTCATTAAAAACACTAGGAATCACTATTCAGTGGGAATATGGATGGCAGAAACATGAAATCCAGATGTTAACTTGTGGTATGGAATAGCCATCTTGATTAAAGTTTAAACTATTGAAAACTGGCCCCTGGCTAATGTTAATACTGTGTGCCTGCTCACCAGGGAAATGATCATTTTGTTGGTGGGAGTTTGCGGCATACTATCTGTTTTCCCTCAGAGTACAATCCCCGGCCTCAGCCTGCCAGCCTCTGTGAGTTGAGCTTCTCAGTCTGTACCCTTCCCTTTGGTTCATGGTGAAGATATCTGGATGATTTCTTGTATGAATCACTTGTGATACTGACCATAACCTCGAATGCAAGTCTAGAGTACCTATACATTAAAAGGCTAGGACGCACACTCAACAGGACATCATAGGAAGTTCGGCTCATCCTGGGAGCAAGGCTTCTAAGCAACATAGAAGGTTCAGGAGAAAGACCTGGGTTCTGGAAAAAAATACCCAATCTTGTCTTTGGGAGACAGAAATCAGCTAAGGAAATAAAGTGGTTTTATTAGTAAGTCAAAGGGGAGAGAATTCATAGTTCAATAATACAACGCACTATTAATAACCAAGAGTTCTATCTAAGGGATCCCAAAGTCTGCTAAACTCCATGCCAGGCACAGTATGTTAGTCCCTTAAACCAGCAGATCCCAAGCAGGGAATGCTTTCATCCCCAAAAGGACATTTGGCAATTATCTGATGATGTTGACTGTCACATAATGGGGTTGCTATTGGCATAGATGCTGCTAAATGTCCTAAAATGCACAGGACAGACCCCCGCCCCCACAACAAAGAATTATCTGGCCTAGAATGTCTACAGTGCTGAGGTCAAGGACCCCTGCATGAAACCAGCCCAGTCACTCTACCACAGAGGTGTTATCGGCCTCATGTTCCAGATGAGGAAGCTGAGAGCTGGAATGTCCCACAGTACCTACATCATATCACCAGGATCTGAATCAGGCCTCGCTCATTCCCTTGAACCCAGATTTATTTGCTGCATTATCTGGAAGATAGAAGTGACCTCATTTCATAACAATGAAACTGAGGCTCAGATGTCAAGTGTCCCGCCCTGCATCTCACCATGACCAATGATTCCTTGTCCCTTCTCAGTTCTTTTGAAGTCAGTGATGAAGGCAAGGGCTCTACAGCTCAGGGGTTAGAGCGCGGGTCTTGGGAAGTCAGTGATAAAGGCTGAACACAAGTGACTCCATCTCAAACCACTGAGCGGCAGCAAGTGTCTCCTCTCCTGTCCATTAACCACAACACCCCTAGTAATTAACTTCTCATTTTTGCTCCTTTAGTACTATAATCTAGTAGTTTTATTGCTCATGTTTAATTCACTAGCTCACTCATTCATCACCATTTATTAAGCTCCTCCTGTGTGTCGAGCTGGGTCAGATACAAATAAACGAGAACGATTAATACATGTCCAAGGGTTGGCAAATGATCACCTCAGAGCTACCTGTTTTTATAAATAAAGTTTTATTGGAATACAGCCATGCCCATTTATTTATATGTTGTCTATGGCTGCTTTTGCATTATAACAGCAGATTTGAGGAAGTGCAATCAATATTTTATGGTGCCCAAAGCCTAAACTATTTATTATTTGGCCCTTTATAGAAAAAGTTTGCCAACTTCCACACTAGCTCCACTATTGAAGCCACAAAGGGGAAGCACTAAAATGAACTTCACACCAAAACAAGAAGCACTTTCATCTATGCCTATATGAATAACTATAATATCCAGTAGTTTGGGGAAATCTTAATTTTTTTTTTTTTTTTTGAGACAGGGTGTTGCTCTATCACAAAAGCTGGAGTGCAGCGATGCAATCATAGCTCACTGCAACCTCAAACTCCTGGTCCCAAGTTGATCCTCCTGCCTCAGCCCCCCCAGGTAGCTGGGACCACAAGTGTGCGCCAACAAGGCCAGCTAATTTTTAAGATTTTTGTAGAGATAGCGTCTCACTATACTGGCCAGGCTGATCTTGAACTCCTGGGCTCAAGCAATCCTCCCACCTCGGGAGGGTGCATAATCTTATGCATTTCATTCTAATACAAACCTAAAACTCAAAAGCCCCAACACATTTTGATCCTCAAAAATACTTTCTACTTTTCTAGAATCCATTATAAATAGATCTTCAAATGAAGTTCCAAGGTCTATTATTTCTATTTTGCTGTCAGAAGTTGGGAAAGCCCAGAAGAACGTTCCTTGTTGCTCTGGAATTGAAACAGAGATCAGAGTCCCAGCCATTGGACTTGCCACTTAGGAGTCAGTGGACCTCAGCAGGTCACCTGCTGCACTGCAGAGACCACTGGGTTGATACCTCCCCTTCCATTCCTCTAAGATGCACAGAAAAAAATGCCCCATTCCCATCTCCCTGAGTTTTCTGCCATACTTTTGGCTGGCTTGTGATCTGTGGATAAACTTCCATTCACCTGAGTCCAGGATCTGGGCATGAAGCTGGACCACTTGCTGTCCAGGCAGTTACAGCCACAGCGAAAGTGACCACAGGCATCTAAACAACCAACGGGTTAGCTGGAGAATTCAAACCAACATATTTTGGTTGCATATTAACCCAAAGACCCGAATAAAAGAGCTTCTAAAGGTCTAATGGGATCTCCCTAAAGGGATAGTGAAAAAGAGAGAGAAATCAGGCAGATTTATTGTGATTGCTACATCCTGGCTCCGGTACCCAAAGAATACACACATCCACTAGTCTCCATGCAGGTGTATTTTCCAGAGTAAAAGATCCTAAATTATGATGGTATAGAGTACAAAAAAAAAAAAAATTCTCCACAGGGGAGCCATTGTCAGATCTAGGCCACTGAAATAAACAGGACATTCTCCTGGTGTAATTCCTGACCTTGTTTACAGATCCCTAACTGCTTGTTAGGGAAACTAGAAGAGGAGAAACTCTAAGCTCAGGCATTAAGAAGACAGGTCACTAGGGCCAGGCATGGTGGCTCACGCCTGTAATCCCAGCACTTTGGGAGGCTGAGGTGGGTCGATCACGAGGTCAGGAGATCGAGACCATCCTGGCTAACACAGTGAAACCCTGTCTCTACTAAAAATACAAAAAAATTAGCCAGGCATGGTGGCGGGTGCCTGTAGTCCCAGCCACTCGTGTCCCAGCTACTCGGGAGGCTGAGGCAGGAGAATGGTGTGAACCCGGGAGGCGGAGCTTGCAGTGAGCAGAGATTGTGCCACTGCACTCCAACCTGGGTGACAGAATGAGACTCTGTCTCAAACAAACAAACAAACAAACAAACAAACAAACAGGTCATTGGAAGAGAAGTCAGATGATTGTAAAACCCCACTGAAATGAGGAAAGAATCTAGTGTAAAAAATTGTATTCATTTGTAAAAATGGATTCCCCTTTCATCGTGGGCCACTCATTGGACAGGAGGCTCAGAGTATGAGGGCACAGTCTTGAAGTGATGGTGTCTCCATCCAGGCCTTACAAGATGCAGTGGCCCATGCCCAAGAGGGCGTGGCCCAGCGAAGGTCAGACTTCACCCAGCCATGAGCTATGGGGCAGTTCTCTTCCCACACTGTGCAGCTGGGCCTGATCTTAGTGTGGAGAAAGGGAGGGGAAGTTGGTTCAATAACCAGCTCACCAATCTTAGACAAATCAACTTAAATTGCTGTGCCTCAGTTTCCTGAGCTGAGAAATAGATTGCTGCGTCTACCTCAATTCAATCACATGGACCACTTGGAAGGGTCCACTGGGATGATGCCTGTGAAAGTCTTTGGATTCTGCAAAGAGATGTCTAGGTAGAGAGACTGTAGCGCTTCCCAGGAACCTTCTTGATTGCCAAGAAAAGAGGAAGAGTGAATAAATGCAGGAGAATCCTGAAAAAAGGGTGCTGAGCATCAGCTCTGTAAATTGATGTTCCACCAAGCTCTTGTTTTAGAATAAATGCGATAACACTGAAAAAGTTAGAGGGTGGGTTTTGAGTTGACTCATGGTAGAACCAACTGTGGTGTTGATCAGCCGAGTTTAAACAAGGTTGCTTTTTGTTTTGTTTTAGTAGTTGCTGATGAGAATGACCCAGCCTGTGGAAGCTGACCATGAGATCATGATCCTTCTCTACAGGACTTCCATTAAAACTTAAACATGCCTTTCTCCTCCAGCAGGGCTGCCTGGTACCATGTCAAATTGCAAACAGGGCACTCTGAGCATGTTTGCCCGAGAACAGGCTGACCATCCACACAAAATGGCACCCAAGCCTTGCCTTTCTGTTAACTCCCAAATCTCAAGATGCACTGAATAGTCCTGTTTTTTCTTGCTTTACATAGTAAACTTTATAGGAATAGGAAAAGCAATCCAGTTGATGAGCACATTAATTAAGATAATCAATACACATATAATTCCAGGTCATGTTTCCCCAAGTGTCATTTGTCACGCTCTATGGTCCCACAACTGCACTCTCCAGGCCCAGTATCAAATTTCTAACTCTCCTACCTTGCCACCATCAAGAAACGGTGAGCGTATTCTTGCCAATTTCAAATGGCAGGAGTGGGGATTAAAAAAAAGAGATGACATTAATCCCACTGTGTTCCAGGTTGCACTTGCCAAATTAAAGCAAATACGCCATGTTCAATGGTTTAAATACACCATGTTTAAGTCAATCAAGGAAAATGAACGAATTCATTTGTTGCCGCTGACCAGAAGTCTGAGACCTGGCTGCGAAGATGATACAACGGGTGAGCTTACTTTAAAAGATGCAGGTATGCCTGTCCTGAAATTCACATCTTTTTTTTTAACTCTCTTTGAAAAGAGGACAGAAAAGCTATTATTCAAGATCTAAACCCAGTATCATCCACATCTTCCTTCTCCTTAAGACGCGCTCTTTCTCTGGGGGAGAAGGTCCCAGGTAGTAGCTGTTCTCTGCAGTGTCCAATTCCAATCTATCCAAACAGTTGTACTTTTTAATAATCTATCACAGCCAGTTTTAACCCCTAGTGGTGAAATTAGTGTATTTTCCAGCCTGTTTTTATTACGTATTACCATTGTCATGCACATCTGTGAAGGCTCCTGTATTTGTCACTTCATTGTCTATTTTTCCATTACACCCATCTAGACCTTTATTAGAAAATTATGTTTTCATGTCAGTTATACCTATGAGGCTGTGAGTCCAAGATAACTCAGTCCCCATCTTATTAAATCTGTGGTCTCTGGGCCTATGTGCCCAATCTCTCACAATAGATGGAGACAGAGAGAAGCGAGGAAGAAGAAAGGAAGAAAAAAAGAGGAAGGGAAGGCGTTAAGCAAAATAGCAAAACCGTCCTACTGGCATGTCTTTGGGCTACCTGATAGTGACATCTGGATATTCTCGTCTTAACGAAGCGAGCAGATTTCAGGGTCAGTCAAACGTGTGAACCTGTGTTCTAATCCCCTGTTTTTCTGTTCACTAGTGGACTACTTTCCAGAGCTTGGAAAAGCAACTTAACCCTTCTAAGCTTCAATGTCTTCATCTGTGGAATGGAGAGGATAACAATATCTAACTCTCTGTAATATGAAGGTAAATTGAGGAAATGTTTGTTGAGCTCATCACAGTATCTGGGAAAGCCTCAACGAACACTGGCTATTGCTCTTATTGCCCCCTTGGATGATCTCAAAAGTCACTCTGCCTCCCCAGTTCTGATCCTGGAACATCCCTTTTGCTAAAAATGAGCCATAACCCCACTAAGAAGCTCTGGGGTCCACTGTTCCCTTTCCCATAAAGGTAGGAAAGTCAAGTCCCCTCTGCGATTCTCTTTGGTCACAGCCCAGCAGTGAGGCAGAGAGAAGAGATTCTCACGTTTGAACATGGCTCAGCACTAAGCAGTCCTCTTACCTCTGGCCAGACAGGAGTCCCTGCTGGCTACGGATTCTTCAGAAGTGACAGAGCATATTTTGTCCAGCAGAACTCTGAGGATTGACGATGAATGAGTTAGTGTCTGACATGCAAATCCTAATTATAATTGCCACAATGCCAACATTAGAACAATAACAGTTTCTTGGGCAGTAATGGGAAAAAGGATGCCAAGCTCCAGAGCATCCTGGTGGAGACGCCAGGCAGTCTCTGGAATCACACTGGCTTGTGTTTGTATCCTGGCTCTGCCACTTGCTAGCTCGGTGACCCTGGGCAAGTCATGTGACCTTTGTGTGCCTCAACTTTCTCATCTGTAAAATGACAAACACTGTACTTACCTCATAAGGTGGTTTAAAGGATTCGTTGAGGTATTATAGGTAAAGAATTTGAAACAGTGCTTGTTATATGGTATGTAAGCACTCAATTAAAATCATCTATCATTAAATCAATGATCCTCATGATACCATGTATAAAGTAGACCAAAGTCCACACACCCCATCATTTAGTATTCACCCATCCATCCATCTATTCATTCAGCAAGTATTTACTGAGCTCTTACATTATGTACAAAGCACTGCTCTAGGTGGTGAGGATACAGTAAAATATAGATAAAACTCCCTGACCTCACAGAGCTGTCATTCCAAGACTAACAATTGAAGTCTCCCCTAACACCACTGCATAAAAAGCAGTTCGCAACCAGGGATAATTTTGACCTGAAGGGGACATTTGGCAACTTCTGGAGACATTTTTAGTTGTCACAACTGGAGTGTGAAGGGTTCTACTGTCATCTAGTGGGTAGAGGCCAGGAATGCTGCTAAATATCCTACAACACACAGGACAGCCCCCTGAGAACACAGAATTATCTGCTCCACATGTCAATAGTACTGGGGCTAAGAAACCCTAGCATGAAGGTATCTGTTTGAGGTTAATAAGTCCTCTGTTGGGCATGGTCTTGGGGTGCTAGAGGCTACTGAGGCCACAGAGAGAGAACTCAGGCAAAAGAAAAGACATGGGATGGATGGAGAATAAGGCTGCCACAAGACTCTGGCTTTGCCTGGACTCATCCTTCCCAAGAGAGATGAAACACACGAAGTCCAAGAAATTGGAGGCTCCAAGTCCAGGATCAAAATAGTCCTTTTTATTAGTGATAAGTGGCCCCTGGGCTGCCAGTCTTGCAAACAGAATCCAGTCCCTTCTTTGTCAGTTGATGGCTGAGAGGCTGGTTGATTGCCTAACTCTCAAGCATAAGACTTTACCGTAAGGACCCAGGAACTACCACCAGTCTAGGGAAACAGGAGTTTAATCAGGAGTAGAGACAAGGCTACAGCTCCCTGAACCTCCCTAATGCAACAAGCCAAAGGATGCTTCTGACTTAGGAGGCAGGGCAGAGAAGCATACACAGGTTTAAACAGCAGAGAGACCTAGTGGGTTTGCATTCCTGGCTCAGTCATGTGGCAGTTGAGTGATCCTGGATGTCAAAGTGGAATGAATAAGAACACAGACTCTAGAGCCAGAGCTTGGTCACTTCCTGACCATATGCCCTTTGGCAAGTAAATGTGTCATCTCTGTGCCTTAGTTTTCTCCTATGGAAAATGGGTACGAGCATGGTACCTGCCCAATAAGTCATTATGAAGACTGAATGCATTCCTGAAATGCATTAATCCAGAAAATCACTTAGAACAGTATCTGGCTCAGAGTACACACTATGCTGAAGTCTGCTACTATCATCCCCATTGTAGTCATCACTATCTCACTGCAAACAAGTGATTTAGTTTCTCTGAGACTCAGTTTCCTCTTTTGAAAAACGGGCATTACATAGTTGACCTGGAAGAACATAGGTTTGAATTGTGCAGGTCCACTTATATGTGAATTTTCTTCCACCTCTGGCACCCCTGAGACAGCGAGACCAACCCTTCCTCTTCCTCCTCCTCCTCAACATGAAGATGATGGGGATGAAGGCCTTTATGATGATCCACTTCCACTTAATGAATAGCAAATATATTTTCTCTTCCTTATGATTTTCTTAATATTTTGTTTTCTCTAGCTTACTTGATTTCTCTACTTAATTATAAAATACATAATACATGGGGCATAAAAGTATGTATAAGTCAACTGCTTATGTTATCTGTTAACTGTTTATATTATGCTATGTTTACGTTATCATAAGGCTTCCGGTCAATAGTAGGCTAGTAGGAGTTAAGTGTTGGGGGAGTCAAAAGTTATAGACAGATTTTTTACTGTGCTGGGTGGGGGCCAGCTATAGTTGTCACCTCGCTGGCCTCAGGATTCAATAATGCATGTTAAGCGCTTGCCAGGGAAGTTGATATATTGTAAGTGCATATTATTATTTATTAAAAAGTTTGACCAAAGCAATGAAACCAGTTCTCATTTACTGCTACATTAAACTATTCACCTTGACCAAAGAGAAAGAAACTACAGGCTTCAAGATGGTCCCAGAATCCCCAGCGTCTTGTGGCATGCCCAAAAGGTAAGTTCTGAGAATAATAATAGTGAGGTATGCAAAGATGAGTGGAGAATATCAGCTTCTTTAAAAGGGGCGCTCTGTTCTTAATGACTCATTACTTCACACAATCTGTAGAGCAGAGGTAATATTGGGAATGGAAGGCCTTTACATCCCCACAAAGGTAACATAGCGCTTGCTGTGGTGGAAGAGGACAGAGGAGAAGGGAGCTGGGCAGGACACCTCCTCTCCCCAACTTCTCTCCCCTCTCCAGCCTGACTGGAGAAGTGGGCAGAGGCCCTGGGGCTCTTTGCTTGCAGGACTGCCTGTTCCAAGCTCCATCTGAGCTCCTGTGCTGAGGTCTCAATTCATCAGAAAGTAAAGGGGCAGGGACCTTTCAGAAGCCTGACCCAAGGGTCTGACATGACCCAGCCAACAAAGCCCGCAGAATAAATTTAGCCCCAATGATCTTGTACCACACAGCAGCCACCTGCTCAAACAGTTGTTCTTGCCAAACTCATTAAAACTATGTTCAGCTTCTTTCATGTTTCCAGCAGCCTAGGACTCCAAGGGGGTAGCAGGAGTGCCCACAGAGCACAACCTCGCCTCCACCACTTGGATCAAGGTTGCATCAAACAAGCAAGAATGTTCTGGTGTCGTGCAACCACACGGGGAGGAAGAAGGCGTTCCTTTCCCTGATCTTCTTCCAGCTTCTCCACAACTGAGATGGGCCTGGCAGGGGATTTGGAGGGTGGTGGCAGGGGAACTGGAGAGTGGTGACAGGGGTCAGCAGAACTCTTAGCTGCTATGAATCGTCAGGTATGATCTGCCCCTGTGGATGGCCACCCTGTTGGCTTCGGGAAAGATGTCTTTTCCTAAATCATTCTTTCTGAACCCACTATGCCTGCAATTCAAGGCACCAAGGCAGTGCAATGACTGCTGGCGGTGACACTCCTGCCATATTTTGTGCTACTCACCCTAATATGCAGCCCAAACACTGAGACCTATTTCCACGTGCAACATCACTTAAAAACCCATTCTCTGGGCTCAGCAGGCAGAACCCCCTGATATATGGCAGGGGGTAAGAAGCCAGGGACCAATGTTCAGGCAAACCATTAAGGTATGGAAAGAACAGAGGAGTTCGTGTTGATTTCACTGTCCTTACCTACATAGCCCAGGAATGAATATATAGATTTATAATACATAAAGAAAACATGCAGTGAATGTGGCCAAATCCCAAGCTTGACCTTCTGGGCCCCATATGATATGCACGGTGAGCAGGCAAAGTTCCAATGAGCTCTTGCCACCTGCCAAGCCCATCTGCTACAAACACACTGGCAGCCAGGAAGTCACACATTATAACCCTATAGGATTCCTAAAAAGTGCCAACAGTCTTCTTGAGGAGTAAGAGGGTAAAGGGATGGAGAGAGGGCCTATCATGCCTTACCCTGGAAAGATATGTGACCAGGCTCCTGTTAGATGAGTCAGGTCAGCTCAGACTTCTGGGGTGCATCAAAGAGGTGTTGGAAAACCACTAAAAATCATGAAGTGCACAATGGAAGCATGAAATTAACCAGAATCAGAGACTTGACTTAAGAGGTCCTTTGAAGGCATTTTCCAAAGACAATGGAAAGATAGTAAATAATCCCCAATCAATAAGTAATTTCAACCACACTGTACTGATCTGTAAGTAATCTCTTTGTGACCACACATGACAATTTTCAGGGAGAAGACTGAATCCCCATCCCATGACAGGTTAGGAAAAGACACACTCTATTTTAACCCCTTGATCTGGCTGGAAAACCATGGCGCAGGCTACTTGCTGAGCTCTGTAACTTAGTGGCAAGCTAACAGAAGGCCCGAGATTCCCCAACATTTTGTTCCATCCTCTCTGCCATTTGAAAATTCTCTTTCTCAAAAAAGATAAAAGTCTACTTAGGAAAACAAGAGCAGAGGCAGAATGAATTGAGAAGGGGATGCCAAAAGACAGAACTTACTTTGCAAAGCGACAGTGTCTAGCGTCTCCACAGACTACTCACACATTCAATTCACTCCAAAGGTAATTTATACTTCACGAAAGAGTTTCCAGTGTTGTAGTAATGGTAGATGAGAGCTGTCAGGCCTTAAGTAACAGCCTATTTTAATGCCTGGAGAGAAAAATACAACTTGCACGCATTTATGGAAATGTACAAAGGTACAGGAAACCGACCCTTGCCTCCATCCCCTTCTAACAAATGCAGTAGGCAGGAAGTCCTCCACACCAAAGAAAGATGCTATCAGCACGTCCACTTGCATAGGAATACAAATACAATTATTTCTTTAACAAAGAAAACTAATGACAGTAGGCATACATCCTACTGGGCATTAAGTATTTTGTTATATACAGTTAACACCTATTTGAATTGGGTACCATAGCACTTAATTGTTTTGTTCTATGCATAGCAAAGCAACCAACTGAATCTAATATTAGTCATTCATCAGCTGATAAAACTTTTTCAGAGAAACAAACTGCTACATTTTCCCCTCAAAGAACAGCAAGCATTTTAAACACATTTTCCCAGAGATGTTATGCTGAGGAAAACAGCTTAGAAATGTTACTTTAAACAAATCCCTTCTCTGGCTACCAACAACAAGATGAATTGGAACAAATGCTTGGCTCTGTTCTTTCCAAGCCTCCTTCTGTCCACCTGTCAAAGGCTGCCGTGACCCCACCGACCCAAAAGGCAGCCTCTGGAGCTCTGAAATGTGTCACCCTGCACGGACGCCCTCTGCACTGTACGCCAGCATTCTCATTAAGGATTATCCAACTCAGTTGCAGGAGGGAGAGACAAGATGGGCTGGCTGCCAGGAATTCTTTCAACACAGATTCCGAAAGAATATCCTCCGAAGTGCCGAAAGCCCAGATTTTCAGCAGTTCACTTTCTAGATTCTGTTACATAGCAACCATGCCAGCTCACAGGGAGTACCAACCAAGTTAATATTTTGTTTAAATGACACACTGCATTAACCCGCTAGGAAAACCCAAATTTTCTTCATCAAAAGGGGATACCAACCTACCTACTGCCCGTTGTCATCCCTGGAACAAAACAGCCAATGATGGATTGATGAGTTTGCTTCATTCATTTAAAAAAAGAATTTAAAAAACAAAAACAAAAACATTTGAAAATGAATCTAACAGTCTCTTGGCAGAGGAAGCAAAAGGTGACTCTTTCCCAAAACCATTTGTACTAATATTGTTAAAGTTACATTAGCATGCATTTAATATGTGCATAATGCCCTTTCGTTAAAAGATGACTTACACGGTTGCATTTTGAAATGCAAAGATACTCGTTTTATTCAAAACCTTGATTTGAAAACTGATAACTCAATAGCACTTAAACACTCTTAGGGTCTGGGCCCATTGAACTGCACCAACACAGACAAAATGAAAACACAAGACTAATTTGGAAGAACAGTCAGAAACCCTGAGGAGCTGAGCCTCTGGGAGCCTCCCTGGAGGTGTATTACGAAGAATCAAGTGGAACCCAATCAATTGCACTTTAAAATTAACTTGTGTGAGAACTCAAGGCTTCTTTTTAGGATAATGAAAGCAATGGCAAAAGAAACTACCAGACCACCTCTGCAGAGGGTTTCTGTGCTAGCAGGATGCTGCCACAGGCTATGAAAAAAACAAAAACAAACAAAAACAACTCCCGCCCCCATCAAAAAAAAAAAATCCCCCAAACTTACAGAGGCTAAATAATGTATCAAGTACTGTTGCTACAGACAAGTAAATGATACCCCACTGAACTTATACGGGGGCTTGTTTTCTTTTCAACCATCACATCTGTTGAAATGCATATCAGTTTAGACGGTTATGCGGCCAACAATCAAGTAGAGTTTAAACCTTTGAACATTTTATTTTCTGATTATAAAAATCACAAAGTGCCCCTAGGAAAGATTTTGAGACATACCAATGTACAAAGAGGAGAAATCAAGACCACCCTTCATCCTACCACCCACAGCCAGCCACTGACATGGGCAGGCACAGTCCTGAGAGCGTATGGGAGCTGCTGGTTTTATGTGTTTTTAAGGATATCCAAGAGATCCAAAAGCCATTTTCATTTCCACAGCCCTGTGCATTTGTGTAGGAAAAAAGAACAAGGAATCAGCCCCCTGTTGCTCCACTACAACAATTTAACCATCCGCGAGTATGTCAGTTTTCAAGTTGAGCATGTGGACATCATTACTGCGTTGACTGCCTTAGCCTGCCCAGTCTACAACCAGACCCAGGACTCAGATAAAAAGCCACTTAACTTTTCCTTCGCGGAGAAAGGGGCAGACAGTGGGAAATAAACGAGCATTGTTCAGTGTCCTTTACTATACAGCTTTTGATTCTTAGCAAAATGCCAGTTCTTAGCTATTTCTTTAATGTTAGCAGAGCCTCTGCCTATAAAAAGTGAAGCATTACCTTGCAGTCTGTCTTTTTTTTTTTTTTTTTTTTTTGCACAGGTTCCAGTGGAGAATGTTCTTTCGCACACAATGACATTGCAAGGATGACAAGAATAACCACATGTCAAGCTTGCAGCAAGCACTAGGACCACAACACCTTCTCACCATTACGTCATGGCTACTTCCTTACCAAAGTACTCCCCCCAATTCCTAAGACTTCCAACAGGCTCCGGGAGTACCAAGTTAAGATCTGACTTGGAATTCGACATAAAACTGCACGTGGGCAGGCTTCACATCTCACCTCAAAGAAAGCACACCTTCCCAGGAAGATAAGGTGGAAACAGAGACTGATGGAGAGAACCAGATTCTTAGGAAAACAGACTCTCTCAACCCTCAAGAGAAGCTCTTGAAATGACAACAGAACCAGAAAATCATTTTGAGCCACTGAGCAATTGGTACCTTGCACTTCAAGTGACATATTTAGACAAGTGGACCTCATGGACTGGAGATTTGTTTCTGTCCTGTTCTGGATTTCAGCAGTTTAATTTGCAATTCAAATGATATTAATAACCAGTGATACTGTTTCTTAAAGGGCAATTAGGCAAAAAGAAAAAAAAAATCCCCCAAAGCCTGCTTACCCTTTTACTTTCTAAGTCACAGAAACCAAACAGTACATTTTAGGGAATGCCCCATCCGCCTTTATGTCTTGCAGGGGGTTTCAGAGCTTAATCTCTGTCAATGTGAACACAAACCAACTGTCTTTTTCTTCCTCTTCTCTAAACCGCAGAGTCCCTTCAAACGGGCTCCCTGCAGCCCACCACCCTAAGCCTTCATTTCTCTACCGCTCAACCTTTGAGGTCTACAGTATCCCCCTGGAAAGTGCTCTCGGTGTTTATATTTGCGGAAATTTAAACTCCCTGCTGAGCTGAGCATCTACTGTTGCATCTATAGATTCCAATGCCTGAGAGACCTCAAATGAGAAGAAAATAAAGTCCAGATGCAACTGAGCCAAGGGATTTGGCATCCGCGGAGAAAAGTGCACAGCAGTGCAATCCTCTATCCCAACCACGGCGGCAGAGCCCGGAGCTCTCTCTGGGAAGGAGCCTAAGGAAGTGGGGGGAACTGTGCCATTCACCCCTGCGGGGGGTGGGGAAAAGGCCCCGGCATGAAAAGTTTGCACGGAGCTAGGGGGCTGGTGCCACGGAAAGGGCACTTTCTGATGCCGGAAGGGACCCGCCGGCTGCGCCTCGCTCAGGCTGGCCGGGGCCGGTGTGACCGTGTGACCCCGTGCACACTGCGCTCGGGTTTTCGTGAATGACAGCAGCCTGCAACTCCCAGCCGGAGAGCAGCGGTGGCCACCGCCGGGCGGAAAGGGTTACAAGCCAGAATGCAAAGCGATTTCGCCCCGGGTGTGGGGGACCCCGGGTCCCCGGCCACCTCCGAGGCCGGGCGTGCTCTGCTCGCCTTCCTCCGCCCTGGGCGCCGGGGCGATCCTACCTTGCGCTCCAAGCTGGGGGTTCTCCATGTTCGTCGCCGCCGAGTCCCCCGCCGCCGAGGCGCTGGCCGCGGCTCCCGGGCCCGGGCCGGGGCCGCCGCCGCCGCTCAGTTCCGCCAGTCTCCGGTTGGTGGCCGTGAGTTCGGCTCGCAGGTTGGTCACCTCCTGGCTGGCCGACTGGACCGCCCCATCGATGCGGAGCGCGAGCTGCTTATTGTCTTCCATCATGCTCAGGATTTTGGCCTGGGGGCGAGAGAGGTGACAAAGAGCTGCATGATGCGCGGGGGGCGCGCGGCCGGGCACCCCCGGCTCTACCTGTTGTGTCCTCCGCGGCCCGGCTTCGCCCGCGCCCCGACCCCCAGGCACCGGCAGCGCCGGTTCCTCCGGCACAGGAATGACAGCGGCGCCTCCAGCCCTAGCCGCGGCGGTGGCGAGGCGGCGGGGGGAGGAGGCGGAGGAGAAAAAAGAGGAGGAGAAGGAGGAGGAGGAGCAGCGATCGCCGAGACCCCGGCGGGCGGGCGCCGAGAGCTGCTCCAAGAAGGACACCGCGCGCCACCAGGCACTCTTTAAATGGAGCCTACCATTCGCCGCCGGCTCGGGAGGGGGTCTCGGTCGGAGGCTGGGGGCACCCTTGGCCTCCCGCGCCCCCGTACTTCGGAGACACACCCCCCGGGGGGGCGGAGGCGGCGGACGGCAGTCGGGAGGGGGCCAAGGTGGCGCCCCTGGCGAGGGGCAGGGGTCGCCTGGACCGAGGCCGGCCCTCTGTCCCCTCCCTTGAGCGGTGGGGCAGCCCCCGCCCTGGAGAACTGGTGCCCCGAGCCGTGCTAAGGTTGGGGAGGTGCTGGGTGCTCGGAAGAGAGGGTGCTTGGAAAGGGGGCCTCAGAGGGGAGCCGGGGTGGATCTCCATGGAAGGGAGACGCTTGCGCCAGCTCAGGAGTGGAGTTCGTGCTCCACCGGTTCCTTAAACTGCGAGTACGAAATCCCCAGAGGGGAGCTGAGCTGGTGCCCCGCGTGCCTCTCACTCTCCACCCCCCACCCGCAGGCCAGACCTGCGCTGCCCACCCCAGGAGGGAGCGCCTATCTTCCTCGGCGTGGGCCGCTGGTGCTCCCGCCTCTCCACAGCCCTAGCCCTGTGTGTGCATCCAGGTGGAGGAGCAGCCTTAGCCAGCTCCTAAGCTTCTTAGCCGGGCTGAATATTGGCGGGGACAGAGATGAGGTTGAGAGATAAGAAGGAAGGCGTCGATGGGGCTTCTTCCCTTTCTTCTACTGGGAGCAGAAGAGTTGAGCCCTGCTGCCTCAGTTTACCCATCCCCTCTTCACAGAAGAACTGAGGTAACCTGACGTTGATATGCCCTCTCCAGCTCCTCTTTCTCTCCCAGACCACAGGCTTTGCATTTTTCACTGGGGCCCTGGATTCCAGCCACCAGACCTTGTTACCATAGCAAACTTCATTCCATGCAAATAGGACAATTTAAAACAGCCAGCAACCCTCTGGTCAACAGGGCGCCATCATTCCAGCTCAGTCAACCTCCGGAGAGCAGCAAAGAGCAGATTGCAGAAGCCAGTGGGGTGCTGCGAGGAAAAATGAGGCTGCCCACCCTTCAGGTTCTTACAGGAAGCCCATAAGAACCAAGCAAAAACTGCGTGTAGAGTGCTTTTATATGCATTCTTATCTCTTGTGAGTGAGGATTATTATTCCCATTTTAGGGATAAGGAAACTGAGGCTCTGCATAGGGTTAAGCAATTTACTTAAGGGGCCCGCAGAAACCAGGTGACAGCGGGACTGGAAGAAAGTAATCATCTGATTGCAAGTTCCTCCTGCTGCGCCTTCAGGAGGCCTTGGATGATAGATTTCTCCCCCCTTTTCTGTGGAACCATAAAAACAGTCTTGCTCCATTCCCCTGTGACCACTAACAAGCTTTTGCAAGAGGGCAGGATTTGATGGTGGAGCATGTGGCAGGAAGACACAATTCTTCACTCTGTCCGCTCTGCTCAGCTAATGGGTCAGTTCGGGGATCGAACCCTGACCTTAACCTCATTAACACAAGTTCTTACCAACTGGACCAACCAAGGCACTTAGAACTGCTTAGTGTATCTGCAAACCAGGATTCAGTTCTTTGCAGTCTTTCAGTTACGTTATGGGGAGAGCATCAAAACTACAGAGCTGTGTGGGTCTTGAAAAGGGGGATGCCGTGGTGCAGCCATTGTGGAAAACATATTAGCAGTTCCTTGAACAGTTAAACATAGGATTACCATACGACCCAGCAAATCCACTCCTAGGTATATGTCCAAAACAAATATCCAAACAAAAATTTGTACATGAATGTTCATAGCAGCACTGTTCATTAGTAGCCAGAAGGCAGAAATAACCCAAATGTCCATCAACAGATGATTGGATGAACAAATTGCAGTATGCAATGGAATATTACTCAGCCGTGAAGAGTACTGATACATGCTACTACTACGTGGATGAAGCTCCAAAACATTATGTTAGTTGAAAGAAGCCCGACATAGAAGGTCACATATTATACGATTCAATTTATATGAAATATCCAGAATAAATAAATCCATGAAACAGGAAGCAGATTGGTGTTTGTCAGGGGCTGTGGGGAGGGAAGAATGAGAAGTAACTGCTTAATAGGTGCCGGGTGTTACTTTGTGCTGACTGATGAAAATGTTTTAGAACTAGACAGAGGTGGTGGTGGCACAACACGGTGAATGTACTAAGTGCCATTGAATTGTTCACTTTAAAGGGCTTAATTTCATGTTATGTAAATTTTACCTCAATCAAAAAGTCATATATGCAAATACACAAATAGAGAGGATGGGAATGTTTTGGAACTAGGGCTTCTGAGCAAACAGTTAAGAGTAGCTCTATTTAGAGGGCCGTGTGTGTGTGTGTGTGTGTGTGTGTGTGCGCACACGTGTGCGTGCACTCACACCTCTGGTATAGCACTCAGCAGAAGAAACAGTAATTTATCTGTTTATATGTCTCTCTCCCACTTCACTGGGAACTTGTGGGTGGGGGAAGGAGGGTTATCCGGCTTTTTATGTCATTCATCTTTGCGTCCTTGCCGCCCTAGCCCGTAGTAAGTGTTCTGTAAATGAATGCGTGTGAGTGTGTTTGTGTAGTAAACAAAGTGACCCAGTGTTACTCATTTTGCTCTTCAGTGAGATTATTCCCACACACCGGAATCTTCAAATCAAATCAAAACAAAAAAATCTAATAAGGAGAAAAGAAAAGACTCATTCCTTGAGCCCCTTCTCATCCCTCTATTTTTGAGGTTTCAAGAAGCTGCTTTAGAAACTCCTGGGGTGCCTCCTAGGATTTTAAGAATTTTATTTTTTGAGAGTTTTTTTTCCTAACATGAAAAAAAGGGGCTTTTTCCAGTTGTGTGTCCTTATGTTCACCCACACACCAAAGGACTAGATCTTAGATAGAAAGTCTGCAATCAATTAGCCTCTGCGGGTATACTTGATTTAAACCAAAAAGGTCTACCTTTCTTTTTTCTTTCTTTTTCTTTTTCTTTTTTTTTTTTTTTTTTGAGACGCAGTCTTGCTCTGTCGCCCAGGCTGGAGTGCAGTGGCGCCATCTCAGCTCACTGCAACCTCCGCCTCCTGGGTTCAAGGGATTGTCTGCCTCAGCCTCCTGAGTAGTTGCGATTACAGGTGCAGGCCTCCACACCCCTCTAATTTTTTTTTGTATTTTTAGTAGAGACAGGGTTTCACCAGGTTGGCCAGGTTGGTCTCGAACTCCTGACCTCAAGCAATCCACCTGCCTCGGCCTCCCAAAGTGCTGGGATTGCAGGCGTGAGCCACAGCGCTCGGCCGGGTCTACGTTTCTTATCCCCAGGCTTTACCACCGCTCCTCCGGAGGTGACCTCAAGGAACAAAACGGTTGCTATGTTTAACTTTTCAAGGAACAGCTAATATGTTTTCCACAATGGCTGCACCACGGCATCCCCCTTTTCAAGACCCACACAGCTCTGTAGTTTTGATGCTGCCCCCCCATAAGGTAACTGAAAGACTACAAAGAACTGAATCCTGGTTTGCAGATATACTAAGCAGTTCTTTTTTTTTTTGAGATGGAGTCTTGGTCTGTCTCCCAGGCTGGAGCATAGTGGTGTGATCTTGGCTCACTGCAACCTCTGCCTCCCGGGTTCAAGCAATTCTCTGCCTCAGCCTCCCGAGTAGCTGGGGTTACAGGTGCCCACCACCACCCCTGGCTAATTTTTGTATTTTTAGTAGAGACGGGGTTTCACCATCTTGGCCAGACTGCTCTTGAACTCATGACCTTGTGATCCACCTGCCTTGGCCTCCCAAAGTTACACCAAGCAGTTCTAAGTGCCTTGGTTGGTCCAGTTGGTCAGCGGAATCTGTGTCCCCTCCCACTGGCCTAACCCCCTCCTGCAAGCCCATTTGCCTGTCTATGGGGGCTGATAGGCGTTTACCGCCGGTGTCCTGGGACACACCTGCAAACTGTTGGGAGAAGGATTCCAGAGAAGTCTGTCATCCACAGCTGTCTCTCCATGGGATTCACAGCTATGAGAATTTGGCAGTACTGTGGGTTCTGTTTCAGGGTTCCCCCTTTTGCGTGTTCCCCAAATAGTCCCAATCTCACACCCCAGTAGGCTGATGTTAAGAACCAAGACAGAAAATGGGTCCACTTCATAGGGACTTGCTATCATTTTTCCACTGTCACTGCTGCTATCACTCTCAACCAGCCCAACCCCATCCAAGGTCCAGGCCTCGGCTCATATGTGGTCACCAGCCTCTACGTACATTGTCTGATCTTTCTGAGCAGAATAAGCCAACTGTGCCGTGTGTGTTTGTTGCCCATCAAAGCTTGCCTGGGTATTTTGAAAAGTCTGCAAAACCAGCTTCCCTGTAGCTCAGAGAAAGGAAATTCCTATCAAGAATCAAGGCTAAGGGCCTAACCCATTGCTGACAGCACAGCCGTATGCACCTCCCTTTTCCCAGAAATAGAGTGACCTCATAATATAACGTCAAGACTGGGATGCTGCTGAGAGCAAAAGAGGGCGCAATGAGTAATTGAATTAAGCTAAAACAAGTGGCATACATAGGAATTGTCCCAGGAAACCCAGTATATATGGTTGCCCTACTCTATGATTGAATGACGCTATTTGGTCCTAGAAGGCAATGGGGATTGTCTACTCTAGTGCCCTCCTTATTTACAGACAGAGAAAGAGAGACCCCAGATTTAGGAATGAACCACGCAGCTTTGTCAGTGAAGGGGCTGGGAAGAATTTAACCAGGGTCTTCAGAAAATGGCCCATCTTTCCACTGATGTGTGTCACGTGGCACTTCCTAAATTACACCCACAGCCTTGCATAAACTGGCCACTGACTTCTTGCACCACACCACTTGCTCACCACTCTCTTGCCACTTAATTGTTTCTGACCTCAAGGTCTTTGCCTTTTCCCTTGCCTCTCCCTGGAACATTCTCCCCCTGGCTCTCTGCATCTGATTCCTTTTCATCCCTCAGATTTAACATTCAACATTTACTTATTTCATAGCGTATATGGCCATTGGTTATTGTTCTGTTTATTTATTTGGGAATTTGAAATACAGACTGAAGGATTTGAGAGATAAGTCCCCAAGAGTTTGGCTCCCTGGGGTGAAGGTCTTTAAACTCCTGGGGTTTCCAAAACAATCCTGCTTATTCTTCTTTGTCTTGGATTCCATGGAATTCCCAAGAATAAATGCCCTTTTCTTGAGCTAATTTGATTATTTCTATTGCATGCAGTAAAATGCCCTGGCTAAAACTACTCCGTCCCTCCCCCGCATGTACCCAATGAGCCAGACCGTGAGCCTCAGGAAGGCAGGGTTTATATCCCATTCTGCTTTCTGCTCCCCCTGTCTGGTGTGATAGATGCTTCTCCAAAGAGTTTGTGGTTGATTGAACAAATTCATCTTCCTTGTCCCCTACAAATTCATATCCACAAATATTCTCGCTACTCTCATTAAAACCCTTCTCATATTCATTCAGTCTTCTCCAGGAATTCTAGTCACATCTTAATTTTGCAAAGCACTTTCACAGTTCTCTTATTTTATTCTTGCGACAACTCCGTTGGGTAGAGAGGGTACTGGTATCTGCACATGGCAGATGAAGACACTGAAGTTAAGAGATCTGTCCAAGCATCACAAAACTGCCTGCACTTCCTTCCACCTCTTATCCCTTCAGTGCTCAGCACATACTTGTTGAGTGGATAAGCTGGGGGCCAGGACTCAGATACTCCCACATAAAGCCCAGTTTTCTCTCCTATCCTATCAGAAGCATCGTTTCTGCCTAGCTCAGAGACCAGAGGCGGCATTCATGCATTCCACCTGGTAAGGCTGAGTGATAAATCCTGGATTCCAGGAATCCGTACGTGGGACAAGGTGGAAAGGGGGAAGGCTGAAAGGGAAGCCAGTGAGTGATGAACTTCTTGACCCTGGAGTCAGTGCCCTGAGAAACTCTCATGCTTCTTTGGGTTGGCAAGTGGCTGCTTGCAGGAGCCAGAGAGAGAGCCACGAATGGGGTCCTGCTCCCTGCAGCCAATGTTGAAGGCCACTTCCTGCAAACGGTGTCCCTTCCTAGGCTCTAGCCACAAGCCTCTGGTCTTCAGTGTTTCCCGAAGCGAAGATGAAGACCACATGACATGGAATTCTCAGAAGCTGCTTGTGAAAATGCAGAAGCCCAGGCCCCACCCCTGATCAACCAGAATCCCTGGTGTGGTGCCCAGTGTCTCGATATCTGCATTTACAACAAGCTGCCCAGGAGAATCTGATGCGTCATGAAGTTGGAGACTCACCGGTC
This sequence comes from Homo sapiens, assembly GCF_000001405.40. Lineage (NCBI taxonomy): Eukaryota > Metazoa > Chordata > Mammalia > Primates > Hominidae > Homo > Homo sapiens. The sequence goes on along the minus strand of NC_000001.11, from coordinate 14,592,405 downwards.
CAGACACCCAGATGCCCAGAAAACACTGAGCACGTGTGAAATATGTATATGCCAGGAGCCTTTTGAGCCTCAGGAGTGGCTGTGAGAGCTTCCTGCTCTCTGTTTTCTGGATCATATCTGTCCTGTGTGCCCTCCTCATCCCCCTCCAAGAGACAGTCCTTGGGGAGTTACCCTCCCTCTCCACAGACGGAGTCTCTGTTTATTCAAATTGTCACATGTGAATCCTGGCCTATCTAGGAGATGAATTTCTTGTACATTTACATGGTTTACTTTGTCTGAGTGGGTTTTAACATGTGCTCTGGGGAAAAGGGCAACAGATCTCCAGACAGGAGCGGCCAAGGCTCAGGGCTGTGAGTGAGAGGACCAGGAGCAGGGAACAGAGCCGTAGAGAAGTGTGCAGGCCGCGGAACCCCAACAGCTATCCTTCTCCTATTCATCACCCTCATAACCACAGCTATGAAATGAAAAGATGGAGAAGAAAAGATACCAGGAGGAAAAAACAGGGGAGAGGAGTGTGGGGCTTAAAGAGACAGCCAGCAGCTATAAGATGGAAATCTATGCGTTCAGTGTTGATGAAACACACGCACACATGGGCGCGTGCATGCACACACACCCCCTAGTATATATCAGTGTGGACACACAGCAGAGTTATTAGTGTAAAGAATGACAAGCTCCTCCTGTCTTCCCAAGCAATCTCTCATCTAAAGCTGGGAAAGTCGGTCAGGCGCATCCCTTCTGTGTATATATTTAACCAACTCAGTTCCTTCTGCAGATTTTTCATTTGCAAACAGTCCTTTAATAATCACTTCTAATTCAGAAGCTCCTAGGTATGAAATTGATAAATATTAATAGACATTCTAACCACAGACTTAAACACATAAGCATATATACTTAAAGTCTCTAATTCCTTGGTAGAAGTGCAAGTGCATTTTTTTCCCTCCTTGAATCTTTCTTGGTGTGTGTGTGTGTGTGTGTGTGTGTGTGTGTTTCTTCTTTCCCTGTTCGGGGCCTTACAAGAGAATATGTGTGCTGGCCTGGGTTCTCGACTCTGTCACAGCCTCTGTAAGTGACAGGGAAAAACAACCACAGCCAAGCAAAATATATAACCCAGAGACAAATATTTCCACCCTCAGAGAAATATCACTACACTCCAAAGACCTGGTTCAACCCCTGGGCATCTTGCCTGACTGACCTCTTGCCCTCTCATGCGGTGGCTGTGTCCATGGGGGGGGGGCACTATTTGATTTTCCAGCAACCCAGAACAGTTTCTGAGAGGTCCCCCCAACAAAGCTAAAGAGGATAGGGTCAAGTGTTCTAGCCACTCCTACACTCTCCTAAATCTGCTCTAATTTCCCATTTTAGCGAAGGCACCCTCTCTACAGCCTACTAGCAGGAGGATGTTAGCTGACGTCATCAATGATCTCATCCCGCCTTTGGTGTCGGGGGAGGGGTAGCTCCAATGCATAGGCTCTAGACTTAGTTAGGCATGGGTTTAAGTCCAGCCCTGCCACGTACTAGTTCTGAGACACTCGATGAGTTGCTTACTGTCTCAACTTCCTCACTGGGAAAATGGGAATAATATTGCTGCTGATTTCATAGACTTGTTGAGGAATTAAGAGAGATGATGCATTGGAAACCATCTGGAAGAGTGTCTGGTGCCTAGAAAGAAATTAATAGATGTTATCGGTGATGGAGATGATGGTGATGGTGATGAAGACCGTGGCTGTAATAGTTGTGATGGTAGCTCTCATTCTTCAGGCATCCACTGTGGTCTGCCAGTTTGCTCAACCATTTATTTCTACTAACTCAGGCTGAATCTTCCCAACACTGAGGTCACCATGAGTAAAACACTCAGGCTCAGGGGATTTGCTCACATTCACCTAGCTAAGAGGTAGAATAACCAGAGTCACACCTAGGTGTGCCCAATTCTAAGGTTTCCACCTTTTGTTTCTTTCTCATTTCCCCCTCTAATACGTGAAGTCATCCCTGCACTCGCTGAGGCAGTGAGAGACCTTCTGTGTCCCTTCCAACCCAATCCCCTTCACTCTCTGCAAAAGGTTCAGATCTGAGGCAGAAGCAGAGGAGGGAGCTACTCCTCTGTGGCTGGTGCATTTGTTATTCCAGGCCCTGGGGACCCATTTGGTAAATGAGTTCTTTTGGCTCATAAAATGGTACCCCAGTGATTTGAAACACTTAACACACCTACCCTAAATGGGTAATTTATTTTTTTGCTCACTGGTAGTGTTATTATTCCTGTGATCTCTATTCTATAAAAGTTGTTTTTGATGCTTTCTTGGAGGGTAGGGGGCTATTTTTAAACAGAGGTGCATTCGATTTGGTGAGGAGCTGAGTTTCATAAGATGAAACTCAGGCATCTCAGGACGCCTTTATCGCCCTACTTTGCTCTTTCACATTTATTTATTTAACTAAAATGTATCTTCAGGAGGAGAGTTTTCCACTCATTTCTACTCAGGCCCCCATTCTTTTCCCAGATTCTTATGGACTTCTGCTTCCTTGAGTTCATTTCTTTCTACTCCCAGGATGCTTTACTCACCGAATAAGTCCTCTTCTCTTACGAAAAGTACTTTCTCCCCCAAATATGTCACAAAGAACAGCGTGAGCCCCCATTCAAGGCCACAGAGGAAACATTATATTAGGTACCACAAGACCAGAGGAATGAAGACTCTAACATCCCTTGATGATTTATTGCAAAGGGGTCTCAGATCTGACAAGGTGCACCATCTTTCTTCAGGAATTGGAAGCAGTGGTAGTAGGAAGCGGCCGTAGATCTTGTCCCTTGAGCCAATACTAAATTATTCCAACACCAAAGTGCCCCGGGAAAAATCTGTATTTGCCAAATGGTGTACGCTGTATAAGTCAGTGTGCCATGAAGGGCTGTTCCTGCAGCCATCTGCCCTAATATTCAGTACTCACTGTCCAGTTGTATGCATAATTGGAAGGGAGATATTTTGTTCAATGGCCGACTTGTTAGGATGCTGTGTCTATAGCCAGCCAGGTGCAAAGCTGTCATGTTTATCTTAATTGACTGCCCCCCCTCCCTTTTTTTTTTTTTTACCTGCCTTGTTTTATGCTGAGGAGGTGTAAAGCAATTTACGATATCATATTTGGAACTCCAAGGCCACATTATTAGGTGTCTCTGCAGTTCAAGAGGGAGCTGTGTTGCTCATGGCAGTATCAGCTATTTTGCTTTTGATCATATCCTCAGCCATCTTGGTAGCAAGATGGTAGGTACTCTGACAGCTTCACCCAGGAACAGCCAGCTGCCGATGTCTTTCCTTTTGAGAAAGAAACAAGTAGATTTGACTTAGAAGAGGGCAGGTTGGGAGGTAAAAACAAGTACCAAGGGGAGGGGCTCAAGTTTGCCCTTCCCTTGCCTGCTCTGGTGTTCTGCATCCGTGCCCATGGCCCCAAACTCTCCTCCAGTTACTGGCTCCACGCCTAGGTCCTCAAAACACTGGGACCGCAAGTGCAAGAACGTACCTGTCCAGGCTCTGAAACAATTGTCATGTATTCAAGAGATGAAACTGTCTAGAAGAAAAGAAACTGAGCTTCATTCTTCCCCTGCCAGTGAGGAACCCCGAGGGAGTCCTGCAGAAAGCCAGGTTATAACACTGGGAGCTTGATACCTTCTAGGCAGCTTTGGGGAAGAAAAGAAAGACAGATCCAGGTTCTTGTCCTGTCATTCATTAGGAGGCATCAGACCAAAGTGTGCACTTCAATGTCTCTCAAAAGACGGACTGGCTAGCTCACGGACACCTTTGTGCAAATTAGAAAAATATTTGCCCCCTTCTCTCAGGCAAACGGAGCCCTGCTGGGGGGCACAGACTCAGAGGATGGAGCTCTGGCACTCAGGTGCGTAAGTTCCCTTCGGAAGCTAAGCAGGAAATGATCATACATATCACTGACCAGTGGGATTTCCACCTTCCTCACTCAGAGGGTATCTAGTTTCTATTTTCAAGATAATTTTGTTGCTAGCGTTTTAATTCAAAGTAACATGTACCTTCACAAATCTATGTATGCCTTTACATGAAGAACACTGAATGAAGATATTTTACATTAAATTTCAGCAACCATATACCTCTTTTCTTTCTTGAATTTGTCTCAACTATCCAAGAAGAGGCTAAATGAGCTGGTAGATTCAAAATCCAGATTTGCTTGAAAGTGCTGTGGGAAGGGGTGCTATGAAAATGAGAAGTGGCAATGATTCTTACACCACACCCGGTGCTAAGTACTTAATGTCAACCCTATGAGGAAGAAGCTACCATGATCATCCCCGTTTTACAGAGAGGAGAACTGAGACTCAGGAAGGTTAATTTACTCCCCCAAGGTCTTACAGCTCAAGAGTGGCAGGGCTGAGACTCAGCCACAGGCCACAGGGATGCCAGTGGCCCCCCTCTTACTACTTTTCTGTATGGCCTCCTTCCACTCAAACGCAACATGGGTGCTACTGAGTTGAAAAATGTAATGAAGATGGGATTCATATACACACCTGAACTGAGGATGATGTTGGAACAGTCATCTTTTTTTCTGGGGAGGTGCGTAGAAGGGGAATGATATAGTGTGGTTGTTTGTCCCCTCCAAATCTCATGTCGAAATGAAATCCTCAGTGTTGAAGGTGGGGCCTGGTGGGAGGTGATTGGATCATGGCGGCCGATGTCTTATGACCGACTTAGTACCAAACCCTTGGTGATGAGTGAGTTCTCACTCAGTTAGTTCACACGAGATCTGGTTGTTTCCGGGAGTACGGCACCTCCTCCCTTTCTCTCTTCCTCACCCGCCCCCCACTCTCACTCCTGCTCTGGCCATATGACATGCCTGCTCCCACTTTGCCTTCCACCATGACTGTAAGCTTCCTGAGGCCTCACCAGAAGCTAGCACCACACTTCCTGTACAGCCTGCAAAAGTGTAAGCCAGGTAAACCTCTTTTTTTTTTTTTTCTTTTTTTTTTTGAGTTGGAGTCTCGCTCTGTCACCCAGGCTGGAGTGCAGTGGCACAATCTCGGCTCACTGCAACCTCTGCCTCCCGGGTTAAAGCAATTTTCCTGCCTCAGCCTCTTGAGTAGCTGGGATTACAGGTGCATGCCACCACACCCGGATGATTTTTGTATTTTTAGTAGAGATGGGGTTTCACCATGTTGGTCAGGCAGGTCTCGAACTCCTGATATCAGATGATCCACCCTCCTTGGCCTTCCAAAGTGCTGGGATTACAGGCATGAGCCACCGCGCCTGGCCCCTTTTGTCAATTACCCAGGCTCAGGTATTTCTTTGTAGAGACTGCAAGAACTAATACAGGGAAGAATGAATATACGTGTAATTATTAATCTTCTGCTTCAGGGATTCTTAGCTTTACCATTGGGAAAAATCTTGAGCATTCTGTGGTTCTCATAGCTTCAGCAGTGTGGATTTCATTTCCTTTACGCACACCTCTAATTTTAATTGTCAGCAAGTGAGGAAAAAACATCACCCAATTTGTGGATTTTAGAATTCTATATCTGGAAGGAACCTCAAAGTTCATGCTTGCTTTGAACTTAAATGTTGAACTGTATTAAACTGGCATTTGATTGATGCCTACAATCCCAGCACTTTGAGAGGCCAAGGTACGAGGATCACTTGAGCCCGAGAGTTTGAGATCAGCCTGGGCAACAAAGCGAGACCCTATCTGAACAAAAAGTAAAAAAAAAACATATCTGGGTGTGGTAGCACATGCCTGCAGTCCTAGGCATGTGCTTTGGGAGGCCAAAGCCGGAGGGTCACTTGAGTCCAGGAGTTTGAGGCTTCAGTGAGCTATGATTGTGCCACCGCACTCCAGCACCTGAGCAACAGAATAAGACTCTATCTCTAAAAAAAAAAAAAAAAAAAACCAGAAAGAAAAAAGTTCATGCTTAGTCAAACAGGCTTGTTTTACAGATGAAGACACTGAGACCCAGAGAGACAATTTAACTTGCCCAGATGACCTACACATGGAGTAGCAATTCTTACTATTACTATGATTTGTTTCTGTTTGTTTAAGTGAGCCCAGGACCATGGTGGGTGTTCAGTAAACATTTGTTGAACCGTATTAAACTGTGGCGTTTGATTGATCCATCTGTGCGGCACATCACAAAAACAGACCAGCTCTACTTCTGATCACTCTGTTTTGAAAAGCTTCTAAGCTTAATATGAGGTGAAAACCTCCACTAGGAAGCATTCCTTTGATCTTACACTTCCTTTCCTTGAAACTGATAGCAAACTTGGCAACCGAGTCTTCCAGAAATTAATAATCAAACTTTACAAGTCTTCTTTGGTTATCCCAACAATTTACAACAAAAAGAAATGAAACATTTCCTACAGCATCTCCCCCTCTCCCTTCCAACACCCCCACTAGGGAACAGCTGTGTCTGTTTAAAATTGATTTTGATCTCCCAGGAGGGACCTGGTTTCTTTGCACACGGAGCTGCTGCCTCGAGATGGCGTGTGCAGTTCTGGGAAGGTGTTGGGGTTCAGCTGACTCTGCTGTAATTCTAACAGACAATCAGCAGAAGCCCATCTTCCCTCGGGGATGTGGGCGATGTGACACTTTAGCTGACATCGGTGCGGTGGGCTGGGACGTTCTGCTGCCTCAGGAATCTTTCGGCACCCTCTCCTCATTCCCCTTGACTATTGGTGGTAGACTGGATTTGTGTTTGTCATTCCTCACTCCTTCCCATTCATAGTATTACCCATCTATCTTGCCTTTTGCCTCGTTACTTGAAGTAGGTGGAGTACCTTTCCCTGACCCCCTGATGTTAGGCTTGGGCATGTGACTTGCTTTGGCCCCTGGATTGCTAGTGGGCTTGCAGCAAGCAGGGACCTTGAATGTGTTCACACTCTTTGGCTTGGCCTCCTCTGCTCTGTGATCCTGCGTGGGAAGAACGTGCCCCAAGTAACTGCCTTAATGTTCAGCTCTGAAATGCAGACATATGGAGCAAACCTGAACCTGGCCTGAGGTAAACCCCAGCCAAGCCCTAGCCACGTCCTGCCATTGTGCAGATCCACAAATGAGAAAAATGAATATGGTTGCAAGCCACTGAGATTCTGAGGCTGTTTGTTGCACAGCAAAAGCTGACTAACACATGATTGAAATTAGCACCGTCCCTCAAGGGTGCCATCCTGCCTGTAGTACTTTGCTAGGCAACCATAACCAAGAACCACCGACTAGGGGGCTTAACCAACAGAAATGTATTTCCTCAGAGTTCTAGAGGCTGGAAGTCCAAGGTCAAGGGGTTGGCAGGGTTAGTTTCTTCTGAGGCCTCTCTCCTTGGCTTGTAGACAGCCACTTTCTCCCTGTATCCTCCCATGCACATTCCTTTGTGCATGTCTGTGTCCTCATCTCCTCTTCTTGTAAGGACACCAGTTGTGTTGGATTAGGACCCACCCACATGACCTAATTTTCTCTTCATCACCTCTTTAAAGACCCTATCTTCAGGCCAGTCCCAGTGGCTCATGCCTGTAATCCCAGCACTTTGGGAGGCCAAGGCAGGAGGATCACCAGAGGTCGGGAGTTTGAGACCAGCCTGACCAATGTGGAAAACCGCATCTCTACCTAAAATACAAAATTAGCCAGGCGTGGTGGTGCATGCCTGTAATCCCAGCTACTCGGGAGGTTGAGGCAGGAGAATCGCTTGAACCCAGGAGGCAGAGGTTGCAGTGAGCCAAGATTGTGCCATTGCACTCCAGCCTGGGCAACAAGAGCAAAAACTTTGTCTCAAAAAAAAAAAGACTGTCTCCAAATGCAATTGCACACTGAGGTACTGGGGGTAGGATTTTAATCTATGAATTTTGAACAGGTACACTTCGGCCCATCACATTGCTTGCAAGTGAAAGAAACTTGGCAAGCACTGGTTTAGATACCAAGGGGAATTTATGGCTCTCACAACTGGGAAGTCTAGAGGCAGAGCTGACTTCAGGAACTCCAGCAGCTCCAGCAATGCCTTCTTGCTCCTCTCTGTGGAGTGGCCTTGTTTCTCATCCTCTCCTGTGCCACTGGCCTTTCTCCACCCAGAGAAGGCTTGAACAACACGGCCAAAGGCAACTCCGGGCTTACCTCATTCTACCTTAGCTGCCTCAAAGGAAAAAGACAGCTTCTCTCTCCGGTTGTTGGACAACTGGGCCTATCCCTCGGTCAGTCACCAAGACTAGGGCACATGCTCCTTTGATTGACCAGGCCTTGTGTATACGCCCAGCCCCACGACCCCAGGGAACTGGGTTGGTGGTCCCACCAGAGGTGCATGGAGTGGGGAGGAGCACTTGTCCAGGGCTGGGGGAGTGATTTAGCAGAAGGAGAAGGAATCCTGGGCAGACCAGGCAACGCATGTCCACACGCAACACATCCCTGCCCCAACAACAAGATAATGAGCCCTGACCTGCAGCCTGGGCGGGGACTTGGAGATGATGATCTAGGCCACTCATTCAGACTATTAATCAGACACACTGGGCTTCCATCCAGCCTTGACTTCCTAGATGGCAGCTTTAGGTGAGCTGCACAACTTCCCAGAGTTCCAGTTTTCTCTGTTATAAAGGTAGGGGAGGGGGGAATACAAATGTCTAGCTTGTTTCAAGATGGTGATGAGGAATAAACGCGATCATCACACCAAGCCCTAGCCTGCAGAGTGGATACTGTAGCTTTCCTCTAGCCATCCTCTTCAGGGTCACCTGCCAAGACCAGGAATATCAGCCACTAAAGTCCCATAGCTGCCCCCTCACCAGCTATCACCCTCTGCTGCAAGAGCAGGGGCCTGCCTCACCCAAGCTTATGCTCCCACCCAGGAACCAGCCTTGGGCCAGTGACTTGGATAGAAAATCCCAGCTCCTTTGCCTCCATTTGGGACCCCTCTGAAAGGCCAGCTCTGGAGCTCCCTCAAGGCATCATGACAAAGCACACTACCTGCCAGCTTCTCTGTCCACCTAATCCTGACTTCCTCACTCCTACACGTGCATCTCCTAGAGCATTCCCATGTCTGCATGCAGGAAACTGGATTGCAGGTGTTCTCGTGGCTGGCACACAAGGAGCATTCATGTGTGCTAGTTGTAATCATCGTGATCACTCTTGTACTTATTCACTCATTTGTCCACCACCCTCTGCTAAGCATACACCTACAAGAGGCAGGATAGTGTACTAGCTTAGACTGCAGACTTGCCTCTGGAACTGGAATGTTTGGGGCCAAATCCCTGGTTGACCTCCACCAGGTCTCTGATGTTGGGTAAGGAACTTGCCTTCTCTGTGCCTCAGTTTTCTCATCTGCGGAATGACAATAATAGTGTAGTTTCTGTCGCATAGGTTTGTTGTGAAGATTAAGTGAGTTGATAAGGGTAAAGGATTGACAAGCTCACCAGGCATGGAACAAATGCTTGTAAATGTTCACCTCTCTGCTTTCTCCTGGGCAGTATATTATGTGATGGGGCTGCAGGGATGGAGGAGGCCCAGTCTCTGCCCTAACGGTGCTCATGGTCTAGTGGCTGAGACAGACAAATCAACATTCATGCCAGGAAGAGCTTGATTCTGTGCCCCTTTAAGAGCGTGTTTTTGAGTGAAGATATGTCATTCATTGATTCTTTTAACTTCACATAATAAAGATCCATTAAAAATGAAAATTATGTTTTATTTCTCTCATCAAGAAAATTCTTAAGATTAAAACAACCTTGGAGACCAGTTCACAATACAAGAGTCTCAAATCTCTTTTCCAAGTCTAGGTTAGTGGTGCTTCCCACCCCTTCCTGCTGAGCAGAATTGCTGAAGGGGATGAGCCCCACCTGAAGGTTCCATTCCTCCAGTGCCCATCCACATGTCCCAGATTTGGGAACAAGTGTTTGTAAAGGACAGTCTCATCCTGTTGTCTGAGAACCACCTTTGCAACATGGATCAACTGACCCAAAGTGCCATCAGGGTTTGTGTGAGATGGAATGAAAAATTCCCAGGTTTTCAAGCTGAAGAGTCGGTCTCTAAAAGTCTCCCAGTTCAGCCCTCTCATTGTGTAGAGGAAGAGACAAGCTAAAATTGGGAAGTGACCTGCCCAAAACTGATTTTGCTCCACACCAAGAAGCTCTTCTTGATGCCCACTTTAAGATGGCAAATCCTTAGCGTTTTCTGGAGGAGGTGGTGAGAACACAGGACTTGGAGTCAGGCAGACCTGGCTGGGGTTCCTGTCATTTGATCTAGAAAGTCAACAGATTCCATGGAATTCTGGGAAAGTTATTGACCTCTCTAAACTTTAGGTTTTTTTTGCTTGTAAAATAGGGATGTTGTGATCTGTACTAACAGATAGGTACTGAACACCTAATACATGTCAGATGCTATTCTAGGGGTTGTAAATACAGCAGTGAAAAAAAAATAGGCAAAGTCCCTGCCCTTTTGGAGCTTACATTCTAGTCTGGGTGGTACGAGGTAGACATGCCTACATACAAATGTAAGTATATAATGTGTGGGAAGGGGAAAGAGAGGGGAACAGGAACTAAAGGACGAAGGGGGAGAAGGAGAACTGGGGATGACATTTGGCTTCTATTTTATATGAGATGGTTGGGGAACCTGACTTATCCAGTAAGGTGACATTGAGTAGAGACCTGAATCACACACAGGAACAAGCCAGGGAGATTTCTAGGGAGGGCAAAGGCTCAGAGATATGAGAGGCCCTGACTTGTCTGAGAAACAGTGGGGCAGGCATGGAGTGGAATGAAGGGAGGTGTGGGCAGCAGATGAGGCCAGAGAGAAGTAGGACCCGATCAGGTCCCCTTGGGGACTGTGAGGTCTTGTAGGGACTTTGGCTCTTATTCTGAGTGAGATGGGGGACACTGACCGGTGTTGAGTAGAGGAACGACACGAGATGATTTATGCTTTGGCACGCTGTGTGGCAAAGGCTGTCCAGAGACAAAAGTGAAGGCAGGAAACCATGTAGGCAGCTGTTGCCATATCTAGCAGGGTACCACGGTGGTTTAAAAGGTGGTGATGGAGTCGAGAGGTAGAGTATGGAAAGGTGAATGGATTCTAGATCAGTATTGAAGGTGGAGCCACAGGTTTTGCTGACAGGCTAAATGCAACACATGTGAGAGAAAGAGGAGAAAAGGATGACCTGAATGCTTGTATTTAAGCAAGTGGAAGAATGAAACATTCATTTCCCGAATGCGGAAGGCGGTGGGAGGAGCAGGTTTGGGGATAGAGTGTATGCTGATTTTGAGATGCGTGTTAGACATCCAAATGGCAATATCAGGTGGACAGTTGGATACACAAGCTTGGAGTTCAGGGGAGGGGTTTGAGCTGGAAATATGAATTTGGAAGGTGTCAGCATGTAGATGTTATCCAGAGGCCCAAGAGTGGATGAAATCTAACAAATCCATGTTGAAAGAGAAGGGAAAGGCCCAGGGACTGAGTCTCCCAATATTTAGAGGTCAAGGTCATAAGGAGACACAAGCAAAAAAGACCGAGAAGGAGCAGTGAGAGAAGTGGTGTCCCGAAAGCCGTGGAGAGAAAGTGTTTGAAGGAGGCCCTGTTAAAACTTTCTAATAGGCTGAGTAAGCGATGACATTGATGATTGATGACATTGGTTGATGACATTGATGACATCGAATGATCGACCAAGAATCTGGAATGCAGAGGTCAAAGGTGACTGCAAGAAGGGGCTTCACAGGGTGGTTGGGAGGAGTAAGTCAGATAGCAGACATAAATAAAGCAGCATAAAACCTGCTTAAAACCCAGAGCAGAGTAGGTGTCCATTAAATGTTAGTCCCTTTTCTCCTAATCCTCACCCACCACACAACTTGTCCAACTCACAGCTATAGGCCTCTTATCCTGAGCCCCTCCATATCCACTAACGTCAGCCACACATTCGTCATTACACATGGCTGCGCTATTAATATACTTTATTTATTTATTTATTTATTTATTTATTTATTTATTTATTTGAGATAGAGTTTCGCTCTTGTTGACCAGGCTGGAGTGCAATGGCACGATCTCGGCTCACCGCAACTTCCTCTTCCTGGGTTCAAGCAATTCTCCTGCCTCAGCCTTCCGAGTAGCTGGGATTACAGGCACGCGACACCACGCTCGGCTAATTTTGTATTTTTAGTAGAGATGGGGTTTCCCCGTGTTGGTCAGGCTGGTCTCGAACTCCCAACCTCAGGTGATCCACTTGCCTTGGCCTCCCAAAGTGCTGCGATTACAGGTGTGAGCCACCTTGCCTGGCCTCAATATACTTTAAAGATACATTCGCCAGCAATGGTGAAACCTAAGCTGACTGCAACACAAATTAATTACCCTGGAAGTCCCAGTGACGGTCAGTGAATTTGCAAATATCCTAAATAATATGCCACAAAAAAGATGTCGGATTCCTGTAGCTGTGAGTGACAATGGGTACTAATTATCCCTTACTCAGAAATTAAATGAGCAGATTTCCCCAACCCCCCTCCCACTTGGCAAAAGGTCTATATGATGTCCTAGAAAATAATAAAGTGAATGAACCCGGTATGAAAGGCAGCGGGCAGCCTCACACTGGGTTCTCTGCCGCTTATTAATACCAGCACATTGCATTAAATTAGAGAAGAGCCTTTTCACAGGAGTGCTAAGCATTCTGCCTGGCTGCCATGTGAGTCCCCCTGGATGCTGCTTCTTACCCAGCAATACAGCAGCCACTCAGTGTGTTCCCGTTCGTTCTGAATCAGATGATTAAGGCATGCTAAAAAAATTTTTTTTTCAGCAGTGGTCAAATAGTATGCTTACTGTAGCATTTCTTTTTTTTTTTTTTTAATTTTTTTTTGAGACGGAGTCTCGCTGTGTTGCCCAGGCTGCAGTGCAGTGGTGCGATCTCGGCTCACCGCAAGCTCCACCTCCCAGGTTCACGCCATTCTCCTGCCTCAGCCTCCTGAGTAGCTGGGACTACAGGCGCCCGCCACCACGCCCAGCTGCTTTTTTGTATTTTTAGTAGAAATGGGGTTTCACCGTGTTAGCCAGGGTGGTCTCAATCTCCTGACTTCATGATCCACCCACCTTGGCCTCCCAAAGTGCTGGGATTACAGGCGTGAGCCACCACGCCCAGACTACTCAGGAGATATGGAAAAACCACAATTTGGGGGCATTAATGGGTGTCAGAAATTGTACTAACTACCTTGCATTTCTCCTCTCATTTTATCTCATAGAAATCTAATTATTACAACAACTCCATGAGGTAGGTATTATAAACACTGTTATAAGCTGAGATTTCAAGAAATAAGTTCCAAGGGTCACTTAGGCAAATCCCTAAGTGGCAGAGGCAGGATTTGAACTCCAGGAGGACTGACGGTAAAGCTGGAGTGCTACGTTTCTCTTCTGTGCTGACTTCTAAGAAAAAACTGACATCTCAAACAGAGCATTTAGTGGGTTCTGCTACAATATTCAACTTACATTTTTATTAGGCAGGTGCTGGGGATAGGGAAAAGAAAAGGACAAAAAGTTTTGGTCCTCAGCTTCAAGAAGTATATATTATATTCTTATAAACTGGTAATGATAATACTCATCTGCCTATCTCCAAAGGTTATTGTAAAGTTCAAGTAAATTAATGGCTATAAAACCATCCTCTTTCCTAAATAGAATAAGGGCTGTAACCAGAAGCTGATTTAAAAAAATTATAAGGCATATTAATATCAGTATATTTTCAAGTGCTCAGTCAAGTTCTAAGTGTGACCAAATTTACTACTCCATCCTACACTTTCACTTGTATATGAATGGACCCATTTCCTCCCAAAGAAACATGCATTTTTAAATTTTGGCTGACATAAATCTACCCTGCTCCCAAGACTTGATTCATTTAAATTCTTCCCTTTTCAATTAAATAATCACCCAGAATCTAAAAGGACATATTTCCATTAGTAGACTCTCAACTAGATGACCTTTGCGATCACAAGGGTTTATGTAAATTTTTCTGATTGCTTTTTATCTTCTTGTGTATCACTTTCCCTAAAAATTCTGTCAGTTAGTGTATTTAAATTCTTTTCTCCTCTCCTCATTTCACCACTATTTACAATAATGAGTCACAGCTGAAAGGGACTGAAATATCACGGGCTCCTTTAACATGCCAGCAAGAAGGGTGCTTCACAGTTGGTAAAGGCTAGTGTAAGGCAGGGGAGAGATTTTCCTCTACCGTATGAAATGGAACTTAAAACTTCCATTAATTACTTTCCAGGCCCTATCCAACTTGTTTTTCTTGGGTAAGGCCTGGAAAGTAATTAATGGAAATTTTGGATATGACCCGATATTCTATACGAATAATAGCAAACTTGGATTATGTGCTCATTATGCGTCCAATCCGAAGGAGCTCATTGAATATCCTGACAAGTAGGGGGTAGATGCACTTATTATCCTCAGTGTACGGGTGAGAAGACTGCAGTTTGGGAAGGTTAAACACTTTCCCAAGGACACAGAGCTAGTAGGTCATAGAGGGGAAGTTTGAACACAGGGTTTGGACTTTTGACAGTTAGACCGTGGGTCCCAGCTCTGCCAGCCATGGAACTTCAGGCAAATCATGTTGCTTTCTAAACTTCCATTTTCTCATCTGTGAAATGGGCATGATAATATCTTGGCCTTGCCTCTCCTAGGGTTGTCAGGAAATTCAAAGTGTTGCTGGATGTGAAAAAGCTTTGTCAATGGTCAGGAATGCAATGATCACTATCACGATTGGGAAGGGAATGCAATGGAAGTCAATCAATGGAGCCTAAGATCACTCAGTGAGTGGGCTCACATTTAAGACTATAACCAGCTTTGTTCAAAGAACCAGTGGCCTGTGATGACCATGTGCTGACCACTAGCAGCTGAAGGGCTGGTTCCAGAAGGGCTCCCATCTCCCCAGCAGCCTGATCTTGCTGCTGAAGCACAATATTACCCTTGGAAGCCAGCCCCGACAGCCCTCCAAAGCTACTTCTCACCTCCCCTCTGTGCCAAAGAGATTAGTTTTGCCACCCTCTTTGATTAGTGGCACATTTCCAAGCTGAGGGTGTCTGTGGAAGCAATCTTTATGCTCAGATTTATTAAAGCCACTATTGGCTTAATGAATTACCGCAATCCAATGAGCCCGTAGATAGCTTGTATTTAACTTTTATGTGGCTGCCCCAGAAACCAGCTTGAAAAGCAGAAATCAATGATTGTGACAAAATCTCGATACAATTTATTTTGAATGTTCAGTTTGGGATCTGATGTATGCCATTGTCAGATGTATTTTATGCTCTCAGAAGAATTTTATTCTTACTGATTAAAGGGGGTTAGCAATATCAGTAGGATGCAGTTTGACAAACCTTAAAAGAAATGTTGCAAAAGTGTTCTCATCCATTACACGCTGGTTTCTAACCAGATTCCTCTCACATTTTAATCAGTAGCACCAGTAGCTGCGTCTTCAAACTACCAAAGGGAAGCCCTATTTACCAGTTCTTAAATTAATTAGTCAAAATGCATTTAATTAATTATGCCCACTGTGAATATCTGATTCACCAGTAATTGGGTAGGATATAGGCAGGAACCAGGTGGTATGGGAGGAGTAGACAAATTGACTAGGACTTTTCCCATTGGACACCTTGGTTTCAATAAGTATTATTTGCTCTTGGATTTTTTTCCTTTTTTTTTGGTAACGTACCAGCTACTATTTAGAAATAACCTGTTCATAAGCAACACCTGCAGATTAACATAAAGTTCCTATTTAGAGAGGTGTCTAGACAGAGCCTAAAATAGGAACTTTAAATCTTTAGCGTTCAATGGCAGCAGGCCATAAGACTTTCACAGAAACCAAGACCAGATGGCTTTTCAATTTTTAGCACTAATCAATTTATTACATAGAAGCCCCCAAAATGGGAATAAAGTTGGTTAGAGAAGGAGCATGACTTCATATCCTTTTCAGCATGTTCCTTTCATTTGTCCATGCATCCATCAGTGCATCCATCCATCCATCCATCCATTAATATATCCATCCATCCATCCATTGTTCCATTCATCCATCTACCCATCTATTTATCTGTCCATCCATCCATCCATCCACCCAGCCATCCATTGTTCCATCATCCATCTACCCATCTATTTATCTGTCCGTCCATCCATCCATCCATCCATCCATCCATCCATCCATCCATCCTTCCATCCTTCTAGTTTACTGAGTGTTTACTTTGTGTCAGACACTAACTTCTTGCCACTGATAACCTCTTTTAGTCCTTACTATAATCTGTGAGGTCCAATACTAATATCGTCTTCATTTTACAAATGTGACAACTAAGGCTTGAGAGGTTAAGTGACTTATTCAAGTCACACAGATCACAGGAGAAGAACAGGGACTCACATTCATCTCCCAACTCCAAGTTATGGGCTCTTTTTCCTACCACTCCTAACCTGGATGCTTTGGGTAAGAATCGGAATTGTCAAAGTTTGACAAGCTTAATATCTGAAAAGAGAAATGACTCACAACCCCCACAAAATGTTCACCTAAGGGGATGCATTTTTATTCTTACGTGCCAGGCCCTATACTAAAGCCTAGAGATATAATGGTGGACAATAAAGGTATAGACACTGTCCCCCTCATCCCAGAAGCTTTCAGGCTAGCAGAAAGACAGGTCATAGACAATTATTTAGTGGCATTGTTCAGTGGCTCGAAAAATATCCATAGGATAGATGAACGACCAGGTTCCTCAATGATGTGTTACTAGTCCTTGAAGATTCTACCTCCTGACTCTTTTAATTGTGTCTCCTCCTCCATTTAATCATGACCACTGACCTAGTTCAAGTGCTGGTTACTTGTCATTTAGATGACTGCAACAGCCTCCTCACTGGTTCCCTGACTACCTCTTTGACATGGTTTGGCTGTGTCCTCACCCAAATCTCATCTTGAATGGTAGCTCCCTTAATTCCCACGTGTTTTGGGAGGGATCTGGTGGGAGATAATTGAATCATGGGGATGGTTTCCCCCATACTGTTCTCATGGTAGTGAATAAGTCTCATGAGATCTGATGGTTTTATAAAGGGAAACCCCTTTCTCTTGGCTCTCATTCTCTCTTGTCTGCCACCATGTAAGATGTGCCTTTTGCCTTCTGCCGTGATTGTGAGGCCTCCCCAGCCACGTGCAACTGTGAGTCCATTAAATCTTTTTTTCTTTATAAATTACCCAGTCTCAGGTATGTCTTTCTCAGCAGCATGAGAACAGACTAATCCACTACTACCCCACTCTTATCTCCTTCCCCCAACCAACTGAAATCCCACTCTGCTGCCAGAGTGACCTCCATGACCTATTATTTTAATCAGGTCTTTCTGCTGAACCCCTTCAATGGATCCTTAATATCTTTAGGATTAAGCCTAAATTCCTTCGTGTGAAATAAAGGGTCCATCTGAACCAGCCACTACCTACCAGAATCCTCAAATGTGCCATAAGCTCCCACACCTGCGCCTTTCTACCTGCTGCTTAAGCTCCTCACCTGGCTGTATCTTCCTCTTGTTCTTCCTCCTCAATGCCCTGGAGAGCAAGTTCCTTTCTGAAGTCTTGGCTGAACAGAGACAGCCACTGCTCTGTGCGCTCTGAGCATCCCTGACGCCCTTCCACCACCACACTTCCTCTATGATCCTGCCACTGTCAGTTTCCTCCACTGGGCTGAAAGCTCACAAGGGCAGGACGAGACCTCTCTTACCTTTGCATGCTCAGTGCCTAAGCATTCAGCTTGGCCAACAGCAGGTGCTCAACAAATGATGGTTGAATGAATGTAGGTGTATTAGTCTGCTGCTGATAAAGACATACCCGAGACTGGGTAATTTATAAAGAAAAAGAGGTTTAATGGTCTCACAGTTTCATGGGCTGGGGAGGCCTCACAATCACGGCAGAAGATGAAAGGCATGTCTTACATGGCGGCAGACAAGAGAGAATAAGAGCCAAGAGAAAGGGGTTTCCCCTTATAAAACCATCAGATCTTGTGAGACTTATTCACTACCACAGTCCAGTATGGGGGAAATCGCCTCCATGATTCTATTATCTTCCACTGGGTCCCTCCCACAACACGTGGGAATTATGGGAGCTACAATTCAAGATGAGATTTGCGTGGGGACATAGCCAAACCATATCAGTAGGCAGAGCTCCCTGCAGACAGAGATTACTTGTCTGGATTTGTAAGAAAGAGAACTTTACTTCAAGGCCATTGATGAAGTGCAGGGAGACGTCATGAAGTTCAACTTCCCCAAGCTATACATGAGGAAACCAAGGTGGGGGTGAGGGGAATGACAGTCACTTTCTTCCTTCCTGTTCAGCCTTCTATTTTATTTTTCCAAGCAAGAAAAATCCTTGTAGATTTTCTAGAGTCTCTTCAGAGTTTTTGAGATGCACACCTAAAATTATTCATTGGAAACGTTATGTCATGAAATCACTGCTGCTTGGAATAAGAGCCTATATTTTCAGGGGAAAATTGACTAGATCAATAGGAATGGTTGGACTGAGAAAATAGAATCTGAGCTCCTAGCCACCTCTGGCATTGGTAACATATTTATCTTAATTAAGACTTTTTTTTCTTTATTAAGATGTTTCTTGTTTCAGGTACTATTCATATGCCTGAATTTCTCCTTCTTCCTCCATCCTCAAAAGTGACAATCTTAGGGGTAAAGTACACTGGACAGCTTGAGTAAAAAAAAGCCTGAGAATGCTATGTGCCTGATTTATAACATATTTTAGCTTTGTTTCTTTTAAAGTTCTGACCTGGACTCATTTTCTTTGGGGTTTAGTGTATTTCTTTCTTTTTTAAAAAATTTTTTGAGACAGAGTCTTGCTGTATCATGCAGGCTGGAGTGCAGTGGCATGATCTCAGCTCACTGCAACCTCTGCCTCCTGGGTTTAAGTGATTCTTCTGCCTCAGCTTCTCTAGTAGCTGGGATTACAGGTGTGCACCACCATCCCCGGCTAATTTTTTGTATTTTTAGTAGAGACGGGGTTTCACCATGCTGGCCAGGCTGGTTCGAACTCCTGACCTTGTGATCTGCCCGCCTCGGCCTGCCAAAGTGCTGTGATTACAAGCATAAGCCACCGTGCCCGGGTTTTAGTGTATTCTAATGCTTCCATTTTGTAGAAAAGAGGTGTATGGGAAAGCCACAAGTAGATTCCTGAAAATGTAGTTGCTTTTAGCAAAGCTGCTTAATTTCTTTTTGATGAGTGCGCTATGCATTATTGGGAATTGTTTGGCTAAATTTCCCTAAATACACATGGGGCTTAAAGGAAGAGTGTGGGAAGCACTGTGTAGTTTAGGAGAAATGGGTTTACTGACCCCTAGGAGGGAGGAACTTAATGAATCAGAAGTGTATTGCTTCTCATGCATGAAATAGGACTTCAAACCTCTCCCCCATTCCTCAGAGCTGAGGAGCATGAGTGATCGGTTACATTTTTCTGGTCTGTTACATCGTTGCTCCTGAAGGGTTTCCACAGATAGAACATTAGCTTTCTGGGTAGCACGGAAAACTTTATTTCTTTATTGTCTTGACTCAGCAATGTCCAGAAGAGTGCTAGGTATATAGTAAGTACTTAATACTTACATAAATGTTTAATCCGTTAGGTGTTTAGGTTTAACAAACTAAATAATGAGTCCAAGAAGGGGGTCTTTTCTATGAGTCTAGACATCCTCCACATTTCTGATTCTTCCTGTTTCTCTTCCAGGGGAGTGGGGGGCCGCTCCGCGGGGCCAAGGAAGTCACAAATGAGGTACACATACCCCTTCTTAAAGGCCCCTACATGCTCTGCCTGGTCAAAGCTTCAGGAATAGGCTCAATGCGACAGAGCCGCTCGGCCAAGTGCACAAGAAGCCAGGCCAAGCGCACAAGAAGCCAGCCGGCAAACTGTACTGGAAGGCTTTATACTCTTGCTTCCCAGGCCTGAGCTCTGAGCCCAGAGTCATACAGATCAGAGATCTGGGGACAGGGAGGCATTGTAGAGGGTCTCCTCCAGGGAGACTGGATTACAAAGAAAACCTTTTGAAGCCTGGGGCTATTTTCACCCAGGAAGCCTCAAGGACTGGGGATTGCCCAGCTCATTCTCTTCTTCCCTTGGGTTCTGAACCCACGCCAGCACCTCCTGAGGCCCCTTAGTCTGATGCTGGCCACGTGAACACACAGCCTTTGTACAATGCCGTGCCAGCGGACTCTGCATCATTAATCTGCATCAAGAAATATGAAGCCCCCAAATATTCCCTTGGCCACCACTGAAATAACCTGTAGAGCCATGCTTAAATGTAAAGTGTTACCTACTGAGTTATTCTAAAGTTTCCCACCTACCCATTAAATGATGAAAATGACTTGGCCTGCCTCCTGAGGGCTGATCCCAGAGCGGCGGTGGGAACGATGCAAGAAGTACCTCCCCCGAAGCTGCAGGGGGCAGCCTTCCCATAGCACTGGCTGGATCCTGTTACCCTAGCGGGGCTTCCCCAGAGGTTTACATTAGATCAGAACCACATCCTTCCAGTTTCTCTGCACTAGAGAACCAGGTGGATGCTCCTGGTTCAATTCCAGATGGAGTAGTTACATTGCCCTCACTGTCAGCCCACTCTGGTGCTAACTCAATGCAAGCCCTGCCTCTCCTTCCCTGCCATCCTCATTACTTAGCTCCAGTTGCCAGCCCAGTTAGAGGGATGGATCATTTGATGAAGGGTAAATCTCTATGGAATCTTGGCGGAGGGGAGGTACCACCATTCACCCTGGCCCGGAGTCTCACAGTCCATACTGTTCCTGATTCAAGTAGCACAGATAAATGCAAACGTGATGGCTGCCTTTATAGGGGGATGGAGTGGGGGCGCTCCCTGCTCTCATGCTGGTTTCCTTAGCCTCTGACCAATTTGCCAGAACACTTGCAAGGTTCAAACAGCATAGGCGCATGGAGCCATTGATCCCACATGGGGAACTCAAAAAGCTTTGCCAAGAGAGATTAACCCCCTAAAAAGCCCATTTTACTGAATTAGGCCAAAGCAAAAACAGAAGTGTAAGAGTACTTAGCAATTTTTGCAGAGTGAATTCAGTGAGCAGACGACAGAGATTCAATATATGAAAAAGGTGAGCAATTATGGCCAATAATAACTCGTTTCTTTCTCTTTGGTGTAATTATTGCATGAAGTCAGCATTATACTAAGCCGTTTAACCCTAGACCTAATTTTATTCCTCAATAGTAGTTTGAAAAAAAAAAAGCAGAAGCATTCTGAAAAAATTGACTGTGCTCACAGTTCTTAGTTTTGAATTCTATGTACGTTTCTACAAGGTTATATTTGGTCTTGTTATAAAAAAACAAATAAAAAAATCCAAATATAGTGAAGGGTTTTTGTCATAGGGCATGGGCGGCAGAGGAGCCAAGGTTAGGGAGGTCATTCCGTTGAGGTCGGGGCATGGAAAAGTCGTTCCTATATAAAAAATTGTCAAGAAGTCAAAAATTTAAGTTTCTAGAGGACAGGGAGAAGCTGCAGATGAGAAATTCAGGTAGGTAGGTAAGGATTCAGAGGTCAGGAGTAAGTAAGAGATATGAAGGCCAGGACAGTCGTTTGAAACAGAGGTATAGTGAAGAAACTAGAACTTTCCCGTATTGCTGGTGCGAATATAAGATGCTACAGCCACTTTGCAAAAACAGTTTGGTAATTTCTCAAGATGTTAAGCATAAAATTACCATATGACTCAGCGATTCTATGAGTTATTTACCCAGAGAAATGAGAACATACGTCCACACAAACACTCGTCGATGAATATTCACTGCAGCATTATTCATAATAGTTCAAACATGGAAACATTCCAAACGTTCATCAACTGATGAATGGTTAAATAAAATGTGGTCTAGCAATACCACGGACTACTGTTTCACAATAAAACAAGTACTAGTGAATGCTACAACAGGAGTGAACCCCAAAAACATGCTTAGAGAAATGTCAGCTATAAAAGAACACCAGTTGTACAATTCCACTTATATGAAATATCCAGAATGAGTAGAACTAGTCACAGAAAGTCGATCAGTGGTGATCTGGGGCTAGGGATAGGAATTGGGAGGAGGAGGAGGGTAAAAAGGTACAAGGTTTGTTTTTGGGGAGATGGTAATGTTCTGAAATTAGTGAGTGATGACATACAATTCTGTAGATAAAATGAAATTGTACACTTGGGAACATTTTATGGCATATAAATTATACCCTAATAAAGCTGTTAAAAAGCAACACAAAAGCTGAGGAATGAAGGAACCTAGTTAACAAAATGGGGTTATGAACCTGACTGAGGAGAGAGGAGCGTGAGATGGGCATCCTGGATTTTTAAAAATTTTTTATTATTAATTTTTTTGAGACGGAGTCTCGCTCTGTCACCCAGGCTGGAGTGCCGTGGTGCAGTCTTGGCTCACTGCAACCTCTACCTCCTGGGTTCAAGCAATTCTCCTGCCGCGGCCTCCCAATGAGCTGGGATTACAGGCACCCACCACCGCACCCAGTTAACTTTTTTGTATTTTTAGTAGAAACGGGGTTTCACCATATTGGCCAGGACAGTCTCGATCTCCTAACCTTGTGATCCACCCACCTCGGCCTCCCAAAGTGCTGGGATTACAGGTGTGAGCCACCACGCCTGGTGGGGCATCCTGGATTTCATCAGAAACTGATTTAAGGATTCAGCTCCTAACTGGTCCCACCCCTCTGGCTGCAGTTGCCAGAGCTAAGGATGCCCTCCTGGCTGATGAGAGGTTTCCAGGTGTTAATGACTTGTGATTTTAAGCAGAAATTTTCCCAAACTGGTTGATGATAAATATTATCGAGTATTTCCATTAAAAAAGTAGAGGAGGTGGCTGGGCGCGGTGGCTCATGCCTGTAATCCTAGCACTTTGGGAGGCCGAGGCGGGCAGATCTTGAGGTCAGGAGATCGAGACCATCCTGGCTAACACGGTGAAACCCCGTCTCTACTAAAAATACAAAAAATTAGCCAGGCATGGTGACAGGCGCCTGTAATCCCAGCTACTCGGGAGGCTGAGGCAGGAGAATGGCGTGAACCTGGGAGGCGGAGATTGCAGTGAGCCGAGATCTCGCCACTGCACTCCAGCCTGGGTGACAGAGCGAGACTCCGTCTCAAAAAAAAAAAAAAAAAAAAGCAGAGGAAGTAGAGGAGGTAGAGGAGGTGGTTTTGTGGTTAAGTAAGTTTGGAAACTTGCATCAAGACATTTTTGTATGGCAGGACTTCTGAATCTGTTGTATAATATCCAACACATTTTCTAAATACATCCTTTCCCATATGGAACAACTATTATTGTTACACAAGAAATAGAAAAAAAAACCTCACACAACTATAAATGGGATAGCCTTAGGAAAAACATGGGAGCTGTCAGAAGTTCATCTGGGACATGAGCAAATACTTGTGAATTTTTTGTGGGATATTTTCAGCTCCTTCATTCAGCAAACGTTCATTGAGTGACTCTGCATCAACCGAATGGAGTGCTGGGGTTACTGTATTGTGTAACTGCCTTAATTTCCCCAGGGCTAATGGAAATGCAAGGCACATAGTAGGTCCACAATCAGTGTTTGTGGCTGAATGGATCGGAATCTGGTGGGGGAGACACATCGGATCCGTCGTAGTTTCTACTGCCAGGAAACAAGTATCCCAGACTTTGTGGCTTAAAACAACACCCATTCCTTATCTCATGGCTTCTGTGGGTCAGAAGCCTGGGTACAGCTCAGCTGGATTTTCTGCTCAGGGTATCAAGAGGCTGAGTTGGCTGTTGATATGGTTTGGCTCTGTGTCCCCACCCAAATCCCACCTTGAATTGTAAGAATCCCCATGTGTTGTGGGAGGGAACTGGTAGGAGGTAATTGAATCATGGGGGCAGATTTTTCCTGTGCTGTTCTCATGATAGTGAATAAGTCTCACGAGATCTGATGGTTTATAAACGGGAGTTCCCCTGCACATGTTCTCTCTTGCCTGTCACCATATAATACATGCCTTTCACCTTCCACCATGATTGTGAAGCCTCTCCGGCCATGTGGAATTGTGAGTCCACTGAACCTCTTTTTCTTTATAAATTACCCAGTCTTAGGTATGTCTTTATCAGCAGCATGAAAGCGGACTAATACAGCTATGTTCTCCTCTGAAGCGGGGGTCCTCTTCAAGCTGACGTGATTGTTGGCAGAATTTGAATCTTTGTCCTCAGCCCCTAAAGGTCACTTGTCACTCCCTTCAATGTGGCCCTCATGATAGGCAGTTCACATCGTAGCTTTGTGCTTCCTCAAGGCCAGGAGGAGGACCTCTTTTGCACGGATTCTCTTCCTTCAGGGAATGAGCGGATCCTCTTTGAAAGGGCTCACCTGATGAGGTCAGGCCCACCCACAGTAATCCCCCTTTTAAAACTCAAAGTCAACTGATTAGGAACTTTAACTACATCTGCAAAATCCCTACACTTTTGCTACAGAATGTAACCTAATCACATATGTGAAATCCTACCATATTCATAAGTCTTTGTCATACTGAAGCGAGGGGGTTTATATAGCTGTGTACACCAGGAGGTGAGAATCTTAGGGGTGGTTTTAGAATTCTGCCTACCACAGGATATTAAGTAAAATGGGGGAGTAAAAGAACTGTGAAAGATCAGAGGAGGGGTCTTTTAGCTGCTGAATGAGATGAGGTGACATCTAGGAAGTCTACCCAGAGGGAATGAGTTTTAATAGACTGAGATGGTTGACTCAAAACAAAAACAGAAACAAAATAACATTTCTAAGTATATGTTTTTGAATATGAGCATTTGATAATTACAGTACTAAACACCATTTTTAGGTTTAAAAGAGAGGTTTGTAAACATTAAAAATATTTAAGCAGTTCAAAGAGCAATGCAGACTTACTTCACTTTATTGCATTTTGCTTTATTGTACCTTGCAGGTATTACATATTTTTACAAGTTCAAGGTTTGTGGCAACCTTGTGCTGAGTAAGTCTATTGGTGCTATTTTTCCAACAGCATGTGCTCACTTTGTGTCTCTGTATCACATTGTGGTGATTTTTGCAATACTTCAAACTTTTTCATTATCATTATATCTATTATGATGATCAGTGATCTTTGATATTACTATTATAATTGTTTTGGGGTGCCATGAACCACAACAATATAAGATGGTGAACCAACTTGAGAAATTTTGTGTGTTCCGACAGCTCCACCAACTGGCCGTTTCCCCATTTCTTTCCCTCTCCTAGGGCCTCCCTATTCCCTGAGCCACAGCAATATTGAAACTATGCCATCTAATAACCCTACAATGACCTCTAAGGGTTCAACTGAAAGGAAGAGTTTAACATCTCTCACTTTAAATAAAAAACTAGAAATGATTAAGCTTAGTGAGGAAGACACATTGAAAGCCAAGACAGGCCAAAATGTAGGCCTCTTGCACCAAATACTTAGCCAAGTTGTAAATGCAAAAGAAAAGTTCTTGAAGGAAATTAAAAGTGCCAACTCCAGTGGACACATGAATGATAAGGAAGAAAAAGAGCCTTGTTGCTGATATGGATAAAGTTTGAGTGGTCTGGATAGAAGATCAAACTAGCCATAGCATTCCTTTAAGCCAAAGCCTAAAATCCAGAGCAAGACCCTGAGTCTTTTTAATTCAATGAAGGCTGAGATGGGAGGAAGCTGCAGAAGAAAAGTTGGGAGCTAGTAGAAGTTTGTTCATGAGATTTAAGGAAAAAAGGCATTGGTGTAACATAAAAGTTCAAGGTGAAGCAGCAAGTGCTGATGGAGAAGCTGCAGCAAGTTATCCAGAAGATCCAGCCTAGGATCGTTAATGAAGGTGGCTACACCAAACAACAGATTTTCAGTGTAGATGAAATAGCTTTATATTGGAAAAATATGTCATCTAGGATTTTCATAAGTGGGTAAGAGAAATTAATGCCTGGATTTAAAGCTTCAAAGGACAGGCTGACTCTCTTGTTAGCATCTAATGCAGCTGGTGACTTTAAATTGAAGTCAATGCTCATTTCCATTCTGAATATCCTAGGGCCCTTAAGAATTGTGCTAAATGTACTCATCTGTGCTCTATAAATGGAACACCAAAGCCTGAATGACAGCATATCTGTATACAGCGTGGTTTACTGAATATTTTAAGTGCATTGTTGAGACCTACTGCTTAGAAAAAAAGATTCTCTCAAAATATTACTGGTCGTTGACAAGGCACCTAACTATTCAAGAGCTTTGATGGGGACATACAAGGAGATTAATGCTATTTTCATACCTGCTAACACAGCATCCTTTCTGCAGCTTGTGGATCAAAGAGTAATTTAGACTTTCAATCTTATTATTATTTTGTATTAAGGAACACATTTCATAGGCTATAGATGCCACAGATAGTAATTCCTCTGATGGGCCTGAGTAAATTGAAAACCTTCTGGAAAGGAATCACTATGCTAGATGTCATTAAGAACATTTGTAATTCATGGGAGAAGGTCAAAACATCAACATTAAAAGGAGTTTGGAAGAAGCTGATTCCAACCCTCAAAGTCATGAATGACTTTGAAGAATTTAAGATGTCAGTGGAAGAAGTAACTGCAGATGTGATCAAAATAGCAAGAGAGCTACAATTAGAAGTGGAGTCTAAAGATGTGACTGAATTACTGGAATCTCAGGATCAAATTTGAATAGATGAGGAGTTGCTTCTTATGGAAGAGCAAAGAAAGTGGCTTCTAGAGATGGAAACTACTCCTAGTGAAGATGCTGTGAACATTGTTGAAATGACAATGAAGAATTTTGAATATTACATAAACTTAGTTGATAAAGCAGCAGCAGGGTTTGAAGGGATTGACTCCAATTTTGAGAGGTTTTACTTTTGACAAAATGCAAACAGCATTGCATGCTACAGGGAAATCTTTAACGAAAGGAAGGGTTAATCAATGTGTCAAGCTTCATTGTTGTCTTATTTTAAGAAATTGCCAGAGCCACGCTAACCTCCAGCAGCCACCATCAGCATTGAGGCAAGCCCTACAACAGCAAAAAGATTACAGTTTGCTAAAGGCTCAGGTGATCATTAGCATTTTTTTTAGGAATAAAATGTTTAATTAAGGTATGTACATTGCTTTTTAGACATACGCGATTGCACACTGAATAGACTATGGTATTATGTACATACAACTTTTATATGCACTGGGAAACAAACACTTTGTGTGACTCACTTTATGATGACATTCATGTTATTGCTGTGGTCTGGAACTGAACCTGCAATATTATCAAAGTATGCTTGCACATGAAGCCTGACTTCTAAGGAAGGGCAGGGAGGGAGAGGAAAGGATGCTACAATTAGGGAAGATACCTAGGGGTCTCCAACTGTATGGGTAATGCTCTATTTATCAAGCTAGGAGGTGGGTAGGCCAATGTTCTTTATTTTTTATACACTTTTGGTGTATGCAAAGCTTCATAATAATTTTTTTCGTTTCTCCTTCTCAACCTGAACCCCCAGTATCCAAATTCTCTTCCTGTAGAAAATACTGTCGATAGTGTCTGTCTTGGTTATGCTCCCACAGATATTGTATGTAACAACAACAAAAATAATCACTTGTAGCACTTACTCTGTGCCAGGCACTGTTATGGCATTTACTTTATTTTTATTTTACTTTATTTTATATATATTTTTTGAGACGGAGTCTCACTCTATTGCCCAGGCTGGAGTGCAGTGGTATGATCTCGGCTCACTGCAATCTCTGCTGCCCAGGTTCAAGCAATTCTCCTGCGTCAGCCTCCTGAGTAGCTGGGATTACAGGTGCCTACCACCACTCCAAGCTAATTTTTTTTTTTTTTGTATTTTTAGTAGAGACAGGGTTTCACCATCTTGGCCAGGCTGGTCTTGAACTCTTGACCTCGTGATCCACGCACCTCGGCCTCCTAAAGTGCTGGGATTACAGGCATGAGCCACTGTGGCTTTTATGGCATTTAACATACATTCACCCATTTAGTTCATACAGCAAGCCCACAGGGTAGCTTCTATTATCATCCCATATTCAAGATGAAGATGCAGAGACATGGGGAGATTAAAAAACCTACCCAGTGCTGCCCACTTATTGAGTGGTGAGGCTGAGATTTAAACCTAGAAGATCTGTCTCCAGGCACTATGTTAGGCTGTGTGCTACCTGGATTCACAATCACAGGTTTATTTTTTCCTATTTCTTATTCTGGAAAGAAAGTAAGTAGGAGTTGACCAGGTGGACAAACTGTGGAAGGGCATTCATACAAAGGGAACATTGTAGAATGAAATACTAAGTTCAGAACATCACAACCAGGAAGAGGTGCGCTGGGGCCTGAGAATAGATAGGAAGGTAGGACTTAAGTACTAAGGCCCTCAGATGCCATGTTAAGGAGTTCAAGACCAGCCTGGCCAACATGGTGAAACCCTGTCTCTACTAAAATACAAAAATTGGCTGGGCATGATGGCGGGTGCCTGTAATCCCAGCTACTCAGGAGGCTGAGATGGGAGAATCACTTGAACCCGGGAGATGGTGGTTGCAGTGAGCCAAGATTGTGCAACTCCAGCCTGGGTGGCTGAGCAAGACTCTGTCTCAGACAAAAAAAAAAAAAAGGAGTTTGAACCATACTCTGAGTGCAATCAGGCACCAAAGGCCTCATGTTGGTAGCCATATGGAAATACACAAGCAAAACTAAAGACAAGGAGACCATTTGGGAAGCTATTGCAGTCAATGGGTAAGAAGTGATGCAGTTGAACTGTGGCAGGGCTGAGAGGATGGGGAGGAGTGGTGAGAGCTGACTGCCCTCCAGGGGATGGAGCTGATGAGAGTTGAGGGTAAGGAAAAGCAAGGACTTGATGGGGATGAGTGACTGGGAGTGATGGCTAAGCTTCTGACTTAGGTATGGGAGTAGCGGAGGCATCATCCACTGAGATAAATCCAGGAAGGTGATGAATTCGCCATGATAGGTTTGGGACAGCTGGGTACAAATGCTAACTATTCAAGCCAGGAGTTTGGAAGACAGACCATGATAGAAGCATGTTGTGAACCATTATTCTCAAAATGTGGTCTAGGGAAAGGCCTGACTGGAGTCCCTTGGGTTATGGGTTTATACATCTTACTGGTCACACCATGGAGCCACTGAATCAGAGTCTCTGGGAGTGAGGCCAGGGAATCTTCATTTTTAACAAGCTCCCCAGATGACCCTTGTGGATTGTCAAAGGAGAGCTCCAGGAGCTACTGGTGATTGAATGCACTTGGTAGAAAGGCTGATCCAGGCGTGACTGCAGGTAATTCTCATTGGATTGGGAGAACCCTATGGTTGGAGGCCTTGGTGCTTGGAGCAGAAATTGTCCACAGTGGCAGATTTCACATCTGTGCAGGGAGCAGCCTCCTCTGACTCTTCTGGCAGCTGTGGGGATGCTTTTGTCCTTCTGATTTGACAGCTCATCCTGGTCCTCCTCTGCCTGACACTTAACAAACATGTCAAAGTGCCACTTCTAAGGCCTCTTAAATGATCCACAACGCTGTCTTCCACAAATCCCCTCGGAGATGAGTTGTCTTAACTAAACGCACTCCAGAGTGCTATGCAATCGAGTATTTGGCTTGCCCATCATTA
The DNA here is from genome assembly GCF_000001405.40 of Homo sapiens. Classification (NCBI taxonomy): domain Eukaryota; kingdom Metazoa; phylum Chordata; class Mammalia; order Primates; family Hominidae; genus Homo; species Homo sapiens. Next base: position 14,562,870 of record NC_000001.11, on the reverse strand, counting down.
AAACAGCCTTCTCCTGCTTTCCACGGGAATCTCTGGAAGGCACTGCCATGTGGATGTGTGGGAAGAATTAAAGTTCTGTCATTAATAAACATCTACTGTAAGTGATTGGAAAATAAACACAGGGCACTCCTTGCACTTAGTAGGTGCTCAGTGAACATCTGCAGAAATAGCCTGAAACTACCCAACATCTGCAGAAATAGGTTGAAACTACCCATGTTTCACCATCTCATGGTTCCACCACCCACAAGACTGGAGAGAAATACATTTTGCTGAATACTTGCTGCTATTTCAGAGACTGAAAACCTCACAGAAGAAAAGTCAGCCAGGGAATCAGAGGATTTCAGAACTAGCTTAGGATATCAATGACAATCCACCGCAATAGGTCTCAATAACTATTACTACCTTGAAGAGACTATGGGTCTTTCGGAGCCAATCTTGAAGTTTGCTAAGGTTTATACAGTCAAATTTATCCAGGTGAGTCAAGCTACAAAATGTCTACAACTTCAGAACTAGTGTCAATCATCCAGAATACGAAAGCAAGCATACTTTTTCCGTATCCCAAATATTTCAGATTGGTTTCCCTCCACTTCCCTTGCTGTTGGAATTTGGTCTCAGATGCTTTGACTCCCAGGCAATTGCTCACAACTAATTCACCCTTTTCCAAATTAGAAGTTAGTAGCATGAATAGCTCCAAATTAGCTGGAAGATTTCAATTTATTTGCCAAACAGAATGGCAGTCGTGTGTCCTCAAAGGGGTGGAGGCTTACCTAATAAAAGCTTAAGAGATTGCCACTTCCACTTGCCTGGTAAGTAATTCTGTGCCTTTGATGGGTCCATCCCCAGGGGGAGGCAAACGGGTCTCCCAGGTTCCTGGGTTTTTCAAAGGCCTTCTCTCTGGGGAGCCACTTTTCTTCAACTAGGAGGAATTTCAGAGGCTTTTTGAAACTTTTTTCTTCTTTTTTTTTTTGAGATGGAGTTTTGCTCTTTCATGAAGGCTGGAGTGCAGTGGCACGATCTCGGCTCACTGCAACCTCCGCTTCCTGGGTTCAAGCGATTCTCCTGCCTCAGCCTCCCAAGTAGCTGGGATTACAGGTGCCCGCCACCACGCCCGGCTAATTTTTGTATTTTTAGTAGAGATGGGGTTTCATCATATTGGCCAGGTCTGTCTTGAACTCCTGACCTCAGGTGATCCACCTGCCTTGGCCTCCCAAAAAGTGCTGGGATTACAGGTGCGAGCCACTGCGCCCAGCAGAACTTTCGACATGGGAGGACTATGGTTGTCTCCTCCCAGTATTGACTGTAACTCCAGCTTCCGGGATGTGAAAGTTTCCCACCTGCAGCCACTGATCTGCATTTCTGGTCACATGGGCCACCCCTCCCCAAAAGCTGATTGGCCCAGGGGTAAGAACTGGACCCAAAGCAGCCAATCAAGCCAGTGTTGGGAAACAAGCCTTTCAATCATCATTTTCTTTATCTTTTCGCCAGTCTCGGGTCTGTCATGTCCTTCCCAGGCCTCCTCAATGCCTTTTCTGTCCCTTCCATCTCTTATCAGCTGTGCCATTAGCTAGAAGTTATTGGGAAACCCCAGAGTGTTTACCCACTCGGAATATTCCCATTTCTTTGGGAGTTTTAAAATAGCTCAGTGATTCAGCCATGAGCTGATTCAGCCATGAGCTGTTTGGGTCAGTGAAGGGCACCTGACCCAGGGGCAGCCAATCCACAGGCTGGCCACAGTGTATGGGAAATATGGTTTGGGAGTTTTTCCCAGAAAGGCTGATGGTGCCGATGGAACCAAGCAGGTGCTCCCTCCAGAGTGAGCACTCAGGAGTTGATGCAGAGAGGAGCTTAGACAGGGAGGGCTTGTGTTAATGGTGGGACCCTGGCACAGACAGCCACACACTTCTCTTCCTGATGGGGCAACATAGTATGCCATTAGCCAGAACTGCCTTAGGTACCATCCAACTTCCTGTTCTTGCCATTTCGGATGTAAGGCCTGGCTGTGTTACTTCTACTTATTCAATACCTGAGATAACAACCAGAAAGCCGAATCCAGTATGGAAACTCCTCTCTCCCTTGCCTTTGCCTTCCCTTTCCCTTCTCCATCTTTACTCCTTCTTCCTCTTTCCCATCTTCTCCTTCTTCACATCATCATTATCATCATCATCACCACCACCACTGTTATTTAATGGACGCTCTCCTTGTGCCAGGCACTGTCAAAAGCACTGTATATCCTTGAACCTGCTAAATCCTCACAACAACTTGTCAGGTAGGTATTATTTATTATTATTATTTTGAGATGGAGTCTCGCTCTGTCGCCCAGGCTGGAGTGCAGTGGCGCGATCTCGGCTCACTGCAACCTCTGCTTCCTGGGTTCAAGCAATTCTCTGCCTCAGCCTTCTGAGTAGCTGGGATTACAGGCACATACCACCACGCCTGGCTAATTTTTGTATTTTAGTAGAGATGGGGTTTCATCATGTTGGCCAGGCTGGTCTCAAACTCCTGACCTCAAGTGATCCACCTGACTCGCAGGTAGCTATTATCATTGAAGGGGTCAGAATTTGAACCCAGGCCATCTGGCTCTGGGTCTGGGAATCCTCATGCCGCCCTTACAATCTGATCCTGTCAGAGCTTAAAAGGACTACTGAGGTCACCTTCTCTACTAATTGTCATACTTTGGGATTTTGTAGACCGATGAAAAATAAATAAGCAGTGAGGGCAGATATGGGGTGGCCACCTTCTTATTTCAAGAAAGGACAGTGGGAATGTTAAAACAAAAGATGTCTTTACCTTCATTAAAGAAAGGCCATTCACCACAAAAAGAGAAGGGAGGGCATAACCTCAGAATAAAGTACAGACATTTGAACTGAATAAGTCAGGCATTATGAAAACTCACCATATTGACTTATTTTTCTAATTTTGCTGCATAGCAATTAAAATGTGGCCCTGAACCAGCCCTAGGTCTTGGACTGGTGAGTGTCACTTGCTCTCCTCCAATTCTCACATTGTTTGTAAGGAAACAGAGGCCTGGACAGGGTGAGTGACTTCATCAAGGTCACACAAGGAGTTGCACGCAGATTTGGAACTTGGTTTCAGGTCTTTTGACTCCTTCAGCTGAAGGGTATTATTTCAGGGTTGAGAGTGGGGTGGAGACAGTGGGGGATCCTTACCTCTAACTAGGGAAGGACTGAAGTCTACAAATGTGCTTTCTGAGCCCTCAATGGAAATGGATTGGAAGCTCTGGCCTCGAGAATGCAGTCCGGTCTTGGGAATTTACAGTATCTTCTTCTTCGTCTACTGGCCTGTTTCCATTCTCACAAACACATTGAGAGGCAGATAATTCTGGTCTCATTTTAAAGATGGAGCAACTGTGGCACAGAGGAGTTATGGGCCACTTGCTCCAGATCATAGCATCAGTGGCTTGAAGGCAGTTTTCCCAGAGGTGCCAGAACCTGGCCATCCTAAAGCATAGACTGTGAGACCCATCATTCCGAGGATGGAATGGCATTAACTCCTCTCCAACTAGGCATTTCTTTTCTTCTGTTTGTTAGGGGAAAAGGCCCTCTAGTTGGTGAATTATTCATTCAACATGCATTTGCCGTCAAACACCTTTATAATAGCTACATTTCCTTTGTCTTCTTCCAGCACTAGAAGAGCCAACTCTACACATGCAGTATCCTGCTACCCTCCCCCAAGGCTCAGCTCAGTTGATTGGAATATAAAACCCAAGGGACTCATTTGGGACAATTAGATCCCTTTTGAGCCAAGAGATACAAAAGGAAGCTCCAGTTTATAGGAGGTGCTTGAGCTAAAAGATCACTTATCCTTGGGTTACATTTCATTTCATTGGAGCTAGAGCAACCATTTGGGGCCATGGGCAAGATCAAAGGGCAGAGGAGGCAGAGAGAAGGTGAGAGGAGGAAAGATGAGAAAGGTGAAATGAAGAAAGAAGAGAGAGACTCCTGGTTCTCCATGCCCCATGAGACTGCGGATGCCTTTCATAAGCCCCACTTTTATCTTGAGCTCATTTGAGAGGATTTCTGTTCTGTGCAACAAAAAGATGCTTAACCGGAACAGCCTACTCTAGACCTAGATACTCTAGGCTAGATGATAGAATACAGACAACTGCGGATCAAAGCCCGTCAAGAAGCTTACATCCCAGCGTGAGGCAGAAGACCGTTCCTTCCCATATGCAAACGCTCACAAGCCCACATGCTACTGTATATACCTGATACTCTTTTATACTGAAGATATATTCTCTGAGACTCCCCCTTCCAGCCAAATATCTGACCAAGAAACAGAACATGACTCTATGTTCAAAAAGAATAAGAAATTGGATGTACCCAGCTGAGAAAGCATTTAAAAATCTATCAATATTACCAATCTGTATTTATCACAATGGCTGGCTCATCCAAGGACCTCCCAACAAACGATAATCCTTGCTAAGCATCTTGGAGGTAAATGAGTGACAAGCAGTAAAAAGAAAAAAGATGTTTACTTGCTTCTTGGGAGGTTGCATGCTCCTGACACACACACAGTATTGGTACTTGCAGCTGAGCCCAGCTGGTCCATTTACCTTCTAAATTTTGCTGGTGGTGTTTCATTTTGGCGACTAGTGTAACAAGATGATCAAATAGCATTTGTGCTGTTGTGGGATCATTACTGAAAACAACTGGGGACAAGTTCTTTGCCTTCAAAGAGAGGAGCTGGGCCTTCTCTGCAGAATTTAGGAAGGGGAGGCTGGCATTGTTTTAATCTGTGACTGTAGAACTTGAAAAGAAGAAGGGATTCTTTCTTTCTAATGTTGGTATGTTATCACAAGAGTGGCACTGTGATCTGGGGAGACTGCTTTCCCTTTGGACATCAGAGTTTGGTGGCTTTCACATCAGCTCAGGCTAAATCTGCAAAGGTGTTTGGGGTCTTCTAAATGGAGGGGGTTTATGAAGGTCAATAATATTAGTGCACTGGCTGGTTTTCTACTTTGGAGTCAACCAGTCACCAACTGTTGAATTCCAGGCTCTGTAGCAGGAGCTGGGAAGACAAATATTAATCAGACATGCACCATCACTCTCTTCATTCTAGAGCTACACAATGGGCTCTCCAGCTTGCCAATTCACCTTTCAGATCTTGGGAGTTGCCAGCCTCCTTAGTCATGTGAGCCAATTTCTTACAACAAATCTCTCTCTCTCTCTCTCTCTCTCACACACCACACACACACACACACACACACACACACACACACACCCACACACACCCTATTGGTTTTGTTTCTCTGGAGAACCCTAACACAGGCCAAATTTCTTCAGGAAGCTGACGACTAACTTTTATATTTTTTATATATTTATAAATATCGATTATTTGTTTATTTATTACAAATATATTTATATTTAATGTGGAAAAAATGTACCTATGCCAACTTCTCTGACACCTACGCCATTCTCTCATTTATGTATCTGGCACCTATGGACATTGGAGATTTTGATTTTTAGTCCAGGGACTGCAAAGATTTTTCCTTTAACTGGTACCCATTTAGATAGCTGGAATACACAAAGGAGTCTTTTAAAAATAACTTTGATTTAATGAATGCACAAAGGTTTGGCCATTGGTCAATGCAAATGTCTCCCATATTTTCTATTTCTAAATGAATGCTGTTACCAGGTGTTGGGGATAACTTAAGATTCACATTAATTTTTTTGTATCATATTTTTCATGCAGTCTGCTAAAATTTTGACTTTACTATTTGCCCACGTTATTTCTGCTTTTGTTGGTCCTAGGGCAGATTTCGTTTTTTTCATCCCCCTGCTATTTCTTGTGTAGCTTTATTTTGCTGTGTGGATTATTTGTAGACTCAGGCATCCCCAGGAAACTCCCCTACCCACCTACAGCTCTTGAGCACAGAATGAATTCTTTCAGCTTCCAAATGGTCTGCCATTTATTGCTTTCTGAATTTGGCGACAAACTGTTCCTTAAAGCAAGCCAGATCAGCCATGCAAGGGTCCTCGGGAATATTTAAAGTTGGGCACTAAGAGCTGTCTGTTAGTAAAATCGGGGATAGAATGTCAGAGCCAAACGGGCCATTGAAGCTCATCTAATCTCACTCCCTCTTCTTAGAGATGGAGAATCTCAGATCAGGAAGAGAGCAGAGGGGTTCCCTTAAGGTTATGGTAATGATAAGAGGCAGATATAGGTGGGAATTCTTGCATGAATGGTTACTTGTTTGACAGTGAACAACTATCAATTTGGATAAAACAGAATACAAACTGAAAAAAAACATCCTGGAGAAAAAAATGTTGTCTTCTTTTAATGGGAAGTATGGAAAGAGGCAGCTGGAAAATTCACCCTCAGTTGACTTGGCTTGAAGACACAAATTTCTAGCTCCACACCTCCATGAGTCCCTGTCTAAAAATTTAATTTTCATGTGCTTATGAATTAATGGGGTGCTGTGCTTAAGAACTGCTCTTCCCCCGCCGGGCACGGGGGCTCACACCTGTAATCCCAGCACTTTGGGTGGCCGAGGCGTGTGGATCACGAGGTCAGGAGATCGAGACCATCCTGGATAACACAGGGAAATCCTGTCTCTACTAAAAACACAAAAAATTAGCCGGGTGTGGTGGTGGGTACCTGTAGTCCCAGCTACTCGGGAGGCTGAGGCAGGAGAATGGTGTGAACCCAGGAGGCGGAGCTTGCAATGAGCACAGATCACACCGCTGCCCTCCAGCCTGGGGACAGAGTGAGACTCCGACTGAAAAAAAAAAAAAAAGTAAAAAGAACTGCTCTTCTCCCGAAAAGAGCCTCCTAGCTTGTAGGATTTGCCAGTTTCCATGGTGTACTCCTACTGTGGTTTCAGGTAAACAACATATCACCGAATGGGGAGTTGGGAAACCAAGCACACCATTGCTCTCTGATGTAATTGTTTTTGCACATGTACTGTTCAGAGGCCACCTAAATCTTGATTTCAAGGCAAGTTGTCCAGTCTCTGTAGATATAATACATCATAAGTAAGGGGCAAGCCTATTGCCCACATCAAACACCTTTGTACAAACATCGGGGTCAGTTGACTAGTCAGTCAGCAAACACTGATGGGCACTTAATCTGTGTCTGATCTTGGGTAAGGCACGGTGGACTCAGGAATGGCTAGCAAACAGAAATCAACAGAATCCTGTATCTTACAGCTGAGTTATCTGCCCTTTTATCACTAGCTAGCTTTGTAAAATAAAGCAAATGACTCTAAAATGCCTGGGGATCTTCTTTTTTTTTCTTCCAGTGAAGATTTACAACCACAACTTTCCTACACGGCATTTTGATCTCCAGGGATGTCAAAAATATTCCTGTTTTTAAAACATCTTGAAATGTAGATTCAATGTAATTTCTAAAGTAAAGTTATTTCCTATAGCACCTTTAAGAGTGGGGGCATTTCCTATCAAATTAAACAAAATGCTGAGAAACTACAATTGTAGAAAGCTTGGAGATCCCGTATTTATGCCTTTTACTGGACAAATGTGCCAATGGCAAATCACTATTACTGTAATTGCTAAATGTCCCTTTTGCCTATTGTTCTACACTGGTGTTGCTGAAAGACTGTGTGCCTTGAGTCACTTCCTAAAATCTGTAGGCATCAAGGGTGCACGTGTGGATAAAGCAACTACAAATTTCCTTTAAATGAAACTTTGTGGAGTGCAGATTTGCTATGCAAGCTCTGTGTCCCCACTCAATTGCTATTTGGAAGGGGGACTTCCATCCTTGGGGTAAAGACACAGTGAAGTCACACTTGCCAATTATGACAGCAGATAGGAGACCCAAGCCCAGAACTCTTGGAGAGGTATTTGATGACAGTCCCTCCACGGCTGTAACTGTAACCATTAACTTGTTCTTCGGAATCATAGCTCTAAAAGGAGCTAAGGAACTCTTACGGGAACAGGAATGGTTGTGGGGGCACTGGTCTTTCCCATCAAATGTGTTTTGAAGAAGCAATGTTTTGGTTTGTGTAGCACTGGGATGGTTTGTGACTCGACGTCGGTGTGTGAATAATTGATTGGTAATAACGATCTGTTATCATAGGGAAGACTTATAGGGTCTAGGAAAATAGGAGAGGATTTCTCCCAGATAACTCAATTTGGAGAAGATATGACAGTTTTGATCTTAATTTTACAGGGTTACCTGCTCATGAAAACATGGACTCCAATACAGATCTTTCTAGAGATGTCAAGTACCGGATTAATATCTCTAAGATGCTTTCCTCTAAATTGCCTCTGTCTGTTTCAGATCATATCTGTTATAAGAGTTTGGAAATGATGATGTTGAGGAGGGACATTGTCTGTTGAAAGTTTCAAAGGGGACGCGTATGTAGGGTCAGGTTATCCTGCCAGATTCTTCCTGATTTGGCTTAAAGGAGAGGGAAATGAGAAGTGAAATTTTGCCACATTTCCTAGAAGATGATGGGTCCGTCCATCAGGGGGCAACTAAATGCATCTGGGTGTGAACCCAAGGCCTCCTGGGACTGAGCTGTGAACTGACTTTAGGTGGGGATGCCTGGGTGATACAGGGGTGCAGTTTAAGCCCCCAGCTCTGCCCAGGTTCACTGCGTTTTGCTGCTGTATTTGTGTGGCTGTAGGTGGAGACGGTACTAGCTGAAGACCGACTTTTATTGGGTGCTTCCTGTATGCCAGTTACCACTTCATATCTCCCCACAGAACCATGTTTATTCCCCCTGAGAACCCAGTGACATGAGTTATAGAAATGAGGTCACCGAGGCTCAAAGGGGTGAACTGATTTCCCCAAGTTCCTCAGCTAGGGAGGGCCAGTGCTGGGACTCAGCTGAGGTCTGTCTGGCTCCAGTAGCCTTGTTCCTAATTACTCTTCTACATTCTCTAATTCCCAGAAGCTTGGGTTCAGCACTTACGCAAGGAGCTGGCTGAGTGGTGTCACCCTTGGTTACACATTAGAATCACAGGGGGATGCTTTTTAAAACATACCAATGCCCGGAACCTACGCTGGACTGATTAAATCTTCCAGCAGTGAGGCCCAGGATTGGTCATTTCAAAACGCTCCACCAGGAAAGTCTGATGTTTGGCCAAGTGTGTCAGTTGCTGCCCTGGCGCCTGACAACCACCCGGTGGTTGGGAGGTAGTGTTTGGATTTAAGCCCCATCGTTCCACATGGGCAATGGTGCCAAGCCATGGCACCTGGGAGCCCCAAGCCCAAGAGGGGGGTTTCAGATAATTGACAGCCCAGATAAGCTCACGCACTGAGCAGCAAGGGGGCACCTTCACTAGCCGCATGGCCCTGGTCCAGCCACGTCCATGCATTGAGACTAAGTTTTCCCATCTGAAAAATGGGATTTGCGCCCTCTCCTTCAGAGAGTTCTAAGGCCAAGGTGATACATAGGTGACCAAGGACTGGCCTGGGTGCACTGACATGTTGAGTTTCACTTGCATGGGGCGGAACATGGTTTTGAATTAGTTACCAAGATTTAAGAATCAGGAGATTGCATATCAAAATCTATATATGTGTTTTTTGAGGCAGAGTCTCCCTCTCTCCCAGGCTGGAGTGCAGTGGCGCGATCTTGGCTCACTGCAGCCTCCACCTCCCAGTTCAAGCGTCTCCAGAGTAGCTGGGATTACAAGTGTGCACTACCATGGCTGGGTAATTTTTTTGTGTTTTCAGTAGAGACAAGGTTTTGCTATGTTGGCCAGGCTGGTCTCGAATTCCTGGCTTCCAGTGATCTGCCCGCCTCGGCTTCCCAAAATGTTAGGACTACAGGCATGAGCCAACGTGCCTGGCCTGTATTTTCAGTTTGTCTTGGAAAACCAGAGGCATGCCTCTGAGCCTCAGTTTCCTTGTCTGTATAATGGGGCCTGTGGTTCTGATGGGCACGGCTAATTGTGCTGAGTCTTAGCTTCCCAGTTTGATGGGCTGCAGTTGCCCCAGTCCGCTGTAGCCCATCATAGTCTGCTGCTGTCCCCACCAGCCTTATTGTCTCACACAAGCTGGAGTCACTCCTTTCCATCCCTGAACTGGCCCCAGAACCATGTGAATTAATGACCCCTGGTGAGCACTAAATTAGATAATATATTTTAAAATGCTTAAGCCATTGCCTGACTCATGGTAAATAGTCTATAAAGGGAAATTCTTCTTACCTGTATTTTATGATTACTATTGTGCTCTTTTGCCCAACTGTTGCCTGAGTCCAGCTGCTCACCCCCTTGGAATGCTCATGCCCAGACTTGCATGGAGGCATTCATGGGGGTCTCCTCCAGCTTTTGTGATGGGAGGAGAGAACCCCTTCTCCTTTGAACATAGCACAAGCTCCCCAAGACCCAGCTGCTACACACCAATTCTGAGTTTCCACCAGAAAATACAGGGAGCAGTTTCCCTGGCAACCGCCAAGTTGCAGCTTCAGGTTGGCACACTCTGCAGTTGGAATCAGACTGCCGGTTGCCGGAAGGGGAGCCGTGGTACGGAGGGTGGGGATCTGGGCCTGGGAGGCAGCTGCCCTCCTCCCTGCAGGCGGCTCCCAGCCCTCCTGCCTGGGCCGCTCTCCGTGGAGCCTGGTAAGCTGCAGGGAGGCTCTGCTAGCCGGATCTTTCTGTAACAGAAATGAACCGCTCAAGATCTCTTCCTTCCCAGGATACATTAATAGGGGGCAGGAGGATGGTGGCAAAGGGAGAGATGCTGCCCGTTCTCAGAAACCCTGCTCTGCTTCTTGGGCTGGAAGCATTCAGCCATCTATACTTTAAACTATTTCTAGGCTAAAGGGGTAAATTATATTTTAGGGGCACCAAAGGAAGAATTAAGATCTCAGCTTTGAACCAACTCCTAGAAATCTTGGTCAAGGGCACTCAGACATATTGATAGCATTAAGAAAAAAAGAAAGAAAGGAAGAAAAAGAAAGAAAGAAATAAAAAGAAGAGAGAGAGACTTTAATGATCTCTGACGGTAATGAGTAGAGAAGAGTACATGACATCAGGCTGCTTTTTCATCCCACGGGGCCAAGGAGGGGTGAGAAGGATTCTAGGTAGCCATTAATTCTTTTCCTAATTCCCCTGTGGATTATACCGATACTACCTTCCTTTGGTAATTGCCCACTCTGTGGTTCAACATCACTAGTGAAGGGCTTTGCTGTTTCTGCTGGGGTTTGAGCATGGGGACCAGGTTGGGAGGCTTAGATGTCTCAAATCTGTGAATCGCTTCACCTCGCTCCCTCCACCCACTAACTCACCAATATCTCAAGCCAGGTCGCTATTAACATATGGGAGGCCTTGACCTAGAAAGGAACGAACACGTGGAGCAGATAACATGAGTACACAGTTGATATAGTGGTGCTTTGTTATTTGTAACCAACCAGCCAACAGATATTTATTGAGTGCTTTTGTACCAGGCCCGGTGTGCACACAAATTGCACAGAGCTTAGCATCTTTACAGAATATTAGATTTGTCCCGAGCCTAGCTGCGTAAATAGAGATGTCCCAAATTCTCTACAGGGGTTTAATTTGGTTCTTCCCATTCTAGAGAGCTGTGCAAAGTTTTATCATACGAGGGGAGCCCTACATCAGTAACTGCTCCTCATAGCAAGGAAGAGGAAAGGCGAATAATTTTCCCTGTGATCAGTGGCCTCCCACCCTAATTAGCAGCGCAGGTGAAATCTATCCATATGAGTCGGTGCAGAGGTGGGTTTAGTGAATACTGTTGGGGCAGTGTGTCTGAAGTTGACTGCCAAGGGCCAGTAGGGCTGAGGGGTTGCGATCTATGGGGCCTCACGTTTGCGTATTTGTAGTATATGTAACATAATGACTATTCTGATTCATGTATAGCTATTTGCATTTCAATTTCTAACCAGGCCATTTGCTGGATAAAGTAATATTTCTGGGGAGCAGAAAAGTGTGAACAAAGTAGCCGGGATAGGGGAGGAGAGAATGCTTTACAAGGATTGAGGGGAGACTGCCGGGGAGAAGAGTTGTCTGGGGAGAGAGCTGGGGATGGGGGTGGTTCACTGTTCAAGGGAATTGGGTATGGGAAGGGAGGACTGTCCCCTTGGTTTGGGGGTTGGCCTGACTGAAGAATTTCAGTCTGATCCTGAGGGTTGTGCCTGGATAAGCAGGAGTAGGGGGAAGGGGAGAGGGGGTGGCGGGGTGGGGGAGAGAGAGAGAGAGAGAGAGAGAGAGAGAGAGAGAAAAGAGGAGAGAGGCAGGGAACTTAGATTGTTTAGGTTTTGTCTGCTGCTAATTAACTTATTCGTTAAAAAAAAATCCAAAATTTCCCTAGCCTAAAGTGACACTCCTTTGAGCAGGAAGAGTAAATTGTGCCCACTGTTGGCTCTGGCACCCTGGGAAGAAAGAAAATAATAGAAAATTTAAGAAACAGATTCACTCATTCCCTCCACTCTAGCCACACTGACCTTGCAGAAGCATGCCAATATTTTTCCAGCCTGCATTTGCTGATCTCTCACCTGGAACCTTTTCACCCAGATCTCTGCCTGGCTGCCTTCTGAACCTGCAGCTGTCAGGTCAAATCTCTTGATTACCTTTGGCTAATTTTTTTTCCCCCGTTCCATTCTCTTTTGCATTACTGTGTTTCATTTTCTTTCTAGCTTTTCCACCTCTCTGAAATCTTGTTTGTTTTCTTGTTTATTGTGTGCCTTCCCATTAAATGTAAATTTCATGAGTGTAGAGAACTGGTTTTCCTTTTTCACCTCTGTATCCCCAGATCCTAGGCAGTGCCTGGCACAGAGAAGTCTAAGTAAACATGTGTTGAATGAGAGTGGCTCCCTCTAGCCAACAGATGTGCTCCACAACAGGTGTGCGTACCTGGGAATGTTGTCAACGGAACCAGAAACTAAATTAATTGCAGAAGGGACCCTCATTTTGAATCTGAAAATCTTTCCACTACAAAACATCTAGAAATGTTGGACAATATATACCAAACATCCTCTCAGATGCTTCACTGAACTTGCAAAAAAGTAAGGGAAATCTCCAGGGACCAAAAATAAAGAAAGAGAAAACCAGAGTGGTGAATGGGGGCTAAAGCCATGGCTGCTGAGGAAGTTGGCAATCATAGCATCCAAGAGGCATGGTTTTTAGTGGAGACAGGATACAGGCCTTGTGCCTGTCGCTGGTGGGAAGACCGAACTGAGGCCACTGCCCAAAGCCAGGATTCTGGAAGAGTTGCAAATCATGGCAGGGGGCGGAGGTGGGGGTGGGGGTGGATTACCTATTGTCCAAGGAAAGTAGCAAGTTCCTTGTCCTGAATAAAAAAAAAAAAAAAGGGGTTGCCTGGAGAACTCCTAACCACAGTGTATCTGTTCGTAAGTTTGGGTCCATTACCCATGTTGGTCCTGGAAACCTCAGGATGAGACATGAACACAAAGTAATCTCTGGCCAATACCATCCTGTGTCTGGGCCACAGGTATGGATAAGGGGGGGCCCAGAAGTTTTCTTCTCACAAAGTTTGGTCTTTTATTTGGGAAGGGACTTCCTCTCTGAAGACTTAAACCTAGATTCCATTGGCCAGGACTGTTTCCTATGCATCTGTCCTCTCCCAGCTGCAGGGAGACTGTGGGTTGAGTATTTTTAGCTGGGCACAGTACAGAGGATAGAATTCTGGATTCTGTGAAGGAGAAAGGAGGGGCATCGATAATGGCTAGGCAGCTGGTGTTGTCAGACCCAAGGTGCAAGAAAGACAGAAACTAAAACAACATGATAATATGATTATCTACACAGAAAACTTCAAAGACTCTACCGAAAAATTATTAGAATTAATAAGTGAAATCAGCATGTACGCTCTTTTATAAGATCAGTATACCAAAATCAACTGCCTTCCTATAGACAGGCAACTGTTTAGGATAGCAACAGAAACACTGAAGTGTCTAGGAATAAACTAAGTAAAATATATGCAAGCCGGTTATGGATAAAATTATAAAATTATTCCAAAACATAAAATTAGACTTCAGTGGAGAGATGGATCATGTTCATGGATGGAAAACATCAATAGCATAGAGATAAAAGGAGCTAATATCTTAACACCCAACAATTCCGTGCCTGTGTAATGCCCTAGAGATCCCTCACATGTGTACTGCAGACAACGAAAGAATGTTCACAGCAGGACTGTTTTAATGGTGAAAAGAGAATATTCTCAGCAAGAGAATATAAGTAAACTTGGTGTATTCATCCAGTGAAATAATCTATAATAGTGAGAATGAATGAACTGCAGCCAACGTGCTCAAAAGGATGGGTTCTGGAATAGAATATTGAGCTTAGAAACAAGTCACAGAAGGAAACATACAATATTATTCTGCTTATATATTCAAGATATGTAAAATAGAATTATATATTGTTTAGAGAAGTAAACATATATGGCGAAATGATAAAGAAATGCGTGGAGGCTGGGCACGGTAGCTCACGCCTGTAATCGCAGCACTTTTGGAGGCAGAGGTGGGCGGATCACCTGATGTCAGGGGTTCGAGACCTGCCTGGGCAAGATGGCAAAAGCCTGTCTCTACTAAAAATATAAAAATTAGCCAGGCATGGTGGTGGGCGCCTGTAGTCCCAGCTACTTGGGAGGCTGAGGCAGGAGAATCGCCTGAACCCAGGAGGCAGTGGTTGCAGTGAGCCGAGATCGCACCACTGCACTCCAGTCTGGGGGACAGAGCAAGACTCTGTCTCAAAAAAAAAAAAAAAAAATGCACGAAGAGGAAAAGCATTGAAAAAGCTTGTACAAATCGGTGGCCTGCAGGCCACATGCAGCCCAGGGTGGCTTTGAATGCGGCCCAATACAATTTCGTAAACTTTCTTAAAACATTATGAAATCTTTTTTTGCAATTTGCAATTTTTTTTTTTTTTTTTTAGCTCATCACCTATCATTAGTGTATTTTATGTGTGGCCCAAGACAATTCTTCTTCTTCCAGTGTGGCCCAGGGAATCCAAAATATTGGACACCACTGTTTTAGATCCTAACTTTGGTAGTGGTTGCATGGATTGTCCTTGTGGTATTCTTTGTTCATTTTTGTAAATATGAGTTATCCCAGCACTTTGGGAGGCTGAGGCGGGCAGATCGCAAGGTCAGGAGATCGAGACCATCCTGGTCGACATGGTGAAACCCTGTCTCTACTAAAAATACAAAAAACAAAAAATTAGCAGGGCGTGGTGGTGGGCACCTGTAGTTCCAGCTACTTGGGAGGCTGAGGCAGGAGAATGGCGTGAACCCGGGATGCGGAGCTTGCAGTGAGCCGAGACTGCATCACTGCACTCCAGCCTGGGCGACAGAGCGAGACTCTGTAACAACAACAACAGCGTTATTTTAAAATAAATTTTAAAAACCTTAACACTAAAAAATACATCAGGGAACCTTGTTTTGATTCATGTCGTCAATTTACAAATGATTTCCAGTCTAAAGGAGTTTTGAAAACGATCTGTTCCAACCCCTCCATTGAATAGGTGGAGAAACTCAGACCAGGAATGATGAATTCAGTTTTTTATGAACACATAGTCAGTTAATGACAAAGTCAAGACTAGAATTCAGGCCTTACCTTGTATAGAACTGTTTCATAAAGTAAAAAACTCTGTAATTTACTAGTTTTATAAGTTAGCATTTCTATTTATTGAATTTCTTAAAATGGGAGAAATGGTATTCCAAATATAGGCAGGACATAGGCCAAAGGTAGCTTGCATTGAGAAGGTCAAGGAAAAAAAAATGTCATTCTATTCTTCCCTTTGGTAACATTGGGAGAGACCTATTGACATTTTGGTTCACAGGGGAAGAGGCTGATGCAGGAAAAGACACCTGGGGTTTAAAATTTATGCCAATTCTGAGATTCTGTAATTCTCTGACTGGGAGCCATAGAGTTGATTTAAGCTTGGATTCTGTCCCCAGCTCACTCAGTAAATATATGTGAGTTCCCGACATCTCTCAGCCTTGTTTTCCCAGGTGCACAGGAAGGGGACTGGACAAGATGCTTTTTAAGGTGAACTCCAGATCCAGGAAAGTTTAATCTCAGGAAGTAAGACTTCAGTTACAATGTTTTCAAGGACTGGGATGTTACAGCAAGAAAGATGCTTCTTTAAAAAAAATTCCCCAAAGTTGATTTGCCACAGCTGATAAACATCCTTCACATCTGTTCATGTAGGAGTATGGGGTCTGATTTTCCTAGGAAAGTCTATTTAGACCCTGACACAGATTGCATTTCTTTTTAAAGCAACAAGAGTGATAAAGTGTCTTAGTATAAAATCAATAGAAAGCAGTTTAGTGGCCTCTGAAGTCTTCCAAGCAGTCTTTCCTTTTCGTTTTCTCTGCAGGAAAGATCAAATGAGAAGTTGCCAGCTTCCTTGTGTGTTTTAGTTATTTACTACGTAAATCACCGAGAAACATTTAGGAAACAATTTAGAACTGGGGAAAGGCTCTTCTCTTCTTCTGGCACCTCTCACCCCCATAAAGGATGGAAAAAAAAAGGCCCTCACATTAAACTAGTTGACAGGACTGAGGACTTGGGGGTTATTTTTCTTAAGTACTATATGGTTGTTTCTTAAGCTTTGGAAGAAAAAGAGAGAAATTTGTTTCCATTTTCTCTCTGGAAGCTTTTCTCTCCATCTGTCATACAACCCGACTGAAATGTTGCATTAAGCTTGCTCAGAAATGATTGGCTATTGACAGTGTGTATTATAAGAGAATATCGTAGTTGGAAAGAATAATTGTGGTAGGCAGAGAAAATATGCTTTGCTGCAGTCTATGCTGGGGTAGGGTAGAGAACTGATTTCAATCACAGGAACCTACCCTTTTTCACATCGTTGGCATTTTACATTTATGCTTGTGAAACCCTGAAGGTACATCATGTAAGATCCACCATCATGATATCAAGTAGCTCTGGTGGTGGTCAGTAATCTTATTCACCAAATATTTCTGGTTCTCCTAACTTGGGACATGGGAGGATCATGGTAGGGACATGGTAGGATCATACTTCCCTGTCTCAGTGGGGCTAAGTGGGGCTATCTGGCAACTTGCTTTGGTCAATGAAATATGAGCTAAAGTAACATGTATAACTTCTGGTGGGATATTTAAAAGCCAGTGTGACTCACCACTTTCTCTTTCCCTGCCTCTGACTTGACTTATAGGTGGATGCTCCTTTATCTGAGTTTCCTGAGTGACTTTGATGAACAGAGACCCCTGTCTACCTGGACGAGCATGTAGCATGGATGAACAATACAACTTTGTTTTTTTAAGCCACTGAGATCTCGGCTCTTTTGTTACTGCAGCATATCCTAGCCTATACGGACAGATACATGCTTATTAAGCTCTTACCAGAGGCCAGGTAATACACTAAACACTCCATATGGGTCATCTCATTTGGAGGACCTTATGACAATCTTGTAGAAAGGACACTATAATTATCCTCCTTTTACTGATGAAGTATTGTGGGTACAGAGACATTAAATAACTGTCCCAAGGTCATGGAGCGGGCATGTGGTGGAGCTAGGATTCCAACTCAGACAATCTGTCTCCAGAGCTTGCAATTAAAACCACAGCACTCTATAGACTGTTTGGAAAAGTGGTGGGTGTTGCACATGGAGGAGAAGAAAGGACATTCTTTAAAACCAACCTTTGACCACCTCCTGGCTACCTCTGTGACAAAGGCATCAAGTTAATAAAGTCAGTAACACCGTGGAAATTGACATGATCCAGACAAAAGAATGGTTGGGGAGCTGCTCTGCCCCAGGAGGAACATCTTGAGCTTCTTTCTAGGGAGCAGCTTTGAAGAGAAATAAGATTATAAGGAAGATCTTAGAGCATTTTGTGGGGGAAAATGTCTGATATCAATGTTTAGTTTGGTTCCAAGTTTATTGTATGGCCCTTTGCCAGGTTTAGGTGACACCACTCCTGCATACACCCGAGTGTGGGAGATGGATGAGTAGAAGAATGTGCTCTGTGTGGTGGGAGGGAGACTCACAGAGCACAGGGCTGGGCACTTTGAATGGCCTGGGGGTCCAAGAAGGCTGGGCTGGGCATCAGAAGCCAAGGGGGCCAGGCGAGGTGGCTTACACCTATAATCCCAGCACTTTGGGAGGCAGAGGCAGGAGGATCACTCAAGCCCAGGAGTTTGAGAACAGCCTGGGTAACATAGTGAGACCCAATCTTTTTTTTTTTTTTTTTAAATAAAGAAGCCAAGGGATGTCTTCTGAGCATCCTTAGTTTCCCTTAATAATGTGGCATAAATACATTCCCAGGGATTTATCTAAACCCTTTCTGAAGCTAGTTGCGTTTTTAGCCCATACCACCTCTGGCACAAAGAAAAGTTGTTTAAAATAGGGCCTCCTTTAACTGATCCTAAAAGAGTCTCTTTTAAGTTCCCAGGCACGAAGGGAGACATTAGCACTTTTGAATTTCATAAGAAGTCTATGTTTCTCCTTTGCATATCTTTATGGTCTTTATACATTCTGATCCTCCCCTCCCATATTCTTAGTCATTTGGGATTAAAGGAGCCCACTTTTTCACATTTTTGAGAAGATTCTTTAAAAGACCAAAAAAAAAAAAAAAAAAAGAAAGAAAGAAAGAAAAAGAAAAAAAAAAACCCCAAATCTCAAAGTGGTAATTTGTGGTTTGTCTGCATGTCAGTTCTTAGAATTTGAGATCCCTTGAGAAAATCTAGAAAAAAAAATCCCCCAACTCAGAAATCTCTATTCAAGGCATTTTCCAAATTAAAGGAAGATTTGGGTATTAATTTACCCAAGTGATTCTTTTTATAATGAGATTTTTCTTTAAATTTCTGATTTCAATTGGTGCTTTGTGAAAGGTTTTGCACTCCCTTCCCCTAAACTTTGAAAAGCCTGATTCAAAATTGGTTGGAAAAAATATGCATTTCACGAAGTCATAAAAATAATGATTCTTTGCTATCTTATTAAACATGTGTTTAGACACAATCTTAGAGAATCCATTCATTGTCTTAATAGGCAACAAAGTGTATGAAGATGAGTAGAAACCTACAATTAATTGTCTTACTAACAATGCCTGGGTAGTCCTTTCATTTAATTGGTCATCTAATAATCTTATTCCTTATTTGATTTATTTGCTTACAGGAGCAGCGCTAATGTATGTAACTTGCTGTTTGCCAATTTCTAATGTGTGAAATACTCATAATACGGTGGTCTCCAATGACCCGACGCTGCAAAAATGGATGGTTCTCACATTAGGATGGAAATAACTATTGCACAAGACTCATAATCTTGTGATTTGCTTCCTGCTGAATCACTGCAGCAAGTATGAAGCAACTTCTGTAGCAAAACAGAAAAGGGGTGCTATTAAACTTTAAAGGGACCCCTCCATCTGAAGAAGGTCACCTTTTAATGAGCTGATATAAATTTCTAAAGGTACCGATGAGTCACTCAATGCATGGGATGGACAGGCATTGCTGCACTCTGTCTTCTAGCTCTCCAATGTGTCCCTGGCATGATTGGCACACTCCAGGACCAGCCAACTTCACAGTTCACAGATTTGGAGGCAAGCATCTCCCAGAGCAGAGCTAGAAGACCAGTGAAGCTTGGGGCATTGTTCTGCAAGGGACTGTGTTAGAGGGCAGGCCAACTTCATGCAACTTATTAATGCAAGGGTGGTAGTTCCCTTCAATATCTCCAGCCAACCACGTATCTTGAACACTTATGTTCGTGCCACTGCCCCTAGGATGTAGATTATATGTTGAGTCACATTGTTTGTGATAAAGCATTTTTAAAGTACATTATGACACAGGTCATATAGCCCAATTAAAGGTGAGTAACTCAGGCTTAGAAAAATAAAGATATGTCCACGGTGACCCAGCTAGTTAGGAGCCTGTGTTTCTCATCCTGCTATTGGCCAGCCAATAACATGTGAAAACACCCTGCAAGTAGGTACCCCACCCCCCCAACCCAATGCTATTTTCCTTTCCCATTCCTTCCATCTTTTCCATACCCAAGAGCAGGGCTGCCACTTCTGGCTGGGCAGGCTGAGCAAAGCACCACTCCAGACAATGTGAGCAGCTCCCATTAGAGTCGTGCAGTGTGATGACTATGACCTTAAGCAACATGTCACTTTGCTGTTCCCCCGCTTGCCCGGGGTGAGTCGACACTGAAGTTGAGCAGGAGGTAAAGACAAATAGCTTCACACTGAGCACACATGGACATACTATGGGAACAATAGATACTGTGGACTAGTAGAGAGTAGGGAGGGTGAAAGCTACCTATCCGATACTATGCTCACTACCAGGGTGACGGGATCTGCACTCCAAACCTCAGCATCACACAATATTCCCATGTAACAAATCTGCCCATGTACTTCCTGTATCTAAATGACAATTTGAAATTTAAAACAAACAGAAAAATAGCTTCATCTATGTTTGATTTTCTGGGTCCTTAAAATCTGAAGTATATGTATAAATATTTGTAGTTGTTATACCCTAGTTCTTTTTTTTTATTATTACACTTTAAGTTTTAGGGTACATGTGCTCAACGTGCAGGTTTGTTACATATGTATACATGTGCCATGTTGGTGTGCTGCACCCATTAACTGGTCATTTAGCATTAGGTATATCTCCTAATGCTATCCCTCCCCCCTCCCCCCACCCCACAACAGTCCCCGGTGTGTGATGTTCCCCTTCCTGTGTCCATGTGTTCTCATTGTTCAATTCCCACCTATGAGTGAGAACATGCGGTGTTTGGTTTTTTGTCCTTGTTATACCCTAGTTCTTTTTGGTGGACTTCGTATTTGTGAGCACCAATGAATTCACAGGTCTTACGTGAGCAAATGAGCCTGTGGGTTGAGAGGATACCCCTGAGACACAGACTGTGGAGTCACTGGTTTCTAGCATAAGGTCACGTAAGCCAGGCCCATTTGTCAAACTCTGCTTTTTGGAGGAAATGTTCTATGCTGTATCAGAGAGGCTGACAATCGCCTCAACAGGCCTCTGCCCTGAAGTCCGATTTGTGGGCTGTCAAGGCGAGTAAGTGGACGTTTCCACTGGCTGCTCCCGATCATCAGATGAAACACCTCAATGTGACATAGAAGGCCGCCTTTAAAGATGAGACCGAGGAGTTATCTAACCATTCAGCCCAAGGAAAGGAAAACAAATGTCTTTTTCTTGTGGAGTTGAAACTTGAGGATGAAGAGAGATTAGAACCCATAACTCAGGGGCTGGAACAGACAGAAACACTTGTAAGAGTAGTGAGACTTTAGCCTCAGATAGCAACGAAGCTTTGCCCCAGATGGGCACCAGATCTTCTGAAATGCCGAAAGCCCTCCCCAGAGCAAATCTCATTTATTCTCCTAACGCTTGGCCAGTTTTAGAGGAAGCACGAAGGGTTGAGCAATTTACTCAAGGCTACCTGGCTTATCAGTGAATTCTGGGTTAATGTCCTGGCCCCGGGTGCCTTTCCACACTGCCTCTCTGGAAAATGCAAGCTCAAGATTCACCTTCACTGTTTGGGACTGAACTTGCCTTGACCTCAGTGTTTTTCTTAATAAAAATGGGAAGAACACATATTCACATGCCCCAGGAAAGAACTTATTGTATATCCACAAATCACCGTCATAGAAATGTTTCCTTTTCATTGGTCTGTCCCATAAATTACATTGGGTATCTATTTTGCCTTTGCCATTGCTAGCTCAAAAAACTGGCTAATTTGCAGCTATTTCCTTCGTCCTTGGGGGAAGTTGAAGCGTAGGATAAATGGTTAACATTTCCGTGAGATCGGTTGACAGAAAACTCAAGAACTCTTGGAAGTAGCAGGATCTTGGGAGAGCTACACTTGAATACTTTCTTTGAAAAAGATAATTAGCTTATACACTTGAGTAGGGGGGTAAATATTTGTGCCGGGGTCTGTTGCCCACTCCTTAGAAACTGTGCAAGTTCTTGTAAAGAATTTGCATTTGATCTCTACCTAGAGCTCCTGTCCTTGTTCATCTAATTATTTATGCAGCTTTAAAGAATGAAGAAGGGACAGGACTGAAAAACCCAGCTGGGAGCTAGAATCTCTCTCTATGGAGATATGCATGCATTTATGGATATATAAATACATGGTGACCCAGAATTTACTAACATGTAGAGGACAAGGTAGAGATCACTCATATTAGGACAAAGCAAATTTATTTTCCAACGTGTCAGGAACCTCTGCATGCTTAACCTAAGTTTTAATATTTTCCCCATCCAGAAATTGCAAAGTGGCATCCCATGGAAGTATATAGACCACAGACTTGGCTTACTTGGTAACTCTTTTTTATGTTAAAAACAAAACAGAACAAAGAGTCATGGGGCAGTATGATCTAAAAATCCAGAGTCCTGGCCTCTTTTGAAAAATCAGAAGAGTGGGCTGCACTGGACACACTTTCTGTGTGACAACACCCTTTGGATGGGGCATATCTTTTCTTGTTCACCATGGTTGCATCACTCAGCCTGAGAGCTCTCTCCCTGGCTACGAAGGCATTTGTGTTTACAGTCCATAAACAAGGGAGGCAGCCTGCTTAACCCCGCGGGGCCTCAGTTTCACCTTCACAAAACAGGGTGATAATGTCTGCCCCATTTTCCTTGCAGGCTCACCTAAGAGAGGAAGGGGCTCAGGAATTACCAACTGCAGGGGTATTCAACATTTAAGTGACCACTCTGGCATTTGGCTTGAAGGCCAGTGTCACCGTATGGTCTCATAAAAACTCAAAGCAAAACCAACTCCTCCTCCAAAGCACTGATGCGAAACGTTGATTTCCCTGAAAGTCTCTTGGGGATGATAAAGTGAAGTGACATCATATTTCACTTAGCAGCACTTCCAGGGGCTGTCAGTTCCTTTATTATGTAAAGCAATTTCGTCTCCTTTGGACTTTTCACATCCCTCTCTCCCCTAGTAATACAGAGAATTCTACTTAGAAAGCTGGGGATGGTGAGCGAGTTTATACACAATGGGATGGGGATGGCGGGAGTCTACATAGCCAGTTATTCACATGTCATTGAGATCAGGAAAAGATGACTTTAAGTGCATTCACTTAATTGGGATGGTGACTTTCCCTTGAAAAATGAAGCTAAAAATTATGAAAGTTAATTTGTTATCTTACATTTAACAAAATTTAGGTTCTGATGGCAAATAGGCACTAATTCTTGGAGATAACAGAAAATGAATCAAGTCAGGGCCTAAAAACGTCTGGCGTTTTTTTTTTCATCAAACTAGAACATACTCATTCTTCATTTCACATTGGATACACACTGCAATATCATGAAGGAAGCCAAGTTTTACAAAAATATCTAGGGGTCTTATGAACCACTCTAAAGTCGTCTCTTAATTCTTTGATATTCAATCATTCTCTTTAGAACAATTTTAGAGTTACAGAAAAGTTGCAGAGAGAGGACGCAGAATTCCATAGACCCCTTCACCCAGTCTCCCCCAATGTTAGTATCTCACAGAACCATGGTACATTTGTCAAAACTAAGAAATTCACATTGGTACATTACTACTAACTCAAGTCTACTGACTTTATTTAGATTTCATCAGTTCTTCCAAAAATGTCCTTATATTGCTCCAGGATCCAGTCGAGGATACAACATTACATTTTGCAGTCATTCTCATTTGAAGCATATTTCTTATCAACATCTTTGTCAATAACGACTGGTCAAATTCTACCATATCCTTTGTCAGTGTATTGCCGGGAATGGGACTTATGTAATTCTTCTACATCACTTTCATTGACTTTATGAAATCATATATCAGTTGCAATATTTGCAATTCCCCTTAGCAAGAGGGTGACAGTAAAATGTTGTAGTTTCATTTTGGGGGAAATAGAGGAATGGGACTTAATGCTTTAAGCCAGGTTGCTTTTCAATCCATATGCACTGGTATAGTCCTTCCCTTGTTAAAATAGTAAAATAACGCTCTAAGTTTTAGTGAATAACTGTGCCGAGGACCTCCTCCCCATCCACTCGCCTCCCCTAATGGAGCAACTAAAGGGTAAATTCCTGGCCAGCAAGGGGCACCCAGGACCCCATTCCATGTAGAAAGAGTCCCTGTGAATGGTGGTGGATGCTGTGTTATACTGGATGGTAAATATCTGGGCTATCATTCTGGTGTTAAGTAAGAAGGAGGACTAATTTCAAAAGTGATCAGTTTACTGATGAATATCTTTGAAAAAAATGAGAACTTTTCTTTCCTGTAGCCTTATAAAATCATTTCAGCTGCTTGGCGCATCAGGGCCTCTGCTATGTTTTCAATGTGTCTTCTCCATAATTTACGTGTTGCCAAGATGACAGCATTAAGAGGAGGGGTCTTTAAGAGGTGGTTAGGCCAATAGGGCTCCTCCCTTATGGTTGGGATTAAGGCTTTTATGAAAGAGGCTGTCCTTCTCACCTTCCACCATGTGAGGACAGCATTTCTCCCCTCGGAGAATGCAGCTCTGGCTAGGCCACCAAACCTGCCAGCGTCTTGATCTTGGACTTTCCAGCCTCCACAACTGTAAGAAAATACATTTCTATTCTTTATAAATTACCCAGTCTTGGGTATGTTGTTATAGCACAAAAATAGATGACATTCTAATATATTCTTCTTCTATCACACACTCCCTCTAGTGAGATGTTTTATCATACCCATTTTCAGAAAAACATACAATTTCATGATATGTTTTGTCATACCCATTTTCAGAAAAACAAACTGAAGCAAGGCACACAGAAAAGTAATTTGTCTAATATAGTAATCAGACAGTTGTGTCTAGATGGAAAATTGTCATTTCTTGCTCCATATATTGTTCTCAGATACATATCTTTGATGCAGTGGGTGTAAATCAAGATCTAAGTTCAGATGCCTCAGGTCCTTGGCCGGTCATCAATGAATAAGTCGCATAGCAGAGGGTTCAATGTGATCCAAATGGACTTCAAATCTACCTTTGTCCCCACCCAAAGATGCCTGCCCTTGGATTTCCCAGATGTCTCTTTCTGCATAATAACCCCCATTTATTATTTATTATTTGTGCTTGTTTGCATGAGTTTTCATTACTTTCAACCAAAAAAGGCTTGAACATGAGGGCATGGCCTCCATCAGGTTACCAGGGGGCTAGATACTCATCTTCCCTCTATTGCTCCTTGAAGTTAAGCCTTGTGCTATCATGAGACAAGGGTGAAAATGTGAATACAAGAACTGGGAAGGATGGGGAAACTGATAACTGAGATCCAAACAGCTCTTCCAACTTTCCAAAGCATTTTCAGCATCTTATAGGATCTTCCCACCAACCTGGCGAGGTAGGGGGAACAGGCAATATAATCATCCTCATTTCAGGAACTGTAGGAACTGAGGCTTGGAAATTCAAATGACCACACTCAGGCTACTGAGAATGAGTGGCAGGGATCAAATTGGAAGCCAGATTCCCTGATGGGTTAGGAAACAGCTGGTTAGTGCCCATCAGACTAAGTCTGTGCTGTCCAAGATCATACCCACTAGCCGTGATGGCAATGCATTTAAATTTAAAGTTGTAAAAATTAAAATGAAATAAAATTCAGCATTCATTTCCCCAGTCACATTGCCATGTTTCACATGCTCAAGAGTGGCATGAAGGTAGTGGCTACAGTATTGGACAGGGCAGATGTAGAACGTTTCCATCATTGCTCAACGTTTTGCTGGATAGTGGTAGCCTGCATGGGTTCAGCAGGGTCCTGAAGGAGTATGGCTCCCTGATGTTTGGAGAGAATTGGAAACATCTTGATTTAGGAACTGTCTCAAAATTCAGGCTCTGTGGACGGTTATTTGGAGTGTAAACTGGAGGTTTGTGGATATTTATCCATCAGCATAAGAAAAATGTTCACTCAACAAATATTTACTGAGTACCTTCTGGATGCAAGACACCACGCTAGTGCTGGACTATGACACAGAACAAGTCAGGTGCCATCTCTACTGTCTCAGAGCTCACAGTCTAGTGAACATCTATTGTACCAGGAGATGCCAGAGACTGGAAGGAAGAGAGAACCAAAGAGGGAGAAAGAAACCAGAGTGGCCGACTTCAACTTTTTTTTTTTTGAGACGGAGTTTCGCTTGTGTCACCCAGGCTGGAGTGCAATGGCGTGATCTCGGCTCACTGCAACATCCGCCTCCCGGGTTCAAGTGATTCTCCTGCCTCAGCCTCCGAAGTAGCTGGGACTACAGGCATGCACCACCATGTCTGGGTAATTTTTGTATTTTTAGTAGAGACAGGGTTTCGCCATGTTGACCAGGCTGGTCTTGAACTCCTGACCTCAGGTTGTCCACCCACCTCAGCCTCCCAAAGTGTTGGGATTACAGGCGTGAGCCACCACACGCAGCCGACTTCAACTTTTTGTGGAGGGCCAATTGATGTTCTTCCCTGTTTTTCATTTCTGAGCTGTCTCAGCCCTGAGCTTTAACACTCCTCAACCTGCCTATCCCAATGTCAACAGCCACCACCTGTGACTCCAGTGGAACCTTGCTGGAAGGCATACACATCTGACAACTATTAGTCTCTTCTCAAAGAGTGGATCACAGATCTGAAAAATCAAAATAGTACCAGAGCCTCCAGGACCTCATCCACTCTCCCCAGACACATGTGGTGAGGGACATTCACATGAGCAGCTGTCTTGCACGGGCAGACCCCTTCTTTCCCCACTCATAAAAACGTAGGGAAATGAGAGTCAGAGGACATTTGGTATGGATTACCTCAAATCCATTCCAAATGATTTAAACCAGGAAGACCAGAAGTCGTTACTCAGTGTTGAACCCTTGGTCATTACTAATAACAAATTATTTGTGACTCATGCCCGGATTGGGTTGACCATGCTCTAGCCTGCATGTTACCCAAGCCAACTGGAGAGGCCCTGTACAGCTGATGCCTTCTCTAGCCTGCTCCAGTAATTAGGGAGTCCTAGTTCAAGTTAATTAAGAGATTGCTTTGGCTGCCCCAGAGAGCTTTTGGTCATTCCATTGAACACATATTTATAGGCTATTCTATTTTCAACAAGTTGCCCTGGTGATCTGGGTTCCTGATTTGGTCCCACAATGGGAAAACCAGCTCTCCTTATTTTCAGTTGATGTTTGAGTTCTGTATGGCCACAGATGATCACTGTTGACATTGTGATAGACAAATTAGGGAGGGTTAAAGTCCAGGCTGAAGCATTTCAGACATGTGGAACAGGGAAGAGCAGCCGTCAGTTTTCCGTGGCATGCAAGCTGCAGTCCTGTGTGTTTCTTTTTTAAATTTATTTTTTATTTTTATTTTTTTTTTTTGAGACAGAGTCTCACTCTGTGGCCAGGCTGGAGTGCAGTGGTGTGATCTTGGCTTACTGCAACCCCCTATTCCCTGGTTCAAGCGATTCTCCTGCCTCAGCCTCCCGAGGAGCTGGGATTACAGGCATGCGCCACCACGCCCAGCTAAGTTTTGTATTTTCAGTAAAGACGGGGTTTCACCATGTTGGCCAGGATGGTCTCAATCTCCTGACCTTGTGATCCACCCGCCTTGGCCTCCCAAAGTGCTGGGATTACAGGCGTGAGCCCACCACACCCAGCCAAGTCCAGTGTATTTCTTTGCATTATGATAACTTGGTGAATTTGATATTGCAGTTTCTTGCTGCAGGCAATGAGTGTAAGATGCAAGCCTATTTATAAGGTCT
The DNA here is from genome assembly GCF_000001405.40 of Homo sapiens. Classification (NCBI taxonomy): domain Eukaryota; kingdom Metazoa; phylum Chordata; class Mammalia; order Primates; family Hominidae; genus Homo; species Homo sapiens. Next base: position 14,535,281 of record NC_000001.11, on the reverse strand, counting down.
TGTCACAGGGAGGAGAAGGGGCATAGGGGTGGCTCAGGGTTGGGGATTGTCACAGCAAATGGCCAAAGGGCTAATAGAACCTGTAATGCTGGTGAGAGAAATACTGAAGAGGTCAGTTCTAGACTTCAGGCAGCCCAGGACATTCATGGACTCTGAGGAGGAGACAATGGACTAGGTGGCCAGTCAAGCAATGGGAAGTCCCAGAGAGGGAAGACAAAGAGTTTGTTCCTTGAAGAAGGGAGAAAGGGGCTGGAATCAGAAGAGGTAGGCCCCAAACTCAAGATCTAGTTTGACGAGTAGGGTTGCATGAAGATGAGAGTCTCAAGATATGGCTGGTATGAAATGGAGGTGGAGGTCAGTGGAGCTTAGGAGAGTGAGGTCAGCTCTGGCTCTGCCAGGCTCAGAGGAGAAGGTAGAACACAGCCTTCTCCATAGATGAGTTTCAAAACGCTGATAGAACCAGAGATTTTGAGTTGCACAGGGACTTGCTAAAGATTCCGTGGCCTAAAACCCTTATCACTGGCTACTCACCCTGGGAAAGACAGCCTGGTGTCTGGGGCAGAGGGAGGATATCCTAAGAGGTGAAAATTTGAGCCTTGAACAGTGCTACAGTTTTTATTTTATTTTTTATTTTTTTGAGATGGAGTCTCGCTCTGGCTCCCAGGCTGGAGTGCAGTGGTGCGATCTCGGCTCACTGCAACCTCCGCCTCCTGGGTTCAAGTGATTCTCCTGCCTCAGCCTCCCCAGTAGCTGGAATGACAGGTACCCGCCACCACGCCTGGCTAATTTTTGCATTTTTAGTAGAGATGGGGTTTCGCCATGTTGGCCAGGCTGGTCTTGAACTCCTGACCTCAGGCGATCTGCCTGCCTCGGCCTCCCAAAGTGCTGGGATTACAGGCGTGAGTCATTGCACCCAGCCAGTGCTACAGCTTTAATGGATGTTTCAAGAATCACATGCATTTGGAGTTGAATTGCTTCCCACAGACTGCCCTGGACATGGAATATATGTTTCTATTCATGTGTCAACAGCAATTGGAAATGGCCTGTTGGAGAAGTTTAATGAGAAGTTTTCCAAAGCTGAGTCTAGCCTCAGAAGGAAAGGGCATTGTGTGAATCCTTAGTGTCTGCTGCAGATTCAGGATGGGAGAGTGGGGTTATTCTTGCCTGGATGCACCTCCGTCCTTGGTCTCATCTTTTCAGAAAGGGTTTCATTGGGTACTGAGCAGGACTCAACCCCAGGACGGTTTAGGCTAAGGAAAACTCATAAAGAAATAGAACTTTTGAGATCATTTATAAACTTTATGAGTGCCTATCTTTATTAGCTGGGGATGCAGTCAGAGAGGCAAGGATGTTTCTTTGCAAGTTTGGATAATAATCCCTCAGATTCCTTCTATAACCCTGACTCTTGTATGTGAGCAGACAGGTCAAAGAATTAGAGAATAATCAAGGTACTGTTTGCTTAAGTCTCCCAACAAAAATGTCGGTAAAATATACCAGAGTCATTTATCAAAAGGAGAGAAATTGTGGATTGTAGACTGGAAATCTCCATGAAGCACGTGACACCTGAGCAAAATTGTGAAGGACAGGTGGACACAGGAGATGTGGGGTGGGTGGGGGGCAAGCAAGGAGCAAACGGGATGGATCCCTCTGCTAAGTTAAAAGCAAACAGTGCAGCCAGATAAAATTTATTATGGGTCTGCTAGACTGTGATGTGGGGGAACAGCCATCCTGTTGCCGACACAATCATAAATACTGGGAACCTTGAGGCAGATGCAGAGCCGTGAGTTTGGAAAGATTGCTGGCCTTGGGACAGGAAGGTGCTGATTCTTCAAAATCTACCAATATCCAATATGCCAAGTTGGTTGGCTGAGAAAAGACTACCCTGCCTGCATGTGGGATTTGGAGAGAAGTTTCTGCTGCCTTTAACTAGAAACAGGTGAATTTTTCTGTCTCTAGTTGCTAGACATGGAGCCTTTTCAATGTATCTCATTTTCCCCCCACTACTCTATGTCTAATAACTTGTCCTGGGGTACTGTGTTTATCCCAGAAATGTTAATGACTTCATAACTCAGTGTGAAATGCTCTGGGCAATTTTTGTATTATTAAGGATTCTACGAAGTATAAAAACAGGGAAAGCTCTCAAGGTGCTGGGCCACAGTTATAACTTGATTCTCATTTTGGAGAAAGGAGAGGAATTAAGCTTTCTAAAAACACATGTTTTTCTGTGGAAGTCAGTGTGGCGATTCCTCAGGGATCTAGAACTAGAAATACCATCTGACCCAGCCATCCCATTACTGGGTATATACCCAAAGGATTATAAATCATGTTGCTATAAAGACACATGCACACGTATGTTTATTGCAGCACTATTCACAATAGCAAAGACTTGGAACCAACCCAAATGTCCAACAACAGGACACTGGATTAAGAAAATGTGGCACATATACACCATGGAATACTATGCAGCCATAAAAAATGATGAGTTCATGTCCTTTGTAGGGACATGGATGAAACTGGAAACCAGCATTCTCAGCAAACTATCACAAGGACAAAAAAACCAAACACTGCATGTTCTCACTCATAGGTAGGAATTGAACAATGAGAACACATGGACACAGGAAGGGGAACATTACACTCTAGGGACTGTTGTGGGGTGGGGGGAGGGGGGAGGGATAGCATTAGGAGATATACCTAATGCTAAATGACCAGTTAATGGGTGCAGCACACCAACATGGCACATGTATACATATGTAACAAACCTGCACATTGTGCACATGTACCCTAAAACTTAAAGTATAATAATAATAATAATAATAATAATAATAAAAACACATGTTTTTTGACCAGGAAAGCAGTTAGCATAATGACAATCATTGCCCTTTGGAAGTAAGGCAGCAAGTCTCCGGAATGTCCTCGGACTGTGAATTTTATCATCTCTCCAATGCCTGTCTGAGTCATGACAGGACTTAAGCATCACGAGTGAGGGCGGGTCTGGGGTTTTGGTGAACTAGGGTGAGGACCCTGGACTCTGGGCTTTGGAGGGGGTGGATGGGACATTGTTTCTAGTAGCTGAGCTGTGACCCAGGGAGTCAAGAAGCAGCTGGGAAAGAAAGAGCAGGATGGGTGAACCATTCTGAGCAAGAGGGGAGGCTGTCATGCCCACAACAGTCACCACCTTCCTTCTTGCACCACTTTCTTGGAATCAGTGAGTTTCCAACTTCTTTTGTCTTAAGCCGGGAATCCATTCTATGAAAAAAGAGCACGTGAAACCAGTGAAACTCATACCATCATTCAGATTAAAATCAAAATGAGAGATGGGAGTCCAGCACATCCCAGCACCTTCCCTACCTTGGTCCTCTCTCCCGCGGGGAGGCTCCAGGGACTTTGGGGATTCAGTGAGCAGAGTTTGAAAAATCACTGCCTAAAATGCTTTAAGGAAAAAAATATACGTGGAAACATTTTGCAAATAGTAAGACTCCCATAGAAATCTTTGTTGCTAATATTAGTTTCCATTTCAAAGCTTCCCTTGCTGTTCAGTCGAACATGTCTGGTGGTTTGAACAGCAATAATGATGATGAAATATTGTACAGATAAGAAAAATTGAGAAGCTTGGGAAGATAAAGTAAATTAACCAAGGTTTTGCATTTAGCAATTTGGGACCCAAACCCAGGCTGTCAACCACATCTTTCCACTGTATCCCAACCCCACAATCCCCAAGCCCCTCTAGTCCTTCCCCACATTCTACACCCTCTCCCTGAGAGCCTTCCCAAAGCCAAGACCCAGTTAAAATGCTGGTCCCCACAACGTGATCCTGATGGGTTCTGCCGAGTTCTTGTGCCATTGTCTAGTGAGAGTAATGATGGTGGGGTTTGCGAATACAGTGATCAATCTGCATAGAAGTGAGAACACACATTTTCGGCTTCCTGTTGGCTTACTTGGGTAATCTCATGGGATCTCCAGTATATGGGAGAGGGCATTCTATGACTGTTTTGATCTTTGGCGGACTGGGAAAAGTTCAGCTCAAGATAGATTTGCTTGGATCTGCTCATAGAAGTTTCCATAAGTGACAATTTGCACAGCTGAGTCTTGGGCTCTGTAGTGGATGGGATGTTTACACTCTGCAATTGAGATGCGTGTCAGTCCATTTTTGTGTTGCTATAAAGAAATACCTGAGGCTGGGTTACTGATTGATTCATTGACTCATTGATTGAGACAGGGTCTCACTCTGTCACCCAGGCTTGAGTGCAGTGGTGCGATCACAGCTCGGTGCAGCCTAGACCTCCCAGGCTCAGGTGATCCTCCCACTTCAGCCTCTTGAGTAGCTGGGGCTACAGGTGCACAGCACTATGCCTGGCTAATTTTTTGTAGAGACAAGGTTTCGCCATGTTGCCCAAGTCTCAAATTCCTGGGTTCAAGTGATCCTCCTGCCTCAGCCTCCCAACGTGCTGGGATTACAAGCATGAACCACCATGCCTGACCAGAGACTGGGTAATTTATAAGGAAAAGAGGTTTAATTGGCTCACATTTCTGCAGACTGTACAGGAAGCATGGTGATGACATCTGCTTCTGGGGAGGCCTCAGGAAGCTTCCACTCATGGCAAAAGGTGAAGGGGGATCAGGCACATTGCATCGTGAGAAAGGGAGCGAGAGAGAGAGAGAGGAGGAGGTGCCAGGCTCTTTAAACAACCGGAAGTCAGGTGAACTCAGAGTGACAACTCACTCATTACCATGGGGAGGGCACCAAGGCATTCATGAGGAATTTGCCCCCATGACCAAAACACCTCCCACCAGGCCCCACCTCCAACATTGGGGATCACATTTCAACATGAGATTTGGAGGAGACACACATCCAAACCAAATCGAGATGTGTAAAGAAAATGTAGCTTTCTTCAAATGTCCTTTTCTGGCTTAGGAAGGCTGCAGTCCACTGATGGCAGAGACGGATAAAACCTACACCCTCCCTGTTAGAGGTGGCTCAGACTCTCCTGGATTAGAGCGGGCTCTTTGGGGTGAGCTCAGTCTGCTTTGGGTGTTAAGTTTTTCACTGTATTTCCTGCTCCCGTTTTCTCTTCCTGGAATGTGTCTTGGTAGAAGGAAGCCCACCTGCCCTCCTGGCACTGGGGGAAGGTGGTCTCTCTACTGTCCTCTGCCTTTTTGCTGGTTTCCGTTCAGGATCACTGGCTTCCCCTGGCCCCTGCGATTCCAGTATTAGGTGCTCCAGAGAGCAGCTGGTGCCATCTGGGTACTTTGGATACTGTGCTATCACCTGCCACTGAAGTCTGTGATCCCTGCCACAGGATTTGGTTATGAGAGCCCACCTTTCCTATGCTGTGTTCTGCAAGTTCTCTTGGGCTGCCCAGGTGCTTTTGTCATAAAAGCATGTGGCTCCATAAGCAGCCCCTGGTCCACTCACCTGGGTATCTTCTGTGATCATATTTAACCTTCTGCCCAAGTCATGCCACATAGAACATGGAGTGTCTCCAACAGGGCTTGCAATGCCCTGGTCCGTGCCTGAGCAGCAAGGATGAGCAGTGAGGCCTGGCATTTCTCCACCCTCATCTGGCTGTTTCTAATCCCAGGAGGTGTGTCCACTATTCACTGGTTCTCCTTTCTCTTTCCTTCTCCTCTATTGGGGCAGCCTTTCTCTTCCTGACTGCTGAGAATGTCTCCTCCCTCATTTTTTCTGTCCTCTCCACACTGGCTTCAAGAAAACCTCATGCTCTGAATCCAACATGCTTGGTGTTCTGGAATCTACAAGACACTCTTCTCTCACACAAAGTGCACATTCCAAGATCGTTATTTACTGTGGGCTAAAACATCTGAAACTGGACGTCAGAAGTTGCACAGTGACTCTTTCGTTCTCTTTGCATGAATCCAAATCACAATCCTAATCCCCCCTCAGAGACACATGATGCTTCCATTGGATAGCGGGATGGTAATGTACAAGAAAGCACAAGAAAGACAATTATTTATTTTTTAGATGAAGACTCGCTCTTGTCACCGAGGCTGGGGTGCAATGGCGCGATCTCAGCTCACTGCAACCTCTGCCTCCCAGGTTCAAGCGATTCTCCTGCCTCAACCTCCCAAGTAGCTGGGATTACAGGTGCCTGCCACCACGCCCAGCTAATTTTTGTATTTTTAGTGGAGACGGGGTTTCACCATGCTGGTCATGCTGGTCTCGAACTCCTGACCTCAGGTAATCTGCCCGCCTCGGCCTCCCAAAGTGCTGGGATTACAGGCATGAGCCACCGCGCCGGGCCGAAAGACAATTATTTTGTTATAACTGCAGTAATTGTTAGAATAAAGATAACTGGAATGGGGGGTGGGAAGAGGTCTATTTCCCTCTGGCTGATTGGTTTCCTGTTTTGCACGTGGAATGAGGCTGCGAGAGGGACATGAATAAAGTGGAGTTTGTTCAGAGGAGAGACAATGTTGCCTGAGATGGATGAAGAAATTGCGGATGTGCAGCCTGGAGAAAAGAAGAGTCAGGAGAGTGAGGAGAGCTGTCTATTTTTTTTTTTTTTTTTTTTTTTGAGACAGGGTCTCGCTCTGTCACTCAGGCTAGAGTGCAGTGGCACCATCATGGCCCACTGCAACCTCGACCTCCTGGGCTCAGGCGATCTTCCCGTTTCAACCTCCCAAATAGCTGGGACTACAGGCATGTGCCACGACGCCAACCTGGTTTTGCCAGGCTGGTCTTGAACTCCTGGGCTCAAGCAATCCTCCCACCTCGGCCTCCCAAAGTGCTGGGGTTACAGGCGTGAGCCACTGTACTGGTCGGGGGCTGTCTTTAAAAATATGAAAGGTCATCACGTGGATAGGTAGGAGGAGTGTTCTTTGTAGTTCCAAGAACTAGAACTAGAGGTCAGCGTGTGGCAGATTCTCAGTAAATGTGAAAATAATTTTCCTTTTTTTCTTTCTTTTTTTTTTTTTTTTTTTTTTTTGAGATGGAGTCTTGCTCTGTCACCCAGGCTGGGGTACAGTGGCATGATCTCGGCTCACTGCAACCTCCACCTCTCAGATTCAAGCGATTCTCCTGCCTCAGCCTCTTGAGTAGCTGGGACTACCCGTGTGCACCACCACACCCAGCTAATTTTTGTATTTTTAGTAGAGATGAAGTTTCACCATGTTGGCCAGGCTGACATGAGTTGCTATACTGTGAGGAAGCCTGTGCTAACCACATGGAGAGGCTGCATAGAGTGGAGAGGAAGATAGATAGGTAGGTAGGTACATAGATAGATAGATAGATAGATAGATAGATAGATAGATAGATAGATAGATAGGATTCTAGACCAGACACTACTATTCCTTCTATCCCCGCCCAGGCACCAGACAAGTGAATGAAGTGCTATAGTTTGGATATGTGTCCTCTCCAAATCTCATGCTGAAATTAATTCCCACTGTTGGAGGTGGGGCCTGATAGAAGGTATTTGGGTCATGGGGGCAGATTCTTCATGAATAGTTTGGTGTCATCCTCGTGGTAATGAGGGAGTTCTCACTCTATTAGTTCCCACTAGAGCTGGCTGTTAAAAAGAGCCTGGAACCTCCCTGCCTTCTTCCTTACTTCCTCTCTTGCCATCTCTGCACATGCTGGCTTCTCTTCCCCTCTACCATAAGTGGAAGCAGCTGGAGCCCCTCACCAGGAGCAGATGCCGGCATTGTGTTTCTTGTTTCTTGCTCAGTCTGCAGAACCATGAGCCAGATAAACCTGTATCGTTTTTTTTTTTTTTTTGGAGACAGAGTCTCACTCTGTTGCCCAGGCTGGAGTGCAATGGCATGGTCTCAGCTCACTGCAACCCCCACTTCCTGGGTTCAAGTGATTCTCCTGCCTCAGACTCCCAAGTAGTCGGGATTACAGGTGCCCGCCACCACGCCTGGCTAATTTTTGCATTTTTAGTAGAGACGGGGTTTCACCATGTTGGCCAGGCTGGTCTCGAACTCTTGACCTTGTGATCTGGCTACCTCAGCCTCCCAAAGTGCTGGGATTACAGGCGTAAGCCACAGCGCCCGGCTAAACCTCTATTCTTTACAAATTACTCAGCCTCAGGTATTCTTGTACAGCAACACAAATAGACTAAGACCGGAAGTCTTTAGATGACTCCAGGCCCAGCAGCAGTCTGACTACGACTTCATGAATGACCCCAAGTGAGGACCACCCAGATGAGCTTAAACAAGTCCAACTATGAGACATGATAATACATCGTTTTAATCCATTGAATTCGGGGATGTTTCTTATGCAATAATAGGTACTGGTCCACAAGCATTTTAGTTTATAATTTAATTAACTACCTATAAGAGGAGGATTGAATTTAGGCATAGGCAAATCAGATGCTATTGTCAGAAAGATGTTAGCAAGAACTCCGCACTATAACATCTCCTCTGGTGGCCTGTCCTGTTGCCCAAATTACACCAGGAGAGAATCGCTTCTGGGTGACAGGTGATCTCTTTCAAGATGGATACAAAAGGGGGACATTGAGCAGCGGGGGAGAACACCTCATGTTTAATGAAGTATCTGTACCTTACTATGAAGTGGTTTCTTGATGTATGAAAATGGTCCCAGGGGAATGAGGTTTTTGATATCCAGAGAGACGGTGCAAGGGATGTGTTTAAAAATATGGACCACTATGAAACTGGAAAATGGCTGAAGTCAAGAGCAGGGAGATAAGAATGAAGGAGGAACAAAAATATTCACTTACATCTTTGTCTATTTCAATTTGTCAATTTCAGCTATAGATGACCCGGAGGGTTCTTTGTTCTCAGCAAACTTTGTAGCTTACGTGGCTACTAAAATATTACTGATGATGCAGATGGATGGGGAAATGTTTTATTTCAAACCTCCGGGGCACTTGGCACATGGCTGTAACCCAGGTCTACGCATGTCACCTTGATCCTCTGATGCATGACTGGCTCTGAAACATGAATGGGCAACAAAGAGGCCCAAATATGGCTGCCCCAGACTCTGCTGCAAAGGGAGTCCTCTTTCACCCTTGTTCCCTTGGAGCAAATGGGAAATGATTGGCACATCTGCTCTTATGTAGAGGCAAAAATGTGTAAAATTAAAGAGTCAATCGTACCTACTTAGGAGAATTCCCTTTCTCTCTTGCTAAATGACAATGAGGAGGGCTTCAAAGCCAGGGAAGGGAAAAATGTGGGGGCATCCCAGGTTGAGACCCAGGTTTAGGAAATGGTATCATAAATGTTGATTTAGTAGAGTTGAAGTAGTACACTTAGTCATAATGACGACAATGCTGGTAGCGGAGATCCATTGAGGATTCCCTAGGTACCAGGCATCATCCCCCTAATTTATGAGCAAGTGGGGTTCTTTTGCTGTGAATAACACAGCTCTGAGATCCCAAGACCTTGGTTTAAATCCCAGGTATTCAGCTTCTTAGCTGAGATAGGAAAGTGACTCAAACTCTCTAAACCTGTTTCCCCATAGGATTGCACTGAGTATTAAAGAAATTCATGATTATCGAGAGCACTAACAGTAGCTAGCATAAATATTCATGCTATATATGCCATATTTTGATTCTTTATGGATTGAATTGACTTTTGTGGATTGATCTGGTAAGCCAAACAACATTTACAATCATTTTTTTTCCTATGGGAAATGCATTCTAAATTAAATATTGCAAACTGTGGCCCTTGGCCAAATCCAGCCTGTCACCTGTTTATGTATGGCTGGCAAGCTAAGAATAGTGTTTGCATTTTTAAATTGTTGAAAAAATCAAAAGGATCATAATATTGTTTGACATGCAAATGTTATATGAAATTCAAATTTCAGTGTGCATAAATAAAGTTTTATCGGAACACAAGCATGCTCATTTGTTTATGTGTTGTCTAAGTCTGCTTTTACTCTGCAACGGCCAGCTGAGTAGTTGCAACAGACACCTCATGGTTCAAAAGCCTCACACAGTAACTGGCCCTTTACAGAAAAAAGTTGGTAATTTATGTTCTACATGATAAAAAAGAAATTAATGCACAAACTACCTATTAGAGCACAGTTTGCATAATTGGCAAGCTAATTCTGTATGGCTGGCAAGCTAAGAATAGCTTGCTTACATTTGCACATTTGTACAATATGTACATTTACACTCTATTCTGTTACATACACATACATGCATGCATGCACATATTCAAACACACGTCCATACATATACATGGGACAACCCTGATACATATGTCCATGTGTCATCTGCTCTGAACCTGAGTGTCCTTCCTGGGTGAGCTGCTATCCAAAATCCATGCTGTCTTGCTGGCATCCTGCCCCACATGGGGTTTGGAGTAGATCACTGGTGTTAAATACATCTAGCCAAGGTGCAAATGTCTGGCTCTCTCCAGACCTTGCTGGGTCTCCAAAGAAATATATGAATATTTTGGCTTTTTCTTTATGGTAGATGATTTCTGTTTTCCTTATGGGCTTCCTTTGCTGGTGTTTTAAAGAACCTGTTCTCATCACGAAATCAGGCACAGGAACTATTTATCATACATATGAGAATCAACATGAATAAAACACCCCTTAGGTACTGTTCACATTTCTTTCAGCTTCTCACTCTTGAGCTGCTATTAAACTTTAATATACATGAAGTTTGCTGGGTTTTATGGAGTCGAACGGTGAAAGCACAGTCGTGGCAGACTGACATGCCTGGGGGGTTAAATTCATCCAGGTTGGCCATTAGATAATGAGCAAGTACCTTAATCACCATAAAATAGTGTTTAAAATATTGTTTATTTTTAAAAAATCAATTAGCGTCAAAGACCCTCAGAGTCAAAGAGAGCCTGGTGATAAATTGGTCTAATCTTTTGTTTTTAGAAATGAGACGGGGGAGTGGGCTTTCTCAAGGGCACAGGCTCCTTTGTGGAAAAGCTGGGTCTAGAATGTGGGTCATTGGCTCCAGACCCCTGACCCTGCCTCCATGCTTCCAGGATGTCACACAAACGCACACAAGTGACACACCTTCGTTGGGTGCGGTGGCTCATGCCTATAATCTCAGCACTTCGGGAGGCTGAGGCGAGTGGACCACTTGAGGTCAGGAGTTTGAGACCAGCCTGGCCAGCATGGTGAAACCCCGTCTCTACTAAAAATACAAAAATTACCCAGGCGTGGTGGTGCATGCCTGTAATCCCAGCTACTCGGGAGGCTGAAGCAGGAGAATCGCTTGAATCTGGGAGGCAGAGGTTGCAGTGAGCCGAGCTCACACCACTGTACTCCAGCCCAGGTGACAGAACAAGACTCTGTCTCATAAAAACAAAACAAAACAAAACAAAACAAAACAAAACAAAACAAAACGAGTGACACGCCTTTAAGCCACGTGGATATACGCTTTCAAAACAACACCTCGCTCTCCCTTAGCTATTCAATTTGACTGACATATGTGGCATTTTTATTCCATCTCATGTGTCTCTGCCATGTCTGTAAGCCCCCTTGAGCCCCTTCCTCAACATCATGGTCTCTGAGCCTTCCTGTGGCCACCAGCACATTCTGTGCAGCCCCAGGACCACATGGGAGGCTCATGGCCATTAGCTTCATGTACCATCGGATCAACCAGACCATGCTTCTTCCTGCTGTCACCTGCGTGGGAACACTGAAGAGGAAGTAAGGGATTCAGAAGGCAGCTGGAATGTACAAAGAAATATTGGCTTGGGAATGGAACTAGGAGAGAAAGTGAAGGAAGTGCTGGGATTCACTAGAGGGCTGCTGGTGATGGAGCAGCAAAAAAGCTGGGGAAGTGTCCCTCGTGGTAATTATTCATGACTTTGTGACATTTGCAGGGATGGGACACATTTGTATCTATTTGGGCATTGCTTTTCTTTATTTCCGCCCTTTCCATGTCTCTGGTAGGCCACAAGCTCCGAGCTGGGAGGCTCCAGGCAGGGTGGAGAGTTGGAGCTGCCCACTGGACAGCTCCCTTTCTGGCCTTGGTTTGCCAAAGCTTACAATCACAGAGGTGGATGGGTTTGGTGGAGAGGGAGCAACTCTGGGAGGGACATGAAGAGCGAGAGAATCTTTGAAGAAAAGTTTATTGCCCTGGACTGGGAGCCAAAAAGTATTCTGACAGCTAGGGGAGGCAGCACCCTGCTCTCTGGCCAGGCTCAGGGGGTTGGTGAGGATGCCAGTGGGGAAGGGTGAGGTGCCTCCCAGCCTCACCAAGATCCTGAAGCCTCCATGCCTGGTGTGGAAGCCGCAGCCTCAACCTGGAGGGACCAGTAGACTAGGACGATGAGTGTCTCCATGGCAACCAGTGTGGCCTAGTGACTCATAGCTCGTACATGCTGGGGAGTTGGGGGAATTACAGGCGGACAGGGAGCCCTCCCAGCACCTTGGTGCTAGAGAAAGACCCTCTGGGTGGGAACAGGGGCACCCAGAGAATCAATGAGGTGGAATTTCCTGCCTACCTGTTGGCATGGAGTAGTCACGATTGAAATTAAGCTGCTTGGAAGAAAATACAAAGATCTGATACTTGTCCCACGCCTGAGTTTATGACCTGTGATTCATTCATTCCTTCTACATCTGAAACACACACAAAAGATCTATATTTTCTCCGATGAGTTATACAACACATGTTAAGTATCCCGGTAATTGCAGATGCATTATCTATTGTGTTGCTGTAGGTACTGTCTGTATTCTACTGCTGGTGCCAGAGGATGGGCAGTCCACGTCAACACCCATTTGCATTTGTTCTTTTCTCGGGCTTTTTATTAAAGTCAGGCTTTAAAACAACACCCAGAATCATTGCATAATCCAAGAGACCAAATTGTACACATCACAGATGATGACGTGATTTGCAGGAAACCTTTTGGAAGAGCTGGCTCCTTGATAACTGTAATTGTTAGGCTCAGGATCAAATTAGGAGAGCAGAGGCAGCTGCACCAAGAAGCTGTATCTGTTCAAATCTCCCAAGCAAGCCTAGCTGTCACCATAAAGAGCAAACTTTTGCAGGCAACAAGACAAATCACATGTAGGTCTCAGAGGGTTTCTTCCTCTGAAGATGGGAGGCAGAACATATTTCTCTTTAAGTTAGGTCAGTTACAGGCATCTCACTGGGGAGAACGAAGACATTATACAGCCGTGCCTATGCCAGGAGAGAGAAGCAGAAAATTATATCTTACTTAATCAAGTTGATCTGGGAGCAGAAAAGCTCATTGGCAAAAGGCAGGGGACTTCTATGCAAGCAGGAGTGTGAGTGGCTTTCCTTTTTCTAATGTGTCTATGAAATTTGGTGGAGAGGGCCTGTGTAAAAGATTAGGAATAACAGAGCTCAATGTACATTCCCTAACACACATTTGGATGTATATTAGTAATCTCAAAAGTTCACATTCTTTCAAATTTAGCCACAGTACTCACTGAAATGTGCTGATGTCTCCGAAAATGAATTTTTTCCTATGGTGCACTTTTATCCACTTAAAAAATGTGATTTTTTGGTGTACATTTGCCAAAAATAATCAGTTCTGACCCAAACCATGATGTGGTAACTTGACCCCTAACTCAAGGTCGACTCAAGCTTAATCCTCAGTAACCACACTTCCTCCCTTTCCCCAGTTTTCAAAGAAAAGAGACGATTCTAAAACAGGATGAGGGCAACCCAAGGGCCCAGGCTGGTCTTTTACGGACTGTAGGCGGTTCTCAGTTCGCAGGTCTCAGTTCAAAGCCAGTTGCTTTGCTGGTTTCTTCCTTGAGTTGTTTCATGGCATCGGCCATGGTTCATGATTTCATGCAAAAGGTTCAATTAAAGATAGGCCAGAGCTTCAAAAAGCAAGGGCTTTTTCAATTTCTCAGCATTACAGGGTTCACATTTCACAGAAAGGCCTGGCCTGATTTAATCCTGAGTTCATAAAGCCGAAATTTACCTTTTTCTGTTTTTATCAGAAATTTTCACTTTGGCTCTGGAAGGTGGACACACATGAGCCATTTGGACAGCAGACCCAATTCTGAAGGGTTGGAGGGGCATAAATGCAGTGAGGGCGACATTTCTGTTTAAATATCACATTGGGCACACTGAGTGAAAAGAGATTTGGCTCAAGTGGTTATGGTGCCTCTTTAAATGTCAGAGTCCCTGCTGACTGGCGTTTTGGGGGCATCATCAGACCCCTGCCCCCAAGCCTGATCTTTATTTGCATTTCTCCTTACGTTGGCTGCACCCCTCCCTCAGCATCTGCCTGTAACACCCTGTGGCACATAGGACATCCATTACTCATAAGCTCATCTGGATTTTGTCTATTGGCTCTTCCAAGAGTGGGGAGTACTCGGATGGTTACTTTCTCTTCCTTTTCCCTCTGGATCATGCCACTGCATGCCTCTCCCTGCTCTGGCCTCTCATGGGCCTTCTTCCCAATAGAACAATGCCTTAGGGGAACCTGCCCTGCCCAGGGAATGGAGCTGGATGGATGAACAGTTTGCTGCAGGTGCTGGGATTATTCTGCTCCTTTGGTTCAGCTCTTTCATTTTTTAGTTGAGTCCGGTGAATCAGATGTTAAAACAAAACCATCTTTGGTTTAGTGCAAAAGAATTAAGGTTTGGGGGGAGTTTGGGAGGATGATCACAGGCTATTAATGGTTCAGTTCAGTTTCAGTCTCTGCCCAAACAGATACCAGGGAAATTCCCAGAGGTGGCTGCTTCCAGAGGCGAACCTTAGCAAAGCTGTGCTGAGCTCTTGCCTGGGCTCCTCAGAGCCTCTGCCCCCATCACCTAGTTATGCTCTTGCTTGGGCAGGAAGTCAGAGGAGCTCTCTTGGTTGTCCCATGAGCCACTGCTTTTTATGGAGATGGGCATTGGATTAGTGTGTGTGTTTTCATCTGCTATCTCCCCTCTTCCTGCTTTCTAGGTGCCTGGCATGCACAATTGTCCCCCAGGCTCCTGCAGCTTCAGTGCCTGTTTCTCTCTCATTCACATGGTGACCCCAACCCCTGTTCCTGCTTGCTACGTCTATCATGGCACCCCATGCCCACCCTTCTCGGGAGGTCTGTCTCCTCCATTGGGCTGTGGCCACCGGAGGAGAGAAATCCTGTGGCCATGTGTGGTCATTTCAGTTTCTTTGTTTCCAGCTTGGCCACACCCAATGGATCATAGGGTTGTATAAATGAAATGTCTGTGATTATGAACAAGTGCCAGGACTGGACACCACTGGGCCTTGTGTCATCCATGAGCCATACTGGCCTCATTTCCTGAAGATCTCTCTCTCCATCTTGACTTTTGTCTACAGGCTGTATATGTGACTGCTATGTGCTCCTTGGCCCCAATTATAAGGCGTCTTCTTGCCACCACCTATGGCACGATCTGTGCAATGGCAGGAAACACATGTGTGACAGATGCCTGGGCTCGTGGGAAGCATCCACAGCTCCCACACCATCATGGGGCCCTCTGGGTGCCTGAGGACACTCTATGTTCTGACTTCATGCTTGGCACAGGGAACCCTGTGAGGCCAACCCAGGCCTATCCACTTCTAGCTCAGACATTTCTCCTGCTGCTGGGTCATGCCAGACACATGGGACTCTGGGGATCCTCCTGCATCTCTCAGGTCATCCATGGGCTGGAATCCCCCAAAGTCTCTTGGGGTAATGCAGGGTCCAGGGTGCTCTGGCATCCACATTTTCTCTGTTTTCCCTCTTACTCTCTTTTCTTCCCTCCAGATGGGAGGATATTCACCACTTATGCTTTCATATCTCTCTCGTGCCCTGGCCTAGGCTTTAGAAACTCAAAAGTGGACTTTCTTTCTCCCAGGTCAGCTCTCTCCAAAGGCAATCTGTGCCACTGGGGGTAAGAAAAACTGGGAGAGGGGAAGAGCCTCAACTGAGGGAGGATACCCACGAGGGTAGTATCTGCCGCTCAGCACCCTCACTGTCCCTGACATGTATGCTGCTCTTGGCTGCTTTTCTCAGACAAGTCCTTTCTTTGTTTCTTTGCCTCTTCTCTTCTGCAACTTCTTCCTGTTTCTGGATTCTGCCCAAAGAACTGGCCTCGGAGGCCATCTAAAGCAAAGCAGAGGGTTGCTTTCTTTGCAAACTACAAAACTGCAGCTCAGTCCTGTGCCTTGGGCCCTCCTCTCCTTGCCTGTAGGGTCCATTTCAAGCTGTGTAGTCAGGGGCTATTTCTTTGATTCCAGAAACTTTTTGTTTTTATTATTTAAATTTTTTTTTAAAAATTTCCAATTATTTTAGAATCATAGGCAGTCCATGCTGAATGGGACTCAGGGACAGATTATTTCTAAACTCCGCTTCCCTTACTCCCTTCCTACCCCTCACCTATGGCTAAGGAAATGGTGGCCCAAAGAAGGCAAAATACTTGCCTCATTATTCAGGGTCCCTAGAGCAACAGGATCTCCGAAGTTGGGTCCCCATGCAGATGAAACTTGCCTTCCATCCCTGCTTCTAGCATTTTCAGATCTAGCACATTCCAATAAAAGCATCAGATTTGGCTCTCAAAATATTAACTACTAGCAATTATTGAGCACCTACGTGCTTGGCACTGTGCACAGCTCTCAAAATATAGTATCTATGTTGATTCTCCTAATAGCCTTGTATTTTCACCATCTTGCTGATGAGAAAATGGAGGCTTGATGGAGGACACACAGTGTGGTAGTGCTGGAGCCTGGACGGGAAGCCGGGCTGTTTGATGTCAGGGCAGGAGCTCCTACGAGCACTGTCACACAGCTCAACAGCAATGGGAAGGCTGTATTCATCAGCCCAAATATTGTAGATGAAGCGACGAGAGCAGATCATCTCTTCCTTGGCAAATTCATCACCTGGGACTCTAATCAGCTGACATTCCTAATGCTTTCTTACTTTTTCTTTAAAAATGATTTCAAACAGGCTGGGTGCAGTGGCTCATGTCTATAATCCCAACACTTTGGGAGGCTGAGGCGGGCGGATAACCTAAGGTCAGGAGTTGGAGACCAGCCTGGCCAACATGGCGAAATCCTGTCTCTACTAAAAGTACAAAAATTAGCTGGGCGTGGTGGTGCGCATTTGTAGTCCCAGCTACTCAGGGGGCTGAGGCAGGAGAATCGCTTGAACCTGGGAGATGGAGGTTGCAGTGGAGATTGTGCCACTGCACTCCAGCCTGGGTGGCACAGCGAGACTCTGCCCAAAAAAAAAAAAAAAAAAAAAGCCTTCAAAAAGACTCCAGTTACCAAGCATGGCTCTCTGATAATGACAGAGACTAACTACCCCATTTAACGTGAAAGGCCAGAGCAAATAAGTGGCTTGTTCAAGGTCCTGTAGCCAGTCAGTGGCAGACCTTGGGCTTGAACCCAGAACTCCAATCCCAAAAATGAGTGTAAAACACCCATCACTCATTCTGAAACAGACAGTAGGTGCTTGGCAATGTTAGCTTCATTTCCTGTACTCTATTTCCTTCTCATTGTTCCCAGGGGCTGAGCACACACTTACAGCTAAAATGGCTTATATTCTTCTGCTTTGTTTTATGGCAATGAGAAAATGTGGAGCCATCCATCCACTTCACTGCTGTTGAAAAATAATAACTGGATGATGTTCCTCTTGGCAGCTGTGTGGACCTGGTATTTAAGCAGCATCCTGTTCCAAAGAACTGCCCTTTAAAAAGAGATTAGGATTGCACATCCACTGTGTATGAGCTGGAAGATAAACAAATGTTCTTTTCTACCCAAATATTTCCAGCTTTTGCTCTAAGGTGTTTCTCATGATTGTAGCCCGACTTGTTGTCTGTGCAGGACTGGAAGAGCTTAAGCTCATGCTGTGAGTCACAAATGGCGCTAAGGCATGTGTTCCAGGCTTCTTATTGTCAGTTTGATTTCTGCATTAACCTTTTGGTTGGAAATGACTCAAACTGAGTAAGTTAGAACAAGGGATTTTTACTGGCTCACAAATTGGAAAGTCCAGGGGCAGATTTAGCTTCGGGTGTGGCTGGATCAAGGGGCTCTGATGTCATTCCCTGCTCTCTCTCATGATTTTTCTGCCCTCCTTTTCTCTGTGTTGGCTTTACTTTCTAATAGGCTCTCCCTCTTGGTGGTAAGATGATCACCAGCATCAGCAGCAACTTGCTTACATTCTACGAGCTTCACGATTCCCACAGAAAAAGAGAACTCTGTTTCCTAACACTTTGCATAAACTCATAGACTTGAGTCTCATAGCCTGGCATGGGTCACACGGTCATCTCTGAGCCAATCACTGTGGCCAAGGTAATGGAAAACACTGGTTGGCCAGGTGTAGGTATTATGCCTCTCTCTGTCTCTTTGCATCCAAGGGGTTGGGTCAGTTCACCTAAACCACTGTGACCTGCCAGTGAGAAGAGATGGTTCCCTAAAGTAAGAGCAATGTTTTATATCAGAAAACTAGTAAATGGGTACCTGGCAGGCAAAACAACCACCACTACAATGAGATTCTTTACTTCTAGGAGAACACAGATGATTTAAAACACACATTTTGTTGACTGCCTTTTCTTACCGAGAAAGTCTATGTGCAGAAATTGAAGGTGATAGAAAAGAAGAAGAAGGCTGGTTCTTGTTAGAGAAATGGAGCTGTGGATGGGAAAAGGACAGGAACCAATAGGTAAGGACTGATTTATTTTTCCCCCTTTGGAAATAGGAAGGGAGATGGCATGGTGCCTGCCCTCAAGGAGCTGACAGTTGGGAACAGAGTCAGAGCTTCAAACATACAAGACAAATACCTTGATACAATAAAATGACTCCAACATCAGTCACTCATTCATTGACCCTTGACTCAGTAAATATTTGTTAAGAGTCTGTTGTTTCTCGCAGAAGAGAACTCTGCTTCCTAACACTTTGCATAAACTCATAGACTTGAGTCTCATTAGCCTGACGTGGGTCATGTGCTCATCTCTGAGCCAATCACTGTGGTCAAGGGCATGGAAATGCTGGTTGACCAGGCCTAGGTCTTGTTCCTCTCTCTACATCCAAGGGCTTGGGTCAGTTCACCTAAACCACTCTGATCTGCCGGTGAGAAGAGATGCTGCTGATGCTGTTGATCATCTTACCACCACGAGGGAGAGCCTGTTAGAGAGTAAAGCCAACACAGAGAAAAGGAGGGCAGAGAGATCATGAGAGAGAGCAGGGAATGACATCAGAGCTGGTTATTTTGCTCTGTAACCTGCTCTAACCTTCAGCACCATCAAAGAAGCAGACAGAAAGACTAAATCCTGCTGTTTTTCAGTTAATTTACGTTCGACTTGCTGCTCAAGCGAAACACCTGAGAATTCAGACCAGAACACAGTTTCTAGAACCTGGTTGGCCAGGCAGTTGGAGTACCATCTTACTAATTTACTATTTTTCTGTTAAAAGAAAAATCTCCTGTTTAGGCCCTAGTGATACAGGAGTAAAGAAGGAGTAAAGAAGGCACACAGGATTTTGTGGTCTCATGGAGCTTACGTGAGACCATGCTGGGTCTAGGATTTCTTTTTAGTTGGGAGAAATGCAAAATAAGCAAGGGACCCAATGCATGAACAGAAGCATTTCCAGGAGAAGTAAGAACCATTTGAGCCATGAAGAAAACCAAGCAGACTGATAGGTTATAAAACGGCTGGTGGTGGAAGGGAGAGCCCTTTGGTCAAGCAGTCACAAAGACTTGGTGAGGTGGTAGTGGCTAAGACTTGAGAAAAAACAGCAATGAAGGTCTCATGGGGACAAGGGCTCCAGGGAAAGCCCCTAAGGCAGCCCCTAAACAGGGTGTGGCTGAGGACCAGAAAGGAGGTTAGTGGCCTGGAGCTCAGTGAGTGAGGCCGGGATGGTAGAACAGGAGAAGGATGGAGGGGAGGCAGAAGCCAGCTCCTGCATTGAAGATTCTGCTGCTTCCGGGTTTCCCAAGTGCTTTGTTTATGGGCCTGTGTGGTTCCCACATACGGTGGGACTGACAGCCGCTTCCATGTCATGAACATGCCCTGCTCCCATCCCTCCTGCTGCATTCACACTGCCTCGCAAGTATCAGGCATTCAGTGATTGTTTCCTACAGCGATTGGATTGGAATCCCAGTTATGCCATTTTCTAGCTGAGGAACATTGGACAAGTTGCTTAAATTCACGGTCCTCTCACTTGAAAATAGGATAATCTGGGTGTGTCGGGGGCTTTAAGGATTAAGCAAGATCATGTAGGAGAGAGTTGATAGCACAAGGTCATTAAATGTTCATTTTCCTGATTTCATTGGTAAGAGAGAGAATTATGACCTAGTGTCAGGTGGATTTAGGGAAAAATCTGTCTTCTAATTTTTGTCCATTCTAGAAGAACTGGGTACATGGGGACAAAGGTTTGGAAATGGAGCACAGTGTGAAATAAAAAGGATAAAAAGAGTAAGATGATCATAGAGGAATGGGATACTCTATGTGAATGATGACATCAGCAAAAGTCCCAGCCACTGTTTCTTTAGCTCACACTGTGAGCCACGGACTTTGCTAGGTCTTTAGCATATGTCATCTGACTTCATCCATCAACACAAAACAGTGTCCTGTATGGAACAACAATTGTATCAGGTGCATTGGTTTATTAGTTCCATTTTATGAATGAGGTTCAGGAAGGGGGCTCAGGAAGTTGAAGTCATTTGTCAAGACCGTATAACTAGTGGGTGGTTGACCCTGTATTTTTAACCATTATGCTACCTGACTCCCTTGGTGGAATTACTAATACAGGCACAGATTCTTGCTATACTTTTGCAATTTGAGATATATATATATATATATATATATATATATATATATATATATATAAAATATAAAAAAATATATAAAATATATAGAAAATATATATTTCATATATTATATATAAAATATATCTAAAATATATATTTCATATATTATATATTTTACATATATAAATATTTATATAAAATATTTATATAAAATATATATAATATATATATTTTGCAATTATATATATTATATATATATTTATATATTATATATATAAATATATATAATATATATATATTATATATATAAATATATATATAATATATATAAATATATATATAAATTTTTTGAGACAGAGTCTTGCTCTGTCACCCAGGCTGGAGTGCAGTGGCGCGATCTCAGCTTACTGCAAGCTCCGCCTCCCGGGTTCACGCCATTCTCCTGCCTCAGCCTCCCGAGTAGCTGGGACCATAGGCGCCTGCCACCACACCTGGCTAATTTTTTTGTATTTTTTTTTAGTAGAGACGGGGTTTCACTGTGTTAGCCAGGGTGGTCTCGATCTCCTGACATCGTGATCCACCTGCCTCGGCCTCCCAAAGTGCTGGGATTACAGACGTGAGCCACCACGCCCGGCCTAAAAAATATTTTTTTTCGGCTCAGCTGGTGCTTATGCCTCAAAAACTCAAATGTCCCTGACTTCAAATGGTTAAATATGTAGTATCTTTAAATGAGAAAATTAATGATATTGAATCTCAGAAATTTTTTTTTTAGAAATTAAAGACACCTCTAAGAATGATCTTCTAATTGTAGCAACCTGCTACATTAATGCGGAAAAACTCATTTACAATTCAGCTGTTAAATGACAAACCATTACCACCATTTTTATTGCTGTATATTCCCCTAACAAATTTATTATGTAATTACCCTCCATAACAGCAGCATTTTAGGATGTAAAGTTGAAATAAGGTCCCAATTTTAAAATGCTTACTATGATATGTTTTCAACATCTAGTCTGTATAAAATATCCGGCATTTAGGGCATGTTTTCTCTTTTGTTAATCAGAGCTCAAGAGACAGGTTTGCAATTCTTCTATTTCATGAATCTGATTCTCTTTGGCCCTCTGCTGTACCTTAGAAAGACGGAAAAAACTAGACCTAGAGATTCCCCGTTCTTTAGCTTGGCAATTCATTAGTCAGAAACACTCGTACACATAACACAAGCTTGTTGGGTTTTGTGATTGAGGATTATGAAAATGGCTGCTATTCCCAGCCACCCAGTGAGCCTGGGCCCAGGTTTAAACAGAAGTCTATCAACAAAAGAATGGGGATTTATCGGTAACTTGAGCAATTTCTCTCTGATGCTGCTTCTGACTGTGGGAGTCGGAGAAACCTCCCAAAGGCTGGAGGAGAGGGACCGGCTAACACAGAGGCTTAAGACAATAAGTTATACCACGCCTGAAGGAGAAGCCGGTTTGCCCTAATATCCTTTTCCTAAAGGCAGAAGAAATTGGACATGATTCTAAGGAAAAGGGCCAAAGGGAGTGTGCCTGGAGACATCCCCAAGCAGGCCAGCTTTCCCAAGGCTGTGGATAATGAGCTGGGGAAACCAAACTAGAAAGAGATCTTTTATAAGCAATCTCAATCATATGTGATATTTTGGAACCCTTTTTGTTACTTGGGCTGATGAGGAAAACAACCTGGTAAGGGAATGCACTCTAAACTTGCCTGCTTTTCAGACCCGAGAAAGAGAGGGACGCTACTTCTCTCAGCAGGAGAAGAGCCGGCCTGATCGTCCAAGGAAGGTGTCATCGGAAGAGGACCGTCCTGGTTGTCAGATCTGAATAAACCTGTACCTCTCTGCAAATACTGCCATGAATAGGAATGAGAAAATCTGCTCTTTGACTTTATCTCCATCTTAATTTCGCTCATAAACCCAGCAGGGTGGAATCTGGGCATAGAATGTGCCAGTGGGTGTCGGAACAGCAGCCGGCAGGCTGTGTTCTAGTGACCCCGGCGAACTGTGTGACCTTGGGGATGGGCCTTAGCTTTTCTGGGGCTTTATTTTCCTGCCTGTGAAATTAGGGAATTGGAGCTAGTTGGTGCTTTCTTGAGTCAGTAGATTTGCTAATAGGCTAATGTCCTGAATCTACCCATGCAGCCTAATTCAGTGGTTCTCAACTAGGGTTGGGGTGGGGGTGGGGGGGCTCTGCGCCACCCAGGGGACATTCGTCAACATTTGTAGACATTTTTGTTTGTCACAGTGGGCGGTGAGTGCTGCTGGCATCCCGTGGGTAGAGGCCAGGGGTGCTGCCAAACATCCTACAATGACATCCTACAATGCGCCCCACAACAAAGAATGATCCAGCCCCAAATATCAATAGTGCTAAGGTGGAGAAACTTTGCCCTCAACTACCAATTAGACATAAATTCACATCGTCCCTCCAAATTAACATGCGGCCACAGGAGATGTCCTGGACAAACTCCTTTCTCCTGACCCGCGAACACACAAATCATCCTAAGTGCTGTGGTCTACTGTGGATTCCTAGGGAGAAAGATACTCTATGAATCTCGTAGCATCTGAGAAGAAAGCTGGATGTCAACATGCATTTGTGCCAGTAGGGAAAACAGCAGCGTGCCCTCCACATTTTCTCCAGAAGAATTCCATCCTGACCTCCCTTTCCACCCCCTGAAAAATTCTTCCATGGCCTCCTCCAGCCGTGTGAGTTATGCATAGTGGATAAGCAGCTTTGTTTCAGTCTTTAGAATGCTGATGTTTAAACTAATGCGTTTATTTATGTTGAATGCAGCTTTCCACCCAGAACATTCTGAATTCTTCTTCCCAGTCTGGCTTTTTAGTACATGATTGTCGAAGCTGCTGGTTTCCATTTCCTGTGTTAACAAGATCTGACTTTGTGGATCATTTAATATTTATCCAAAATATTTGATACACATATAATAACATAATCACTCAGTCCCTTAGCCTGACATGGTTGCATAAGCACCTACCAGGTTTGAAAATCTACATTGTTCAGAATATGTTGTCCGTTAGTATAATGTATTCCAGGGCATAGATTTCTTGCCAAAATAATTCTGCCCGGTGAATGATAAATGTGTTGTGATTATTTCTTCTGCTTTTGTGAAAGCATACAGTAGGGATAGTGTCTTGAAAGCTATACACAGATCAGTGGGACACAGGGCTTCTTTGTTTAGTTCTGCCATACTTAGAATTTGTTCCCTAAATTCTTTCCCCAAACTCTCTTTTACTAGTTTCTACTCCCTGAAGTGATTGGGGCTGGCAATGGAAGGCTGTGTTTAGCTAATAAATTCTTCTTGGCTCCAATATGTGTCTCTCTTAGTTAAGCCCACAAGAACTTAATGAACTGTTGTGTCTCTCCTGGGTAAAGTTTGTTGTAGCTCAGGTTTAAAGCAACCTCATCTTTCAAAACTGGCTTGACAAATGGAAACATCTAGAGTCTCAGCTGTCTGCTATTTCTGGTTTCCAACAGAGTGAGTGGAAATGAATGAATATCACATGCAACATAGAAACTGGGACCACCCTCCCACCCCCCGCAGATAACTCTAAAGCCCATGGTGTTAATAATGTAAGTGGTCAACTTGTACAGTATTGGTGAAGGTTACAGAATTGAGGAGGATCACCAATGGCCACCAAGATTAATCATGTATCTTGAGCGACGAAGAGACCTCTTGGTCTAGTTAAGACAACTTTGACATCTAAGAAGCTTCCCTAGGCATAAAAAGCAGATGAGAATTTGCTCTTGAATTGTTCAGAGTCATCCTTGATTTTCCAATTTCCCTCTGTCCATACCTCCCAGTCCATTAGAAGCTCTGTTGAGTCTGCCTCCAACGTGTATCCTGCATCAGTCTACTCTCTGAGCTCACAGCCACCCCCTAAGCCAAGCCATCATCATCCTTTGCCTGATCAACATTGACTCTCTCTTGCTTCTTCTCTTTCTTCACCACAATCCATTTTACACACAGCAGCCAGGATAATCTTTAAAAAATGTAAATTAGTTCATGTCACTCCCTGCTTAAGACCCTTCAATGACTTTACAGTGTTCTCAGAATCAATTCCTGAGAGAGCTCACTATATAGCATTGCCAGATTTAGCAAATAAAAGTACAGGATACACAGTTAAGTTTGCATTTTAGATAAACCATGAATACCTTTGTTTTAGTATAAAGTATATCCCATGCATATTTGGGACATACTTATACAAAAAAGATTTTGTTGCTGACCTATTTGTTGCACTGAACATCCTGTTTGTTTTTTTTTTTTGAGATGGAGTTTTGCTCTCGTTGCCCAGGCTGGAGTGCAATGGCGCCATCTCGGCTCACTGCAACCTCCACCCCCTGGGTTCAAGCAATTCTCCTGCCTCTGCCACCCGAGTAGCTGGGATTACAGGCATATGCCACCACGCCTGGCTAATTTTGTATTTTTAGTAGAGACAGAGTTTCTCCATGTTGGTCAGGCTGGTCTCAAACTCCCAACCTCAGGTGATCCACCCACCTCGGCCTCCCAAAGTGCTGGGATTATAGGCCACTGTGCCTGGCCAAGTCCTGTATTTTATTTGGCAACTGTACTCACCGGAGATCTATGTCTGGCACCACCTACTTTTCTAACTCCATCTCACACTTGTGTCCCTGTAACTTGCCCCAGCAACACTGGCCTTCAATACTAAGCCCTTTCTGACTTCTGAGCCTTTGTACTAATGAATCCTTCTGGAATGTTATTTCAGCTTTTGCATGGCTTGCTCCATCTCCTTCTTCAGGTCTCTGTTCAAATATCTCCTCCTCAGAAAGGCCTTTCCTGATCTCTCTATCCAAAAAGGGCCCTTTCTCCATCCTTCAGACCTCTATACCGCATCACTCTGTTTTGTTTTCTTCATAAGATGAGTGTGTATTTATTTTTCATCTGCTTGCTTGGTTTTTGCCTCTTCCAGGAAAAGGGGGACACAGCATTGTCTGTCTTGTTTACTGCTGTATCTCCAGTGTCAGACACAGGCCTGGCGTGTGATGCAAGCTCACGGAATCATTTGTGAATGAGAGAATGGACTTAGGTGTGTCTCTTTGCTCTTAGAATGAAATTTAATCTTTTTCCACGGCCCTACGAGGCTCCTCGCCTACCTCTCTGATGTCATTTCAGATAGAACATTGTCAAAGGAGGCTTCACATGCGTAAAGGCCATGGCAGTTTCACCCATTTGGTGAGCTGGGCCACATCTCCATCCATCATGGACATGCCACACTGGTTGGTGGAAAGACCATGCGCTTGAGTGGTAGAAAGATCTAGGTGTGAATCCCAGCTTTGACTTAAGCTAAGTCACTTCCTCTTTGAGCCTGGATTTCATTATCTATATAACAGGGATAGTCATACCACATTTCTACCATATTTGTAGGGATATAGTATAAAACTAAATGCAATGATACGTGTAAGCCACCATTATAGGTCCTGGAGCACGGTCAGCCTTTAATAAATAGTAGTTGAATTTGCCCATGGCAAAGCACTCTCTAGAATACCTTGGTGGTACACTGTGCTTCAGAGACTGTTTAAACTCTTCACACATCATAGTACCTCCGTGCTAACACTATACGCTTTTCCTTTCTCACTGCCCTGTTAACCTATTCCCTGTCATCCTTGCACTAAATTTCCACTGGTTCCAATAAGCCCTTAGCTCTGTTTGCACAGTGCTGTGGTCTCTGCTTTCTTACAGGACAGAACAGGCAAGCAATGATCCCAGAAATGCCCTTCCTAGTTTCCTGCTTGCACCCAGGATGGGACCTGTTCCTGTCTGATCGGGTTCTGATCCTTAAATATCCTCCAGGCTGGATCCACTGCAGATGTTGCTGTTACCATGGTGACTATTATGGCCGAGATTTTTCTGAAACCATGAAGGGAGAACGGGCGAGGTCCAAAGAGCAAACATAATTACTCTTATACTGGGCTTTAAGCGCTCTACATAAATGCTGGATGATGTGTGCCTGGACCCTTGGGTCCTCTAAGCCCTCCACTTACGGCAACTCTTGATGTCATGTGGGCTTGCTGACTAGTGGAGAGCGCCTCTATTGAAACCAGGTGATTCCACCAGGTTGCTGCTATGATGAGGCCATAAACTATTATCCGTCTAGTAGGGAATTTTCTTTAAAAATTTGAAATTGTTTAAGGAAGGTCTTAAAATTCATCCGTAGTTTATTATTATATTTTTAACTTTGGTGTGGCAACGTTACCCGTAGAATCTGCGAGCCTAATAAGAAGATCCGTAGAATCTGCGAGCCTAATGAGAAGATCCTTCTAAGTCATGAAGTCTTGGGGGTAATCTGTTGCACAGCAATAGTGACGGGAACAGATGAGCTCTCTCTGGTTGGCTGTCTCGGGAACACCTGAGCTTCAACAAGTCCAGCGTGGAGCCCAGAACTATCTCTTCTAGTCCAGCCTGATGGCTTTGCACGAACATACCTAGGCTCTCTTGGGGTAGCACTTCCAATGTCATTTAAGCCAGAGTCCTTCAGCCCCAGGAATAACAACTGCTTCAGGGACTCCTCAATGATGGCAGGAGGATGGGAAAGCAGGTGGCTATGTGGAGGCAGGGTACTGGGGGGTCACAAGAATTGGGTCCATCTGAGAGAGTCTTGGGAAGATTTTGCTCCAAGTACTGCAACGTCACATTTTTTTTTTTTTTATTTATTTTTTGGAGACCGAGTCTCGCTCTGTTGCCCAGGCTGGAGAGCAGTGGCGCGATCTCGACTCACTGCAAGCTCCACCTCCCGGGTTCACACCATTCTCCTACCTCAGCCTCTCGAGTAGCTGGGACTACAGGCACCCGTCACCGTGCCCGACTAATTTTTTTGTATTTTTTTAACATCAAATTTTTATTAGACCTGCAGAGCTTCGGTGGGAGATCAGAATGAGGTGCCCATGGATGTAATTGTTGACTGAATTCCATCAGTGTTTGATTCATTGCCCCAAGGCTTTCAATTAAGAAAAGAAATACGGTTTCAATTTGGGGAAGAAAAGACAGCTCTCCTTCATATTGATTCTGCTAGGTGGTGTCTATTTTAGCCAAAATCTTATATGCACTCTGTTCCACTCTCAGAAAGAATTCTGCGTTACTGGTGTGATCCCTGGCGGATGCACTGACTATATATTTAGCACTTGATTCCTGGAATACAGGCTCTTTAGGTCTTCTAGCCATCGCTTGGCAACTTTTGTTTCCATAGAAACTAATGTTTATGTTTATATCTATGCACACTCTGTTTCTATCAGATTTTACTTCTCCGAGCAGCTGTTGTAAGTCATTTTACCAAGATGGACGATTGTGATAGGGAACAAAGCCCCCATTCTACTGAAATGAGAATTTTGTTTAGCATCATTATGGGCCTCAAAGTCAGAGTGGCTCAAAATAAAAATAAAAGGGGTTCGGAGAGGGATCTTATGCAGCAGTGTGGTCCAGAAAGCAAGAGATCCAGTACTAAAAATAAGGACCTGGCCCACAATGAAACCCATGCTCTGCAAACCAACAGGGGCTTTATCGATCTCTTTCTCTGGGGAAATATAAAGGCAATGTACATATTTAGTGCCAATCTGTTCTCTGCAGATTGTGGAAGAAGGCAAACGAAAATCTATGTTTGGAAGGGATGATCTGGGTGCCTAATTTATGCGGATGCACCACAATGGGATGGCTGGTCAACCTTCCTAGTGTTCTCACTAGGGCTCAGCCTAATCTTTCCTGAATGGCATTTGGAACCAATACAGACAGCCTCCTTTGCAAAGCTGAGACCACTGTCAAGTCCAATCGGTAGCCACCGTATCTTTTCCTATTTAATCTTGGCTCCATTTGTTTTTCTTATAGCTGACAATTTATATATACATACACACAGTTTTATTTCTTTTCTTATTTTGTTCATGCATTCTAAAGCACTGTCCCTGGCACCGTGTTTGACAGTAAGTGATAACAATGAGAGCTAAAATTTATCGGGCACTTATGATGTGTCAGCAATCCATACCATGCTTTATGTGGGCTTCCTCATTCAATCCTCACAACAGCCACCCAGATAAATATAATGATGATCCCCACTTTGGCAGTTGAAAGGACTGAGGCACAGAAAGCAATTTGCTCGAGGTTACAGGTGAGTGCGCAGCAGAACTGCGATTTGGGGCTCTGCAGTCTGATGTCTGAACCACCATATGATACTGTTCTCATGGTTCTGCTCTGGAATTCACAGGCCAGTGGGAGAGACAAAGGTATAAACGATGATCATGGCATGTGATGTATAGTAATAGCATCGTATGACATATATACTGCTATAGAAATATAGGAAGGATGTGATTAAGTCACCATGGGAGAGTGAAGTCTGGTTTAACAGAAATGGGTTATATCAGCTGGGCCTTGAAGACTAAGAGTTTTCCAAGTAAAGAAGAAAAAACATGTCCTCTTAAGCAAAGAGAATAACCCACTGTGTGGCACAGATGCACAAAAAGACATCATTATCTGCCCAAGTGGTATCATCTTTCTGGCCTGTCCTCCTCACCCTCTAGGTCACTTTTTATGTAATTTTTTTGTTGTTGTAAAATATACATAAGATTTGCTATCTTAGCCATTTTTAAGTGCACAGTTTAGTGACATGAAGTACATTCACATTGTGGAGCAACCATCACCACCATTCACCTCCAGAACTTTTTTTTTTGAGATGGAGTCTTGCTCTGTTGCCCAGGCTGGAGTACAGTGGCATCATCTCAGCTCACTGCAACCTCCACCTCCCGGGTTCAATCGATTCTCCTGCCTCATCCTCCCGAGTAGCTGGGACTACAGGATCATGCCGCCACGCCTGGCTAATTTTTTGTATTTTAGTAGAGACAGGGTTTCACCCTGTTGCCCAGGCTGGTCGCAAACTCCTGAGTTCAGGCAATCCACCCACCTCGGCCTCCCAAAGTGTTGGGATTACAGGCGTGAGCCACCGCGCCCAGCCAACTTTTTCATCATCTCAAACTGAAACTCCTTGTGCATGAAACAATCAGTTCTCATTCTCCCCTCCTGCTGGACACTACTGTCCCACTTTCTGTCTCTATGAATTTGATTACTCTAGAGTAATCAAATTTATTTGATCTCAGATAAGTGGAATCATGGAGTATTTGTCCTTTTGTGTCTGGTTTATTTCACTTAGCATGATGTCTTCAACCCTAGTGAACTTTCGAGCATTCAATCTCAGGTTTTCGTTGCTTTAGTCAATTATTGCCACACAATTGTGGATGATATCACATGTCACAGAAGGAAGAAGCATAGTAGACATCTATTGGCTTGTCTGCCTAGGACCTGTCTTCTAGAACCTGCCCTTTCCTCCTTCCATCCACTTGCTTAGAAGGGGCGGAACCATGTTCAGACCCACCCTCCTGGCCACGGTTGATTTGTTCAGGGATGGCCACTGGCCTCGGCTGGCCCATGAGCCTTTTCTCTGGGAGTTTAGAATGGGACCAAGAGATGCCCATCAGCATGGCTATTCTTGGAAATAGGAGAGGCTTCAAGTGGGGAGTTATTCGAGGTGGCCATTTCCTAAGAGGTGGGCAGAGAAGCAGAAAAACCCCTTTACACAGAAGCAGAAAAGGGATGAGGAAGTAGAAGGCATCCCTAGTTCCCTCCTGAGCTACACTTTTCGGTGGTATTTGCTTCCTAAGGCTCAGCTCTCCACTGCCCTTGGGTTTCCAGGGACACCCTGTAACCTTCTAATCAGGTCTCCATTCTGTCTATGCTAGTTCAAGTCATGTTCTATCACTTGCAACCTAAACAATTCTAGTTAATACAAGAAGAACTTAAAACCTTTAATTTGTTGGCCTCCACCTGAACATGAGTTTGGCCATTAAGGGAGAACAAATTTATCCTACAGCACTTTACCTCAGAGGGTGGAGCAGGAAATTCTTCATTAATGTTTCCAAAGAACTCTGGAATTTAGACGATTACAGAGGATTATGTTAATTCAAAGCTTTGACTGGAAGATGGGCGTTGCTGATGCAACTTACCTGATGAAGCCCATTGCCCCTGATTAGCTTCTCTTCCTACAAAAATTATTCCTCCCAGATAGCTCTCATCTCCCCTCGAGTAGCAGATCCCATCGTATCAGCTGCTTCCACTCCGTGTTGCACCTTCTCCTGGCTTCCTTTCTGCAATTCAGTTTGCCGACGAGAACTCGCTTGTTGGAAGTGCTTACTCAGTAGCTTCTTTCTCCACAAGAGAAAATGCCTGGCATTTCATTAATCCTCATTATGCTAGTTTTCACTTGTTTCCATGAATTCCCGTATCTTTTCTAACATCCTGTAGCATTTTAACTCAAGACCATCGGCTTTCTTCGAATTTCTCTCTCCCCCAGCTTTAAATTAACGGTAAATGTGGCCAGTGCCAGCCTCCAAATTATACCAGACTCCACTGAGTCTTCCTTCTACACTACCCCCAAGTCTGTTTCCATCTTGTTGTTCAGAGACAAGGTAATTGTCAGCTACAAACACAAACCGTGATACTTTGTCCTCATTATGACAAGCTCTGGGGACTTCTTGATTGGAGATACATTCAGGGTCTGGATTAGAGTGAGTCAATCAAAGCGACTAGGGCACGACATTTAAGGAGGTGTGAAAATTCGGAGGCCAGCCCTACCCCTGTGCAACCTTGAGAGTGAGGGCTTCCTTAAATGTTTTGTCCTACGTGCCTCTCTTGCCTCACCCTTGTACTGGGCCAGGTTACAGCTCACTGCTATGACCAGGGCTGTTTAGATACCATGATGTGATCAGACCAGGGGGTGGGAAGTTTTCTGGAGAAGAAAGTGATTCCAAGTCCTGAGGAATGCAGTGAGCCCCTGGCCCTAAGAGGAGGAGGGTATTAGCATAGGTTCATCAAATCTGGCTTACATCTTAGCCTTTGCAATTTTAGCCTTGGATTTCTCATCTGTAAAATGGGAATAATAACTGTTCTCTGCTTGCATAGGGGTTAGGAGGGTTGGACATGGGAGACGGTGAATGTCCAGCATGGTGGCCAGCATCTGGTAAGTCAATCAGGTGGAGGATTCATTGTAACTGCTGTTAAGTCTGTGTGTTTTGATGTGGAATTACAATGAATATTTATTGATCATCTAGTATAGCCAGGATATGCTGTAAGCACTCTACACATATCAATTCATTGAATCTTTTTTTTTGAGACAGAGTCTTGCTCTGTCGCCCAGGCTGGAGAGCAGTGGCGTGATGTCGGCTCACTGCAAGCTCTGCCTCCCAGGTTCATGCCATTCTCCTGCCTCAGCCTCCCGAGTAGCTGGGACCACAGGCACCCGCCACCACGCCCGGCTAATTTTTTGTATTTTTAGTGGAGATGGGGTTTCACCGTTGTTAGCCAGGATGCTCTCGATCTCCTGACCTTGTGATCCGCCTGCCTTAGCCTCCCAAAGTGCTGGGATTACAGGCACGAGCCACCACGCACGGCCAGTTCATTGAATCTTAATAATACCTCTCTGAGATTGGCGTTGCTATTGACCCATTTCCTAGAGGAGGAAATGGAGGCAAAAGCACTTAGCTGGTGGGTGCAGGAGCCAGAAATGTGAACCGCCCATATTCCACCTACCTGCCCCAGGACCCCTGAGCCTGCATTAGAGGTTCATTCATTTGGGTCTGAAAGACATTTAGGTATTCTGAAAGCAGATCCAAGAAGAAGCACAGGAGAGAAGAATGATTGTGGGTTTTAGAGCCAGGTGAAGCTGAAGTGAAAGTTCTGGCTGTCAACTCATTAACTGTGTCATTGAGCAACTCTCTCTGAAGGGTGTTCATAAAATAGGGATCATAAAGTTAGTGGGAGGATGGAATGAGATGATGCTTGTAAAAGCCCTGCATGGTACCAGGCACATAGTAAGTGTCTGTCAATGTCTGTATTTTACTTTTTCTGTTGCTCTGACCCACCTTGCAGGGATGCTGTGGTCATCACACAGTGCTCAGGACATACCAGGAGCCCAGCAGACGTTGGAGGTTTAGTTTAGTTCAGTCCTCAACTAAAATAGAGGAAGCATAAAAAGTAAACCTTTTAAACTGACCGTTTGCCAGAAGATAACATTTTGGTAGGCCCCCAGGAGTAGGGTTTACTGGAGACCTGAACAGAGGGCTCTAAAGAAGAGAGCTCATGGTTTCTCTACCCCCTACTCCTGCCCTTACCCTGCAAGAGATGACCTAAAAAAACCCAGAAATTGAGAATTTAATTCTAAATGCATATATGCTGGATTGTAAGCTTGTCTGAGGGCAAGGACCAGGTCTGTCTTCTTCAAAACTATTGCCTTCAGGTCTAGCACAAAGCACAATTCAGTTGATATGTGGTGAATGAATGAATCAGTGAATAAATGAATGAAGATATCAAGACTCTTCAGTCTGGAAAGATGCAGAGTTAGCAGAGGAAAGTCCCGAAGGGGTTGGAGAGGACAAGCACAGATTTCATTACATACTGGAACAGACCCACGAGGGGCATTCCTGGCAGTGGCTCTCAGGGGACATTAAAAAAAAAACAGCTTTATTAAGATATAATTCACATATCATAAAATTTACCTTTTTTAAAGTCTACAGTTCAGTGGCTTTTAGTATGTTCAGAGAGTAGTGCAACCATCACCACTAACTAATTTCAAAACTTCTTCATAACCCAACCCTCAAAAATCTGTAATCATTACTAGTCTCTCTTCATTCTCCCCTCCCTTGGTCCCAGGAAGAACTGATCTGCTGTTTCTATTGATTTGGCTATTCTCAATATTGCATATAAGTGAAATCATACAATATGACTGGATTCTTTCACTTAGCAGAATGTTTTCAAGGTGCACCCATGTTGTAGCACAGATCAGTCCTTCGTTTTTATGGCTGAATAATCTTCCATTGCTTAGATTGATTACAGCCGGGATTTTGTTAGTGCTTGTGTTGAATCCATAGATCACTTTGGGGAGTATTGCCATTTATCAATATTAACTCTTTCAATTCATGATCATGGAAGACTATTTTCATCTATTTCAGTCTTCCTTAATTTCCATCAACATGTTTTGTAGTCCTTAGTGTAGAATTCTTGCACCTCTGTTGTTGACTTTATACCAAAGTGTTTTGTTCTTTTTGATTCCAATCTAAAAGGAATTGTTTTTAAAATTTTATTTCTGGATAGTACATCGCTAATGTATAGAAATAGAATTGATTTTGTATCTTACATCTTATATCTTGATGGAAGATACAAGATTGATCTTGTATCTTACAACTTCGTTGAACTTATTTGTTAATTCTGATGGTTTTGAGTATGTGTGTGAGTCATTCCTTAGGATTTCCTATATACCAGGCCATGGCTTCTGCAAATAGATCTACTTTTCCAATCTGGATACTTTTTTCTTTCTCTTGCTTAATTGCGCTGGCTAGAACCTCCAGTACAATGTTAAATGGGAGTAGTGAGAATGAATATCTTTGTCTTATTTCTGATCTTGGAGGGAAAACATTCATTCTTTCACCATTAAGTATCATGTTAATTGTGGGCTTTTATTATTATTTTTATTTATTTATTTATTTATTTATTTATTTATTTATTTATTTATTTATTTTTTGCAGATGCTCTTTTTAGGTTATGAAAAAGTCTGTGAAGAATTGGTATTTATTCTTCTTTAAACATTTAGTAGAATTCACCAGTGAATCCATTTGGGCCTGGGCTTTTCTTTGTGGGAACTTTTTAAAACTAGAAATTAATCTCTCTACTTGTTATAAGTCAATTTAGATTTTCAATGTATTCTTGAGTCAGTTTCTGTAGTTTGTGTCTTCCAGGAATTTTCCCATTTCATCTAGGCTATATCATTTGTTGACATACAATGTGCATAGTATTTCCTCATACTCTGTTTTATTTATAATCTGTTTTATTTTATGAGGTAGGTAGTAATGTCTACTTTTTCATTCCTGGTTTAAGTCATTTGAGTCTTCATTTTTCTTTGTGAGTGTTATCAATCTTGTTGATCTTTTGAAAGAACCCACTTTTGGTTTCTTCGATTTTCTCTATCATCTTTCTATTCT
Source organism: Homo sapiens (assembly GCF_000001405.40). Taxonomy (NCBI): domain Eukaryota; kingdom Metazoa; phylum Chordata; class Mammalia; order Primates; family Hominidae; genus Homo; species Homo sapiens. The sequence goes on along the minus strand of NC_000001.11, from coordinate 14,500,620 downwards.
ATCTTTCATGTGTTTCGGTTCCAGTTTTTATTATTTCCTTCCTTCTGCTTGCTTGGAGTTTAGTTTGCTCTTGGTTTTCTAATTCCTTAAAGTGGAAGTTTAGGTTATTAATTTGAGATCTTGCTTCTTTTAAAAAATAGGCATCTATAACTATAAATTTCCCAAGGGACATTTACAAAATAAATACAAGGTTGTACTACTTAAGTTTTGAGAAATTATCTAGGCTGAAAAGAGAAATAAAACAAGTAAAGTTTAGGTCGGTGTTTCTGCAAGTGTTCTGTGTGCAAATACGTTTGGGAATAGTTGGCTTAAAGGAAGTGAAACAGATTTTCCCACTGCAGCACGGCTCTGGCTCTTTGACATGCCAGCGTAGGATATGACTCTCCCAGGGGAGGTGTGGCCCTTGAGTTCCCAGACTTTATTTGCCCAAGGAATACTTCATTGCTGGCATTCTGCAGGGCAGGGTAGCATCATGACTTGGGGGCCCTGGGTGCTTTTGCCTTTGTGGCCTTCTCTTTCATAGAAAGTATTAAAAATTATATTTTACAAACACAATGACATAAAGACATATAATGCAACTTAATTCATTATTATATGAATTCACTTATTCTATTCACGTTTTTCTAAGTTTAAAAGAAATTAAAACATTTTTGATTAATGAAACATCAGGTGCCTTGAACAGCGTGGTGGGCCTCTGCTACTGCGCCTGCTGGAGAAGTTAGCCAGATGCAGAGCTCGGCCAGGGGCAGAACATTCCCAGGAGATGTGAGCACACCGCTAAGCTCAGTGAGGGTTTCAGGACAGGCTGGCAAGGACAAGACCTGGAGTACAACTGAGGCCCAAGCCACTAGGGCCAAGCCAGGGTCACTGCCAGGACTGTGGCCATCAGTCATTTTTAGCATTCAAAAAGAAATAAAAATGTAACTCATCAGGAGCTCAGCATCTTCATATGAAATAAAATAACCCTGTCCTGTCTACACCTGCCTCTCTCCCTTTAAAGGATTTGGTTTGCTTGGGAGGGGTCTGAAATGTGCACCCATCTAACCCAGTTAGACTGCAGAACAATCGATAATGAGACAATGCACCATTGTTATTCAGAAACACCTCCCTTTTGCACAATCCTGGCGCCCACAGCCAGCTCCTCCCAGAAAGAAAGGCAGGACAGCAATTGTCACGGGATCAATATCTTCTAGCTTAGGAGGAATCGATCCCATGGCAGAGCCTCAAGGCAGCCTTCTCCCTATCTAAGACTTGGGTGGGGGAGAGAAGTGAGCATCCACCCCAAAAAGTGAGATGTGCAAGAGAAGTGCACTTAGCAGTGATGGGGATTGTAGAAGCGGTCTCTGCATCTAAGCTTTCTTTTATGTTTGGGAAAAGTTGAGAGGTGGGGGCTTTTAGCATTGCCTGAACTCACACGACTTGCCTGAGCTAGAGCTAGCATCAGAACTCCAGTCACCCGATGTCCACTTTGGCATGATCTTAGTTTTATAAACACACTCACCAAATATTTACAGATTCCTAGATTTGCTGGGGATTCTGCTTGGCAATGCATTGGTTAGGATCTTGGCAGAAAAGCAATGGTACCGTCAATAAGGTTAATTGAGGAGGGTTTAACGAGGGAACTGTTTACCATGCTGCTGCAGGGTTAAGAAAATCAATAAAGGATGACAAAGCACCGAGGACAGGCAAGAGTGGGAAGCTGTTACTGTCCCCAGGTCCCCAGGCCTGAACAGGAAGGGGAAGAAGGGGTTCTAGAACCTGGGGAACTGTCACTGTAGCGAAGAGGCTACTTAGACAGGGGCTTGCTGCCTTGGCCAACCCATGGCTTGGAGGGAGGGACCCAGGAGAATAAGTACCCAGACTCCTATCTCTTCCCACCCTCCACTCTCCATTTTTTTTCTTTTTCCTTTATTTTATTTTTTTTATTTTGAGACAGAGTCTTGCTCTGTCGCCCAGGCTGGAGTGCAGTGGCCTGATCTCAGCTCACTGCAACCTCCGCCTCCAGGGCTCAAGTGACTCTCCTGCCTCAGCCCACCAAGTAGCTGGGATTACAGGCACCCACCACCACACCCAGCTAATTTTTGTAATTTTAGTAGAGATGGGGTTTCACCATGTTGGCCAGGCTGGTCTCAAACCCCTGACCCCAAGTGATCCACCTGCCTCGGCCTCCCAAAGTGCTGGGATTATAGGCATGAGCCATCGTGCCTGGCCTACCCTCCAGTTTTCTTTGGCATCTTCCCAGCTAGAAGCCAGAGAGCACTGCCTGCCTGTGGCTTCACCCTGGGGCACAGAGCAGGCAGGAGAAGGCTGGAGAAAGGGTCTGCAGTGGTGAGTGGACACGACCTGGCACAGTGCTACCAATAGGAGGTGGAGGAACGAGTCCTTTGAGCTAGGAGCTTATGATGGAGTAGAGGCATAAAAGAACACTGACGAGCCATGGATTTTGTGCCTTGTAAATTCAAGGTGCTATGGTAATGTGAAAGAAGAAAACTGGAGAAGGGATCAGTGAGCAAAGTCAGGGAACGTTTCCAAAGTAAGAGCCTTGAACTGAGTCCCAGACATTGAATACGAATGAGGTGAAGGAGAAGCAGCTTGTAAAAGTACAGGCAAGGGAAACCGGATAGAAATTGGTGCCAGGCTGCAAAGCTTGAGTTTTAACCAGAAGGCATAGGAAGTCATTAAAATATGTTACGAGACCATGGGCAAGGAATTAACATGACTTCTTTCTAATGATGGGTTTTTGTCACTCTGCCTTTTCTTCTACATTGAAGATTCTTCTTCTTCCTCTTTTTTTTTTTCCATCTCAAATTGGATCAGCCACCCAATAGTTCCCAAAGGGCCAAGCAATAGTCAATATGTTGATCGGGTGGCTGTATTGGAAGCCAAGCCCTAACCCTCTAAGTCTTCCAGATTCTTAATTCTGTTGACAATCTGGTTCTCCAAGTATATATCTTCATAGGCTGAATGGGTAAGTAGTCTTTGACAAGCAGTATTAAATGTCCTATTATTTTACTCTGTTTCAAATTCCATACTCATTCATATGGCCAACTTTAAACTGAAATAAATTATTCTTCTGGTGACTCTATTCATCCTGAAGTTGAAAACCTCCTGGAAGTAATGGAAACTCAAGTTCTAAGGTAGGGAAATGACTCTGATTTACTTTTGTGAAATCTTTTCCCTTTTAAAATGATTTATTACAGTTTGCCACTATTCAAACCTCTTTAGGCTCTTGCAGCTGAATTTAAACAAAAAAGATCTTTTTTTTTTTTTTTTTTTTTTTTTTTTAGTAACAGAATTAAGTAAAGCATAGAAAAGACCAAACTCTACAACTGCAATAAAAACAGTCATTCTCTTATATCTCTTATAATTGAGATTCAATTTCACTTTCTCCTATCTGTCTCTGCTTATTAGTCAGAATCTCTGAGTGTAAAGGGTGAAGTCGGTGTTTTATCGCTATCAGAGTTGGAGAGAGAATAAGGCGTATGGGTTTTCTGTACCTCTTTTGTGCATGCTTTGTAATAGTCTAGCATTCTTTTGGTGGATATTCAATACCAGTAGATTGAATCTTGGCAGAGTTGGAAAATAAAACACAATGTTGCATTCAAGTATATATAATACTTTAGGCAAAAAGAATGGTAAAGATCCATTTCTCAGTTGTCAAGTTCTAAGATCAATGCATCTGGAAAGGGAGCCAGAATCTCTGTAGAGTCACACCTAGGTATTTCTGCAGCTGCTTCCTGGTTTCTGGGTTTGAATTCCAGCTTTTTTTTTTTCTTTTTTTGGTAAGCCTTTCAAATGCTGATGCTACATGTTTAAGAATGTACATGTGAATATCACGCTTTGCATGTAGGCGCGCACACATTTTCACCTATGTCTCAACTCAGAAAAGATGCTTCAGTGTGACTGAGAGAGCCCAGTAGTATTCTTAGAGTCGCTGCCGAGCTGCTTCAGAGCTGAAAATTTCAAGGGAATCAAAAATTAGGCTTCTATTTTCTTTGTCACTGTTCCTCATCTATCATTATAATAATGTATTCAAAAGTGATCACGAACCTTTTCAACAGCAATAATAACTAAAGTCTTTCAAGAAGCTATTCTTGTCTCCAAAGGAAACACCTTTTTTCTCTGGCCTTTATGAAAATAAAAATATCAAGGATTAAATCAAATCTCTAGCCCCCTAACACTGTGGTTAACGAGTCTATGAATATCAATTTTTATATTCGCATGCACAAGCACCCCCAACAACACATAAGTTATTCCCTTCCCCCCAGAATGTTCACATTCCTCAGTGCCATTTCTGTATTATTTCAAACATTCCTTGTTTCTATTTTGATTCTTGATAAGCAGAAAGAAGAGATTCAGAGGCTTTTTCCTTGTTAGCTTCACAGCAGGGATTTTTTATAAATATGGAAACTACAGCAGAGTTCGATTGTGTGTGTGAACTGAAAACCAGCAGCCCCTTTAAAGCCTAATTTATTCAAAATAACCACATGGCAACAAGGATCTTTCTTCTTCATTGTCTTGAATCGGTGAAAAGCGAGACTGTGAAAATAAATAGCAAGCCTTGGAAAAATCCTGTCTAATAAACTCAAAATGCTGGATCAGGTAAAACACACTTTTAGAAAAAGTCGTGGACTATTAAGAAAAGAAAGAAAAAGGAAAGAAAGATTCAATATTTCACTCTTAAAGACCCACCTTTCAAAGAAAGAACGTTGGTTCCACTGACTCCCTGATGATAAATGATGGAGAAAGGAAAGCCCCCTTTCCTTCCAATGTTATAATTCCTCGATGCATTTTGCATCAACTGGCAAGACCTGAAGGCAATTTCATTTTCGAGAAGCCCTCCTCTACCCCAAATTTCCTAACCAAGTCAATGGTGGATCACTGAGATACATGTTCCTGGGCATCTCATTTCCTCCTGATTTCCCGAGGCTACTTCTAATAAAGAAGGAGAGTTGGAGAGACCCAGAGACTCACAGGGATCCTAATATAATCACTTCTGTCAAACTAAAATTCTGACTCATGCTAATTCACTGTGACCAATCATTGGGAATTCAAGAAATAAGCTAGATCTACACTGTTAATTTAAATTATTCCAGTGTGCCTCATCTACCAGAAAGGAAAGGAGCATGAATTTCTTCTCTTTGCCTGGGGGTGTGGAGTGAGCCATCTGGCTAAAGGGGCAGGGGTAGTTAAAACTCACTCAGGATGAGGGGATTAATGGAAAATAGAACCAGGAGCCCCTGCCCTAATCCATGCTGTGGCCTTCATCTAGGGCTTTTCAGGTTGAAAGGAAGGTCTGATTGAGCCAAAATGATTACTGTCACAGGATTTCTTTATGGTTTTCTTTTAATCACCAGGCCTGGGTAAAATTGTCTATTGATTGACCTTCAATGAAATCTACTTTAACCTGGGAAATCCATTAAAAGAATAATTCAAGAGGTCATCTCTTTAGCAGCTCATTGTTAACCTGACTGCCTGGGAATTAATGATGCATACCGTTCTGGGAGACTCATAATGCCTTCCAAGTTTAAATATTTATCTGAACTCCTTGAAACCTTGCTGTATTCTCTTTCTCCACTAGCCTGAGTTTCATTTCTTCTTCTTTCCTTTGAGAAATGAATTTTTGTTTTTCCTTCCTTAGAATCAGATTCACTGGTGCTCTCTGTGCTCCACATTCTAGTGGGTCAGCTGTGGGGGAAGTTCCCAGAATTCTCTACCTCCCCACATCACCCAGGCTATCTCTCCCAATGACCAGAGAGCACTGGAAATGCAATATGCCTTCCATAGTTTCCCATAAATGCTGCACCGAATGCATTTTAATTTGTACTGAAAGGGGTCACATTTTAGAATTAAATTGTCCACTCTGGACATATTTACTCCTGAAGGGTGCAAAAAACAATGCTTCCTGGAGATTTTGGTTTTGCTTGGACATTACAGATTGGTTCAGGAGGTCAGAAGTAAGGCAGTGGGGATAGACTATTACACCTAATGTTGGCAGCTAGGCACGAAAGGACCTGCCTTGCCACACTGGAGATTGGACCAGAGGCTGTGTACATCAACATGTCACCTGCCTATTGACCTGAAGGGGGATTGGCATGACACCCAAATAGACAGTGAGAGGAAGTACATGGGGAACTCAACATCCCAACTGTCATCACACAAGAAGCCATTGACAGTGACCAAAGATGGGGGTGGAGGGACCCAAATTCAAAAACATGAGTATTAAGAAAAAGCAACAGCTCAGCATAAGAGCAGGTAGCAACCTCTACCTACCCACTCCCTCTCTGCCCAGCCACGGTTGTGTGCTCATACTATACACTGTGCTATAACCCTGCCCACATCTTATTTATGGCACTTGTCACACTTAATTAAAATTACCTGTATAATTGCCTAATTTCCCCATTTGATTCTATCATCTATGGGGACAGGGACTTGCTGGCTCTGGGCTGCTCCTGAGACTAATTCAGTGCTCAGCCCTGGATGGGCAGTCAATAAATTGCATTGTTGAATGAATGAATGAAACATCCATAATATTCAGGGGAAATACGTGCTTCTGAAAATGATTTACTCTAGGAACCAGAAGAAAAGTTTAGAAGACAAAGCCAGAAGACATGGCCCAAGGAGAAGAAGAATAGAACATCCTAGGAGAGAAGGGGTTGAGGTTGAAAGAGAATTGTCTTGAGACACAACCCTGACCTGGAGATGGGACTGAGGAGACAAAGAAGTATTGAAAGGAAATGAAAGTTGCAGTTGCAGAATTAAAATTCAGCCATGAGGCCAAAAAGAACACAATCATCATTGCAGATTAATGACTGATTCCTGATCAATGGCCTGAGTATGAATTTGAGAAGCTCTCCCAGAATGCAGAACAAGAAAATCTATAATGAAATCAGACATAAGAATATAAGAAATAAGACATCTTCATGGAATTGGAGAAGATGTAGGGAGCACGTAGAGATATTATATCATATTTCAGGCAAAATTAATGAAAGGGGCACCATTTCCAGGCACATTCTGGCAAAACTCAAATTATAAGGATAAAGACAAAAATCATACAAGCATGAGTCTGAAACAAGATGAAACAACATACATTGTGGGAGGGAGGGCTTCTCCCCACTCTTCTTTCCCCACCCCATCTTCCTCCCCAAGGAGGTGGAATGAGATACAGAGTGGTGAGTCGGATGTGAATGGATGGGACCTGAGCAGCTCAGCTCTTCCTCTCTTCTCCTTTTCTCTGGGAGCCCCCTTGTCCAAGTCATTCTGTAGAACCATCACAACCCACACCAGGTGTTGCTTTCATCTTCCGTTCTTTCAGCAAATACTCATTGAGTATCTACTTTGTGTTGTGCCTGGTTTCCATGCTGGGGATTTCAGAGAAAGTCTGATTGAGAAGACAATAGGCAAAGACACAGATGAGTGTACAGCACGGGGCAGGCAGTCCTAAGATTCCCCGAGGCAGAATAAAACAAGGCAAAGGGCCGAAGGATCAGGTGGGAGGGAGGGGCACGCCTTCCTAGAGAGGTGGTCCAGAAAGGCTGCGTGGATGAAGTGACATTCCAACAGGCCTGAGAGAGGTGGGGGACAAGCTGTGCGAACGTCTAGGGAAGAATGTCCAGGCAGAGGGAACAGCCAGGGCAAAGGCACTGAGGAGAAGAGGGCCGGGACCTGATTAAGGAATGTCCAGGTCAAGAGGCTGCAGCGAGCAAGTGGTGGGGGATGGCAGAGGTAGTGGTGTGCATGTGTGTGTGCTGTGCGTGCTCACACATGGGTATGGTGTGTGTACGTGTGTGATATATGGGCGGTATATGTGTGATGTGAGTGCATATGTGTGATGTGTGTGCACGTGTGGTGTGTGTGATGTGTGTGCACATGTGGTGTGTGTGCTGTATGTGGTGTGTGTGGTGTGTGTATGTGCGCTGTGTATGTGTGGTGTGTGTGTGGTGTGTAGTGTGTATTTGTGGTGTGTGCATGTGTGGTTATGTAGGGCCTAGGGATTATGGGGCCCTGAATTTTCTCCTAAGTGTAAAGAGAAGCTATCAGAAAGGGCAGCAGTCCTGGCCCTTCCACCATTGGAAATGGCCTTGTGCTTTTTCTGGCCATGTCTGCCCACCTCTGTAGAACAGAAGCTTCATAAGGGAAGTCTCGTTTTCCATCTTCTTCCCGTTGATTTCCCAGCACCTACAATGGCATCCTATGCAGGGCAGGTGCTGAAGAATCATTCACTGACAGAATGAGTGAATGAGTGAAGCAGAAGCCACGAGGAGGCAGGGAAAAGACAGTGTGGAGAGAAGCAAGGCTCCTCAATTCATGGTGGCGACCAACTGTGGGGTCCCCAAATTCCAGGGAGCCCTGAGGCCATCTGGGCCCAGAAGAACCCAAACTCCTGTTCTCTCCAAGACTCAGATTCACTCTTCTTGGGCAAGTCTGGGTGACAATCCTCTTGTCACCTCTGGACAGCCTGGCCAGTTTCCCCAGCTGGTCAGGCCCTTCTAGGATCTACTGCTGTCCCCAAACCTGCTCACAGCAGTGGCCAGTTCAGACTGGGTTTGAATGTACCCCTTCCAGCACATTCTATCCTCTTTTTCCATTTTTGTTTAATCCAGTGTCTGGCACAAAGTAAGCATGGGGCTGATAATTGTTAAATGTCTTACTGCTCGAGACACTGAAAAGCAATGGTATGAAAAGATTAAAAAGGGAGGGATAGGCAAAAAAGTTAAATAATACAAGCAAAAAGATTTTTTTCTTTTTAAAAGCAGGGGTGGCAGGATCTATTTCAGACAAAGTAGAATTCAAATTCAAAGTGGAATTCAGAAGGGGGAAAAGCATTATTAAATAGAACAAAGGGGACATTTATATAGATAAATGGTATAATCACACAGAACTTATAAATAGCCACACACTGACAATGTATTAGATAACATGCAACACCCACTCCTTATTAAAAAGGAAAGAAAACCTCTTTGAAAGCTAGGAATGCAAGTCCACTTAATCAGCATGACAAATAATATCGAGCTAAAACCAGCAACTACCATCATATTTAATGGTGAATACAGAAGGTATTCTCATTAAAATCAGTAGAAATCCAAGTGTCCCTGGTAATATCAAAAGAGTAACATGGACACAGGGAGGGGAATATCACACACCGGGACCTGTCGGCGGGTAGGGGACTAGGGGAGGGATAGCATTAGGAGAAATACCTAATGTAGACGACGGATTGATGGGTGCAGCAAACCACCATGGCACGTCTATACCTACGTAACAAACCTGCACATTCTGCACATGTATCCTAGAACTTAAAGTATAACAATAATAAAAAAAGAGTAACTTGTAAATCTCTTAGAGTTCATGAGGTTTAATAAAGTAGGTGGATTAACTATCAAATAGAGAAAAAGCAATAGCTTTGCTTATAACAGCATTAACCAGTTAAAAGATGAAATGGGAAAGAAAACCACTTTCTTAATTGCAATAGCAAACCCAGGACACCTAGGAATAAACATGACAAGGAATGAGTAGGATCGACATGAGGAAAATTGGAAAAATCTTTTTGAGATACAAAAGAAGATGTGAACAAATGTATAAACATTTCTGTAGAAGGAATCTAAAGTTTGTGACAATGACAATTCTTCTCCAATTAGTTTATAAACTTAGTATTTTCTCAATCAATAGTCTTTGGATTTATTTTTCTTTTGAAATGTGACCAAATGATTCTAAAGTTTATTTGGAAAAATGAACAGATGGGAAAAAACTAAGAGGATTAGAACAATGTTTCAAAAATGTTGAAATCGATTATGTGGAAGCATCATGGCAGGTGAATTTTATTCTCCTCTTTGTATTTTTTCTACATTTAAAAAATCTTTTAGAATGCAAACATTTCATACTAAAATTCACATAGAAATAGAATTAGTTGCAAAAATATAACCATTAAAAAACAACCACCCCGTCTCTGCTAAAAATAGAAATATTAGCTGGGGATGGTGGCACACGCCTGTAATCCCAGCTACTCAGGAGGCTGAGGCAGGAGAATTGCTTGAACCTGGGAAGCGGAGGTTGCAGTGAGCCGAGATCGCGCCACTGCACTCCAGCCTGGTGACAGAGCGAGACTCCATCTCAAAAAACAAACAAACAAACAAACCAAAAAAACAAACAAAAAAAACAACCAAATGCAGATGAGTTGTTCATTAATCTCAGGCTATACAAAGACTTTCTAAATATACACACAATTAAGATCATCTTAAGAAATGTGATGGAGTGGGTTGTACAAAAATTAAACTGTGTCTCTCAAAAAGCAAACACACTCAAAAGCCAAACTTCAAAGAAAACAAAATTGTAACTAACGCAGATAAAGGGTAAATTTTTTCCTGATATAAAAGGGTCTCAAAGATCAAAAAGAAGGACCTTCACCCATTAGTAGAACAAAAGGGTGGAAGATAAGAGCAGACAAATCACAGAGGCCAACCTGACTAGTAATCAAACAAATTAACAAGGCAAGTCACTGCCATTTATGCCAAACTGTCCAGCACAAAAAGATGCTGAATGCTGAGAGGATGAGAATGGATGTGCCTTCCTCTTCAGGCTGTTGGTGGCTTGAAGTGGCATGCTCATTCTCAAAAGCATTTGACAATGGGTAACAAAGACTTAAAATGAGTTCACAACCTTTGACAAAGGAATTCCATTTCCAGCAAGTCTATTCTAGGGAAACAGTCAGATATGTAGGCAAAGATTTATACACAAGAATATTTATTCATGAGAGAAATGAACATTGAAATTCTATTTTGAATAATATTTAAATTAAGGAAAAATTCTCCTTAAATAATGTTGATTGAAAAGTGATTTCAAAACAGTGTATTCATTATTATTATTATTATTATTATTATTATTATTATTTTTAAGACAGAGTCTTACTCTGTCACACAGGCTGGAGTGCAGTGGTGCAATCTAGGCTCACTGCAAACTCTGCCTCCCAGGTTCAAGTGATTCTCCTGCCCCAGCCTCCCAAGTAGCTGGGATTACAGGCATGTGCCACCATGGCCAGCTAAGTTTTGTATTTTCAGTATAGATGAGGTTTCACCATGTTGGCCAGGCTGCTCTTGAACTCCTGACCTCAAGTGATCCGCCTGCCTTGGCTTCTCAAAGTGTTTGTTAGGATTACAGGCATGAGCCGCTGTGCCCAGCCCAAAACGGTGTATTCAATTTACACTGAATTACAATAAATTGATCCCAATTTATATAGATACATTTTATGTAGATACAGTTTATATATATATAATTTTATCCCGATTTATATAGATATAGTTGATCTCAATTTATATAGATACAGATACACAGAACTTATATAGATGTGTATAATAGATATATAGAGTCCCAAAATGTTACCCGTGATTATCTCTAGTCAAATTACAGTTAGTTATTATTTTTGTCATATTCTTCTTTTTTTCACATTTCCAATTTTTCTACAACGTGTAGAAATGACCTCAATCATAAGAAACCCCAAGATTATTTTTAAAAAGACGAAAACAACAATTGCCAAAGAATTTGGCTCCCAAGGTGTGGGACAGAAGTTAACTCTAGTGATCTCTGTTTCTCTTTCTCTCAAGGCCCAATAAAGGGAAAATACAATTAAGTTAATCGCCATAAACATTTACTGCACCCTTACCGTGAATAAGGCACAGTGCTGAGGGCAGTGAAACAATGCAAAGATGGACAAGAAATGAATCCTGTCCTCCAAACACAGTCATCAAGTCAAAATAGATGGACCCCAAATTGGAAAGCCAGAAAACATGGCGCACGGGGCCAAGGGGTGATGGGAAGCCAGAGGCAGATGGAGAGGGCTAACGGGAAGGATCCCTGGGGGAAGAAACTTTCTTGCACTTCTCAGACATCGCAGGAATTACAATGCCATGGAGGAAGTTTTCTTTTCTGGAATTCCTTTCAGGGACAGCATTTTGTGTGGTTGGAGGAAGGGGTGGTGAATGAAAAAAGCAGCCTGTGATTGAAGACGCTTACAGGAGGGCAGGCGCTCTGCTAAATGCTTTAATTGTGCTCTTTCACTGAATCCTCAGACTGAGCCTATGAGGTTGCCACTATTACAAGCCCCATGTTCTAGATGGGGAAGTGGAGGCCCAGCAGTTACATAATGTGCCTGTGTCTGCACACAGCACATGGTAGAACCAGGATTTCAGTCCAAGCAATTTCACCTTAGAGCCTTTACTCATTTTTCCTACAGAGTGGAGCTTGCAAATTGGGCCAGAGTGGAATTGTTCAGACCTTAGCGACGATGAGAGGTCACCGTTCTCTTTTTCAGCATCCTCCTGTCTTTCTTCCTCTCTCCCCAACATCTCAGGCAGCTTTGAGCCTCTCCTCCAAGCAAGTGACTAAGAGACAGATATGTCAAGAATATTGTATTGAAGGTGTGCCAAATGATTAGCCTCTACATGATACTGAAGAGTCTTAAGTCTGGGCCTCTGGAGAGCCCAAAAGGGAGACAGGTTTCTTCTGCAAAGACTCATCTATGATCCCTGTTGTAAGTTATTAGTTTAATGAATACTTGCTGAGCATCCAATATGCTAGGATATTGTGTTAGGTGCTGGGGATACTCTCAAAGCTCCTTAGTCAAAACCCTCCAGTCTACAGACCTCTCCTCTGAGCCAGTGGCCCATGTGACCTCCTTCCTTGGAAGGCCTCACCCTCAGCACATCCCAACTGAATCACTGCTCCGTTCCAAGCCTCCCATTCCTTCTGGATCCTTTCCTGGTGAGGCAGCACTATCTACCCAGATCTGCAAGCCACAAATGACCTTCTGCCCCATGGCATCTGATCCATCCTCAAATGTTGTCCAGGCTCACCCCTCAAAAATATCTACTGCTGTCCACCAGCACTGCCACCACCTCAGTTGCAGCCACCATCCTCTCTCCTGGACAACCACTCTAGCCTCCGAAAGGTATTCCCGCATTGGTTCAGTTGTCACACAGAGAGAACTTAACTCTTTCCTTTCCTCCACTTTTAAAAGCCTCTGGGTTTTTTGTTTATCTTTGGAACAAAATAAAAGTCTTTGGCTCCAGCCCCTACTTAGCTAATTTCTTCATCTCTCCTCTTCTTCCCTTTGTATGTGGATATGAAGCTGGGGAAATAAGTGAATGTCTGGACACCAGGCTGTGACATTGGTGACTTTGGGGTGTGAGGCTGGGGATGAGAAAGGAGGTGGGTAGAGGGAGATTTTTCTCATGTATCTTTGAACTGTTTCACTGGCTATAGTGAATACAAGTTAACTCTGTAATATTAGCAAAGAAAATTAATAAAGTATGCTTACATATTGTCCATTACTTAAGGAAGGAGAGTCTTTTAGTTAGCTATATGGAAAACTTTACTGTAATGTTTGCCTTTTCCTTCCCTATGGTGTCCCCAAAAAACCAGGTCAAACAAAACAGGAGGTAAGGAGGGGGCCTGAGCACTCATGCTGGTGTTGGACCAAGAGCTTTCAACTAAGTGGAAAAGAAAAGTGCAACCCTGTTGATTTAGTCCAGTGTCCTAACGTGCCAGGAAAGAACTCACCACTGTAGCTGTTAGCACTGATTTATGGAATCTCATCTAGACCATTTTCAGCCCTACCAAAAAATAGCTGGTCCTCTGAATACACACAGCTGATGAATGCCTCTGTTTAACTTGGCCACAAGCAAAACCACACTGAATGTGAATAATTGCTTCAGATAAAAAGACAGAACCCGTAATTTACAGGGAGCTACCAAGGAATTTAGGCTCGAGGTCAAACCGATGGCCTGGCAAGTATAATATTATGCCTGGCACTTCCCAGTGGTCAGTACTTTGGAATCCAGCCCGCCTAGTCTGTGAAATTCACCATGGAGGACAAGAAACGGAATTCTCCTCCCAAGCCTGAAGGTGTTAGTGGCATGGTGTCAACTCTTATTACCTAGTTAAAAATTGATTATCAAAATGTCTATCTGCTGAGTCTATCTGACTCAACCATCTTCACTACGCATTATCTTTTGTGGATCTTAAATGTACAGGCTATTAAAGTGGGCCAGCTCCTCTTATAAAACAAGACAGAGGAAAAGCAGGAATGTTTCCAAGATAGCTTCTGTATGAGTAACATACAACGGTAGAGTAATGAACTATGATGCTAAATTTTCATTATGAAATTTCACTTTTCCTCCTCAATTTATTTTCCTGGAATCTAGAGTAGGCACCAGGATTTTAACCACAAGCCACAGTTGGTGAGGACTTAAGCATCCCACAACATACATTATGTTAAAAATAATTTCATTTGTGAAGTACTCATTGGTCTTAACTGAGAGTTGGTGGAAAGGAACAGTAAAGGGAGAGCTTTCAAACTTTCATCCAAGTCAAACCTGGATGAATGGGTAGAAATCTTAATGTCTTTAAACTTATTTTTCATTTTTTCCATCTAGATATATATTTCCTGAAATATTAAGGTCTTGGGGCAGGATGGCTGGAAAAGTGAACTCTAAATGATGCAGGGCAGGCGAGCCCCAAAGTGGAGCTTAGCCACGTTAGCTTGGCTTTGCCCAGGAAAATTCAAGGGAAAGCCAGAGGTAGAAGAGAACAGCTTTACTGAACAGGCAGTGCTATAGGTCTGGTGGTGTTACAGCTCCATGACTGCTCCCGCAGAGCAAGACTACCCTGTGGGCAGAGAGTAGCTGCTCAGGGCAGTTCTGCAGTCATATTCATATCCACTTTTTTTTTTTTTTTTTTTGAGATGGAGTCTCGCTCTGTCGCCCAGGCTGGAGTGCAGTGGTGTGATCTTGGTTCACTGCAACCTCCGCCTCTGGGGTTCAAGTGATTCTCCTGCCTCAGCCTCCTAAGTAGCCGGGACTACAGGCACGCACCAGCATGCCCGGCTAATTTTTGTATTTTTAGTGGAGACAGGGTTTCACCATGTTGGTCAGGCTGGTCTTTTACTCCTGACCTTGTGATCCACCCGCCTCAGCCTCCCGACGTGCTGGGATTACAGGTGTGAGCCACCACGCAGGTCCAGATCCACTTTTAATTGCGTGCAGATTAAGGGGCAGTTTATGCAGGGTGGGGGTAGTAACTTTTGGATCACTGAATGCCATGGAAAGAGGTGGCAAGTTCTGGGTGTTGCCATGGCAACAGTAAATTGACAAGCCACACTGGTAGGTGGGCCTGATTGAAAGCTGCTTTTGCCCCTGGCCCTGTTGTAGCTAGTCAGCTAGTCCTCAGTCTGGTCCAGGTCTGAGCCCCACCTCTGGAGTTGAGTCCCACCTCCTACCTCATAAAGACATATCTGGATTAATTCAAAGTGGGTGGCACTAGAAATGTTGGACAAGCTTTTAAGATGTCCCTTGCAAAGAGTGGAATGTGAGAATTTGGTGTTTCTTTGAATGCAACGTGGTCAATGAAAGGGAAATGCTGTTTGATATCCTCAGGGTTGCTTGTCTTGTGGGTGATTCTGGCCTTCCTTTCAGTAGACTTGATCTCTTTTATAATTTCCCCTTTTCTTTCCCTGAAATAAAGGTTAGCAAGTTCTTTTGGATACGTGATAGATTGAGTGACATATGGCCTCAATTCTTCATTTTCCCCTGAATCTAAACCCTTTGCAATGTAAGTTTGCACAACCTCTTCATTGTATGTGGTGGTGTGGGGGAGAATTTTGTCCCATCTCTTAGTTTTGGGCTCAGCGTGTGATTTGCTTTGGCCGAGGCTATGAGAGCAGACATGAGACAAACAGAAGTTTGACAAAGCATTTTGGCATTTCCACTCACTTTTTTGGCTTTTGCTGTGAAACATGTCTGAGTTAACCTGCTGGAGAATGAGACCCCAGAGCAAAGCTGAATCAACACAGTTATCCCAGGAGATGCCCCAGACATGTGAGAGAGACCAGCCAAGATCGCATGGCTGCCTGAACTCCCTGCAGCTGACCGCAGCCATGTGAATGCGCCTTGCGGAGCCGAGTCTTGGATGAGCAGAACCAGGCAGCCAGCCTGCAGACCCTGAACAAAAACAAATGTTTACTGTCTGCCACTGAAGTTTTGAGGTTGTTTGTTATGCAGCACTATTGGGACAATAGATAACTGATACAAGATGAAGTTACTTTTTTCTTATACTTGGTTCAAGGAAGAAGTATGAGCACAGAATATTGTCTTTAAAAAATTGATAAAAATTGTACATATTCATGGTATACAACCTGATATTTTGAAACACGAATATATTGTGGACTGGCTAAATTGAAATAATTAACATATACATTACCTCACATATTTTTTTTTGGTGGTGTAAACACTTAAAATCTGCTTTCTTAGCAATTTTCAAGAATATAATACATTGTTATCGACTATAGCCACACCGTTGTGCAATAGATCTCTTGAACTTATTTCTCCTAGCTAACTGAAAGCAATCTTGAGCAAAGAGAGCCAAACTGGAGGCCTCACACATTACCTGATTTCAAACTATACTACAAAGCTAGAGTAATTAAAACACCATCGTACTGGCATAAGAACAGACACATAGACCGTCAGAACAGAATAGAAAGCTCCGAAATAAATCCATGCATCTATGGTCAATCAATTTTCAATAAAGATGCCAAGAAAGTACAATGAGGAGAAGACGATCTCTTTAATAAACGGTACTGGAAAAACTGGATATCCACATGCGGGAGAATCAAATTAGACCATTATCTCACACCATATACAAAAACATAATTTAAAGTGGATTAAAGACTTTATGTAAGACCTGAAACTATAAAACTACTGGAAGAAAACATAGGGCAATGGCTCCATGACACTGGTCAGAGCAATGATTTTTTGATCTATGACCCCAAAAATAGGGGCAACAAAAGTGAAAACAGACAAATAGGATTAACCTAAAAAGTCTCTGTACAGCAAAGGAAACAGTCAACAGAACGAAGAGACAACCTATTGAATGGGAGAAAATATTTGCAAATGTATAAATGTATAAAACCGATGTAAACCTATACATACCTAAAATGTATAAAACCAAATTGTAACATAACTGCTGTAGACACACTTTCGCAAAACCTCTTAAGACTCTGTTCCCTTGGCATGGTCACTCATATTGGCTCAGAATAAACCTCTTTAAAATATTTTACAGAGTTTGGTTTTTCCATTAACAGAGGTTTATATCCAAAATATATAAGAAGCATGGAATATCTTCTGCAAACAAGCTGCCCTTTTGTTCCTTCTTGGATTGATTCATGTCTTATGTCAGTGAGGTTTCCCTGATGCTGTAAGTCCCTCACTTTCGGTAATGGGCCCTCTTGCTGATGTTTTTGCTCCCCTCTGACGCACAAGTGAGAGTTATTCCAGGGTTGCATGGAGGAGGAGGGCCCCATTCTCTATCTTCATTTGAATATTGGTAGCTTTAGCGTTCTTATTTTGATGTGACTCTCCCTTGCTGGAAAATGGCCTTGGAGTTTGGATGGGTTTTATTGTTGGAAGATAAATCAGATTTGAGATCCTGAGGGATTCTAGCAGCTGAAGTGTAAACTTGGATGGGAGCAAAATCAGAATAATAATGGCTAATATTTACAGTGTGTGTCAGTCAGCATGCCAGGAAGGAAAGCTTAGAAAAGCTCTTTGCATATATTCATTCATTTAAGTCTCGGAACAGCTCTGTGAAACAGGAACGATTATTCCCATTGTGCAGATGACAAAACTAAGGTATAAATAAAGAGGTTATGTAACTTACCTAAGGATACTTGCCCAGCTAGTAAGTAATGTAAGTCCAGGCAGTCGGATGCCAGAATCCACACCCTTGACCATAAAGTTATATTAGCTCCCGTTGACTTGGATCACATGGGGACCATGTGCTTAGTGCATAGGTAAAGCCCACTCTCCCGCACCCTCAGCAGGCTTGGGAAGTTCCTGCCATATGCTGGCTCTCAGAGAGTGTTCTCCTGAATCTCTACCACAGGGAACTCCATAAAGACCCCTCACCCGCCCTTGCCCCAAGACCCCTCCCCAACTCCCTCCCTTTCTAATGATGCCATTATTCTGCATTGATTGAATGCTTAGCATGAAACAACCCCTCAGGGGGTTTACATGTAATGTTTTATTGAACACATATAACCTATTAGGAGATATTAATATTATCTCTGTTTTACAGATGAGCAAATAGAGTCTGAGAGAAGGTAAGTAACTGGTCAGAGATGGCTTCCCAGAAGCAGAACAGAGACCAGAGTCAGCCAGACTCCAGATCACCTACACTCTTAGCCGTGAGCTCTAGTGACTGCCTTCACATGGGACTTTCTGATTTTATTCAAACTCTGGCTGTCTGCAAGAAATAACTTTTCATTTCTAGACCTGAACCTACTTTTTCTTTGGGCCCTGGCTCCCCAGTCATGGTAGAAATTTGTCTTGGTCTGAAGTTCTCTGCTTTTTCTTTCAGGTTGGGTAGGTTGGGGTATCAGCTAGCGGGAGGGGGTGAGCATCTGTTCCTTGGTAGATGGCACCTGTCCCGGAGGTGGCCTTCTTCCTATCTGGCCTTTGGCCATCTATCCATGCAGCTCACCGCTGCATGCTCCTCAAGCTGTCCGACATTGCCTGGCACCTGTTGGCTCTCTGGTCCACGTGGATGAAGCCTTTGGGAAGCATTACCATGTCCCTAAGCCACTCTGAGCTGTGGAAAGCCACGGGTCTGTCTTGGGCCCATCTGCCTGGACACTCCATGCAGGCATGCCGTTTGCTCTTGTACCACTGGGCCTGCATGGTTGTTGACTGACTTGCACACTCTGGTGCTCTGAGGATGAGAGTTCCAGAACATTCCTCAGGAAGGCAGGGCCAAGGTCTCCTTCACAGGCATCTCCAGCATCCTCTCTTCTTACGCTTTTAAGCATGCCACTTCCACCTCTCCACAATCTCTCTCTCGGTTTCTAGTTGCCCTGTGTATACATCTCCCAGTTTTCCAAGTTGAGATTTTTTTTTTTTTGCCTAAACAATCAAGAACCACAATAAGTACTTGATAAATTATTCACTTTAAAAAACGAAGTGCCCTGCTATGTGAGGCCCCAGGCAAGATTACTTTCCTTGTCCTTATTCTTGCCATCTGAGAGCCAGAGATCAAAAATAGGTATTTTAGGAATCATGTATGAGGGCTACTGCTGACCTCTGAGGTTCAGGAGATAGAACTTGGAACTTGCTCTCTTACTTAATTAGACTAAGCATTCATATTTGATAGTTTTTTTTCTAGAAAATTGGCCCTAACACTGAGCTACTTTATAATAATCTTAAACAACAAGAAGACCATTATTAATAATGGCTAACCTTACTGAGGGCTTATTATATGTCCAGTGCTTTAAAAGCTTTTTCATATACTAACTTATTTTACCTTCACAATATCCCAGGCAGTAGGTACTTTTATCAATCCTACTTTGTAGATATGAAAACTGAGTGGGCAGGAAAATTGCCCAAGAAGATGCAACACATAAGAGGCAGAGGTAGAATTTGAACTTAGATGGTGGCTCCTGCAGCCCTCTCCTGACCATGTGAGATTGATCTATTCATTATACACCTACTGAACTGGGTTAGAAAAAACAGAGCAAAGCTATGCTTAGGGAATGAAAGACAGAAAATACACACATGAAGGCAACTGATCAAGTGTATAGTCATCATTGCCTTTCCATCTTGTGTGTGTAATATAAATATATATAAGTAATAAATAATACATAAAATGTATATTCTATTAATATATTATATATAAAATATATATTTTCTTTCAGGTTGGGTAGGTCGAAGATGTGAGCAGCTAAGGGGAGTGGGTGAGAATCTGTTCCTTGTTTCCTTGGTATAATTTATAAATATATATAAATAAATTACATTTTATATATATTATATATATTATATATTTTTTACATATATAAATACATATATAGTATATGTAATTTATGTATCTGTTTATATATACATAAAAATATATATTTTATATATTATATATAGTTTATATATTATAAATAAATATTATATATTATAATACATAATATATACATATATTTTTATACATTATATAAAATATAATATATAATATGAATATTATGTATTATGTTTATAAATATACATAAATATATAAATTATATATGCTATATATACACTAGAATATTTTGTCAACGTAAAGGCCTTTTAGAACTCTCGTCCCTTATACATCTATGCAAACTCTGTATAGTACATCTTATTGTCATCATGACACCAAACTGCTATTGTATGTTTAGGGGCCTGTCACTCCTGCTAGAATGTAAGCAAATTGAGGCCAGAGAAAGTATCTCTGAGCAGAGTGGCAGGAACTTGCCCAGGGCTCAGTAAATGTTTGTTGTTGTTGGCTGTAGCTACCTGCATATGCGCAGAGCCCACCTGACCTATAGAAGGTCCCCTTTGCAGATTACAAGAGTACAGGTGAACGTTTGCTACCCTTGCTCCATGGCAGGTGCCTGCCTGCGGGCACAGAGGAGGAGAGGCTGACATCTGTGACATGGGAAGGCTGGCTGCCTTGGTAGTCTTATCTTGATTCTCTGGTCTCCGTCCTTGTGGGATTCCCCAGCACTGGTCACATGGATGCCCCAAGTCATGTCAGGATTTTTATCTCATCCCCTTATCTGTGTCTAAAGCAGTGACTCAGCTCTTTAGCTGTTCAACAAATGCTTGTTGATTGAGTTTATTGCCGGGGCTGTCACTTCCTTTTTGGACACTTGGTTTATGTGTCCTTCAACAATCTTGAACAGATGCTCCACACTTTTCAGCTTGGGACCTAGTAAGACATTGAATAGAGACACCTGCTGAAGTAGGGGTTCTGTTTACACATGGATGCAACCAGCCATCCATTTGGCAACGCCTCCCACGTCCCAGGTCCTCCCTGGGCGTTTGGAAAACCCAGAGGAAGGGGATCATGCCACTGTCTTCAGTGAGCTCACAGTGTGAGATGGTGGGGGAGGGGAATTGCAAAAAGTACAATAGGAGCGATGATAGAAATATGGGCAGCATGTCTAACTCTGCCTAGGATTGTCAGGGAAAAGTTTCAAAAGATGAATTAGTCTAGAAAAGGAATGCAAATGGGAAGGGAATTCCAGGCAGAGGGAACAGCATAGGCAACGTGGTGGAGGTGGAAGAAAATGAATGATGCAGAGAGCAAACCACTAGCAGGGAGCGGCCACAAGTGAGGTTGCAACAGAAGCTGGGGCAGGCCATTGATTCTTATGAATGCTATTAAGAAAGTTGGACATTTTCCCCTAGGCTCAGGAGAGCCATCAGGGAGTTTTGGCCATGGCGAACCATAGCTGCATATGCGTTTTGTAGATCATTCTGGAGCAGGTGTCTCTAGGGGTCTGTGTCACATCCCTTAGCCCATGTCTGATTTAAGCTGCAGCTGCAGGGGACAGTTTCACAGGAATTCAGACTCACCTCTGGACTGTGTGTCCCTTTCTGTCCCAGGGCCTTTTCCATTGCCACAGGGGCCCACTTGGCCTGCCCTCACACACAGCCTGGATGTGTGGAGCTGTTAATGCCACCAGGGGCGACTCTGAACTAATGAGGATAGAAGCCGGCGGATAAACACTTCAGTTTCTAATCCTTCAGATGGACAGTTGCTGGAGGCATTCTGCATGCTTCCCAGAAGCTCCCAGGAGTCTCAACTCCCAGTTGCCCATAACAACAACCTTTATAATATACCTGTATCTTGTTTTCTCCTTCTTCCCTGAATTATTTTCCTGCTTCTCTACTCTTGTTTTCTTGGATCTGCTCCCAATAAACTACCTGTATCCAAGCCTTTGCCTCAGGGTCTGCTTTCAGAGAAATCCAAACCAGGACACACTCTGACCACAGCAGAGCCCAAGTGTTGCTGACAGTGGACAAGAGACAAGGGAGGCCAGCTGGTGGATGGGGCACGGGTCTGTGTGAGACATTACGAAGGCAGTAGCCATGGAGCACGAGGTAGGGATGAAGCCTAGAGACACATGGGACATAAAAGAAGTGAAATATGTTGGCAGATTCATTGAGGATGGGCGAGGACAAATTTATGGCTTGTGAAGGAAGAGTAAGGAAGAAGGAAAATATTAAGAAAAATGATGATCACTTAGTTTTGGACATGTTGAGTTTGAGGCATTTGTAGGAATAGGTTGTCCTATGGAAGGAAACAAAATAGTGACCTCTGTGATTTTTCATTCATCCAATTGGGTCTCAAGTGTCCAAAACTGCCATCCACCCATCCGTCCAACCTTTCATTTATCCTTTTTTCCATCCACCTAGATAGATTCATTCTTCCATCTGTGTATTCACTTGTCATCCTTTCTTCCTTCCTTCCTTCCTTCTATCCATCCATATATCCTCCCATCCACCCTTCCTTCCTTCCTTTCTTCCTTCCTTCCTTCCTTCCTTCTTTTCCTTCCTTCCTTCCTTCCTTCTATCCATCCATCTATCCACCCATCCATCTATCCATCCATCTCTCCACCCATCTCAGTCCTAGGGATTTTTCTTGTCCTGAATTCTCTAGAAAGCAGCTCGAGGCAAAGGCTAACATGCTTATGTTTCATTTGGGAAGTGTGAGCTCAAGGCAGTGAGAATGAGGGTGGGAGTGAGGTGAGTGAGACTGTACACAATGTGCTGCTTGGTGATTTTCACCTAGCGGTGAGCTGTGGAGACACAAGGCTGGTCATGCAGCAGAGGCGTTGCTTGGCATACAGGGCTTTTCTGGATGGCATCTGAGAAGAAACCATGCCTCAAAGTACTCCATGGGAGCAAGAAGGAGGAGGTAATTTATCTGCCGACTCCACGGCCCCATTCATCTCCTCTTTCTAATGGGCAGCGTTGGCCCTGGGGAGAGTCAGCTCCTCTGGACGTCCTGTCCTCCAGGTGCACTGCCACTTTGGGGTTTGCTCAGGAAGCCAGGTTGCATGCCTTTCACCCCAGGGCACTTCTTTCCCCTTTGGAAGTGGCAGGGACTCTGGGTCTGTGACTATTCGTCTGCTACGGAAGGCAGAACTAGGTGGCTCAAGTGGGCCCAGGAGCTTGTGCTGCAGGCTATGTGAACCAAGTGGCTGGCAGCCCCGAGGGAATCAGAAGAGACGCACAAGCCTTGTACACGATGCAAGGCAGAGCATAAACAAAACAAATAATTTGCCCTGATGAAAAGCACATTTAAGAGACTGGAGAGAGAGAGAGAGAAAGAGAGAGAGAGAGAGGGGGAGAGAGAGAGAGAGAGAGGGAATGAATTACCTGGGAGTGTATATTAGTCTGTTTTCATGCTGCTGATAAAGACGTACCCGAAGCTGGGAAGAAAAAGAGGTTTAAAGGATTTACAGTCCCCATGGCTGGGGAGGCTTCACAATCATGGCGGAAGGCAAGGAGGAGCAAGTCACATCTTACGTGGATGGCAGCAGGCAAAGAGAAAGCTTGTGTAGGGAAACTCCCATTTTAAAAACCATCAGATCTTGTGAGATTCATTCACTATCACTAGAATAGTGCAGGAAAGGCCCACCCCCATAATTTAATGACCTCCCACCAGTTCCTTCCACGACATGTGGGAATTGTGGGGAGTTACAATTCAAGATGAGATTTGGGTGGGGACACAGCCAAACCATATCAATGGGTGAGATATTTTAGTTAGGCCTTTCCAGGTTGGTGACATTTACATTGAGACATGAATGATAAAAAGTCTTCAGCCAGGCACAGGTATTCAGGAAGAACACTCTAGGCAGAGGGAACATGAGGTGCAAAGGCCTTGTGGCAGGAACAAGCTTGGTATAGTCGGAGAACAAAAAGGTATCGCCACGGCTAGAGAGAAGTGGACAAAGAAGAGAATGGAAGAAAGGAAGTAGACAGGAATCAGATCCTGTGGGTGCAGCAAAGAATTTGGAATCCTACTGTGAGTTGAATCATCATAGCCACAAATTCCTATCAGTCTTCCCTCTACGAGGGGGATGACAGCATCCAAGAATCCAGTGACAATCTTAAGGAGCTTTTAAGCAAACTGAATATATAATATCTGGATTGCATTGATATACTAACTCTTAAAATTTCTAGGAAATCATTATCAGTAATTGTTATTATATCAAGAAAAGTAATTACCAGTACAATTTTGGGAAGCTCTTGGCTGCATGCAGTTCAGTCCCTGTTGTCTGTCTTCTGATAGAAATCCCACGATCTGCAGAGCACTGGGTGGGGAAACATATTTAATCTAATAAAGGTCGCCCTCACTTCTGTTCTGTGACATGCCATTTATGGTATCATCCATTATTGCCCAAGGAACAAAGACGAGCTTCACTAAGCAAAGGGATGATAAAGTTCACTTGAAAATTGGGCAAGAAATTGCAAAACTATTTGAGACCAAGGGCAGAATCACGCACAGAAATCAATAGCTGTCAGCCAACAGGGAGGGAGGAGAATGAATAAACACAGTAAATAATGCTGAGAAATGGCTTGATGCCAACCAACCAACCAAGGAGCAGCCTAGGGAAATAGTAGAGAGTCCCAGCACTGAAATCAAACCAGTCCGAATGTGCACCTGTGCTGTACGTGCCACATAACCTGTGAAAACCTCAGATGACCCATCTGCACAATGGGCAGAGTACTATTACCTGCCTGTTGGGCTGCTGAGGGACCAAAGGCGAGAGAGTCTGTGTAGTAAATGCTCAAACAATGATAACCTCATTATTGTCTCAATCCTCCTTCTCTTCTTTCCCCTTCAATCAGGATTTATCAAGATAACACAAAAGAAGAGCATGACAAGTAACCTTCCGAAGGCTTTCTTTCTCAGACTATCTGAGAAGACAGGAATTAAAAAAAAAATCCCACAAAATTATTTAGCGTAAAAAAGATGCCCATTGGGCTTTCCTTTGCCTCACATCATTGACAGTGAAATGAGCTTCTTCCAACTTATGTTCAAATTCTAAAAAGTTTAATTATTCACACATACTCACAAGAGCCCTCCCTATATTAAAAAACCATCAAAGGGAATTCAGGATTGTGAATTAAAAAATTGAAATACTGAATAGTTTATAACACTTCCCACGCTCCATCATTTCTCCCTTTCATTAAAAAATCTAAACATTTGATATAAATGTTATTGTTTTGCTGGGTTTTAGTGAAGTCTCTGAGTCTGAGCAGTGTAAACTAGCTGATGGAGAGACTGACGAAAAGACAACTTGAAAGTTGCAAATCGATACACAAGATACGGGAGGTGAATAACAATGACTACTGTGTCCTGGGCACTGGTGTAATGGATCAGTAGGTATTATACCTTTTATTCTTCACATTATTTTCCGAACGTATATATTAAAGTCCTCTTTTCAGATGAAGAAAGTGAGGCTTCTTAATTAATTCCTTCTTCAAGATTTCTCTGTTAATAAGGGTGTCAGCTATAAGGTTCAAAAGGAGATTGGTCTGGAGCCTGAGAATTTAATAAGCATTTTCTACTTCATCACCCACACATCACCCAATATCTTTCCTTTGTCTATCTTTCCACTATCCATCCATCCATCCATCCATCCATCAATTCAATATCTATCTACCATCCATCCATTCATCCGTCATCTATGCATCCAATATCCATCTACCATTCATCTATCCATCCATCCATCCAATATCCATCTACAATTTATCCCTCCATCCATTCATCCATCCAATATCCATCTACCATTCATCCACCCATTCATCCATCTATCCATCCATCCAATATCCACCCACTATCCATTGATGAATCTATTTATCCACCCTCACATCCACCAATGCATTCTTCCATTCTTTCCATTAATTAAATAATCAATTTTTGTTGGTGATGCCTCACTATTACATCTTAACTTGCCCCCTTCTCTCTTCATTGTCAATGCTAAAACCTAGACGAACCCACCATCCCACTCTTGGCTGGATGACTGAAATGGCCTCCTATCTGGTATTCCTACTTCCATGCTTTCTATTCTAGAGTCCATTTTCATCACAGCTACCAAGGGGCATATTATTTCCCCAAATTCAAGCTCTTAAATATATTGTCATTGTATTTAAAGTAAAACTCCAATAAAAGTTTTAAGACTGCTCTGGTTGTCCTTCCGACCACCTCTCACACAGGTTACTCTCTGGCTCATGCTATGCCAGCTATGCCGGTCAACTGTTCGTTTATTCCTCAAATAAGCCAAGTACGTTCTTATTTCAGGAGTGTTTCAACTGCTACTATACCCTGAATAGTCTCCCCTTGGATAGCTCCTTCTTTCTCATTATGTAGAACTCAGCTCACATCACCTAATCAGAAGTGCTTTTTCTAATAACTTCAACGAAAGTAGAACGCAGTGAAAGTAGTTGGTCTTCAGTTCACTGTTCTACTTTTTTTTTTAAAGTACGTTTACCCCTATCATAAATTATATCATTTGGTTGTCTATTCTCCTTTCCCTAAACTCTTATCTCCCTTATGTGTAGGTATTTGCATGTACTAGAAAATAGGAGCCTTCAGCAAACTAAAGCATAACTCAACTCATAAATGGTTATTTCTCACCCACTACCTTCTAGGAGGTTCTCTTATCAGTGCTGGGATTTGGCAAAGAACAAGACAGACATAGTCCCTGATCTCACTGAGCTTACATTGTAATGAAGAATGAGACACACACAATAGAACTAGGATAATTTTAGAGTAGCAATTTCTATAAATAAATGCAGTGATGTGACCGGGAATGATGGAAACAGGGCAAGAGGGTGCAACTTCAGATCACCTGATCAAGGAAAGCCTTTCAGAGGTGCCAGCATTTGAGCTGAGGAGAATAAAGAGGAAGAGTCAGCCTCCCAGATAACCAGAGGGTTCCATACAGAGGAAACAACACTTGCAAAGGCCCTGTGGTAGACACATGCCAGGTTTCTCAATGGAGTAGAAACGAGGCTAGTAGGGCTGGTGCGGCATAGACATGTGGAGATGGTGAGGGAAGTGGAACAGAATGAGATTAGAAGTGGTTGAGGCTTCTGTGATGATGAAGAGTTTTTTTTTGTTTTTGTGTTTTTTTTTTTTTTTTGAGACAGAGTCTCTCTCTGTCCCAAGGCTGGAGTGCAGTGGCGCGATCTTGTGGCACGATCTCGGCCACTGCAATCTCTGCCTCCCCGGTTCAAGCGATTCTCCTGCCTCAGCTTCCCAAGTAGCTGGAACTACAGGCATATGCCACCATGCCCAGCTAATTTTTGTATTTTTCGTAGAGATGGGGTTTCACCATATTGGTCAGGCTGGTCTCAAACTCCTGACCTCATGATCTGTCCACCTCGGCCTCCCAAAGTGTTGGGATTACAGGCGTGAGCCACCACGCCCAGCCAAGAGTTTTTAAGATAAAGTTGCCAGGCTTAGCAAATAACAATATAAGCTACCCATTTAAATTAGAATTTCAGATAAACAAGAAATAAACCTTTAGATAAGTATGTCCTAAGCATTTGTTATTTGTTGTTAATCTGAAATTCTAATTTAACTGAGTATCCTGTATTTTATTTTGCAGCCCTTTTTAAAGATAACATCTCAAACCTAATCAAGGTGTGGCATATCTCAGCACTCTGGACCATGTTTCCATTCCCTGATCACGGAGAATAATTCGGAGAAGAAATTTGAACTGGTAATTAATGGAATGATCATTCCATTACCATCTACTTGGAGAAAAAAGACATTAGGAAACTGAAAGGTGTATTTATCTCTGGAACATACTAAATAATTATTCCAGGCAATTTACTCTCCTAACTATGTTAAAACTGAGAGGCCATGTGCCTCCCTTAAGGGAGGGCCCATATCTAATCGACTTTGTATCTCTTCTATAGCACCCAGCACAGCACCTGGAACATATATAGGTCTTTGGTAAGAAAACAAAAACAAAAACACAAATTTACTGAGAATAAGGAAAGCCAGTTTAGGATTCACCTCACTGTATTCCTATCTCACAGAGACAAAGATCTCAGGGAATCAAGCTGTGATTCCTGTCTTTCTCTCTCCTTACTTTTTCCAGCAAATTGTGAAGGAAAAAAAAAAAAAAGAAGCTTCTTTGCTGTAGGCATTACTGATGCTCATTAATATTCTGTTTTCTGCTACTTCCAGGTATGTGTGGAATAACACTTTCTTACCCTCCTGGAAGATGGGGTGGCCATGTGACTTGTTTTGGCCAACGAAAGATAAAAAAGAAAGGCCCTGTTCCATTCCTTGGGCAAAACACTTAATTCCAGCCTCATGTTGATATGGCATTGTCATAAGATGGTAGAGCCTCCATCAGTCTGGGCCCCAGAATGATTACCGTGAATAGACTCTTCCCCATTGCATTGGACATGGAACATGAACAAGAGTAAAATGTTTGTCATTTGAAGCACTGAGTTTTGGGGTTGTTACCATAGCATAACTGACTGATACACTTAGCTATGGTCTGAACGTTTCTGTATGGCCAAAATTTATATCTTGAAACCTAATCTACAATGTGTCCGTAGTACAGGTGGGGCCTTTCAGGACCTGATTAAGTGATGAGGGCAGAGCCCTCATGAATGGGATTAGTGTCCTTATGAAAGAAACCAAAGGAATCTTGTTCACCCTTCTGCCATGTGAGTAAGCAGCAAGAAAGTGCCATCTATTGAAGCAGAACGTGAGCCCTCACCAGACACTGAATCGTCTGGTGCCTTGGTCTTACACCTCCTAGCCTCCAGGACAATAAGTAATACATTTCCATTATTGTAAATTACCCACTCAAAGGTATTTTGTGATAGCAGCGGGTAAGAGACTAATACATAGTCCTAGAGCTTCTGAGACTCTGTAACATGGTAACAATTCAAACGGGTCTTTAGACCTAAGTTAAGCAGTTTCACAGCCAAAGAACAAATTGTTCATGCCTTTCTGAACACTTGTGGGCAAACAGAATGCTCTGACTCTCCTCCTAGCTCTCTCTTCCTATTTAAGGGTTAACCCCAAGATACAGACTAAGTGGGAGGGAAGACTGATAGCTTTTCCAGTGTGGCTGAGTATAAATGAGCCTGAAAACACCTTGAGGGCAGGGGCAGGTCATTTGTATTCCCTGGCACGTACTTGGGTACATGGTGGTCTGGGTACATAGACTGTCTTCTGGAACATCAGTTCAGCATTGTCACGCCTCTACTCAACGTTCCCCAATGGTTCTTCCATTGGCTCAATGGAAGCAAAAGCCAATAGCTCAATCAGAGCAAAAGCCAAAGTCGATGCAATGTCCCTGTGTGTGCGCTGTAGCTTCAGCCCTTCAGATGAAATTGCACACAAAAACACCATTTTCTTTGACTTTTATTGTATAGAATAGTGTGCTAGGACATGTAATTTTACCTTTTATGCCTGAATATGTGTTATTTTCTATTATATTCTAATATAAAAGTCTGAAATACTTTGAAATTATAATTATAGAGGCAAATCCTTAATCAAGAATGATAGCCAGCCGTATTCATTAGCTATTGCTGTATAACAAACTACCCTAAAATATAGTGGCTGAGAACAATAACATTTATGATTTCTCAGTTTCTGTGGGTCAAGAATTTGGGAATGTCTTAGCTGGGTAGTTCTGGCTCCGGGTCTCTCATGAGGTTGCAGTCACGATATTGGTTGGAGTTGCAGCCATCAGAAGGCTAGACTGCGTGTGAAAGACTCACTTCCAAGGGAGCTCACTCATGTGGACATTGGCAGGAAATCTCAATACCTCACCATGGGACCTCTCCAAAAAGCTGCTTGAGTGTCCTCACAACATGCAGCTGGCTCCCCCCAGAGCAAATGATCCAAGAGAGCCAGATGGAAGCCACAGCCTTTAGCCTAGTCTCAAAAGTCATACTCTATTCAATGTGGAAGGGAACTACCCAAAGCCGAGAGTCATGGGAGCAGGGGTCTTGGGGAGCCATCCTGGAGACTGGCTACAGAGCAGAATATGGTGCAGGCCATGGAGGAGCACACAAAGGAACTGAAAATGGCTTGCCCACACTCTTCATATCCACCTCTACCTTCCTTTTCCTGCAAACAAAGTAAACTCTGCTCAACAGAGAAAGGTGCTCACTTACGCAGGCTTTCCAAGAAGAAAAATATATCCTCTCTCTCTCTGCATAGGGTCCAAATTGTTGGCTAATGTGGCTCTTCTATCTAAGAGAAAAAACTCTTCACTTAGTGCAACATTTTGTCCCAAGAAAACTGCCCACTGTAATTGACATGACCAGACTGTCAAATGGTGGATTTGGCATA
The DNA here is from genome assembly GCF_000001405.40 of Homo sapiens. Lineage (NCBI taxonomy): Eukaryota > Metazoa > Chordata > Mammalia > Primates > Hominidae > Homo > Homo sapiens. The sequence goes on along the minus strand of NC_000001.11, from coordinate 14,470,449 downwards.
ACCTTTCTCTCTGCTTTGGTGTATGTAGAGTGGTTAGTTTCCCTTCCTCTTGCCTTCTTTCTTGTGCCCTGGTCTAATTCCAAGGCCACACCTTTTACTACCTTCCCCGGTAATTTGTTGCTATCCCCAAGTGCTAAGGGTTTACTTAGGGGACCGTGAAAACACCTCTTCTAAGGAGGCTGCTTCATGTTTTATCAGTCTAGTTGACATAATATTCTGCCTGTATCTATATTTCCTGTTTTTCATAACAGAATTTTCAAGCTGGGCTATCTGTCTCAACTCAGCACTTATTCTCATTCTGTTTGTTGTATGTCTTTGGACATTTCTCAAGCGCATTGTTTGAAATATGTAGGCATGCAGCCTTAAAAAGAACCTGTTCCTATAAAATGGTCAATAACAACAGCTTTGCTCCTCAACATTATCACCACCCAGACTCACTTACTCCCTCCTAATAGTGTTCGCTGTATCAATGCAACACCATCCATTTGGCTCCCAACCATGACACTATTTCTTTGTGTTTTATAAAACAAGACATTATTCAAAGCCAAAAACCAACACAGAATACCGATAAAGAAGAGCTAACCTGGCAAGTGCAAATAGTCACTTATGTCTGAGGTTAGTCCCAAATCTTCCAGGGATATTCGTAGTGCAAGGTGCAGAGATTTTGTTGAACAACCCATCATTAATGCTAATAAGAATCTGACATCGTGGCCTCTTTTCCAGAAAAGCCTGTTATCCATCAGGACATGTTCAAGGGAAAATATACCTACCATCTGCCTTCCTGCCCATGAGACCAAAATTCATTATTGCCATCCTGGAACCTAGAATTTTTTTAACTTGTTAATGCTGCCTAGGATGGCAAAATAATGCCTCTGGCAACGCTGTATATTTGCTGTTGCCATCTTCACTGATAAACTGCCCAATTTTCTTAGCAACTTCAGCAACAATAACAGTTTTCTGCTAGCAAAATAACCTTCCGTTTCATTTTTTAAAAATGGGCTGGAATGGAATGGAGTGAAAGAGGTTTCATGTCTCCTACAAAGCCAAGTTCCTAATTTTTAGTTTTCACTAGCTGTGTGTGGGGACTGGTTTTTCATTCCTGATAAATAAAAGTGCTACATTTTACATTTAGACTATTGCTGTCCTTAGACTACTGGCTAAATAATGTCAATAGGAAAGATCTATTGGAACACTTTATACGTTCATGGGGAATATAGCAGATTTTTTTTTACCTGCGTGACACACATTCCCCCATAATCTGGTTGTAGCACCCCACCTTTTTTATGGCTGAGATTCTGAGTGGTTGTGTCCAGTAGCACACATTATGGAAACTGTTGCCTTAATCCACCAGAAATGAGAGAAGCATTTTCAAAGAAAGATCTGGATGAAGGGAACAATCTGATTTCAACATTGGTTGTCAGCCTCTGCCAACGAAGAAGCAGGAGAATGAGGATAGAAAGAGACAGTAAACTGTAACAATCCCAGTATTCATCATGATTCATCCCTGATACCAAGATGAAGCCAAAGACTGAAAATTGGGTGTGACCTGAGTTGGAACCAAGAGGCAAATGAAAGCGAGAATCATGACCCATCACCAAGGCGAGACCATCTTGCAAACGGTTGACGATGCCTACCCGCAGAGATGCCTGGGCGGGCAAAATATAAATGTACAGCTTACACAAACCACCACCAACCAGACACTGATGGTGAAATAACTTTCCAGTAAAGTGAAAACCAAGAAATTCTAACTTTGTGCCTTGCCTGCACTCAATCTCCAATACCCCTAATTTAGCTTTGATTCTAATGTTCATGCCCAGGGCAAATGTGTTCTTCCCGGTTCTTCCTGGAATGTGGACATGTAGGAAGACTCATAGCTATAGCATGATGTGCAATATGACGTAGGTAGCACAGTGCAGGGAAAAGGACCCTAGGTTCTGGGACTGTGCTGAATCCATACTACCTCCTGCAAAGTGGGCACGTTGGCTAGATCGCTGATCTTCCTGTGCCTCAGTCTCCTCATCTTCAAAAGTCTGAGAGCCCCATGTAGTTCCTGGGGTTTCATGGCTTGAGTAAGACCGGGTATATAAAGGGGCCTGATGCAGAGCAAGTGCTTCTTGATGTGAGGTTCCATTTTCCCTTTTCCCAGTCTCTAAGAATTCAATTCAAGCATGTTTCATGTATCAAAAGAGCTAAAAAGATTTTTAAAGTTAGTGTGGAAATTCTTTTGGACAATTAAAACATGAACATAAAGACAAACGTTTGAACACCTCATAGATTTTTTAGCTTGACTTTTTTTCCATGTCCCTCCAACCCAAAAACCATGTGTAGTAGACGCTTGTGGTTTATTAGCCAGCTAAGTATCCACTCTCCTGTCTTCTGGTGATAGCCTCTTGGCCTTCATTGTAGGAACACACCTCATTTCCTCTCAGACCATATTGGTCAGAAGAAGCTAAGCCAAACTGCTCTCCAGAGAAGAGCACGTGATTTATGCGTGGGCCTGGAAACTAGCTCAGGTGTGGACATTTGACCCAAGCAGGCCAATGAAACTCAAACCAGGAAGTTTGCTGGTACAGTAGAGAAAAAGAAGCTTACGTTCTATTGGAGTTGCTAAGCCTGGAGCTTCTGGGGGCCATCATGAGAGGCTGAAACACCTGAGAGTGGAATTAACAGAGAAGAAACCTTAGGTGAGTAAGGCTGAATCCCAACAGCATCATTTGAACTCCTGGATTCAACTGAGGGCGATGTAAAGTCTACTTTTTTTTTTTTTTTTTTTTTGCCTTTTGGATACATGAATCAGGCATTTCTTTTTCCATCTTTTTATTAATGCTTTCAACTGATTTATGTCTTAGATTATAAAGTTTGTCACTTGTAGAATGTATATAATTGGGTCGTTTAAAAAAGCCACTCTGCTAATCTTTCTACTGTTTGCTTAGAGTGTTTAACCCATTTACATGGAATATAATGACTGATAGGATATAATTGACATCTGCCATTTTGCTATTTGTTTTCTGTATATCTTAAGTCTTTTTTATTCTACCATTTCTCGATTACTAACTTCTTTTGTGTTAAATAGATATTTTCTACTTACCATTTTATTTTCCTTGTTGTTTTTTTTTTATAATATATTTCAAGTTATTTTCTTAGTGGTTGCCCTGGGGATTGCAATTAGCATCTTAACTTAAAACAATCTAATTCAAATTAATGCTAAATTAATTTTAACAGTATACAGAAACTTTGCTTCAAATAAAGCACAATACCCTCCCTCCTCTTTTGTGCTGTTAATGTCATACAAATTACATTTTATGCATTACAAGGCATTGGCACAATTTTATCATAATTGCTTTATGTAGTTATTTTTAAAATCAGATAGAAGGAATTACAAAAATATATTTATACTGTCTTTTATGTTTACTAATGTAGTTACCTTTGTTGCTGTGAATCAATAGTTTCTTCGGTTTATTTATTTAATTAATTTTTTTTTGAGACAGAGTCTTGCACTGTCGCCCAGGCTGGAGCGCAGTGGCGCGATCTCGGCTCACTGCAACCTCCACCTCCTGGGTTCACGCCATTCTCCTGCCTCAGCCTCCCAAGTAGCTGGGACCACAGGCGCCCGCCACCACAACAGGCTAATTTTTTTGTATTTTTAGTAGAGACAGGGTTTCACCGTGTTAGCCAGGATGGTCTCCATCTCCTGACTTCGTGATCTGCCCACCTCGGCCTCCCGAAGTGCTGGGATTACAGGCGTGAGCCACCGCGCCTGGCCGTTTCTTCTTCTTTTTTTTTTTTTTTAAATTTAGTTTTAAGTTTGGGGTACATGTGCAGGATGTGAAGGTTTGTTGCATAGGTAATCGTATGCAATGGTGGTTTGCTGCAGCTATCAACCCATCACCTAGGTGTCAAGCCCAGCACATATTAGGTATTTTTCCTAATGCTCTCCCTCCCCTCACCCCACTCCCTGAGAGGCCCCAGTGTGTGTTGTTCCCCTCCCTGTGTCCATGCATTCTCATTGTTCAGCTCCCACTTATAAGTGAGAACACGCAGCATTTGGTTTTCTGTTCCTGCATTAGTTTGCTGAGGATGATGGCTTCCAGCTCCATCCACGTCTCCTTTTTTGTTTTCCTTATAAAAACTTGAAGTTCAATTCCTTATAACTCAAAGTGTCCTGTGTGATACTGCATGTCATAGGGAGCCACTAAAATGAGCAGTGGGCACAGTGTAGAGTGAGCTCTCTCTTCTACAAACCTGTCTTTCTGCTTTTGGCGGCAGGGACATAATTCTTGTGTAGTCATGTGTTGCTTACCGACAGGGATATGTTCTGAAAAATATGTTGTTAGGTGACACCATGGAGCATGCTTACACAAACCTAAATGATATAGCTTCCTATTTACCTAAACTGTATGGTATAGCCGCTTGTGTGTGCCTAAGTTGCAAATCTGTATAGCATGTTGCTGTACTGAATGCTGCAGTCAATTGTAACATAATGAGGAGTATTTGTGTGTACCTAAACATACCTAAATATAGAAAAGGTGCAGAAAAAATACAGTATTATAATCATACGGGACCACTGTTGTGTATGTGGTCTGTTGTTGACCAAAATGTCATTATATGGTGCATAACTATATAATGGATTATTATAAGACATTTTTTATTTGGCCTAATCAGTATCCTTTAATTCAGGACAGCAGAATTTGAATAACTGACATGTCGTAAAGTGAAGCTGGCACAAATTCTTTTCTACTCTGCCTGTTGAGTCCAAGTTCCCTCCCCTTGACAAGACTGGCCTCAGTGACTTGTTTGGCCAACAGAATGTGGCAGAAGTAATGTTCTGCAATTTCTGAGGCTAGGTCTCAAGAGGCTTTGTGATTTGGGCCTGGGTCCCCTGGAATGCTCGCTCTGGGAGCCCTAAGCTACCATTTGAGTCCTACTACCTTGGTTCTGTGCTAGGGAAGCTATGCAGGTGCTCCAAGTGATAGGTACAGCAGAATCCAGACTTCCAGCCATCCCTGTCAAGCGAGAGACTTGTGGGTGAAGCTTTTTTTTTTTTTTTTTTTGAGACAGAGTCTCGCTCTGTTGCCCAGGCTGGAGTGCAGTGGCACAATCTCAGCTCACTGCCAGCTCCACCTCCCGGGTTCACGCCATTCTCCTGCCTCAGCCTCCCAAGCAGCTGGGACTACAGGCGCCCTCCACCATGCCTGGCCAATTTTTTGTATTTTTAGTAGAGATGGGGTTTCACCATGTTAGCCAGGATGGTCTCGATCTCCTGACCTCGTGATCCACCTGCCTCAGCCTCCCAAAGTGATGGGATTACAGGCATGAGCCACCACACCTGGCTGGGTGAAGCTGTCTTGGACCATCCGTGCCAGCTCATTTGCCAGCTAAATAGCAGCAAATGACCTCTGCAGACATGGTGTGAGACAGAAAAAATGTTCACCTAATCCTCCTTGTTGGATTCCTGACTCACAAAATCAGGAGATGTAATATAATAAACACTGGTTATGTGAAGTCACTGTGTATTGGGTACACAGCTGTTATGCAGCAACATGCTATGTAACAAGGTGATATGACCCCATTCATCTGGCCCAAGCAGGAGGGACCACTAGAAATAATTTAGACTAGGCTGAGTATGGTGGCCTGTAATCCCAGCACTTTGGGAGGTGGAGGCAGGTGAATCACTTGAGGTCAGGAGTTTGAGACCAGCCTGATCAATATGGTGAAACCCTGTCTCTACTAAAAATACAAAAAAATTAGCCAGGCATGGTGGCATGTATCTGTAGTCCCAGCCACTCAGGAGGCTGAGGCAGGAGAATTGCTTGAGCCCAGGAGGTGGAGGTTGCAGTGAGCTGAAATCACGCCACTGCACTCCAGCCTGGGTGACAGAGTGAGACGCCATCTCAAAAAAAAAGAAAGAAAAAAAAAAGAAATTATTTAGACTAGGGGTCTCAAACTCAAATGCCAATAAGTGCTAACTAAGCAGGTGATGTAAGTGAATGATCTGGAGGGAAGGGGAGGACTTGGGTAAACCAAAGAGCATATGTCATGTCTGGAGAGAAAGGCCAATTATTTCTCTAAGGAAACGCAATCTGAGTGTTGCCAGACTTTTCAAGAGCAGTCAGATTTCATGCAAAAACCTGAATTTTTAACTGTTGAGGACTAATTAATAAAAATTATAACACTACTTTGCAAGCCAAGTAACTCACATCTGCAGTCTGTACTTTCTCCCCAGCTACTACTAGTTTCTGATCTCTGATCTGGCTCAACTCTCTCAATTATACATGACAAAACAGTAGTCCAGGGAGGGAGCATGTGTTGCACGAAGTTCCACCGTGGATTAATGTTCTGAAAGATCCCGGAGCACAGGTCTTTGCCTCCTGGCTCAGGACTTTTGTCACTGCCCCACACTACTTGGTCAAGACAGAATTCCCAGACAGATGGTCTTCCTAGTGTTCCTTAGGTTTCACGGAAGTGAAAATGATACGGCCTAAGGGCCCCTCCAAGCTCTCAGAATGAAACTTCCCAGAATTAACAGAACTGCAGCCTGTGACTCCTGGGAATGCCTGGGTCACCATAGGATGGGGCAGGGGAGGTATCTCTGACTCCACACCAGGGCTTCATTGAGAGTAGCAGGACTTTTTTCTGTTTTATTTCTGCTTGCTAGTAACACTGATATGTACCCCACATTTTTTATGGTAAGGGAAAGCATATAAACTGATGCCTGAGAGACGCTTGGGCTGAGGACGGTGCCTGGATTTCATCTCATTTTTTAATTTAGAAGCCACAGTAATTGATTACAGAACATCATTTGGAAATTGTCATAGTATATATCAAAATCTTGAGAGAGTATAATTAAAAGGAAGAACACACAGGCTGCCAATTCTAAGGACTATATTGCTAATAATAATCACTAACATTTATTGAGTGCTTACTGTATGTCAGCAACTGTTTTAGAAGCACCTTATAGAAATATACTAATCTTAATAGAGCAATTTCAATAAGGTAAACCTGGGCTGGTTGAGGAAACTTGATGTGGAGGAGAGTGAAGAGGTTGGGATTAAAGTGAGATAGGAGACCCACAGGACTTGTTTTCTGTTCACAACCCTGCTGACCAATACAGAATCTGGTCCAGACAAGATAAAGTGAAGAAGCCAGCAGATGGCAAAAAACCAATCCCTAGCTGTCCTCATTGCTCATTAGCATAAGACGCTCCCACCAGCACCATGACAGTTTAAGAATGCCATGGCAACAACCCTGAAGCTACCACCTTTTTCCGTAGCAATGATCCAGAAGTTAAAGCTCCTTTCCTAGAAAGTTCTAAATAATCCATTCCTCAATTTGCATTAACCCACCCCTTAATTTGCATGTAATTAAAAGTGGGTTTAAGTGAATATAAATGCAGTTGCCAAGAGCTCGTAAGTTGCCAATCCTGGGCCCACTGCCTATGAGTTAGCCCTGCTCCACAAGGAGCAGTACTGTTCAATAAAAGATTGCTGTCTAACACCACCAGCTCACGCTTGAATTCTTTGCTGGGTGATATGGTTTGGCTGTGTCCCCACCCAAATCTCATCTTGAATTATAGCTCCCACAATTTCCACGTGTCATGGGAGGGAGCCTGCAGGAGGTAACTGAATCATGGGGCCAGGTCTTTCCCGTGCTGTTCTCATGATAGTGACTAAGTCTCACAAGATCTGATGGTTTTATAAAGAGGAGTTCCCCTGCACAAACTCTCTTTGCCTTCCACCATCCAGGTAAGATGTGACTTTGCTCCTCCTTATCTTCCACCATGAGTGTGAGGCCTCTCCAGCCATGTGAAATTGGGAGTCCATTAAACCTCTTTCCTTTGTAAATTACCCAGTCTCAGGTATGTCTTTATTAGCAGCATGAGAACAAACTAGTACACTGGTCAAAGCCAAAAACTCTCCCAGGCTAAGCCCCCCAAGCAAAAGGACTTTAGGATCAAGGTTATGAAATCCTAGAACAATATTCTAGGTCTGACAGAATGAGGTTCTATCAGTGGGGTTAATTAAAATGTTGACCTTTATTACTTTTGAAATATACAAGTGGAACAGCAGTTGGTGAACAGACAGGGGAAGAAAATCTGCTTCCTGCACAGGAAAGCTTCCAGGACCCAGGTTTGTATGGTGGAAATCTAGGGGCTCCCTGTGTAAACCACAAACGGTCTCCACTCTTAGTCCCTTGTCCTAGTGGCCAGGAATTTTGGTGAAAAAACAAGAGAAACCAATGCAGTTTACTCCTGTCTCTTACAAAGAGTGAAAGAGCACAGCCATTTAGCATTTTGTGAAACTGTGGGAGAACAACATTCAAAGCTAAAAGTCTCCTCTTGCTTTCCCAAGAGGAGACTTTTAGCTTTGAATGTTATTGTTCTCCCACAATCCTAGAACAATATTCTAGGAAACTGGAAATAGGAAATATTCCCATTTTCATGGAAATTGTGGGAGCTATAATTCAAGATGAAATTTGGGTGGGGACACAGCCAAACCATATCACCCAGGAGAGAATTCATATTTTTGTTTTCCCAAGGGGAGACTTTTGGGAGAGTATCTTAGGCTGATGGCCTCAGTGTCAAGCAGGTCCCTCCCAGGAATGTTTTCAGTTTCTGTTTTCTTAATTTATTTTAACCCCTTCCTGGCTACATGCAGGGTATACACAATTTTGGATATACCTGGATGGTGACTTCTAGGGCAAGGTGAAGAAATAGGTGGGGTTCATTTGTGTAACCACACCACCTGCCAGTCACCACCCCTCTCGGCAGTGCTGGCTTTAGTCATGTCTTGTCCCCTCAGTTCAGAAGAGGGAAGCAAATAAACTAATTGCACTTAAATTCTAATTATCTTAATGTCTTATCCCTCTGTATTAGTCCGTTTTCACACTGCTGATAAAGACATACCTGAGACTGGGTAATTTATAAAGAAAAAAAGGTTTGATGGACTCACAGTTCCATGTGGCTGGGGAGGCTTCACAATCATGGCAGAAGGTGAAAGGCACGACTTACATGGTGGCAGACAAGACAGAATGAGAGCCAAGTGAAAGGGGTTTCCCCTTATAAAAGCATCAGATCTCGTGAGACTTATTCACCACCACAGAACAGTATGCGGGAACTGCCCCCCATGATTCAATCATCTCTCACTGGGTCCCTCCTACAACATGAGGGAATTATGGGAGCTATAATTCAAGATGAGATTTGGGTGGGGATACAGCCAAACCACATCACCCTCCCAGAAATTTTGAACCCTGTGAAAGAGATGACAGCCAGGAAAGGGTAATGCTGAACTCAAGGGCGGATGCTGTTGCTGGATTCCAGGTCCCAGTGAGGAAATGGGATTTCTGTGGGTTTAAAAAGCAGTGACAAATTTCACAAGGCTCCAAAACTTATAGCCACCATAGCGACAGATAAAAAGTCCAACTAGCCAGCCTGGTTATGGCAGGCAGACGACAGCGCAGGGTCCAGATACTCTAGGTTTGAGCCTGGCCTCTGTCCTTAGCATGCTGCATGGGCTCAGGAAAGTTCTTTCACATTTCTGAGACTCAGTTCTCAGAAGGAAAAATGAGTATAAACTCCTTATCTTGAAGATACTTTGTGCTTTAATGAGATCAAATTTGTGATTAGATCACACTTGCTAAAATGCTCTTGGTGAACTGTAAAATGCCGTGGGAAAGTGAAGTATCTCTGTTTTCCCAAGGAGCCTCTATTTCTGATTTTCTGACCAAAGGACCCTGATGAGGAAGGGACTCCTTATCTTCTTCAGTCAACCATGGGACTTCTGGTTGATGTGTGGGGATGATGGGGTATCCCAGACAGTGACTTAAAGTACATTAGGGGAAAGATTGTCATAGAGGAGGAGAGGAGTATCCCAGGCCTGCAGTAATTACTGAGTGATCAGGGCACAGGTTCACAGACATGCCTGGGGAAACTTGTTTGGGGTCTAAGATGAGTCTGGTGCTGGTGGCCCTGGAAGGCTGAGCAGAACCAGAGAGAGAAGCCAACATCCCCAGGGAGTGAACAGCCCCAAGCCTGGATCCTCACCGCCTTGCTCAAGCTCCCGGCTGCTGCCAAGCTGTGTGTAGGGCCTGCCAGCTGGGCTTAGCACACTTGCCCATGTGAATAAGGGAAGCCTCAGACAATGCCCAGTGCCTTGGGGGCAGCTTGGTGGGGATGCCCAAGCCCGACATCCAGCATGGAGTTGGTTAGAAAAGTCAGAGGGGAACTATGTGTCCCAGAGTTCTTGGCCAGATGGTGTCTTGTGGGTTATAGGTGCCCTTTGATACCTGTCAGAATGGTGATGCTACACCAATGCATAGACACAGTGCCAGTCGACCAGGCCCAGGCTTGGGCATCCAAACACCTTCCAGGATCAGAAATCCAGGAGCTGGAGATAAGCTTCTATTAATTGATTGGAGCTGGTGGGTAAGGGAATACTGATTTGCTATTTCTGCTCTGACGGTATCACCTGCCTAAAGCTTACTCTACTAGTTAAGTATTTATTACTCAGGGGGCTTTGGTTTCCATGGGCTCACATGAATGCAAGAAAGAAAGAAAGAGAAAAAAAATCCCACAGAAATTAAAACATGGGTGACAGCAGCCAAAATCTTGCCTTTCTTTCCTTTCTTCCTTTCTATTGTGAAAATACCACCCAATGATTCTGTTTACAGATGCTATTTAAGTATATGTTTCTTTTGCAATAGACAAGGGCCCTTGTTTGCCCTCGGAGGTTAGAACATTCCAGTTCTTCCATTGCTCTAGGCATACTGGACCAACATCTCCTGCTGCAGCTTACATTTGGCTTGTGAGTTGCTACTCACCCGTCCTGTGCCCAGGGGAGACATGGTTAATTGGTTGTGGCATGCTTTCCAGATAGGCTGGAACCCAGCCTCAGAATCCTTCATGACGCAGCAGTCCAGGCAGCCAATACCAATTGATTGCAACTGGGATAATAGATAAAAACGATGCGCCATCTTTGATTTAAATCCTCTCTACCCCACGTTAATCTGATTGGGGGAAGAGTGCAGAGCTGCCTTTTTTTTTTCCCCTTGGCCACAATTTCTGCCTCACATTAATCACACAAAGAGCCTTAGCTCACTGTGGAGAAGCAAAAGATGCTGGAAACTGCATTCATACACACATGGGCTTGTGCAAATGTGTGTGGGCATGTATACACACACACACACACACACACGCGCACACACACCATATCCCCCTTGAATCTTAACTCCTAGGCCAGCAGGAGGTCTGACATAACAGGGTAGGGGGAAATGGCAAAGTATATGAAGATACCCTCCTAGTGAGCACAGGAAGCCTGCGTGTTCAGTGGTGTCTATTTCTCTCTGGATTTAAGCTGAGGAAATGGGCCAAAGCTTGGGGGAGTCCAATCACTGAAGCTGCCAGGCAGGAAGCAAGTAACGGGGCCACCCAGTTTGACAAACAAAAAGGAAACAAGGGTTGCCATAGCTTCCCTCTTCTTCAAGTTGAGATTTTTTCAGAGTTGGCTAACTTAAGACCCTCCAAAGACTGAGTCCAATTTTAAGTTAGATGTATTTCTAGGATTATTTCTTCACTCATTCATTCAACAAATATTTATTGAATATGGAAAAAAAGTATCATTTTGCCTAAATTCTTCATAATCATGGCACCCGTTGTGCTAAAATATCCCATCATGGGCACGGAGTCTCTGACCCCATGAATAACAAATTTAAATGAAGTGTCTGCCACTTCCAAATGTTCTTGACAAAATGAGAACCCTTGAACGCCACCAGCAAATGTAAATTAACATGTTTGAACAGAAGTTTTTAGAAAGATTATGAGCCATAAGTGGAGGTCCCAGCACCTTTACAGCAGCAGACTCTCCTCAAGAGCCTCCCCGGAGAAAAGGGGCTACTCAGACCATCCTGCGGCTAGAATTTATTCTATCTCTAAGACAAGAACAAGACGAGAATAACCACCATTACCATTGCTGTTTGTCATAGCACTGGCCAAGATTACAAGGAAAAGAAAGAAAGAAGAGATGGAAGAATTGAAAGGGAAAAAATAAAACTGCGATTACTTTCAGAAGAGATTACTTTATACCTAGAAAGACCATGATAATCAACAAACTATTAGAACTAATGAAGAGTTTTTCATAGTTGTTAGAAATATGGTAAGCTCTCAATGAATAAAGAGTTTAGCAAGGTTGCTAGAAATATGATAAACTCTCAACCATTAGAATTTTTTATAGCATCAATAATCAAATAGACAGTTTTATAAAAAATAAGATGTCATTCAAAATATCAACAAAAACTATAACATAATTGAGAATTTGTTTAAGAATATACTATACGTCAACTGGGCGTGGTGGCTCTACCTGTAATTCCAGCACTTTGGGAGGCCAAGGCAGGGGGATCATGAGGTTAGGAGATTGAGACCATCCTGGCTAACGCAGTGAAACCATAACTCTACTAAAAACACACACACAAAAATTAGCCAGGCATGGTGGCGGGCACCTGTAGTCCCAGCTACTTGGGAGGCTGAGGCGGGAGAATGGCGTGAACACGGGAGGCAGAGCTTGCAGTGAGCCGAGATTGCACCACTGCACTCCAGCCTGGGCGACACAGCGAGATTCCGTTTCAAAAAAAAAAACAAAACAAAAAACAACAACAAAAAAGAATATTCTACACTTCCATGAAGAAAATTTAAAAACGCTGTAATTAAAGAACATGCAATATGATCTGTCCCATGCTTAGCTGGGCCGAACTAATCTTATAGTGATAACAATCCTCCTTAATCTATAAATTCATTGAAAACCAATAAAAATTTCAGTTTGATTTTTTTCCAAGAACTTGATAACTTACTTGAAAAATTTAAAATGTACTATAATAAATAATAAAAGCTGTAAGGTACAAGAACAATGAAACCAATAAAATAAAATAGAAAGGGCCACGTGCATGAATTATTTCTGTTCAAAAATGGACATTATGAATAAAGTTAGCAGATGACAGAAAGAAGAAATTTGTATTGAGTAAAACTGCAAATATCTTGAATTGTACATATAGAATATAGATGTACAAATAACTTCTACTAATCAAGAAGAAAACAGGCAACCCTGGTAGAGAAATTGGGAAAGGAACGAACAGGTATTTTAGAGAAGAGAAACTCTATAGGGTTAACATGCATATGAAGAGATGCTTAAATTTATTAGTAAGGCAAAATAAACCACAGTGAATTATCACTATATTAGCAAAATTTAGGCCTTGGATAATGCCGAGTTTGGTGGTAAAGTGGAAATACGTGAAGCCTCATGAACCACTTTGTGGAAGCCTTGGACAGCCATTCAGCTGTATTTAGTCAAATTAAATATATGCTTCTTTTTGTTTGTTTGTTTTTTGAGATAGAGTCTCGCTCTGTCACCCAGGCTGGAGTGCAGTGGTGCGATCTTGGCTCACCGCAACCTCCGCCTCCCGGGTTCAAGCGATTTTTCTGCCCTAGCCTCCCAAGTAGCTGGGACTCCAGGCACACACCACCAGGCCCAGCTAATTTGTGTATTTTTAGTAGAGACAGAGTTTTGCCATGTTGACCAGACTGGTCTCGAACTCTTGACCTCAAGTGATCCACCCGCCTCAGCCTCCCAAAGTGCTGGGATTACAGGTGTGAGCCACCACACCCGGCTGCATATTTTTTTGACCCAGTAATTTTACCTGTGGGCATATAACCTTAAGAAAAATTTTAACATACCCCTATGAAAGGGTGCATATAAGAATGCTCATCGGTGCTTTGTTTGTGGAGAAGAAGGGAGATAATCTGCTTAAGTGAAATACAGTGCTTGCATACCATGTAATATTTTGCAGATATTAGAAGTAACATATGGAGGCCGCATAGCAATGTGGATGGATCTTGCAACACTGTGCTGAATTAAAAAATAAGAAACTGTGAGATCTATAATACAACGTCACCTACATGAATTAAAAATCTATACATGCCAGACAATACATATCTTGTAAGAACAGGTATAAACGTCTACAAATAAAAGCTTCAACATAAAAAAAAAACTCAACAAATATTTTTCGAATATCTACTAAGAGTACTATTCCTACCAAATACTGGAGAGACCTCCGTAAACAAGAGAGACCCATTTCTGTCTTCAGGGAATCTCCAGGCTATCAGAAAAGACTTTAATGAACATGTAATTATCACGAAATCTGATCAGGTCCACAAGGGAAGTAGAAGAACACTGATGCTCAGAAAGTGTCAGATAATACTTGCTTGTTGTTTTAAGCTGCTAGGGTTTGGGGGGCAATGTGTTACATAGTAATGGATAACTAACACACAAATACGAAGGTGCACATTTATATAAACGCATGCTCATGCACTTTTCATGAGGCATTTTAAACTCACAGCTTGTCTTGAAATCTTGGTGATATTCATTTTTAAATCTATCTTCTTGAGTCAGCACCAATATTCAGGACCAAACTAACATCTGCAATTTTGGTCTGTTGAGATAGCATCTGACTTGTGGCCTCTTGTTCACTCCACAATAATTCACTGAGTGCTATCTCTAAGGGACATTTCTTTTTCAGCAAAATATGTCTTCAGAAAGTTCACAGAAAATGACCATTTTGCATTCACAGTCAAACTCCCTCTGAGCCAGAGGGGCATAAATGGGCACAGTCCTTTCCTTGAGGAGTTGGATCCTGAAGAATTCCTCTGGTTAGAGTAACTCCTCATGTTTGAGTGGCAAGCTTATTTCTGAAGGGGCAGGTAGATCAAGAGCTTCAGGTTGGTCCTGTGAGGTTGGAGGCAGAGGCTGTCACCTCAGTGTCTCTTCTGGAACACCACATGCCAGGTCAACTTACAGAATTATTTTTTCTTTCAGATCACTGTCCATATTCATGCAAATATGTCAAAATTCCCAATTCTGGTAGAAAAGATAATTTTATGTTTCCTAAGGTAGGGGTCTCAAAGCCTCTTTGCAAACAACACTGGAACACTGAGTATCCCAATTTAACAAACGCAGCCTCCAAGATGGCCCGCAGTGATCCCCGCATCCCGGTATTCTGTAATACAGGATGGAAAGTTCCAGAAGAGCTGGGGAATTCTGAAGACAGTGAGACATGATATCTCTGTCCTCAAGTTGCTTATTGGATTTGAATTGAGGAGAGAAAACTTGTAAATCAGAAACAAATAGAGATGATACTCTCAGGACATGGTTAGAATTTGATATTTTTATGATAACTGAATGGATATATGGTTGTTAATAAATACTAAATGGTGTGGAATTTGTGTAAGTATGAATCAGATTCACTCCTTATGCAGCTCCCTCCCACATTGCGATGTCATTTCTGAGACTAGAGCATAAAAGATGTTGGCTTCCATCCTGGACCCTCTCTCGCTTTTTCTTGGATCTCTTTCTCTGGGGAAGCTCATTGCTAAGTCATGAGCAGCTCTATGGAGAAGCCCACAAGGTGAGGAATGGAGGCTTCCTGCTTCTGGCCCTGGTCAAGCCTTCAGGTGCCTGCAAGCTTGACTGCAACCTCATGAGAGATGCTGAGCCTGAGGCATCCCATTGAGCCACACCCAGATTCCTAACCCTCAGAAACTCTGAGATAATATTAAATATATGCTTGTTGTTTTAAGCTGCTAAGATCTTGGAGGTAATGTGTTATGAAGCAATGGATAACTAATACACACCTCTCTTATTTTCTTCCCTGACCAAGCATGGCCAACACCTTCACAGTCCAGAGATTATTTGTTTGTTAGTGAACATTCATGAGTACCACTGCTATCCTCAATAATGTATATGCCCCAAGGTCAGTAGAATTCATTTATGTATTCAGCCAAGTAACATTTCCTGGCCTCTCACTAACTATGGTAAAGGCAATGCCCATGGGATAGGACACAGAGATGAACAAATGCATCCTCTCTTCAAGGGGCAGCTATTACACATGTGATTATAATGCAGGATGGAAAGTTCCAGAAGAGGTGGGGAATTCTGAAGACAGTGAGACATGATATCTTTGTCCTCAAGTTGCTTATTGGACTCTAATTGAGGAGAGAAAACTTGTAAATCAGAAACAAATAAAGATGATACTCTCAGCACATGGTTAGAATTTGACAATTGAATGGATATATGGTTGTTAATAAATACTAAATGGTGTTGAATGTGTGTAAGTGTAAATCAGATCCTCATTTTTTCTTTTATGTTCTCTAGATTTCAACAACTCATTGGAGAAAAACACCTCCCAAACAAAACAAAATAACAATCAAACCCCTCTCTTTCCATGCCTTGGAGAAGTGATATCTCTTTCTCCTAGCTCCTTGCTGCACAGAGAGAAAATTAATCCAAAATTTCTCACTTCTGTAAAGCTCCATGGAGGATTTCCTATATTGGTTTATACCACCCTATTGTCCAGTTGAAAGAAAAGGCTCATTGCCTGTGAAATATACCAGAACCTCACTATAATATTGTCCTAAAAATACATGCTGTAAAAGTTCTTTTTTGCAAGGCCTTTTATGTCTTTGTTGAATATGGTAATAGAAGATGCCATAGTGGAAGTTCTATGTGGTTTCTCTCCTACCCCCATTTATATTCTTGGATTGGGCTTATGGCAGATTGACTATTTTTTTTTTCTTTTGAGACAGAGTCTTGCTCTGTTGCCCAGGCTGGAGTGCAGTGGTGCAATCTCGGCTCACCACAACCTCCACCTCCCAGGTTGAAGCGATTCTCCTGCCTCAGCATCCCTAGTAGCTGGGATTACAGGGGCATGCCACCACACCTGGCTAATTTTTGTATTTTTAGTAGAGATGGGGTTTTGCCATGTTGGCCAGGCTGGTCTCAAACTCCTGACCTCAAGTGATCCGCCCACCTTGGCCTCCCAAAGTGCTGGAATTACAGGCATGAGACACCATGCCTGGGCAGATAGACTATTGAATGTGGCGTGCACATGGTGGAGCAGGCATTATATCCATAGTATCCCAGATGTCTTAGAGTAGTACTTTTTTTAGACTAAATTTGGCATTCACCTTGTGTTTGTTGTTGAAGTTATTGTTTTTAATTAAGCAATAATTGAAAATTTGTACTCTTGATTATTACCTTTGTATTACAGCTAAGGAACACTTTTAAAAAAATCTCTTATAATAGAGACACATTTCCCTTTACTCATGTTGCTATCAAAAATGGGAGAATAAAAAGCAGAGTAAAAGAGAGGCCTATTTTGGCCAGGCACGGTGGCTCACGCCTGTAATCCCAGCACTTTGGGAGGCCGAGGCGGGCGGATCACGAGGTCAGGAGATCGAGACAATCCTGGATAACATGGTGAAACCCTGTCTCTACTAAATATACAAAAAATTAGCCAGGTGTAGTGGTGGGCGCCTGTAGTCCCAGCTACTTGGGAGGCTGAGGCAGAAGAATGGCATAAACCCGGGAGGCAGAGCTTGCAGTGAGCCGAGATTGCGCCACTGCACTCCAGCCTGGGTGACAGAGGGAGACTCCATCTCAAACAACAACAACAGCAACAACAAAAGAGGCCTATTTCAAGAAGAGTGTGGATTGGAACACATTAATTCCTGGCCTGCTTTACTCATTACTGTGGCTTGTCTGGCTCCTGTATGCATTTGAGTCTACAACCCCAGCAGCAGAGCTCAAGAAAGGCGGCTATTTCCCAAGACTCCTGGGAATCCCTTGATGCTTGGTCCTCACCGTAGCATATCAATTTCCTCATAAAATGCGGTCAAGGGCAACTTAACTAGAGTGTCTTCACACATGGATAGAGAAGAGTCCAGGAGTGAGGCTGTTGCGCTGGCTGTCTTCTAGGTTTAGGCACTTTCCATCTGACTCTTCCCTGTATGCCAATTCCACAGTGCCTGCCACTCAAGGTCCTGCCTCAGCCAAATGGCCACTTGCTATATATACCTGGAGGGTCTTGATGAAGAGTCATAAATCCAAACCCTCAAGGTATATTGTGACTGAGCGCCTTTTGCCTGTCCTTGCAGCCCAGATTGACCAGGCTTTGATAAATGCATTCTCTTGGATAAAAGCAAAACCAAACTTATTTTTTAAAAATGGAACTCACTGTAAAGTGACTAGATGTGTAATGAGATGCCTGTGCTCACCAGAGGCCCTAGGTAAGGATTTCAAACAGAAAAGAAAATGGAAGTTCAGAGAGTGCTTTTCAAGGTTGCCTGGCCAGGTCAGTGGCCATCAGCTTTCCTTAGTCTACCCATTCAAAGTTGGCCAGGCATGGTAGCTCATGTCTGTAATCCTAGCAGTTTGGGATGCCGAGGTGGGCAGATCACCTGAGGTCAGGAGTTTGAGATCAGTCTAGCCAACATGGTGAAACCCCATCTCTTCTAAAAATACAAAAATTAGCCAGGCATGGTGGGGCGTGTCTGTAATCCCAGCTACCTGGGAGGCTGAGGCAGGAGAATCGCTAGAATCCAGGAGACGGAGGCTGCAGTGGGCCGGGACGGAGCCAGTGCACTCCAGCCTGGGTGACAGAGCGAGACTCCATCTTAAAACAAAACAAAACAAAACAAAAAAGAGTTAATCTCATCCCAAAACAGCGTCCAATCTGCCAAGTGCCTGAACAGAACAAAAAGGCTGAGAAGGGAGAACTCAGTCTACCTGACTGTCTTCAAGGTGGAACATTAGCCTTCTCTGGTCCTTGGGTTTGGATTTGGACTAGAACTTACACCATCATCAGCTCTTCTGGTTTTCAGGTCTTTGGACTTGAACTGGAACTATACCGCCCACTCTCTTGGGTCTTCAGCTTGCTGACTGCAAATCTTGAGACTTCTCAGCCATCACAATTAAAAGCAAGTATTTAAAACATCCTTATAATCCCTCTCTCTTTCTTTCTCTCTTTCTCTCTCTCTCTCTCTCTCTCTTTCTGAAACTGCTGGTCTGTTTTTGTTCTGTTCTGGAGAACATAGGTGGGTTCTGTTTCTCTGGAGAACCCAGACTGATACATCTCGCCTCCCATCAATTCTGTGGGCCTGAGACCTTCCAGAAACTCAGTCTCAGCTGTTGGTTTCTGTTGTCTGTAACCATGTGCTCCCACAGAAAGTAAGCCCTGAGCTGGGCGCTTAGATAAGCAATCTAAGTCTACATTCTTACTGATTGCCTTTTTGAGGTACCAATATAATTCCCACCCAGTAGGTATGAATCATGGGTAGATGACACTGTTTCAGAGCCTAGTCTCTGAGGGGGCTGGGTTTGTGTTTTGGACAGTCCTTGTGGGGTACTTAGCAACTGTGTTAGGCCATTCTTGCATTACTATAAAGAAAGGCCTGAGACTAGGTAATTTATAGAGAAAAGAGGTTTGATTGGCTCGTGGTTCTGCATGCTGTATAGGAAGCATGGTGCCAGCATCTGCTCAGCTTCTGGGGAGGCTTCAGGGAGTTTTTATTCATGGCAGAAGGTGAAGTTGGGGCAGGCATGTCACATGGTGTGAGAGGGAGCAAGAAAGTGAGGGGAAGATGCTGCACACTTTTACACAGCCAGATCTTGTGAGAGCTGGCTCACTATCGGGAGGACAGCACCGAGAGGATGACACTAAACCATTCATCAGAAACCTAGGACGACCATCCAGTCACCTCCTACCAGGCCCCACCTCCAACACTGTGGATTACAATTCAACATGAGATTTAGAGGGGATGACATCCAAACTATATCAGCAGCCAAGCACCCTCTTCTCAGTCTTTCCTTTGCAATTTCAAACAGCCTACCCCTCCTTCCCCACACTTGATGTCCGGGGTTTGTAAAACTTGGCAAAGTGGTAGTTGACATCATTTTTCCCACGCCCCACCATCGTCACAATATCACAATGGCACTACCATGCAGCAGCTCTGTTTTGCTGTTGTTGTTTTTTGTTTGTTTTTTTGAGGTGGAGTCTTGTTCTGTGTCCCAGGCTGGAGTGCAATGGCATGATCTCCACTCACTGCAACCTCTGCCTCCTGGTTTCATGCAATTCTCCTGTCTCAGCCTCCTGAGTAGCTGGGATTACAGGTGCCTGCCACCACGTCTGGCTAATTTTTTGTATTTTTAGTAGAGACGGGGTTTCACCATGTTGGCCAGGCTGGTCTCGAACTCTTGACCTCAGGTGATCTACCCGCTTCGGCCTCCGAAAGTGTTGGGATTACAGGCATGAGCCACTGCGCCCAGACACAGCAGCTCTGTTTATATCAGGTGCCCTGTGCTAGCTTATCATGAAACAGCATCCTATTCCTCAAATCATTTGGAAGCTCAGAAAACAGAAATTAAATGTGAAGCAAGAGGGATGAAGACCGGCCAAGAAAAGAAAGGACAGGTGTGGTTGGATGACAGGCAGAGAGAGACTGCAGGCGGGGGGGCAGCACTCTCCCCAGCATCTCCTGAAGCTCCCAGAGCATGCTGTGGCTAAGATTTGCATGAAAGCATTTGCACAGGGTGAGCAAATTGGAGCACCAAGTTGGAGACAGGCACAAAACCATAAAACCCTCCTGAAAGGGGCCATTAAGAGTTAAAAACTGGGTAAAATTCCTTTTACCATGATTTTACTTGAATCTGGGAATGTATCCCCTCATTTTTCTCAAACTTAGAGTCAGAAGGGGCTCATTAAACTCACAAATTTCTCCAAATGCATTTGAAATAACCGAGATGAAGTCAGGGAGGAATCATCGCTTGGTATCAGCCCATTGTTCAGAAAGCAGCAAACCGGATGATCCCTGATCTTGAAAACATTCATTGTTTCTAGGTAGTACTGATTGAAGACCATAAAATTCAAAGTCAGCCCTCATCCTACATGAAATTATTGAAACAATCTCCATAGTGAATTTTGGTTTTACTAGTTCTTTCCCTCTTGGGGAACATGTGTTCCAAGGTGTGAAAAGCTTTATACTACTCTCTCCTCCCGAAAAATTCCATATGTATAAGCACACACTATTTTGCATAGAGTTTCATTTAGGACAATATTCCTATTCCTGCTGCCCAGGGAGGCATGGACCCCAATCACCACCCAAATTAAGAAGCTTTAAGCTCAAGGTCAGTGCAAGAGCATCATCCAGGTTTCTGAGGGTGATGGCAAAATATTCTGGTTCTGTAAAATTTCTAAGTCTCTAGGAAAAGACGCAAACAACTAAAGCAAAGTGGTAGAGGTGGATAAGGCCAGATACAAGGAGAGGAATCCAGGATGGCCAGCAGCCATTCCAGCAACTCGTGGGGCAGCTTACTTGATAATGAAGCCAAACCAGAAGACATCAGAGAAAAGGAGGAGAGACTAAGTCCTCATGGCATGGTCTGTGTTCTTGAAATCAGGCATTACTGAAGCCATCACCTCCTTGAATTTTCTAGTTATGGGAGCTAATCAGTCCCTTTTGGTTAAAGCTCATTTGAATTGGATTTCTGTTACTTACAACCCACATAGTCATCAACATTGTCGTGGACCATGTGTCAGGCCAGGAGCTAAGAAGTCTTCAATGCAGATCAGATTCTACCACGAAAACCTCCCTGCAAGTCTCTTCTTTGGGTCTTAGTTTCCCCATCTGTATAATAAGGGGATTGGGTAAGATGCATTCTAGCTTCCTCCAGTTCTCAAACTCCATGACAGGAGGCAGAAGCATGACCTTGCCCATCAGTCACGTGTGAATGTCATGGGGGTTGAGAAGCAAAGAAGTGTGCTTGCCTGTGCAGGGCTGGAGAGGTGAGGGAGTCAGGCGTCTTGTTTGGGTTGCCTGGGGTCCCTTGTGCCTGCCCTCGCCCAACTCCGTGTTGGACCATTTTGCTTCTGTTGCCTGCTATTCTGTACAGGGCCATTCCTGTGCCAATAATCTATTACTTCCTCTCTGGGGCTGGTGTCCAGTCAAGAGTTGTTGGGAATCCCTAAGCAGTGACTTCAATCCAGGATGTGCATTTAGTAGATTTGCTAAGCCAGTGGCATCCAGAGCCCTTGCCTTGGCTCCTCTTTGTTTGTGTTTTTAAAAGGGAAGAAAGAGTCCAGCAATACAGTCAGATGACCATGTATACTCTGCAGATTCATCTTGGTGATGGAGGACACCTTCCAGTTATCTGTTGGTTAGCACAGACACAGAAAGTATCTGAACACGTCCTGCTGGATTGCTCCTTCCCATTCTCCCTCTTGGCCTTTGCCACTTTCTCATTCTATAGCTGTGACGATGGCACTGTGTGGTGCCTTATACCTGGGCTTTGGACCAGAAAGATCAGAGGTCATGTCCCTGCTCTGCCAGTTACCAATGGTGTGATCTTGAGCTAGTGACCTAGTCTTCTCAGTCTCAGTGCCCTCCTCTGTAAGATGGAGTGTTGTATGAAGATTGAAAGGGGAGATGTCCAAAGTGCTTACAGCAGGTCTCAGCGCATGGCTGCTATTCAGTCAATGCTACCAGGGCTTGTTGAGAACAATCTTAACCACAGTTTGTCCTGTGGACAAGCTTCTGAGTGGGTATCCTGTTTACTTACAGTGCAGAGCTCAAACCACAGGTCCCCTACTCTCTCCTGCTATCCTGCAGCTCCTGGTCCTGCCTCTGTTCCAGGTTTTAGGTTATAATGTGGTGGTGACAGAAATGGGTTCTAACTTCTTTTCAGGTACTTTTTAGCTGGAAGCTCTTGGGCACATTATTTAACTTCTTTTAGCTTCTTTCTTTTTTAGCTGCAAAATGCTGATCTAATCCACCCTTTGATGTTGTTGTGAGATTTGAAGTAGTCAGGGCATCTAAAGGACTTAGGACAGCGCCCCCTCCCAGAATGAGAGACCCCCAACCCCATGGCTGAGGAGACGAGATGAATTCCTGAGCCAGAATCTCAGCTTTAGGATGACTAACCATAGCCAATAAATACAGCAGATAAAAATTAAAAGTGAGGAAAAACAGGGGAAAATGAAGCAGAGGATGGACATTGCCCAGGTAATTCTAAATGTCTAGGTTGTTAAAATGTGGTGGAGGGCTGGGCGCGGTGGCTCATGCCTGTAATCCCAGCACTTTGGGAGGCCAAGGCGGGTGGATCACCGAGTGAAAAGATCGAGACCATCCTGGCTAACACGGTGAAACCCCGTCTCTACTAAAAATACAAAAAAATTAGCCCGGTGTGGTGGCAGGCGCCTGTAGTCCCAGCTACTCGGGAGGCTGAGGCAGGAGAATGGTGTGAATCCAGGAGGTGGAGCTTGCAGTGAGCTGAGATCACGCCACTGCACTCCAGCCTGGGCGACAGAGCAAAATTCTGCCTCAATAATAATAATAATAATAATAATAATAATAATAATAATAATAATAATGTGGTGGAAACGCCATGTTCCAAGGGAGAACTAGAAGAATTATGGGTTCCCACTAGGATACCAGAGGCTCTGGCTTTAGCTAAATATAAAGCACACATGGACATAAATATGGGAACATTACACACTGCGAACTACTTGGGAGGAAAGAAGATGAGAGGTATGGGTTGAAAAACTACCTATCACATACTATGCTCACTAACTGGGTGACGGGATTTGTACCCCAAACCTCAGCATCATGTAACATCCCTATATAACAAACCTGTACATGTGCCCTCTGTATATGCAATAAAAGTTGAATTTTTTTTTAAAGGTGCTTCCATTCAGGAATCCATGGAGCACAATTTTCCAGCTGAAATAAATATGGGGTAGGGATGGGGATCTTTCCTTAGAGGCAGGGTCAAGCCCCAGCAATCCCACAGGACAGGCTGCTGCACCAGCAATTGTGATGGTGGCAAAGGACTTGGACTTGCCACTGTGGAGAGGTTTGCACTAGACTGAGCTACCTGCGAATGAAGAACTGGAGCCCTCTCACCTAGGGTTCAAGGGGAAAAAGAAATGAAGAGATTTTGAATACGTTGGATGGGGAAGAATGGTACCTCGAGTGAGATAGGTGACTGAGACCACCACCGCTGCCAACCCTAGCCTCCATGGTTTAGCTCATACTGGAATTAACCATGGCAGAGGAGATTTTTCCCAATTGAATTAGAGTCCACATAGATTGAGACTATAGTTATTGACCCACTAGCATCCTAGGGAGGCTAAAACCAAGATATTTTCCATTCATCCTCCTTTTCTTAGATACCACTAGATCCCTGCTGTAGTCTTTGGCAACAGAAAGTCCGTCTGCATTGCTATGTACTGGGCCCTGGGAACATCACTGGGCTTGGAATAAGGTATCTAGGGTGGGATTCAATTATTTTTTAATTTTTTGTGTGTGGCCAATGCTGTCATTCCCCTGCTCAAATTAGCACGCAGCATTCCAGTAATGTCAACCAATTCTTTTTTTGTTTTCTGAGACAGGGTCTTGCTCTGTGGCCCAGGCTGGAGTGTAGTGGCATGATGATAGCTCACTGCAGCCTGGACCTCCTGGGCTGAAGTAATCCTCCAGCCTCAGTCTCCTGAGTAGCTGGGCCTACAGGTGTGCACCAGCACACTTGGCTAACTTAATTTTTTTTTTTTTTGTAGAGATGGGGTCTTGCCATGTTGCTCAGTCTTGAACTCCTGGCCTCAAGTGATCCTCCCACCTTGACCTCCCAAAGTGCAGGGTTACAGGCTTGAGCCACTGTGCCCAGCCTCAACCGCTTCATACTTCAAACACATGCAATGCTCAGCGTAAGGGTTTTCTCCCTGCTGGCGGGAACCCTGGGAGCCTGCGCTAGAGACAAATGGGAGATGGAAGGTGAATACCCCGGCTCCCTCTCATCTTGGCTGGGATCACTCCAATATGTGTGTTCTATGCTGTCTCCCAGAGTTCCCCAGTGGCATTGAGCCTCAGGTGTTCTCAGTACAATCCCAGTCAATACAGCACCTTTACTGACTGCCTTCACTTTCCTAATCACCAGCCAGGCTTCCCAGACCACCATGTTGGTGTTCCATAACCAAATACCACAGTCGGGGGGCTTCAACAACAGAAGTTTATTGTCTCACAGTCCTGGAAGCCAGAAGCCCAGGTTCAAGGTGTGGGCAGGGCTGGCTCCTTCTGAAAGCCGTAGGGAAGAATCAATTCCAGCCTCTCTCCCAGTTTCTGGTGGTTTCCTGGCAATCTATGACATTCCTTAGCTCATAGATGGATTACTTCCTTCTCGGCTTGTGTGTTTGTGTGCTGATCTCCCCGAGCATATGTGTCTGTTTCCACATTTTCTCCTCTTAAAAGCACACCAGTTGGCCGGGTGCAGTGGCTCATGCCTGTAATCTCAGCACTTTGGGAGGCTGAGATGGGCGGATCACCTGAGGTCAGGAGTTCGAGACCAGCCTGGCCAACATGGTGAAACCCCGCCTCTACTAAAAACACAAAAATTAGCCAGGCATGGTGGCCCATGCCTGTAATCCCAGCTACTTGGGAGGCTGAGGCAGAAGAATAGCTTGAACCCGGGAGGCGGAAGTTGTAGTGAACCAAAATCACGCCACTGCACTCCAGCCTGGGTGGCAGAGCAAGACTCCGTCTCAAAAAAAAAAAAAGCACACGGGTTATGTTGGATTAGAGCCCACCCTAATGACCTCATTTTAACTTGATTAAAGACCTCTTTCTCTTCAAATAAATTCACAGTCTGAGTACCAGAGTTTAGGGCTTCAATATGTGAATTTTGGGGGGAACAAATTCAACCCATAACATGAAACTATTTGTAACTAAAACCTAATGTTTTCAGGGTAGATATGAGGCTAGTGCGGTGATTAGATATATAAATGTTTTGGGCTCTTATTTAAAGGTGAGACATGTGATAGCTTTGGTGTAGAACAAATTTAAATTTCGAGGTCCTGAAGAAATCTCATGCACTCCAGGAGTAAATACCCAAGCTGCATCCACTGAAGAACCCCGATTCTACCCAGACGTCGGGGTGAATTGAAGCGAGCACCAATAGAGCAGAAAAAAGAATCGGGCCGGACGCGGTGGCTCACGCCTGTAATCCCAACACTTTGGGAGGCCAAGGAGGGCAGATCACCTGAGGTTAGGAGTTTTGAGACCAGCCTGACCAACATGGAGAAACCCCATCTCTACTAAAAATACAAAATTAGCCGGGCAAGGTGGCTCAAACCTGTAATCCCAGCTACTCGGGAGGCTGAGGCAGGAGAATCAGTTGGACCTGGGAGGTGGAGGTTGCGGTGAGCCAAGATTGTGCCATTGCACTCCAGCCTGGGTGACAAGAGCGAGATTCCATCTCAAAAAAAAAAAAAAAAAAAAAAATCATGAATTTAGTTTATTTTGGAGATGAGCGAGTTGGAGGGCGGGTGACACCAAAGAAACCATCAGGTAAGGATCACTGCTGCAGTGGATTTTGATATCATTTTCCATAAGGGGTATATGTACATCTCATGAAGGTTTGCAGTGAAAGCCTTTGCAATTCAAAGTTTGAGAGTTACTCTGTGTCTGAACCCATACTTTGAAGTCTATTAAAGAAAACTCTACTATTATAATCCAGGTAGGTTCAATGAGAAAAAATATATACTCTGCAGTTAGTACAGGAGTTGAGGTGGCCAGATTCCTTGTTTTATAACTTTCAATTTACCTGTCTTCTAAGTTGAGCAAATCTTGTGATCTCTCAGGTGGTGGCTCTGCTTAGGATTTACAAAAAAAATTGAAACTTGAAGGATAGTCGAAGCCCTGGGAACTCTTTTATTCAAAGTGCAAAAAAGGAGAACAATCCTGCTATAAAATTATAGCAAAATGCTGCTATACCATTTTGGCAGCAGGAAGACCACAGAATGTAATCAGAAGTCTAAGGAAAGCAGCAAAATACTTAGGTCACATGAATAAACAATGCACCTTTAATGCCTCCACATCCCTGTGGGAGGCTCGAGAGGAGTGAGTCACTGGGGATTAGCTTCTGGAATTAAGAAAACATGCTCTCCTCCATTAATGACATCTTGCCTTATCTTCCCATCCCAGTTAACACCATAATTGTACCCCATCAGAGCCCTGGAGAGTGGGCAGGAAGGCCAGGGGCCTCCAATCCAATGGAGACTCTCCCTTGCTCTCTCAGATGACTGCAGGCCTCCTGTTAGAATGATTTCCATTTGCAAACGAGGTGGGCTGCTCTTGATTTATTTCATTACTGGAGCAAAGCTCCATCCTCCATCTCTGGATGTGTCTCGTGTCTTATCTCCCAAGAGCCCCTGGCCCACAGAGGTAGACTGCTGGCTGGAACTTAATTAGGCAGCCTTTGAAGATCCAGTGGCCCCTCTGGCAGCCAGCCACCTTATCTCATGGTGCAGAAATCCCTTGGGGAGCTGTTCTTGCAGAGCACTGGGGCCCATTCGGGAGAGACTTGAGATTTATTTTTTGATTTGCAAAACAAAACAATACAAAATAAAACCTTTCTTTTAATATATTACTTGGGAAGCCCAGATCACGTTTGGAAGAGCCAAAACATTTCACGGTTGCAAGAATCTTAAAGGTTATGTAATTCAAGGAGGGTGGGTTGAGGTAGAAAAGAGAAATGGGGACCAGAGAAAGACTTGACTGATTGGCCAAGTTCACCCAAACAGCTCAATGAGACAAGCTAATGGTGCATGAGTTCCCAAAAGAAAGACTGGTGAAAAGAAAACAGATGTGGCATTCCTGAGAAGGGTGATCCTATAAATGACCCACGTGTCGGGGAGCAGGGGCCAGCTCACCTTGGCTGGTGCTGTAGGGCTAAACTGCCACAAGGCGGCAATGAACAAGACCACTTTTGCTTTTATGGGAAGTGCTTTCGGTGCTCAGTTTTAGGTACTGACACTTATGAAATCAGGCCAACAGGGATTTTTGTAGTGTCCTAACAAGAAAGTTTCAGCCCCCAAATGGAAATTTCAGGACAGGTCTTCTTTCCTCTTAGGCACAAAATAAATGGAATTCCAGGCCTGGCTCACCTCCAAGTGTCTGTGGCCTCTGGTGCTTCTGACCCTTTTCCTATCGGGTGCACCCCACCAGGTTAACCCAGCAGCAACAAGCTGAGTCCCCACAGAGCTACTTCTGGGCACCCAAGCCTGCTGGTTGAGAAGGTGTAGCTGCAACAGCTATAGACGGTTAGGGGTTTCAGCAGGTCCTCTGTGACGATCTCATACAGCAGCAAAACCTCCAAGGGCATAGTGAGCTTCTATGACAGTCCCTGTTCCTGCAGCTAAAAGTCTTGCTGATTTCTCTGAGCCCCAATTTTAAAGCACAAGCCTTGGTAGATGGGTAGTGATTTGTGTCCAATTAGCATATCAGGCATTTGGTCAGCCTGAGTGAAATGGTCAAAAGTATAAGTATATTGCCAAAGCCGCAATCCAAATCATATCCAATCTTCTCTTTGTATAACACCTTGTAATTTTCAAATGAGGCTTTCTAAATCATCATCTTTTCTGATCCTTGCAACTCTGTGAGGTGGGCAGGAGTATTGTCAGAACCTCATCTGGTTTGTAAGGCATTTCTAAGTCAATTAGAAAGATGTCCCTTCCCCTGCAGGGGGACAAAGCCTAGCTCAGCTGGACTTCAGCTCCCACTTGCTCCTCAGCTGGGTTCCCTTGTGTAGTGCACAACCTGCTCAACCCTACATGGCAGCCCTGGGTAGTCTCTCAATTTCTTAGGTGAAGAAATTAAGGCTCAGAAGGTTACTTGACTTGCTCAAGCTTACTTAACTTAGATCTTCTGGCTACGGGTCCAGTGTTGCCTTTACCATACACATCTATCCTCCCAACTCTCCTTTTTGCTTTATTTCAACAATTTCTTTTTTGTTAAAAAAAGTATATTTAATGTGAGCATACACCATTATTTCTCATTCTCACCCAAATGTCCTTCTTGCTGAGTTGAATAAATGCCCCCATCATGAGCCAGCTTTATGGGATTTTGACTCACTATGTAAAATTGCACCAAAAAATTTTAATCCTCTGAGACATTTGAGGGTTGCAGCTGCAAACAATTAATTTGTGTTAAAATCCAAACGTATCTGATGAGAACAGCATAAGTCACTGCTTTCCAAACTCTGTTCCTTAGGACACAAATACTCTCAAGACTTGAGGGGCCTCAGAATCACCTGGAGGACTTGTAAAATGTCGCTGGCCTCACGCCCAGGGTTTCTGATTCAGCAGGTCCAGGGTAGGGCATGAGAATCTGAGTTTCTCACAAGTTCCCAGGTGCTGCTGCTGCTGCTGCTGCCGCTGCCGCTGCTGCCCGGAACAACATACTGGGAAGTCCAGTTCCAGATAATGCTAATGGAAGTTCAGCATAACTTTAGTTTCAGGGTTTAAAATATATATATATATATATATGAGTATTCTCATGGAAGTTAATTCAGAAGATAGACTTGAAAAAGCCTATCATAAGCTATAAGAAGCCAAAGTTGCTTTCTGAGCTTAATTAATGTATCTTCCAGTCATTTAACAATCATTAAGAGCTGAAGATGGTCCAGGGGCTGCTCAAGGCCCTGGGGCTTCAGAGGCCTGGTCCTTGTCCTCCAGGAGCTGTCAGTCCATCAGGTGCTCAGAGAAGCAAACAGGCCATGACATCCTAATGGACTGCATACTCTGTCCTGCATATGATCAGTGCTAGTCATCTGGGGACTGGGGGTGATTGTGGTTCACTGAGACAACAGCAGGAGAGAAGAAGGTTGCTGCCAGCCCTCAGAACCTGTCTGCGTCACTCATCTGCGTTGAACGTGATGCCTTTTCTATTGCTAAGTCATAGACCTGGACACCTGACTTAACATGTGTAGTGTGCCTTGGGAATTCACAGAATGTCACAGGTGACCAGGACAGGCTTCATGGATGAGTGACCTATGCACGGCATCCCCTCTGCCAAAACAGAAGAGCACCATGCTTGGTTTAATGCTCTGCTGTGGCTGCCTTGAAATTCCTAATAATGTTTGAACAAGGGGCCTTATGTTTTGATTTTGCACTGGGACCCCTGCAAATTATGTAGCCAGTTCTAAGCATGACTTAATCAGTCATTCCTCAAACATCTTTTTGAGCAACCACAAAGTGTCATATACTGAATTAGGCATTAGAGGTTCTTGCTTCAGTAGGATGGGGTTCCTGTCGAGGAGCTAGTCACTAAATGCAGAAGACAGACATATGAATGGGAATTGACAATCCAATATGGTAGTTCCCGGAAGAGAGCAGAACACGCCCGATCCTTCATGTCTACAGCAAAGAATTTATTTCTGCCAAAGTCTCTCCAGCTGTCAGTACAAAGCTCTGCATCTCTTATCAACCCACGGAGGACTGGAATCCTCCGCCAGGTAATTTACGGAGAGGAGTTGCGGGCAGTCTCCGTCACCTAGAATATCACCCTCCTGCCAAGGTTAGCATTTGTCAAAGTCATGGTCATTAGTGCACATTTTTTACAGAGTACCTTCTTTGTGGCTGAATTCTTTAAAGTGCTGGGGACATGCAGTGAACTAGACAGATAAAGATGTTCACCTTGGTGGAGCTGGTGTTCTAGCAAACAGACATAATAGAACAACAGACCTAACGAATAAGTAGATTATGTAACCTCTTAGAGGGGGAGAGGTGCAGTGAGAAAGAAAAAAGTAGAGCCAGAACAGTGGGGTTGGGAGTAGATGGGGGTGGGACGTGGTTGGGATGAACTGAAAAGGCAAGCGCTGAAGGAGGTGAGATGTTAAACATGCTGAAGAAGGACCCTCCGGGAAGAAGGAGCAGACAACAGAGTGTAGAGCCTGTGCTTTTGAGGAACAAACAGTGAGAGGTCAGCGTTGGTGATGTGGGGTAACTATAAGAGGTAGGGGAGAAAAGAAAAGGTCAAAGCGTTATGAAGGGACCCACTCATGTTGGGCATTGTAGGCCTGCACTGTCCAATATGGCGGCCACTGCCTCATGTGACTATTTTCATTTAAATTAATTAACGTGAAACAAAATTGCAAATGTAGTTCCTTAGTCACATGAGTTATATTTTAAGTGCTCAGTAGCCACCTGTGGCCAGTGGCTACCATACTGGACAGTGTACATCTAGAACGTTCCTATCACTGCAAAAAGTTCTAAGTGAACAGCAAATTTAGAGACTTTAGCTTTTACTCCAAGTGGAATGGGGAGCTATGGAGAGTTTGAGCAGAGAAGAGACATTCTGGCTTCTATATTGAGGAGGGGGTCTAAGTAGGTAAAAACTCCTAACTCTGTTAGGAGGCAGTTATAGTTTTCAAAGCAACAATCACTAATGGTGGCTCAGATCAGGGCAGCAGAGGAGGTGGTGAGAAGTGCTCAGTGCATTGGTATTTTGAATGCAGAGCCAACAGAACTTGCTGATGGATCACATAGGGAGCATGGAAAAATACAAAAGAGAAGGAGGAAGGATGATGACCAGGCCTGTGCAGCTGGAAATCTGTGGTCAGCATCTTCTGAGAAGAAGACACTGTGAGCAGGGCAGGTTTTGGGTGTGGAGAAAAACGATGAGTTCAGTTTTGGATATTTTGTGTGTGTGATATTTATTGGAAATCCCAGTAGAGCACTGAGTAGACAGTTGGCTGTAAGAGCCTGGAGTTTAGAAGATGAGTCTGGACTAGGTATTTACAATGGGCAGTTGTTAGAATGGAGACGCAATAAATACCCAAGACTGGGTGAATTTGCTAAGGGAGTGAAAATAGAAGAAGACCTGTTAGAAGAGGTGGAAGACTTCACAGCACTAAGGGCTTACATAGGGAAACAGCAGGTACCGGAGGAAACTGGAAACTTCTACTTTAGCCTATCAGCCACGAGGAACTTTGGAAGACTTTTAGGAAGCTCATCGTGAGCCCCTCCCTGACTCCTATGGTAATTTCTCATTCATTTCACAAGGTAAAGAGAAAATTCCACTCAGAATAGAAGCCAAAACCCTTCCAGTGGCTGACAAGCCCTCCATGACAGGTGCCCACAACACTCTCACTTGTCCCATCTGGTCTCCTACTCATTGCTGCTCATACCACGTGCTGTTTGTGTTTACCACACTCTGGCCTCCTTGCCATTTCCCATTTCCCACACTCCTGCCCCAGGGCCTTTGCACTGGCTGCTCCCTGTGTCTTGATGTCTAGAATGTTCTTCCCCCAGATACCTGATGGCTTACTCTCTTGCCTCCACATGAATCTTTCCTGGCCGGCCCCGTTCCCTGTCCCCTTATTCTGCCCTCTCTTTTCCACTAAGATTTGTCCCCATCTGACATGTCATATGTCTTGCTTATTGCTGATTCCCCTTCTCCCGACACCAGAAAGTCAGCCTCCTGAGGGCAGGGATGTTTGTTTAGCGTGTTTTGCTCATTGACATATCCCCAGCATTGGGAACAGCACTGGGCACCTGGCAGGCACTTGGTAAATATCTGTGTTGAGTAATTTGATGTAAGCCTATACCCACAGGACTGTGCTCAGAGACCATCCAGGGCATCTGCAAAGGGATGAACAGAAACAGAGAAGCAGGGCACGTGGTGTTGCTCAGATCTTTTTTTTTTTTTTTTTGGCTTTAGGGAAATAACTTTTTGACCTTTCTTGAAGTTTAACTGGTGGCAGAAGGAGAGAAAAGGGAAACCCAAAAGGGAGGCAAAACTGGGATGAGAGCTGGCTTGTTGCTTTCAGAAGTTCACCAATACAGCTACCACCTTTTAGAGGACATGAGAAAAAGGGAACATGTCATCCCATCTCTGGATGGGATGATGGCAGCTCCTCCTCCTCCTCCTTTTTCTTTCTCATTTTCTTTGTTGCTGTCACTTCAAATGCTGCCCTCTTTGACTTCCTTTAAATAGCCAGGGTAGAAACATACACGGGGGAGGTACCGTGCATGTCTTTGAAACCTGGTCCAGCAATGTGCCAACTGCACGCGGCTCTCAGCATGCAGAGCCTCCCGGCTTCTCATGTCCGACCCACGGGCTGCAGCGACTGCAGCTCCTGGCAGGGGCACGGATTCTGAGAGGTGGAGGCAGGGGAAGGGAGAGGAGAGGGAGGATGTTTGACAATGCTCCCACCTTTTTTTCTTTTAATAAAAGTACAGCAAATTGATCCTGTTGGAAAAATTGGACAAGCATTTTTACAATGCATTGTTTCTGACTGCCAGGGGCGAGGTGAGAAAGAGCGAGAACAAAGACGCAGGTCTCACTGTCTAATTCTCTTTGTCCAGCATAAAGCATCATTTCTCGTGATTGTTGAAAATTGTGCACCAGCCTCAGCGAGGACTTGAAAGGGAAGCTGAGCTCTTCAACATGCGCGTTTCATCGACTGTGTTCTGAAAATGCTCCTCATTGCTGTAAATATGCCCCAGTCTTAGGAGTTAAGAGCGGCAGTGAGCTGGAGCCCCCAGCTGTGGGATGTGGGGATGAGTGGGAGTCAGGGTTCCTTTGAGAAATGAGGGGAGTGGTTCTCAGATCACAAACTGACATGGTTTTATCTAGAAGAGACACATGGCTCTGACTCACTGAATTTCCATGCAGGATCTAACTGGGACACATCAAGGGAACTTCAGTGTTTTCAGCACCAGCTTCACAAGAGGAGAATGAGACACAGTTTTTATCTATTTCCTCTGGAGGACAAAAGGTCTGGATCCAGGGTAGTTGGTAAAAGAAGCTGAAGTGTCAGGCAGGGAAACAGGACTTTTAAAAAGTGATAATAAAATGAACTACAATCAGCTGAGTGTGCTGGAGAGGTGCATGCAAAGTATCTTGAGAAGAAGGCTTTGGAATCAGACAGACCTGAGTGAAATCCTCTTTGCTCCACTGACCAGCTGTCGGACCTTGGCCAAGTAACTTAACATCTCAGGGCCTTGATTCTCCTCTCTGTAAAATGGGAATAATACTAGTAACTACCTCTCAGGATTGTTTTAAGGTTTTTTTTTTTTTTTTTTTTTGAGACAGAGTCTCGCTCTGTCGCCCAGGCTGGAGTGCAGTGGTGCAATCTCAGCTCACTGCAACTTCTGCCTCCTGGGTTCAAGTGATCCTCCTGCCTCAGCTTCTCAAGTAGCTGGGGTTACAGGTGCCTGCCACCACACCTGGCTAATTTTTGTAGTTTTAGTAGAGACGGGGTTTCACCATGTTGTCCAGGCTGGTCTCGAACTCCTGACCTCAGGTGATCTGCCTGCCTCGGCCTCTCAAAGTACTGGGATTGTTTTAAAGTTTAAACAAGAAAATGCATATCAGTGCCTGGCACAAAGAAATCCCTCAATAATTGCTAGCTGCCACTTCCTCCTCCACCACCACCACCACCACCAGCACTGCCATGGTCATCATCATCATCCTCATTCACTTAATTCTGACTCAACCACTTCCTGCCTGAGTGACTGTGGGTAGGTCATCTAATCCTGTGTGTGTGTGCATTCCATTTTCTTTTCTTTTTTTTGAGTTGGAGTTTCACTCTTTTTGCCCAGGCTGGAGTGCAATGGCGCGATCTCGGCTCACTGCAACCTCCACCTCCCGGGTTCAAGCGAGTCTCCTGCCTCAGCCTCCCAAGTAGCTGGGATTACAGGCGCCCGCCACCACACCCGGCTAATTTTTTGTATTTTTAGTAGAGATGGGGTTTCACCATGTTGGCCAGGATGGTCTTGATCTCCTTTTCTTCATCTGTAGAATGGACATTGTGACAGTATTTGACTCAAATTCCTTGACATAGTTTGTGTTAAGCACAGTGACTCAGTGGCAGCACACAGTAACGCTCCACATAGAGTCACCCATATCGTTAGGCCCTGTCACCATCCCCATTCTAAGATATCGTTAGGCCCTGTCACCATCCCCATTCTAAGATATCATTAGGCCCTGTCACCATCCCCATTCGAAGATATCGTTAGGCCCTGTCACCATCCCCATTCGAAGATATCGTTAGGCCCTGTCATCATCCCCATTCTAAGATGAGGTAGCTGCGGTTTAAAGATCTTGCCGAAGGTCAAAGTTTCAAGCAGGGCTCTTAACTGCTGCCTTCAGCTGCACGCTCCCAGAAGCAGCCCTGGGGACCAGGGTCTGGGTGTAATTGGGTCCCAGGAGGTAGTGGTGGGGGTGAAGGCAGGGGCAAAGGAATGGGAGGCAGCCCATACAGCGTCCATCAAGGAGCAGGACATCCCTGCGGGCAGCTGGGAAAACTGGCCAGGTGGCGCGGGTCATGCCTCTGAGCTGCCCCCTAGTGTCAAAGGAGCTGGGGTGTTTATTCTCCTCCTTGCATTTGCCATTGGCTGAGGGTGGCTCCTGAGAGTGGCAACTCCTGGTCACCTCTAGCTGTCCTATGTGTGGCTGAAGGAGAGCTCTTGGGTATTCAGTTTCATCATTAGCGAGTGCCAGAGTGGAAATGCCAAAGGATGGCCACCGTGCACCTGTCAGCTGGGAGGCCAAGGGTAGAGTTGAAACAGCCTAGAATGGAGTTCAGCCAACCTGGGCAGACATAAGGAAAGCAGGGAGAACAGTGGATCAGAGCTCTGAAGACCACGAGCGCCACCGATGCTGGAGGGCAGACAGGGCAGAGGGCTAGGACTCAAGGGACCTGCACTGGCAGGAGAATAGAATTGGGTTTAATCAAGGAGACCCTGGCTGAGGTTCTTTCCCATTGAGGTGTGGTGTAAGGATGGTGGGATTGCTGCCTTCCTAGGGCTGACAGCCTCGTACACACCTGCGTCTCAGGATAGGATGAGACCTCTTTGCACAGAGCCTCAGACAAAGTGTGTCAGCAGCACAGTGGATAAAGAGGTTTAACAATGGCAGGATGTGCCTTTTACTAACTTCCTCTGAAGGAAACAGTGGCTGGAGGCCACCGAGAGCGAGTGGCTGATGTAGGAGTGAGAAAAGCAGACAGTGCCCCATGGAGAGGAGGTGCGTTGGAGGCAGGGTCCTGGGCTGGGGTCCCAGCACATGTTCCTGTCATGCCTGAGCTGCACCCTGCTCCGTGGACTGAGGCCAGTTCTCTTCCAGAGTTGTATCCTAAAAACTCTTCTCCATTCTAAGGTTTCCCAAAATGGTCCTGCTTCCTGCTCCCCAGGGCCCAGTGTTCTCAGCCAGCTCCATCATCCACCATGAAGCAGCCAGGGCCTGCTGCATCGTCTAATTGACTCCACAGCATAAGAACTGGCCGTGCAGAAGGGTGTGTAATTCACTAGAAATGATGTGTCATGGGACAAGTTCTACCCCTGAATGCCAATGTAAATTTCCCCTTCCTCATTTGAGTTTTGTCCTTCATGAGAATTCCCATCATTAAACTACCAAAGAGACATGAAACATGGCTCCGCACAACTCTGCTGGATGCTGCTGGCCATTAGAACCCAGACTTGAATTCTGAACCGGTAAGGGAGGTGGCAGCATGAGAGAAGGGAGGGGGCGGAGGAAGAATAACCAAGAGTTCAAGATTCCTCATAACAGGATTTTTTTCATGATAGCCCCAAACTGGAAATAATCCAAATGCCTGTGAACAGGAGAATAAATAAATGGATCCTAGTGGGGTCTGGCAATGCAATGGATTGAAAATAAAAAAGAGCCAATGGATGCATCTATTTGGGCAGCCACAACAAAATACCATGCACCGGTGGCTTAAACATCAAGTTATGTTCCAACAGTTCTGGAGGTTGAAAATCCAAGATCAGGGTGCCAGCACGGCCAGGTTCTGGTGAGATCCCCCTTCCTGGTTTGCAAACAGCCTCCTTCGCATTGTGTCCTCACGTGGCCATTCCCTGGTGCATGTGCACATCCAGAGGAAGAGAGAGAACGCTTCACTGTCTCCTTTTTTTTTGTTTTTGAGACAGAGTCTCACTCAGTTGCTCACGCTGGAGTGCAGTGACACCATCTCTGATCACTGCAACCTCCGCCTCCCGGGTTCAAGCTATTCTCCTGCCTTAGCCTCCCGAGTAGCTGGGATTACAGGCACATGCCACCATACCTGGCTAAGTTTTTGTATTTTTTAGTAGAGATGGGGATTTGCCATGTTGGTCAGGCTGCTCTTGAACTCCTGACCTCTGGTGATCCACCTGCCTTGGCCTCCCAAAGTGCTGGGATTACAGGCTTGAGCCACTGTGCCCAGCCTGCTGTCTCTTTTTAGAAGAGCACTAATTCCATTACAACAGCCCCTCCCTCGTGACTTCCTCTAACCCGAATTCCCTTTCAAAACCCCATCTCCTAATACCATCACACAGGGCTTCAACACGTGCATTTTGGAGGAACACAAATAGTCTGTAAGAGCAAACCACAAAAAAAATGGATGAATCTCAAAAATATTATGTTGAATGAAAGAAACTGGGCACCGAAGAGTGCACACTATGCAATTATTTTTAAATGCATTTCTAGAACAGGCAAAACTAATCTATGGTGGTAGAAGCCAGGAGAGCAGTTGTCTCTGTGGGGGGTGGGTGCTGGCTGGAAAGGGCATGAGGAACTTTCTGGGAAGAGGGAAAAGCTCTGGATCTTGACTGGCAGGAGTGGCGTCACAGGTGTCTGCATGTTCGTATCTCATGGGACTGCATGCTACAACATGTGTATTTTATTTCATGATACCTCCATGAATACCAGCATTAAAAATAAATATGTAGAGCTTTGGGAGGAGTGTTATGAGATCCAGAGAGACTGAATAATTTGTGTGTGTGTGTGTGCACAACCACCTACACAGATATGTACAACTATACATATACATACACACACACACATAGCCACAGCCACACATATACACCATGGAATACTATGCAGCCATAAAAAAGAATAAGATCATGTCCTTTGCAGGGACATCAATGAAGCTGGAAGCCATCATTCTCAGCAAACTAACACAGGAACAGAAAACCAAACACCGCATGTTCTCACTTACAAGTGGGAACTGAACAATGAGAACATAGGGACACGGAGAGGAACAACACACACCGGGACCTCTTGGGGGTTGGGGGTGGGGAAAGGGGAGAGAGAACATTAGGACAAATACCTAATGCATGCAGGGCTTAAAACCTAGATGACAGGCTGATAGGTGCAGCAAACCACCATGGCACATGTATACCTACATAACAAACCTGCACATTCTGCACATGTATCCCGGAACTTAAAGTAAAATTAAAAAAAAAATTATAAAAAAGAAAGAAGCCACAGCCAATCGCAATGATTCGTCAAGTACTAAAGGACAGTACAAACCATCAGTGGGAACCCCATATATCTGTCTGCCAAAGGGAAACCGTGCCAGTGTTGCTTGGAGCAGACAAGCTCGTGAGACTGGGTGGACTGAATCATGTCTGGAAGACTGGTGTGATTAAACTGACGTTTCTTGTTGAGTTATATTCTAGAGCTCATAGCTTTTCTTTTCCATTCTGGTGAAAAAAATTACAATTTTTCACTGTTGCAGAATTGAACTGTGACTTATGGTCCATGATCTACATAGTCAATTTCACGTACTTCTGGCAGTACTACCACATTTTCAATAGTTTCTAGAAAAAGTTGTTCTTTGGGGAAGCTAAAGGGTGTGTAGCTGCTTCTCCATCACTCCCTGCTGCTAGTAGGCTTGCGGGGAAAAGATCAGAGTTGAGGATGAGAAGTGTGAAAGTCACATAGTCTTTGATTTTAGCACAATTCTGGGAGATCCTTACTCTTCACACCATGTTTGGTTCCTATATTAGTCAGGGTTCTCCAGAGGGACAGAACCAACAGGACACAGGTACATATGAAAGAAAGCTTATTAGGGAGAATTGGTTCACATGATTATAAGACACAGTCCCACGATAAGCCGTCTGCAAGCTGGGGAAGAGACAAGGCAGTAGTGTCTCAGTCCGAGTCCAAAAGCTTCAAAACCAGGGAAGACAACAGTGCAGCCTTCAGTCTGTTGCAAAGGCCTGAGAGCCCCTGGAGGCCACTGGTGCAAGTCCCAGAGTCCAAAGGCTGAAGACCCTGGAGTCTAATGTCCAAGGGCAGCAGGAGCAGAAGCAAGCATTCAAGGCAGGAAGAAGAAGGAAGCCAGAAGACCCAGCTAGCAAGGTTATTCCATCTTCTTCTGCCTGCTTTGTTCTAGCAATGCTGGCAGCCAATGGATGGTGCCCACCTACACTGAAGGTGGGTCTTCCTCTCCCAGTCCACCGACTCAAATGTCAACACCCTCAGAGACACACCCAGAAACAATACTTTACCAGCTATCTAGGCATTCTTCAATTCAAGCAAGTGGACATCTAACATTAGCCATCACAGGTCCCCATTATCTGCCCTCATCTTTTCTACTTAGGGCCCTTTTATCCTCCAAGTAGGGGCTTGGAACAGCCAAAAACTTGAGTAAAAATGTTGACTCCACACTTATTGGCTATTTGGGCTTGGATAAATTAACTAATTTTATCAATTATAAAATGGATCCCCAAATGCCCATCTCTAATGGCCACTCTGAGGATTAAATGAGAAATTGTCGAGCACTATGGCCAATGTCAGGTGGATGCTAAGTGGCCCATACCTTCTATTTACCCCACTCATAATATTATTGCCAAATTCAGATATGCTTGTCTATCATTATATACTTTGTTCTTCAATATGCGTATTCATTTGGTCACCCATTCATTAATGTATTCATTCAATTACTCAATAAGCATTTATTGCACACTTATAATTACAAACCATGATAACTTCTCCAGAGAAAAGGGACATAATTTTCTGGGTCTATAACAGTGGAGCTTGTCTGAGGTCATGGGTTCCAGGAGTCTTCCCTAAGGAGGCTGTGGCGACAGAGCTGAGATGTGAGGATGGGAAGATGAGCTTTCTAGCCTCTTGCTCATTCCAGCCTTTGTGGCTTTGCTGAGCACTCCTCAGTCAGCAATGGGTTTTGCCCTCCTTTCCACCAACTGCAATGCCTTCAAGCTATGGCTCGATACCTGTCCTCTCTGTGAAGTCACTTCTCAACTGGGCTGCTTGTGCTCAGCACCCTGGTGTGAGTCCTGCAGGACTTAGGTTCTGTCCCACACCACCGTCAAGGGAACATGTGATTATCCTCTGTCTGGCTTGTGTGTCTTCTCAACCCAGCTATAAGCCCCAGAAAACAGTGGTTATCCTGTCCACCTCTTATTCATTATTGTGATGCTGGACACTGAGAGATTCCAAAAGAGCCACTTGTTGTCTGGACTTCTGTGTGAATAAAAAAATCATATCGTGCATAAAAGATGTCAGTATCAATAGGACCCAGGGGCAGGGTGGTGTGGTTAAGACCCTGAAAGCCAGACCCTTGGCTAATTTCTTTCGATAAATCTTTATTAAGTGTGTATTTTATGTCAAACTCTGTTCTAGGTGTTGGGGGTACATTCGTGAATCTGGAGGAACTTCTCATCTAGCAGGGCTCAACACACACACAGCAAACATGTGTTAATTCTATTGTAAGTTAAAAGGTGATATGGACAAAGGAAAAAAAAGTAGGCAAAGATAAAGAGTTTTTTTTTTTTTTTTTTGGTTGCAGGGCAGAGGTGGTGGAGGTGGACAGTGTTAGAATGTTAAACAGGAAAGTCACGAAAAGATTCCTTGAAAAGATGACATTTGAGCACATTCTTGAAGTAAGCCATGCGGTCGTTTGGGGGAAAGTGTTCCAGGCAGAAGGAATGACCTCTGCAAAGGCCCTGGAGTTGGAGGCTGCCTGGTGTGTTTGAGGAACAGCCAAGCCAGTGTGGCTGGAGTGAGTGATCGGGAGAGGGATGGGGGAAGAGGTCAGGAGATGCAGGGACAGGATCATGTGGAGCATAATAAAGAATTTGGCTTTTACTCTAAGTGAAATGGATTTATGTCCCACCCAGCCCTGTTGCTGTTCATTGTAAGAACTTGGGAAGTCAGTTCACCTCCCCAAACCTCAGTGGTCTCATTTCTCAATAGGAACGATGACGTCGGGATGATGACGATGATGATGACGACGACGACGGTGACATCTCCCCTAAAGGTCACTGGGGTGAGTATTACATGACATAAAGCCCAAAGACAGGTACCCAGTAATTCCTCAAATGCAAACAATGGCTCTTTCCATTTGTTTCCATGGTTGCACTGTCATTACTATTATGTTTATTGATTTTGGAAAGGGAAAGACGCTCCCCTTTTGTGAATGCCTTCTGCTTCTCAGAGACTGTGCCTGCCATAGTGTATCCCATCTAAGCCACTTCCCGGCCCTTTGGAAAGAGGCCCTAACTCTTTTGAAACTGGTGAGTAAGCCAAACCTTCAGAGAATAGTTTTGCTGAGTGTCCGACAGCTAGTTCAATGCCAAGCAGGATTTCGAACCCAGGTTCAACTGACTCAAAAGACTGACCATTTTCTGCCTGGCCAGAACAAGAGAAAAGGGGAGAACTTAGCCACGGTGTGTGAATGTTTTTGCCAATAGGGCCCTCATCCCTTTGTGTGAGAAAAGTTTGGAGACCCAGGAGGGCCCTGTGGGGCTTCATTCCTCAGAGATGCTGATGGGATTTCACCCTGCTATTCTTAGGAGATGACCATTCTCTCTAGTGTGTTTATAACTTAAAGCCTGATTTTCTAGAGCTTGACTGAAAGATCATAAAACTTATATGACACGGTCCCTCCTTGAATTATGATGGGAGAGAAAAACTCCCTTATGAATTCCAAAGATCAATAAGGACCTAGATATTTAGATATTTTCTGAAACTATCCTGGCCCAATTCACTGGACCAGAATATATGTAATACATATGTTCTAAAAAGCCTATACATTATATATGTTCTATATATAATATATATCCTGAAAAGCCTATATATATATATAAACGATATGGTTTGGCTGTGTCCCCACCCATATCTCATCTTGAATTGTAGTTCCCATAATCCCCATGTGTCATGGGAGGGACCAGGTGGAGATAATTGAATCATGGGGGTGGTTTCCCCCATACTGTTCTCGTGATAGTGAGTGAGTTCTCACAAAATCTGATGGTTTTATAAGGGGCTTCCCTCTTAGCTTGGTTCTCATTCTCTCTCCTGCCGCTCTGTGAAGAGGTGCCTTCCACCATGATTGTAAATTTCCTGAGGCTTCCCAAGCCATGTGGACTGTGAGTCAATTAAACCTCTTTTCTTTATAAATTACTCAGTCTTAGGTATTTCTTCAAAGCAGCACAAGAATGGACTAATACATATAATTTAAAGGCTTTTCAGATTTTAGAAAAGATCTTTGTAGGGTTCAGTTTGAGCTCAGTATAATGAATTATTTGTATCAAATTCTTGTTTGATCTGATTGAATATATCTATTTTTTATATACCTCCTTTACCTTTTTTAATGTCAAGAAATCACAGGGACTGTCTAGAAAGGGTTGAGATTTCTGCTGAGAAAAAGTACATTTGAATGGGGAGGGTATATCCTACAGAATGCCTATAATCATCCAGGTCACCATATGTACTCCCTTGATTGAAAGCACGGGCCTCTCTGAGCTCATTTAGTAACCCAAACTCCTGAGCTAGCACCTGAAAGAGTCATGGAATGTGCAGGAATTAAGAGCAGAGAATGTGCTAACTTCGTCTCACCAAATGAATTTATTCTTCCTGACAGTCTTTAATTAAGATGAGCTACCATGTACAGCATTTAGGAACCTGACATAAATCAGAATGTGAGACTTACATAGAATGTGACTATAACCTTGCCAGGGCCCTCATTCAGACTTGATGGATTCCAGCTCAAGCAACCTGGCCAAACATTGATAGAATCATTGAGTAGAGCTGTTGCCAATCGTCAGCCTGAAAGAAATCCATACTGGAACTCTTCGGCTATAGTTGTTGCCATGGAAAGCATTAGGAAGAACATAGTCTGGAGTTCATTTACAGGTAGTCCATTATAAATTTCAGTAATAATTTACATTAATGAGAACCTAGAAACTAAGTACAATCAGGGGACTAAAGAACTTGTATAATTTTGCTTTGTGGTGAGCATGGACTTGCTTGGTGGGCGGCAAACTCACACCCAACCACATTCTCCTTAAATTCTAAATGTCACTTCATAGTGACCCTATATTCTATATGGATTATACTTGGTATTTTTACTAACATGTGTGCACATATATACCATATATATACACACACACAGTATACATGTATACACATATGTGTACACATATGTACCTTTAATTTAGTATACATGTCTACATGTATACTGTGTGTGTGTGTGTGTGTGTTTAAATTATAGGTATTTGTTTTTTACTTTCCTTTACTTTTGGCCAAAAGGCTGAGTGAGGTAGGATAACTTCTACAAAAAACAATTACAATAATGTCTACTCCATATTAGGCAATCTTGTGAAAGTTTCATGTACATTATCTCATTTAAACACTGTCATAACATAAGAAGGCAAGGACTATTATTATCCCCAGTTTACAGATGAGAAAACTGAAGCCAAGAGAGCTTAAGTCACTTGCTTGTGGTCATATCATAATAAATGGGGGAGCCAGAGGTGAAGGGTGTACCGACACCATGAACCCCAGCCTTGAGGACACCTGCAGACATTTGAGGTCCTACCCTGAATGTCCCTTCCTTAGAAAAGCATTTCCTGATCTCTGGATTAGAAAACTGGGTCAGTTCTGCCTTGGGGCTTCCCTTCTCAGCCCTCTGGAAAGTAAACAATTTTACAGGTCTTGTGAGATTGCTGGGTTAATGCCAGTCTTCCCCATAACAGGAAGCGTCAAGTCTGTTTGCTCACCATGCATCTCCAGTACCTAGCTCTGTGCCTGGTGTACAGTAGGTACCTTGTTCACAATTGCTGGGTGAGTGATAGAAGAATCCAAGGATGTGAAAGGGAAAAGTTAAAGGAAACAAAGGGACAGGAGGGCTCAGAGCAGCAGTCCCTGAAGTCAGGGTTGGTGTGATCAGAAGCAGCCCAGGTATTCTAAAAGAGAAGGGGCTGACTCCCTGTTCCTGACCTAGCTCTGACCTTCTCAGCTTGGGAGGCACTGGATGGAGCGGGAGGGGCTGGACATTTGGCTTTCTAGTTCACTTGTCTCCCTCATGACTACCCGGGCCCTGCAGGCTTAAGCACAGAAGTCTCAGTCTCAGGTTGGGTATCAGAAAGCATCACCTCAGTGTGGCCACAAGATGGTTTTTGGGTACCAAAGTATCACTGATGTTCCATGGAGTAGGGCAACTGCAGTTGGGCCAGCTGGGGTCTCAGAGCAGCATTCTTTCATTCATGAACACTTAATAACCAATTCCATGTACCATGGCAGTGTTCTAGAGTCTGGGCATAGAGTTATGAATTAACCAGAGAAAGTCTCTGCCCTCATGAAGTGTACAATCTAACGGGGCTGAGGGGAGAAGACAATAAACACATAGGTAAGTCCTGTGGTGATACATGTGAGGCAGGAATGCAAGGAGGGTAAGGGTCTCAGAGTGAATGTGGGGTGAGTGGTCAGGGCAGGCCTTTCTGCAGAGGTGACATTTGAGCTGAGCCCTGAAGGAGGTCATTATGGGAGCCAGTTGCATGTCTAGGGAAAGAACATTCAAGAAAGAGATAACAGAAGATGCAAAACCATGAAATGAGAAGGTGCTTGGTGTGTCTGAGGAAGAGCTTAAAGGCCAGTGAGGCTGAGCTGATTCAGGCAGGATGAAAGGAAAGGAGAGGAGGCCGGGGGGCCCAGGCAGCCCTGTGAGGCCTTTACTCTGAGTAAGCTGAGTTGTCACTGTGTTCAGAACAGAGACTGTCAATTTACGCTGCAATTGCAGTCCTCCTGCCAAATCCAGATAAAAGAATGTTCTAGAAAGTTGGGGGATGGGCAGGGGAGATGGTGATGAATGTGTTGAGTGCACCTGGGCTCTCGAATCAGACAAACTTGGACTCAAATCTCATTTCCACCCCCACTAGCCAGGTGACCTGGGATAAATCCTGCAACTTCTGAGTCTCAGTCTCCTTACCTATAAAATGGGACAAATAATGTCCCCCTCACCAGGGCCACTGGGAGGACCAAGTGGGATAATGCAGGTGGAGCAATCAGCTCAGGGCAGAAAACTGAGACCCCAGCTGACCGCAGTTTCAGAGCAACATTCATGCATTCACGGACACTTGGTGGAATGTGTCCATGGATGAATTAATTAGTGGGGGTGAGACCGGGATTCAAGTCCAAGTTTGTCTGATTCAAGAGCCCATGCATAACCAGTTGCCAGGGCTGAGTGGATATCACAGTCTTATCTTACTGCACTATTGTTGTATCTTCTAGAGCCC
Source organism: Homo sapiens (assembly GCF_000001405.40). NCBI lineage: Eukaryota > Metazoa > Chordata > Mammalia > Primates > Hominidae > Homo > Homo sapiens. The sequence goes on along the minus strand of NC_000001.11, from coordinate 14,425,479 downwards.
CAGCTGGGACATGTGAGGGCATGGCAGTGGTTTTCCTGGGACTCTGCAGGATGAGATTCCATGGTGACTCTTGAACTCACAATGAACCTTCTTCTTGGTAAGCTGGCTTCTGGGGTGGCAAGAGGACACTGCAGCTGGAGCCTTTACTCAGGAGATGGGAAGACCAACCAGTGTTCCAGATGCCCCCAGCTATGGCAGGAGCTTCCTGAGGCTTGGTAAGATGTAGGGGCAGGCTCTGTCTCCCATGGCCTGACCCTAAAGCCAGGCATTGCAAATGCAATGTGAGAACATGGGCCTGCCTTGGCCAGCCCCTGCCCAGCTGGGTTCAGGTTGGCCTCTGATGAAGACACTGAGGCCACGAATCACTCTCCCCTCCCAACCTCCTCTCTGCATCCCACTGAACAATGCAACTTCAGTGAGCCCCAGAAACTCATTGGGCCAGGTATCTTCAAGCTCTGTTTTGTTAAAGTGACTTATGTTTTTCATTATGTGCTTTTGCATAACTTTCTTCCTTGCTGGAGAAAGCCAAGGAATATAAGATGATTTAGCTATGATATTAGAATAGCTTATGTTAAACCAAAGTATATTTACCAGCTCAGAGACCAGGTTGGCATTGGCTCAGCAAGCAGATGGGGCCTGGGAATCTATCTGGCCCTTCTTTTCTCTGGAATTACAGCTTAGGAGCTTTTTATAGGAATGGCTTGAGGCGTTGGCTAAAGATGTAGGAGATAGGAATAACTGGCAGAAGCTGTTGAAGCGTAGTTAGATGAGAAAATGGGTTCTTTGCAATGTAAACATCTAGAATCCCTTCCTGGTATCTGTCCTTACAAGGTCCCTTTCGTGGGCATTTCTAGCTTTTAGGACGATGGTGTGTGGGGCAAGTTGTGGCAACTCTAGAGGGTGCCATTTATGTCAGTGTCCATGTGAATGGCCGTGCAGTGGACAACCTGTGCAGCTGTACATGGTGGCTCTGCGTATGTGTGGGTGAGCTTAGTCTTGCAGGAGAAGGCACTCGCTTGCTGGGGAGCTGTGTACATTGGTGAAAAGTGCCTGAACTATGGCATCAGATCTGGGCTTATACCCTGGTGCTGTTACTTGCTGTAGACTTTAGACGAAGGGCCTAATTTCTCCCTGCCACGGTTGTCTCATCTGTGCTCATCTGAGCTCAGCCATGGAGAGGATTAAATGAAGCAACTTACGTGAAGTGTAATGATCATGAGACTACGATTTGCTGAATGTGGTCTTTGGGTCATTTTCTCCTTTTATCTTCATGACAATCTGTGAGGTGTGTATCCTCATTCTCATTTTCTAGAAAAGAAAGCTGAGGCTTTGAGAGGCTAAGCTACTTGCCCAAGTTTACTATGTGAGTTGGGACTCTGTGGATTGTGTTAGAAACTCAACTGGAACTAGTACAAGCAAGTGGAATTTGTTGTATTGGGTCAGAGAAGTGTCCAGGATGGGCTTAAGGCACATATGTATCCAGGGGCTCAAGTTACGTGCCCAGCTCTCTGCCTGTCCCATCTGTATTTGGCTTATTTCCCTCTGTTGGGCTTAATTCTCAGTCAGTGTCTTTTCCTTTATAGGCAAAGCTGATGTGGACGGTCCCAGCCTTACATTGTCTCTAGTGACTGCCTTCTCAGAGGAGAATTTGTATCTTCCCCAAAAGTTCCAGCAAAAGTCCCAGGAGAGAGTTTTGATGTCCAGGCCCGGGTCACTGGTCCATGTGGAAGTGAGGTCTTTAAGGGAAGTTCCATCTGAGCCACATGGACTGAAAATCAGGGAGGAATTGGATTCCAAAGTGATCAATCCACTAGGTATGGTTACAGAGTGACTATGTACTGGGAAGAGGATTTGGATCCAGTAGTGCTTGATCCATAGTAAGTGCTCAATACATGGCATCCTCTAGACCTGGTATTATCACGGCTATTGCATGTACTGTGTGTGGGGAGCTGAGGTCTTCAAAAGCTGGGTTCTGGATAGCATTGGAATCTTCTCCAAAGAGTTTCATACTTACTAGTATTTGCCCTGTGCCGTTTCAGGGATATTTTTACAAGAAAATACATTAACAGATTTGAAAACACAATAAAAAGTATAAAATCACCATGCTGCTATTTTAGTATATCTGGTAGCTCGTGATGACCCCCTGAAAAATAGAGTACATGCTGTTTTCCTCTAGTTTACAAAGAAGAAAATAAAGGGACTGCAGGCTTTTAAATCTGACCAATTTTCAGCCTAGGGTTTGTGGTCAAGCTAGGATGAAACCCAAGCTTCCTGTCTCTCAGTCCAGAGCCTTGTCATCAAGACAATGTTTCTCAAATTCTGTTCCAAGGAACACCAGGGTTCCAAAGAAGTGCATTGTGAGGGGCAGGTGCTAAGTAGACAGGGCCTTCGGATCTTCCAACAAGTTGCTATGAGACTAGCTTCCTCTTTATCTGTTTATAAAAGTGATAATTTGAGCAAAAGTTTTCACTGTTCTTAAAAGTTAATAAACTATTGCTGTGGACAAAGGGCTGCTACAAGTCAGCCCTTAGGCAAAGAAGCCTCAATCTGAGTTTCCTTGTTAGAAGTCAAATAGAGCTGAAGAATATAATCAAATGAGCTTCCATAGGGAAATTATTCTTCTACTAGAACCATAAGGAAAGCCTTGGGGATTAGAATCTGAGACCCAGACAATGGTCTAAGAATGTTCACATTGCCCCCAGAAAGATGAGCTGCCATCTCTTAGAAACCCACCTGCCTTCTGGACCACAAAAGAGAAGTTTACCAGGGATGAGCCTTTCTATATTTAATATCTTCTGGATGCAAGGATGTTACCTAGATATCATATAACTGTATTTGAATATAAAGCATCGTCTGTTTTCAACCCTTCAGGGGGCAGCTGCACCAAATCCAGCCACACAATGAGACTTTTCTTTTTGTTTCCTTCCATTCTAAGTGCAATGGAAGAGGTAGTAAGAGAAATAAAATACAAATGACTGCTTAGTGAACATCACTTAAGATTGGGCTGGGTGGTGCAGGTTGACCCTGGAAGTGTCTTATGCGCTGCGTAGCGTTTTGTTCTGGGCCAGCCTCATACTTTACCTACGTAGTTTGCCTGTGCTATTGAAGGAAAAGGGGAAGCTCTTCCCCACTGGGCTTGTTGCAAGGATTTAATCTATGTCGTCATGCTGCTGAGCAAGTGTTTTTAGGGCAGATAGCTGAGTAAACACGGAAGCCCACGGATGTTCTCTGAAGCACACTCAGATCACATCTCATCAGAACCCAGAATATGAAACTCACCAACCAAAGCCAAAACACAGAATTCAATTTAAGTTTAAAATAACAAAGGTAAAATAGCGATTTGCCTATTTTCTTCTTGGTTCACATTGGCTGACCAGGCTCCTTTGCTGCTGAAATTTCTCAGAACCTTCACCAATGTGCATCAGGAATATCCAAGACAGACTTTCCAAATCTCAGTCACTGGAGTGGACAAAATTCACTTTGCAAAATATTGACATTGGCGTGGAAGATGAGCCCATGCACTGTTGGATATATTTGTTACTTTGTTGCATTTACTAGCTCATTGGGCAGTCAGTGTAGTTGGTTATTCAGACAAGGGGAAGAGTTTCCCCAGGACCCAGTGTAGTAAGTGAAAGAGGCCGGGGGAGGGGAGGGGACTAAGGCCTATGTCAGGGTTTTGAAAGGTGAGCTTGGCCAACTCCGAGAGAAATTTTGTGGTAAAAAGAGTTTGGGAGATTCCTTTTGGGCAGTCACATGCCCACTCTCAAAATCAGGTTCTGTGAAGTTTTGAATAAAGACGCTTGTTCAACAGTATTTAACCCAGAATTTTCCAAACTTGTGGATAGAAGTTTGGAACATAAGTCGGCTTATGTTTCTAAGACTTTGGTTTGGGAAACATGCTTTATTGAACCCACAATGTCTCAGAATCACAGTTTGCCACTGTCCTAATGTGGTAACATTAAGGGAACAATCAACTGTGCATAGTAGGGTCTTTATGGGAATGTACATTCCAAGCCCTAATCAGGGATCAAGGGATGTGTTTTCTCCCAATGTGGCTTTCCTCGTGTCCTTCTTGGATGGAGACTTCAAAGCTACTGTTGGAGGATAGAGCATAGCACCCCCAAGAAAACCCATCCCAAAAGAAGAATGTAAGATAATACAGAGTCAATAACCAAATTCTGAATGGGGTGCTAGGAATGCTCTACTATTCAAGAACCATTCCCCCCATCACTCCAAGGAATATTTTAAAACTCACTGGGAGCTCTTCCCTGAATAATGAGGGCAAACAATTATTTATCATTGATACAAATTGATTACACACTATTTTCATCCTTTTAATTGATGTAGTAGTAGCTCTAGCTATAACCTAAGGCATAGTGTTTAAGACCAATTCCTGAGAGAGGGCAGCGTGCTGGCAGCCCTCTCTCGCTCTCCACGCCTCCTTGGCCTCGGCGCCCACTCTGGCCGCGCTTGAGGAGCCCTTCAGCCCACCGCTGCACTGTGGGAGCCCCCTCTCTGGGCTGGCGGAGGCCGGAGCTGGCTCCCTCTGCTTGCGGGGAGGTGTGGAGGGGAGGTGTGGAGGGGAGGTGTGGAGGGAGAGGTGCGGGCGGCAACCGGGGCTGTGCGCAGCGCTCCCAGGCCAGCTTGAGTTCTGGGTGGGATGGGCTCGGTGGGCCCCGCACTCGGGAGTGGCCGGCTGGTGCCGCCGGCCCCGGGCAGTGAGGGGCTTAGCACCTGGGCCAACAGCTGCAAAGGGTGCGCCAGGTCCCCCAGCAGAGACGGCCTGCAGGCGCTGCACTCGAATTCTCGCCAGGCCTCAACTGCCTCCCGGCATGGCAGGGCTCCAGACCTGCAGCGGGCCATGCCTGAGCCTCCCCACTCCTGCCGTGGGCTCCTGAGCTGCCCAAGCCTCCCCGACGAGCGCACCCCTTGCTCCGCGGCACCTGGTCCCACTGACTGCCCAAGGGCTGAGGACCAAGGGCTGAGGAGTGTGGGTGCATGGTGCGGGACTTGCGGGCAGCTCCCCCCGTGGCTCCGGTGGGGGAATCCACTAGGTGAAGCCAGCTGGGCCCCTGAGTCGGGTGGGTACTTGGAGAATTTATTTACGCCTAGCTCAAGGTTTGTAAATGCACCAATCAGCACCCTGTGTCTAGCTCAAGGTTTGTGGGTGCACTAATCAGCACTCTGTATCTAGCTAATCTGGTGGGGACTTGGAGAACTTTTATGTCTAGCTAGAGGATGGTAAATGCACCAATCAGCACTCTGTGTCTAGCTCAAGGTTTGTAAACGCACCAATCAGCGCTCTGTGTCTAGCCTCTCTAGTGGGGACTTGGAGAACTTTTGTGTCTAGCTCAGGGATTGCAAATGCACCAATCAGCACCCTGTCAAAACGGACCAATCAACTCTCTGTAAAACAGACCAATCAGCTCTCTGTAAAATGGACCAATCAGCAGGATGTGGGTGGGTCCAGATAAGGGAATAAAAGCAGGCTGCCGGAGCCGGGAGTGGCAATCCCCTAATGTTCCCTTCCACCTTGTGGAAGTTTTGTTCTTTCGCTCTTTGCAATAAATCCCATTGTTGCTCGCTCTTTGGGGTCTCACTGTCTGTGCGAGCTGTAATACTCGCCGCAAAGGTGTCTGGCTTCACTTCCGAGACCAGCGAGACCCCGAACCCACCGGGAGGAATGAACAACTCCGGATGGGAGGGACAAACAACACCAGACGCACCGCCTTAAGAGTCCTAACGCTCACCGCGGAGGTCTGCGGCTTCACTCTTGAATGAAGCCAGCGAGATCACAAACCCACCAGAAGGAAGGAACTCTGAACACATCCGAAAATCAGAAGGAACAAACTCCGGACACACTACCTTTAAGAACTGTAACACTCAAATCGCGAGGGTCCACGGCTTCGTTCTTGAAGTCAGTGAGACCAAGAACCCACAAATTCCGGACACTTCCCCACACAGAGGGAACTGGCCTAACACTCTGGTAAGTCCAGGGAAGAGGCGAGTGCTTCATGGAGTGGCTTGGACAGAGCACAGGCTTTGGGCACTCATGTTCTGTGACAAGGGAATGGGCTGGGAGGGATGGTGGCTTCCCAGGCAATGAGATAGATGGGGATGGCCGGGCAGGGTGGAAAGATCACGGACGTCAGACAGAATAGGGGTCAGACCCGGCCTTTCTTTCTTTTGCGCTTTATGACTTTGGGAAAGTCACTGAATTTCTCTGGGCTTCAGTTTACTTACTTTTAAAATGACAGCAGGAACAGTGTCCTCACAGCGTCACTGCAAAGACTATGTATAAGGTATATTTATTACAGTGCCTGGTTTATGCTGGCATAGAAGTTCCTTTGTAAAGATGGGGTGCTACCAAGAGATAAACTTTTTCTATTGAAAATGCTCAATACGGCTCACATAGGAATAAAAATATATAGCATCCTTGTATTTTTCCATGTGCTTATTGAACACTCGTTGACAGTTGTATCCGAATGGCAGGCTAGAAGTTTTCAGACAAGAGTTCACAGGGGGACAGTTTCTGGGTGCCGAGGTGGTCCCCACAAACCCCCATCCAGCCATCATTTCTGCAGATGCAGAAGCCTTATTTTCATTTGCACACACACAAGTGTACTGGTGACTGACTCATGGTAACCAAACTCACAAGACTCTGAGGGATTCTCTGTAGGCGAATTTCATGACTTTGAGTGGGAGAAGGGTCTGGCTTCAGAGCTAGGGAGAGTCCTTTGGCCTGCCCTACTTGAGAGATCAGATCATAGACAAAAAGTTGCTTTGGGAGTATACAGTTAGAAGACAAGCATTGGATCTCCTGAAAAATGCCTTGCCTCTGACTAGGAAAATCAGATTGTCTATAAAACAAGCCTTGCTATCTAGAGGCAAACTCATTTTCCTTGCCTGATGGTGATAAATTCTGACTGGTTCCTAATTTTCAATATTCTTTTCCTTGCACCAAGAACAAAATCACTTCCCACCCGAAAACTTACAACATAGAGGTAGAATGTTATTTCCATTGGTTACATGCTGACAGTAATAATAAAAGTAGTGGCCACTGTTTCCTGAGTGCTTCCTATGTGCCAGGCACAGTGCAAACTACTTTATGCATATTATCTCCTTTACTGATCACAGCAAGCCGGCATGGCTTGAGACTTTCCTGGGGAGGAAATGGACACTCAGAGAGGTTAGATAGCCTGCCAGGGTCATATAGTTAGGAACTTGTGGAGTTAAAAATCTGAACTCAGATCTTCCTGAATTTGAGCTCCTAATATCTCATCAACACTACCTTTAGTAAGATCTAAGGTTCTTATTCTTAGAAATTCTTGCCTCCATTGGACCCACAGGATATGCCGTGGTTCCACTGGTAACTCTGTATGGATCATCTCCTGGGAGGGGACATGTCTAGAGATGGCAAATCTTTCGATGTAGGTTTTTTTTTTTTTTTTTTTTTTTTTTTTTTTTTTTTTTTTTTTTTTTTTTTGAGGCAGTCTCACTCTGTCGCCCAGCCTGGAGTGCAGTGGTGTGATTTCTGCTCACTGCATGCTCTGCTTCCCGGGTTCACGCCATTCTCCTGCCTCGGCCTACCGAGTAGCTGGGACTACAGGCGCCTGCCACCACGCCCGGCTAATTTTTTCTATTTTTAGTAGGGATGGGGTTTCACCATGTTAGCCAGGATGGTCTTGATCTCCTGACCTCGGAATCTGCCTGCTTTGGCCTCCCAAAGTCCTGGGATAACAGGGGTGAGCCACCACACCCGGCCCGATGTAGGTTTCTTGTGGTTTAATTTCAGATGACAGTCTTTTTCTGATGGCCCCAAAGACCAAGGCTGTTCTTTCCTAGGGTCTCCTTGTACAGCCTGTGCGTACAGTAGCCACCTGTTTCTCTGGTTTGACTCCAACCAGCCAGGAGGGGCCAATATCCCAGTCTCACTTCAGTGATTGTCATTTGAGCTGATGTGTTTCATTGACTCCATGGCACTGGACAAATACATTGTAGACTGAGCAGCTGAAATTGGTTTCCTTATAGGCTTCTTAGTTCACCTTTCTGTGAAGGTGAAGTCAAATTAAGTATCTTTCCTTCCAAATCAGCCGCCAGAGAAATGGCGAAGAACCTCACTGTAACACTTTTGCTCTCGATAACAATTGGGTTCACTCAGTAGCCTGGTGCAATGGATTTAGCGTTTTAAAAATTGCCCTTCTTAATGGTGAAGTGTGATTTCATCAATGGAATAATAACATGCAGAAAGTACCTAGGATTATTGTTTTTCTTTGTTTTTTCCTTTTTTTTTTTTTATTTTGAGACAGAGTCTGGCTCTGTTGCCCAGGTGCAATCTTGGGTCACTGCAACCTCTCCCTCCCAGGTTCGAGCTATTCTCCCACCTCAGCCTCCTGAGTAGCTGGGACCACAGGCACATGCCACTACACCTGGTTAACGTGTGTGTGTGTGTGTGTGTGTGTGTGTGTACATATATATACATACACACATATATATACACATATATACATATGTATACACACATACACATATACACGCTCACACACATATATAGGCAGAATAGGGTTTCGTTATGTTGCCCAGGCTGGTCTTAAACTCCTGATCTCAAGTGATCTTCCTGCCTCAGCCTCCTAAAGTGCTGGAATTACAAGCATGGGCCACCACCACATGCAGCTGGGTTTTTTTTCCCTTTTTGCTTATATATAATAAAATTAAAATTTTAAGCAATTATTTTTTTTTCTTTGAGACAGAGTCTTGTTCTGTCACCCAGGCTGGAGTGCAGTGGCGTGATCTCAGCTCACTGCAACCTCTGTCTCCTGGGTTCAAGCAATTCTCCTGCCTTAGGCTCCTGAGTAGCTGGGATTACAGGTGCCCACCACCATGCCCGGCTAATTTTTGTAGTTTTATTAGAGATGGGCTTTCACCATGTTGACCAGGCTTGTCTTGAACGCCTGACCTCAGGTGATCTGCCTGCCTTGGCCTATCAAAGTGCTAGAATTATAGGCATGAGCCACTGCATCCAGCCACCAACTCATTTTTTATATTACTATCAAGGCAAATGTTCTCTAATTTACTGCTGAAATGTCACTTTGCAGAAACCCAACTGTTACTTGATTCTGTATCAAGAAGTCACTCTCTAGTGACATTCCGTAATATTTTATACCCAAACAATCCATCAGTGCCAAGTCCTGTTCTGTAGACATGTCTAGAATGTGAATGCATATAAATGATGGTCCCCTAGAGTTAGATGTAAGGTGACACATAATCAGGGGGTGCTTAGCTCCTAATTCTGTCCAGGGAATCCCTGAATGAGGCACTGCTGCAAATGCTACTACAGCCCCAGAGCCAAAAAAATTGCAGCTGCCCATTGCTCCTCGGAATTTCACTTAAGTTCATGAAGCAGGAGAGCAGTGCCTTTTTTCTGCAAACTCTTCAGCAGCCCATTTTTGCCTCCGCCCCTCAGCTGCATTTTCCATCTCCTGCATGTGGTGTCTCCCCATTCACCTGACTACAGCCCCTGGAGTTTGTCTTTTTTCTCATCCCTTTGCCAGACTGAAAGTGACATCATGGAGGTGCTGGGTGGCCATGCTTGGGAAGCACGCCTTCTGCTTTCAAGTACATTTTTTCCAGAAGCTGATCCAAGACAACAACACAAGCACAAGGGGTTCTTTGGGGGAAGCGGGGCTAATACTGGTAGGGAAGTAGGGAAGGGAGTCAGGGAAGGGAAGGGAAGGCAAAATGTCCTACTTACTACTACACCTGCTGCCATGGGTTGCTGAATGCCATAGGAAACTGCACAACACAGCACAAGCCTCTGCATGATCCCAGTCCAGAGGCGAGGGAGCTGGGGTATTCACATACTCATTCTTAACGGCCACTGGTTGATGGCTGCATTCCTTAGCAGGTCTGGTCTACCACCTGGGGGCAGCACAGACTTCAGTGGGTGGGGGTCGAGGACTGGGGAAGAACCCTCAGCCCAGTCATGAGACACTGTTTGTTGGAAATCAGCTGGAGCACCCAAAAAGGTCCACAGAATAGGGACAGGACAGTGGCCCCATCTATCATACCTGTTACATCTGAGACAGCAAATTTACCCAAACCCTCAATTTTACCTCCAAAATATATAATGGTTCTGTCTACTTCTCCATCTTCAACCTCTTCCCTAATCCTAGTGAGCCTAATCTACATATTGTCCGGATTAATACTACAGCCTCTGGATTGTATTTACTTTTACTAATTAAAAAAATATTTTATAATGAAATATTTCAGGCAGACAAGGAAAATAATGAGAATAATGTAGCTGACACTAGATCCATCATCGACCTTGCTACATTTCAACACGATGTCTAATTGCTTTACTTACTTGCTTAATAGGATTAAAGTTTTGTAGATACAATTGAAGCTCCCTCTGTGTTCCTTTTTTGTATGTATGTACGTACGTATTTATTTATTTTGAGATGCAGTCTCACTGTATCGCCCAGGCTGGAGTGCAGTGGTGTGATCTTGGCTCACTACAACTTCTACCTCCTGGGTTCAAGCAATTCTCTTGTCTCAGCCTCCCAAGTAGCTGGGGCTACAGGTGTGCACCACCATACCTGGCTAACTTTTGTATTTTTTAGTAGAGACGGGGTTTCACCATATTGGTTAGGCTGGTCTCGAACTCCTGACCTCAGGTGATCCATCATCCTCGGCCTCCCAAAATGCTGGGATTACAGGAGTGAGCCACTGCTCCTGGCCTCTGTGTTCCTTCTTGATCTTATTCTCCTCCAACTCTCCCAGAGGGATTGATGTTTATCATCCCTATGTATGGTTTTCTATTTTTGCTACATACGTATAACACACACACACATACACACACACACACACGGTATGTGCATGCAAGATTGTTTTACATTTCTTCAAACTTACTACATTGGCATCATGCTGAATAAATCATTCTGAAACTTATTTTTTGCTAAGCATTATGTTTCTACAGTTTCATCCATGTTGATGCATGTGGTCCTGGTTCAATCATTTTAACTGTTGTATGACATTATGTGAGTACACTACAAGTTACTCATTTATTTTTTGGTTAGTGGATTCTTGGCTCCTTCCTCTCCCCCACCACTATAAAAGGTTTTTTTTTTTTTTTTTTTCCTATGACAAATAGTGCTGCAGTAAATACTCTTTGGCTTTACCAGTTACTTTGGGAACTCGTGGGAGTCTTTTCCGTATATTCTTAGAAATGGAAATGCTGAAAACTAGAACATGAACATCTCTAGTGTTACTAAATATTGCCAAATTCCGCTGTAAATTAAACCATGCTCTTCCATGGACAGGGTGTAAGAATTCCTATGTCTCTACATCCTCACCAACTCTTGATGTTGTCATTTTTAATTTTTGCCCATCTAGTGCAAAGCATGTTATGGGCCTTGGACATTTCTCCACCTTGGCTTCCTGCCTGTAGCATCTGGGGAGAAGGTTCCTGCCAGGCATGATCGGAATGAAAAGATCTCCTTGTTTTACTTTGCACTTCCCTGATTACTAATGAGGTCAAACATTTTTTATATGCTTAGAAGCCATTCGTATTTTGTCTTTTGTGACCTTTCAATGTATACCCTTTACCTTCCATTTTATTGAGTCATGTTCTCACTGAATTGTGGATATAACTTTTGTATATTCCAGATGCTAATTTTTAAAATGTATCTAGTCTCACTCTGTGATTTGCATTTTACTTTGTTTGCAGTAGCTTTTGTTTTCTAGATGATTTTAATTTTAATGTCTTCAGATTACCATATTTTCTTTGTCATTTGTGTTTCCAAAAGCAATTCTCTACCAAGAGGTCATAAAGGTAGTCTTCCTATATTTTCTCTTAAATGCGTTTTTTTTTTTTTTTTTTTTTTTTTTCTTTTGAGACGGAGTTTCACACTGTTGCCCAGGCTGGAGTGCAGTGGCGCGATCTCGGCTCACTGCAAGCTCCGCCTCCGGTTTCACGCCATTCTCCTGCCTCAGCCTCCCGAGTAACTGGGACTACAGGCACCCGCCACCACGCCCGGCTAATTTTTTGTATTTTTAGTAGAGAGGGGGTTTCACTGTGTTAGCCAGGATGGTCTCGATCTCCTGACCTCGTGATCCGCCCGCCTCAGCCTCTCAAAGTGCTGGGATTACAGGCGTGAGCCACAGTGCCTGGCCAAATGCATTTTAAAGGTTTCTCTCTTTCTGTATTGAGGTAAAGGTCTAATTTAATTATTTTCCGTATGGAAAAATGGCAACCCCAGTACTACTTATTGTCAGTCCATCTTTTTCTCACTAATTTATGATGTCACCTCTATCTAATAGATATCTAATCTCTATCTAGTAGGTATCTAATCTACTATCATAGATTAAGTTCATATATATGTAATATATTATATATAAACAAATGGATCAATGACCCAAAGTAGAATGCTCAGATTTAATCCTATGTAATATATAAATACAAATAACTTATTATATATATTTATATATGTGTTTTTATATTTTATATATTTATACATTTTATATATTTATGTATTATATATAGGATTAAATCTGAGCATCCTATTTCAGTCAGTTGATTTATTTCTGAGTCCATATCACAGTGTCTTCATGACTACAATTTTATGATATCTTGATATCCAGGCAGAAAATCCCCTCCCCATATTGTTCTTTTTAAAAATTATTTTGTGTCTTTGCTTTTGCATATATAACTTCCATGAAAAATTATTTTATTATAATTCTATTCTTGATAAAAATTATATTAACTTTATAGACTGGTTTAGGGGGATTTTCATTTTATAATATTGATTCTTTTCACTAATGAACAGGAGCTATCACCCAGCCCTTCCTTTCTCTAGATTTTTTCCTCTTCTTTTATGTATTTTAATAAAGTTTCATACATTTCTCCATAAAAGTTTATTCCTAGACACCTTTAAGTTTTTATTGCTAGTGCATATAGTATCTTTTTAGAACTACTTGCTAATTTTTTTAGCTAATGTATACAATTGATTTTTGTATACTTGAGCTTGTTCTCAGCAAAACTGCTGAGTTCTCAGTTTTATCAGTTTGTATGTCAATTCTTTGAGTTTTCTATGCAGATAACTTTGTAAGTAGTGAAAGTTTGGGGTTTTTTCTCCTAATTCTTCTATATGTGAGTACTTTTATTTTGGTTGTTCTTATAAAAGCATAGAGCATATAGATCTTGTTTACTCATTAGAGCTTCTGTGTTTTAAACAGTGGGATTCATTTGTTTACATTTTTATGATACTTGATATACTTAGATTTATGCCCTGATGCATTGAGGTTTATTTTGCCCATCTTAATTTGCACTTGCTGTTTGTCACGTCTTTTCTTTGTACACTTTCCTCCTCTTTCCTATGACCCCCTGAGAATGAACATCAAGTTACAGGAAAGAGAAATAAAAATAAATCTACAATTAGGCACACTCCAGTGAAACGGGAGAATGCCGAATACAGAAAAACAACCTTGAAAGCAACCAGAAGAAGTACAGGGGGCAATGACCAGAATGACAGTCTGTCATTTCAAATTTCTCTAATTGTGTCTATTTTACTTTATACAATTTAAAATTAATCAGTACCTCTGCTTCTGAATACAAAGACCAGAACTTTTTAACTCATAGACTTTCTTTTTATGTTACGTGTTATTACTGTCTGGTATTTTCATTTCACCTTTTTTATGGTTCCAGCTCACATTTGATGCTTGATTTTCTGTTGAATCACATGTTTTTTTCATTTCATTACTTAATATTTCTTCCTGTACCTCACTGTGTCTTTCTGGGTTTTAGTCCTTCTTTCTGAAGTGCATGTAACTTTTAGAAGCAGCTCTTTCAGCAAGCTTCTATTAATGGGAAATTTAGTCTTGCCAGGGGAGCGCGGTGGCTCACGCCTGTAATCCCAGCACTTTGGGAGGCCAAGGCAGGCAGGCAGATCATTTGAGGTAAGGAGTTCAAGACCAGCCTGGCCAACATGGCAAAACCCCATCTCTATTAAAAAATACAAAAATTAGCTGGGTGTGATGGTGCATGCCTGTAATTACAGCTACTCGGGAGGTTGAGGCAGGGGAACTGCTTGAACTAGGGAGACGGAGGTTACACTGAGCTGTGATCACGCCACTGCACTCCAGCCTGGGTGACAGAGCGAGACTCGGTCTCAAAAAGAAATTCGGCCTTGCCTGCCTGAAAATGACTTCATTTTATCCTCACTCTTGAATGATAATTTGTTTCTGTAAGCAATTTAAAGATATTATCCATTGTCTTCTGGGCTACATTAAAGTTTTGAAAAACATACTGTCATTCTGGTCATTGCCCTCTGTACCTTTTCCGGTTGCTTTCAAGGTCATTCTTCTGTATTTGGCATTCTCCCGTTTCACTGGAGTGTGCCTAGTTGTAGATTTATTTTAATTTATCTTTCCTGTAACTTGATGTTCATTCTCAATCTATCCATATATGTTGTGTTCGTTTCCTAGGGATGCTGAAACAAATCACCAGAAACTTGGCGGCTTAAACAACAGAAATTTATTCTCTTCCAGTTCTGGAGGCCAGAAGTCCACAATCAGTGTCCTGGGGTTAATATCAAGATGTTGGCAGGGCCATGTGCTCCCTCCGGAGGCTCTGGAGGAGAATCCATGCCTGGCCTCTTTCGGGTTCTGGTGGCCGCTGGCATCTTTTGGTTATTGGCCACACCACTCTCATCTCCAAGGCCAGCATCTTCAAATCTCTCCAGGGTTCTCTTTCACATTGCCCTTCTCTTCTGTGTGTGTCTGTATGAAATCTCCCCTACTTCCCTCTCATAAGGACAGTTCTGATTGTATTCAGGGCCTGCCTGGGTAATCCAGGATATGAATTCCATCTCAAGATCATTAACTTTTTCACATCTGTGAAGGTCCTTTTTCCTATCAGGCAACATTTAACTGTCCTAGGGATTAGAACTTGCTGTCTTTGGGTGGCCATGATTCAATCTACTATGCATGTCCGTCATCTAAATTCTGAAAATTCCCAGCCATAACAACTCTTCCCAATCCTCTCTATTCTGTAGTTCTGGAACTCCTATTAAAAGTAAACTGGGCCGGGAATGGCGACTCACACCTATAGTCCTAGCACTTTGGAAGGCCGAGGTGGGTGGATCACTTAAGGCTATGAGTTCAAGATCAGCCTAGCCAACATGGTGAAACTGTCTCTACTAAAAATACAAAGATTAGCTGGGCATCGTGGCATGTGCCTGTAGTCCCTGCTACTCTGGAGGTTGAGGCACAAGAATTGTTTGAACCCGGTAGTCGGAGGTTGCAGTGAGACGAGATCACGCTGCTGCACTCCAGCTCTGGTGACAGAGCAAGACCCTCTCTCAAAATAAATAAATAAATTGGACTTTTCCAATTAATATTCTGTTCTGTTTAACTGATCTCTCATGATTTTTGCCTTTTAACTCTGTGCAATACATTCTGAGTAATTTCCTCATATCTATCTTCCAGCTGATTGTTTTTTCATATCTGATTAATCTGCTGTTCAAGCCATCAGACAATTTTAATTATGACTTTTAATCTAGAAATTTGATTATTTAAAAAATCTGCCCTACTTTCCTCCTTAGAGTATCTGTTATATTCTGTTTTTTGATGGTCTAGCTTATGATTATGATTATTCTGAAAATACTATCTTTCAGATAGTTCTTTTATTGGGAGTTTTTGAAGGGAGCGTCTAGTCCCTCAGTTTGCTGTAATTTCTGACTCTTGCACATGGTGAAGTTTTTCCTTGTACATTTGTAGTTTGAGATTGAAAGCTCATTTTCAGCAGAGCTTTTTCTATGGGAATTTTGTGTGACCTGGGTTGAAGGTGCATGTCTCTCTGGCCGTTTTGTGTTGGCTTCTTATAGATTCCCCATGGATATCACTGTTTGGTAACAGTGTTTGAGCTCCTTTTCAAGTTGGGGCTTCTGGGGTAGTGTGGGTAATATAAATTTGAGCTTATGTGAGATCAAGTTCTTGGTATGAATTTTCAGACAATAATTTTGTTTTAACAGAATCTACATCAAGGAACTCAAGCGCTCTTGTTGTCTTCCTGGGCAGGTAGGTGGTTTTCCTCCATCTACCTTTCATGGCGTGGTTAATATTAGCCCTCCCAGAGTCCTGGCTTCATGTGGATACACTCATTGCTCTTGAGTCTAAGACATCAATCTCTGTACCTTTCCAGGCATTAAAAATTCTAATCCCTGTGTGTTAAGATGGCTTTTCACTTCCTCTTTTGTTTCTGGTTCCTAGAATAACTTTTTTTCTGGAAAGCTCATCTATGCATTTAAAACAATGCCTACTGTATTTTGTCAAACATTTGTAACTGTTTGTACAAGAGGGTTGCCTTCTGAATCACCACTCAGTAGCCATGCTAGTCTTTCCGAAAGTTCTCAGAACACACCATTATCTTTCTTGAATAAAGGCTCTGCATTGAAAAAATTCCCTCTGCCTGGAATGTTTTCCCATAGTTGGCTCTTGTCCATCCTCTGGTCTCATCTTAAATATCCTCTGCAAGATCCTTCCTGACCCCATCTCCATAAAACAACGCCCCCCCTCCATTATTCTCTACCCCATCCTCTTCTTTTCTTTCATGGAATTGATCACAATCCATATTTGCCTTGATTATTTATTTGTGTACTTGTTCGTGGTTTGTCATGCCCTCTAGAATGGATGATGCAGGGACCTTCTCTGGTGCTATGGCCTGAATTGTGTCCTTTCTCCCCCCAAATTCATATGTTGATGCTATAACTCCCAACATGATCATATGTGGCCTCTAAGAAAGTAATTAAGTTAATACAGGTGAGGCCTTGATCTGATAGGGTAAGTGTCCTTATAAGAAGGTTAGCCAGAGGACTCGTTCTCTTTGTTGTATGAGGACACAGTTGAGACGATGGAACCTGGGAGACGGCCCTCACCAGGAACCTGACCAGGCCGGCTCCCTGATCTCAAACTTCCAGCCTTGACAACGGTGAGAAAATAAATGTCTGTTGTTTAAACCACCCAGCCTGTGGCTTTAGTTATAGCAGCCCAAGCTGACTAATACATCTGGCTTTCCCCCTCTGAATCTATGGGATCTACAGTGCTAGGCAGTATCTACTAGATGAATGAAGGAACACACCAAAGCTACAGATGCTCAAAGGACTCCCCCTATGCCCACAACAGACTTGCAATAAGGCTGTGATGTTCTAAAAACCAAAAGATACATCCCTCTTGGCTCATGGGCCTAAATTCTTTCCTCCTTCTCATGCATAAACTCTAATATTCAGAAAATCCAGACCCCAGCAAAAATGTAAGCATTTGCAGAGAGGACTTTTAATTATGACCAAATCAAGAGATTTCTCACCTTAATAGGTCCTAATTGGGGATCATTCTCAGCTTGTGCAAAACCTGACCTGAGGGGCAGCCCCCTGGTGAATCAGGTACCTGCTGCCTGCTCTAACTGAAGTCAGTCACTTTGCCCAGTTCCCCATGGATGTGATAAATTGAATTGAGAGGTGTGTGAGTAAATAAAAGTAGCATAAAGAACCTGCATAAAGTAGCAAATAATGAAATGTCTAAAAAACAAATTAATTTTCCCATTTTGAAAGCAATATAAGCACTTTCCAGGAGCTCTGAAAGTAGAAAAACTAAACCACTCATAACTTAAGACCTACCATAAGCCTCAGTAATCATTCAAGTGCATATTTGTCTTTTTAAAAAAAAAGACATGGTTTTTGTTTGTGTTTTTGTCCATCATTTGTTAAGAACTTACTATATGCATGATAACAGTTTATACAACACTCTACGCTAGGTGTGATTATTCTCATTTTAAAATGACATAACATGAGTGTAGAGAGATCAGGAAACTGGCTCAAGGTCTCACAGGCAGGTTGTGGACAGGGAGAGGCTTGACCCCAGATCTGTCTGATTTTATACCCTGTTCACATCTTCTCTTGCAACTCTGGTATTATATTGCTTTGCCTCCACCTTCTTTTCTTTGGAGCTACAATCACACTTAACTTCATATCCCTCTTTTTCCCCCCATTTACCACCACAAGATTCTTTTGCCTGTTGGATAGTCTTTGTAAGGACTTCTTTCAATGACCAGCAGAACAATATCTGATCACTATTTTCTCATTCAACAAACTGAGCACTTTGGGACATAATTTAGCTCAATCTTATAAAATTAAATACTTGTCTATCCTATGACCCAGCAAGTCCTCTCCCAGGTCTTAGAGAAAATCCCAGAGGTGAGCCCTCTGCCATGGACAAGAGTTCACAGGAGCATTGTTGAAAATACAAAAACGAGGAATGACCCACATGTCCATCGACGGAATGAATATTCTCAGTAATATCTGAATACAAATGTTGCTAGTGTAATGTTGAGTGAACAAAGCAAGTCTCTGAAGCTACCATTTTTATAAAGCATGAAAACAAGCAAACTAAGTGATCTATTTTGGGGGTACTCATAGATGACTTGCGAAACTGGAAATTCATTCGGTACACAGCTATCGAGTGCCTGCTAAGTCTCAGCTCTTCTGTTTGCACTTTATGTACAGCAGCTTATTTATTCCTCACTTCAAGCCTATGAGCTATCTACTATTATTAGCTGTCTTTTACAATCGAGAAAACCAAGACACAAAGAGTGTGAGTGTGTTGGTTAATTTTATGTGTCAACTTGACTGGGCCACAGGGCATCCAGATATTTGCTCAAATATTATTCTGGCTGTTTCTGAGAAGGTGTTTTAGGATGAGATTAATACTTGTTTATTTAATCATTTTAATTTTTTAATTTCCATAGGTTTTGGGGGAACAGGTGGTATTTGGTTACATGAGTACGTTTTTTAGTGGTGATTTGTGAGATTTTGGTGCACCCATCATCCAAGCAGTATACACTGAACCCAATTTGTAGTCTTTTATCCCTCACCCCCCTCCCATCCTTTCCCCTCGAGTTCCCAAAGTCCATTGTGTCATTCTTATGCCTTTTCATCCTCATAGCTTAGCTCCCACTTATAAGTGAGAACATTCGATGTTTGGGTTTCCATTCCTGGGTTACTTCACTTAGAATAATAGTCTCCAATCTCATCCAGGTTGCTGCAAATGCCATTAACTCATTCTTTTTTTATGGCTGAGTAGTCTTCCATTGTGTGTATATATATCACAGTTTCTTTATCCACTTGTTGATTGATGGTATCCTAAATGTAATTTTTATTTTTATTTTTTAAAATTATTAAAAACAAATTTGTGAGTACATTGTAGATGTATATATGTAGGGGGTACCTGAGATGTTTTGAGACGGGCACGCAATGTGAAAAAAGTAGATTGTGGAGAATGGGGTATCCATCCCATCAAGCATTTATCCTTTGAGTTACAAACAAGCCAATTACATTCTTTATGTTATTTCAAAATGTACAATGAAGTTATTGTTGACCATAGTCACCCTATTGTGTGCTATCAACTAGTAGGTCTTATTATTCATTACTTCTCATTTTGTGCACCGATTAACCATCTGAGATTGACATTTAAATCAGTAGACTGAGGATAGCAGACTGCCCTCCCTAATGTGGGCAGGCCTCATCCAATTCCTTGGAGGCATGGATAGAACAAAAAGGTTGATCCTCCCCCAAATAAGAAAAAATGCCTCCTGCCTGACTGCTTTCACACCGAAACATCAGCCCTTCCTGGGTCTTGAGCTGGCTGGTCTTTGAACTGGAATTACACCATGGGCTTTCTGGGGTCTCCAGCTTGTCAACTCACCCTGAAGATCTTTGGAACTTGTAAACCTCCATAATCTTGTGAGTGCCAATTCCTTATAATAAATCTCTCTCTCTGTATAAACACACACACACACACACACACACACACACACACACACACATTTTATTGGGTCTGTTTTTCTGGAGGATGCTGATTAATATGGTAAGTAACTTGCCCAAATGACACACAGCTAGGAAGTGCTGAGGCAGGTCTTTTGGACTCTAGAACCAGAGTGTTTATCCCATTGCCTCTCCCGCTTCCTCTCCAACACAACGCAAAACTACTCTTATAGGACTGCCAAGACTCAAAGTGGATCTTAAGTGTCAAAACTTTATAATCAATGTACAGGCTTTCCTGAAAATCTATATGATTTCTTGGTTTCAATGCTTTGTAAATCATACATTTCCTTCCCCGCTGGGCATACAACCAATTCTAATATCACATTTGAACTCAAACAGGCTCATACCCAATACAAAGTATCTTGCATTCCTCATCAGTTTCCATCAGAGCAAAAGAGAAAGAATCTGCATTTCAAATCGTTGAGTTTGTTGTCATGACAACACATAGCCTTGGTCTGCTCTGAGCAGTGGTATGCAAAGTTCTGAGTTGAAAGCATTTTGTATATGTATTCAGGAGGTGGGTTTATTCACACACACTGCTATCCCCCTACCCCCCACCACACACAAAGACAAGATGTTTCTTAGCTGCCTTAATGCAATGTAGAAAACATAAAGAATGCACAAAGGCATAGAATTCCAGGAGGAGCTCTCCCAGCAGGATGGTGAACATTTGCTCTTCTTCCACACTCATCTTTACAATGATGTGACAGAATGCCAGGTGTTAGATAGCATTCCTTCTTAAGGAATTTATTGAGTGTTCTTTAAGTGGACCTTTCTTACTCTTTTACAATACATACATGTCAATGACAATATATGTTGGTGTTTGCATATATACATTTCATCAATTAGTTTGTTTTTCTTACTATTTTTGAGAATTTTCAGTACTTCATTCTCTTAACTGGGTTAAGTGATGCATCTTATGAATAGAGCCCATTGATCTTTTCTCCTATTTACAGACATTTTAATTATTTCTAAGTTTTTCTTTCCCAGAGTAAACAGTGCTGCAGTGAACATCTTCATGCATATCTCCTTAGGCACTGAGGGAGAACTTGTTTCAGGAAATGGAATTGCTGGATTCTAGTGCATGCATTTTTTTGTTGTTGTTTAGGCCTGCCAGGTACCTTGTTGTTCCAGCACACTGATACGGGAGATAGAAAGAAATTATTTAGGCAGATAGTAAGGGCAACAGAGTCCGCAGTGGAATTTCCCTTTCAACAAAAAGCAGCACCCAAATCATTTCTTTTCTAACAAAGAGCAGCCTGAAAAATCGAGCTGCAGACACAGATAAGCAAGTTGGAAGCTTGCACAAGTGAATGCTGGCAGCTGTGCCAATAGGAAAGGGCTACCTGAGGTTCAGGCATGTTCGACATGGAGTCTCCGTCTTCCCTTTTCTTTGTCACCATGGGTACAGTAAAAGCAGGTAATACAGCGTCAACTAGGTAGATAACCCATCTGCATAATAAAAGATGAGGGTGGGGCGACCAGCCTCTTCCCGTGTTATGCAAACGGCACACCTAGTCATAACCAGTTCTTTGCGTGCTATGCAAGTGGCACACCTGGTCCGATCAATCTTTTGTGCCCTATGTCAATCAGACACCACCCCCTCAAGTTCCTCTATAAAACCTTACGCATTTCACTGCAGAAGCGGCAACCCATTTTCTCCGGGACCTCTCTGCGCAGAGACCTCTTCTTTTTCTTTTGCCTATTAAACTTCCGCTCTTAACTTCACTATAGTGTGTCTGCATCCTTGATTTCCTTGGTATGAGGCAATGAATGTTGGGTATTACCCCAGAAAAATGATGCCACTTCATCACTTTTCCAGCAGTAGCATTTTCACCAACACTTGATACTGTCAGGTTTTAAACTTTCCTCCACAGATGCTGTGAAATGGTATCTCGTTACTAGTTGCAGTTCCAGACTGTGAGTGAGGTTGAGGCTCTCCTCCCATGGGTTCTAGACTGGCCATTTCATATTTCTTTTCTGTCATTTCTCTATTTTGATTTTGTTAGTGTGGTTCTTTTGTTGTTGGTTCTTTGTCCTTTTCTTATTGATGTTGAAAATTCTTTATATATTCTAGATACTAATTCAGTTATATGTTGCAAATACCTACTTCGAGTCTGTGGTTTGTCTTTCAATTTTGTTCACAAAAGGCTTATAAAATTGAAATGAACCAAATATTAATGTTTCTTTTGCTGATTTTTTTTTCGTTTGGGGAGTAAAGGGATCTTTACTAAGAACTCTTGGCTGAGCCTGAAGCTTCAAAGACATTTTCTTCTAATAGATTTAAAGTTTTCTTTTTGCATCTAGGTTTTGATCCATCTGTTTTAATTTTTGAGTATGGTGTGAAGTAAGGATGTACTTTCATTTTTTTCTTACATACAAAGCTAATTCTCCCAGCACCATTTGTAAAGGTGTTTAATGGTTTATATTTTTTCTATTTATTTGCAATGTCACCTCTATTATGGATTAAGTTTCTATATGCAGGTTGGGTGTGGTGGCTCATGCCTGTAATCCGAGCACTTTGGGAGGCCAAGGGGGTGGATCACTTGAGGCCAGGAGTTCAAGACCAGCCTGACCAATGTGGCGAAACCTCGTCTCTACTAGAAATACAAAAATTAGCCAGATGTGGTGGCATGCACTGTAATTTCAGTTACTTGGGAGTCTGAGGCATGAGAATCACTTGAACCCAGGAGGCAGAGGTTGCAATGAGCCAAGATTGTGCCACTGCACTCCAGCCTAGGAAACAGAGTGAGACTCTGTCTCAAAAAAAAAAAAAGTTTCTATATCCATTTGGGTCTGTGAGATTTTTATTCTCCTTCATCGATCTATTAACCTATTTCTTCACCAGTGTCATAGTTTTCATTATAATAGGGTTAGTCTTGGTAACTGATAGAGCAGGTTCTTCTTTTTTGTTCTTTTTCACAACTTATTTAGCAACTCTTCGATGTTTACTCTTCTGTGTGATTTTCAGAATCAGTTTGTCTAGTTTCATTTAAAAATATTTTGTCAGGACTTTGATTATAACATATTGACATTTATAAGTTAATTTGGGGATATTTTATATTTATGACATTTAGATATTCAGTTTTCCCATGAAACAATATAATATATATTCCTATTTGCTTGAGTCCTTTATGCTCTTTAATAACACTTTATAATTTTGTCCATAAAGTTCTTGCAAGGCTTTTGTTATTTTTAGATAGCTTAGATCATAAACTTTCCATGAGAATTAAATAAGGTAGAAAATACAAGTGCTTGGAACGCTGGTAAGAACTCAATGAGTGTTATCAATTATTAATATTCTTTCATAAATTTGTTGCTATTAGGAACAGGCTATTTTTCCTATAACATCGAAGATTTTTTTTTTTTTGGCCTATAGAAACTTACAAATTTTTTTAAAATGTGGGTTTTGTATTTAAAATGTAAATTTTGTGTTTAAAATTTTTAGAACTAAAAGTCATTGGACTTTTTGAGTGCTTTTTTTAGTTCTGAAAATATATATGTTCTCTTTTTTTTTTTTACATAGACTCATAACTTTTGAAAATACTAAAATTGTTGTTTGCCTTTTTGATTCTTATGCCTATCTATTTCTTTTACTTGTATTATATTAACAAAAAAATTGAAATATAATGTTGGATAATAGATGTGATAGCAGGCATTCTTACCTCTTTTGAACTTTACTGGAAAGACTTGCCTATTTCACTCTTAATATGACGTTTGCTTTTAGGTTCCAGCAGCAATTTTTTTTCCCATTTCTAGTTTGATAAGAGGTGTTTGGTTTTATTTTTTAAATTATAAATAAGTGTGGGAGCTTACTAATGATTGATTCTGTACCTACTGAACTAATGATATTATTTTTCCTATAATAAATGAATTATATTGATAGATTTATTTTTACATTTTTACTTATTTATTTTGAGACCACATTGTGAGACTGGCTAATTTTTGTATTTTTTGTAGAGATGGGGTTTCACCATATTCCCCAGGCTGGTCTCGAACTCCTGGGCTCAAGTGATCCACCTGTCTTGGCTTCCCAAAGTGCTGAGATTACAGGCATGGGCCACTGTGCCAGACCTATACTGATAGATTCTAAAACTTCATACTATCCTTGCATTCCTTAGGTAAGGCTCATTAGTGACAATGTAGTTATTTTAATATCCTGCTGGATTCGTTTGCTCTTATTTAGAATTTTTCCCTCTGTGTTCAACATACGAGATTGACCTGGAATGATATAATCCTTATATCAGCAGTTTCCTAAAACTAGTCGTCTTCTCTCTTTTGTGCTTCTTCTACATTATATATATAAGAACAGTTATTATATGCTATTTTTCAAGCTTTGCTGAAAGTCAACCTTAACATCTTCTGGGTTCAAGCTATCTTTTCTACTTGGAATATTCTCTCCATTTCTGATTTTACAAATTCTCAGGTGTCTGGGAATTTAAAATCACTCAAGTGTCATCACTTCCTTGAAGCCTTATTTGATTCCTCTTCTGCCCCCTTCTTATCCCCTTTGAAAACCCATTGTGCTCTCTCCCTGGCAGCCTCAGACCATTGTGTTCACACCATGCTTACAGCATTTATGCTTCCTTGTTTTTGGAACAAAATTCCTAGCACAAGGCCTTTCTGTTAGTAGATGTCCAGCACACATTTGTCATATGAATATCTATATAACATCATTGCTGTTGTTCATCACATTTCAAACACACCCATGCACATACACACACGGCAGATAGGAATGTCATGAAAAAACTACTTTTATTTTTAACCAGTGTTCAATGCTAATTCTTGTGATCTAGTCACATCTGGCAGGGCCTTGTTCTTCTACAAGAAGTGCTGTTACTTAAGATCCCAAGTGATGGGCAATGCAGCAGGGGCCGGGCCTGGGAGAGTACAGCTAGGCAACAATGGTTATTGAGGGTTGATGGGCTGAATAAAGCTTCCACATTACATACTTATTACAGAGGCTTATTACTCTAAAGACAAGTAATTACAGCACCTGTTGCAGTCCCTGGCATAGCCTGGAGACAGTAACCCATTCATTCTTTGCCATATCAGCTCAGTGTGGGCTGCTGAGTGGATGCTGGGTAAGAGCTGGAGTGCTGGGTTCTGATCCCAGATCTGCTACCAGTTCTGTGACCTTGGACCACACATCTGCACAATGAATGTGCTGTGAGAGAAAGCACCTCCCAAGGAATGCATATTTTCATGGCAGACTGGACAGGATGATTTCCAAGTGTCTTTCTAGTCCTACAATTTTATGATTTATGAGAGTTGAAAAATTCGAGAAGTGCCATAAAGCTTTAAATTCATGATGATGGCACTTCTCCTGGCCAGGTTGTTCTCACATTGCTCTTAGAGATGTTGAGATTTCTTCCTTTGTGATTCTCTCAGGACAAATACTGCCTGAGCTGGCATCAAAGAAAGACATGTGAACAAATGGAGCTCCCTAAACATTCCGTCCCTGTCCTGGGTATCCCTGGAGGATAGAAGTGGTTCAGTATGTCCAGTGGTCACCGGAGCTTACGAGATCACTGGGCTTGGGGATCATTACATGCTTGGGTAGGAGTGTGGGCATTAACCCCTGACTGGATGAAATGACTGTGAAATCATTCCTTCTTTTTTTATTTTAATTCACCAATTACTTACTGAGAGCTTGATACACAAAAGTCACTCCGTTAAGTCATGTGGGAAATGATGAGATGAACAGGGTATAAATGCCATCTTCAAGGAGTTCATGGTCCAGTTGGAGACAGGAGAGAGTCACTAGCAAAAGGGTATGGGGAGGGAAGAGGTAATTGATGAGTAGAGCCTCGGGGAAGCCTTCCTGAGAGATGGCATCGAGCACGACGGCTTTGAAGCACAGGTAGGGGTTTTGATCTCAGAGCAGAGCAGCATGTGGGAAGATTCCAAGGTGTGAAAAAGAGGGTCACACAGGCCACCACCCCTTAGCAACGTGGATGTCTCCAGCTGTGACCCAGGACAGAGAGTTTTGAGATGGTTACGTGACTAAACCCAGTACACGCCCCCAGGTGACTCGTGAGCCCATCTCAAAGCTTGGGATTGGTCCTAATGGGTGGCTGGCTGCTTGCCTGTTACTGAGAGAGTCCTAGATGTCTTTTTTGCCCTTAAATTACCTTTACCAATGACTATCAAGGTATCTAGACTTTCCATCATTAAACTCACTTTTTGTTGATAGAACACTACTACCTAAGACATGTAGTTGGTAAGCAGCAAATAGATTATTTAGGAGCAGTAATTTATCAACAAATTAGCTGTTATCAAAACATCTTTGGGTTGAGTGCGGTGGCCCATGCTTATAATCCCAGCATTCTGGGAGGCTGAGGCGGGAGGATCACTTGACCTCAGGAGTTTGAGACCAGCCTGCGCAACATAGTGAGACCTCATCTCCACTAAAAATAAATAAATATAAATAAATAAATAAACTAGCCAGGCATGGCAGGAGGCTGAGGTGGGAGGATCGCTTGAGCTCAGGAGATCGAGGCTGCAGTGAGCTGTGATTGCGCCACTGCACTCTAGCCTGGGTGACAGAGTGAGACTCTGTCTCAAAACAAACAAAATCCCCCCCTCCAAAATTTCTTTGTCCAGGGATGGCAAGTGCCATGAGTGGAGGGGGGAATGGGGAGATTCAGGGGATCGGTGGCAGTTGAGGCAGCCCCAACACTTCCAGAAAGAAAACCCCCGAGTAATCCGAAAGTCACAGAGTGAGAACACTGAGTGCCTGGATGTGGGGAGGAAAAGGAGGAAACACAACGGGGTCCTGCACCCTTCAGAGTGCTTGACCACGTGGTCTGGAGTCTTCTGGGTTGTTGATAGCCATTCTCTCTCCCATCAGTTCCGTGTAGGAGAAAAGCATAATGCCCTTAACATGCTAATGCTTATTTCTCAGAGAAGATAGAAAAGAGTCATCTCAGAGAATTCTAAAGCAGTCTTGATTACGTTTCCTCTTCTGGGAAAAGTGAGCCCATCTCCTGCTGAAGACACGAGCTTAGAACCTGTCATTGAGCAGTGGACCTGATCCCACCTGGGCATCAACCAACCTCACCTGCAGCCTGCTCTCGCCAAGTCTCAAGCCCTTTAAAAGGGATAATAGCAAACACTTCTACAGTGCTTGCTGTGTACCAGGCACTGTTTCAGGTGCATTATATGCATTAACCCATTCGATCCTCACAATTTCCCTATGTGATACTGTTGTTATATTCATTTGTACAGATAAGGAAATTGAGGTGCCTTGCCCAAAATCACAGATAGTAAGTGGCGGAGCCAGGATTCAAATTCAAGAAGACCTGATCTACTCCACACTTTTAATCACTATATCTAACTTCGTTTGTAGGAAAAGAGTATGAATAATAGTGACTATTCGGTAGCCATACTTTATCAGTTAGCTATTGTTGCATAACCAACTAACTCAAAACTCAGCAGCATAAAACCAGAATCATTTAACTCATGACTATATTAGTTTTATATATTACTGTAACACAGGCATTTTAGTAGGCTAGGGAGCGAGCAGCTATAGGCTGGGCTTGACTTATCTTGGCTAGACTCACTTGTGCATCTATGAGTCAATCGGGAACTTTGTTCTGGAAAGGGCTAGGCCACCTTAACTGAGGTATTTTGGCTCCATATGTCTCTTATTCTGCAATGCAGGAGGAATCAGGCAAGGACTCGTGAAGCCTTATCTCAGAACAGGCACATCCTTCCTTCTGCCTTTTTTTTTTTTTTTTTTTTTGAGATGGAGTTTTGTTCTTGTTGCCCAGGCTGGACTGCAATGGTGAGATCTCGGCTCATGGCAACCTCCAGCTCCCAGATTCAAGTGATTCTCCTATCTCAGCCTCCCAAGTATCTGGGATTACAGGCACCTGCCACCACGCCCAGCTAATTTTTTTTTGTATTTTTAGTAGAGATGGGGTTTCACCATATTGGCCAGGCTGGTCTCAAACTCCTGACCTCAGGTGATCCGCCCGCCTCGGCCTCCCAAACTGTTGGGATTACAGGCATGAACCACCGCCCCCAGCGCTTCTGCCTTATTCTATTGGTCAGAGTGAGTTGCATGATGTTCTGAGCTGTTTGTGTCACTTAAAACGTACATGTTGAATCCCTAACACTCAATGTCATGTTTGGAAGTGGGGTGAAATGGGGGTAAATGGGGGTGAAACTCCCAAGATGCTAATGGTGTCCTTACATGAAAAAGAAGAGACAAAATTCTCTCTCTCTGCACCATATGAGGACACAATGAGAAGGAGGCCATCTACAAGCCAGGAAGAGGAACTTCACCAGAATTTGACCATGCTGGTGCCCTGATCTTGGACTTCCAGTCTCCAAAACTGTGAGAAACTTCCATTGTTCAAGCCACCCAGTTTGTAGTATTTTGTTCTGGCAGCCTGAGATGATGAAGACACATAGGGAGAGAAAATATACATCACCTGTATGGGAGGAACTCTGAAGTCACCTGCTAAAGACTATAGCTACAGAGAGAGAGGAAGTGGGGCTATTACTGCAATCCTATTTCAGTCTTACAAAGATACATTGACTGTAGCCTCTAGAAAAATGGGAGAAACAAACTTTCAAAATCCAAAGTCATGGACATCACTGAAGGAGAAGTAGGTAGGAATAGAGATGGAGACATAAACTTTCTATAGATCTCACTTTATTTTTCAGTTGCCAATCTTGTTCTAAGTAAAAAAAAAAAACTCATAGAGCAGAGAAAATGGAATCTGTCTTAAAAAGATGGCTGACATTAGAGAAAAGGCATTTAGGTGACAGGACTTTTTCAATCTCACAGCTAAAAACAGATCCAGGCTGCATGGCTTAAATTGAGTGGCTTATTCCCCTGCATTTATTGTAGATGTTTATGACCAGCCCAGAGTTTTCTTCCACACTTGTAACGAAGTGATGGAGGGGTAAGATGAGGATAACACTGGCCTGCTTCTCAATTTTAGATTATCTTCCAGAAACTCGAGTACACAGCCACAGAAATCATCCCCAGTAATTTCAAGTTGGCAGAGCCAAGCTAATTATCTGCAATTTCATCTGTCAAAATAGTTTGGAAAATTCTCACGTGTTAGGGGAGTGAGTCTGACGGGTGGGCATTGCCAATGCTCCAGAATTTTCACAAGTTAGAAAAGGAGTTAGATATTGGCCTTTGGTAAAGGGCATTTCCCCATCATTTTTTGGAACCTGTATGTCTAAGCCACGGGTCATAGTCTTTGGCTGGCAGGGACTTGGGTTTGCCCTAGCTGAGCCATAGCTGGTGTGGCTGAACTAGAGAAACTGTGTGTACATTCCTGCAGATCCCCCTAGAGACATACAGATATCTTTTGTTTGTAGATATCTTTTCTAAGGCCCACATTCAGTGCAGACCAGTGTAAGACCTAAGTTTTTTCTTGTTTTGCTTTATTTGTTGCAGTTTTTTTTTTTTTTTTGAGACGGAGTCTTGCTCTTGTCGCTCAGGCTGGAGAGCAGTGGTGCGGTCTCGGCTCACTGCAACCTTTGCCTCCCGGGTTCAAGCGATTCTCTTGCCTCAGCCTCCTGAGTGGCTGGGATTACAGGGGCGCGCCACTATGCCAGGCTAATTTTTGTATTTTTTGTAGAGATGGGGGTTTTACCATGGTGGTCAGGCTGGTCTCGAGCGTCTGACCTCGTGATCTACCTGCCTCGGCCTCCCAAAGTGCTGGGATTACAGGCATGAGCCACCTAGCCCCACTTTAAGTCTTAAAAAGGTACAAGAACTGTGGGGTTATTATGGCTGGCACTGCTCTGATTGGTCAGTGCCACTCCTGTTTGGTGCCCCCTGCTGTTCACGTTAAATGTCTTCACTAGTATCCGTCTTCTAACTCAGCGCGAGTCTTGTTGCCCCGCCAAGTCCGTGCTGCATCTTTCCCTGGGAGGCTGACATTTCTGGATCAAGGATACCCTAGTCTTACAGCTTGCTGTTGGGTTTGATCACTGAAGGGCACCAGCAGGGGACTGAAAATCAGAGAGGAGGTGTCGGGGTAAGTAAATTAGTCCCCTGCCTGCCTTTTGCAACAGCCAGTTAGTAGCTATGTTCCTCCACAGGAGCTGCAGCTCCCACCAGCCACAGCCACAGCCCTCTCCGTGATTCCAGGAGCCACTGGTCCACGTCTACCTTCTGCCCTGGCGGTGGTAAGAGCCCCAGCCAAGGACAGAATGCACCTACGCCTTTTTAAGTAGACCCTAAATCCATCTCTTCCTACCAGGACATGACTATTCCAAGCACTTAAAAAAAAGTGGAGGTGGAAAGCAGAATGTTATAGGTAGTACATTAGTAAAATAACAATAAACAGTGACAACATCAACACAGACTTCTTTCTTGTTTCATTCGAGGTGATATGTAGAAACAGCTAAAGCAGACCACCTGCCTTCTCTTCCTTTTCTCTCCCTGCCTCTTTTCTTCCTTTTCTTTTACTCCCTCTTTTTTCTTCTCTCCTCCATCTCATTCTCTCTCCTCTCCTTCCTTCTTTTCCCCCTTATTCTCTCCCTCTCTCTCTCCTTCCATCCTTCAGCCCCAGTAGGGCCTATTCTGTACCAGGGCCTGTGCTAGGCACTGAGGAAGCAGAGGTGAGTTAGGCAGTCTTTGCCTTCAAAGAGATCACTGCCTAGGACTTAGCCATCACAGCAGTGCAAAGTAGACTGGACTGAACAGAAGCTCCTGAGTCTGCAAAGCTAGGTCATATCCCTGTCTGTCACTCACTAGCTGGGTGACCTTGGGCATATCAGTCTAACTTATCCAATACTGTCCCCATATCTGTAAGAGAGGAACACTTCCTACCCACCTCACAGAGTTCTTACTGCGTTCAACAAGATAATATATGCAAAGCACTAATACCAGCCCAACATATAGTAAGGACTGAGAAACAGTGGGAGTTAGCTCCCTTCTTCAGTGGAGGGAAAGAATGACAATATCACTTAGTGGTGAAGAGTGTTAAGATTGTAAAGGAGCTACTTAACCTCTGGGTTTAAATGGGGTTAATATAAACTACCTTCGATCCTATCTATATTTTCCCAGGAGTGTTATGACAGTCATATGTGATAACGTGTGTAAGGCTTTAGATTATAAAAATGATAAAAGTATCAACCAAATACCATCACTTATTATTACATAATGTTGATTTATATTTAAAAAAGCTTTTCAGTTGTTTCCTTCAATCACTGGGTAGGTGACTCTTTCTACCCCCATCCCAGATTCCTTCATTATTTATTTATTGGCAATCTTGAAATAGTCTGGCCAGGAGAATATTGGAAATCCATTTGTCTGCTGAAATGGCAGTGATGGCAAGAGAGTCCCAGGGTCTCAGGCCATTGCCATTCCCCTTGACATAAGATCACATGCCATCTTAATGGCCCTAGGAGCTTTTGCATCTTTTGAACACTAAAGCAAATAGGAAAATCAGCATCATTGCGTTAACGCACTAACCAAGCCCACCTTTGTACTGCTGGCATGTGTGTGGGGGGGTCCTCACCATAAAAAAGGTTCTTTTCTTCCGTCCTGCCCATTTGGTGACAAGAGAACATCAAAAAGCCTGAAGCAGCTGCACAGCAAAAGATAAATGCCAATCAAGGCTGCCTGCCTTTGATCATCAAATCCTTAACAGCAAAGCTCTAATTCTCCTGATACCATTAAAATGAGTTTAAAGGGCTTTCCAACTACATTAAAAAAACACACACATTTCTTTCAGCTGGGGAGTTTACAGGTAAAAGTTTTCATGACTTTTTTTTTTTTTTTTTTTTGAGATTGGGTCTGGCTCTGTCACTCAGGCGGGAGTGTGGAGTGCAGTGGCTTACTGCAACCTCTGCATCCTGGGATCAAGTGATCCTCCCACTTCAGCCTCCCTCCATGACTTTTAGAAATAGCAATTCTCTCTGATTTAGGTCCTCAATGCTAGCAATATAATCCTGGGGTACTTCTAAGAAAACATCCAAGCACAGATATTAATTGTCAGAGACTGGGGAGGGTGCCACTTGTCACCCTGCAAATGTGTCCCCTGGAATAAGCAACTATGGCAAACTCTTCGTGAGGCTACTATGAACTATTATTCTACAAAGCGTGTATTTCCTTGATATTTGAAGGAATACGGTTGATTTCCTTGGCCCCAAAGGCACACAGAGGATCCTCAGTACCAAACGGCTTCTCTAAAATGCAATGATGTCTGTAAGAGTTCGTGACCTAAATATTTTTATTTTATGCTTTTATTCTTGCTACATACTGATAATCATGATGATAATAGCAATATAGCATCTATTATTTGGTGGGCATTTACTTTGTTCTTTGCAGAAGTGACTTCAGCGTTCTCAAACTTGTGAAATAGATCAACAAGAGGTGATACACGAGATGGTTCCTTGGGCAAAAATACTTTGAGAAAGTGCCTGTTTGGAGCCCTGACAAGTCCTGTGGCATGAATGTGAACTTTGACCGTTTGATTTGACAAGGATGAATGCCTGCAAGAAAAGAACTCAGAGAGATGGTGGAACCTTAAAAACAAACAATATTCAAGTTTGCACAAATGAGCCAGCAGAGAACAGTCCGGAAGGAGGGGCTGCAGAATGCTGTCTTTCCCTTGCGCTTGACTTCACATTTATTGACCACTGCACCATGGAAGGAAGTCCCTAGAGCAGAAAGAAAGCCAAAGGCAAACAATACCCTCCCCTCCTGACCAGAAGACCCCAACTAGAAAATGTATACACTTATTCAGTGGATTGGAGCAGTGATGCCTGGTCTGGTCGCCATTAGAATCACCATGAGAATTACAAAAACAGGACTCTTGATTCCACTGGGCTAAACTAGCAATTCTTAACTAGTGCAGTTTTGTCCCCCCACCCCCACACCCGCCTCCGCCCAGGGGACATTTGGCAATGTTCGCAGACTTTTTCTCTATTGTCATGACCGAGGTGTGCTACTGGCATCTAGTGGGTAAAGGTCAGGGATGCTGTGAAACCTCCGACAATGCACAGGACACTCCCACAACAAAGAATGATGTGGCCCCAAATAATGGAGCCATGGCTCAGAAATCATGGCCAGATGGAAGCTTGGGGAAGGGCAGAGACACCCTGCCAGGCTACTTGGATGCTGTATATCCAGCACCCTCCACAGGGTCTGGTGTGCAATCGTCCCGCCTTGAACATCTGAAGACTGACCGGCCAACTAGGAACCGAATCCAGCTACAGGAGAGATGATGGCACCACTTCTGACAATCAAGGGAAGGCACCACTCAGTCGCTCCCTATTACAGAGTCATCGTGCAGGCTGGAGAAGGCTGAGTCATTACTAGATATGCTGTAATATATATGTACATGTCCACCCCATATACACTTACCTTTTCTTTCTAAAACTTTTGACAAAGACATAAGGATTTTCCTCTTAATAATTTTGTGGTCTTCTCTGGAAGCCTCTCTTTGAAGCCATTGGCTCAGGGGATAAAGAGGCTTAAACTGCGTTTAAAGGCTATCACCTTTGGCTTTCACATCTTGGCTACACTCTTCACACCTCCCTTAAAGTTAAAGGAATCTGTTGTTCCTGCTGGAATCAGTGGCAGCTCCCAAGGACTTGTCATATTCCTGGATGCCAGAGTTCACAGCTATCCAGTCATGATTTAGTTCAAGTGGGGATTTGGAGAAGTGAGACAGAGAATTATGAGTGCAAGTACGGTCATCCCATATCTACTAGTGTGTGTCCAGGGTTGACATTGTGAGGAGTGAAAAAGGAATAAAAACACTCAGGTTTTCACCTCTAGAAGCAAGAAAATTTTTTTAAAAAGGGAAAAAATAACTACTCAGGAATGGAATACCCTGCCCCCAGCACAAAGAGAATAAACAAAAGCCTGAATCTTACTGAGACGTCAAGGCCCCTGTATGTGTCTCCTGAGCCCATTTGTGTCAATGATTATCTATACAAACTTTATTTAGGGGGAGTTGGTACCAGTGTTAACTGTGAACTAACAGGGATGGGATTTCTGGGAATGTTTCCTTTCTAATGGATTTTCTGGTTGTATTTTTAAGGTGGTGCCAATAGGATGTACTGACAGATCAGAAGTGGTCGTGAGAGAAGGAGCAAGTAGCCAGAAGAGTGAAGTGTGCACTGGCTGAGATGTGGGAGCAGGTGTTGTTGGTTTCCCCGGAGTAAGTTACCTTGAGTGAGTTAAGGTTAAGATATCCCAGGGGTGAGGTTGAGCAGGCAGTTGTGTATGTGACCCTGGGGAAAGTCTAGCTGAAGATACAAAGATGGGATGAGATCACCAAGGAGTAAGTGTCTTTAGCAAAGAGAAGAGACCAAGGACTGAATCTGGATACCTCAACATTTGGAGTCAGAGCCTGAAAAGGATCCCTCAAAAGTGCCCAAGAAGCAGCAGAATGAGGAAAGACAGCCCAGGGAGTGTGGCACAGCTGCTCCTCACCACTTCAGGCTCCCCTGGAGTCCAATGCACTGGGGCCTCATTCCTGGGTATTATAATTGCCTCCTAAGTGGCCTCTGGCTTATGTCTCCTACCCCAGTTGATGTTCATCACATCAGCCAGAGTGGCTCTGTTAACACCCAAGCCAGTTCCTGCCCATCTGCTGAGAATCTTCAAGGGCTTTCACCTCACTCTGAGTCGAAGCCAATATCTTCACAATGGCCTGGCCCTTTGCCAACTGCTGTGGTTTAAATGTTTGTACCCTTCAAAACTTAGGTTGAAATTTGCTTGGCAACATGGTGGTGGCAGGAGGTGGAACCTTTGGGATGTGATAGGGCCAAGGGCTCTGCCCTCAGGGGTAGGATTAATGCTGTTACAAAAGAGCAAGTTTGACTTTCTTTTGCCTCTTTGCCCTTCTACCTTCCTTCCTGGGAGGATGCAGCAAGAAGGCCCTCGCCAGATATCAAGGCCTTAAGCTTGGACTTCCCAGCCTCCAGAACTGTGAGTCAATAAATTTGTTTATTAAAAATCACCCAGTCTCAAGCAGCACAGGTGGACTAAGACACCACCTCTCTGAATTTACCTCCAGCTACTCTGGTGTTTACTGAGTCCAGCAATACAAAACATGATCCTCCCTCAGGGCATTCACAAATGCTGTTCTCCCTGCATGGAATGCTCATCCCCCAAAACATTTGCACAGCTTTCTTCCTCACTTCCTTCAGATCTTTATTCCAGTGGCACCCCTTGGTGAGGCCTCCCTGGCTTCCCTATGCAACATTTTAACTCTTATCCACCTCTCATGATTTCGCCCTTTCCAAGGAGGTACTTATATTTTCTTCGAAGTTTACATTATAAATCATACTGTACATTTTTCTTAATCTTATTTTCTGTCTTTTCCAGTAGACTATAAGCTCCAGATGTACAAGAGCCTGTTTTTTGTATGTTTTACTCACTGCTTCATCTCCAGAGCTAGATCATTGTTGAGCACCTAGTAGAGGCTCAATACATGATTAATCGCAATTAAAATTTGCTATAATTTGATTTGTTTTTATTTACATGTAGCTGATTTTGTTTTTGCAAATGGAAAAAAAACAGTGAAATTTATTTATTTATTTCTCACATTCTAAAATATGCCCACGTACTTATTTGGTTTTGATCCACTTACTTTTTTTAATTTTTAATTTTTGTGCATACATAGTAGGTGTGTATATTTATGGGGTCCATGAGCTATTTTGATACAGGCATGCAATGCATAATGGTCACAGCAGGGTAAATGGGGTACCCATCACCTCCAGCATTTATCCTTTGTGTTACAAACAATTCAATTTTACTCTTTTAGTTATTTTTAAATGTGCAATTAAATTATTTTTTTACTATAATCACCCTGTTGTGCTAGATCTTACTCACCCTTTCTAGCTATTCTTTTTGTACCCATTATCCATCCCCACTCCCTACCCCTCCACCTCTCCTCTTGACTACCCTTCCCAGCCTCTGGTAACCATCCTTCTACTCTCTATCTCCATGAGTTAAATTGTTTTAATTTTTAGCTCCCATAAGTAAGTGAGAATATGTGAAGTATGACTTTCTGTGCCTGGCTTATTTCACTTAACATAATGGCCTCCAGTTTCATCCATGTTGTTACAAATGACAGGATCTTGTTCTTTTTATGGCTGAATAGTACTCCATTGTGTATGTGTAACATTTTTTTTTATCCATTCATCTGTTGATGAATATAGGTTGCCTCCAAACCTTGACTATTGTGACTAGATCTGCAACAAACACCGGAGTGCAGATATCACTTTGATATACAGATTTCCTTTCTTTTCAGTATATACCTAGGAGTGGGATTGCTGAATCATATAGTAGCTCTATTTTTAGTTTTTTTGAGAAACCTTCAAACTCTTTTCCTTTGTGATTGTACTAGTTTATATTCCCATCTACAATGTACGAGGGTTCCTTTTTCTCAACATCCTCACCAGCATTTGTTATTGCCTGACTTTTGGAGAAAAGCCATTTTAGCAGAGGTGAGATGATACCTCATTGTAGTTTTGATTTGCATTTCTCTGATGATCAATAATGTTGAGCACCTTTTCATATACCTACTTGCCATTTGTATGTCTTCTTTTGAGAAATGTCTATTCAGATCTTTTGCCCATTTTTAATCAAATTATTAGATTTTTTTTTCCTGTAGAGTTGTTTGAGTGCCTTATATAATCTGCTTATTAATCCCTTGTGAAATGGGTAGTTTGAAATATTTTATCTCATTCTGTGGGTTTTCTATTCACTTTGTTGATTGTTTCCTTTGCTATGCAGAAGCCTTTTAATTTGATGTGATCCTATTTGTCCCTTTTTGCTTTGGTTGCCTGTGCTTGTGGGATATTACTCAAGAAATCTTTGCCCAGTCCAATGTCCTGGAGAGTTTCCCTAATGTTTTCTTTTAGTAGTATCATAGTTTTAGGTCTTATATTTAAGTCTGTAATTCTTCTTGATTTGATTTTTGTATATTTTTAGAGATAGGGGTCTAGTTTCATTCTTCTGCATATGGATATCCAGTTTTCCCTGCATCATTTATTGAAGAGACTTTTTTTCCCAGTGTATGCTCTTGGCATGTTTGTCAAAAATGAGCTCATCATAGATGTATCTATTTATCTCTGGGTTCTCTGTTCCACTGATCTATGTGTCTATTTTTATGCCAGTACTGTACTGTTTTGGCTACTATAACTCTGTAGTATATTTTAAAGTCAAGTAATGTGATTCCTCCAGTTTTGTTCTTTTTGTTTAGGATAGCCTTGGCTATTCAGGGTCTTTTGTGGTTCCATATGAAGTTTAGAATTGTTTCTTCTAGGGGGGAAGAGCCAAGATGTCTGAATAGAAACAGCTCCGGTCTACAGCTCCCAGCGTGAGCAATGCAGAAGACAGGTGATTTCTGCATTTCCATCTGAGGTACCGGGTTCATCTCACTAGGGAGTGCCAGACAGTGGGCGCAGGTCAGGGGGTGCTCGCACCGTGTGCCAGCCGAAGCAGGGCGAGGCATTGCCTCACTCGGGAAGCGCAAGGGATCAGGGAGTTCCCTTTCCTAGTCAAAGAAAGGGGTGACAGACGGCACCTGGAAAATCGGGTCACTCCCACCCGAATACTGCGCTTTTCCGATGGGCTTAAAAAACGGCACACCAGGAGATTATATCCCGCACCTGGATCGGAGGGTCCTACGCCCACGGAGTCTCGCTGATTGCTAGCACAGCAGTCTGAGATCAAACAGCAAAGCGGCAGTGAGGCTGGGAGAGGGGCGCCCGCCATTGCCCAGGCTTGCTTAGGTAAACAAAGCAGCCGGGAAGCTCGAACTGGGTGGAGCCCACCACAGCTCAAGGAGGCCTGCCTGCCTCTGTAGGCTCCACCTCTGGGGGCAGGGCACAGACAAACAAAAAGACAGCAGTAATCTCTGCAGACTTAAATGTCCCTGTCTGACAGCTTTGAAGAGAGCAGTGGTTCTCCCAGCACGCAGCTGGAGATCTGAGAACGGGCAGACTGCCTCCTCAAGTGGGTCCCTGACCCCTGAACCCCGAGCAGCCTAACTGGGAGGCACCCCCCAAGCAGGGGCAGACTGACATCTCACATGGCCGGGTACTCCAACAGACCTGCAGCTGAGGGTCCTGTCTGTTAGAAGGAAAACTAACAAACAGAAAGGACATCCACACCAAAAACCCATCTGTACATCACCATCATCAAAGACCAAAAGTAGATAAAACCACAAAGATTGGGAAAAAACAGAGCAGAAAAACTGGAAACTCTAAAAGGCAGAGCACCTCTCCTCCTCCAAAGGAACGCAGTTCCTCACCAGCAACAGAACAAAGCTGGACGGAGAATGACTTTGACGAGCTGAGAGAAGAAGGCTTCAGATGATCAAATTACTCTGACCTACGGGAGGACATTCAAACCAAGGGCAAAGAAGTTGAAAACTTTGAAAAAAATTTAGAAGAATGTATAACTAGAATAACCAATACAGAGAAGTGCTTAAAGGAGCTGATGGAGCTGAAAACCAAGGCTTGAGAACTACATAAAGAATGCAGAAGCCTCAGGAGCTGATGCGATCAACTGGAAGAAAGGGTATCAGCGATGGAAGATGAAATGAATGAAATGAAGCGAGAAGGGAAGTTTAGAGAAAAAAATAAAAAGAAACGAGCAAAGCCTCCCAAGAAATATGGGACGATGTGAAAAGACCAAATCTATGTCTGACTGGTGTACCTGAAAGTGACGGGGAGAATGGAACCAAGTTGGAAAACACTCTGCAGGATATTATCCAGGGGAACTTCCCCAATCCAGCAAGGCAGGCCAACATTCAGATTCAGGAAATACAGAGAACGCCACAAAGATACTCCTTGAGAAGAGCAACTCCAAGACACATAATTGTCAGATTCACCGAAGTTGAAATGAAGGAAAAAATGTTAAGGGCAGCCAGAGAGAAAGGTCATGTTACCCTCAAAGGGAAGCCCATCAGACTAACAGCGGATATCTCGGCAGAAACTCTACAAACCAGAAGAGAGTGGGGGCCAATATTCAACATTCTTAAAGAAAAGAATTTTCCACCCCGAATTTCATATCCAGCCAAACTAAGCTTCATAAGTGAAGGAGAAATAAACTACTTTACAGACAAGCAAATGCTGAGAGATTTTGTCACCACCAGGCCTGCCCTAAAAGAGCTCCTGAAGGAAGTGCTAAACATGGAAAGGAACAACTGGTACCAGCCACTGCAAAATCATGCCAAAATGTAAAGACCATTGAGACTAGGAAGAAACTGCATCAACTAACGAGCAAAATAACCAGCTAACATCATCATGACAGGATCAAATTCACACATAACAATATTAACTTTAAATGTAAATGGACTAAATGCTCCAATTAAAAGACACAGACTGGCAAATTGGATAAAGAGTCAAGACCCATCAGTGTGCTGTATTCAGGAAACCCATCTCATGTGCAGAGACACACATAGGCTCAAAATAAAAGGATGGAGGAAGATCTACCAAGCAAATGGAAAACAAAAAAAGGCAGGGGTTGCAATCCTAGTCTCTGATAAAACAGACTTTAAACCAACAAAGATCAAAAGAGACAAAGAAGGCCATTACATCATGGTAAAGGGATCAATTCAACAAGAAGAGCTAACTATCCTAAAAATATATGTACCCAATACAGGAGCACCCAGATTCATAAAGCAAGTCCTGAGTGACCTACAAAGAGACTTAGACTCCCACACATTAATAATGGGAGATTTTAACACCCCACTGTCAACATCAGACAGATCAACGAGACAGAAAGTCAACAAGGATACCCAGGAATTGAACTCAGCTCTGCACCAAGCGGACCTAATAGACATCTACAGAACTCTCCACCCCAAATCAACAGAATATACATTTTTTTCAGCACCACACCACACCTATTCCAAAATTGACCACATAGTTGGAAGTAAAGCTCTCCTCAGCAAATGTAAAAGAACAGAAATTATAACAAACTATCTCTCAGACCACAGTGCAATCAAACCAGAACTCAGGATTAAGAATCTCACTCAAAACCGCTCAACTACATGGAAACCAAACAACCTGCTCCTGAATGACTACTGAGTACATAATGAAATGAAGGCAGAAATAAAGATGTTCTTTGAAACCAACGAGAACAAAGACACAACATACCAGAGTCTCTGGGACACATTCAAAGCAGTGTGTGGAGGGAAATTTATAGCACTAAATGCCCACAAGAGAAAGCAGGAAAGATCCAAAATTGACACCCTACCATCACAATTAAAAGAACTAGAAAAGCAAGAGCAAACATATTCAAAAGCTAGCAGAAGGCAAGAAATAACTAAAATCAGAGCAGAACTGAAGGAAATAGAGACACAAAAAATCTTTCAAAAAATTAATGAATCCAGGAGCTGGTTTTTTGAAAGGATCAACAAAATTAATAGACCGCTAGCAAGACTAATAAAGAAAAAAAGAAGAACCAAATAGACGAAATAAAAAATGATAAAGGGGTTATCACCACTGATCCCACAGAAATACAAACTACCATCAGAGAATACTACAAACACCTCTACGCAAATAAACTAGAAAATCTAGAAGAAATGGATAAATTCCTCGACACATACACTCTCCCAAGACTAAACCAGGAAGAAGTTGAATCTCTGAATAGACCAATAACAGGATCTGAAATTGTGGCAATAATCAATAGCTTACCAACCAAAAAGAGTCCAGGACCAGATGGATTCACAGCCGAATTCTACCAGAGGTACAAGGAGGAACTGGTACCATTCCTTCTGAAACTATTCCAATCAATAGAAAAAGAGGGATTCCTCCCTAACTCATTTTATGAGGCCAGCATCATCCTGATACCAAAGCCGGGCAGAGACACAACCAAAAAAGAGAATTTTAGACCAATATCCGCGATGAACATTGATGCAAAAATCCTCAATAAAATACTGGCAAACCGAATCCAGCAGCACATCAAAAAGCTTATCCACCATGATCAAGTGGGCTTCATCCCTGGGATGCAAGGCTGGTTCAATATACCTAAATCAATAAATGTAATCCAGCATATAAACAGAACCAAAGACAAAAACCACATGATTATCTCAATAGAGGCAGAAAAGGCCCTTGACAAAATTCAACAACCTTTCATGCTAAAAACTCTCAATAAATTAGGTATTGATGGGACGTATTTCAAAATAGTAAGAGCTATCTATGACAAACCCACAGCCAATATCATACTGAATGGGCAAAAACTGGAAGCATTCCCTTTGAAAACTGGCACAAGACAGGAATGCCCCCTCTCACCACTCCTATTCAACATAGTGTTGGAAGTTCTGGCCAGGGCAATTAGGCAGGAGAAGGAAATAAAGGGTATTCAATTAGGAAAAGAGGAAGTCAAATTATCCCTGTTTGCAGATGACATGATTGTATATCTAGAAAACCCCATTGTCTCAGCCCAAAATCTCCTTAAGCTGATAAGCAACTTCAGCAAAGTCTCAGGATACAAAATCAATGTACAAAAATCACAAGCATTCTTATACACCAATAACAGACAAACAGAGAGCCAAATCATGAGTGAACTCCCATTCACAATTGCTTCAAAGAGAATAAAATACCTAGGAATCCAACTTACAAGGGATGTGAAGGACCTCTTCAAGCAGAGCTACAAACCACTGCTGAAGGAAATAAAAGAGGATACAAACAAATGGAAGAACATTCCATGCTCATGGGTAGGAAGAATCAATATTGTGAAAATGGCCATACTGCCCAAGGTAATTTACAGATTCAATGCCATCCCCATCAAGCTACCAATGACTTTCTTCACAGAATTGGAAAAACTACTTTAAAGTTCATATGGAATCAAAAAAGAGCCCATATAGCCAAGTCAATCCTAAGCCAAAAGAACAAAGGCGGAGGCATCACAGTACCTGACTTCAAACTATACTACAAGGCTACAGTAACCAAAACAGCATGGTACTGGTACCAAAACAGAGAGAGAGATCAATGGAACAGAACAGAGCCCTCAGAAATAATGCCGCATATCTACAACTATCTGATCTTTGACAAACCTGAGAAAAACAAGCAATGGGGAAAGGATTCCCTATTTAATAAATGGTGCTGGGAAAACTGGCTAGCCATATGTAGAAAGCTGAAACTGGATCCCTTCCTTACACCTTATACAAAAATCAATTCAAGATGGATTAAAGACTTAAATGTTAGACCTAAAACCATAAAAACCCTAGAAGAAAACCTAGGCTTTACCATTCAGGATGTAGGCATGGGCAAGGACTTCATATCTAAAACACCAAAAGCAATGGCAACAAAAGACAAAATTGACAAATGGGATCTAATTAAACTAAAGAGCTTCTGCACAGCAAAAGAAACTACCATCA
Source organism: Homo sapiens (assembly GCF_000001405.40). Classification (NCBI taxonomy): domain Eukaryota; kingdom Metazoa; phylum Chordata; class Mammalia; order Primates; family Hominidae; genus Homo; species Homo sapiens. The sequence goes on along the minus strand of NC_000001.11, from coordinate 14,383,277 downwards.
GAGTGAACAGGCAACCTACAAAATGGGAGAAAATTTTCACAACCTACTCATCTGACAAAGGGCTAATATCCAGAATCTACAATGAACTCAAACAAATTTACAGGAAAAAAACAACCCCATCAAAAAGTGGATGAAGGATATGAACAGACACTTCTCAAAAGAAGACATTTATGCAGCCAAAAAACACATGAAACAATGCTCACCATCACTGGCCATCAGAGAAATGCAAATCAAAACCACAACGAGATACCATCTCACACCAGTTAGAATGGCAATCATTAAAAAGTCAGGAAACAACAGGTGCTGGAGAGGATGTGGAGAAATAGGAACACTTTTACACCGTTGGTGGGACTGTAAACTAGTTCAACCATTGTGGAAGTCAGTGTGGCGATTTCTCAGGGATCTAGAACTAGAAACACCATTTGACCCAGCCATCCCATTACTGGGTATATACCCAAAGGACTATAAATCATGCTGCTATAAAGACACATGCACACGTATGTTTATTGCGGCATTATTCACAATAGCAAAGACTTGGAACCAACCCAAATGTCCAACAACGATAGACTGGATTAAGAAAATGTGGCACATATACACCATGGAATACTATGCAGCCATAAAAAATGATCAGTTCATGTCCTTTGTAGGGACATGGATGAAATTGGAAATCATCATTCTCAGTAAACTATCGCGAGAACAAAAAACCAAACACCGCATATTCTCACTCATAGGTGGGAATTGAACAATGAGAACACATGGACACAGGAAGGGGAACATCACACTCTGGGGCCTGTTGTGGGGTGGGGGGAGGGGGGAGGGATAGCATTGGGAGATATACCTAATGCTAGATGACGAGTTAGTGGGTGCAGCGCACCAGCATGGTACATGTATACATATGTAAGTAACCTGCACATTGTGCACATGTACCCTAAAACTTAAAAGTATAATAAAAAAAAGAATTGTTTCTTCTATTTCTGTGAAGAATGGTATTTTGATATTGTTATTTTGATAGGGACTGCATTAAATCTGTAGATTGCATTGGGTAGTATGGACATTTAAGCAATATTGATTGTTCCAATCCTTGAAAATGGAATATCTTTTTTTTGGTGTCTTCTTCAATTTCTTGCATCAATATTTTATAGTTTTCATTGTAGAGATTTTTCCCTTTAGTTAATTCCTAGGTATTTTATTTGTAGCTATTGTCAGTGGGATTACTTTCTTGATTTCGTTTTCAGATTGTTCACAGTTGGGATATATAAGTGCTACTGATTTTTGTATCTTGATTTTGTATCCTGCAACTTTACTAAATATGTTGATCAGTTCTAATAGTTTTTTGGTGGAGTCTTATGTTTTTTCCAAATATAAGATTGTATCATCTTCAAACAAGGATATTTGACTTCTTCCTTTCCAATTTGGATGCTCTTTATTTCATTCTCTTGTCTTCTGGTTGCTCTAACTATAACTTCCAGTACTATTTTGAATAACAGTGGTGACAGTGGGCATCCTTGTTGTGTTCCTGATCTTAGAGAAAAGGCTTTCCGTTTTTTCCCATTCAGCATGATATTAACTATTGGTCTTTTATATATGGCTTTTATTATGTTGTGTTATGTTCCTTCTATACCTAGTTTTTTGAGGGTTTTTATCATGAATGGCTGTTGAATTTATCGGCTACTTTTTCAGCATCAATTGAAATGATCATATGGTTTTTGTCCTTTAGTCCATTGATATGATGTATCAGATTAATTGATTTGCATGTGTTGAACCATTCTTGCATCCTGAGGATAAATCCCACTTGGTCATAATGAACAGTCTTTTTAATGTGTTGTTGAAGTCGGTTTTCTAGTGTTTTGTTCAATATTTTTGTGTCAGTATTCATCAGTGATATTGGCCTACAATTTTTTTTTTTTGATTGTCCGGTTTTGGTAGCAGGGTAATACTGGCATCATAGGATGAGTTTAGAATGGCTCATGGTTCAGTCCTTGTAGGTTGCATCTCTCTCTTTAGCTCTAATAATATTTGCTTTATATATCTGAGTGCTCCAGTGTTGGGTGCACATATATGTAAAATTGTTATACCTTTCTGATGTATCAATCCCTTTGTCATTATATAGTCAGCTTCTTTGACTCTTACAGTTTTTGTCTATATATACACACATACATACCTGGGTGCTCCAGTGGTGGCTTGGCAATACTCTCCATAGCTCTGTGGGATGATGGCCATGGGATGAGACTCCTCTGCCTCAGAAGGGGAGGGAAGAATGGGAAGGACTATGTTGCCAGATGTATGTCATTTATTTTCTCTCACTACTTTTAGGATCCTTTGTTTATCCTTGATGTTTGAAAGTTTGATTATTAAATGCCTTGATGTAGTCTTCTTTGGGTTAAACTGCTTGGTATTCTATAACTTTCTTGTATTTGGATATTGGTATCTTTCTCTAGGTTTGGGATGTTTTGTGTTATTATCCCTTTTACTAAACTTTCTACCCCTGTCTCTTTCTCTATCTCCTCTTTAGGGTTAATAAATTTTAGATTTGCCCTTTTGGGGCTATTTTTCTAGATCTCATAGGTGTGCTTCATTCTTTTTTATTCTTTTTCTTTTTGTTTCCTCTGACTGTGTATTTTCAAATGGTCTGTCTTCAGCCTCATTACTTATTTCTGCTGCTTGATCAATTCTGCTATTAAAAAACTCTGATGTATTTTTTAGTATGTTAATTGCGTTTTCCAACTCTAGAATTTCTGCTTGGTTCTTTTCAATTATTTCAACCTCTTTGTTAAATTTATCTGATAGAATTCTGATTTTCTTCTTTGTGTTATCTTGAATTTCTTTAAGTTTCTTCAACACAGCACTTTTGAATTCTTGGAAAGGTCACATATCTCTGTTTCTTCAAATAGGTTCCTGGTGTCTTATTTAGTTCATTTGTTGAGTTCATGTTTTCTTGGATGGTCTGGATGCTTATGTTTGTTTTTGTCTGGGTATTGAAGAGTTAGGTATTTATTGTAGTCTTCTCTATCTGGGCTTGTTTGTACCCATCCTTCTTGGAAAGGCTTTCCAGGTTTTCAAAATGACTTGAGTGTTGTGGTCTAAGTCATATCTGCATTAGGGGGCACCCCAAGCCCAATAGTGATGTGCTTCTTGCAGCCTCACAGAGGTACTGCCTTGGTAGTCTTGGATAAGATTCACAGGAATTCTCTGGATTACCAGGCAGACTCTTGTTCTTTTCCATTATGTTCTCTCAAACAAATGGAGTCTCTCTGTTCTGAGCTGTCTGGAGCTGGAGGTGGGGTGATATAAACACCTCTGTGCCCACCACCACCGGGACTGTGCTGGGTTAGACCTGAAGCCAGCATAACACTGGGTCTCGCCTAAGGCCCACTATAACCACTGCTTGGCTACTGCCTGTGTTTGCTCAAGGCCCTGGGGCTCCACAATCCAGCAAGTGGTGAAGCCAGCCAAGGTGGCAAGCTCCCCCAGGCACTAGGTCAGTCTAGAGATGCTGTCCAGGACTCAGGGATTAGAGTCAAAATCTTAGAAATCTACCTGGTGTTCTATTGTACTGTGGCTGAGCTGGCACTCAAACCATGAGACACAGTCCTTCCCATTCTTTCCTCCCCTTTCCACAGGCAGAGGAACCTCATCCCATGGCCACCACCCCCACAGGCCTATGGGGAGTATTGCCAGGCCACCATCAATATACCCTTAAGGTCCAATGGCTCTTCAGTCAGCTTATGGTGAATGTTGGCAGGCCTAGGACTCACCCTTCAGGACAGTGGTCTCTCCTCTGCCCCAGGGAAGGTGCATAGACGTTGTCTAAGAGCCAAGGCCTGAAATCAGGGACCCTGAAAGCCTGCTTGGTGCTTTACTTCTCTGTGGCTGAGCAGGTACCTAAGGTGAAAAACAAAGTCCTGTTTACTTTTCCCCCTACTTTTCTCAATCGGAAGGAGTCTCTCCCTGTAGCCATAGTAGCTGAGAATGTGCTGAGTCTCACCTGAAGCCAGCAAGCCTCAGAGTCTCACCCAAGGACCATGGTGTACTACTTGGTTATTTCTGCCAGTTGTTCAGGGCCCAAGGACTCTTTAGTCAGCAGGTGATGGGTCCTACGAGGACTGCATCCTTCCTTTCAGGCCAGTTGGTCTGCTTCTGGCCCAGCATGTGTCTAGAAATGTTGTCTGGGAGCTCAGGCCTGGAAATGGGGCCTCATGACTAACTGGTGCTGTATTGTGGCTGAGCTGGCATTCTAGATGCAGGTCAATGTCTTCTTTAGTCTTCCATCTTCTCTCCTCAAGCAGAAGGAAGGAATCTCTTTTGGAGCTGCAAGCTGTGCAGCCTCGGTTTGGCGGGGGATCAGTGCATGCACTCCCTTAGCTGTCCCAGCTGTTGTCTTAGTATGTCACATGCTCCCCAAGTCCATTGGTTCTGAGACCAGTTCAGCACAAGGACTTACCTAGGAGTTTCAATCTTTGTGGCCTAGACTGCCTTTCAAGTTTATTTAGAGTTTCAGAGCATTTTAGTCTTCAGTGGAAAGGCTTGCCAGAACTCAAGTTCCTACTGCCTGGATGGAATATCCCCCTCTGGCTAGGGCTGGTTTAAATATTCCCTCTGCGGGCAGGCATCTGCTGAGTTCAGCTTGGTTTTGCATTCTGCTGTGACGGGGCAGCACTGAGTTCAATGCAATGTCTCATAATTGCTGCACTCACCCTCTCATAAGGACTCAGATTCTCTCTTCATGCCATGCGGTCACTACCAGGAGATGGGAAAGGGGGTAATGTCGACAGTTTAAGACTCTTTCCTACTGTCTTCACTGCTCCTTTCAGCTATATAAAGTTAAAACCAGGAACTGGGAGTATTCACCTGATTTTTGGTTCTCATGAAGGTTGTTTCTTCGTGCAGATAGTTGTTAAATTGGGGGATGATTGGTGGAGACTTCTATTCAGCCAGCTTGCTCTGCTCCTCCTCCCGTTTACTTTTCTTTTAAAGGATAAGCCTTTTATTGTAGGTGGCTTCAAATTAACTTTGATAGTAAGAATTAATAATTGAAGTTTACTCCCATTACTGATAAGCATATTTTCCAAAATCTATCAGGTCTTGCTGAAATTCCATAAACGTCTTATGTGTTTGCTTACATGTTGTGTCATATGGGACCTAGTTCACTGGTGAATACCCAATGGTTAGAAGAGCACCTAGCACTGAGTAAGGTCTTACTAAACATTTGTTAAATTAATAAACAAATACATGAAAAAAAATACATTTAAAAATTCTGGCTCCAGCAATGGTTGGCCTACTAGGATCTTCATTTAAGCCAGTGGTTGTCAGCTGGGGGTAATTTTGTACTCCAGGGGACATTTGATAATGTCTGGAGACATTCTCAGTTTTTCCATTTGGGAAGAGACGATGTTACTGGCATCAAGTGGGTAGAGATCAGGGATGTTGCTAAAACCTGTAGACAGCCTCCGAGCACAAAGAATGAGCTGGCAGAATGAATAGTGCCGAAGTTGAGAAATGCTGACTTGAACCAAACAAGGTAGGTCATCACTATATGCCTGGGACCTCACCTGTGGCCATGGAGTTAGCAGCAGGCTTTCCATACTAGAAAAGTCAGTTGCATGCCCTAAACAGACATTAAATTTTGAAAACCTTAGTTTTGTTGCCCAGTAAAGCTTGCCAATGACTCACCAGTAGACAGTGTTATGTCAGCTGCAACAGCAGCTCTAACTACTGCCAGCGACCTGGCCCATTGTGAAAAATAGAGTATGAGGAGTCGAGATTGTTGAGAATTGAAAAGGCTAGAGACTGTTTCTCTGCTTGTTGGAACTGCTATTTCTTACGTTTTCTACTGTCATTGTTGCCATGGAGAACATTTTCTTTGAGCTAAAGGCGAATGAGACCAATCGCTCTCATAATGCACCGTCTTTCCACTGATGTGGTGGCCCCTTGGACCTGCCTCCTCCAATTTCTACAAGGCACCTTCACATTTGTCATCTCTGGAACAGACAGAAGCTTAAGGAATGGTCGATTGATGGATAGGAAACCAATTACCAGTTAAAAAGACCTTAAGGGTGGGTTGATTCCTGCCCTCATGTTATTTTGTAATGTCTATATTATACTGAGCAGCTAGCCAACTTAGAATGGCTTCCATTTAAGCACTTCAACAAAGTACTCTGTTTCCCACTAGCTTTCACTTGGAAATAACAAGAATGGGAGAATGGCTAAGTAGCTACCTTCCTTTAGTTATTATGCAGGAAGACATTTCTTCTCCATCATAAAAAATACAAATGTCTGGCTGATAGGAAAGATCTTGATATTAAACAAATCCTATTTGGTACTCAGCACCAGCAACTAATACATTATAGAAGTATTTGCTTTGCAAACAAAAACATACATAGCAAAAACAATTTCATTTTACAGAATAATTTTTAGTTTGTTGTTGCTGCCTTGATGCAATTATTTTATACCCAGACTATGACTAATCTGCTTGTCTTCTTTTATTGAACACTTACTATATGTTTCATCTGGGTTATCCCATTTAACCATAACACACTGCACACAGAGGTCATATGATTTGCCCAAGGTTATGTAGTTAGGACATGGCTCTGAGTGATGCTGATATATACTGCTTTAGAATTTATTTCTCATCATTTTAGTCCATTTTTTATTGTTACAAGATAATACCACAAACTGAGTAATTTATAATAGATATTTATTTGGCTCATGGTTCTGGAGCCCGGGAAGTTGAAGAGCATAGTGCTGGCATCTGGTGAAGGCCTTTGTGCTATGTCATTTCATGGTAGAAGAGCAAGAGAGAGTGAGATTGAGAAGGAAAGGCTGAACTCATCCTTTTTATCAGGAACCCACTCCCACAATAACTAATCTACTCCCGAGATAAGGCCATTAATCCATTTATGAGGGAAGACCCCTTATAACCTAGTTACCTCCTAGTTACCTCCTAATGGTCCCATCTTTCAACTCTGTTGCTTTGGGGATTAGCTTCCAACACATAAACTTTGGGGGACATATTCAAGCCATATCACTGATGAAAGTACTGTATTCTTTCTGGGTATGATGCATGTACAGGGCCATGCACATTTGGGGGCTAAATGCATACTTTCGATGATGATTGAGATGGTAACATTCCCACAGGAAATGGGAAATCAGTTGGTATTCTCCCTCACTGTGTTCAGGTGCTGGGTCCATGAACACTCCTCTTTTCTGTTGCTTGCATCAGACTTATCTGTGTGTTAACTAATGACCCAAAGTCATGCGAGGCCAGGGTCCCCTGGAGTATTTGCAAGGGGGCCTTGGCTCCATACATACTCCAATGACTTTGTGTTGAGGGTATTGTACACATATGAGTACTCCTCTCCACATGTAATTTCTTTTTTTTTTTTTTGTTTTTGAGATGGAGTCTTGTTCTGTCGCCCAGGCCGGAGTGCAGTGGCGTGATCTCCGCTCACTGCAAGCTCCGCCTCCCGGGTTCATGCCATTCTCCTGCCTCAGCCTCCCGAGTAGCTGGGACTACAGGCACCCGCCACCACACCCGGCTAATTTTTTGTATTTTTTTAGTAGAGATGGGGTTTCACCATGTTAGCCAGGATGGTCTCGATCTCCTGACCTCGTGATCCGCCCACCTCGGCCTCCCAAAGTGCTGGGATTACAGGTGTGAGCCACCGTGCCCAGCCTCCACGTGTCATTTCATGCAGTGACCTTACACTTTATGCTGAGCATGAGATGAAAAATGCAGATTGGTTTAATCTTAGTGGGCTTGGTTTTCAGGGCCTCTTAGTATGAGCATCTTGCCTGTGGGAAACACGTGATCCCAGTGTTGAAGATACACAGTATTCCTACGGTATGGCTCTAAATACAAGACACCTATTTTATCTCGGGCTTGGGTGAGAAGCAAGCCATCTGCTCTAGTGCTGGGAGAAGGCTGTCTGTGTTGGACTGACTTATGGAGAGACAGTGCCTAGGTGTCTAGCATACCTGGGGCCTTCCTAGTGGTTTGGCTTTCTGTGATGGTCCCTTATTTTTGAATCTAACCTCCTGCACTCTTTCTGAAGTGTGTATGATGCTATTGTGACTAATAAAAGACAGTGTGCTGAATTCATAACAATTTTTTCATTATTATTTTCTCAGTTAATAGACGCTAAAATACAACTGACCTTCAATAGAGGTCATTAAATTAGGAGTCATCTTTTTGGAAAAGGCTGGAAGCTGTTAACCTGGAGCTGTAGCTGCAACAGATTCCCAAGCCAAGCTGAAAGTCTGTGTTGGCCTCTGCCCCCAAAAGGCTGAGGTGCTCTAGAGTTTGGGTAAAGTATAGTTAATTGGACTTTAATTCTTTGAAAATGGACGAGCTCAATAGGACTTGTGTGATCGCTCTTGGTTAATCAGATTGTTAAATTTACTGACCTCCTTTTCCCATACTCATTTCCAGGACAGATTCAGGCTATGTCTGCCTGTTTTGATGCATGCAATTTACTTTAAAATCCTGCAGTACAGGGAGCGTGATGATTTGTATATGTCAATTGGCTTAAACTACACTCGAGGGGCAGTCCGCGGTCCTGACCAGGAATCTACATTCTGAGAGTGGACTCCAGCATTTAATCAGAAAGGCCACACTCCTGAGGCTGTTCCCAGAAGGGCGTCTTCATCTTTCTTTACCACTGAACTTTGATCATCACTAGAGACTTTGCTAATTAGCTCAAAGAAAGTTCCAAATGGGTTTTCATTGGTGAAAAAAAAGGGCTCGTTATTTAGCATAATGGATATAATAAGTGAGTTCTCACTGGTGAGTATTCAAGATGAGAGGTTTGGCTAAGATATTTTCCCGAAGCTCCTCATCCTTGCCTGAAGGGGATCTGAACAGCTTGCAGACGCTGTCCCCTTCTCCCACAGGGATGGTACTTGAGACTTGATCCCCCAAACATTCGTTCATTCAGCTGATAGTTTGGAGGATTTGGGTTGCCTGATGATCATTGTGAGATTAGCTCTCTCCTGCCTCTTGAGTGCTGTCATAACTGCCTGGGGTGAGTGGTCCATGTGAGGTGTGGTCAGGACACCTACAAGGACAGGCAGCTGGGATTTTGTTGATCTTAAACATCAAGTTTTAGAGCCTAGTGTCTGCTTACTAATAAGTGTCTGCATATGGCACAGGGTTTGGTCTGAGAAGTGCTTTTATTATAACCTGGTAGCAAAGTTGCAGGAGAGTAGCTAATTATCAACCTCCTCCAACTACTGATGGACATGAACGTCAGTAACTACCACGAAGAACTAAATATGTGCACATGGTGAGATTGGCTTATGTTAGTTTACACTCCCTGGCAAAAGTACTACCTTTTGCACAAATGGGAGGGATTTTGTTTTCCACTTTATGTAAGATCCGTTTAAGTAACAACCTGGACAACCAAATCCCTAGCAAATTACATCTTACTTAGTGAAGAGGCACAACTTTCATCTTTAATATAAGCCTCGATTCCCCATGAAATCTGAAGCCATCTTTTCATCTTACACATCACCTTGGGGTCAGAGAAGGAACACACCACTCCAGGCCTGTCTCCCAGGATCCTAGGACTCTGTGGAATGCATCCCTTTCCCTAGAAAAAGAAGACAAACTTTTGCTTTGGTTAACTTTGTTAATTTTATGTGTCAACTTGACTGGGCCATGGGCTGCCTGGACATCTGGTTAAACATTATTTCTGGGTTGGGCTGTGAGGGCGTTTCTGGAAGAGATTAGCATTTGAATCAAGTTAAACAGTTAACTTGATTGGACTCACTTAAGCAGTTTGCCCTTCCCAAAGTGAGGGTCTGAATATTTATTGACAAAAAGGCAGAAGAAGGTTGAATTCTGTCTCTCTGCCTGACTTGAGTTGGGACATCAGTCTTCTCTTGCTCTTGGACCGGGACTTACACCATCAGGACTCCTGGTTCTCAGGCCTTTGGACTTAGACTGGAATTTATATGAACAGCTTTCCTGGGTCTCCAGATTGCAGACAGCAGATTGTGGGATTTCTCAGTCTCCATGATCTCCTTTGCCAATTCCTTATAATTATATGTGTGCATATATATATATATATATATATATATATTCAGTTTTTCAGGAGAACCCTAACAAATACTGGAGCAATGAGACTATATCCACTTCCCAGAAAGCTACCTCTTACAGTCCTTGTTCAGTACTACCTACCTCCAGCTTTCTTTTTATGAATTATAGTCCCTCCAGCTGGTCACGTGGCAACCTCCTACTCATCCTACAGGCTGTAGCTGAAATGGCACCTCCTCAGGGGGCCCCTCTCAGGTTACTCTGTCTACATAGGCTCTTTTGTATTAGTTTCTATCTCTATCCCCTGTTTCTGTTACGTGATTTTATATAATTAGTTATTAATTTGTTCATTTGTTGACCACCTGACATTCCCACTAGACTACAATCTCCTCGAGGGCAAGAACCTTGATCATTTTGCTCACCACCACAGCTAGGCACAGAGCAGGCACTGAATACATGTATTGTGAGTGAATAAATGAATGCATAGTTTCTTTGCCACTTGTAATCAACAATGAATCACAGGGTGCGACTCAAGAGGAAGTGAGCTTTGCTTTGAGAAAACTCAATACAGAATCATCTGAGAAGAAGGGATGCTGACTGAATATTCCCGTTATTTTAGAGCAATAAATAATCATCTTTGATGAGGCCATTTTGCTGCCCTCTCCCGCATGGGGCATGTGCTAATGCACGGGGACATTTTCAATTTTTGCACCTGGGTTGGTGTTACTAGCATCCAATGAGTAGAAGCCAGGGATGCTGCTGGACATCCTGCAACATACAGGACAGCCCCTCACATCAGAGAATTATCTGGCCCAAATGCCTGTCACTAGCACGAAGGTTGAGAAATCCCATCTGAGAGTAATCATATTTACCATGTTTCAATTACCAACTTCCAATGACTCAAAGTCCAAGAAAATATACTTAACACAAGTCAGCATTCTTTGGCAATTATAGAGACATTTAAATTTTTTAAATGACCTCAGGCTGTTGATCTATCCATGATTCAACCACACTATAGCTATATGTAATCTTAGGGATTGGCTGAATTGACCCACTTAAATACACAGTAAACAGTTAACAATCTTTGATACAAACTCGTCATTTGCTTTTCCCAAAGTAAGGATACAGAAAAATTCCTTTTACTTGTTATGAACTTGTTTTCAGTCTGTTCAGATCTACCAAAATGAAAAATTGAAGCTAATAAGATCCATAAATGAGATGACGACTATTCACATGACTAAGTGATTCTTCTTTTTGCAGAAAGATTCTCTGCCAGTTTCCTTTAAACAGTTGGCTCCTTTCATGCATTTAAAATCTAACTCGGTTTACAAAAGCATTAATTTATGTGCGCATTTCAGGCTCACCGCCATTGTGAAAACTAACTACATCTTTCATGAGGAGTGCATCCCTGCCTTGCCTCTCAAAGATAATTCTCCTGTTTCTTGGTTTTCTCTTCAGATTGTGGTTTCTTTGGAGGGCAAGATCCGTGTCTCTAGAATGTTTGGTTCTGCTTTTGGCATCCTAGACATTTCAGGATGTCAATAAATATTTATTGATGCTGATGAGGTGAACAGAACCAGACAGGTGCATTCTTACTCTCTTGTCATGTGCTTTATGGAACTTTTATTTTTTTTTATCAGCATCTTCCAAGAGGGTACCAAGAAACTCTCTTCTTTAGACACTCAGCCTCTCCCAGGGACTGAGATGCTTTTGGGGCTCCCTGGGACCACCCTTTTCCAATTTAGCCCTTGCTACTCTCCTGCCAAATGTTCCCCAGGCATAATTACCATTCACACATCATTTTCAAACTATCTCAGCTGCAGGGGGTGGGCTTAGCCTTGATCCCTAAAAGCATGGTCTCCATTGTGTGAAATACTTTTGCAAGAGGGGATTAAGCATGTAGTTAATATCTCAATACCACAGTGAAGAACTCAAGAGACGGAAAGTTTTCATTTGCCCCCCATAAGAGGCATGAAAAGCAATAGCTCTCAAAGTGTGGTCCTCTGACCAGCAGCATCAGCATCCCCCAGGACTTGTCCCAAATGTAGCTTGCTTGGCCCTACCGCAGACCAACTAACTGAACCTGGAACTCTGAGATGGGGCCCAGCTGTGTTTTAGTAAGCCCTCCAGGTGTTTCTGATGCACACTAACGTTGGAGAACAACTATGCTAGAGGCTCAAGCTTCTTTATGAGTGTTGAGCTCATCACCTACCCCTGGTTCAATAGTGTCCATTATGTCTTATAGAAGATACGAGCTGGGGGCTGGGCTAGGTGGTTCACACCCCTAATCTCAGCACTTTGGGAGGCTGAGGTGGGTGGATTGCTTGAGCCCAGGAGTTTGAAATCAGCATGGACAACACAACAAAACTCCATCCCTACTAAAAATACAAAAATTAGCCAGGCGTGGTAGCACATGCCCGTAGTCCCAACTACTCAGAAGGCTGAGGTAAGAGGATCACCTAAGCCCGGGAGGTCCAGGCTGCAGTGAGCCATGATCTCAACTCCAGTCTGGGTGACAAAGTGAGACAGTGTCTCAAACTTAAATAAAAAAGAGAAGATACAAATTAACTTCATGACTCTCCAAAGAAACCTCAGAGATCCCTGGCAGTCCCAGGTTTTTCAGCCCAATAGGTAGGTGGACACACATGTAAAAGAGGCAACAGGTTTACCACTCAGAGGGAAAAGTAATCGTGTCTATACCCCCCAGGAGCAAGGCTTTCCTAGCATGCCCTGCACAAGATAGCTGTCCCCTCCCCAAACCACCCTCTTGGTCTTCCATGGCAGAGGTTCCTTGGGGGAAGGGAGGGAGAGGAGAACTGAGCCTCAGCTCAGATCCCTGAATGATACTCAGGGGCTGAGCAGCTTGCTGCCTGGGGGTGGCCACACTCACTGAACAACAGCTTGGCAGCCTTCATGTGTTCTGTGCAGTGCCTGGGCCTCCTGAAGGAAGGTCCTTGCCCACCCTCCACCCTACCCAGGACCAGTCCTCCCCACTTCTTCCTCTCCTTCACTAGCCAGGATGGCCCATCTCCCTGCCCACCTCCCAACCCTGCTCTCCCTCAAGCCTTGGTCTTCTCTAGTTCCTGGGGGTGGAAAGACATCCACCCTCTGTGGAAACCACTGACCCTTTCCATCCAGCATTTGGGTTGGTTGTTTTTGTCTAACCCTCTTGGTGTCTAGTGCAAAGATTCATGGCTGATTGTGGGCTGGAGAGGGGCCAAAAGGCCTCTCATGCACGTGTGGGGAGGTGGAATGCACCCACAGTACAAGGATTTACACTGTGCATGTAATCCCAGCAGGCAGTGTTAGAGCCAGTTGTTTCTGGATTAATTTATTTAGCTATTACATTGATAGTGACTTAGACTAAGCACCATCATGAAAACACAAATTACTGTAACAATGGCTTGCTTCTTTGAGATTTACATGTTTTTAGTGGAATGCATACCTGAAAGCAGTTCCAGATTCCCCTACAGGTGCATGGGGACGTTGGGCTTACTTTGCATAACTGGCACAAGGGCTGTGGTCAGGTTTATTTCCTTTGGATCCTTGCTCAGCTTTCCTCTTTGCTAAATACCTTCCTCGAGAGATGTGCTGTGTCTTTGTTAAACAAGGCTGCCCTTAAAGGGCAATTCATCATTCGCAACCCATCATGGCCTTGCAGGAGACAAGGTCCCGTCCAGTCTGCCCTTTCCCCATTTTTTCTTCCTTCTAAATGCCCCTCTTCCCTTTTACCATTCTCCAGATGGAGAAGCCGCTTCACAAATCTTGGCTAGCACATTTCAAGGCTCCTTCTTTGAAGCGGACTAGCTTCAGCTCCACAGATTTCTCCACAGATTTCTCGTGGAGGCTGCATTTTAAACAATAGGCTCATGCACATCCTTTAAGGTAAATACAGTCGTGCAAGCACTTGGATAGTGTTAAAGTTAATGACCTGGCATTGAGCGAGGAAACTGAAGAGCGAACGATACATTTTTGACATTTCTGCCACCCAGACAGCAGTGGCTGCTTTGCTCTCACACACACACACAAAATCGAGAACATTTCTCCTGAGAGGAAATGTTCTGATTCAGGATCTCTTATTTTGCATTTAGAAATGTGTCTCCATCTGATTCTTTCCTGAGGCTACGCTGCAGAAACACATCTTGGTGTAAGACACCTTCCATCTCTAGCAGTTGCTAGTGAGCTAATGAAAGTCAATACTATTTATTCAACTCCCGGGAAGCCCAGCGCTCCCTATTAGCCACTGTTTGAAATGTGGACCAAAGAAAGGTGACCCGGATAAGATCAGGACCAGAAATGGTCCTGCCTGACACAGGTACTATTAATATACTTGGAGAGAACTACCTAACACGGGCACCGTTAATGTACTTGGAGAAAAAAAAAGCCAGTACCTCTCTACCTGGCCATCCCTTAATCCTCTTTTATGATGGATTGTTTAACAAGTAAAGGGCTGTAAATTGAGTGAGTTGCTTTAGACACTATAAAAATCGATTGTTGAAAGTTGAAGCGAAGCCTTCTCTTTCTTCAGTTTGGGTGCATGGTCGTAGTCCAGGCCAAGAACTCCAAGGAGCCAACAGCCTGAGGTAGGATTGAGCCAGAGGCTTAGGAGGGAGGAGGCATCACAGGTGACACCCATCTATGTAAATTACCCAGATCCCCACATTCTGCATCTGAGCTATCAAGAAAGCTGTTTCTCTAGGTCCCATGGGTTGTTAGCAGGCTTCAGTTATGTGTAAATTGTGAAAGCTGATTGTACGGTTGGCAAAATGGTCAGAGACCTAGAAGCTTTGTTGATGACCACATCATGGGAGTGCCTAATGGATGGATCATTCATAAACACTCTGACAACAAACACGAAGTGAAAATGCACTTCTAGGTAAACAGCTGCTTGCATCTGAGTGATGCACAAAGCTAAAATCCGGCTCTCAGGGATGCATCCCGTCTGTAAACACTGGGGTCACTGCTGCCTTCCAAAGACAACACTGCTTTACAGAGCCACACAGAGATGCCACATGGTGGTTGAGAAGCCAAGCTTGTCCCTGCTCCTGTTTTCTTTCCTTGCACCGTATACCCTCATAGCAGTCAACAAACACATTGAATGCCCCTAGATAATGTTATGTGTTGTATCTGCACGTACAGATAGAAAAATCCATCAGGCAGATCTTCACAGTAGACCTGGTTGGCAAACCCCACGTTCGCAAGTAAGGAAACCCTAGCTTGGGGGTGAAACCAAGATGTGAACTTAGATTTCAAGCTCTCGCTATCCCACTTTCTCCTTTCAGGCTTCTTACATTTTTACGTAGCCTGGTTCATTTTGAAAGATATAAAGGGGTCAAGGTTCAGATACAATCAAACTGAAAAGTCTCCAAGGATCTGAGAGAAGGCAGCACTTAGGGACTACATTGAAAATGGAAGCACAGGTGAGTGTGCATGTTTAGGGGGCAGGAGTCTCCCTGGACTCCCCTGCTTGCCTCCTGCCATCAAATCACGCAACACCGCTGGACAACATTGTGTTTGCACTAAGCTGGTCTAGGGCTCAGCTTTTGATTGGTAGGCATGGCAGCCAAGAAGAGAAGGGGTGGGGTGATGTTGACATGGTTACTGATTCAGCCCAGGCTCTGCAGTCCGATGGCCAGAGAAACGACAAGGGTGACCAGTAGGCTGGAGGCAAGGGCTCCACCCTCAAGCCTGGGACCATGGTCCAAAGTGAGAACTTACACCCCTATTTTCCTGCTCAAATGTTGCCTTTTCCAAAACCACCCATGGCCCAGCCCGCCCCCCATCCTGTCCCCATAAAAACCCCAGGCTCCATCAGAGAGAAGAGGAGAAGCAGCTGGACGTTGGAGGCTACAGTTGGACATTGGAGAGAAGTAGCTTGCCTTCAGAGGGACAGCTTGACAGTGCGACCTCAGAGAAGAGTCTGGCTGCAGGTAGCCGGACTTCAGGGGAAGAATACCTTCTCGCTCCATCTCCCTTCCAGCTTCCTTTCCCGCTGAGAGCCTTTTTCTTTTTTTGGAGACAAGAGTCTTGCTCTGTCACCTCGGCTGGAGTGCAGTGGTGTGATCTTAGTTCACTGCAACCTCCGCCTCCTGTGTTCAAGCAGTTCTCCTGCCTCAGCCTCCCAAGTAGCTGGGATTACAGGCGCGTGCCACCACGCCTCGCTAATTTTTGTATTTTAGTAGAGACAGGGTTTCACCATGTTGGCCAGGCTAGTCTTGAACTCCTGACCTCGTGATCTGCCTGCCTCGGCCTCCCAGAGTGCTGGGATTACAGGCATGAGCCACTGTGCCCGGCTAGCCATTTTCATTGGCAATAAGATCCTCTGCATTCACTGCCCTTCCATTCGTTTGTGAGACCTGATTTTTCCTGGATGCTGAACAAGAGCTTGGGTACCAGGGGTGCAGATGCAAAAGGCTGTCACACTGACCATCTGCCCTTGCTGGTGGAAAGCAGCCACCTCATGTGAAAAGGCAGAGAGTCTACTGAGCTGTTAACACTTAAGCCATCCGTGGATGGCAGAGCTCAAAGAGCACTGTAACACATGCCTTCTGGGGCTTCATTGATGGTGGGCACCCCTCTAAATGCTGGTGCGGCGTTTCTTCCCGCTGGCACACAAAAGTGCTCGCCCACGGCTCCTGCACCCGCTCACACTTGTGTGTTCCCTCCCACAAGGGGTTAAGTGCAGCAAGTTTGAGTGAATGGAGTCTGCCCCTGCTGGCGCCGAAGCAGCTGGCTAGCTCCAGTGCCCGCCCTCCAGTTCCCGCCAGTGAAGGGCTTAGGAAAGATATCCTGCTTCACAGCTATGATACTTTTCTTGAAAATCTTCCAAGTTTCCTATATACAGAGAAAGACTGACCATTTAATTGCCCGGGAAACTTGTCACCCCTTGCACTGTCCCAGCAAGATTTGAACTGGTCACCCTGAATAGCCAACAGCTTCAATGAAGATGAGCTACGACATTTCAGTTTTCATTTGTACGTTCAGAGGGTTCCATAAGAGCCATAGACAAAAATAAACCACACTTAACTGCCAAACCATTTCCACAGACTTTTATGAATATCTTCTCTGCTAACTTTCCACTGTAAAGGATTATGTTTAGATCTTTAGTTTTTAAATGGGAACAGCTGCAATGGACTACCAGACAGCTTTAATGAACAGATGTGTATTTCTGGAGAAATCGATTTTCCTTTTTATTATGTCACCAGATTTGCTGTATTTCCAAGCAATTTACATTTTAGGCTATGACTCGTGTATGAACTAACAATAATAACTGTGGCCTCCAGGTAGGGAAATCTATCTCATCAGAAAGATCTGCTGGGCAAGGCGAAATTTTGAGTCGTTATTATTAGCAATATGCCATAAGAGGAATATCTATCTACACTTTATGACCTAACTGCTGTATTAGCCACTTCTGCAGTCCCACTGGAGGAAGTCTTTTTGTTTTGAGTTAGTCTAGAAAGTATTATTTTTTAACCCGGAGGTTCTTAACTGAGGCAATTTGGCTCCTCAAGGGATATTTGGTAATGTCTGAAGACGTTTGTGATTGTTATGACTGGGGAAAGGTGCTCCTGGCATCTAGTGAGTAGAGGCTGGGGACGCTGCTAAACATCCTGCAATGCACAGGACAGTCCCCACCACAAGGAATTACCTGCCACAAATTTCAGTAGTGCCG
Organism: Homo sapiens; assembly: GCF_000001405.40. Taxonomy (NCBI): domain Eukaryota; kingdom Metazoa; phylum Chordata; class Mammalia; order Primates; family Hominidae; genus Homo; species Homo sapiens. The sequence goes on along the minus strand of NC_000001.11, from coordinate 14,365,572 downwards.
AGGTTGCAAAACTTTGCAGTTATGAGTTGAATTGCATTACCCAAAAAGATAATGTTGACGTTTTAACCCCCAGGGTCTCAGTGTATGACGTTATTTGGAAATAGAATCATTGCAGATGTAATTAATTAAGATGAGGTCATGCTGGAGTAGGGTGGGCCCTTAATCCAACACAGCTGGTGACCTTGAAAGACCCCCCCCCCCCCCACCCCGGGGGGAGGGGGTGGGCGCCGGGGCGCGGTGGCTCACACCTGTAATCCCAGCACTTTAGGAGGCCGAGGCGGGCGGATCATGAGGTCAGGAGATTGAGACCATCCTGGCTAACATGGTGAAAACCCGTCTCTACTAAAAATACAAAAACAAAATTAGCCAGGCATGGTGGCGGGCACTTGTAGTACCAGCTACTCGGGAGGCTGAGGCGGGAGAATGGCTTGAACCCGGGAGGCGGAGTTTGCAGTGAGCCGAGATGGTGCCACTGCACTCCAGTCTGGGCAACAGAGTGAGACTCCGTCACAAAAAAAAAAAAGAGAGGGGGCCGGGCATGGTGGCTCATGCCTACAATTCCAGCACTTTGGGACGTCAAGGTGGGAAGATCACTTAAGGCCAGGAGTTCAAGACCATCCTGGCCAACATAGTCAGAACCTCTCTCTAAAACAAACAAACAAAACAAAACAAAAAAACAGAGGAAGGATGAAGTGAAGACACACACAGGGAGAATGCCATGCAAGACAGAGGCAGAGATTGACGTGATGCGGCCACAAGCCAAGGAACACCAGGAGCTGAAAGAGACAAGGAACAATTCTTCCCTAGAAGCTTCAGATGAAGCATGTCCCTGACGACAACTTGTCTTTCACCTTCTGGCCTCCAGAACTCAGAGAGAATGAATTTCTGTTGTTTTAAGTCACCCAGTTTGTGGTACATTATTATAGCAGCCCCAGGAAATAAATATATATCCCTTAGGCAAATAAAATTTTTTTTCTTAGAATGATGGTGGTCATGTTTTTCTAGGGAAATTTGCTGTTTCCTCTTTATGGATCCCTTTCCTATATACTGTTATGCTAAATAACTCTATTAGGCCAGCATCATTATTCCCATTTTAGAGATGAATAATAACAGTAGTGAACATTTGTTCAGAAATGTATTGTGTGTGCCAGTGCTCATGCTGCATGCTTCACAAACATTATCCCATTCGATCGTTGTAGTGGCTCTAGGAGGCAGCGGCTATAATTACCCCCATTTTGCAGTGGAAGAAACTGAGGCATAGATTAGTAAATCGTGTTCCCCTTAGTTCCACAAGTGGCAGGTAGAGGGAGTTTTAACCCAGTGACTCTGGCTCCTGAGCCCTTACTCTTAACTGCATGCTTTCCAGCTCTGATGCATCAGCGGCAGAAGGACCCAAAAGGTACATGTGCAACCAGTTAGTGCCGGGGGCATGACCTCCATGATCCTGTCAACAACACATCTCTAATGAAAAGGGCCTTAACACAACGCAGTTCCTAAACCACATCCCACATGAAAACGGTACTGAGGCAAAAGAAAAGTAAGAAACATTGTAAGAAACATTACCTGCTATATCTCTCTCTTCCAAATTAAAAAAAAAAAAAAAAATATTGTGAGTAAAGGCTCTGATAAGGCATGCATTTACCAAAAAATACATACACACATACACGCAAAATACACAACCGTTTATGGTGTTTAATCCAGTGGTTCCCCAAATTATTTGACCGTAGAAACCCTTTTTTGTAGGACACTACTAATATCTAGAGCAGGGGGTAACAAACTTCTTCTGTAAAGGACCAGGAAGTATTTTTGGCTTTGCAGGACACATATGGTCACTGTCTCTTGTTCTTTCTTTCTACAACCCTTTAAAAATGTTAAAGCCATCTTTTGCTTTAAGATCATAAAAAACCCAGCTGCTGGCTGGATTTGGCCCATAGGTTAAAGTTTCCTGACCCCTCTAAAGGGACAGAGTTGGAAACATGAATGGAAGGTAACTTTTGATGTATTATTTTTCACTAAGACAGTGCTGAGAAAACCTGTTTCAGAAATCCAGGAACAGAAAACCAAAATTCTGTTCATTACTTCTGTGTTCCTCCCATGTAACAAATGAGAAACTATGAAGTCTGAGCAGCCCATTGTTTGGGGTTGTGTTTCCTTGATTAGAGGGAAAATGAGTCACGGCCAGAGGGTGGGTGGGTGTGAGCCTAGCTACACTCCGTCTGGGCTGGCTGCACCTACTAGGCCCTTAGAACATCCTTCCGACTGTGAGGTGGGAGACGGAGATGTTTAAACATCATCTTGACATTTTGCAGATGATTTTCTGTCTACCAGGCTAAAGTGGATGCCTTCCAGGAGTAGTTTATAGAGATTTCAGCTATTTCAGAGTCCCCAACTGCCAACCTTAGCAAGATGATGAGGACTTTTATGGGCACTGAATTGGATTTCGTTTAAAAAATGCAACCATGGCTCCCTGGAGTGAAGCTCTGGAGCCTTCTAGAGCCAGAGAGCCAGTTCTTGAAGGTCTATATTTAAGGCAGCTGCTTCTTCATAGGAGGAGAAATGAGGTGAGATACAGCATGGGCTAGGAGACAGGATCCAAAGTTCTGTGCTGCCTTTGCCATCATGCCATTGGGGGACCTCATGGAGGCTGAGCCCCCTTCCTGCCTCAGTTTCTCTATATGTAAAATCACTCCAAAGGATGAAATAGAGACAAATATATATATTGGCAGGGTAGTGAATGAGAAAGAATATACCCCTTGGAGTCAAATAGGTCTGAGTTTGAATCCTAGATTTGCTATTTTCTTGCTGTGGGAACTTTGGCAAATATGATGTAGCCTCTTAGAAGCTTGGTTTCCTCACCTAAGAAATAGGGATACTAATTCTGATCTTAAAGTGTTGATGGGGGAATTAAGCTACACAGTCTTTATAAAGAGCCTGGAGCAATGCCTGTGTGTAATAGGGCCAGAGTATCTTAGCCTTCTAGCTGCTCTGGCAGTGAGACAGTCTCTTAAGCAGCCCTGTGATTCCTACCTCCTGGCATTCATCCTCATGTCTGATCCCCTGCCTTTGAGCATAGGCAGGACCTGTGGCTTGCTACTAACAAAATATAGTGAAGGTGTTGAAATGTTACTTCCATGATTGTGTCACATAAGATTGCAATGTTTGTCAGGCTAAGAGTCTCTCTCTTATTGGCTTTGAAAAAGCAAGTTGCCACACTGTGAGTTGCTTATGAAGAAGGCCGTATCACAAAAACTGAGGACAGACTCTCGTCAACAGCCAGCAACTGAGGCCTTTTGTCCAAGAACATGCAAGAAACTGAATGCTGCTAACAACTATGTTAACTTAGAAGTGAGTCCTTTCCCAATCAAGCCTTCAGATGAGACCCCAGCCCAAGTTGACATCTTGAATGCTGCCTTGAAGAGTGCCTGGACAGCAGACCCACAGAGACGGTGGAATAATAAATGTGAGTTGTTATAAGTCAGTAAGTTTATGGTAATATTGTCATGCAGCAATAGCTAACTAATACACTGGCTTTTGGGCAGTTTCTGAAATGTGCCATTGACCCCCTGGCTACAGGACCTTTCCTTGTTCCCATATTTGCCTTAACTTTTCCTTCTCATTATGAGGATCTCAGGCCAATAGTCTCTTCCTCAAAAAAGCCTTTCTTCACCCTACGAGGTGCTCTTATGGCAGTGGGTCTTCCTCACTGAAAACAGTAATCACGGGTAAATGACTCAAGATGGCCGAATAGGAACAACTCTGGTCTGCAGCTCCCAGTGAGATCAATCCAGAAGGTGGGTGATTTCTGCATTTCCAACTGAGGTACCTGGCTCATCTTATTGGGACTGGTCAGACAGTGGGTGCAGCCCACAGAGGATGAACAGAAGCCAAGGGAGCCGTGAGGGACTGTGCCGTGAGGCATGGTGCACTCTGGCCCAGATATTATGCTTTTCCCATGGTCTTCACAACCCACAGACCAGGAGATTCTCTCGGGTGCCTACACCACCAGGGCCCTGGGTTTCAAGCACAAAACTGGGCAGCCATTTGGGCAGACACTGAGCTAGCTGCAGTTTTTTTCATACCCTAGTGGCACCTGGAACGCCAGTGAGACAGAACTGTTCACTCCTCTGGAAGAGGGGGCTGAAGCCAGGGAGCCAAGTGGTCTTGGTTCCCACCCAAGTGCTCAGCAGGTCCCACCACCACAGAGCCCAGCAAGCTAAGATCCACTGGCTTGAAATTCTCACTGCCAGCACAGCAGTCTGAGGTTGACCTGGGATGCTAGAGGTTGGTGTGGGGAGAGGCGTCTGCCATTACTGAGGCTTGAGTAGGCGGTTTTCCCCTCACAGTGTAAACAAAGCTGCCAGGAAGTTCAGACTGGGCAGAGTACACCGCAGCTTGGCAAAGCTGCTGTAGCCAGACTGCTTTTCCAGATTCCTCCTCTCTGGGCGGAGCATCTCTGAAAGAAAGGCAGCAGCCCCAGTCGGGCCTATAGATAAAACTCCCATCTCCGTGGGACAGAGCACCTGGGGCAAGGGGCAGCTGTGCAGCTTCAGCAGACTTAAACATTCCTGCCTGCTGGCTCTGAAGAGAGCAGCCGATCTCCTAGCACAGTGCTTGAGCTCTGCTAAGGGACAGACTGCCTCCTCAAGTGGGTCCCTGACCCCCGTGCATCCTGACTGGGAGATACATCCCAGCAGGGGTTGACAGGCACCTCGTACAGGAGAGCTCCAGGTGGCATCTGGCAGGTGCCCCTCTGGGACGAAGCTTCCAGAGGAAGGAACAGACAGCAATCTTTGCTGTTCTGCAGCCTGGCTGGTGATAGCCAGGCAAAGAGGGTCTGGAGTGAACCTCCAACAAACTCCAGCAGACCTGCAGCAGAGTGGCCTGACAGTTAGAAGGAAAATTAACAAACAGGAATAGCATAACACCAAAGAAAAAGGACATCCACACAAAAACTCCTTCCGAAGGTCAGCAGCATCAAAGACCAAAGGGAGATAAATCCACGAAGATTAAAAAAAAATGCACAAAAAGGCTGAAAATTCCAAAAACCAGAATGCCTCTTCTCCTCCAAAGGATCACAGCTCCTCACCACCAATGGAACAAAACCGGATGGAGAATGAGTTTGATGAATTGACAGAAGTAGGCTTTAGAATGTGTGTAATAACAAACTCCTCCAAGCTAAAGAAGCATGTTCTAACCCAATGCAAGGAAGCTAAAAACCTTGAAAAAAGATTAGAGGAATTTCTAACTACAATAACTAGTTTATAGAAGAATGTAAATGACCTGATGGAGCTGAAAAACACAGCACAAGTACTTCGAGAATCATACACAAGTATCAATAGCTGAATTGATCAAGTGGAAGAAAGGATATCAGAGATTGAAAATAAACTTAATGAAATAAAGTTTGAAGACAAGACTAGAGAAAAAAGAATGAAAAGGAATGAACAAAGCCTCCAAGAAATATGGGATTATGTGAAAAGACCAAACCTATGTTTGATTGGTGTACCTGAAAGTGAAGGGGAGAATGGAACCAAGTTGGAAAGCTCCACTCTTCAGAATATTATCCAGGAGAACTTCCCCAACCTAGCAAGACAGGCCAACATCCAAATTCAGGAAATACAGATACCACCACAAAGATACTCCTTGAGAAGAGCAACCACAAGACATATAATCATCAGATTCACCAAGGTTGAAATGAAGGAAAAAATGTTAAGTGCAGCCAGAGAGAAAGATCAGGTTACCCACAAAGGGAAGCCCATCAGACTAACAGTGGATCTCTCTGCAGAAACCCTACAAGCCAGAAGAGAGTGAGGGCCAATATTCAACATTCTTAAAGAAAAGATATTTCAACCCAGAATTTCATATCCAGCCAAACGACGCTTCATAAGTGAAGGAGAAATAAAATCCTTTACAGACAAGCAAATGCTGAGAGATTTTGTCACCACTAGGCCTGCCTTTCAAGAGCTCCTGAAGGACTCACTAAATATGGAAAGGAAAAACCAGTACCAGCCACTGCAAAAACGTGCCAAATTGTAAAGACCATTGATGCTAGGAAGAAACTGCATCAACTAATGGGCAAAATAACCAGCTAGTGTCATAATGACAGAATCAAATTCACACATAACAATATTAACCTTAAATGTAAATGGGCTAAATGCCTCAATTAAAAGACACAGACTGGCAAGTTGGATAAAGAGTCAAGACCCATCAGTGTGCTGTATTCAGGAGACCCATCTCATGTGCAAAGACACACATAGGCTCAAAATAAAGGGATGGAGGAATATTTACCAAGCAAATGGAAAGGAGAAGGAAAAAAAAAGAAAAAAAAAGCAGGGCTTGTAATCCTAGTCTCTGATAAAACAGACTTTAAACCAACAAAGATAAAGACGAAGAAGGACGTTAGATATTGGTAAAGAGATCAATTCAACAAGAAGAGCTAACTATCCTAAATATATATGCACCCAATACAGGAGCACCCAGATTCATAAAGCAAGTTCTTAGAGACCTACAAAGAGACTTAGACTCCCACACAATAATAGTGGGAGACTTTAACACCCCACTGTCAATATTAGATCAATGAGACAGAAAATTAACAAGGATATCCAGGACTTGAACTCAGCTCTGGACCAAGCAGACCTAATACACATCTACAGAACTCTCCACCCCAAATCAAAAGAATCTACATTTTTTTCTCAGCACCACATAGCACTTATTCTAAAATTGACCACATAATTGGAAGTAAAACACTCCTCAGTAAATGCAAAAGAACAGAAATCATAACAAACAGTCTCTCAGACCACGATGCTATCAAATTAGAACTCAGGATTAAGAAACTCACTCAGAACTTCACAACTACATGGAAACTGAACAACCTACTCCTGAATGACTACTGGGTAAATAACAAAATTAAGGCAGAAATAAATAAGTTATTTGAAACCAATGAGAACAAAGACACAATGTACCAGAATCTCTGGGACACAGCTAAAGCAATGTTTAAAGGGAAATTTATAGCACTAAATGCCCACAAGAGAAAGAAGGAAAGATCTAAAATCGACACCCTAACATCACAATTAAAAGGACTAGAGAAGCAAAAGCAAACAAATTCAAAAGCTAGCAAAATACAAGAAATAACTAAAATCAGAGCAGAACTGAAGGAGATAGAGACACGAAAAACCATTTAAAAACTCAATGAATCCCTGAGCTGGTTTTTTTTTTTAAAAGATTTACAAAATAGATAGACCTCTAGCCAGACTAATAAAGAAGAAAAGAGAGAAGAATCAAATAGACACAATAAGAAATGAAACAGGGGGTATCACCACTGATCCCACAGAAATACAAACTACCATCAGAGAATGCTATAAACACCTCTATGGAAATAAACTAGAAACTCTAGAAGAAATGGGTAAATTCCTGGACACATACACCCTCCCAAGACTAAACTAGGAACAAGTTGAATCCCTGAATAGACCAATAACAAGCACTGAAATTGAGGCAGTAATAGCCTACCAACCAAAAAAAGCCCAGGAGCAGATGGATTCACAGCTGAATTCTACCAGAGGTACAAAGAGGAGTTGGTACCATTCCTTCTGAAACTATTCCAAACAATAGTAAAAGAGGGACTTCTCCCTAACTAATTTAATGAGGCCAGCTTCATCCCAATATTGAAACCTGGCAGAGACACAACTGAAAAAGAAAGTTTCAGGCTAATATCCCTGGTGAACATCAGTGCAAAAATCCTCAATAAAATACTGGCAAACCGAATCCAGCAGCACATCAAAAAACTTATCCACCATGATCAAGGTGGCTTTATCCCTGGGATGCAAGGCTGGTTCAACATACACAAATCAATAAATGTAATCCGTCACATAAACAGAACCAATGACAAAAACCACATGATTATCTCAATAGATGCAGAAATGGCCTTTGATAAAATTCAACACCGCTTCGTGCTAAAAACTCTCAATAAACTAGGTATTGATGGAACATATCTCAAAATAATAAGAGCTATTTGTGACAAACCCACAGCCAATATCATACTGAATGGGCAAAAGCTGGAAGCATTCCCTTTGAAAACCGGCACAAGACAAGGATGCCGTCTCTCACCACTTTTATTCAACATAGTATTGGAAGTTCTGGCCAGGGCAATCAGGTAAGAGAAAGAAATAAAGGGTATTCCAATAGGAAGAGAGGAAGTCAAATTGTCTCTGTTTGCAGATGACATGATTGTGTATTTAGAAAACACTATCATCTCAGCCCAAAATCTCCTTAAGCTGATAAGCAACTTCAGCAAAGTCTCAGGATACAAAATCAATATGCAAAAATCACAAGCATTCCTATACACCAATAACAGACAAACAGAGAGCCAAATCATGAGTGAACTCCTATTCACAGTTGCTACAAAGAATAAAATACCTAGAAATCCAACTTACAAGGGATGTGAAGGACTTCTTCAAGGAGAACTACAAACCACTGCTCAAGGAAATGAGAGGGCACAAACAAATGGAAAAACATTCCATGCTCATGGATAGGAAGAATCAATATCGTGAAAATGGCCATACTGCCCAAAGTAATTTATAGATTCAATGCTATCCCTATCAAGCCACCATTGACTTTCTTCACAGAATTAGAAAAAACTACTCTAAATTTCATATGGAACCAAAAAAGAGCCCGTATAGTCAAGACAATCCTAAGCAAAAAGAACAAAGCTGGAGGTATCCTGCTACCTGACTTCAAACTATACTACAAGGCTACAGTAACCAAAACAGCATGGTACCAGTACCCAAACAGATATATAGACCAATGGAACAGAACAGAGGACTCAGAAATAACGCCACACATCCACAACCATCTGATCTTTGACAAACCTGACAAAAACAAGCAATGGGGAAAGGATTCCCTATTTAATAAATGGTGTTGGGAAAACTGGCTAGCCATATGCAGAAAACTGAAACTGGACCCCTTCCTTACACCTTATACAAAAAATAACTCAAGATGGATTAAAGACTTAAATGTCAGACCTAAAACCATAAAAACCCTAGAAGAAAATCTAGGCAATCCCATTCAGGACCTAGGCATGGGCAAAAACTTCATGACTAAAACACCAAAAGCAATGGCAACAAAAGCCAAAATTGACAAATGGGATCTAATTAAACTAAAGAGCTTCTGCACAGTAAAAGAAACTATCATCAGAGTGAACAGGCAGCCTACAGAATGAAAGAAAATTTTTACAACCTATCAATCTGACAAAGGGCTAATATCCAGAATCTACAAGGAACTCAAACAAATTTACAAGAGAAAAACAACCCCATCAAAAAGTGGGCAAAGGATATGAACAGACACTTCTCAAAAGAAGACATTTATGAGGCCAACAAACACATGAAAAAAAGCTCGTCATCACTGGTCATGAGAGAAATGCAAACAAAACCACAGTGAGATACCATCTCACACCAGCTAGAATGGCAATCATTAAAAAGTCAGGAAACAACAGATGCTGGAGAGGATGTGGAGAAATAGGAACACTTTTACACCATTGGTGGGAGTGTAAATTAGTTCAACCATTGTGGAAGACAGTGTGGCATTCCTCAAGGATCTAGAACCAGAAATACCATTTGACCCAGCAATCCCATTACTGGGTATATACCCAAAGTATTATAAGTCATTCTACTATAAAGACACATGCATACATATGTTTATTGCAACACTCTTCACAATAGCAAAGACTTGGAGCCAACCCAAATGCCCATCAATGATAGACTGGATAAAGAAAATGTGGCACATATACACCATGGAATACTATGCAGCTATAAAAAAGGATGAGTTCATGTCATTTGCAGGGACATGGATGAGGCTGGAAACCATCATTCTCAGCAAACTAACACAAGAACAGAAAACCAAACACCGCATGTTCTCACTCATAAGTGCGAGTTGAACAAGGAGAACACATGGACGCAGGGAGGGAAACATCACACACCAGGGCCTGTTGGGGGTTGGGAGATTAGGGGATGGACAGCATTAGGAGAAATACCTAATGTAGATCAATGACGGGTTGATGGTTGCAGCAAACCACCATGGGACATGTATACTTATGTAACAAACCTGCACGTTCTGCACATGTATCTCAGAACTTAAAGTATAATATAAATAAATAAATAAATAAATAAATAAATAAATAAATATGTAGATTGTTCAACAACAAAAACCAGTAATGTTATAATTTTGTATTTATTTGTGTGATTACTGTGTTATTCAGGTATAATTGCATATAGTAAAATGCATAGATCTTAAGCACATAGTTTGAGCTATTTTGACAAAAGATCAATTTTGATAAATGCAATATACATATCACCCCAGAAAGTTCCTTCTTGTTCCCACCTAGTCAAGACCTCCTTGACCCAAAGCAACCATTTTCTTGATTTTTAACACTGTAATTAATTGTGTTGGTTCTGGAATTTCATATAGGTGGAATCATATAGTTTGTGCTCTTTGGTGTCGGGCTTTTTCATCAGCATGTTTTTGATACTCATCCTTGTTACAGGTATCAGCAGTTTATTTCTTTTTTTTAATTGCTCAGTAATATCCCATTGTATCAACATGCCAGTTTGTTTATCCATTCTCCTATTATTGAAGATCTATGTTGTTAACAATTTTGGACTATTATGAATAAAGTTACTATGAATATTCTTGTACAATAATTTTTCAGACATACATTTTCATTTCTCTTTGGTAAATACCTAGGAATTGCTGGGTCATAGGATAGCTGTATATATAACATTTTAAGAACATGCTAGTTTTCAAAACTGATGGGAACATTTTATACTCCCACCAACAATATATGGGTGTTCCAGTTGATCCAGGTCCTTGCCAACATTTGGCATTGTCAGGTTTGTTTGTGTGTGTGTGTGTGTGTGTGTGTGTGTGTGTGTGTGTGTGTCTAATTTAGCTATTCTAATAGATGCACAGTGGTAACTAATTTTGGTTTTAATTTGGAATTTTCCTGATGACTACTGACGTTGAGCACCTTATTATGTTCTTCTTTATCATTTATACGTCTTTTATGAACTGTCTGCTAGTCAAGTATTTTGCTCATTTGTACTGGGTTGTTTTCTTTTTATTACTGAATTATAAGCATTTTTTACATATTCTGAATACAAATTCTTTGTTGGATGTAGGCACTGTGAAAATTTTCTCTTAGCTCCTGGCTTGTCTTTTCATTTTCTTAATGGTGTCTTTTGATGAGCAAAATGTTTTAAGTTCAATTTGTCCATTTCTTTTTTTCATCCTTCTGCATCCTCTCTAAGGAACCTTTGCCTAACCTTAGATTGTGAATATATTTCCCTGTAGTTTCTTCTAAAAGACAAACATAAAAGCTGAAAGTTTTTGGCTTTTTTTAATGCAGTTTTTTTATCCAGTTGTTCTAGCACTATTTGTTAAAAAGGCTTTCAATTCCCCATTGAATTGCTGTGGCAGTCTTGTCAACCATATATGTGTCCATCTATTTCTGGACTCTTTAGTCTTTCTACAATGCCACACTGTTGTGATTACCATAACTTTATAGTTAGTTTTTAAGTCAGAGAAAGTCCTCTAACCTTGTTTTATTAAATATTGTTTTAGAAATTCTATGGCATTTGCATTTCCAAGTACATTTTAGAATCAGCTTATTTATTTCCTGGAAAAGAGCCAGCTATGATTTTGATTAGGATAGGTGGAATTTACAGATCAACTTAGGGAGAATTGATATCTTAATAATACTGAGTCCTCCAATGCAGAAGATGGCATATCTTTATACTTAGTTTTTTCATTTCTGTCATCAATATTTTATAATTTTCAATTGAAAGATCTTGACATCTTTAAAAAACTTATCCCCAAATATTTTGTAGTTTTGAATGCTATTTTAAATGATATTTTTATTTTGCTTTCCAATTGTTTCTTGCTAAAAGATAGTATTAAATTATGTTTCATATGTTAACTTTATAGCATGTGACATTGGTACATTCACTTACTACGTCTAGTAGAGTTTTTGGTAGATCCCTTCAAGTTTTCTACATAGAAAGTGACGTCGGCCGGGCGCGGTGGCTCACGCCTGTAATCCTAGCACTTTGGGAGGCCGAGGAGGGTGGATCACAATGTCAGGAGATTGAGACCATCCTAACACAGTGAAACCCCATCTCTACTAAAAATACAAAAAATTAGCCGGGCGTGGTGGCAGGCACCTGTAGTCCCAGCTATTGGGAGGCTGAGGCAGGAGAATGGCATGACCCTGGGAGGCAGAGCTTGCAGTGAGCCAAGATCGCGCCACTGCACTCCAGCCTGGGTGACACAGCCAGACTCCGTCTCAAAAAAAAAAAAAAAAAGTGATGTCATCTGTAGTGACAGCTTTATTTCTTCCTTCCTAGTTTTTATCATTTTGTTTTATTTTCCTGCCTTTTTGCACCAGCTAGGACTTTGGCCAATGATGGAAGCAAACATCCCTTGACTCGTCTCCAACTTAAGAAGAGGAGTGCTCAATATTTCAACATAAGGAGTCACGATTACTGTAGATGCTCTTTAACAGATTGAGGAAATCTCCTCCTATCCCTAGTTATGTGGATTTAAAAAATCATGAATGGGTCTAAATTTTCGGCAAATGCCTTTTCTTCATCTAGTAAAATGATCATAATCTATTTTTCTTTTAATTGGTTAATATCATAAATTTCATTAAATGATTTTCATTTGTTAAATAAACCTTGCATTCCTGGAATAAACTCCAGCCAGTCATGATGTATTATCCTTTTTAATATGTTGGTATGTAATTTTCTTATCTTGTAATGTCCTTGTTTGGATGCAATTTTTCATTTATTTGTCTGTCTATTTGATGAAAAGGTATTTGTAAGCTTCATGAGGCCTGCAATTATATCTCTTGTGCTTGCCTTTTTTTCTCTCACGTGACTAAGAATGTAAAAATAGGTTGTTGAAGGAATTACTGGATGAAAGAATATATGAGCAAATTGTTTCTGGTCATAATATGTGAAAAGTTCCTTATAAGCATTAAAGCATAAAGCATACCCAAGTATGGGTTTTATTAGTAGTAGAAGAATTAAGACTACCTTGGTGCTTTTTATAGGGTTCAGAGTATGAGGCAAAGTAATCAATTTTACTGTAGAAAATGAATTCAGAATCAGGCGGCTTTCCTCAGCTGGACTCAGGGAAGACCATATTATATTATTTCCTCTACCTAAGGGCCCTTTTAATGCTCTGTCAGTTCTCTGGAGCCAAGAGAAGTTCAGGACTTTAATATTTACTCTTACAAATGTTCATGACTCTCTCTTCCCACAGTGAAAAAAAAAATGCTGCTGATCCGATTCTGTGTCTAATTGTACATAACCATGTATGTAGATAGATGTGAAAAAATCTTTTTCATGATAAAGGCTGTTACAAGCATAAAACAATGTTTATACTTGTATGATGTATAACATTATACAAAGATTTGATACTTGAAAATATGTTGCAGCTTCAACTTACAAGAGATAACTGCAATAGAGAAATAAACACGTGTTTGTAAAATGCTACTTACCCCAATTTCACTAATTGTTAAATTTAGCATTCAAAATTTTTGTTACATTTAAAAATAATGTACATGTTTACTTTAGTTTGATTTTCTTTTTTCGCTTTGGAAGAATTCCTGGGTATATATGATTCTCTAAAAGAGCAAAAGAAACCTTAAAATAAATGAGCCACTAAGCAACTAATTACAAAAACTTTAAAAGGCATAAAAATCCTTACAAGATGTACACAGATCAACAAGTATATTGCATACGGGGTCTAGCTGCTGGTCCGAGTGTTTGCTGTGGGGTAGAGCTCAGAAGTGAGAGTACTTCCCTTGAGCCTACAAAGAAAGGTCTTCAAAGGGCTGTTCTTTGTTTGGAGGGACTAGCCTGCAGCGTCCCTCAGCTTATTTCCTGGCACAGATGATGGCCCTGCCTTTGTTTATAATGACCAAGTCTTTGGTTCTGATGTTTTGTTTGTTTGTTTGTTTGTTTTTGAGACTGGAGTCTAGCTCTGTCGCCAGGCTGGAGTGCAGTAGTGCAATCTCAGCTCACGGCAACCTCCTCCTCCCGGGTTCAAGCAATTCTCCTGCCTCAGCCTCCAGAGGAGCAGGCATGTGCTGCCACACCCAGCTAATTTTTGTATTTTGTTTTAGTAGAGATGGGGTTTCACCATGTTGGCCAGGATGGCCTCAATCTCCTGACCTCGTGATCTGCCCACCTCGGCCTCCCAAAGTGCTGGGATTACAGGTGTGAGCCACAGTGCCTGGCCTGATTATTATTTTAGAATTAAAATATCCCAAGTTTCTGAAGCGAGAAAAGCAGTTTCCCCTCTTTCTAGTGCCTTCTGGCTGCTGGCGAAATGATGAACATGTTGAGCTTTACAAGCCAGAGATTCGATGAGAACAGAAACACACCTGCCAGGAAAAGAAAAGGCTGCTTAGAGTGAGGATTCAGGACCTGGAGCCCACTCTGCGGAGAGGGACTGGGGTCAGGTCCTGATTGGCTTGTGCTCTTCTCTTTTACGCAGGTCTTATGTATCAACAAAATCACACCAGACCACCCAAAGCTGGCCCTGCCAACTGACCACACACACCCCTGCCTGAAAGGCATGTTTCAATGTGCAACAGACGCCTGCCACTCAGGGGACATCAAATGTTCATGAGAACTCGCTAACCTCGAAACAGGTGACTGTCAAGACTGGCTGAGGATTGAAACTCTGGGGAAATTTGCTAGAATATGTGTGGATTGCTGGGCCAGCTTCCCGATGGGCTGATCTTTAGGTGCCGGGCTGGGGATGCGCATTCTCAGCACTGCTGCTGGGTGGTTCTGTGAAGTAGACCCTTGGTAACCACTGCATTAGACCACCTAGGTCTCTGCCACTTCCACACTGTGGACACTTCGATGGATCATTCTTTGTGGTGGGCACTGTCCAGTGCATTGCTGGATATTCAGCAGCATTCCTGAACTCTTCTTGCCAGATACCAGTAGCACCCTTCCTGTCCCCTCCCATGTCACCATATGACAACCCAAAAGATCTCCAGACGTTGCCACATGTTCCCAGGCAGCAAACTCCCTTCCATGGTAACTACTGTCCTAGGCTGTTTACAAGGTTATTAGTGATGGTGACAGCCATAATGAGGAACCAGGCTCTGTGCCGAGCACTCACTGCATCTCATTCTGTGTAATCCTCATGGTCATATTCTTAGGCAATCTTTTCATCATTGTTTATAAAACTCAGAGAATTTAAACAGCTTTCCCAAGGTCATGGGTAATCAGTGGCCACAGCTTGATGCCTACCTCTGTTTGACTCCAAAGTGGACTCAGGGGTCAGATAGATCCAGAGGGTGACAGAAACCTCATCCTGGAGACTGGGGGTTCTTCCAAGGCTTGTTCTTGTCACTTTTTTTTTTTTTTTTTTTGAGATGGAGTCTTGCTCTGTTGCCCAGGCTGGAGTGCAGTGGCGCGATCTCAGCTCACTGCAAGCTCCGCCTCCCAGGTTCACGCCTCCCAGGTTCACGCCTCCCGAGTAGCTGGGACTACAGGTGCCTGCCACCATACCTGGCTAATTTTTTGTATTTTCAGTAGGGACGGGTTTTCGCCATGTTGGCCAGGATAGTCTCGATCTCCTGAACTCGTGATCCGCCCTCCTCCGCCTCCCAAAGTGCTGGGATTACAGGCGTGAGCCACCGCACCGGGCCTCTTGTCACTATTTAACAAAGCATAATGGCTCCTCTCTGCCTACTCTACCAGATCCATGCTCTTTAGCCTGCCAGGCCAGGCTGTCCCTACCTCACATCCCCTGATCAGCTACATTATAATCTAAGGCCTATCTCCTCTTTAACCCTGAACGTACCTTGCTCATTTTCACTGTAGGGCTGTTTCTTTCATTCAGGGGTCTCAAACTCAAATGTCTATAGGGGCCTAGAGGGTAAATTAACAAACAAAGTGGGCTCAGTGCAAGATGATAAATGGCAATGGATCTTTCAGCCTCATTTGGAGAGACCTTGGGAATGGTGAGGACTGTGACCTCAGTGGAGCACCTACTTTACTGAGACAGGGCAGCTGCTTCTCCATCTTGCCCTGTGCTAGTCTTGCTGGATATTTTATTTTTCAAGAAATAAAATATGGAATGTGGAATAATATGTGTGACTTATCAATTTTTAAATTTTGGTAGGTTCTACAAATTCAAAAAAACCACCCGTGGCCTGGCTCTGGGCTGAAGCTGAGTCCTGGCTTGAAATCCCCTGCCTTAATCTCTCTTCGAAGACTTTTCTGCATTCATCTGAGTCCTCATCCTCCAAGGCAGGGCTCAGGCTTGGGCTCAGGCTCCCAGCCATGTATCCCTCCTGGACCATTCCTGACTCCTTTCCAGTATCCTTATCACTTGTACCACATACGTTGGCCTTTGATCCTGTGTACTGTTGGATTTGTCTTTACTTCACAGGTTCATCTTGTCTCCCCAAGAACAATGAGAGTTGCCTCAAGGGGTAGAACCATGCTTTTTGTTTTCTTTTGAATTCATTACAGCACAGCCAAAAGCTCAACACACAAAACACACTCAGTAAATATCTGTTGAACAGAATAAAAGCCATTCCGCATAACCAACCCTGATCTCTTTTGCTGGACTGTAAACCAACCTACCTATTGTTAGTCCTTCACAGATTATATGGTGGATCTGAACACATCAGGTAGAACCTTTGATAAACTTAAAGTCCTTCATTGAATCACTCTGTAGCCACTGTTTTCTCTAGGACAAAAGCTTTAAATATTTTGAGAAAATTGTACAAGACCATCCATCCTGATTCTCATGGCTTTGGTTGTTCAGAAAGGAAATCTTTGTACACACACCATTTCACTGCCTCCTTTTCAGTTTCCCAATTTGGAAAAAGGAAAAATGTGAACTATCCCCCTCTTCGCGTTCTTTTCTAACTGAAGTGATAGATTTCAGAGTCGTATAAAGCTAAGATTATCGTTTATCATATCTCAGATTCAGGGAGGTGGTTAGCATGCCAACGTGCAAATCCCCAGGCAACTGTGAACAGCCATTTGGAGAATCCACCACATGGAAAATCCTCCAGGTAAGTGCAAATGTTACTTATAAATAGGGCTTTGGCTCAAAATCCCTATGGTCTTAACTAGGTGTGAGCTATGTGCATGTTTTAGTTTCTAATTTTTCTTTTCTTGTTAAGAAGTAGTATATGGGTTAGGCACAGTGGCTCACACCTGTAATTCCAGCATTTGGAGAGGCTGGGGAGGGTGGATTGTTTGAACTCAGGAGTTCAAGACCAGCCTGGCCAACATAGTGAAACCCCATCTCTACTAAAAATACAAAAATTAACTGGGGCAAGGTGGCGTGTGCCTGTAATCCCAGCTACGTGGGAGGCTGAGGCAGGAGCATCACTTGAATTCAGGAGGTGGAGGTTGCAGCGAGCTGAGATGATGCCACTGCACTCCAGCCTGGATGACAGAGTGAGATTTCATCTCAAAAAAAAAAAAAAAAATTAGCCAGGTGTGGTGACACCCACCTGTAGTCCCAGCTCTCAGGAGGCTGAGGTGGGAGGATCACTCGAGCCTGGGAGGCAGAGGTTGCAATGAGTCAAGATCATGCCACTGCATTCCAGCCTGGGGTGACACAGTGAGACACTGACTCTAAAAAAGAAAAAAAAAAGAAAAAGAAAAAAGAAAAAAAATAGTAGTATATGCCCATTGTAGAAACTTCAGGAGACACAGATAATCAAAGAGAACATAAAAATAATCTGTAGTTCGACTATCCAGAGAACTACTCACTTTGTAGGAGTCATACACTCACACACACACCCTTTACATAGTCTAGGTATCATAATATACAACATATAATGTATATATAATGTATAATATATATTCACACACATAACTTTTCATACAAATGGACTCATTGTATACACACTCTTTTGACAACTGCAGAAGCAGCCAGGGTTCTGTGGTTGTAAGTAACAGAAAGCCATTCTGCCTAATCTAACAAAAGAAAGCTATGGGCAGGATACCAAGATGGTTTAAAGATTCAAATACCAATTTAAACAATCCAGCCTTGGGGAGGCTGGGGACCCGGGTGGATCTTGGAATCTAGGTAGCAGGTCAGACTCTTTAGCGTGTCTTCATTGGGAAGACTCAGTTCCCACCATTTTCTGGTAGGGCAGGATTCCACTCAAGTTCTGAACTGCGGAGAGAGGTCTGATTGGAGTAGCTGGGTCGTGTGCCTGGACTGCTGGTATAGTTGTCCATGTTATGTGCTGCATAAGCCTTGGGAGCATGCTCATGGTAGTCTGGGATTGTGCAGTGCCCAGCCAGAACAATCTACGTGATAGCCCTTACACATACACGTCCATCCTTGAATAATAGCCCTTCACAAGTTGCTGGGATAGGAGCGGGAACATTCCCCAAAGCAAAGGTGTCACCCGTGGAAGGGTGAATAGATGCTAGGCAGGCAGAAACAAAAGATGTCTTCTACATCTATTTCCCTGAACATCTACATCTATTTTCCTTTATCTCATGGTCATCCTTGATGTAATGTTGTATTTCCTTCCCCATAGCAGTTTTTTGTAGGTTACATAATATTCTGTGATATGGCTATACCATACTTTATTTAGTATAATTAGATATATTGTTGTCTGTGTTGTTCACAGCTCTATCCTAAGCACGTAGGATGGTCCCTGGCACAGAGTAATGCCCAATAAATATTTGTTAATTTAATTGTTTTCTAATTGTTTGGTATTATATAGTGCCACCATAGACACCTCACAGGTAAATCTTAGTGCATATGCATGATTATATCTAATAGGGTGAACAACTTATTTTGTTTGCCTGGGGCTTTCTGAACATCCTGTGTCCTGGGCGCCACCTCAATCCTGGGCAAAGGGAATCATCCTAACATCTAAGTACCCTGCTCTGATCTGAGCGCTGGAAGTCATATCTTACTGATACAGAGGGGAGGTATAGAAAATTCAACCCAAGGAAGAAAGAAGCCTACCCAAACCACTGAGTATCGACTGCAAACCACTCTCTATCTACCTCCTTCTTTGTGCTCCTACTCTTATCTTGCCAAGCTTTCCCAGGGGACAGTCACATCCTCACCCCAGGAGGGCTGAGAAAGAACACCGGTGCAAAGGAGGGCACAGGTCAGCAAGAGGGATTCGCTTCTGTCCCCAGCTATGAGTCATCATCCTCATCCTTTTAGTCATCCCCTGAAAGCTGCATGCTGTAATTTGGTGACCGCCTTGTGTCCTTGAAGAGCATTTTCGAGCCAAAACTTTTCTTCTTCTTCCTGGGGCAGACACTGAGGTCAGTGGTGGGAAGAGTCTTGTGCATTTTCATGTACAGTAACAAGCCACACAGGAAGTACCAGGAATTCAGCCCAGCTAGGGTCACTGTGAGCCCAAAGTCTGCCTGGACGATGAATGCCTGATGTGTGGCCACTCCTCAGAAGTGCACAGCAGGAAACTTCTAGTGGCCAATGAGCAGTGCTACATTTTTCATTCATGTACTTTCTGCAAGTTCACCTTTTACTTTTATCGAAATGACACAAATATTAGTACGATAAGGCTTATAACAAACATCATGGTCTCCTGCCCCCTCCTCTCACACCTGACCCTAACTTCCCTGAGAGAACTTCTTTTTGCTCTTTTCACTCATGTTATTTCCATGTTTTCAAATAGTATGCTTATCCCTCCATGTGTTGATTTTAAAAATTTAGGTATTATCCAGCACAGTGGTGTTCAAAGGATGGTCCCTGGACTGGCAGTGTCGGCATCACCTGGTGAGTATTGATCCACTTATTCACTCATGTATTCTTTATTTTTTTAAAAAACAAATGTTTACTGAAGGACATCATAATCTAAGCGTTGTCTAGGCTGGCACGTTCCAAGACAGTCATCATCAGCCACAGATGACTTCTGAGCCCTTGAAATGGGGCTGGTGTGCACTGAGCTGGAATTCTAAAATACACATCCAATTTTAAAGACACAGTGTGAAAGAACAGGAATGTAATATATCTCAATGATTCTGAGTTGATACGATTATATTTTTATCATACTGTGCTAAATAAAATATGCTATTGAAATTAATTCCATCTGTTTCTTTTTTTCCTTTTTGATGTGGCTACTGGAAATTTTTAAATGACATTTCCAGCAAACAGAAATGCAGATGTTTAGGTCTCTCTGACCTTCTGAATCAGAAACTCTGGGGGCAGGCTCTGCCCATCCAGGTGTGAACAAGCCCTCCAGCTGATGCTGACGCTGCTAAAGTTTGATAACCACTGGTTTACGCCTCTGCAGATAACAAGGATTTAGAAGAGGGGATGGGCCTGGCGTGGTGGCTCATGCCTGTAATCCCAGCACTTTGGGAGGCTGAGGCAGGCAGATCACCTGGAGTCAGAAGTTTGAAACTAGCCTGGCCAACATGGTAAACACCATCTCTACTAAAAATACAAAAATTAGCCAGGTGTGGTAGCGGGTGCCTGTAATCCCAGCTACTCGGAAGGCTGAGGCAGGAGAGTAGCTTGAACCCTGGAGGCGGAGGTTGCAGTGAGCCGAGATCACGCCACTGCACTCTAGCCTGGGCGACAGAACCAGTCTCCATCTCAAGGAAAAAAAAAAAAAAAGAAGAGGGGATGGCAATGGTGTGTGTTTGTGTTGAGTCCCTGAAGCTATGTCCACCCGTGAACTCTCATTTACATGAGTTAAAAAAATCTTTTTGCCTTAACCTAGTAGGAGTTTTGTCAGCTTGAGTCCTGACTAGTAGAGACCCTATTGACAATTTGTCTTTCCCTGAATTGTCCTCTCTTCTCCCAAAATTGTCTAATTTTGATGAGTTCTTCCTCACCTCCCTATTTAATGGGATGTCTCTCCCCTCTTAGTCTCTGGCCTCCTTTCCTGCTTTATTGTTCTTCCATAGCATTTATCACAATCTGACATGCTATATATTTTAATCCTTTTTTTGAGGTCTATGTTCTCTCCATTAGAACAGAAGTTGCATAAAAATAGGAGTTTTTATTTGTTTTGCCTTCTGCTATGTCCCCAACACCTAAACCAGCACTGTTTGACCAAATCTATCATTTAAAAATTTCCAGTAGCCACATCAAAAAGGAAAAAAGAAACAGATGGAATTAGCATATTTTATTTAGCACAATATAATAAAAATAAAATTATATCAACTTGTAATCATTGAGATACATTTCTTTTTTTTTTCACACTATGTCTTTAAAATCAGATGTGTATTTTATAATTCCAGCACATCTCAGTGTGGACCAGCCTCATTTCTAGGGTTCAGTTGCCATCTGTGACTGATGGTGACTGTCTTAGAACATGCCAGGCTAGTTTCCTTCAGTAAATATTTGTCAAAAAAAAAAAAAAAAAGAATACATGAATGGATAAGTGAATCAATACTTCTCTGGAGGTTGGAATGCCCATAATAGGCAGGACAAGATCTTGGAGCATGGCACATTGGCATCAAGGGGAGAATGAAGGTTTTGATAGATGAAGCTGGAAAGATGGGTCTCCGGTTCTGGATCTATCACCTAGCAAGAGAAAGAACTGCCAAGTTGACACAAACTTAGAAACTAGTTTTAGTACAATGCAGCTACAGTGGTTAAGGTTTGGGACTTTTAAAAAACAAAATGGGGACCCAATTCTTTACATGAAAATGTTGCAATGTGTTTTTAATTGGATGAGTTTGCCGAAGGAAATGAAAGGAGAGAGGCTGCCCGCTCATGTTAAGTGCCTCAAAATGGGTCTCAAAAGCAATTAAAGCTAAAACTAATTAGCAGAGGAATTAATTGAAAGGGAGATTTTAAAAATTCGATTTGTTTGCAAACCATTTTAGGCACAAAATTCAGTTTCGTATTGATTTCGGGTTCCAGTCTGAATCAATAAAAATCAAACATGGTTTTCAAAAGTAGAGTTGTCAGGGCCGAGATGATGATCCTCTTTGAGGGCAGTTGGTTAATGGCCTGAGGTTTTAAAAGCATCACACATGGTGCCACAGGGAGGTGGAAAACCCTGGAGTCTGCACAACTGGATGATCACCATGGAGCTCCATCACCTACATCTGCGTTGGCTGACCTTCCACTGCATAGCTCTCGACCAAGGAAAAATTATCTTTCACTTCTGCAGTCAAGCGTTTCAGTGGAAAGTAATCTCCATTTATTTGTGCCAATTTTCCTAAATTGCTTGAGTGTGGCAGGAAAACGTGAAGTGGACTCAAATCGTCTTTCTGATCTTTTTTCCTCGATGTTTTCCCTTATCCCACCCTCAACTATCAATGCTCTCCCAAATTGACGGTTTTGACTTCCATCAGAAAACAGCACTAGGTGGGATGTGAAATGTGCCAGCTACATACGAAAGTTTTTTGTTGTTTGTTTGTTTGTTTGTTTTGAGATGGAGTTTTGCTCTTGTCTCCCAGGCTGGAGTGCAATGGCGCAATCTCGGCTCACTGCACTGCAACCTCCGCCTCCCGGGTTCAAGTGATTCTCCTGCCTCAGCCTCCTGAGTAGCTGGGATTACAGGCGCCTGCCACCACGCCAGGCTAATTTTTATATTTTTAGTAGAGATGGGGTTTCACCATGTTGGCCAAGCTGGTCTCAAACTCCTGACCTCAGGTGATTCTCCCAACTTAGCCGCCCAAAATGCTGGGATTACAGGCGTGAGCCACTGCACCTGTCACTACATACAAGAGTTTAATGGACACAAGCTTATAAAAAACCTCATCCGATAAGGACAAGTGCAGCTCCCTCAGAATGTTCCCTCTGATGGCCCCCACAAGGTGTTTCTGAATGTGCTGACTTGCCTCTTGTCTCATCATCTCTTAAGGGATCCACATCCTCCCCCAACCTCTTTCTCCTCACCTTCTTCCCTTTCTTTTTTATTGTTTCTATTGCAGGCGGCATTTTTTGGGCCCTTTCTGTGTGCCAAGCATTGGGTTCGGCACTCAGTGCCAATTATCTCATAGCATTCATTTATTGAAGGCCTACTCTGCAAGATATTGTTCTAGGCACTGAGGATATGGCAAAGAACACAACAGTAAAATCTCTGCCCTCATAGAGTTTGTATGCTAGTGAAAAAGCAAGAATACGTGCCATAAATTAGTACAATACAGATTGTCAAGACAGTGTGGCAGTTCCTCAAAGGCCTAAAAATAGACATACCATTCAACCCAGCAATCCCATTACTAGGTATATACCCAAAGGAACAGAAATTGTTCTATAATAAAGGCACATGTACATGTATGTTCATTGCAGCACTAGTCACAATAGCACAGACGTGGAATCAACCTAAATGCCCATCAATGGTAGACTGGATAAAGAAAATATGGTACACATACACCACGGAATGACTACTATACAGTCACAAAAAAGAACGAGATTATGTCCTTTGCAGGGACATGGATGGAGCTAGAAGCCATTATCCTTAGCAAACTAACACAGGAATAGAAAACCAAATACCACATGTTCTCATTTATAAGTGGGAGCTAAATGATGAGAACGCACGGACACATGCATTGGGAGCAACAAACACTGGGGCCGATTGAAGGGTAGTGGGTGGGAGGAGGGAGATGAGCAGGAGGAATAACTAATGGGTACTAGGCTTAATACCTGGGTGATGAAATAATCTGTACGACAAACCCCCATGTCACAAATTTACCTATGTAACAAATATGCACAAGTACCCCTGAACACAAAATAAAAGTTAAAAATAATTTTCAGAATAGGCTTAAAGAAAACAACAACAAAAACAGCTTGCCAGGAAGTAGTGAGTATTAAGCAGACTGAGGCAGGACATGGGGAGAGCAGGTGTTGGTTGGGAAGTGGGCAGATTGGAACCCCCATATGGGTGCTAGGAGGGCCTCCCTGCAGAGGTGGCATCTGAATAAAAGCTGAAGGAAGTGAGGGGTCAGCCATGTGGATGACTGAGGGAATAGGAACCAGGGTGGAGAGAGCAGTCTGTGCCAAGTCCTGAGGCAGAAGCAACCCTGTGTGTTTGCAGAGCAGCCAAGAGGCCTGTGTGGCCAGACAGAAGTGAAGGAAGGACAAGTGGGACACAAGGACAGTGGTGCTGTGAGATCTCAGGGGGAGTGT
The DNA here is from genome assembly GCF_000001405.40 of Homo sapiens. Lineage (NCBI taxonomy): Eukaryota > Metazoa > Chordata > Mammalia > Primates > Hominidae > Homo > Homo sapiens. The sequence continues at coordinate 14,341,446 of NC_000001.11, read as the reverse complement.
CAGGACTGCGTGCGTTGGGAGCCACTGCAGCACCCTGAGCCCAGGAGCTGCAGGATCTGACTTAGGATTCAACAGGATTGCACTGCCTGCATTTTGGAGAATGGAGCAAGAAGGGTCAACTGCAGGTGCCTGTCACATCTGATAAATCACACTTGAGATCATCATCATCATTTCCCCATTTTACAGATGAGTGCCTAATCTTTTTAAAAAATAAAAGGTAAAGCCTAATCTTTTTTAAAAAATAAGGAAAATCAGCTGGGCACGGTGGCTCATGCCTGTTAATCCCAACACTTTGGGAGGCCAAGGCGGGTGGATCACCTGAGGTCAGGAGTTCGAGACCAGCCTGGCCAACATGGTGAAACCCCCCCCAATCTCTACTAAAAATACAAAAATTAGCTGGGCATGGTGGCGCATGCCTGTAATCCTAGGTACTCAGGAGGCTGAGACAGGAGAATTGCTTGAACCCGGGAGGCAGAGGTTGCAGTGAGTCGAGATTGTGCCACTGCACTCCAGCCTGGGCGACAGAGTGAGACTCCATCTCAAAAAAAAAAAAAAAAAGGGAAAATCATGACCCTTACGGAGATATAAGATGAACATCTGATAAACATTTTCATTTTACTCATAATGAAGGAACCAAGTAATTGTTTTAACTGATTCAAAGGAGAAGTCAAAAAACAGACACACTTACAGATCAGGGATGCTGGAATAAATGGCAAATGAAGGCAAAACTGGCTCCTTCCACGGGACTTCCATAGAACAGAACGGAATTTGTATGCCTACAGACAGCAAGCATTGTGCCTTGTTATCAGTTATCTACAACTTGTATAAGATTAGAGTCAGATAACCTGCAGAGGTGTCTCTGTGACAATGCATAGCTTGGCACTGAAACACACATTTTTCCTTACAGAAGAAAAATAATCTCAGGCTTAAAGAAGTTAAGAAACATGGCTGAGTTGACTCAGTAACTGCCAGAACTGGGGGTTACACCCAAATTGTTGTGATTTCCAAGTCTGTGACGTCAATCTCTTGCTTTTACCAGGCTGACATCCAGTGACTTAAGAAAAACAGAGACCTACTAAAATATTTTCAGAGATCTGGAGAGCAGTAAAACTTGGTTATATAAAGTGATCTTCTCAAAAGAAACACATAGCTTAATATCCAAATCAACTAATATTTCCTGAATGTCTGCTCTGTGCAAAGCACAGAAATTGGGCACAGGGGACCCAAAGATAAATAAGAAGTAGCTTCCAATAAGCCAGCAATTTAATGATGCAAGAAACAACCCTCACACAGTGCGGATGCTCAGAACCCAGCATGCTGATGGAAGACCCTTCACTCTGTTCCCCGATTTTATAAGCTACATATTCCATAACAAAGAATATGAAACACCCAGATATGTAAATGTGTTCACTGTAATGCTAAAATCCACAGAAAACCACAGCTGGGGAACTTCAAGGTGAAGCATGGTGGGAGAGCTGCTTGAAGCAGCAGGGTAAGACGATAGGTAGCAAATTGGGTGGTGTTTTGTTAATATACAAGTTAAGCCCTTAAGGATAACTCATGGGAAGGGGGAAAGGCTGTATTTTCAGGGAAAAGCTGTTGCTACTTGTGATAGTTAATTTTATGTGTCAACTGGACTAGCTCATGTGGTGCCCAGATATCTGGTCAAACGTTATTCTAGGTATTGCTGCAAGTGGGTTTTGGATAAAACTAACATTTAAATTGCTAAAGTGAATAAAGCAGATTGCCCTCCTTAATGTGAATGGGGCTAATTCAGTCAGTTGAAGGCCTCAATAAAACAAAAGGCTGACTTCCCCCCACACATAAAAGAGGAAATTTCTCCTGCCTTTGAGCTCGAATATCAGTTTTTTTCCTGCTTTTGAGCTCGAACAGAAACGTCGGCTCTCCTGCGTGTCTAGCTTGCTGACTGCAGATCTTGGGACTTGTCAGCCCCTGTCATCAAGTGAGCCAATTCCTTACAGTAATAAGTCTCTTTTGGTGCATATACACATCCTACTGGTTCTGTTTCTCTGGAGAACTCTGACTAATGCTCTGTTCCACCCATTTGATTTTCTCTCCTCTCCTATGCCTAATACATAGGAGAGATTTAATTCATATTTATTAGAGAATCAATTTGCTCAGGGTCTATAGTGTTTCAAGAATTTATGTTTTGGCTGCTTTTTTCTCTTCCCCATTCAAAGAATGAGAACAGGAGTGTGTTCTGAGGGATGATAGCATTTGGGAGCTTTGAACGCCTGTTTTTATGTTCTTTCTTTCTGTGTTATTTCCTTTTCTTATTTTATAAAGAATCCAGTCCCCTCTTTCTCTCTGTCTCTCTCTCAGTCTCTGTCTCTCTCTGTTACGTCTGATCTTGTTTGTCTGTGAATCCCCACGAAAATCATGAGAGTTTCTTTTTTTCTTTTTTCAGAGTCTCTGGGCAATCGAACTGTGACATCTTCATCACATTGGTCCCAAGGATTGATTCAGCAATGTGCCCAATTAGGTGGGTGTCCCCTTCCATCATGGCTCTCCTATGTGGGTCCCTTCTGAAATAATGCATCCTTCAGGGTGCTTTCAGCTACGAGCAACATAAAACTCAATTAAAAGTGTGCTAGACAGAAAGGACATTTTTCATCTCACTTATGTACTGAGAAGTCTGAACATGGGATAAATCCCTGATTGGCTAATTTGCTCAATGACACCAACAGAAGACCTTGGTGCTTCCTACCCTGCCAGATTGAACACAATGGACTCCTCTTGGGATCACCAAGTTGGCTCCAGCAGTTTCAGGCTTTGCCCAGAGACATGACGACATACAGCAAGAAAAGGAAATTTCCTTCCATCGCCTCTCTTTTATTTCTGAGGACACCTTTCCCAGAAAATGCATAGCAGGCTTTTGTTTACATGTTTTCTTTTCTCTCTCTCACTCTCTCTCTCTCTCTTTTTTTTTTTTTTTTTCTCTAAGATGGAGTCTCATTCTGTTGCCCAGGCTGGAGTGCAGTGGCACGATCTGAGCTAATCACAACCTCTGCCTCCCAAGTTCCAGCGATTCTCCTGCCTCAGTGTCCCGAGTAGCTGGGACTACAGGTGCACACTGCCGTGCTTGGCTAATTTTTTTTGTATTTTTTTTTCTTTAGTGGAGATGGGGTTTCGCCATGTTGGCCAGGCTAGTCTCAAGCTCCTGACCTCAAGTGATCCACCCACCTTGGCTTCCCAAAGTGTTGGGATTACAGGTGTGAGCCATTGCGCCCAGCCTGTTCACATGTTCTTAACCAGAAGGGGGTCAATGTCATTCCTAAAACCATCACTGGGTCAGAAGAGAGACAGGTCTCTTTGATTGCCTTAGGCAGATTGAGATTCTCTCTCTGGAGGGTGGGAAGGGGTCCATTCTCACCAGAATGATTTGGTTACTCAAGGAAATGTGGATAAAATTACCTTCTATGAGCAAAGAAGGTAAGCCAGTGAACACTGGAGAAAATCAAGAGTGACAGCAGCAGATGGTATTAAGATCAATTTCTCAAACAGAGGAGGCTCTTTTTTTTTTTTTTTTTTTGAGACAGAGTCTTGCTCTGTCACCCAGGCTGGAGTACAGTGATTCAATCTTGGCTCATCATAACCTCCGCCTCCTGAGTTCAAGCGATTATCCTGCCTCAGGCTCCCAAGTAGCTGGGATTACAGATGCGCGCCACCACGCCCAGTTAATTTTTGTATTTTTAGTAGAGACGGTGTTTTGCCATGCTGGCCAGGCTGGTCTCGAACTCCTGACCTCAGGTGATCCACCCACATCGGCCTTCCAGTGCTGAGATTACAGGCGTGAGCCACCGCACCCAGCCAAGGAGGCTTCTCTTAAAAATGAACCAATAGCTACTTGCCCCAGGATTAAAACAGGAACAATGGAGGAAAGGAGGACAATTTTAGGGATTTCAGATTCTGTTTACATGCATCTAAAACTCTGCTTCAAGTCTTAACAATATACAAGACCTATTGAGGGAAAATAGTATTTGTAAATTCAGGGTTCTAAACATATTTTCCTCCCTAAAGACTAAACTTGTAAACTATTGCCATGTCAAGGAAAGGAAGAACATTTAAAACCATTCACATCCTTTTCCAGTATGGATGCTTTCAATACCATTTTTCTTTCATCCTTCCCTCCACAGATGATCTAGGGTTACTCTTGACAGAGAACAAGAGAAAGAACTGTGACACCTGCCTGCACCATATTTATTCTTCTCAAAATTACATATCAAACACTTGTGCTAGCTTCAAATAATAAGGGCTAACAATTACCAGGCATTTACTCTGTGCTAAGTGCTTCATATGCGTCATCTCATTTAAATTGTCTAACAACCAGTGAAGCTGCTAATTGCAGTGGATGTTTGTTATTTTTCCCACTTGGAACCTGTTCTCACCTCCTTCTGACAATGCTATTGCATTTTTACATGGATAAGTATTTGTAGTCTGTCCAGATAAGCAACAAAAAATTGAATAAATTGGACTTCATAAAAATTAAAAACTTTGTACACCAAAGGACACTATCAAGATGGAGAAAAGATAACTTACAGAATGAGAGAAAATATTTGCAAATCATATATCTGCTAAGAATATAGTACCAGATTATATAAAAAAATATAATTCAACAAAGAGACAAAGAAAATTTATGTATGGGCAAAGGACTTGGATAGACATTTGTCCAAAAACATACAAATGGGCAAAAAGCACATAAAAGATAGTCAACATCATTAGTCATGAGAGATATGCAAATCAAAGCCATAATGAGATACTACTTTACAATCATGAGAATGACTAAAGTAAAAAAGACAATAACAAGTGTTGATGAGGAGGTAGAGAAAATGGAACCTTTGTGCATTGCTGGTAGGAATGTAACATGGTGCAGCTGCTGTGAAAAGGAGTTTGGTGATTCCTCAAAAAGTTGACCATAGAATTAGCATATGACACAGTCATTTGACTCCCAGATATATACTCAAAAGGATTGAAAACTGTCAAATTTGTATACAGAGATGCTCATACATCATCCTTCGTTATAGCCCCAAACTGGAAACATCTCAAATGTTCATCAGCTAAAGAATGGAGAAACACTCAGTGATATATTTATATGATGGAATATTATTCAGCCATAAACAGGAATGAAGTACTAATACATGCTGCAACATGAATGCACCTTGAAAATACACCAAGTGGGAGAAGCCAGACATAAAAGCCACATATTGTATAATTTCATTTATATGAACTATCTAGAATAGGAAAATCCATAGAGACAGATTAGTAGCCTCCATTCTTTGGTTGCTCAGGCCAAAAGCCTTGGAGCAATCCTTACTCCATTACCTATTCACATACTTCAGATCTAATGAGTCAGGACATCCTGTTTGTAAGCACCCACCCAAAATATACCCAGCACTTCCCTCTCCTCTGCTGCTACTTCCGTGGTGAGGGACACCCCAGTGTCTCTCACCTGCATTGCTGCAGGAGCCTTCTGACCAACTTCTCTGGTTTGTCTTCTTTGTCCTAGATTGTTTCCAGTGGTCCCCAGCTCTGGTATTCTTTCCATTGTGCCATCAACCAATAGAACAAAACAGAAGTGAGAGCTTCCCTGTCCATCTGTTTCTCTGACTTTCTGTCCTTCCATCTCTATCTCTGAATTTCTGCCTCTCTCTCTCTCTCTCTCTCTGTGTGTGTGTGTGCGCGCACATGCACGCCTATATTAGTCTGTTTTGTTTTACTGTAAGAAATACCTGAGGCTGGGTAATTTATAAAGAAAAGAGGTTTATTTGGCTCACAGTTTTGCAGGCCATACAAGTATGGCACCAGCCTCTGCTTGGCTTCTGTGAGGACCTCAGGAAACTTAAAATCATGGCAGGAGGTGAAGGAGGAGCAGGTGCGTCACATAGCCAGAGAGAGGTCAAAAGAGAGGTTAAGAGAGAGGAGGGACTAGGTGCAGTGGCTCATGCCTGTAATCCTAGCACTTTGGAAGGCTGAGGTGGACGGATCACCTGAGGTCAGGAGTTTGAGACCGGCTTGACCAACATGGTGAAACCCCGTCTCTACTAAAAATACAAAAATTAGCCAGGTGTGGTGGCACATGCCTATAGTCCCAGCTACTCGGGAGGCTGAGGCAGGAGAATCACTTCAACTCAGGAGGTGGAGGTTGCAGTGAGCCGAGATCGCACCACTACATTCTAGCCTGGGTGACAGAGCGAGACTCCATCTCCAAAAAAAAAAAAAAAAGAAAGGAGGACATGCCGGCCTCCTTTAAGCAACCAGTTATTTTGTGAACTCACAGAGCAAGAACTCATTCATCACCACTGGGGTGGTGGGGGGGGGGCACCGAGTCATTCATGAGGGATCCGCCCCCATGGCCCAAACACTTCTTAGGCCCCACCTCCAACACTGGGGATCACGTTTCAACATGAGACTCAGAGGGACAAACACCTAAACCATATCAGTGTCTGCCTATATCTATCTGTGTCACTCTCTCACTCTCTGTCTCTGTGTCTATTTCTGTGTCTTCCTCTCTATTTCTCTCTGAGTTTGTGGATTTTTGTCTCTCTCTCTGCATCTGTCTGTGTCTCTGTCTGCCTCTGCGTTTGTCCTGTGTCTGTCTGTCTCTCTGCTTCTGTCTCTCTCTGGGGGAAGTCAGCTGCCATGTCATGTGTAAACCCACAAAAGGGTCCATGTGACAGGGAACTCTACCTTCTGCCAACAGTCACCTGAGTGAACTCAAAAGCAGATTCCCCAGCCCCAGCCCCAGCCCAGCCTTCAGCTGGTTGCAACCTCATCACATGGCTCTTCTGCTCCTAATCCTGCCTGACTTCCCTTTTCCTGCAGGGTGAAAGCCAAAGTCCTTACGATGGCCACACCTCTTCCATGAACTGGCCACTGATTTCCCACTTCCTGCAGCGTGAAAGTGAAAGTCCTTATGATGACCATGCCTCCTTTATGAACTGGCTACTGACTTTCCATTTCTGCAGGGTGAAAGCCAAAGTCCTTGTGATGGCCACGCCTCCTTTATGGCCTGACCACCACTGCCTTCCCATTTCCTTTTTTTTTTTTTTTTTTTTTTTTTTGAGATGGAATCTTGCTCTGTTGCCCAAGCTGGAGTGCAGTGGTGCAATCTCGGCTCACTGCAACCTCTGCTTCTTGGGTTTGAGCGATTCTCCTGCCTCAGCCTCCCAAGTAGCTGGGATTACAGGCATACACCACCACACCTGGCTAATTTTGTATTTTTAGTAGAGACGGGGTTTCACCATGTTGGTCAGGCTGGTCTAGAACTCCTGACCTCAGGTGATTTGCCCACCTTGGCCTCCCGAAGTGCTAGGATTACAGGCATGAGCCAACCTTGCCTGGGCTGGCCGACTTCCCATTTCCTGTAGGGGGAAAGTGAAAGTCCTTGTGATGGCCATGCCTCCTTTATGACCTGGCTGATTTCCCATTTCCTGCAGGGTGAAAGCCAAAGTCCTTATGATGACCACGCCTCCTATGTGACCTGGGTGATGGCCTCAGTCCTTCCCTCTCCCATACTCACGGGGCTCCAGGAGGTGTCCAGGGGCAGCCACATTTCTGTGGCCTTTGACCACTTTGCTCATTGCTGGAAAACTTCCCCCAGACACCCACACCTCATTCTCTCACCTCTTCAAATCTCTGTTCAAATCCCACCACCTCACTGAAGCCCTCTCCACCCACCTTATTTAACAAGCGACACCCCCCACCAGCCCCTGTCAGCATCCCTAATCCATGTCCATGCTGTTTCTCTTGTCCAAGCACTCATTACCACGAATCTTTTATTTTCCCCATTTATTATGTTCATTGATTTTGGTTTCTCTCTCCACACTAGAATATCAGCCCCTTCAGGGCAGGGATCTCTGTTTAATTCCCTGCCACATTCCAAGCACCTAGAATAGTGTGGCAAATAGTAGGTGCTCAATAGTTGCTTGATGATGAATGAGAAGTAGAGTGGCACAGAGTCTTGCACCAGGGCCCTGAAGGACCTTGTCCATCATGCTGGAGCAGCTGTCATTTTTCCAGTTCTTATTTAAACTTCCTTTTGAATATAAATCATTCTGTTACAAAGATACATGTATATGCATGTTCACTGCAGCACTATTCACAATAGCAAAGACATGGAATCAACCCGAATGCCCATCAATGATAGTCTGGATGGAGAAAATGTGGTACATATACACCATGGAATACTGTGCAGCTATAAAAAGGAATGAGATCATGTCCCTTGCAGGGACATGGATGAAGCTGGAAGCCATTTTCCTCAGCAAACTAATGCAGGAACAGAAAACCAAACACTGTATGTTCTCACTTATAAGTGGGAGCTGAACAATGAGAACACATGGACACAGGGAGGGGAACATCACACACCAGGGCCTGTCAGGGAGTGGGATGGGGGTAGGGAGAGCATAAGGAAAAATAGCTAATGCATGCTGGGCTTAATACTTAGGTGATGGGTTGATAGCTGCAGCAAACCGCCATGGCACACGTTTACCTATGTAACAAACCTGCACATCCTGCACATGTACCCCAGAACTTAAAAAGAAAAAACAACAAAAAAAGAAACCCTTTTAATTTCAGTTTTGCTGAGCACCTAAGAGTGACTTCCTGTTCTTTGCAGCCACGTGATGAACAAAGGCACAGGAATTCTCACAGCTCCTTCAGGTGTAAAAACTCAAATTCAAAGCTGTTAAGTGACTTGCCCAAGGCCAAACAGATAGAAACTGGCAGATCCCAGATGTTGGAGTCCAAGTCTAGTGCAGGAGCTCATATTCATGCTGATTGTTCCATAGGAGGTGCAATTAAGGTGCTACTACTGAACATAACTGGGAAGGAATTATGTCCAGGCTGGGGCATGAGAGCACAAAAAAATAAAACAACTCCATAAAAGAGCTAGATGAGAATGGTGAGTAGCAAAAGAACCATGTGGAGCACAGTCAGGGAAGTCTTCAGAGGCAGCAAATGTCAAACATCAGAGCCTCTGAGGCCATCGTGCGCTTGGCATTCCTGTCTCTGAAATGCTGCCTTCAGTCTTCAGCATTATCCCCAAAGGTGGACATTCCATCTCCCGTGACTCAGCAATTCCACACCTCCTGGAGAACTTCCCAAAGATACTTTGGCTCATGTATACCAGAAGATACTGAGAATACACTCTGCCCAACAGCAAAAGCTTAAAAATGGACCAAGCATCACTGATGGAAGAATGGATTAATAAAGCATGGTCTAGCTAACATTATACAGCAATCAAAACTGATGAACCAGAGCCAGGGTCGGGAAACTGCCTGGCCCTATTTCTGTGGGGTCTGCAGGCTAACAATGGCTTTTACATTTCTTTAAAGGTTATAAAATAAAAAAAGAAGAATGTGATGGAGACTATATGTGGCCTGCAGAGCCTAAAATTTTTCCTTTCTGGCCCTTTACAGAAACTCTGTCAACTCCAGAACTATAGCAACTTGCAAATCATGCAGATGTATCTTAGAAATATAATATTAAGTATAAAAATTGTCAAAATTTTATATATAGCATGATATTCTTTTTATAAGTATAAAGCCAGCTAACATTTAAAAATAGGCATTTAAAGCGTGCATACAAATGCAATAAAATATATAGAAGAAGAAAAGCAAGGAAATGATGGAAATTGGGAAAATGGTTATTTATTCCTGGTAGGGGGAAGCAGGGGATGGGATGGGGTGGATAGCAGCATATGGTTAGATGAAGGTTCTAGTTTTTGTTGTTCGGGTGATAGACGGTGCTTAGTATCTTTTTAAGAAGAGAACAAAAATGAATTAACTAAATAAAAGAGGCCCCTTTATAGACCAATGATAAATGTGTATTACAAACCACAGCTTATAATTAACCCAATTTTGACACCTGAGGTCCAAGAAAATTAACAAGTAAAACATTATTGCAACATTTACAAATAGCAGCAGTAAGGTATAAAAGTAAAATTAGTAAGAATCCCTCTCTTCTCACTTCCAATGCCATACCTTGGAAACCACTGTCAATATCTCAGAAACTACTGTCAATTGTTTGGAGACTATCCTGCTCATATGAGGATAGAGCCCACTGCTCTAACAAAGAGATTTCCACAATGCGGGTGCATATATAAGACGGGAGCTGATTTCCGTCCCATATCACAGCCTAGGGGTGGGCTATCCATGCAGTCATGGATGCCTCTCACTTGGAGATTCAAGCCCCTTCTATCTCACTGTTTCCGAGTACAGTCTCTTTTCTTTGCATGCTAGGCCAGAGCCCAAAACCACCACTTCCACAGCAGAGGTAAAAGGGGCCACCAGGACTTTCCTATTCCATTTAAAAACAAGGCTGAGAAGTTGTACCTATCTCTTATGCTCACACCATTGGGCAAATCTTAGCTGCAAGGGAGTCTGGGAATTGTAGTCTTTATTCAAGGAAGCCACAGACCCAGCTAACAGGGGATTGTACTATTCCTTTGTGTACACACACCAATGTATCAATATATGTCCATGCACTTTTCTTTATGAAACTATATATACCCTAAATAAAGTATTACTCTTCCATAGGTTGAACTTGTCAGGTAGTGATATATCCCGGGAGTCTTTCCAGATTTACACATATAGTTTTGTTTTATTCTTTGCAATGGTTCCATAGTGTTCCTATGTATGTGTGTAGCATAATCTATATAACCAACCCCCCACGCATTCATGCTTAGAATTTTTTTTTTCCAGTTGCTTGGGATCTTCTGAAAGTCCGTGATGACCACATACATGTATTTATGTTGTTGCAAAGCAGAGAGACACAGTCCCTGATGGCAACTTTTCAAGTTGAAAAGTGCAAAGCAGAGAGACACAGTCCCTGATGGCAAATCTGGCTTTTCAAGTGAATTGGTGTTATTGCACATCAGTACAGGTCAAATAAGTGGTCTTCATTTTTCTTCTGAGACCTGCAGTGAAATTTCCAAGGGATTAATGGGAGAGAGTGTGGTCTGGCTGGAAGGAGCAATTTCAGTAAAATGCTTCTTCTCCTCACTGGCACAGCTAGGATTCTCCCCACTGGCACAGATGGAATTGTGGGAGCCTCACTTTTCTGATCAGCCAATAGTAGGTTGGGGAATCCTAATGTGAAGAAAGGAAAGAGATAAGAGCATTGGGAGAAATGGGCAGTAGCTTATTTGGTGGTTATATTTGACTGCAGATACTCCTCTTCCACAGTAAGATGGATTAATTTTGTATGTGTTTAATAAGAACAGGCAAAAAAACCCCAACAAAATGTCCAGTTCTGCAGTTGGGTTCCCTTTGCCTCCCAGTGCCCATCTTTCCACTTACTGTGGAGTTTCCTTTGCTTCCATACTGCAGAAGTGCTACTCTAACAGATTCAGAGAGAACCCACACAGCTGTCAGGAGCTTGAGTGTGCCCTGAGCAGCTTCCAGGTGTTCTGAATTGGCAATACCCTATCCTCATTAATGCATGTGATTCAAAAGCTTTAGAAAGTGTTAGGAATTATTTATTGCATGTTTTATGAAATTAGACTCTTCCATCCTAGAAGACGATCCCAAAACAAAATTGTAAAACATGCTAGAAGTGAAGAAAACAGGTAGGGGGACCAACACTTACTGAGCAATGAATCCCAGTGCTTTGCACTGAGCTGGCTGTAACCTCAGCTCGGGCTTATCTTTTTCCTTCCAATGATCCTTTGACTTATGGAGAAGCTGACATCCAAGAAAGTTAAATAAGTGGGCTGAGTGACTGAGAGGCAGGGTTGGGCTTCAACCTGAGGTCTGTCTGGTTATTGTTTTTGCTGTCTAGTTGTGTAGCTTGGCAAGGTGTAGAGGAACCAACATGGTCTTTGGAGTGGGCAGACCTGGCCCACCCACTGATCCCAGTTCTGCTGTGCTCTTCCCAGATCATCCAATTGCACACCCACATTTTAGATCTGCCAATCATGTCCCTGCCAAGTCTTCTCCAATGTATTCAATGTTTCTTCCTATGAAGCGGTATAGTGGATATTTCTCATTGTTGTCTGATAACATTCATTCCCTCTTCTGCTTAGAGCACTCTGAATTTAGTTTTGGGGACTATCTCTGCCCACACTCTCTGTTTATGTGGTGTAGGTGGTGCTGACCTCAGCCCCTTTCTCTAGTCACAGTGATGCAAACATCCCCCAAGCTAAGCCAACAGAACATTTTCCTGGATGACCTCCTTCTGCTGGAGCCGCTAATCTAGTAGGTTACAAGCTCAGTGTTGTTAGTGGCCATCTCATTTTCTTGTGGGAAGAACATCCCTAAAATTGATGCCAATGAAGGAGACAGCAGAGCAGAGAGAATGGGAGAGAGAGATTTCTGACAACATTGTTCCAGCACCTGGATCTAACTCCATCTGAAACTGGTAATACACTTAAATTGTTTGTTCACCTGAATCATTAAAATTTGTCTTTGGTTAAGGTAGTTTGAGTTGTGTCTTTTCTTGTATCCATAAAAGAACTGAATATGAGTTCTATGTCCTTTTACATCCTGAACACCTATTTCCCTCTGAGTCATTATTTTGCTAATGCTTCTGTTAGACATGTCACCCTCCCAACATATTTTGCACAATGTACTATCTAAGGAGGTACAGTCATACAGGAATATCTTGATAAAGGCACAATCCTTTGATCCACCCATGTGTACATAGAATCTGGAGGGCTTTTTTTTTTTTTTTTTTTTTTTCAGTTAGGGATGTCTTCTTAAGTATTCTTAGAGTTTCTTTTTTTTTGAGACAGAGTCTTGCTCTGTTGCCCAGGCTGGAGTACAGTGGTGCAATCTCGGCTCACTACAAGCTCCACGTCTCGGGTTCACACCATTCTCCTGCCTCAGCCTCCCGAGTAGCTGGGACTACGGGCGCTCACCACCACGCCCAGCTAATTTTTTGTATGTTTAGTAGAGACAGGGTTTCACTGTGTTAGCCAGGATGGTCTCAATCTCCTGCCCTCATGATCTGCCTGCCTCGGGCTCCCAAACTGTTGGGATTACAGGCGTCAGCCACCATGCCTGGCCTCTTAGAGTTTCTTAAGAATGCATGCGTACAACACACATATGCGAGAGACTTCACAAAGTAAGGGAGGTTTTGGAAGGGGAGGGGAATTGAGAATAGAGAAGCTATGCAGAGGAAAATGGAAAAGCATAGTAAATAAAGCAATATATCTCTTCTTAAATTCACACATACATATCACTTTTATCTATTGTAGCTAAAGAAACTGAGATTGGTAGGAGAAGGAACATTCTGATAAGGACAGAAAAGAACTGGAAGAGATTAGGGGCAGTATGGCCTTTGCTGGAGGCTTAAATTATTACTCCATTGGGGAGGAAATAGGTTAATTATTTTCCGCCTGGTCTATAGTGGGTGAAAAGTATCAAATGTTATTTCCATTACATGAGCCACAGACATTTTTGTTCATTAAACATACAATATTCATAAGAAAAAAACAAGTGATCCATAGGCTTAGATATTAGAATCTCTGATGCTAATGTAATTTTATTATGAAAGATTCACTTCCAGATAGCTTAGCAAGACCATCTTATTTAATTTCCCCTTCTTTAAGCATTCTCATGTAGGCAGAATTATTTTTCCATGGTCTGTGAAAGGGGATCCTTTCCCTCAGCCACCTGTGAATTTAGTATGGAGAATGCGTGATTAGTGTTTGTACAAAGAACACCGTGGGGCTGATGATAGCCCATTCTCTTTGAGTAAACAGTGGCTTCAGCAAAGGGTCATCAATAGCAAAGATGAGGAGAGTCAGTCTACCACAACTTTCCAGGTTTTTAATTCACCAAATCTTTATTGATGGGCACTTGTGTTCAAGGGGCTTTGGAGAATAAAGCATGAATAAAATACAGCTCTTAAATAATTAGACTCTAGGCATTGAGAAAGGCAAGCTCACACATTATTAGTCTAATAGGAGGGCAGAGACAGAGCTTAGCTCCAAGGGAGAACAGACGAGGGAGAGACTGAGGCCCGCTAGGGGGATGAGAGGGAATTCGCCATAGCAAATGAGGTGGGTTCGGCATTCCAGGTAGGGGCTTCAGAAAAGATGGGAAGGGACAGCGTGTGGGGGGACTAATAAGCAGGATCTGTGGTGGCTGGGGCTCAGGAGGTGTGTGGTCAGAGGTTTCCAACCTGCTGGCTATAATTCCCCCTTTCTCCACTATTGGAGAGAACACATTGAAATACAAGTCAGTGACGGTGACATTGTATTATGTATAACCTTAAAGCTACTCTAACTTATAAAAAGAAAATCAACCCTTGAGAACATTAATATTTTATCTTTTTAAATAAGTAATTCCTTGAGGCACACTTGTTAACTTGAGCCGACACATTCCTCCAGTCGTTGCATAAGTGTTTACAAAGTGCTAACTGTTCCAGGTACTGTTCTAGGAACTGGGGATATTGAATCAAACAGGCAAAGAGCTTGTTCTCATAGAGCTGATGTTGGATAGGAGGAGATCCATGACAAACAAATCAACAATAACTATGTACTATGAGTGCACCAGAGGCTATAAAGCAGGATGGGGGAGGGAGACAGGCAACATGGGGGAAGAGGTGATTACTATTGTATGTGGGATCATCAGAAAAATCACGGAGAAGGTCACAAGCTTATGGATGAACAGACTCCTAAAAGAAGCGAAGAAGGGAGCTGTGCAGAAATTGGAATGTTAAGTGCAAAGTCCTGAGGTGGCAGAGTGATTACCAAGATTAAGGGACATTCAGGGGTCCAGGGTGACCCAAGCACAGGGAAGGATGCAGGGAGTGGAAAGAGGAGAGAGAGGTGAGAGAGGTACCAGGGGAGCATGAGGATGCAGAGTTGTGTGAGACGGGAGGGATTTGGAATTTTATTTTGAGTAGGATGGGGAACCATTGGAGGGCTTTGAGCAGAGGCACAACTTGATCCAAGTTCACTTTCAAAGGGCCATCCTGGCTACTGTGTTGTTAGAATGGAGAGTCAACGGCAAGGATGGGGGCAACCCAGTGCAATCACCCAAGTGAGAGATGGTGGCTTGATCAGGTTGTGGAGGCAAAGGTGGTGAGGAGTTTGGATTCTGGATATAATAATATTTTGAAGAGGATAGAGCTAATAAAATTTCCAGATGGGTTACATGTGGTATGGGAAAGGAACAGACACAACAAGGATGGCTTTTTGGTATATAGCCTGAGTTATGAGAAGCATAGAGTTCTCTTTTCCTTAGATGTGTTGGTGGTGGGAACTCGGCGGTGGGGCGGGGGTAGGGGGCAGACATGAGAGATGAAACTAGAATTTCAGTTTTGACTTTGTTAAGTTTGAGATGACCATGAGACACTCAAGGGGAGATGTCAATTAAGCAGTTTGATGGAATCTGGAGTTCACAGCAGAAGTCTGGGCTTCAGACAGAGCTACAGGAGTTCTCAATGTGGAGATGATTTCTCAAGCCAGGACAGACAGGTGCATTCACCTGTGGAGTGGGTGTAGATTGCCAAGAGTCCTCTGGATTGGAATCCCAGGGATCCCGCCACTAAGAGGAGAGGGGGATTCGGAGAAATCGGCAAAGGATATGGAGAAGAAGTAGATGGGGTAGTTGGAGGAGACTTAAGACACAGGGTTGTCTCAAGCCACGTGATGAAAGTGTTTCAAAAGTTGGTATGCTTGATGGTGTTTTATAATAATTTTTAGGCTTTGCTCATTTTTCCTTATTGTTATTTCTCTTGGATTCTCAAATGGGAGACCCACGTCAAGTTTGCTGAGTTCTTTCTTCTACCTACTTAGATCTTTTATTGAAATCCTCCTGTGGTATTGATATTAAGAAGTTCCTTGAGTTTCTTAAATATGTAGATTTGTATATTTTACCAAATATGGAAACTTTTGACCATTTTTTTGAATATTCTTTTGCCTGTTTTTTCTCTCTCTCCTACTTTTCTGTAATTTCTACCATGCACATGTTGGTATGCTTTATGGTGTCTTATAGATCAGCTGTGTCCAGTGATGCTCAGAGGTCATGTCAGATGAACACTATTTGAGTGACTGATCTTTGGTATTTTCTCAGAAATAGTCTAAACATGGAATAAAGCTAATCCGGAAATGTAGGGAAGCAGACACACTGTAGTCAGGTGGCAGCATTTTCAAGTTAGCATCAAATACAAAATAATTTAGATGACTGCAACTCTACTCTGCTTCAGTGGAGTCCATCTGGCTTTAATGCTCAGAGTGATGGTGGCTGTTGTCTTTAATCTCCATGCAAGAATATCCGAGGTGAAAAAGAGAGAGAGAGAGGGAGAGCACAAACACACACAACATGTCCATGTGAGCTAGTGGAGGTAGTGGGGGTCATAAATTGCGCCACCAAAATTATAAAGCACATTAAGATGGCTTTGCAAGTCCTCGTTCCCCCGCTTTCAGCTAATCTCCGTCTTCTAAGAAAATTCTGTACATAGAAGTTACTTGATAAAGACCGAATAATGGCTGCCTTACTATGGCATCTGTATTTTTAGGGTCACAAAAGTAATTATGGTGGTTCCTGTGCTATTTTCATAACTTTCTGTGGCCTAATGGAAATTGTACATTAATTTTCCATAAGGTTACCTAGTTTTGATATTTGATATCAAATTATTTAAAGAACATCTATATTTGCAGCCGTAAGTCTTAGGATATTTTCAGTGGACAAATTATTACATAATAAATGTGGTTTTGCTGGTAAAAATCTTTTAAAACATGAAGGCCATAAGAGTAGATTAGGGAGTAATAACAGTAGTGCGAGTTGAGATAAATGTTTCAAGTACTTCCCCCCCTTTGCAGAAACTTGGTAGAATGGCACTCCATAACACCCTTGAAGCCATATAAGGCCATTATGTCTTATTTTGATTGAAGAAATGTGATTGGAAGTGACACATGGCCCTCTCTAGAAAGAAGGCTTTGAAAGCCAAGGTAACATTTACCACCTTGCCTCCCCTTGCATGAATACTGGAGTCATTTCAGATGATGGAGGCTTCATGAGCAAGGTTCCCTGAGTAAGCACTTTGTGGGGCAGAGATTTCTGCTGACCAGAAACGGACATGTGGTGCAAGCAGGAAATAAGTATTTGCAGTTTTAAGACGTTGAGATTCTAGGGACACTTATTACTGCAGCACAAGTAGCTAATCACTAATACTGAAATTGGGACCTCATTTAGGTGCTGCCATAACCCAAGCCTACAATATATGGCACTAATTCACCAAACAGCAGTGACCAGAGAGGAAACTGTAGTCAGGGACTAGGGAGATAGTGATCCACGTTACAGAGTAGTAAACATTTGGCAAATTGTCACCTGTGGTTACAGTGGGAGGCACATCACATCCCTAATGAACATACACATTTAGACGAACAGGTTGGAAAACAGAATGCAATTAGGGTGCACAGGTTGCTGTGGGCTGCATTTGGCAAGGCATTGTAAGTATGAGATAAATTCAGAAAAGAGTTGGCCAGTTTGCAAATAGAAAAGGAAAGAAATACAGAGCCTCATGAATCCAAGTACTTGAAAGGTTAGAAGAAGCAACTGCTTCTCAACTCCAAACACTAAGTAAGAGTCCATAAAGTCATAGAGCAATAAAACTCAATTAAAACTCAATCTGGGGCAAGGGTCAAATGAAAGGTACAGCCATCATCTCCTTTGCTAAAAACCTCTGAATGGATTAAGGAATCTCTAATAAAGATCCTGCCAAGATGTGGTCCAGCAAATCCTATCAATTGGGCCAAATATCTCAGGGAAAAGAAAATAAGAATGTGATTCTCCCACTAACACTTGATTGGTTCAAGATGCAGTAGATTAAGTTGAGAATAAAGGGAGGCAGTGAGAAAGCAGAGAAACAGAGCAAATAGGAAGATTTTATCTTGAAATGAACAGTGGATGTGGGTCTTGGCACAAAGAATGGGCTGGAATGTTCTAGTTCTGGATCCAGATCTGACATAGAGACTATCCCACATCACCCAGAGATCTTGGACTTTGAGCTTACTGTCATGCCTAAATGAAACTTTGCTAAGGGGAGAGGGTATTTTATATAAGAAAGAAGGTAAATGATTTGGTGACCAGAACATTAGCCTATGTAGTTATTCATACTGTTCACCAATGTTTTCAGGTCTCTCCTCCTGGCCCCATGATCAGATTGCACCTCCCTGCTCATCCACCAGGCATGGCCACGTGGCTTGATTGGCCATGCAAAGTGCAAGCAGAAGTACTTCTTAGCCAAAGCCACTAAGAGCTAGTGTGGTGATATGGTTAGGTTTTGCGTCCCCACCCTAATCTCATCTTGAATTGTAATCCCCATAATCCCTGTGTGTCAAGGGAGAGACTAGGTTGAGGTAACTGAATCACGGAGGCCATTTTCCTCATGCTGTTCTTGTAGTAGTAAGTTCTCATGAGATCTAATGGTTTTATTATATAAGGGGCTCTTCCCTCTTCACTCAGCACTTCTCCTTCCTGCCGCCTTGTGAAGAAGGTGCCTTGCTTCCTCTTTGCCTTCTGCCATGATTGTAAGTTTCCTGCAGCCTCTCTAGCCATGCTGAACTGTGAGTCAATTAAGCCTCTTTCCCTTATAAATTATGCAGTCTCAGGCAGTTCTTTAAAGTATGTGAAAACAAACTAATACATGTGGGATTTTGCTATTTGCTATGCTTCCTCCCCCACCACACTCATTGGGTGCCACACAAGATAGTGATGGCTTGTCTTGGTTCCTGAGTAAGAAGTTAAAAAGGCATCAACTCCTCTCTCCCTTCCATGGCTCAAAACTGATGGAGAGGGTGAATGAGAAATAAATCTTTGTTTTTATAAGTCACTAGATTTGGCCACCATTTATGTCCACAGCATAACCTAGTCCATTCTGTTACTGGAAGCCTTTTCTTTAGGTAGGAGACTGGGAGCATGTCACATTTCTATAAAACTTGCAGTCAAGAGGTTTCCTATAGAATGGATTAGAAGAGGATGAAACTAACTCCAGGAGACAGTTTAGAGGCTGTCAAAGGAGCAAAGAAGGGCAAAGAGGCTAAAGTTATAGGAATGGAAATCTAGTATTCAAGCATGAATTTAGTATTCAAGTGTGAATAGGACTTTTCTTAGGACACCATACCATTTTCTGTGGGCAAATGCAACTGGTTAGAGAATGCCACGTCATTGTTTCATACTTGGTTTTATTTACTTACTTTATTTATTTATTTATTACAGATAGGGTCTTGCCATATTGCCCAGGCTGGACACAAACTCCTAGGCTCAAGCTATCCTCCTGCCTCAATCTCCTGAGTAGTTGGGAGTACAGGCACATGTCACCATGTCTTCTAATTGGTTTTTAGACCAAGTTTTTCAGAGAGCCTCTACCAAGTTTGTTAGGATTAAGCAAGCAGTGGATAAGTTGAGCTTCAAAAATTAAGTCCTGAGTCTTCACAATCATATTTAGCTATAAAGCCCTTAGAGTGAATAGAATGTGAAATGTATACTGTTGAAGCAAACTGGCTCTTGATGGGTTGTGTTCTAATATAAGCAAACGAGAGCCCAGTGAGAGTTCATTTCCCTAGGGAAGTCCATGGGTAAGCTCTCTTCTTTTGCAATTTGGTATCCACCTTCTTTCTAAGTCTTCTGTACCTTCTGAGTTTTGAATTCTGGCACTAAGCATTTATTAGTAGGAAATGTGCTCTCTTTAATAAGTTGTAATCACTGAATTCGGGCTATGTGATTAATCATAGAAAAATATTGCCCCACCACCTGCCATTTGAAATTCCTGGCAGGTTCTGAGTGAAACTCTCTGGGGGTCAATGGTAATAGGAAATGAATGATGCTTTTATAGTACACAATGATCATTTTCTGATCAAACAAATGCAAATAACTGACTGCACAGCTGGCTAGGGCTGCCTTAGTGAGCCAGGGATAAAATTATAAACAGCAAATTCTATTACTGTCTTTCACTTCCTTGGTAATTAAATTCAGACTTAGGCTTAAAAATGCTGCATGCCCCTCTGTAATTAAATACCCTCAATGTTATACTTTAAGTGAGAGCTATTCAACAATTATCAATATTTTATAACCCAAAGACTCCCATTTGGATATAGAGGAGACTGGGCGAAGTGACTTCTTAGCACAGATAACAATCTCCTTTTCCCCTTGCTCGGCCATTCGCGATACGAAATGTTCTGGTTGGCTTTGACTTTGAGATAGAGTTTTTAAAAAGACAAATGCTCAGCATTTCCTTTGACTGTTTGCCCACATCTCGATCAATAAATCTTCTTCACCTTGACAAACCAAATTTTGTAAGCCACGATATACACTTCAAAGAGCCTTGATGAGCATTTAAGAAGTGGAAAGGGTGCTTCATGGTACATTTTTTGCAACTTGGGGCTGCCAGGAAATGCTACCGCACATTTTTGTGACTTTTACTGTTAATTCCAGAGAATATGATTTTTAAAATGAACTCTTTCAAAAATGCCTTAAAGCAAAAATAAATAGATAAAAACAAAAACAGACAACTTTCTTGTTAACTAAAAAACTAGTATCTTGAATAATACACTGTTAGAGCTGGAAGAGACTTTAGATGTCTAACTCATGAATTTGAATCCCATGGACATGGAGGACTATAGAGCTGAGTGACTCAACCCAAAGTTTAAAACATGATGTTTTGATATCAGCATGACTTTGTAGCTGGAAGCTTCAGGATTCCATGCAGCTTGTACCAGTGGCTAAAGGAAAGTCTGCCAACTGTTGCGGTTTTTCTAAGAAAAAGTCACTGTATTTAAATGCAAATACAGAGGACAGGTGTAAGCAACTGCCAGGAAATATTGAGTCATGGCTGCTTTTGCTGTTTATTGTGAAACAGATTTTATGGCTGACGTCCCCCTTTATTTTTGATTTGGTAGGATGGAGGATGCTGGAGGTCTCAGAATTCACAGGGTAGATACTGAAATTATGGAGCAATGGGGGGTTGCAGGTGTGTAGGGTAGAGAAATACAATCCCTGTGATCATTTGGAAGCAGTTAGAGATAAGCCTAACATGAGAAAAGATATTAAATCCCCAGTTCAGTCAGAGTTGTGATTCTCAAATCTGTTTGTGTATAAGAATCCCTTGAGAAATAAATAAAATATAGATTATAAATATATAGATTATAATCCCTCAAGAATTAGGACTCAGACATTTTGAGGAACCTATATCTCTTTCATCCTGCCCCAATTTGGAAAACATTGGTGAAGAGCTTCTGTGTGCGGTAATCACATATTGCGCTTCCCTGCCTCCTCATTCTACCAAAGATTTGGGATGTTTAAGACACATGGGTGTGGGTTACAAAAGAATAGTATTTAAATTTAAATCCTGACTTTGTCCTTACTATCCTATAGCCTCAATTTTCTCAACTTTACAATAGAGATAATACAAGAATAGTTGTAAAAAGCTTACCACCACAACTGATAAGTAATAAACATCCGATCATTGATCATTGTTATTCTTTGATGACCTTAATAACAACAAACTATTCTCACCAAATCTACACATAAGTTACAGTTGAAATAAATTATGAATGAGTCAGGGTTGGGGATAAAATAATCAGATTTGACTCAGTTTAAACATGTGTTCTATAAAGACCTTCTGCTTCAAATCATAATAGAAAAACAGGGAGTGGGTTTATCCTCCTGCCTTCAAAAACTAGAAAATTGGATGAAATATATAAAACAACAGTTTTCAGACATTGGGCAACAGACAGATCAGATCTGTGATCCCTGAGACAAGGGAAACAAACAAGGCAAGCCTCATGGCTGCCCTGATGTTCTGCCCGGAGCTTACACTGCAGGCTGTCGAGAAGGGAGGAGGATCCCAAGTGGAGTTCCGGGAATTTGCTGAGTTGAAAGGACAGTATATGAGTTCAGAGAATCTGAGGGTTGAGTTCGGGAGAGAACGGGGCTCTACAGAAAAAGAGCCCGAGAATCGGCATAGAGCCCCCCTCCCTCTACTTGGGTCTTTTCTGAACACAAAGACATCTATGTGTAGGGTGAATCTCTACACATCTATGTGTAGGGTGAGGCAGGCAAACATCTACCTGTGAGCAGTGAGCTGAAAGTTCGCAGAACTCACATAGGCTCAGGAATTGTTTGAATTCAGCCAGAGTTATCCCTGGTGATTCAGTAATCACTCAACTCATTCACTAGAAACCCTAGAAAGGCCACACCTAGCAGAATTTTAGTAGGGTAAAGGCTTCTCTGGAACCACCTTAATAGAAAGTGGCTTACAAGTAATTAACTGCCACCCCCCAGAACAGAGCCATACACTCTCTAAAGGAAAACAAAATCTAAACCCCAAATGTAAAATTAACAATTTCCAACATTCAATAAAAAATTACCTGACAGGCCAAGAAGTAGGAAAACAGAGCCCATCACCAGAAAAATAAATAAATAAATAAATAAATAAATAAATAAATAAATAAATAAATAAATAAAAATAAAAGGTCAACAGAAACAGGCCCAGACAGTACAGAGATAAAGCAATTAGCAAAGATTTTAAAAGTTGTTTTTAACTCTTTCCAAATATTTAAAGGAAAAATCTGAACATAATGATAAAATATATTGGAGATATATAAAGAACCAATGAAGTCTCTAGACGTATAACATCTGAAACTAAGACTTAACTGGATGGGACTAAATCCATCAAATTAAATACTGAAGAGTAAAAAGTTAGAGAACTTGAAGACATGCCCACAGAAACTATCCAAATGAAGCACAGAAGGGAACATGGGCAGAATCTCATTGAATTGCACGACAATATCGAGTGATCTCATGTACATGTTATAGAAGTTTGCAAAAAGGGAAGAGAAAAAATATTTAAAGAAATAGAGCTAAAAATTCTCCAAATTTGGTGATACTATACATCACAGTCTAAGAAACTCAAGGAATCCCAAGCAGCAAAAACACAAAGAAAACCATACCAAGGCACGCTAATCAAATTACGGAAAACCAGTATCAAAGGGAAAAATCTTAAAAGCAGAAGAGAAAAAACTCACACATTAAACTCAAAGGAACAAAGATAAAAATGACAAGAATCTCCTTGTCAAAAACTATGCAACGTAGAAGAAAATGAAGTAATATTTTTAAAGAGCAGAAAGAAAAACAGTTAACATAGCATTCTAGAGCCAGCAAAAATATATTTCAAAAATGAAGGCAAAATACTTTTCTAGACATACAAAACTTGAGAGAATTTGTCACTGAAAGGCTTGTGTTACAAGAGATGTGAGAGGAAATTCTTCATTGTAAGAATCTATATCAATGAATAAAGAACACTGGAAATAAGTGGGTAAATATAAAGTAAATTGTTTCTCATTTTAAGTTCCTTTAAAAGATAAATACCTGTTTAAAATGAAAACAATAAAAAGGTATCAGGAGGTTGATAACATATGCAGAAACAAAATCTATGATAACAGTAGCACAAAAAATGGAAAAGGGGAAAAAAGAATTTTCTTATAAGGTTCTAATATTGGTACATGAAATGATAAGGCATAATTTAAAGTTAGGCTGTGATAACCCAGAGATAAATAATGTAAACCACAGCCCCCTAAAAAATAAAGTGCAATAACTCCTCACTTTATGTCATGGATAGGTTCTTGGAAACTGTGACTTTAAGTGAAATGATGTATAGCAAACCAATTGTTTTTTTTTCTCATCAATGTTATAATGAAACAATGTTATTCAAGGACCTGCTGTGTGTTGTTTCACTTAAATTTGCCATTTCCAAGAATTCATTGATGACATTAAAAGAAGACTCACTGTATAGCTAATAGGTCAATAATGAAGATGGAGAAAAAGACAGAACCCTCAGAAATACTCAAATATTCTGAAAGAAGGGAGAAAAAAAGGGAAAAAAACAGATGGAGCAAACAGAAAACACATAGCAAAATAATAGACTTCAGCACACACATATAATAAATACATCAAATGTAAGTGATCCAAACATTACATTTAAATGGCAGAGACTGTTAAGCTAATTTTTTTAGAAAGCAAGAACCAATTATGTATTATGTACAAGAAATCTACTTTAGATATGAAAACACAAATAGATTAAAAGTCAAAGGCAGGTAAAAATTATACCATGTAAGCAATAAATCATAAGAAAGCTACAGTAGCTATATTGACATCAATGAAATAGGCTTTTGAAAAAGGAATATTAAGAGGGATAAAGATGAATATTGTACAATGATATAGGGGTCAATTCATCAAGAGGCCATAACAACCCTAAATAACAGAGCTTCAAAATCAATCTTTATGAAACAAAAAATGACAGAACTGAAAGCAGAAGGTCACATATCCGCAAGTAGTGAGAAACTGCAGCACTCTTCTCTCAATAATCAATAGAAGAAGTGGACAGAAAATCAGTAAATATATAGGAAACATGAACAATACTCAACCAATCTGACCTAAGTGACATTTATAGACTACTTCAACAGACCCAATAATGGAGTAAACTTTCATCTCAAGTCCATATGTAATATTCACCAAGATAATCATATTCTGGGCCCCCAAACAAGGCTTTCAATAAATTGAAAAAAATTTAAAATCATACAGACTGTTTTTTCACCACTATGGAATTAAATTAGAAACCAATGATAGAAAAATATCTGGAAAATTCTCAGATAACTAGAAATTAAGCAATATACTTCTGAATAATCCATGGGCAAAAAAACAAATCATGTGTGAAATTAGAGAAATATTTTGAACTAAATAAAAATGAAAACATAACAACATACAAAATTTAGGGATTTATGACTTTGAATGCTATAAAAATGCTATAAAAAGAAAAACGAATAGCTTAAAATCAATGACTAAGTATTTCCCTAAGAATCTAAATAAATAAGCAGATTAAACCCAAAATGCATAGAAGGAAAGTAAAGGTAACAGCAGACATCAATAAAATAGAAAATGGACAAGCAATAGAGAAAAATCAATTAAATCAAACTTTAAAAAATCAATAAAGTTAATAAACCATTAGCTAGGTTGATCAAGTAACAAAGGGAGAAGACACAAATTACCAATATTAGGAATGAAATTTGAGACATCACTAGAGACCCTGCAGATATTAAAATGATATTATGGAAATATTATGTACCACTTCTTACCAATAAATTTAACAATATAATTGAAATACACAAATTCCTTGAAAAATACGAATAAACAAAGTGAACACAAGAAAAGTAACATAAAGAACTCTTACAACTGAAAACAGAATGGGCAAAAGACTTGAACAGATACTTCACCAGAGAAGAAACAGACATTTTACCTGTCCAGGAAGTACATGAAAAGATGTACAATATCATTAAGCCATCAGAAATTTCAAATGAAAACCACAAAGGGATGCCAATACATATCCACACAGATGACTAAAGTTTAAAGACTGGTAATATAAAGTTTGGTGCAGATGCGGAGCTACGGGAAAGTTAATACATAGCTGGTGGGAATGTGAAATGGTAAAACTACCTGGGCAGAAGTTGGGCAGCTTGCATAAAGTTAAATGATATTTGCCATTAGACATAGCAATTCCACTTGCACTATATACCCCCAAAATATAAAAAAAAAATGTTCATACAAAGACTTGTACATGAATGTTTACAGCAACCTTATTCATAGAAGCCATAAATTGGAAACAACCCTAATATTAATTACCAGGTGAACAGTAAACAAATTATGGTATACACTTTCAAGGGAATACATTCAACAGTATAAAAGGAACACACTGTTGATATAGGCAACACTAGGGATAAATCTTTAAAAACATGCTAAGAGAAAGACTCCAAACACAAAAGAGGACATACTACATCATCCCATTTATATGAAATTCTAACAAAGACAAATTTGGTCTATAGTGTTAGAAAGCAGGTCAGTGTCTGCCTGGGCTGGGATGGGAGGCTGGCTATAAACAAAGGAAGGGCATGAGGAAATATTTTAAGGTAATATTAATGTTTTATGTCTTGATTCTAGTGGTGGTTATACAGGCATCTATATGTGTCAAAACTCATCAAATTGTATAATTAAAGTATATATGCTTTGTTAAATATTAGATGTATTATATGTAATTATTACTTATTGAAAGAGCAAAGTTGATTTTAGAAATACGTTCCATAACACTATCTGCTTCACTGTTTAGTTCTGTATGTATTCATTTATAAAATGTTTGGTTGCCAGACACTGTGCTAGGGCTTTGGGAAAAACAGAGATGGATGAACCAGACAAGGAACTTCCCTTAAGGAACATTTCTTCTGTGGTTTTGGAGACAGATAAAGAACAAGGGAATAAAATGAAAGAAGTGACTGTCATACAAAACTTGAATATGAATGTTTATAACAGCATTATTCATAATAGCCAAAAAGTGAAAAAGAAAAACAGTTGTCCATCAACTGATGAATGGATAAACAAAATGTGGTATATCCATAGAATGGCATGTATTCAGCAACATAAAGGAATGAAATTTTGATACAGCATTGATGAACCTTGAAAATATTATGCTGAGTGAAAAAGCCAGATGCAAAAGGCCACGTACCACATGATTCCACTTATATAAAACACCCATAACTGATAAATTTATAGATACACAAAGTAGGGAAGTGGTTTCCAGGGACTGGGGAGAAGGGAGAATGGGGAGTGGCTGCTAATGGATTCTGACATTTTTTGGGGAGTAATGAAAATATTCTGGAATTAAATAATGATGGTGATTGCACAACCATGTGAATATACTAGAAACCACTGACCCTCTACACTTTAAAAGAATGAATTTTACAGTAGGTAAAT
Source organism: Homo sapiens (assembly GCF_000001405.40). Classification (NCBI taxonomy): domain Eukaryota; kingdom Metazoa; phylum Chordata; class Mammalia; order Primates; family Hominidae; genus Homo; species Homo sapiens. Next base: position 14,314,678 of record NC_000001.11, on the reverse strand, counting down.
TGTATCTTAATAAAAATTTACTTTTAAACAACAAAAAAAAGAATGAAAGAATGATGTCATGTCATTACAAGAATGAGGATGCAGTGATTGAGAACTGCGTAGAGTGGAAAGAAGCCTCACGAATGGAGCTTTGAGAAAAGGCCCATCCCGTGCCAAAAGGCCTAGACTCATGAAAGTGTCTTGTCCAAACTTAAAAGCCAACAGGAATCTCATGTAACCAGGACATAGGGAATGGAGGCAAAGATGGTAGACAATGAGGTCAATGAAGATAAACAGGGCCAGATCAAGTATATCAGAGTGATGAGTCTGGGTAATGTGGAAGGAGTGGAAATTTTATGGTTTTAAATTTGAACAGCTTTAAGTAGACAGTTATCATAGAAGTTTCTGACAAATCTAACTGCAAGATGACCACAGTAGGTGTTGCAAGATCAGGTCAAAGTGGAGAGCTCACTCCCTTTTTCTACAAGTAGTGCAATCTCTTTTTGGCATAGGTACAGGCATATACAGAGTTATGCAAACTCCACACAACCAACAGAAGGTATTTACATGTAAAGATGTGGAAAGAAATAGCCCATGGGAGCTAAAGTGTTTTTATCCAAGGTTACATTTTCATATCTGTATCTAATATCACAGAGCAAATGACTTTTTCTGGGACTAACTTCCCAGCCACCCACTTACCAGTAATTTGCCACTGATTAGAACTAGGCAATTATGATTGTAATTTATCTTTATTAGCCTCATTTTCCACTTGAAAAAGCTAAGCCATCATTTTTTTTCCTACATTTATGATTCCCAACCCTTTTGGAAATCACATCCTATTTATTATTTATTTCATTTCATAATATCCCACTATCCCATGTGGCCGATTTTATATGTCTTTGGGAAGTGTTAAAATTAAATTAGATTTTGAAAAATTACTTAGATTTGTCAACATGCCAGAGTAAAGGGGAGATAATATGGGGTGATGATGATCTAGATGATAACCTTCTTTCACAAGTTTAAGATTCCACAGATGGAACTCAAAAGCAGGTCAAACCACTTAATTTTATTCACAAGAAACTTTGGCCCAGAAAAGTGAAGTGACTTACCCAAGATATTCCATCGAATTTAGGGCAGCAAAGGACATTATTAAAGGATCACTTTAAGGTAGTTTAATGACTTTAAGTGGCTTATAAAAGGCGTAAACACCACCCCTTCATAGAAAGGAAAAGTTAAACATATAAGTACACAGGATTAGTTTTATGGCATAGATGAACATAATAGCAAGACAAGCTTAACAATGAAGTTGACTCATTCCATTGATGAAGCTGTTTAAGGAGTGATAAAGAAGGCAGGCTCCAGTGAGAAATCAGAGACAAAAGAGTACACATGATTCTATTTACAGAGAGTTCAAGATCAGGCAAAACTAATCTATGATGTTAGATGTCAAGAGATAACCTTTCGGTGGGGGGCTGGTGGAGAGGTGTGGGGACCATGAAGTATAGAGCACAGCTTCTGGGGTGCTGGTAATGTTTTATCTCCTAATTACTTTGATCAATCAGTGGTTACAGTGGTGTGCTTGATTAGTGAAAATTTATCAATTTGTATAATTTTGATTTGTCTACATTTCTCTATGCATGTTGTATTAGTTATCTAATGCTGCAAACAAATTGCCCCAAAATGTAGTAGCTTGAAACAATATTTACAATCTCACAGTTTCTGTTGTTCAGGAATCCAGGCATAGCTTAACTGGGTCCTCTGTTCCAGAGTCCCTCAAGTAAGGAGTTGACCAGGGCTGTGGTCTCATCTCAAGGCTCACCTGGGGAAGGATATATTTTAAGGACTGAGGATCTTAGTTGCTTGCTGACTATAGGCCAGAGGTCACGCTCATTTCCTTGTCACGTGGGCCTCTCCAATGTGGCAGCATGCAAGCCAAGAAGGCAACAGAGAGAGTGCCACCAAGATGGAAGTCACCATCTTCTGTAACCCAATCATTCAAGTGATATCTCATCACTTGTCATATTCTACTCATTAGAAGCAAGTTACTACGCCCAGTACAAACTCAAAGAGAAGGGGATTATACAAGGGTGTTTCTATATATTATACTTCAATAAAAACGTTTATTAGAAAAATAATGAATGCAGGCTCAGGCACCAGGCTAACTTGGGTTTAAATTCTGCTTCTCCTACCAGGTGAGAGAGATTGCTGAAGTCATCAAACTGCCTAAAATGTCACCTTCTCCATTTTTATTAAAAACAGCTAATAATATTACCTATTTCCTAGAATGGTTGTATCTATTAAGTTGGGAAAACAAGCAATGTGTGCAAAGCCCTAACGCAGGGCCGGCTAGAAGGTAAGTGCACAGCTTTAATTGTTATTATTGTTATTTAAAAGATATTCCCAAAGTAATCTGCAAAGAGAAAGAAACAGGGCTATATGTCAGGTGTTTTGAGGAAATGAAGACTCTGAGATATTTAGTAACTTGTCTAATGTCACACAGCTGAGCAAGGATTTGAACCTGAGTCTGCTGGCTTCAAAGTCATTTATTTTTTCCTGTATTCTCTGCTTCCCTGTAGCATACTCTAAATGGCTTTCCCCTCTTATTTCTATTCCCACCAGTTCTTTTTTCACACTGTTGTCAGACCAGCTCTCCAAACATGTCTTTCTTCATCTGCCGTTCTCCAGCAGAAGGCATCCAATTGACTTCCATATCCAGTAAGAATTCTCTTCCCAGCTTATGGAGGGCCTTGATTTACTTTTTGTATCTAGGCATTTACTTTCCTGAAGTTCCCTAGCATACTTCCCCTGCTGCAAGCATCATAAGTTTATTAGCCACATGGTCATGCCTCATCTGGTCCCCACCTCCATACATTTGCACTACTTTTTCTCTTCACTAGGATATTATTCCCTGTATCTTTCTATTCATCCATCCACCCATCCATTTATCCATTCATCCTTCCATCCATCCATCCATCCATCCACCCCCATCCATCCAATATTTATTAATTCACTATGCTAAGTACTATTAACAGAACCACTACAAGAAAGAATCAGGAAGGCCTCTGTCTTTCAGAGTCAGTCATGTCTCAGAATACATTGTGTCAAACTCTACCGGAGAGAAAGCCCTGTTGACACACTTCCTGTGGCTTGATTCTGGTCTCCACGATGCCGTCCTGATTATTCCACCCCACCAATACATCCATCTTCTCTAAATCTCTATAGCCCCGTAAGGTCCACTGTCTTAATGGAGGAAATTGCCTTCATCATGGTTATAATATAAGGGGATTTCTAAGCATCTTATTGGGAACTTATTGTAAGATAAAGCTTTATATCATCCTCTCATTGAATGATCCCAATGACTCCACAAAGTAATTTTTATTATGCCATTGTGCAGGTAAGGAAGCCAAGACATAAAGAGGTCAGGTTCAATATCTCATAGCTAATAAGTGGTAAGGGCTAGACTCAGATCCAGATCTATCTGAATGCAAAATCTTGCTTGCTCTTAACCCTCCATGATATTCCTTTTCTCTTCTTCCTGTGGTCCAGCAGAGAAGGCTGGACCTGCAACTCAATCAAGGATGACAGCAGCATCTCCTCTTGAATTTCTCTCCACAGTTACCAAAGGCTTTCATATTCACCTCAAATATTTACTGAGTGACAGAATGATTCACAGAAGCTCCAAACAGGTCATCTCATCGACAGGACAACAACTCTGATGGATCTCCAGTGGAACTTCTAAAACACCGCCCCTCATGTCCAAACCAACATAGTTCATTGTTGTGGGCTTCCTTTGGTGCTGGACTTCTCAAAATAGTTGGCTTCACTGCCAAGATTGGGTATCTCTGTTGTGACAATTTCACTCCAACACAGCATTTGTGATGCATCCTTTGGAAAGAGATGGGGCTGCCAGGCCTTTCATAACAAAACCTTCTTTTTCCTGGGAATTCTTAAATGTGGCAGTGAGCAGATGTGTTCGCAGAGCCTCTGAATGCAAGCACAGACGAAACGCTCTGCATAGAAATTGCGAGTAAACTTCACAACTGGGGAACATAAAGATCTTTTATTTGCAGAAGTTGGAGATTGCAATTTGAATGTGTGAAATTGCCAATAGTCTGGTACATACGTCGGCCCACCAGCAGCCTTCAAAGGGAATTGAGACCATTTTAAAAATCAGTGAGGTAGGCAATGCGTGGGCGTGTGTGTTTTCCACGGAACCAATAGAGAGATTTATGCTAGATGCAAAATACTCTTTAAGTCATTGAGTACAAGAATGGGTCATTAGGAAGGTGGTGGACTCGTTTTAACCATCCGAGGCCTGCTGGGAGTTTTCTAATCTGTTTAGAATCCTCTGGTGGCTCCATACTGCCTGTGGAAAGAAATGCATTTTCTTTGGTCTGGCACTTTCCATTCTGGCTCCAACCGTATCTTCCACACCTTCCTTTTTTGCACCTCATTCTCCAGAAAGATTCCAGTGACTCCTACTTCCCTGGACATGGGCTCCATTTTCTCACCTCATGTTTCTGCTCACACATTGCCTGTAATATCCTTCTTCCCACTGCCATGTGTTCAAAGCCAACCTTTCTTTCAAAACTAGGAGTCATCCCTGACTCCTGCCTTTCCCTTGCCGCCCGTTGCTCCAACCCCATCCAATGCCATTGGCAAGTCCTGATAGCTGTACCTCCAAAATATTATTATCTCTTCCTGCTGCTTCATCCCTTGTCTAGTAACACCAGCTCTTGCCTAAAGAACAACAGCTGCTTTCTCTCTGGTCTTCCTGCTTTGAACTTGACTTGTGTCCCTGCAGAATTTTTTTTTTTTAATATAAATCAGGCCAGGTGCAGTCGTTCATGCCTGTAATCTAGCACTTTGGGAGGCCAAGGTGGGAGGATCCTTTGAGCCCAGGAGTTCAATACCAGCCTGGGGAACATAGAAAAACCCCATCTCTACACAATTTTTTTTAAGAAAGTTAACTGGGCATGAGCCTAGTGGTGTGTGCCTGTGGTCCCTGCTACTTAGGAGGCTGATGCAGGAGGATTACCTGAGCCTGGGAGGTGGAGGCCACAGTGAGCTGTGATCACACCACTGCACTCCACCTGGGCCACAGAGTGAGACCTGGTCTCAACTGAAAACAAAAAAATCAATTAATGCCATCTTCAGTGGATTCCTGTAGCATTAGAATCAAATCCAAATTCCTCCCTGTGGCCTCCAAGGCCCCTGTAATCTGGTCCTGGCCACTGCTGTGACCTCCTCCCATTCCACTCTGTCTCTGGTCACTTCACGCTGGACACTGAGGTCCTCTGCTGTAGTAACTGAAAAAATATCCATATCTCATTTACCTACAATTCCCCAACAGCATCCTGTGTGGTGCCTTATACCTAGTAAATATAAATCAATTTTTATTAATTGATAATTCTCTGACTTAAAATTGAAGTTTTAGATAAATGGGTGGCATCTGACAAAAATCTAACCATCAATTTTTTTTAAAAGGGTTGCTTATCCTGTTGCAATTTTGGGATATCCCATTTCTTCTTCTAGCCTAAATTCCAGTTATTGTTCTGAGATTCCTGAAACTTTCAGGCAGCTGCCATTTGGAAAAATAAATGCCCAAATCAGGCAAACCTACAGGTGGCATTGCTCTAGGAAAAATGAGGAGGCTTAATTAGCAATGAGACTCCACACATTTTGACTGGGCCAAAAATATCAGGCTGCCAATTTTTCATTAATTCTTGTTAAACACATTCGTGCCCTTTGAGGACTGCATGTATTTGATGAACTGGCTTCCAAATCTAATAACAATTTGCTCGTCTTTAGAGCTGCACCCTGGAAATAATCTGACAGACCAGGAAATCATACACAACAGGCAAACAGGAAAATATCAAAGAAATTGGTAACCACTGACCTTCACCCATACTGATGACTGAATGCTTATGAGGCACGAGGTTCTAGTCTATGCGTATTAGTTCATTCAGGTCTCAGAAAATGCTAAGAGGTAGGTACTCTATCATCTCCATTTTGCAGGCAAGGAAACAGGCACAGAGAGGTTGGGTATGTTGCCCAAGGTCACACAGCCAGTACTTGGCAGATCCAGGATTTACACCAGGCAGTACAATTTCAGTACCTACACTTGCAACTGCTACTCTATAACATTTTGCAATTTTTAATTTTGATATAACTGAAATTCCAGAAAAAATACAAGAATTGTTCATGAAACTTCTATATAACTTTTACCCAGATCCACCTGTTTTTACTTTGCTGTATTATTCTTTGCATATATTTTACATAGATATGCATATTTTGTTTTCCTGACCCAATTAAGTTGGAGACCTTGTGCCCACATAACCCTAAATATTGCAGTATGCATTTCCTAATATATTCTCCTATATAATCTCAATAGTTATCAAAAATCAGAAAATTTAACATTTTCATAACAATACTATCTAACTCACAGTCCATATTCAAATTTCATCAATTGTCCTAATAATGTTCTATATAGCTATTTTTTTTCCCCTGGTTCAGGATGCAACCTGAAAGTACACATTGCAATTAATTGTCTTTAATCCAGAGCCTTTAGTCTCTTTTAATCTGGAGCAATTCCTTTGTCTTTCTTTGTGTTTCCTGAACTTGATAATTTTTAAAGAACACAGGCCAGTTTTCTGTGACATGTTCTTAATGTTTTCTCATGATTGTGTTCAAGTTACACATTTTTGGCAGGAAGACCAGAATGATGTTGTATCCTCAGCGCATCACAGTAGGAGACATGAGATGTTCTGTTGTCCCAATATTGATGATGTTGGCTTTGATCATTTGGTCAAGATTGTATTTGGCAGTTTGCTTCGATGCAAAGTTACTATTTCTTCATTTGTAGTTAATAAATGATTTGTAGGGAGTGGAACTCTGTATCCACTCTATTTCTCATCAAACATTCACTCCCTACTTTCAGCATCCTGTGGTTGCGACCCACTACGCGTTACTGCCTCTTTGTATATGAGGGCTTGTTTTCCAACTCAAAGGTGAGAAGCATTGCTCAGATGGAGACTCTGTCTTGGGCAGCTATAAACAGAAGTGTCCCACAAAGATCAACAGCACTGTCTTTGGGGTTACATAGGCTAGAGTTCAAGTTCTGGTACTAGCATAGATAATGGTCTTGGAGGAAGTCCCTTAACCTCTTTGAGTTTCAGTTTCCACGTCTGTAAAGGAGGACAATGATAGTATCTCCTTCCACAGAGTTGTAGCATAGGTGTAGACATGACCTAATGTAGACAGTGTCTGGACCATAGAAGTGTCCACCATAGCTGTGTGATTATCATGAAAGGGAGAAGCAACCCAAAACATCAGGGCTGAAACGACTTTATAATTAGCCAATAAGTTCATGCCAGTTCTTGAGTGTCTAGGATGCCACTGGGAGGGTGTGAAAAATGGTGGGGAAGCACATGGGTGAATAAGTCATGCCCAAGGCAGAGTGGACTGTTATCTTAGACAGGTGCAGAGGGTGTCAGGTGTGGGAAAGAAGTGATTCATTTCAACAGGTGATCAGGCAGGACTTCACGAGGAGGCAGTGGCATATGAACTTGTGGGACCACGAAGGGTCAACATCACTTTATGAAATCCCCCTCTGTGTACTCTGCTTTCTGCTGGGTGCTTTAGGGGTTGACTGAATGTAAATGAGATTAGCAGATCCCAGAGAACAAATGAATGGGAACCACTGGTAGAATTGGACGTCACTCATGACATCAAATAAAATGGAAAGATTGGGGACACGAAGATCAAATTTTGTTATTTTTCACACCTAAGCCTCTGATAGGAGCCAAATGCCTGAAGAACAAATCTTATCTTGTCTTTTAAAGAATGAACTTTGATTGTGAAGGCGTCTCTGTAGGTAGAGCCCAGGAACTTTGAGATGCTGCTGGTTTGGAGCTAAATTTGGCAACTTCTAGGCCCTGTCTGGGCAGAGCTAATCCCACCAGCTCACCCATCACCTCATGGTCTGCGATTGGCTGCTCATTATTCTGAACACCCTGGGCTATGTCCTGTCACCTGTGGTCAGGGGTTGGGGCCTGGTTCACATCATGGTAGAGCAGAAGGTATTGCCTTTCAAGAAGTAGCCCAGCACTGCTGACTTTCACAGCAAGGACTGGGTAGTTTTTCATAGCAGAGTCTTATGACTGTCCAGGCCCAGATAGGTTAGAATCAGGAAAGAGCAAAGGGAGAGAAAGCCCACTCCACCCTGAGTTCATGTCCTTTCTACTGAATCATCCCTCTCCATAGTTTCTAAGTGGCCTGTTGGAGAGGCTGTGAGTCTGTCACATTGGCCCTGAGTGGTAAGGATCACAAAGCAATGGCCAATTGCATTTGAGCTCATGCGTGGTCCACGGACCTTCAGAGTCAACCCCAATACATTGGCCTTTACCAAATACCCTTTCAGAGAGCACATCAGGGGAGCAATTGCAGAAAGAGATAGAGAAATATGGGGATTTAATTTTTTCACAAAGCACTTTTGCCCAAGCTGTGCTAATGTTCTCCAGTGAAATACTTTTCAAAACAATCCACCAAAAAATGCGACAACACATTCCATTAACGATGTCTGCCTTCATCTCACCCAGGGCCACAACAGCCAGCCAAGCAATTTAATGTCTTCCAACAAAAATTGTTTCCTCCCTGGACTGGGGAGGAGGCTCAGTGATCAGACAGGAAAGATGAGAGTGCTTTCCAGAGGGAAGGACAAGGTTCGTGTTTTCTAAACTCTCATGGGGTTTCCAGAAGCATCAAGAGCTTCTCTACCCAATCCTGTTAACATCAGAGCCCCTACCTGCCAAACCTAAGGTGCTTCTGATGCATTTTTCTTAGAGCAGAGCAAACATATGTGAGCCATAATCGTAGAAGCAAAGGAGATTAAATGCCTTGCCTCTTACCATAGATTATAAGCCTGTTAAAAACAGACCTGAGGCCTGTTCATCTTTATAATCCTGGTTCTTAGCGATACCCTGCCATCCAAATGATCAGTGAAAGTGTCATGAATTAAAAAAAAAGAAAACAAAAAAAAAAGGGAGAGCAGACTTCCCTTATGTCATTCCCCAGAATTCAGATAGCCATATGCCCTAGATTAACTGGGGTAATCTTGAGTTCAGATCTTTCCTTTCCCTGTCTTCAGAATTAATATTGTCTTGACAGCTGATGCATCCTGTATTTTGGTTCAGCAAATGGGCATGTTTGATCTTGACTGCAGGATCGTATTTGCTTGTTTTTTTTCCAACCTTTTCTGGGGTCACAGACCTCTTTGCAAATCTGGTGAGAACTAGGGATCTTCACTCCCTAAAAATGCAAGTGTATACATGTTCAAATGTTTGAATTCAATTTTAGGAAGTTGTCAGGCCCTCTAAAATATCCTTAAATTCCAAGATATAATCTGCTTCTGTAGGGTTGATATCATGGCTTGCATTTTATTCCTCCAACAGTGAAAGCAGATTCTGCTTTCGACATGGGTTTAACTGAGTTGGACAAGGTGGGAGAGACGATGGCAGTCTTTTCCTCAGCTGACTATTTTCTAGCTAGGAATGCTGAATTCAACCCAGGTTACAAAACCGTAGCTGATGCAGAGGAATGAAAATGCAGCAGACATATCCTTTCTAAAATTTAGGGATGTGTGAGTATGTGGAAAAGCAGAGGAGACAAGTTGTATTATTAATTTTTTAAAATGAGAATCCTTTTCTCAAAGGCCCATAGATCTATCTTCTTATTTAAAATTAAAAAAAAAAAAAAACTAGCTTTGGCTGCAGAGCAATCATGCTTCTTAAGGCTTCTAAAAGAATGTTCTGATGAAAGACGACACAGTCCTAGGGCTTCATCAACATCCACAGCTGACATCTCTGTTATGAGTTCCAGGAGCTCGGTGAACTGTTCAAGAATGAACGGAAAATGCAAAAGTAAATTATGTCATGCCTTAAGACTGTGGTGTGGTAATGCCACATGTACTAGAAAAGAGATTTCGAGTGGTTATACGAAACTCAGATGTACCCCTGGGAATGCATTTGAAGCTCACCGGTTTCAGAAGCCTGCTGGATCATTGGAAATGCATTGAAATGAATTCATTGTCCATGTGTTTATGGATGACTTCTGAAAGAAAAATAGCAATGTTTGACATAAGGCCAAGAAATAGACCAAACTTCCTCAGAACGGAATGTGATTTTAGCAAGCTTCCAAAATTCCAGTTGCTCATTGAAGCTTAGTGAAGATAGTCAGACCTCGTGGGATGGAAATAGAGGCTGAACAGCACACAGAGATGCAGAGCCATCCTGTGAATATTTTGGTCTAAGCTGGGGTAAGTCCTTTTCTCAAGGTCCTGACCAGGTCCTTAGGAATATGCTGAGCTTAAAACCCTTCCCTTTAAGTTTTTGAATCTCAAAGAAAAGTGTCCTTTGGAGATGTTGGATGAAAGTTGAACATCGGTAGGTGAAACTCTTTGAGCACTTTGCAAACTACTGCAGCCAGACAGCTCTTTGCATGAATTCTGAACTGAAGAATGTCATTCAAATTCTTCTGGGCCCATTTTCTACCACTCCAAAAGGAAATGCCCAGAGGAAGGGAAGCCTTGGGAAAACAGAAATATTAGGAGGAAGCTGTGATTTCCAAATGGCAAGACAGCCCCACCATCAATACTTGAAGTTGGTAAGGTAAGAGCTATTTAGCAGAGTCTAAAACAAGCTCGCTAACATTTTGAGAGTCGGGTATACTCTGGAGGAAGGGTTGTTTATTGAACATTCTCCTTGTCTCTTGAGATAAATGACGCACTGGAGAGAATGAGGATTTGAGGAGTTTATTGCTTATATTTGCATTGAAGAGACCAGAGTCAGATAAATGGAAAAGAGAATAATGCAAGACTTGTGGATGTTGGATTCATAAAAAAGAAAGCAAATGAAAGCTGGAGATGCCTAAAAAAGACTTCTTATATGCCATGAGAGATAAGGTAATCTTGAAGGATGGACAGAGTTTGGATAGGCATAAATGGGAAGGGAGAATGATGTAAGCAAAGATGAGCCTTGTTCATTCTGGGACCAACTTGGAGGACATTTGAGAGCCTGGAGGACATATGAGGGTCAGGGTTCATACTTTGTTGTGTATCAGAATGATGACCTAGACAGCCTCTTAAAAGTGCAGATTCCCGTCTGGGCGCAGTGGCTCACGCCTGTAATCCCAGCACTTTGGGAGGCTGAGGTGGGCAGATCCGAGGTCAGGAGATTGAGACTGTCCTGGTTAACACGGTGAAACCCAGTCTCTTCTAAAAATACAAAAAAATTAGCCGGGTGTGGTGGCAGGCACATCTAGTCCCAGCTACTCAGGAGGGTGAGGCATGAGAATCACTTGAACCTGGGAGGTGGAGGTTGCAGTGAGCCAAGATCTCACCACGGCACTCCATCCTGGGCAACAGAGTGAGACACACCTTTGTAGACTCTGATTTCATGGGTCAAGGCTTGGGCTCAGAGATCTGCATTTCTAACAAGCGAGCCAGATGATTTTGACACAGCTAGTCCATAGACCACACTTTGTGAAACACCGACGTCTACTTCCTCTTGGCTTCTTTGTTTAATCATTAAAAGCACCAAGCAGGGATAGGGTCCTAAGAAGGTTGAGTCTAGAACTTGAAGAAAAATGTACCTTCAAGAGCTAAAGCAAGATGGGATGTGAAAAGCCAGGACACACAGGCAAAGACATAACAAAAATGCAGTGAGCTAATATCACATTCAATCTTGTTCCCACCTTGCTGCAGCCTCCACCCAGGTAACCCCAACCAGTTCCAGGCTAACACTGAACCCCATCAAACCATCCTTCTTACAACTCACGTCGCTCAACCTTAAACAAAACAAGGCAAGGGGAGAGGTGGCTCGTGGTGATCAAGAAGTAAGATACAATTTTACCTTTGGTTTCTATAGATTTATGACCTATATGACCTTCCCCATAAAAGCACCTATGAGTAGCTGTCTTTTGCCTTTTTTGGAGATCATAGACTGTTTTGAAAATATGATAAAACCTCTGATCCCTCTTCCTAGATCATTGTATATGGACACTTGTACACACCATTTGCCATGTAATTTCATGGAGTCCAACAAAAATGATCAGCTAACACATTCTTGTTACACCTGGAATCTAACCTTTATTCTTAGAGTTTCCTGAATGTTAGACAATTTCATCCACTCAACCTCTGGGCAGGATACATGTCTGTTTCAGTGTTATTGACACATATCTCGACTCATCTTTGAGATTCCATGTGTATTGTCTTCTGAGGAAATATTCAGAAACCCCCACTTGAGACACCTACTTGCCTGTTCACTTGGGCTCACTTCTTCACGTCCTTTGGTGCAAGATGGGAGAGGCTATACCTGCTTCCACATTATGTTCTGCGTTGATTTGAGAAAAAGTGACAACTTCATTATAGATCTGTCTGTTCTCTCCAACTCTTTGCTATGACTCAAGGGACTGCAGCTCCCAAACTTGTCATTCATTACAACCATAGCATTTAGTTGGAAAGGTTTCAGAGGAAGCTGTCAGTTCGGAAATAGAGAAAGATATTATCAATAAAAATTGGTCCTTGTTTTTCCCTATGCATCTTCCATTTTTTCCACACATTTATCCAGGTACCCATCATGTATCCAAGTGCCAGATCTTGCACTAGGTAGGTGGAAATAGTGAAGAGGAAAACCTCAGTTAGACCTTAGAGTCCAATTGGGAGCGGTAGATATTAAATAAGTATAAAAGTAACTAAAATGATTACAGATGCTACAAAGGGAAAACAAGGTGATGTGATAGGAAGGAAGCGATGCAGGGGTCCTGCCTTTGGTAGAGTAGTCAAGGAAGGCCTCTCGGAGGAGGTGACTTTTGAGCCCAAGACCTGGAAGATGAGAATGGGCCAGTAGGGAAAGGAAGGAGTACCTTGCACTTGACAAATCCTCCACAGCTAGGACCTGCCTCCCGTGAATGCCTGCCAAATGTCTTCTATATAGAACAGGCTGGGGCAGTCATGATCAGAAGAGTTTTCTGTGTTTAATGCATGCTTCCTGCTGCTGGCATATGTCTTCCCTCATCTGCTGACAGGCTTGTGAAGCCTCAAGCCAAATTTCCCAACAGGCAGAGCCGCCTTGTCAAAGAGGAAGGCGGGTGCCAGCGCCTCACATGAATCACAAGATCAGACAGATCCCTGTAGTGGCAGGCTGGGGTACATTCAGAAGGGGTGTGTCTACACTACCCCGGTGGCTTGCCTTTGAGAGCAGCCAAAGTCAATCCCATCATGCAAACCTGTAGATGATTTTCCCCAGCCGATGGGACTGGGGAGTTAGAGGAAGGAATCCGCAGGTTTGAAGAAGGGAGAGCCACACTTGTACAGGGCCTTTGGGCCAGAGAACAGTCAGGATCAAACTCTCCTCTACCGTGTCTGACTCGCAGATGCCATTGTCATCAGATAGAGCAAATGCAACCGGGTATGTGAATTCCAAGGAGTGTCTTCTTGGCTGCTGTCAACCTCCTGGGTAGAATGCTAAGCCCAGCTTTGTGAATTCCCTATGGTCTGGGTGTGTAACTCCCTAGGTTCACTGGGCCATGAGGCTGAGTTTTCCATACAAGACATTTCTGTGGAATCTCTTGGTTCAGGCTTCATTGTTCCAACATGTGGATTTCACCAATCCTTGCCAAGGCTGAGTCTGACATAGGTATAAATGTGGTTTCTTTCCCAAGACTCTGAGAGCCACAAGCTTGCAGAATTCAGGCTAGGTCTCTAGCAGGGGACACACCTCCACACCCAAGTTCCACAATGACTCTACCCTATACCTACCCCTTGGTTCACAGGACAGATGGTGTTCACAGGTAGGATACGTCCTAGGGATGCACTCAGAGTCTGATGATACGCCAAACTGATTTGTAGGGGAGAAATCCCTTTTGGTTCCTCGGAAAAAGTGTTGCCAGATCTGGTGACTGAGCCACCTGCATATAAACCTAACCTGTCTGCCTTTCTCTGTTAACATGGCCACTATCTCAGTCAGGCCATTGTGTCTCATGTGCAGTGTGCTTCCTAACCTGTCTGTTTCCATTTTTGCACGCTTTTGATTGATTTTCCTCTGTGCAGCTAGAGGGACCTTTTGAAAGTATGTTTCAGATCATGTTGCTCTACTGCCTAAAATCCGGCTGAGCACAGTGGCTCATGCCTGTAATCTCAGTACTTTGGGAGGCTGAGGCAGGAGGATCCCTTGAGCCCAAGAGTTTGAGACCAGCCTGGCTGGGCAACATAGGGAGACCTCATCTCTACAGAAAATTCAACAATTAGCAGGGCATGGTAGTGAGCACCTGTGGTCCCAGTTCCTTGGGAGGCTGATGTGGGAGGATCACTTGAGCCCAGGAGGTCAAGGCTGCAGTGAGCCGTAATTATGTAAGACTCTGTCTTAAAAAAAAATAAATAAATTCTTCCATAGCTGCCCATTAAACTTGGAATAAAGCCCCAAATGCTAACGAGGCTCCGAGTCCCTGCAGGATCCTGTCCTAGGGTGCTTCCCATATCCTGCTCTCCTCCTTCCTCAACACACTCCAAACATATGTGCTACATTTCCAGGATGACCCCAAACACTTTCCTGCCACAGCACCTTTGCGTTTGTGAGACTCTCTTCCAAGTACACCATTCTCCTCTAGTCAGGACTGGTTTCTTGTCAGCTCCAATATTCCCCCTCCTACCCCCACAAAAGGCCTTTCCCAACTAACCATGTTATATAACAAAGCCTCCCCACCCACCACTGTAATTGCCTTAATGCTCATGATAGAGGTGATTTTTGTTGGGTGAGTATTTTCTCTCCTTTCCCTGTACACTCCCTGTTCTGCTGACTTTGGGCTTGGCCATGCGACTTGCTTTGGCTAATGAACTTTAGTAAATGTGATGTGAGCAGAAGCTTTAAATGTGTTCAGATGACTGGGTCTGCCTTCTTGAACTCCTGCTAATCTCCTTGAGAAGAACATTACCTAGGTGCCGCCAGCTAAGGAGGATGGGAGGTACAGAGTGAGTGTGATCTGTAGCCCAGTGGAGCCCAGCAGAACTATGGGTGCGACATCTGCTGTTGCAAGCTCCTGGGCTTTTAGAATGGTTCGTATACAGCATTATTCCAGCAATGACTGATTAAATGCAGTGCTTTATCACAGTCTAATTCTTTTCTTTTCTTTTCTTTTTTTGAGACAGTCTTGCTTGCTCTGTCGCCCAGTCTGGAGTGCAGTGGTGTGATCTCGGCTCACTGCAACCTCTGCCTCCTGGGTTCAAACAATTCTCCTGCCTCAGCCTCCCAGGTAGATGCGATTACAGGTGCATGCCAACACGCCTGGCTAATTTTTGTATTTTTAGTAGAGACAGGGTTTCAGTATGTTGGCCAAGTTGGTCTTGAACTCCTGAGCTCAGGTGATCCACACACCTCGGCCTCCCAAAGGGCTGGGATTACAGGCATGAACCACCACACTTGGCCTAATGATTTTCTTTATTTGTTTCGTTTCTTATCTGTTTCCCCCACCAGGTTGTAAATTCCATGAGAGTAGGAATCATGTTTGTGTTTTCCCTGCTGTATCCCAGAACTGAGGATGGTGCTTGGCACACAGTAGTAGCTCAATAAACAGCTGTTGAATGGGTAGATACTCTGTAACCACTGAACTATTCTGGTTGCATTAACAATAGCCACGCCACCTGCCACCTCCTAACGGCACAGGCAACACATGTTTACGTATGCTCATTGTCCTGCTCACAGGCCAGACTACCACGCCTGCACTTCCTCTAGGTAAAGCAAGCTGGAGTGCCAGTGAGAGTGTAGTGTAGGTAGGGAAAATGTTGAATTCACTCCAGTTTGTTAAAAGGAAAAGAATAAATCATTTGTATACTCTATTAGTAACCCATTCTATGTCTGGCACTTCCTACCATGGCTGAGAACTGCCATTCAAGTTTAATAAAGGGGAAATTGACTCTCTCCCCCACATTTCCAAAGATTTCGAGTTATATACAGAGAAATAACAGCAAGCTAATAACACTGGCTTCATGTGCCAGGTGTACTTTCATTCCTTTCCAAACTTTTAGTCTGCAAACTAAAAATAATACCTGAAGTAATTAAATGAAAACTAAGAGAAATGGAGAACATGCAGAGATATATATCAAAAGAACATTAAAATCGTACACTTGCATGGGGGGAGGTAGGAGAAATGGTTTACAAATCTAAACTCATAAAGGAAAAGAACTGCATTGTGTTCAACATAAGTCAAATGAATATCTTCTTTCTCCATCAACAGTCTAATGAGTTTTTATACACAAGCCATCTTGAGTTTCATCATGAAAGAAGACAAGGAGGAACACAGGGGTGATTTCATGAATGACAAGGGCTGTAATATTTGGGCTGATTTTTGGATGATTTAGAGGGAAGCCCATTTAAAATGGCCTCCTTTAAGACAGAGCCAGTTTAACCAATTTACTTTTTTAAGACACCGGGTCTGAATCTGCTACCTAGTCTGGAGTGCAGTAGCATGAACATGGCTCACTGCAGCCTCGACCTCCTGGGTTCAAGCAATCCTCTGGCCTCAGCCCCCCAAGTAGTTGGGACTACAGACATGCGCCACCACACCCGGCTAATTTTTGTATTTTTTGTAGAGATGGGGTTTTGCCATGTTACCCAGGCTGGTCTCTAACTCCTGAGCTCAACAATCTGCCTGCCTCGGCCTCCCAAAGTGCTGGGATTAGAGGCGTGATACCGCGCCCAGCTTCAATTTAACCAATTTTCTATTGGTTTCCACCATGTGTTGGCCATTTGAATCTGCCATCCAGGGCAGCAACTCCTACTCTTGATGTCCCAACCCAGGGAGGCATCACAAATAATTTCTTACTCATCATAAGGTCTTAAGTTTGTTCAGGGCTTACATTATAATTTGCCCAAATTTAATGTAACTTTAAGCAAATTCAAGGCTGTTCCTCTAATGCTTGCTTTCTAATGAGTAAGAGTGAGAAAGAGGAGATGGGGTTGTAGGTAGCATTGGGGAGGGGGCAGTGACACACTGACAACTGCATCCCCTAGGGTGGATGGTGGAGAGAACAGTGCCCATCCATCCGTCAGCAGAGTCCCAGCAGGGAAAATGTAAAGGATCTTGCAGGGGGCAGGTGTGGGGGAGGGAGCTGATCTGAGCCCAGGAGCCCTGCAGCTGGCTCTCCCAAATCACTCTCAGCCCTCTTCTCCTTTGCCTGTCTCTACCGCAGAGGCTGCAAAATAAAAAGGTGAGTGTCCCAAGTCTTGCTTAGAGCCAGGGAGTGACCAAGTGATACAGTTCTGGCCAATGAGACTAACGAAAATCAGTTTTTGCTTTTCTGATAAGACAGGATGGACCCATTCATGCCTCCCTTTTGCTGTTTTTCTGGCTTGCAATAAACATGGTATATGGCATAAAAACACGGCACTTATCTTTTAACCAAGGCAATGATTTGGGAGAAGATTCAGAGAACTTCAGGGACACAGGCCCTGACAAGGATGTGCCACTGACCACAGCTGGCAACTGCCCACCTCTGGCTTCTTGTGGGGGAGAAAATAAGCCCCTCTATGTAAGCCCAGGTTTTCTGTTCCTTGCAGCTGAATGCATTGCTAATTGATACATGACTCAGCCAGAGGGCCTTGGCCTCTGGATAATCCCAAAGCATCATGACATGTCACACACACACACATGCACATATGCACACAAATATACACAGAGAACTGTGCTGTTCTTTGTGCATAACGATAACATGACTCACCTTTTAAGAATGAAATGCCACATGCCTGTAATCCCAGCACTTTGGGAAGCCGAGGTGGGTGGATCAGGAGACTGAGACCATCCTGGCCAACATGGTGAAATCCCGTCTCTACTAAAAATACAAAAAAGTAGCTAGGCATGATGGCGTGTGCCTGTAGTCCCAGCTACTTGGGAGGCTGAGGCAGGAGAATTGCTTAAACCCAGGAGGCAGAGGTTGCAGTAAGCTGCGATCATGCCACTGTACTACAGCCTGGGTGACAGAGCAAGATTTTGTCTCAAAAAAAAAAAAAAAAAAAAAAAAGAAATACAAAAACTCAGCCCTACATTATGCCAAAAGTAGTGTAGTTTTCAAATATGTGGTCAGAATAAGGCTCACAGCCCATGGTCATGAACAATAATAAGGGCTCATGCTCCCTGAATGTGGACCTTGAGGTAGGCACCAGGCAGGAACTGAGCTCGTCACAGTGTGGGCAGTAACAGGCCCATGAGAAATGTACTGAGGCTGGCAGAGATTAAGTCACTTGCCACAAGGCTAGAAAGTGTAGACGTGGGGTTTAGGCCCAGACAGGCTGATGCAGAAGCCTAATCTCTTACCCACTGGGGCCTTTCTACGGAGGAGCTGAAATAATTACATTGTCACGTCTGTAACAGCAAGAAAAGGCCCTAACCCACCACTGCAGCATTTGCCTGAAAAGTTGACCCACATGCAGTGATGGTAGTAATAACAGTAGTAGCAGCTACCATTTATTGTGTCTTCTTTATGCTAGACATTCATTCATTCAATAATGATAGCTTACACTCACATGGTATGTCCTCTAAGCTTGGCACTACTTTCAGTGCTGTCCCTATACAAAGTCATTTAATCCTTATGGCAACCCTATGAGGTAGGTACTATGATTTTATGGAAAACTGAGGCACAGAGAGGTGAACTTGCCCCAGGTCACACAGACAGAAAGTAGTGAGGTCAGAATTCCAAACTGGGCAATCCACAGTGCGCTGGGTGATGCCAATGTAGTTCCTATGCATGGAGTATCTGTTGAACTCCAGAAGAGGCAGACAGTACCCCGTGATCTAGCTAAGGAGTGTATAACTGCAAACCAAAATAAGCAACATGAAGGAAAGAAATGGGGTTCTCTGCAATTGCATAGCCAAGAAATCTGATGTCAGGAAGGAATCCCTGAGAAAGTGAGCTGAGATCTCAAAAATGTTTGGGAATTAACTAGGTATTGGTGTATCTGCGCATGTGTGTGTGTGCATGGGTTTGTGTGTCTTTCCCTAGGTCTCTCTGCATGCCTATGTGTTTTTATGTCTCTGTGTGGCTCTTTGGTGCACATGGGTTTGTGTGTCTATAAGTGTGTGTCTTTTCCTGGGTCTCTCTGCATGTCTGTGTGTGTATATGCCTCTGTGTGACTCTTTGGTGCGTATCTCTGAGTCTCCCACTTTCTGCATGTGTGGTTTTTTGTCCCGAGTCTCTTTGGGTGTGTGTGTCCTTGTCTTTCTTTGTGTCTGTGTCTCATGTATATGTGTGCATGAGAGGGAGAAGCTGGGAGGGTCCATGTTTCTGGCAGCTCATGGGAAGGAGAGGCAGAATATGCAAAGATCTTTGAGAAGGAAAGACAACTGGACATTTGAGTCATTGAATAAGAGTTACTGAAGGCCATGTGGCTTGAGCCTAGAGGCAAACATGGCTGGAGATGAGACAGAAATGTCATCAGGGCCTGATAGCCATGACTTTGTGGTTACAGTAAGGGTTGGGGGAATTGGCTTGAGAGCAAAGGAAAGCCATCTGATACATATTTGTCCACCTTCTCAACCACCCTGTGAGTTAAATATCATTAACCTCATTTGATGGATGAGGAAACAAACTCAGAGAGGTTAAACTGTTTGCCTAAGGACACACAGCAAGAAGGTGATTGAGCCTGTAGATAAGCACGGGTCTGACTCCAGAGCTTCCTCTCATTCCATCACATCAAACACAGCCATACTCCCTGGGGACCTCTGTGTCCATAGCTGCTGAAAAAAAAAAAAAAGATCTGAATGAGCTTGGCCAAGGAGTTATGATTCCTGAGGGCTCTCTATGACCTAGGCACTCTAGAGTTGGTAAAGAAAAGTTGTTCTCACAGATAGTTGCTTCATAAAGCACTCATGAGTGAAATATATAGAATTCGTGGGGTTTTAGGCATTTTATATTGGTGGTATTAAAATCTACTTGGCCTGATTTTCCAGAAGTATAAAACCTGAGCCTGGGCAGTTTCCCTGGCAAAAACCCTGCCAGGGAAACTGCCCAGGCTCAGGTTTTATACTTCTGGAAAGAAGAACCCCCATCTCTTAGACAGAGTCAGGTAGACTGGTGTGAATTTCAGGTCTTTCCTTACTAGCTGTCTGATGTTGGTTAAGTCACAAAACCTCTCTGATCCTCAGTGGCCTCATCTGTTAAATGGGAGAACAGTAGCTTGCAAGGATGCCATGGGCTTCATCTGCAGAGCTTAGCACTATGCCTGGCATATGGCATGTACCAACCATGACAGAAGCGATTAGTGTTTTTGAGACTGCAGTATATCTGCAAGTGGGTCTCCACTCCTTGGATGGAGAACCCTAAACCCAAGGACCTTTGTGTGGTGAGTAGGGAAAAGCAGGTCTATTGCACAGCTTTGCGATGCCTAGGGAATTGCTGGTGTGGTTGCTTCTGTTTTGGAGATGCATCAGTGACACACAAGGCATAAGGCAAATTTGCATGATGCTTAGGGAAGTTGGCCCTGGGCTCAGAATGCACGGGTTCTTCAGGCTGTGCCACTTACTACTTGTGTGACCGTGGCCAAGTTCGCTCATCTCTCTGAGCTTTGGTTATCTCATCTGTAAATGGGGATAAAACTGGTAAGAAACTCCCTTATCAGTTTATGGTGAAGAGGAGAAAAGTTAGTTCATGTAATGCACTGAGAGCCCTATCAGGCAGAGTGAGTATGCATGGGGTTAACTTCTATTGTGATTTTATGGGTCTGTTGGAAGAGAGTCTCTGCTTGGGAAAGCAGAGGTGGACAATGGACTTGCTATCTTCAGCCCCTCAGAGCCTTCCCAAAGGCTAACCACCTTGGGGAAACTGAGGCTGTATATGGAGGAGTTAGATGCTATATGCTGTATTCAGAAAGACGGCTTGCTAATAGCAGCTGTTGCAGGGGTTGAGAGAAGATATTAACCTTGAGCTTGGAGACCCCAACAAGGCTAGTCAATGGTTTAATCTGGGATCTTTTTTTTTTTTCTGTACACCTATGGTGTTTTCTGGACACATCTAACATGCTCATGAAAATTGAAAGAGGGACAGGAGAGACTGGTATAAAGAATGGACCAAGACCAGGGGCTCAGAGTGACCTCACAAAGAAGGAAAGGCACAATGTCGGTATCTTCCAAATGGGTCGTGATCCTGTTGGGACATGGCAACACCAGCAATGCCAGAAAGGGATTCAAACTTGATTGATTAGAATGCGAATTTTCTTAAAGAAGAAGGAGGGAGAGATGATGAATAAGAGGCAGAGGAAGAAGAAGAGGAAGAAAGCACAGAAACTAAAGATTTAGCTGTTCGTGCTGAGGGAAAATGCCAGATGCGGACATGTCATTTACAGTTTTAGTAATTTGCATCATTCATGGTGGCCCTAGAACATAGAATCTCAGGTTTGAAGGGGAATTTCATGAATATTTAAAATCTAAATATTGGTTCCCTTCGGGGCTGGAGAAATTTGGGAGAAAATTTTGGCTATTCCACTTAGTAGTTGTGTGATCTCCAATAAATGACATTGTCTGTGACTCTTTCCTTGTTTGCAAAATGGAAATGAGGCTGCCACATTTTCATGAGGCTTAAAGAAGACAACCAGTTTGCACAGGGCCTGGCTCACACTTGGTCCTCATGCATGTTAGTTCAGTCTTCACCTCTCCACGCCCACTTCACCAGCATGCTCAGTGCTGACCAGGATCTGTGAAGTCTGCCTAATGATATTGAACTGTACATGCCTGTGGTATTCCTCTGGCCTTGCTAAGCTGCCTGCAGTTTTACTAAGAATCTTCACATTTACAAGAGCAAAAGCTAAGGCTGCAGTATCAGCTTCAGGGGGTTGGAGGAAACAGGTGCACTGAGAAGGAAGCCGCTCTCCAGCTCATCCATCAGATGTGTGAGCCTGCGGCCAACATGAGAAATGATGCACCCCCTCTTCCATGCACCAACACGCAGATGAAAAAGGAAAGGTGGGGAGGCGGGAGCACATTTATCACCCAGAGCCTGCCAGCTGGGCCTTGTCTCTGCACCTCTGCAATGAGGCGAGGTAGAGCCGGCCATGGGGGCAGCTTCAGGCAAGTCAGATGCCTGCAGTGGGGTGGCGCATCAGCACTGCACCTGCCTTCACTCCCTGGACATGGATCAATCCCTGCCAGCCCCATCTACCACCACAAGGACTCCGCCTATCCCTATATCTCGCAGCTCCTCCTCCCTCCTCCCAGCCTGCATGATTACTGAACCAAAGCCTTGGAAGGGTCCCCAAGCAGAGGAGGCCTCTGCTATTTGGGCGATTTTTCCAGAGGCCCCCCTCCAGGGGACCACACAGCATCTCATTTCTCCCTCTCTGTGTTCTCTACCCTGAATACTGCCAGAACAGAAAACAGCTGAGCTGATCAGAAGACAAAAGATGTGTGAACTGCAGGGTGAAGCACACATATTGCTTACTTTCATTGCTTCTGTGACATGACAGCACAGAGCAATGTCAGCAGACAAAACTATACGCACATATGACATACACACATACACAGAGCATACATACAACATACTATAAGTCATCACTTAATGTTGCCCCTAGGTTCTCGGAAAGTGTGACTTTAAGCAAAAAAATTACAGGGGGTCTGTATTAGTCCATCCTCAAGCTGCTATGAAGAAATACCCGAGACTGGGTAATTTATAAAGAAAAGAGGTTTAATTGACTCACAGTTTTGCATGACTGAGGAGGCCTCAGGAAACTTACAATCATGGTAGAAGGAGAAGCAACACATCCTTCTCCAAATGGCAGCAGGAGAGAGAACTGCCAAGCACAGGGGGAAAAGCCCCTTATAAAACCATTAGATCAATCGATTCGTTCCAAGATGGCCAAATAGGAACAGCTCTGGTCTGCTGCTCCCAGTGTGATTTATGCAGAAGACAGGTGATTTCTGCATTTCCAACTGAGGTACCTGGTTCATCTCTTTGGGACTGGTTGGGCAGTGGGTGCAGCCCATGGAGGGTGAGCTGAAACAGGGCAGGGCATCACCTTACCCAGGAAGTGCAAGGGGTCAAGGGATTTCCCTTTCCTAGCCAAGAGAAGCCATGACAGACTGTATCTAGAAAATTGAGACACTCCCACCCAAACACTGCACTTTTCTAAAGGTCTTAGCAAAAGGCACACCAGGAGATTATGTCCCATGCCTGGCTCGGCAGGTCCCACGCCTATGGAGCCTTGCTCACTGCTAGCACAGCAGTCTGAGATCAAATTGCAAGGCGGCAACCTGGCTGGGGGAGGGGTGTCCACCATGCTGAGGCATGAGTAGGTAAACAAAGCGGCCAGGGAAGCTCGAACTGGATGGAGGCCACGGGAGCTCAGCAAGGCCTATTGCTCCTGTAGATTCCACCTCTGGGGGCAGGGCATAGCTGAACAAAAGGCAGCAGAAACTTCTGCAGACTTAAACATCCCTGTCTGACAGCTCTGAAGAGAGCAGTGGTTCTCCCAGCATGGTGTTTGAGCTCTGAGAACAGACAGTCTGCCTCCTCAAGTGGGTCCCTGACCCCCATGTAGCCTAACAGGGAGGCATCTCCCAGTAGGGGCCGACTGACACCTCATACAGGGAGGTGCTCCTGTGGGATGAAGCTTCCAGAGGAAGGATCAGGCAGCAATATTTGCTGTTCTGCAGCCTCTGCTGGTGATACCCAGGCAAACAGGGTCTGGAGTGGACCTCCAGCAAACTCCAACAGACCTGCAGCTGAGGGACCTGACTGTTAGAAGGAAAACTAACAAACAGAAAGGAATAGCACCAATATCAACAAAAAGGACATCCACACCAAAACCCAATCTGTAGTTCACCAACATCAAAGACCAAAGGTAGATAAAACCACAAAGATGGGGAGAAACCAGAGCAGAAAAGCTGAAAATTTTAAAACCCAGAGTGCCTCTTCTCCTCCAAAGAATCTCAGCTCCTGGCCAGCAATGGAGCAAAGCTGGACGGAGAATGACTTTGACAAGCTGACAGAAGTAGGCTTCACAAGGTCGGTAATAACAAACTTCTCCAAGCTGAAGGAGGATGTTCAAACCCATCGCAAGGAAATTGAAAACCTTGAAAAAAGATTAGATAAATGGCTAACTAGAACAAACAGTGTAGAGAAGACCTTAAATGACCTGATGGAGCTGAAAATCATGGCACAAGAACTACATGAGGCACGCACAAGCTTCAATAGCCAATTCGATCAAGTGGGAGAAAGGGTATCAGTGATGGAAGATGAAATTAATGAAATAAAGCAGGAAGAGAAGTTTAGAGAAAAAAGAATAAAAAGAAATGAACAAAGCCTCCAAGAAATATGGGACTATGTGAAAAGACAAATCTGTGTTTGATTGGTGTACCTAAAAGTGACGGGGAGAATGGAACCAAATTGGAAAACACTCTGCAGGAAATTATCCAGGAGATAATACCCAACCTAGCAAAGTAGGCCAACATTCAAATTCAGGAAATACAGAGAACACCACAAAGATACTCCTCGAGAAGAGCAACCACAAGACACATAATTGTCAGATTCAGCGAGGTTGAAATCAAGGAAAAAATGTTAAGGGCAGCCAGAGAGAAAGGTCGGGTTACCCACAAAGGGAAGCCCATCAGACTAACAGCAGATCTCTCAGCAGAAACTCTACAAGCCAGAAAAGAGTGGGGGCCAATATTCAACATTCTTAAAGAAAAGAATTTTCAATCCAGAATTTCATATCCAGCCAAACTAAGCTTCATAAGTGAAGGAGAAATAAAATGCTTTACAAACAAACGCTGAGAGATTTTGTCACCACCGGGCCTGCCTTACAAGAGCTCCTGAAGGAAGCACTAAACATGGAAAGGAACAACTGGTACCAGCCACTGCAAAAACATGCCAAAGTGTAAAGACCATCGATGCTATGAAGAAACTACATCAACTAACAGGCAAAATAACCAGCTAACATCATAATGACAGGATCAAACTCACACATAACAATATTAACCTTAAATGTAAATGGGCTAAATGCCTCAATTAAAAGACACAGACTGGCAAGTTGGATAAAGAGTCAAGACCCAACAGTGTGCTATATTCGGGAGACCCATCTTATGTGCAGAGACATAGGCTCAAAATAAAGGGATAGAAGAAGATCTGCCAAGCAAATGGAAAGTAAAAAAAAAAAGGCAGAGTTACAATCCTAGTCTCTGATAAAACAGACATTAAACCAACAAAGATCAAAAGAGACAAAGAAGGCCATTACATAAAGGTAAAGGGATCCATTCAACAAGAAGACCTAACTATCCTAAATATATATGCACCCAATACAGGAGCACCCAGATTCATAAAGCAAGTCCTTAGAGACCTACAAAGAGACTTAGACTCCCACACAATAATAATGAGAGATTTTAACACCCCATTGTCAATATTAGACAGATCAATGCAACAGAAGGTTAACAAGGATATCCAGGACTTGAACCCAGCTCTGCACCAAGCAGACCCAATAGACATCTACAGAACTCTCCACCCCAATCAACAGAATGTACATTCTTCTCAGCATCACATCACACTTATTCCAAAATTGACCACATAGTTGGAAGTAAAGCACTCCTCAGCAAATGTAAAAGAACAGAAATCACAACAAAATGTCTCACAGACCACAGTGCAATCAAATTAGAACTCAGGATTAAGAAGCTCACTGAAAACCACACATGTACATGGAAACTGAACAACCTGCTCCTGAATGACTACTGGGTACATAACGAAATTAAGGCAGAAATAAAGACGTTCTTTGGAACCAATGAGAACAAAGACACAACACACCAGAATCTCTGGGACACATTTAAAGCAGTGTGTAGAGGGAAATTTATAGCACTAAATGCCCACAAGAGAAAGCAGGAAAGATCTAAAATGCACACCCTAACATCACAATTAAAAGAACTAGAGAAGCAAGAGCAAACACATTCAAAAGCTAGCAGATGGCAAGAAATAACGAAGATCAGAGCAGAACTGAAGGAGATAGAGAGACACAAAAAAACCCTTCAAATAATCAATGTATCCAGGAGCTGGTTTTTTGAAAAGATGAACAAAATTGATAGACCACTAGCAAGACTAATAAAGAAGAAAAGAGAGAAGAATCAAATAGACGCAACAAAAAATGACAAAGGGGATATCACCACTGATCCCACAGAAATACAAACTACCATCAGAGAATACTATAAACACCTCTAGGCAAATAAACTAGAATGTCTAGAAGAAATGGATAAATTCGTGGACACATACACCCTCCCAAGACTAAACTAGGAGAAATTTAATCTCTGAATAGACCAATAACAGGCTCTGAAATTGAGGCAATAATTAATAGCCTACCAACCAAAAAAAGTCCAGGACCAGATGGATACACAGCCAAATTCTACCAGAGATACAAAGAGGAGCTGGTACCGTTCCTTCTGAAACTATTCCAATCAATAGAAAAAGAGGGAATCCTCCCTAACTCATTTTATGAGGCCAGCATCATCCTGATATCAAAGCCTGGCAGAGACACAACAAAAAAAGAGAATTTTACACCAATATCCCTGATGAACATCGATGTGAAAATCCTCAATAAAACACTGGCAAACTGAATCCAGCAGCACATCAAAAAGCTTATCCACCATGATCAAGTTGGCTTCATCCCTGGGATGCAAGGCTGGTTCGACATATGCAAATCAATAAATGTAATCCATCACATAAACACAACCATCAACAAAAACCACATGATTATCTCAACAGATGCACAAAAGGCCTTCAACAAAATTCAACAGCCCTTCATGCTGAAAACTCTCAATAAACTAAGTTTTGTGGAACATATCTCAAAATAAGAAGAACTATTTATGACAAACCCACAGCCAATATCATACTGAATGGGCAAAAGCTAGAAGCATTCCCTTTGAAAACTGGCACAAGTCAGAGATGCCCTCTCTCACCACTCATATTCAACATAGTGTTGGAAGTTCTGGCCAGGGCAATCAGCAAGAGAAAGAAATAAAGGGTATTCAATTAGGAGAGGAGGAAGTCAAATTGTCCCTGTTTGCAAATGACATGATTGTATATTTAGAAAATCCCATTGTCTCAGCCCAAAATCTCCTTAAGCTGATAAGCAACTTCAGCAAAATCTCAGGATACAAAATCAATGTGCAAAAATCACAAGCATTCCTATACACCAATAACAGACAAACAGAGAGCCAAATCATGAGTGAACTCCCATTCACAATTGCTACAAAGAGAATAAAATACCTAGGAATCCAACTTACAAGGGATGTGAAGGACCCATTCCTAGGTGCATTATGCCCAGGTTTCTGCTGTGGCCTCACTGGTCAGAATAGTGTCACATGATTACCTCTAGGTGCAAGGGAGAATGAGAAAATAGATGAGTGCAGAGAAAGACAAGTGGGAAGGGAATCAGAAAAGGCAATGGATGTTGGGTGAACCAGCCTACAGTATCTGTCATAAAATGTAAAACGGTGTCAAGGTAATGGAACTAAATGTCTCTAAAAGTTCTGGAGGTCAGTGGATTTCCCTAACCCGTGGCTCCTATTATCATAGGCTCACCTGGAGAGCATGAAATCTCACTCACTTTCCAAGTCATTAGCTGGTTTTACAAGCACTAATAAAAATATTAGCATATACAAAACTCAATTGTAGTTCCAACTGCTCTCATCAAATTAAATTTTCCCTCAATTCATATATGGCTTCTTAGGAGAAATAGGCTCCTCTCCCCACACACACTATAAAGTAGTTGAATTTCATTAGCACAGTTTACATAAATGTGTGCAGCCAAGATTATGAAAATAGCCACAGGCCTACAAATTTAAAGACTAAAAATTAAGACTAGCATACAGAAAATTCAAGTTATGAGTGTTATAGTTCTAAGCACCCCACCAAGAAAGTCAGGTGAATTTTGTGTTACATCAAGAATTTGGGCTACCTGGGGATGTTAATCTAGGGGACCTGGGTATGTCTACAAAGTGGGCTTAGAGCTTTCTTCTGGAAGCTGCATAGCTGCAGAGGAATTATTTATACATAATTCTAAGACTGAATTAATGGTATTAACAGTATGAGGTGAGAGTTGTAGATAGTGTGTAATAATGGCTAATATTTATTAAGTGTGACTGTACTAAATGCTGTACATGGATGGTCTAATCCTTACAGTAGTCCTAGAAAGTACCTCCAGTTTACAGATGTGAAAATTCAGAACTGGGATTGCAGAGCCTGACCTCTTGCCTGGCTTGTCCTTAGTGCCACTTGAAGTCCTGACCCTGGGGAACTCAGAATGTAACTGTATTTGGAGATAAGGTCTTTAAAGAGCTAATTAATTTAACATGAGGTCACTAGGGTGGGTCCTGATCTGATAGGATTGGTGTCCTTGGAAGACAAGGAGATAAGAATGCAGAAACACACAGAAGAAGTGTGTAGACACGGGGAGAATGTAGCCATCTACAAGCTAAAAAGAGTGTCTTCAGAAAAAACCAACCCTACCAATGCCTTGATCTTGGACTTCCAGCCTCCAGAACTGTGAGATGACATACTTCTGTTGTTCAAGCCACGCAGTGTGTGGTACTTTTAATGGCAATTCCAGCAAACTAATACAGACATGGTCCTTGTACTTAGCCTGAAGAGAAACTAGAGCATTGAGCAGCGTAAGAGAGGGAACAAGGGTGTAGTTCTTGAGCCCCTGTGCATTCTTGATATGGCGTCTTTAGTCTTAACCATCTATCTCCTGTGATTGCTTAGAAGCCCACAGACAGGCCCACGGCCACAGCCAGTACCAGGCTCTCGTTGCTGACTCCAAGTCAGCTCTTGGATGATCTCCCACACCACCATGCCGTTTACTTGCTGTAGTAGAAGGGGCTACATTGCAGGATTTGCTATATAATCTGCAGGGCCCAGTGCAAAAGGAATATGAAGGCACCTTGGCTCAAGAACTATTAAGAATTTCCAAATGGTGAGATCAGAGCAATGGACAAAGTGCAAGGGCTTTCCAAGCACAGGGCCCTGTGCAACTGAGTGGGTCACATCCAAGGAGCCAGGCTGATGCCATGTTTGGGTATGGATAAAGTGGCGAGTAGGCATTGAGAGACAGCCTTCGAATTCCACAGGAAATACACAACTGTTGCAAAGAAGACAAACACTGCATGTGCTAGGTCAGGGACATTGGATCCACATGCTATCTCACCCTAGAGCACCAGGCTCCTGAGCCTCAGTCTTGGCCAGTTCTCAGGGCCAGATGTTGGGCCATTGTGCACAGATGTTAGGAAGACAGTTTTGCTCAGAGAGGAACCAATAGACTGCCAAAGCCTCCAGAGACTGGGATGTGAGGAGAATGTCTAGTGTTCTCTGTTTACTCTTTGTTCAAAGTAATAATAATTCTGAAAAGGATAATAATGGCCAATACTTATTGAGTAGTTTATATACACTAGGCTTTGTTCTAAGCTGTTAGTGAGATGGTTTTACTAAATTCTCCCAACAATCCTCTAAACTTGGGACTACTCTATGCAACACTTTACCGACTGGGCACTTGAGACAGAGAGAGATTAGGCCTCAGGTCACAGGTAATCAGTGGTGGATTTAGATGGAGACCTGTGTCTCCAGACCACATGCTTGAGTATTTAGTGTTGTTGCATTTTTTACTTTCAGCAACCCAGGGGGAGGAAAAGTACGTCCATGTTCTCTGGAGAGTAGGGGGCAAAACAAATGCTAACTTGGCACTTGCCAAGAGCCCAGAGAAAAGACCCAGTGTTTTGGGCTGTAGGGAAGATTTGTAAGAGTAAAACAGAGAGACCCATCTCTGGTACTAACTTGCCCAATAGCCTCACATGAAGCCACTTCGTTTCTCAATGCAGCAAATGAAGATGACAATTGCTGACGTACTTACTTCTCAAGGTATGTGTGATGATCCTAAACTCCTGATGACATTTGTCACTGTCACCTGGGCTGCTCTATGGTCTCCCAGTGGTCCTTTCCTTTCCACTCTACCTTCTGTCTGATCCATTCTCCATGCTGCAGTGAAGCCCAATTTTTCATAAAGTAAATCTGACAGTCATTTCCTGCAAACAGTTTCCCTTACTCTGAGAATAAAGACAACACTCATTTTCTGGCCTGCAAAGTCCAACAGAATCTTTCCCCTATTTGCTGTCCATCATCCTCTCACTCCTTGCTCTCCATCCCTTTCTAGGTTTCAGCCCCACGAGTTGCCTTTTGGAACCCGGGGCTCACCACATTCTCTCCTGCCACAGGGACTTTGCACAGGCTGTTACGGCTGCCTGGGAAGCTCCTTTCCTCTCCCTTGCTGACTGCCACTTAGTCCTCAGCAACCAGCTCATGCATCACTTCCATTTCGTTTTCCTCTGTAATAACAACTTTATTGAGATATAATTCAAATCTCATACAATTCACCTGCTTAAAATATACAATATTTTTAGTATATTTACAGATTGCGCAGCCACAATCAATTATGCTAGAACATTCTTATCACTCCAAAAGAAACCCCTTATGCATTAAAAATCACTCCCCATTCCCCCCTCATTTTCTTTGCTCCCCCCAGCCCCGATCTCCCATCCCCACCCTAGGCAGTTACTGATCTATTTTCTCTATCTATGGGTTTCTGGTTCTGGACATTTTGTATAAGTGGAATCATATAATGTATGGTCTTTTGTGTCTGGGTTATTTCACTTAGCATAATGTTTCCGAGGCTCATCCACATTGTAGGGTGTATCAGTACTCATTCCTTTTTATGGTCAAACACTATTTCATTATATTGAAAGCTGACATTTTATTTACCTGCTTGTCAGTTGATGGACTTTGGGTTGTTTCCACTCGTTGCCTATAATGAGAAATGCTGCTATAAACATTTTTATACAGGTTTTCATACCTGTATATGTTAATGATGGATATAGGTCTTCAATTCTCTTGGGTACATACCTAGGAGTAGAATTTCTGGGCTATATGGTGACTTTGTGTTTAACCTTTCAAGGGACTGGCAGATTGTTCCCAAAGGGGTCGCACCATTTTGCATTCCCACCAGCAACGTATAAGGGTTCCCATTTTTCCACATCTTCAACACTTGCTATTACCTAATTTTTAAATCATAACCATCCTAGTGAGTGTGAAGTGGTATCTCATTGTGGTGCTGATTTTCATTTCCCTGATAGTTAACGATGTTGAGCATCTTTTCATACATTTATTGGCTCTTTGAATTTTTTTGTAAGAGACGTCTGTTTGGATCCTTTCCCCATTTTTTAATTGGGTGGAGTTATTTCCTCTTCATGTCAGTAGCCTCTTCTATCAATGTCCTCTTTTGGAGTAACCCTAGAAAATGGGGGTTTTCCTCTTAGAATTAAGAACATGTTTGTTTCTGCTGTGACAAGCAGGAGTTCAGCCTCAAAAAATAATTGAAAATCTGGGGACTTGACAAAATGCCTTGATAGAGTCTGCAAATCCAGAAGGAAAGAGTCAGACTTTAGGGAACTGTTTTGTCTGAAAAAGCTGCAGCCCAATTAATAGTCTGCGAAAGTGGAAAAAACAAAGAAAGAAAGAAAGGAAATGATCTGGCTTGGAAGTGGCAGGTTCTGGTAATACTGCTAATTGTGGTTTGCTCCTGACTCCTTCTTTGCTCTGCGAATGCTTCCATTCTGTTAGTCACCCTGGAGAATAAATAAACTCATTTGTCTGACCTCATTCTCGACAAGGGCAGATCGAAATTCCACGGGGAAATTACAGAAACAGCACTCCACTCCTTGCAAGGTGATCCTCTCTCGTTTCTTTCCCTCCAGGGCTCCCCTTCTGACATTAGCATCTATTATCTTCCTGGCTGAATTCTTCCCTAAAGGGCGCTCGGCATCCCTAGGTGGTTGCCAGTGTCAAGGCAACCTCACCAACTGTGAAGGTATCCTGAGCTCCTGGAACAGGCAGAAAAGAAACCTGGCAGGAAGATTTGGAGGTGGCTGCAAGCTGGCCTGACTTCTGCAGTGAAACAAGTCCCAGGAGCTGGAGGTACACCATGCTGAGCTCCTGTTTCCTTGGTAAGAGGGTCGGTCTCCAAGCAGGCAAGGCTGTTCACAGCCCCAGGGCTTCTTTGTGTTGGCTAAGGGGGGCATCAATGTCTTGGAAAGAATTAGAGCATTCTGTAACGAGAATCATTGGCCCCGAATCCCCAGAATGAGAGGGATACATGTTAACACCCTTGCAGAGCAAGATGCTTGAATACACTTGGGCACAAAGGGTCTAGAAGATAGACAATGGCTTCTGTGTTCTCAGGAATAAGTATTAGTGATTTGTCCTTGTACCTAGGTAAGAGGAGGGGGACTTCCTGGCCTAAGACACATCTTTCAGGTTGGAGTTGTAATGACAGTGGTAATTTTCAACTGTGGATTATTGTAAGCTGTTCCAAGCAAGCATGGATGACTCCATTTCATGGACTGCAGAAATTCTGTGCCTGTCCTGTCCAGTGATTGAGTCATATCTGGTGCAGGGTATGGACAAAACATCTGTAAAAGAAACAGCCCGTAGTATACAATAAGAAGGTAAAGATGTCAAATATTTTTATCTTTTATTTTTCAGGTAACAAAAATATTTTTTTTCCAGACAAAATCTCCCTTGGAAATTCACTATACTATATGTAAGAGATAAAAACAGAATTAAGCTGATCCACTGATTCCTTAAACTGTAGGTGTGGGGAGCTGGGGGGCTGGGATATTGGAACTGGGGTCATCAGCTCTTCCTGGTTTGCCCAGGACTTTACCCAAAAGTCCCAGGATCCCCCTCAGTCCCAGGCAAATTAGAACAGTAAGTCACCCTCGTGGAAACTGTTTTCTGGACCAGTCTTCTGTGGCTTCCCATGGGAGCCTTTTGGGGCTCCAGGAAGCAAAGTGACAGTAGGAAGCAGGGTCTCTGTTGTTCATTTCTTTATTCTCTATGCCAAGTTCTGTACTTTTCTTCCAGAAGGTACTTGATAAAATGTTGCTTGAATTGAAATAACATAGGACTCCAGAACATACCACTATCACCAGCATAGAGGAAATGCCAGGAAGATAAGGTGGGAGAAGGAAGGGTGCATATCAGCCTTCTAGAATGTTCTGTTTCTAGGCAAGTTGCTTCATGGGCCTTACTTCAGGACACCATGAGGCAGGATTCAGAGCTAGAACAGTGAGCTTGGAGTGGGAGCTGGAGTGATAATGCAGGTGTATCTGTCTCTAGCACCCTTGACCTTACAGGGGCAGTGTTGGGATTCTTGTTTTGCTCAGCGGCACTGAGTTTGTTTAAAGTCAGATGGCTGCAGTTTGCCTTCCAGCTGATTTGCTTTATGTGTGCAGAAGTAATTACTGAAATTGCTGCTGATAACAAATACATATGTGCACCTCAATTGCCTTTGCCCCTCCAATTTGGTGAAGAATGAACAGGGTTGGGGGATTTACCAATGTGGTGGCAAATACAGTTCTTCCAGGGAAACCCAACTAGAGTGGCTGTTGGGTTTTTGTTTTGACCAACTAGATCAAAGGAAACCAAGCAAGACGGGAGGCCTCTTGACATGGCATAGTGCCAGTTAAGAACATTTAGAAATCCTTTCGGAAATATCCAGTGAAACTGGTTCCAAGTCCCCTTAAACAAACATTCAGTGTTCCAAGCTAAAGTGGGATCCTGCAAGTTCAGAGCTTGGGCTCAACAGACTGTAGACTTGCTGGGTTTGAATCCTGGCTGTGTACTGCCTGTGTGACCTTGGACAGGCTGCTTAACCTCTGTGCCTCAGTTTCATCCTCTGTAAAATAGGAATCATAACAGTACCTGCCTTTTAGAGTCATTATGAGGCAGAAGTAGGATGAACCTGTATTGTACCTACAAAAATGCCTGGCATATATGTAGGTGCTTATAAACGTGGATTGTCATTTCACCAAATGAATGTCTGTGTATGGGATGTATTTGTAATAGTTTCCCAGGACTGCTGTAATAAGGTACCTCAGGCTGGGTGGCTGAAACAAGAGAAATTATTGTCCCACCATTCTGGAGGCTAGAAGTCCAAGATCAAGGTATCACACAAGTTGTTTCCATCCTGAGGCTATGAGAGAATATGTCCTGTGCCTGTCGCCTTGCTTCTGGTGGTTGCCTGGCAATCTTTGGTGCTCCTTGGCTTGGAGATGTATCACCCTGATCTCTTCATTCACCTTCACGTGGCATTACCTTGTGTGCCTGTCTGAGTCCACAGTTCCCCTTAAGGACACCAGTCATATCGGATTGGGCCCACCGACTCCAATGCAACCTCGTCTTTTTTTTTTTTTTTTTTTTTTTTTTTTGAGATGGAGTCTCACTCTGTCACCCAGGCTGGAGTGCAGTGGCGCGATCTTGGCTCACTGCAACCTCCGCCTCCCGGGTTCAAGTGAGTCTCCTGATTCTCCTGCCACAGCCTCCTGAGTAGCTGGGACTACAGGGGTGTGCCATCACTTCTGGCTAATTTTTTGTATTTTTAGTAGAGATGGGGCTTCACCGTGTTAGCCAGGATGGTCTCGATCTCTTGACCTTGTGATCCACCCACCTCAGCCTCCCGAAGCGCTGGGATTACAGGTGTGAGCCACCGCGCCCGGCCGCAACCTCATCTTAACTAAGTCCATATGCCGATGACCGTAGGTCCAAATAGGGCCACATTCTGAGACACTGTAGGTTAGGATTTTGACATCTGGATTTTTGGGGGGACACGATTCCCAATCCCTAACAGTGACTCACCTTCTAAACTGGTGGGGTTTTTGGCCTGCAGCGAGGGGATGTAGGGATGACTAGTGGGCCCCTGTACTTTCCAGAGCAGCTCCTGGGCCGTTCTTCTGTGACCCTCACCTTATGTTCTCGTCACTGCTGCTTTGAGGCTCATCTTGCTCAGTGAAGGCAACCTTCTCTCTCACTTTTTCTGCCTGTCTCAATGTCCAGGACCCTGCCTTGCACATAGCAAACATTTCATAAATATTTAATGAGTGAATGAATGTGCCATCTCATTTACTCCTCAAACAAGTCTAGGAGACGGGCATCCTTATCTTTGTTTTCTGATAAAGAAAATGATTTGTTCATACTCAGGGCTATGGCTTTGGACCAAGGTACCACTTGTATGACTGTGGGTTTTCTAGAACACTCCAGACCCCTGATAGTACTGCACTAACAAGAGATGTCTGCTTAACAGATTTCAAGTCCCTTTCATCCATCTCCAAGTGAGAATCTCCTGGCATCTCTATTGTTTAAAAATGCCTTCGTGTGACTCTGATGAGACCAGTTCAATTTGGGAGCAATTACCTAGGATGTGCACATGAGGGTGGAGAGGCAGAAAGCTCTTTGCCTGTGATTTCATATTTTCCTGTGAAGGAAACATTAGTTTAATGCCCCAGCCTCTCTCCACCCCTAATTCAGTGTCTTATCTGATTGGTGAATTTGGGATAAAGGATTGGGCATGCTTAACTTAGTTGCTCCCTCTTCCTTTCCCAGTCTGTCTGCTCCTCTGCCAGGCAATAAAAAGTCTTTAGTATTTAGCTACATTTAAATAAGTAATATGACAATTTTATGTGACCTTTATAATATGCCAAAAATTACATCATTTGAAACGCCTTATGTCTATGATAAATACAGATTAGATGGTCACTTAAAAAAGTCTGTGAGATGGTTCATAGTTTTGCAAAACAGACATTATCTACCTCCTGATTGACGCAGTGGCATGTTGGAAATAGTCTTGCCTGCCAAAAAAAAAAAAAAAAAAAAAAAGCTGAATTTGATGAAGCTTCTTGGTCTAACTATCACCAATTTACAGAAAATACAGAGGAGGGAAGAAAATGTCAACTGACAACATGCACAGACTAAAAAAATATCCAGAATGTGGGACATTTATACCGTAAATGAATCAGTTTCTCCAATAAATAAATGGCAAATATACAATAAATTAAAAAGCCATAGAGGTAAAAAGTCTTAGGAAACAGATCAACTGAATGCAATGTGTGAACTTGATTTGCATCCTCATTCAAATCAATCAACAGATAAAAAATGATGATACAATATGGGAAACTTAAGCAGTGACTAGATATTTAATCAGATTAAGAATGAAGACCAGGCGCGGTGGCTCATGCCTGTAATCCCAGCACTTTGGGAGGCTGAGGCAGGTGGATTACCTGAGGTCAGGAGTTCAAGACCAGCCTGGCCAACGTCGTAAAACCCCGTCTCTATTAAAAATACAAAAATTAGCTGGGCATGGTGGCGGGTACCTGTAATCCAGCTACTCAGGAGGCTGAGGCTGGCGAATCGCTTGAGTCCGGGAGGCAGAGGTTGCAATGAGCAGAGATTGTACCACTGCACTCCAGCCTGTGCGACAGAGCAAGACTCCATCTCAAAAAAAAAAAAAAAAAGGAATCAGTGCTAATTTTCAGGTGTGATAAAGATACTGTTATGTCGTTAAAGAACTCTTATCATTTAGACATGAATCTCTGAGAATTTCCTGGCATCTCTGTTTTTTTTTTTTTTTTTTTTGAGACAGAGTTTCACTCTTGTTGCCCAGGCTGGAGTGCAGTGGCGCGATCTTGACTCACAGCAACCTCCGCCTCCCAGATTCAGGCGATTCTCCTGCCTCAGCCTCCTGAGTAGCTGGGATTATAGGCACCTGCCACCTCTCCACATGACCCTGATGAGACCAGTCAGGTTTGGGAGCAACTGCCTAAGAATGTAAATAAACGTGAGGGTGGAGAGGGAAGGGAACATCTTTTCCTGTGAGTTTCTGTTTTCCTGTGAAAGAACATTAGCATAGAAATACCCCATCATCTCTCTACCCCTAATGCAGTAGGTGAATGTGTATAAATTGAAAAATTTTAAATTAGAATGATATAATATCCAGGAATTGCTCCAAAATAATTTGGAGGGAGCCACGGGTGTGAGGGGACATGAAAGAAAACTGACTATGAGTTAATAAATATCAAAACTGAGAAATGGGCACATAGAAGTCCATGTTCCTGTTCTTTCTTTTTTCTTTTTTTTTTTTTTTCAAGAGGGAGTCTCGCTCTGTCACCAGGCTGGAGTGCAATGGCACGATCTTGGCTCACTGCAACCTCCGCCTCCTGGGTTCAAGCAATTCTCCACCTCAGCCTCCCGAGTAGCTGGGATTACAGGCGCCTGCCACCATGCCCAGCTAATATTTGTATTTTTAGTAGAGATGCAGTTTCACCATGTTGGCCAGGATGGTCTCAATCTCTTGACCTCATGATCCACCCGCCTCGGCCTCCCAAAGTGCTGGGATTACAAGCATGAGCCACTGCGCCTGGCCGTTACTGTTGTTTCTAACTCGTATAGGTTTAAAAATAATTTAGGTGTTACAAATGGCATTGTGGCTGTGTTTTAAAAAGAGACCGTAGCTTTTAGAGATACATACAGATATATTTGTGGGTGAAATGATATGATGTATGGGGTTGCTTTAAAATAATTCAGGGTTGGGTGTGTAATAGACAAAATACAATTGGCCATACGTTGTTAATTTTTGAGTATATAATGGGCACAAGGGCGTTCTTTATATTATTTTCTCTACTTTTGTGTGTTTGAAATTTTCCCAAGTAAGACAAAGATTGTAAAAAATAGAAAGAAAAAGAGGAAGTTTTATTTTCTAAAACTTATTTTGTGAAGCTATGACAACTTTGATATCCAAGCCAGACAAAGGACAATTGTATAAGGAAAATTACAGGCCAATCTTGATTAATGTATAGGCGGAAGTCCTAAGTCAAATCTAAATGAAGTGTTAGAAAACTACATTCAACAATGTATTTAAAAAATTCAGCATGACAAAGGAATGCAAGATTGGTTCAACATTAGAAAATTATTAATGTATGTTATGGGGTGGCTTGTGTCCCTCCAAAAGATGTTGAAGTTGTGACCTCTAGTACCTGTGAATGTGAGCTTATTTAGAAATAAGGTCTTTGCAAGTGATCAAATTAAGATGAGGTCATTAAGGTGAGCTGTGATCCTACTGGATGACTGGTGTTTTTATAGAAAGAGATTTAAACACAGAGACAGACACACACAGAGGAAAGATGGTGTGAAGATGCAGGGAAAAGATGACCATCTACAAGTCGAGGAATGCCTGAAGCTGCCAGGAGGTAGGAGAGAGGCCTGGAACAGAGTCTTCTCCACATCCCTCAGAGGAACCAACCCTGCTGACACCTTGATTTCAGACTTCCAGCCTCTAGAACTGCGAGGCAACAAATTTTTGTCATATAAGCCCCCTCTGCTCCCTTGTTTTTGGTACTTTGTTAAGGCAGTCCCAGAAAATGAACACAATGTAATTCACCATCTTAATAAAGGAGAGAAAAACCATAAGATCTTCTCAACAGGAGTTGAAAAAACAACCCATAAAATGCAGTTACTGATGACGATGATGATGATGATGATGATGTTGATGAAGTAACCTTTAGCAAACTGGGAAGAGAAGGGAATTTCCTTAACTTGATAAAGGATACACACACACACACACACACACACACACACACACACACACACCCTTATAGCGAACACTATGCTCCATGAATGTGGGCCCCAAAAGGCTGCTGCAGGGAGCTCGTTAGCAGCAATGACAAGAGCAGCTGGGAGGGCAGCCTTGGCCTCATGGGTCCCCATCTTGTGTTTGTGCATCTAATTGGCAAAATCTCATTTGCCTTGAGAAACTCAGCCACAAAGCAGTCTGGAAATGTTTAAAAAGATTCCCAACATTTTTACATAGGACCATGGTTGAATAGGAGTTCAGAGAACCAAGCCTGAGAATCCACTCTATGCCCTGATAAGCTTGCTTACTTACCCCTGTTTACAAATATCATTTTCCATGTTTACTGTGTTGTAAAAAAGGCTGGAAAGCACTTTTCTAGAGACACTCTCTTGCACAGGTGCATCAGTTAAATATTCAAGAATGCTCATGGTAGCATTGCTCAAAATAGCAAAACATTAGAAAAAACCCAAATGTCTATTGGCTCTAAAATGTATAAATAAATTGTGGTATATTCACCAACAGATAGTAAATCGCTGTAAAATGAATGGCCTTATGAATACACACATGAATATGGATGAATCGCACAAACATAATGTAGAGAAAAATATCAAGTAACGAAAGAATACACAAAGAATTATTTCATTGATATCAAGGTCAAAATCAGTTAAAACTAATGTATTGTTTAGACACACACACACACACACACACACACACACACACACACACACACACAGTATTTACCACAAGGCTGCAGTTTTCACGATGCATCAGAATTACCTGGAGGGCTTTTTATAACCCAGATTCCTGGGTCTCTCCCTCAGAGTTTCTAACTCAATAGGTCTGGGAATGGGGCCAAAGAATCTGTATTTCTAATAAATTTCTGGGTGATACTGATGTTGCTGATCCAGAGACCACATTGTGAGGACTGTTGCTATGAAGGACTGCATGGGAATAATAAATACCAAATACTGGATAGTCGCTTCCCTGGTGGGGAGAGGGAGATGTGGTTAGAAAAGGTCACAGAAGAGACTTCAAGATATTGGTAATGTCCTATTTATTAAACTGGGTGGTGGGAACATGGCTGTTTGGCACAGGTGGTCTTTTAAAAATCATTCTTTAAAATGTATGTATGCATAGAGTCACATTTTTATAAATATAATCTATTCTATAATTTTAAAATTTACTAAAACCAAACCAAAAATGGTCCCATACAACCCTTACATTTCATGCTAACTTTTCTCTGCTGAATCATAATCTCAAATAAGAAATGACTTATGGACAACTGGGTCACGCTGAAGAAATATTAAAGACAGACCCAAAAAAAAAGAAAAAAAAAAGAAATATTTATTGAGCTCCCTCTAGATACCATCCATGAACCCATCCCATGCTGTGATGTGTGTATTATCACTCTGTTTTGTAGATTTGAGGAAATTGAAGAACAAAACGAGGAGTGACCTGCTCCCCACGTCACAGCTAATATGTGGCAGAGCTAGAAGTCAAACCCAGGGTGGATGGCTAAGGGTCAACTTTCAGTCACCAAACCAGTGTTTCAGAGCCTTGTCCACAGATCACCTGTGCCAAAATTGTGCACAGTGTTTTATAAGTAAAATTCCCAAGCCTCAAGCCAGCCTGTTCTATTAGGCTTTGTACAGGTGGGCCTTGGCATCTGCATTTTATTAAGCTCCCCGGATGATGCTTAGGTATAAAGTCAGAATCAGGACCACCATTTTGCCATATCATGGGGAACAACAGAACTCATGAGATCATTGGCCAGCTTGACTTTGCATGCGAAACATGGTGGAATCAGGAGGGAGGGTGGTGTGTTTGGTGAATTATACTCAGCAAGAGAAGCCAGTAGACCAGAGATACAAAACATTAAGGCAATGGTGATGTCAGCAAGGGAGCCACTTATCCCATTTCATACAACAAAGTGCTTCTACTGAAAAGGCTTGTAATAATGAGAGATGTGCAAACATCCATTTCATCACATTTTTCACGTACAAAAATATTAACCCCAAGGCAACGTTTGTAGCTCACAACCCATGTCCTTTCTCAGTGTTCAAAGGCAGACAACAAAGACATAGGAACCGTAGTGGGTGCTGCAGCCTTTGTGTGTCCTAGCACGGGTACCCTGGAAAGAAACACATAAATAGGAGAAGCAAACCTCCAGCCCTCCCAGATGGGAGAACTTCATTAGATAGCAGTAGGAATTTGGCTTCTTCTATGACTACAGAATGAGTTTTCAGTAATTTGCATATTTTGAATCTGTTACTTTCACCCAAGCGCTTTTACTTAGGAAATCCTTTTCATCAAAGCCCCAGAGAATAATCAAAAAAAAAAAATACTGCTCCCAGCTTTCAGACTTTGAGAAAGATCTTGTTTTGAGAAAGACAGTCTTGGCCATTAGAAAGGTCTTGACCAAGAGGAGATGAAGGAAAGGACGTAGCTATTGAGATGACTCAAAGAAGGAAAGATGGTCTGGCATCTTCTGTGTGGTTTAAGAAGGCTCTTTTGTGGCTGCTTTTTGAGGTGGGGAACACAGGATATTATTTTTGCCTTTCTGTATATTTATTAGCATTTTTCTTGCCATTAATTCTGGGCTAAGCTTTGAATATAAACTGTATATTTTTTTTAACTGTATATTTTCTAACATTTTATCAACCTCTGATTCCTCTGCCAGTAATTTTGTTATGGTTCAAAATCAAATTCCAATAATAGAGAAACACAAATAAGCAATTTAAAAATTAGAGGTTCATATACATATATCATTAAGACTTATTTCATAAGGAATTTTAGGGCCAGGAGACCAGAGAAAAAGCTGAAAATTAGGTAATGAACCATCTTCTCAACTTGGCAATTTCAACTGCATCTTCTCTGTATTTCTCTCCTGCTTGACAACTCATACCTTTCCGTTTCATTTCTAGATTTCCAGGTAGGGTCCAGGAAGCAATAAACAACATCTTTAGGCTAAATCAAGTTAGGTCTGATCCAACAACAACACAAATAAGCCAACACACCCTCATCTATATATTAAAGTTAATCTGCAATTCCCTAGCAGCATCAACATTGCCAGACTTAGTCTGATCCGTGTTTCATCCAGCCCAACAATAAATGTATTTGGAACCTGTTCTGAGGCTTGGGCAAGTCGTTTCCTCTCTCTAAGCTTCCATCTTCTCTACTTGTGAAATGAAACAGAACTATTAGTGATCTCTTATTCCTCTCACAGCTCTAACTTCTTTTGGAATCTCTCTGAATCTGACTGAATTCACAATGTTGAGATTTATTTATTTATTTTTATTTTTATTTTATTTTTTGTTTTTGAGACTGAGTCTTGCACTGTCACCCAGGCTGGAGTGCAGTGGTGCAGTCTCTGCTCACTGCAACCTCCACCTCCCGGGTTCAAGTGATTCTCCGGCCTCAGCCTCCCAAGTATCTGGGATTACAGGCACCCGCCACCATGCCCAGCTAATTTTTTGTATTTTTAGTAGAGACAGGGTTTCACTATGTTGGCCAGGCTGGTCTTGAACTCCTGACCTCATGATCCGCCCACCTCGGCCTCCCAAAGTGCTGGGATTACAGGTGTGAGCCACTGTGCCCAGCCAAGAATGTTGAATTTTATGTGCCTTGCTCTTTGGAGCAAGGCACCCATATGAAAGTCATGCACTAACATGCATGCAAAACATGAATGCTGAATATATTTTAATTTTGCCCATGAAAGTTTGATTGATTTGCTACACAGTAACATTTATAAAGTTGTGACTCATGTAGCCTAGTCCTCAAAGGATATGA
Source organism: Homo sapiens (assembly GCF_000001405.40). NCBI lineage: Eukaryota > Metazoa > Chordata > Mammalia > Primates > Hominidae > Homo > Homo sapiens. The sequence continues at coordinate 14,272,388 of NC_000001.11, read as the reverse complement.
CATTTAAAGAGAAAACGCCAAACACAGTTTCCTAGACAGTAAAAGGCCTGGCTGCTTCTGTTTGCATTTCTTGAACTTCTGCCATCGCCAGGAGGAGAATATATCCTGGCTAGTCCACAGGTCCCAGGAGAAGGTGAGAGACATCTGCAGCAAAGCCACCCATGCCTGAACCCAGCCTAGATCAGCCAGCATCAGATAATCTAGATTCATGAGAACAAATGAGTGTGAGTTTGGGGGTAATTTGTTACACAGCACTTTGTGTCAAAAGCTAACTGATGCAGGGACATAGCAAAGTAATTAGTAAGCTCTTGTTCCACTCTATAAACACTTTAGGTGCTTCGTGTCACCAAATAATTCTGCAACACATTATCTCATTGATTCTTTACTATCACTCTGTGAAGTGTGAATCATTATGTCTACAAATGAGCACGCTGAGGCTTATTCTATGTTGTAGACATATTTTGGGATGTGCCTTCACGCTATAGTCCCTTACATGGGAATTCCTCTGCCTTAGTACTTGCTGAATGGACTTGCCTAGGAAATCTCTTCTGTAATACACAGCCCTGCTCTCCTATGGCTTGGATATAGCTGATTGGACCAGCAATGGGCACTCGATTCAACATCAACCAATCAGGGATGGCCAATGACCAATCAGATTCTCTATCTTGAGAATTAGAATTAAGATTTAGAGACAAAAACTATTTAGAGATGAAGGATCATATTGACTAGGGATTAGTTGCTTTGTTGGACCATGTGTAAGTAGATAAAAAGATGAGAGAGACAGAGAGAGAGGAAATAGACAGAATATACAATAAGGCAGAGATGACAGTTATATTTCCAGTCCTGAGAAATAGAAATAGAGATTTTGATTTCCGGTTGGACGGCTAGATTTCTGTTCCTGCCTCAGATTATACCTTGCAACTCTTTAGCAAACTCTTCAGTAAACTCTTCTTACTTGTGCTAGCTTGAATGGATTTCAGTTAATCACAACTGGGTAGCTAAGAGACTTCTTCACAGCCTCACAGTGTATAAGCGACTGATATGCGCTGAGGGTTCCTCCCCTTACCTGCTACCAAAATTTATATGCTGAAGCTCTACCCTTCAGGAACCTCAGAATACAACTATATTTGGAGATAGTCTTGAAAGAGGTAATCAAGGTAAAATGAGGTCATGAGGGTGGGCCCTAATCCAATATGGCTGGTGTCCTCATAAGAGGAAGATAGGACACAGACATACAGAGAGGGAAGACCCTGTGAGGACACAGGGAGAAGACGCCATTTGCAAAGTAAGGAGAGAGCCTTCGGAGTAGCCAACCCTGCTGGACTTCCAGCCTCCAGGCTGTGAGAAAATAAATTTCTGTTGTTGAAGCTTCCCATCTGGTGGTACTTTGCGATGGCAGCCGGAGCAAACGGACACTGTAGCAAACCCTTTCTCCGTGCGCCATGAGGGTGCTTTGCTTCTCAAAGGCTGTCCCCCATTTCTGGGCAAACTGTGTCATTACCAGGCACTATTCAAGTGAGGATGGAAGGGGTAAAAAATCAAACTCAGAGAAAATAAAGCATTGAAGGGAAGATCGAAGTATATTAGTGCCTTATGAGGTCCAGAAAAAAGAGGGTTATTGAGAGAAGGGAGGAAAAATAACCCTGTAGAGAGTGAGTGAGTTAATAAGCTCATTGAAAGCACATGATTAATGAATTATGAATTTCATCACTGATTCTCATCATTCAATTGCTTATTGTGGACTCATATTAATTAACATAAACTATGCTTCTATGGTAGGATAGACCTCCTCAGTAAGGAGGAAGAGGAGCCAACTTTACTGAGTCCTGACTATGTGCCAGGATGCCACCTTCATTATGTCATTCAATCCTCACAGTAATCCAATGCAGTAGATTCTGTTATCATTCATACTTAATGCATGTAATGGGTGAAACTAAAGCTCAGAGATGTGAAATATTTTGCCCAAGGTGTCTAAGATGGGAATGCAGCTCTGTGTAACATCAGAGTCAACATCAGTTGTTCTACCTCCCCATATCCACTATCTGCTCTTTTGATAATAACACATCCTACTTTTCCTTGGAGATGTCCTTTCCTCCATTTTCTCACACATGGTTTTAGTGGGGCTGGCCCCACTGCCGTAGATCCAAGGCTGGAGATTCCACACCTCTGACCAAAGTCATTGATCAGGGATGAGCACATGCTTCAAGCTAGTCCAGTTAAAGGTTGCTATAGTTTGGATGTGGTTTGTCTCTACCAAAACTCATGTTGAAATCTGACCCCCAGTGTGGTAGTGTGAGGAGGTGGGGTCTAGGGGAGGTGTTTGGGTCATGGAGGTGCATCTCTCATGAATGGCTTGCACCTGCCCGGAGCAGGTGCAGGCACTATGCATCCTGAACTTCCCAGGCTGTGGAACTGTGAACTAAGTAAATCATTTTTCTTTAGGAACTACCTGGTCTCAGGTATTGTTACAACAACACAAAGCAGACTCAGACAGAGATACTATGAACACTGGATAAACTAAAGAAATTTCAGAGCTGACGGTTTTTTCATCACCTGTTCTACTCTTCCTAAAGTACACATGTAGAAATGCCCCACAGCAGCCTCACCTCAGGTGATCCTGCCCCACCTTCCCTTTGCTTCATTAACATCTACTCTCCATTGCCCACCTTGGAGTTACATTTCCTTCAGTTTCCATATTGTAACCACACGGAATTTTCCACAACTTCCACAACAGTGCGCTGAGTTTTCCATTGTATTTTCCCTTACTTTGCAGCTTTCTTTCTCCAACCCAGCCCACATGTTTTTACCACTGTCTTCCAATTCTAGGCTTTTGTTGCTGTTTATTCTTTTTTCCCAGCCTAATCTTCTCCCAGTTCCCTGGGAGGATGTTACTAGTTCACTGGTTGGTGGACGCCTTTTATTTCTGTTCTTTCCATTACCAAGTCCAGTTTCCTATTTTCTTTGAAAAATATTAAGATATATCCTTTATTACAAATTGGGTAAATGGTTCAAAGTCAAGTGTTCAGAAGCCATCCTATTAGGAGAGTTTCTCAAACTTTTTTTTTATCATTATCAACC